>NC_000004.12:51793951-54193951 GCF_000001405.40 Homo sapiens | reverse complement strand
CATGGCGAAACCCCACCTCTACTAAAAATACAAAAATTAGCCGGGTGTGGTGGCACACACCTGTAGTCCCAGCTACTGTGGAGGCTGAGGCATGAGAATCGCTGGAACCCAGGAGGAGGAGGTTGCAGTGAGCCAAGATCATGCCACTGCACTCCAGCTGGGCTACAGAGTGAGACTTTGTCTCAAAAAAAAAAAAAAAAAAGAAAGAAAGAAAAGGGAAAAAAGTAACCTGAAGTAACTTGACATTGGTCAATCAGCTTTATTTCTATTGTTCTGTTTCCTTGTTCTCACCTTACAAAACCCACTTCTCTTTTGCCCCCTGCCAATCTATTCTTCTATTTTGTAGAATAGAGGCTATCTTAACTCATAAATTCCAAATAAAAGCCAATTAGGTCTATAACTAAACTCATGATTTTGTCTTTTGACATCAGTAATGGGACAAATTGAAACTGTGCACCATTGGTACCATACAATGAGAAGTACACGACATCACTTCTGTGATCATCCTGCTACATGAATCTAATCACAAGGAAATATCAGAAAAACCCAAATTGAAGGGCATTTTACAAAATAAGCTAACTACAAGCTTCAAAATTATCAGGGTCATAAAAGTCAATAGAAGACCAAGGAATCTTTCTTTTTTATGTATATATTCTCCAATTTAAAACTTTTAATTAAAAAGTAAACTTTAATGTCGAAAATGCAAACTTGGGGAAGACAGAAAAGATCACACACAAGGCTGTCACTTCACACTTGGAAGGTTGCACAATGGCCGGACAGAGGCGCTCCTCACTTCCCAGATGGGGTGGCTGGGCAGAGGCGCTCCTTACTTCCCAGACGGTTGGCAGCCAGGCAGAGGCGCCTGCTCCTCGCTTCCTAGACGGTTGGCAGCCGGGTAGAGGCGCTCCTCACATCCCAGTCAGTTGGCAGCCAGACAGAGGCGCTCCTCACTTCCCAGACGGGGCAGTGGCCAGGCGGAGGCGCTCCTCACTTCCCAGACGGTTGGCGGCCGGGCAGAGGCACTAACCAAGGAAACTTTCTATAATGGAGTAGGTTAAAGGAACATGATAAACTAAACATAATGCTTGATTTGGCATTGAATCCTTTTGATCTAAGTGGCAAAACTTGAATGGGGTATGAATATGAGATACTAGCAATGTCAATATTAATTTCTTCTTTTTTTTTTTTTTTTCTGATGATGGAGTCTCGCTCTGTTACCCAGGCTGGAGTGCAGTGGTGCAATTTTGGCTAACTGCAACCTCTGCCTCCCGGGTCCAAGAGATTCTCCTGCCTCAGCCTTCTGAGTAGCTGTGACTACAGGTGCCCGCTACCATGCCTGGTTAATTTTTGTATTTTTAGTAGACACGGGTTTCTCCA
Source organism: Homo sapiens (assembly GCF_000001405.40). NCBI lineage: Eukaryota > Metazoa > Chordata > Mammalia > Primates > Hominidae > Homo > Homo sapiens. Next base: position 54,192,574 of record NC_000004.12, on the reverse strand, counting down.
TGTTAGCAAAGCTGGTCTCGAACCCCTGACCTCAGGTGATCTACCAGCTCAGCCTCCCAAAGTGCTGGGATTACAGGCATGAGCCATGCACCCAGCCTATTTATTTATTTGAGATGGAGTCTTGCTCTGTCACCCAGGCTGGTGTGCAGCAGGGCAATTTCAGCTCACTGCAACCTCCACCTCTGGGGCTCAAGTGATCCTCCTACCTCAGCCTCCCGAGTAGCTGGGACCACAGGCGCATGCCACCATGCCCAACTAATTTTTGTATTTTTTGGTAGAGATGGAGTTTCACCATGTTGGCCAGGCTGGTCTCAAACTCCTGACCTCAACTGATCTGCCTGCCTCAGCCTCCCAAAGTGCTGGGATTACAGGTGTGAGCCACTGGACCCAGCCCTCAGCCTCGTTTTTTCTTTTCTTTTCTTTTCTTTCTTTCTTTTTTTTTTTTTTTTTTTTAGAGGTGGAAGCTTGGCTATGTTGTCCAGGCTGGCCTCAAACCCCTGGGTTTGAACTCCTGGGCTCAAGGGATCCTCCTGCCTCAGCCCCTGGAGTTGCTGGGACCACAGGGATGTATTACCACACACAGCTCATTTTCTTAATCTCCTCACCTTTAATAATTTTGTCTCTACCCTATCTTAACCATACACTCCCATGGGCCTCTCTGGATTTTGTCTTTCTTAATATTTTCTTAAGCCTTTTTCTATAGCCTCAATCAAGCATCCCATTTTCATATTTCCAGCTCATTCCCATTCCTTTCCATATTCAGACCTGCATTCTTCTGGTTGCTCAGATCAAATACTTTGGAACCATTCTTGATCCATTCCTTGTGGCAGAGGAGAGGAAATGTGTAAAGGAGGGTGAGGCCCTACAGTCAAGAGGTGGGATAGCATGAATGCAAAGAAGAGTAGCACTGGGGCCAGCCACAGTGGCTCACACCTGTAATCTCAGCACTTTGAGAGGCCAAGGCATGCAGATCACCTGACCAGTCTGGCCAACATGTTGAAACCCCATCTGTACTAAAAATACAAAAATTAGCCAGGCATGGTGGCTCGAACCTGTAATCCCTGCTACTCAGGAGGCTGAGGCAGCAGAATCACTTGAACCTGGGAGGCGGAGGTTGCAGTGAGCTGAGATCGCACCACTGCACTCCAGCCTGGGTGACAGAGTGAGGCTCCGTCTAAAAAAAAAAAAAGAGTAGCATTGGATTTGGGAATGTAAGCTTATAGGTGAACTTGCAAACAGGAATGTTATTGGAAGGTGGGGACAAAATCCTGATTTTTTAAATGTTTTGGAGATAGTCTGTCACTAAGGCTGGAGTACAGTGGTGCAATCATGGCTCACTGTAGCCTCAAAATGTTGGGCTCAAGCTATCCTCCTGCCTCAGCCTCCAGAGTAACAGGGTCTACAGGTGCACCACCACACCTGACTAATTTTTATTGTTTATGGATATGGGGGTCTCACTATGTTGCCAAGGCTGGTCTTGAACTCCTGGCCTCAAGCAGTCCTCCCTGTCTTGGCTTCCGAAAGTATTGGGATTACAGGCATGCCCAGCCAATCCTGATTTGAATTGAGGAAATAATCATAGTATTTCTCAAGGAATTGCTTGAATCTGAATACTCAAGAAGCACTTATTAAGCAATCAAATGATGTGGGCTAAGTCATTTTCGAAAGTCTTGAACCTTTAGCCTTGAAAGTCGGACCAATGAGTTTGTGCCTTATTTGTTTCTGAAGGTCTTTTTGAGTCTTGCGTTAGGAAATTAATCCGGCAAAAGCAGGCACAAAAGATCTTGTGGGTTGAGGAGTCAGTAAAAAGACTACTGGAATAGCCCGGGTACAAGCTTATGAGACACTGAGATGGGAGCCGGGGGGTTAGGGGGTGGGCAGAAGCGGGAAGAGCAGTGGCACTGGGAATCAATACAAGAGGAAGGAAAATCAACAACCATACCATAGAAAATGAGTCAGATTTGGAACTGATTAGATGTGGATGGGGAGACAGAAGAATCAGAGAATAAGTCAAAGCTAGCCAGGAGTGTTTCAACCTGGATTCCTGAGAATCCTGTTACCTAGGAGGAGACACTGTTTCTTAGATTTAGTTTGAGGAGAAGATGATAGCTTTGGTCTTAAATTGCTTTTTTTTTGTTGTTTTTTTTTCTCGAGATGGAGTTTTGCTCTGTCTCCGGGGCTGGAGTTCAATGGCATGATCTGGGCTCACTGCAACCTCCACCCCCTGGGTTCAAGTGATTCTCCTGCCTCAGCCTCCTGAGTAGCTGGGATTACAGGCATGCACCACCACGCCTGGCTAATTTTTTGTATTTTTAGTAGAGATGGGGTTTCACCATGTTGACCAGGCTGATCTCGAACTCCTGACCTCGTGATCCACCCGCTTCGGCCTCCCAAAGTGCTGGGATTATAGGCATGAGCCACCGCGCCTGGCCTTAAATTGTTTTTTTGTTTGTTTTTCAGACAGAGTTTTGCTCTGTTGCCCAGGCTAGAAGCTCAGTGGTGCCATCTTGGCTCACTGCAACCTCCGCCTCCTGGGTTCAAGCGATTCTCCTGCCTCAGCCTCCCAAGTAGCTGGGATTACAGGTGCATACCACCACACCCGGCTAATTTTTTGCATTTTTAGTAGAGACGGGGTTTCACCATGTTGGCCAGGCTAGTCTGGAACTCCTGACCTCAGGTGATCCACCCCCCTCGGCCTCCCAAAATGCAAGGATCACAGGTGTGAACCACTGTGCCTGGCCTTAAATATTTTTAATTTTAATTTTTTAAATTTGTTTTTGAGACAGGAACTCACTCTGTCACCCACACTGGAGTGCAGTGGCATGATCACAGCTCACTGCAGCCTCAACTTCCTGGGCTCATGCGATCCTGCTATCCACCCGAGTAGCTGGAATAACAGGTGTGTGCCACCATGCCTGGCTAATTTTTTAATTTTTTGTAGAGATGAGGTCTCATTATGTTGCCCAGGCTAATCTCAAACTCCTGAGCTCAAGGGATCCTTCCACCTTGGCCTCCCAAAGTGCTGGGATGAGAGACGTGAGCCACCTCATCCTCTAGTATTTTTCACTGATAGAGCTAGAAGACAACCTGGGAAAGGCAGCAATTAGAAATTAGGTCATAGAAGTAGAAAGAGTACTTGAGGCTGCAGTCTGTCAAGCTGCATGGAAATGAAAGTTGAAGCCCTAAGATATGATGAACCACAGTCATAACTATAACTTCCTTTTAATAAGGCTTGCTTTCTTCCAACAGCTGCCTTAAATATTTGAAATATTTCTCTCCCAGTCGTTATGGTACAGTGTAAGTAAGTGTTGTTAACTCAGTACTGCAGACCAGAAAGCTAAGGTTCAGGGGAATCAAATAACTTGTCATGTTAACAGAACTCACAAGTAAAGAACTAGATCTTGAACCCAGATCCACCTGATCCCATGCAGTTTGATGTCAGAATTTGGTAGTCAAAGGAGTCAATGAAACAGACAGAGAAGAATTTGTTAGGAGAAAGAAAATTATGTATTTATTTTAATTTTATTTATTTTTATTTTTATTTTTTTGAGATGGAGTCTTGTTCTGTTGCCCAGGCGGGAGTGCAGTGGCGCAATCTTGGCTCACTGCAACCTCTGTCTCCTGGGTTCAAGTGATTCTCCTGTCTCAGCCTCCATAGTAGCTGGGACTACAGGCGTGTGCCACCATGCCTGGCTAATTTTTTTTGTATTTTTAAAAGAGACAGGGTTTCACCATATTGGCCAGGCTGCCCTCGAGCTCCTGACCTCGCGATCCACCCACCTCAGCCTCCCAAAGAGCTGAGATTACAGGCGTGAGCCACCGAACCCAGCTTATATATTTATTTATTTATTGTATTTATTTATTTATTTTGAGATAGAGTCTCACTCTGTCATCCAGGTTGGAGTGCAGTGGTGTGATATCGGCTTACTGCAACCTCCACCTCCCAAGTTCAAGTAATTATCGTGTCTCAGCCTCCTGAGTAGCACAGAAACACCCCACCATACCCGGCCATACCGTACACCATACCATTACAGAAGCACCCCACCATACCCAGCCATACTGTACACCCTACCATTACAGAAGTACCCCACCATACCCAGCCATACTGTACACCCTACCATTACAGAAGTACCCCACCATACCCGGCCATACCGTACACCATACCATTACAGAAGCACCCCACCATAGCTGGCCAATTTTTGTATTTTTAGTAGAGACACAGTTTTGCCATATTGGCCAGGCTGGTCTCGAACTTCTGACCTCAAGTGATCCACCTGCCTCAATCTCCCAAAGTGTTGGGATTTCAGGCATGAGCCACCTAGAAGAAATAAAATTATAACTTTGTGGGGCTACTGAGGGTGAAGAAAGAAACCAAGGAATTTCAAGAAGGAAAAGTTCACCAGTCAAATGCTCCAGAACTAAGAAAACACAACAAAACCCACTGAGTTTAGGTGTTAGTGTTGGTTTCAGTGGATGGAGGAGAAAGGCAGATTCCTAAGGTTAAATCTGAACATAAGCCCAGAGTAAGGAGAGGATCCTCTTGGTATTATGGTCACCAACTGTCCTAATGCGTCTAGGACTGTCCCCTTTTTAGCACAGAAAGTCACACATTTCAGGAAACTCCTATGTCCTGGGTAACCCAGGGCCACCCTACCCATGGCAGCTAGTGTAACCACCCTACCCCCGGCCTCTCCTTTTTTCTGAGACAGAGTCTGCTCTGTGACCCAGGCTGGAGTGCAGTGCAACCTCCACCACCCAAATTCAAGTGATTCTCCTGCCTCAGCCTCCTTAGTAGCTGGGATTACAAGCGTGTGCCACCATGCCTAGCTCATATTTGTATTTTTAGTAGAGATGGCGTTTCACCACATTGGTCAGGCTGGTCTCGACCTGACCTCAAGTAATCTGCCCATCTTGGCCTCCCAAAATACTGGGATTACAGGCGCGAACCATGGCGCCTGGCCTTGGTGTAAACCCCTTTTAAGAGAGGTTGAGCAAGGAAGAGCTGAAAGATAAGGGGGTTGCTTCCAAGTGTAGCAAGGTCAAGGAAAGGTTTTTTATTTTTTTTGATAAAGAAAACTTGCGTCTGTTAATAAACTGGGAGAGGAGATTGGGAAGTACAATCGTCGTTGGACTTGATCCCAGAGGAAGCGAAACTGCATTGTTCTGAAAGGCAGGCGGCAGTGTCCCATGTTTCTCACAGCCCTCACTGTGCTGGCTCAGAGTTGCCCTGTCCTGGGACTCTGAACAGGCAGTGAGTGCTGGATTCCAGCCTCTGTGCATGCCTTCACCCGACAGCGCTGCGGAGCAGAGTGTTGGATAAAAGTCGGACACATTAGGGTTCTGCACTACTGTGACTGTGGCTGTCACACCTTTCTGGGCCTCAGTTTCCTCAACTGTAAAAGCCAATATTACCAGATAAAAGTGGGGAGCACAGTGCCTAACACATGACAGGAACAGGTAGAGTGTCCCTTATTCCCTTATCCAAAATGCTTGGTACTGGAGTGGGTTTTTTGTTGTTGTTTTTGTTTTTGTTTTTGAGATGAAGTCTTACTCTGTCACCCAGGCTGGAATGCAGTGGCACAATCTTAGTTCACGGCAACCTCCACCTCCCAGGTTCAAGCGATTCTCCTACCTCAGCCTCCCGAGTACCTGGGATTACAGATGTGTGCTACCACACCTGGCTAATTTTTGTATTTTTAGTAGAGATGGGGTTTCACCATGTTGGCCAGGCTGGTCTTTAACTCCCGATCTCAGGTGATCTGCCTGCCTCGGCCTCCCAAAGTGCTGGGATTACAGGGGTGAGCCACCCCGCCCGGCCCGAAGTGTTTTGAATTTGGAATTTTTTCAGATTTTGGAATATACATAATGAGATACCTTGGGGAGGGGACCCACATCTAAACACAAAGTTCATTTATGTTTCATATGCACTTTCTACACGTAGCCTGAAGGTAATTTTATACAATATTTTAAATAATCTCTGCTACCTATCTCATGAGGTCAGGTGTGGAATTTCCACTGTGGCATCATGTCGGTGCTCAAAAGTTTTCAAATTCTGAAGCATTGCAGATTTTGGATTTTCAGGTCAGGGATGCTCCACCTTTATTTAATAACTGTTGAGCATTTTGAGAAGCTGAGGCAGGAGGACTTCTTGAGCTCAGGAGTTCGAGACCAGCCTGGACAACATGGAGAAACCCCAAAAATACAAAAATTAGTTGGGTATGGTGTTGTGTGCCTGTAGTCCCAGCTACTTGGGAGGCTGAGGTGAGAGGATTGCTTGAGCCAGGGAGGCCAAGGCTACAGTGAACCATGACTGCACCACCACACTCCAGCCTGGGTAACAGAGTGAGACCCTGTCTCAAGAAACAAACAAACTGTTGCAGTGAGCTAGACTCTAGTTTTCTCAATTCTCTGCTTAAGGTGCACTTATTTCCTCTTCCCCCAGGCAAATCCCCACTGGGCTGTCCCCATCAAACAGAGCCTGCCTCCCAGATGTCCTATCCTGTAACTGATACGGAGATGGGCAGGGCTTATCAGCATTAATAGAATTTAAATTACTCTAAAACAAGTATTGGGAAATCAAGTTGATACTGATAAGCCACCAAGTGTCCTGAGATAAGAGAAGTCCACCCATTTCCTGGAAGAACTGTTTTTTGATTGCTAAAACTCTCTCTGGGAGAAACATATATTTCCTGTGAGAAATTTGAAAAATTAAATATGGCGTCAAATTCAGCTTTTCATTATTGTATAATCAGAAATTGGTATTATCATTTCCACACCTTACAGGACAGGAATATTCAAATTTGTAATCTAAAAAGAAGTAGTACACAATTGTGACTAAATCTACTGGCTTCAGAGTCGGAAAACATGGCTTGTTTTGTTTTGTTTTTCAGAGACAGGGTCTTATTTTTGTTGCCCAGGCTGCCCTTATGCTGCTGGGCTCAAGGGATCCTCCCATCTGGGAGTATAGGCACCCACGACCACACCCAGCTCCATGGCCCGTAATTCTAGCTCCCCCTAGCCGTGTGGCTATGGTCAAGTTACTTAACCACTCTGAGCCTCAATTGCCTCCATTGTGTAAAGGGAATAGAGAATAATAGTACATATCACATTGAATTGTTGGGAGGATTAAATGAGATAGTGCATGCAGGGCATGTAGCATAATGCTATGAACAGTATCAATTATTAAGTTCACAAATACCTAAAATTATGTTTAGTATATTTTTGGCCTTAAATGCAGTTATTATGTACTAAGTTTTCAAAAACTAATTATGTGTATTTGGCATATCTCCTAAAGCTCTGATAACTGGCTAATGTAGGAAATGACTGTTTACTGAGTGAACTGAACAGTGCAATCAGTTTGAGTTTGGGCCCTGCATTCTTCTTTGTTAGCACAGCTTTCGAACTGTAGCTTTTTGAACATGTTCATGTGGCTAGGAAAAGTTAATAAAGGTTCCCAAGAATTTCCCTTTACCACCTAAGAAAAGCTTAGATGCTAGGAGGTTCTGACTCATTTACCCCAAACACAAAGGCTGAATTAACAATCAGCCCACATTTTCTTTTAATAAATGGCATTGATTTTATTTTTAAGTGCAATAAATTAAAATTTAGACTACATTTAAAAGGATCTTATCAAAAGAAACCACATGCAATGAAAATTAATTCAACGTTTATAATTCAAATTTTTAACTTGTAACATTGTCATTAGCAACTGCCTATTTGCATGACCTATAGTACTTAACTTTTTTTTTGTCAGCAATTCTCTCCACTGTGGCAAATAGATACGAAGATAGAAACATGCTAAGAGGTTTGAGAGTTTTTACTTCTTTGCTTTCTCAAATATACTCCTTTGTAAGAGACTTATTTAAATAATGGTTTTAAAATATTATTTTAAAAGGGGCATCTGTATCCGCTTCTTTATTTCACAAGCTAATAATATACTTTGAGAAATTTATTTTATGCAAAACATTTAGCTTCCTTTTTAATTTATTTTCAATCTTCACGCACATGTAAGCATGACATTTTAAAAAGGAAAGACAGAATTTGTGTTTATTTATTTATTTTCAAGAGACAGGGTCTCACTCTGTTGCTCAGCCTGGAGTGCAGTGGCGGCAATCATAGCTTACTGCAGCCTCAAATTCCTAGGCTCCAGCGATCTTCCCACCTCAGCCTCCTGAGTAGCTAGGATGATACGCATGCGCCACCACACCTGGATAGTTTTCTTGTTTTTGTAGAAACAAGGTCTGGCTATGTTGCCCAGGCTAGTCTTGAACTCCTGGCCTCAAGCAATCCTCCCACTTCAGTCTCCCAAAGTGCTGGGATTATATACATGAGGCCAGCACAATGGCTCACAACTATAATCCCAGCACTTTGGGAGGCCAAGATGGGAGGATTGCTTGAGTCCAGGAGATTGAGACCAGTCTGGGCAGCATAGTGAGACTCCTTCTGTATTTTTAAAATTTTAAAAAGTATTTTATGGTGGCTCATGCCTATAATCTCAGCACTTTGGGAGGCCAAGGCAGGCAGATCGATTGAAGCCAGGAGTTTGAGACCAGCTTGTCAAACATGGCGAAACCCCATCTCTGCTAAAAATACAAAAATTAGCCAGGGGTGGTGGTGTGTGCCTGTAATCCCAGCTACTCAGGAAGCTGAGGCAGGAGAATCGCTTGAACCTGGGAGGCAGAGAAGCTGCAGTGAGCCAAGATCACACCACTGCACTCAAGCCTGGGTGACAGAGTGAATTTCTGTTTAAAAAAATAAAAGAAATTAAATTTAAATTAAAAAAAAGTAAATACAGGCATGAGCCACTGCGTCCAGCCCAATTTGTGTTTAGTATTTTTAATTAAGCCCCCCAGTAAATGTTGAAAGGTTGTGGGAGTTGGGAAACCAGTTAGGAGACTATTGAATAGTTCAGGACAGGTGATTTTTGGCTTTTCCTAGAGGGTGACGGCCAGGGAACAGAGAGAAGTAACAAAGACAAGAGATGTTTAGCATGTAGAATTGAGAGGATTTAGTGTTTGATTAGATTTGAAGAATTAAAAAGGTGCAAGAGACCAGCATAATTTCGAAATTTCTGGCATGAGCACCTAGATAAGTGGTGACAACTATGGGAGTAGGAAAGGGGAACGTGGAAAGGCTGAGATGAGGATGTCCAATGGAAAAAATGGATGTTGGGACTTGAAACTTAGAGGAGAAGTCTCAGCTGGAGCCTTGGATTTAGGAGTCATTGGCATTTAAAAGGTATTTTAGCCAGATGTGGTGGTGCACCTTGCCGTCCCAGTGACTCTAGAAGCCAAGGGGCAAGAGGATCACTTGAGCCTAGGAGTTTGAGACCAGCCTGAGCAACATAGTGAGGCCTCATCTTTTTTTTTTTTTTTTTTTTTTTTAAAAAAAAAGTCTGGGCACGGTGGCTCATGCCTGTAATCCCAGCACTTCGGGAAGCCGAGGCGGGTGGATCACCTGAGGTCTGGAGTTCGAGGCCAGTCTGGCCAACATGATGAAACCCCTTCTCTACTAAAAATACAAAAAATTAGCTGGGTGTAGTGGCAGGCACCTGTAATCCCAGCTACTCAGGAAGTTGAGGCAGGAGAATCTCTTGAACCTGGGGGGCAGAGGTTGCAGCGATCTGAGATCGTGCCACTGCACTCCAGCCTGGGTAACAAGAGCAAAACTCCGTCTCAAAAAAAAAAAAAAAAAAAAAAAAAAGCAAGTGCGATGGCTCACGCCTGTAATGTCAGCATTTTGGGAGGCCAAGGTGGGCAGATCACTTGAGGTCAGAAGTTTGAGACCAGCCTGGCCAACATGGTGAAACCCTGTCTCTACTAAAAATACAAAAAATTAGCTGGTGGTGGCATGCACCTGTAATCCTAGCTACTCAGGAGGCTGAGGCAGGAGAATTGCTTGAACTGGGGAGGCGGAGATTGCAGTGATCTGAGATCGCGCCACTGCACTCCAGCCTGGATGAAAAGAGCAAAGAGCGAAACTTCGTCTCAAAAAAAAAAAAAAAAAAAAAGAAAAGAAAAAGAAAGTAAAGACAAAAAGGGGGAATTTTAAGTCATAGGAATAGATGAGAGATGTCCAGAAAATGTGATGTATGTCAACTCAGAAGAAAGCAATACTAGAATACAAACGTGAAAAAGTCCAACATTTAATATTTGAGTAGAGAAGAACAATCTGAATGCTGTATTACAGACACTAGGGAAAAGAACGTCTTAGTAGAGAGCCATCAACAATGCTAAACACTAATGAGCTGTCAAATAAGAAAAAGTTGGCCGGTGCGGTGGCTCATGCCTGTAATCCCAGGCGTGGGAGGCCGAGGCAGGCAGATCATCTGAGGTCGGGAGTTCAAGACCAGCCTGACCAACATGGAGAAACCCCGTCTCTACTAAAAGTACAAAATTAGCCATGCCTGGTGGCACATGCCTGTAATCCCAGCTACTCAGGAAGGCTGAGGCAGGAGAATCGCCTGAACCTGGGAGGTGGAGGTTGCAGTGAGCCGAGATCGCGCCATTGAACTCCAGCCTAGGCAACAAGAATTAAACTCCATCTCAAAAAAAAAAAAGAATAAGAAAAAGTGAAAAGATATTTTCTGACTTACCAACATTGAATGGAGATCATGGGAAGCCTTAAGAATGGCTGGGAAACACGGAGGTGGGCCTGGAATGTCAAAATAAGATGTTTGTTTTTAGTACAGTCCAGTCAGCACTGGAGACCCACTGAAGGTCTTTGAGCAAGGAGATATGACTGTAGATGTGCTTAAGAGATATTAACCCATGGGCTGGCGCAGTGGCTTACGCCTGTAATCCCAGCACTTTGGGAGGCCGAGGCGGGTGGATCACGAGGTCAGGAGTTCAAGACCAGCCTGGCCAATATGGTGAAACCTTCTCTCTACTAAAAATACAAAAATTAGCTGGAATTAGCTGGGCGTGGTGGTGCATGCCTGTAATCCCAGCTACTCAGGAGGCTGAGGCAGGGGAATTGCTTGAACCCGGGAGGCGGAGGTTGCAAGGAGCAGAGATTGCGTCACTGCACTCCAGCCTTGGTGACAGAGCGAGACTCTGTCTCAAAAAAAAAAAAAAAAAAAAAAAATAGATATTAACCCAGTAGGGAAGTAGAGATCTGAAGGTAAAGTCTTGAAATAGGGCCTGTAGTTAAGAGAGTGCAGTAGTCCAGGCAAGAGGAAAGAGGGCCTGAACTAGGGTGCTTGAGGCAAACCTGGAAACTAAGAGGTACAGATTGTTTCAGTGATCTTTCACTTGCAAGTGAGGAAAACAACTCAATTTGGTTTAAATAATAATAGAAATTTATCGGTCTCATCAGCAAAAACTCCAGAGGCAATGTTAACTTCAGGCAAGGCTGTATCTAGCAGCTCGAATAATGTTTCCAAGGACCCATTTTTTTTCTATATGTCTCTTTTCTGCCTTCTATGGTCTGGCTTTACCGTTAGACTCCACTTTGTGGCTCTCTGGCAACTCTAGGATCTCCTTTCCTCTGCTTATAGAAAAATGACTTCTGGCTGGGCCTGGTGGTTCACACGTGTAATCCCAGCACTTTGGGAGGCCGAGGTGGGCAGATCACCTGAGGTCAGGAGTTCAAGACCAGCCTGGCCAACATGGTGAAATCCCATCTCTACTAAAAAATACAGAAATTAGCTGGGCCTGGTGGTGCATGCCTGTAATCCCAGCTACTCAGGAGGCTGAGGCAGGAGGATCGCTTGAATCCAGGAGGCAGAGGTTGCAGTGAGCCGAAATCGTCCCCACTGCACTCCAGCCTGGGCGATACAGCAAGACTCAGTCAAAAAAAGAAAGAAAGAAAGAAAGAAAGAAAGAAAGAAAGCAAGCAAGCAGGGAGGGAAGGAAGGAAGGAAGGAAGGAAGGAAGGAAGGAAGGAAGGAAGGAAGGAAGGAAGGAAGGAAGGAAGGAAACTTCCATAATTCTAGTTATCATTTTTTTTTTTTTTTTTTGGTGACGGAGTCTCACTCTTTCGCCCAGGCTGGAGTGCCGTGGCGCAATCTCGGCTCACTGCAAGCTCCGCCTCCCGGGTTCACGCCATTCTCCTGCCTCAGCCTCCCCAGCAGCTGAGATTACAGGCACACGCCGCCAGGCCCGGCTAATTTTTGTATTTTTAGTAGAGATGGGGTTTCACTGCGTTAGCCAGGACGGTCTCGATCTCCTGACCTTGTGATCCGCCCGCCTCGGCCTCCCAAAGTGCTGGGATTACAGGCGTGAGCCACCGCGCCCGGCGCAATTCTAGTTCTCATACCATGCAGGGAAATTGCCCAGCTTTTCCACAACAGAAGGCCAACAAACATCTCCTGGCATCTTGTTGTCTCTGACTGTGCAGCATATCACCCCAGAACCAACACAAGTGACCATGGGACATAAGCCAATCAGAGCCCACCCCTGTCATTTGGAGTAAAGTTGGTTCCACCCAAATCACATGACCAGGAATGAGGGTTTTACACTGTGGAGGTTTTCACATTGTGGAGTAAAGGTAAAGGGAAAACTGGAAGATAGATGCCAGGGAAGTAACCAATAAATGATCATTACCAATATGAAACATAACTTTTCTTTTTATTCTTTTTTTTTTTTTTTTGAGACAGAGTCTTGGCTCTTGTCACCCAGGCTGGAGTGCAATGGCATGATTTTGGCTCACTGCAACCTCCACCTTCCGGGTTCAAGCGATTCTCCTGCCTCAGCCTCCCAAGTAGCTAGGATTACAGGCACCTGCCAGCACACTGGGCTAATTTTTTTGTACTTTTAGTAGAGACGGGGTTTCGCCATGTTGGCAAGGCTGGTGTAGAATTCCTGACCTCGTGATCTGCCCACCTCGGCCTCCCAAAGTTCTGGGATTATAGGCGTGAGCCACCACACCCGGTGAAAAGTAACTCTTCATTGCTTCACTCTTTGAAATTTTGTTTCAAGAACTTTCAGATAAATTTACTAATGGAGTTAATACAACTCAATTCAGTTATGGTAAAAGTATTCTAATTAAGATGAATTAGCTAGGAAATGAATTAACTTACAGATAAAGTAGTTGAGTGTTTTAGAAGAACATACAGCATGTGGAGCTAACTATTGAACAAGAAGAATTCATTTATAGGAAGGAAGAGTTTTGATAAAGAGATTAGCCTCATTTGTAATTATATTAAAAATATGCCAAAATAATTTAAAATAGATTATCCTCCTCAATAAGTTAATTGTATTTCTATACAAACCCCATGAGTTTTTCCTATTTTGTTTATTTAGAGCCTCCAATCTGCAAATCAAGATCTATCTGTAAATCCCAGCATCTTCTCTTTTGCACTATGTCCCTGCAACTATGCCTACCTCCCTACAGTTCAAGGACAGTAGCCAGAAGTTCCCAAAATCTTTTAGCAACTTTTGTATCACCCTCTCAATCCTAAGACAGGGAGAAATTAAAAGCCTCCTGCTGCAGGCAAACAGCTAAGTAAGGCTGCTTTGCTGATCTTGGCTTGCTGTCTTACTGCTCTAAGATGGCCTTTGCAAGGCTCTCCCCCATGTCATCTCTCCTCCTCCAGCAGAATAATCCAAGTTTATTTACATGGCAGTAGCAAGGCTCCACGAGGGAGAATGAGAAAGTACAAAACCTCTTGAGATCTAGTCTTGGAACTGGCATGCTGTTTCTTCTCCTGTATTCTGTTGGCCAAAGCAAGTTACAAGTTCAGCCCAGATGCAAAGGATGGGCAACAAGACTCCATTTCAGAGTTTCACTCTTTCTCTCAGGCTGGAGTGAAGTGGTGCTATCTCAGCTCACTGCAATCTACACCCCCCAGGTTCAAGTGATTCTCCTGCCCCTCAGCCTCCCAAGCAGCTGGGATTATAGGCGCCCGCCACCATGCCTAGCTAATTTTTGTATTTTTAGTAGAGATGGGGTTTCACCATGTTGCCCAGGCTGGTCTCGAACTCCTGACCTCAGGAGATCCACCGGCCTCGGCCTCCCAAAGTGCTAGGATTACAGGCGTGAGCCACCATGCCCGGCCAAAAACTCCATTTTTTGATGAAAGCTGCTGCAATACCATGTTGCAAAGGCCATGGATAAAGGAAGGGCATTAATTAGAGCCACTAATGCAATCAATCATATTAACTGGAAGGAGTATATGGGTTCAACTTTTGTTGTGGAGTATCTAACATGCAATAATGAGCAAATAGATACCTTGGATGATAGTGGTGGCAGCAGCAGTGATAGTGTCTATTGAGGTTTTGCGCATGTTTTTTGAAACTTAGAACATGCATCCACTTTAAAGAGTTTTATCTTTAAAAAATTATAAACAAATCTGAAGACAGATTAAGCCTTTTAGAAGCACACTTTTCTAAACCATCTACATTCTTATCAATATTTTTCTAAACAGTTTGACAAATTGAGTATTACATTTTTATGGTAACTGCCATACTTCTTTATAATTTGGGACAGAGATTACATCTTTTTAAAGAAAGAAACAGGTGCGTGCTTACCTTCTTCTCCTTGTAAATGGTTCCAGATGGTGACTATTCATTTCAGAAGCTTCTTAAGAAACATCTGTTCATAATATTTATATTTGACTTTATTATATTTTTCAAAAATTGAATTTTAAATACAGTTTCCTTTAAGTTAAAAAACATTCATTTTTCCTATTCATAAGAAGTCTTTCTGTTAGTTTTGTCACACTTTGTGCACAAGTGCTGCATTATTATATCACAAACAAAGCTAGATTTAAATGACAACTTTGTGAAAGGAAAAGGGAAAGAAATACATACAGCCTTTTAAAAATAATATTCTAATATTGTCATGCACACATTAATTATTTCTTGATTAAAAGAATCAAAATGGTTTCAGTTTCTTTATTCAATTTCTATACATATAGTTTTACAATTTATTTTTAATATTTTTAGGGAGGAAAAAAAACAGGTTGTCCTGGGATATTGATCGTGAAGCTGATCATTCCTCTTGCTGTGTGAAGAGCTTTTATGACAAAATGCATTCTCCCAAAACAAAGTACATAATGATTATAAATGCAGCAAAATTGCACACTATGAAAAACCAAAATGCAATGAGGGATGAAAAAAGAAACCCTTTTCAACATTTAAACAATAATGTAGCAAAACCCTGTGTACATTATAAGGAGCAGCTTTACTAAGGATTTGTAAGAATTCTAACTTGTGATATGACAAAGATAAACAGAAAAGTGGACAGTCTACTTAGTACTTGGTTCAGTTAGTCCTTAGGATAAAATGATACTGGGGTTGGTCAAGTATCCAACTTCAACCTGGTTGATCTCATCGTCCCTCTGCCTGCTTAGTCTCCCTTATTCTTCTGAATGAAGAGATTCAGAAGATTCATGTTATAGGATAATGTGGATATTGGTTCACATAGCCCGGCCAGTATTCATTCACTCTTCTTGGAGTTAAGTAAAGGTGTCCTTCCTTTCTCTTGGGAAATTTTGTCCCCTGCCCATTGTCAGTCCCTGTAGCTGAGTAAGTGGGGTCAACCACATTCTCAGCTCCTTTTGTTGACTGTTAACTAAGACCAGACCAATCGGAGCATCCCTTCCCTTAGCCACAGTGACTGATTCAGGAATGGCACCCACCCAATCAGACCCACTCTGAACCAATCCCACAACTATTGCTGAAGGGACCAGAAAAGAGGTATTATTTTTTTTGTTGCTGGATGAAAGTTGTGAAGATTAGGCCAGCTGTTCTGCTGGGCTTCACCTTTCTGACGATGACCTTCCAGAGAGTAAAGTGTACATGAGGGAAATTCTAGCCAAGAGATGGACCTGACTCAGTAACATAATTGAATCCCGAAATCCGGCTGTGTGCAAACTGGTCTGTGTTAAAAGCCAGTAGAGATCCCCATTTTGCTATGGGAAATTTTATTAATAGAGTTTTTCTAGCCTTTGCAACTACAAGAATCCAAACAAAGAGAAGGAAAGGGGAGGCCAAGTTGCATGCCTTGAAGAGAAAGAGCACATTTCTCTATGCCCATTCAAATCTCACTAGGGTAGGGACAGTGCCATTGGTTTCATCATATTCCCTACACTGCAAAGACATTATTTTCTAGAAATTTGATACACGTATATTAATATGACTTAACAGCAAAGCAAGTGAAAGCAGCCATTCACAGTCCATGTGGTATGCAGTGAAGATCTAGGTAGTTGGTTAATACGGGCAAAGTGCAAAAATGAGATAAGAAAATGCAATGTCCAGATGCCCCTGCAGTTTCTGTACCTGCCAGCTAATAATTCTGCCCCAGCCAAGCAAAAGGATCTCCTTCCACTGGGTAGGAGAGGCACTCTCTGATGATCCAGACTGGTTAGCTGCTTCTTTCTTGTGAGGAAACACAACACAAAGCATTTTTTCAACTTTTATTTTATGTTCAGGAGATACATGTGTAGGTTTCTTACTTGACATATTGCATGACACTGAGGTTTGGGGTACAGATAGTCCCATCACCCAGGTAGTAAGCATAGTGCTCTATAGGTCATTTTCCAGGCCTTGCCTCTCTCCATCTGTCCTTCTAGCAGTTGTCAGTGTCTACTGTTCCCATCTTTATGTCCATATCTACCCAATGTTTAGCTTCCATTTAAAGTGAAAACATGCAGTATTTGGTTTTCTGCTCCTGTGTTAACTTCCTTAGGATCATGGCCTCCAACTGCATCCATATTGCTACAAAGGACATGATTTCATTCTTTTTTATGGCTGTATTGTATTCCATGCTGTATATGTATCACGTTTTCTTTATCCAGTTCACTGCTGATGGGTATCTAGGTTGATTCCATATATTTGCTGTTGTGAATAGTGCTGTAATGAACATACAAGTGCCTGTGTCTTTTTGGTAGAACAATTTATTCTCTTTTGGATATATACCCAGTAATGAGATTGCTGGATGGAATGGTAGTTCTATTTTTAGTTCTTTGAGAAATCTCCAAACTGCTTTCCATAGAGGCTGAACCAATTTACATTCCCACCTTCAGTATATAAGCATTCCCTTTTCTCCGCAGCCT
This sequence comes from Homo sapiens, assembly GCF_000001405.40. Taxonomy (NCBI): domain Eukaryota; kingdom Metazoa; phylum Chordata; class Mammalia; order Primates; family Hominidae; genus Homo; species Homo sapiens. Next base: position 54,175,575 of record NC_000004.12, on the reverse strand, counting down.
CTCCAGCATCTGTTATTTTATGTTTTTTGAGACCAAGTTTCGCTCTTGTTGCCCAGGCTGGAGTGCAATGGCATGATCTCGGCTCACCACAACCTCTGCCTTCCTGGTTCAAGCGATTCTCCTGCTTCAGCCTCCCTAGTAGCTGGGATTACAGGCATGTACCACCACGCCCGGCTATTTTTGTATTTTTAGTGTTTGCGGGATTTCTCCATGTTGGTCAGGCTGGTCTTGAACTCCCCACTTCAGATGATCTGCCTGCCTCAGCCTCCCAAAGTGCTAGGATTACAGGCGTGAGCTGCTGCAACCAGCCAGCATCTGTTATTTTTTGTCTTTTTAATAGTAACCACTCTACTGGTATAAGGTGGTATCTCATTGTGGTTTTGATTTGCATTTCTCTGAAGATTAGTAGTTTTGAGCATTTTTTCATATGTTTGTTGGCCACTTGTATGTCTTCTTCTGAGAAGTGTCTGTTCATGTTCTTTGCTCATTTTTTAATAAGGTTGTTTTTTGCTTGTTAAGTTCCTCACAGATTCTAGACATTAGACTTTTGTCAAATGCATAGTTTGCAAAAATTTTCTCCCATTCTGTGGGTTATCTGTTTAGTCTGTTGAGAGTTTCTTTGCTGTGCAAAACCTTTTTAGTTTAGTTAGGTTCCACTTGTCAATTTTTTTTTATTGCAATTGCTTTTGAGGACTTAATCAAAAGTTCTTTGCTAAGGCCAATGTCCAGAATGGTATTTCCTAGGTTTTCTTCCGGGATTTTTATTGTTTGAGGTATTACACTTAAATTTTTAATCCATCTTGAGTTAATTTTTGTATATGATGAAAGGGAGGGATCCAGTTTCATTCTTCTGCATATGGCTAGCCAGTAATTCCAGCACCTTTTATTTTATTAAATAGAGAATCCTCTCCCCATTGTTGTTTTTGTCAACTTTATTGAAGATCAGATGGTTGTAGGTGTGCAGCTTTATTTCTGGGGTTTTCATTCTGTTCCATTGGTCTGTGTGTCTGTTTTTATACCAGTGTCATGCTGTGTTGGTTCTTTCTAACCTTATAGTATAATTTGAAGTTGTATAATGTGATGTCTCTGGCTTTGTTCTTTTTGCTTAGGATTGCTGTAGCTATTCAAGCTTTTTTTTTCTTTTGTTTTTTTTTGGTTCCATATGAATTTGAGGGCCGGGCACAGTGGCTCACACCTGTAAGTGTGCCTCAGCCTCAGACGCCGAGGTGGGTGGATCACCTGAGGTCAGGAGTTCAAGACCAGCCTGGCCAACAGGGTGAAACCCCGTCTCTACTAAAAATACAAAAATTTGCTGGGCATGTTGGTGGGTGCCTATAATCCTAGCTACTTGGGAGGCTGAAGCAGAAAAATTGCTTGAGTCTGGGAGGCAGAGGTTGCAGTGAGCTGAGATCACACCATTGCACTGAGCGAGACTCCGTCTCAAAAAAAAAAAAAAAGAAAAAAGAAAAAAAAGAATTCTGGGATAGTTTTTTTCTAATTCTGTAAAAAATGACATTGGTAGTTTGATAGGAATAGTGTTGAATCTGTAGATTGCTTTGGGCAGTATGGCCATTCGAATGATATTAATTCTTGCAATCCATGAGCATGGAATGTTTTTCCATTTGTTTTTATCATCTATGATTTTAAATATTTTTTTAGAACAAAGGAATCATTGGATGTCCTGCCAAAACCAGATGGGAGAAAGCCATGTGTATCTATCAATTGTGACTTTGCATTTTTTCTTGTGAAGTTGCTCTTGTGTTGTAAAGAAGAAAAAGGAAAAGGAAATAAAAAAGAATCATGGTTTTGACTATTACAACTGAAACAGAGCTTCATAATCATTTTGTTCCATCTTTTTTCCATCCCTCCCTTTCTTTTCTTCCTCCTTCCCTCCTTCCTTTACTCCCTTTCTCCCTTCATCACTCTCCCTTTCTTTCCCTCTCTTCTTCTCTTTTTTCGCCCACCCTTCCCTCCCTCCCTCCTTCCTTCCTTCCTTCCTTCCTTTCCTCTCTCTCTCTCTCTCTCAATCACTCACTCTCTCTCCCTCCCTTCCTTCCTCTTCTGAGGTCTGACAGTGAGATACGCCCAAGGGCACATAGCTAACTTGTTGGCAGGGCCAGGACTCAAGTGAACTCAGCTGACCACTGATTCTGTTACATTGTTTTCTCCATATTTTGACAGACACTAAGTACCAGAAAAGCTGTTCTAAATGTGCAAATCAACCAGTCTGTTGGTTTATATCCTAATGGTATAAAAGAGTAGGGAACTGGCTGGGCGCCATGGCTCGCACCTGTAATCCCAGCACTTTGGGAGGCTGAGAGGGGCAGATCACCTGAGGTCAGGAGTTCGAGATCAGTCTGGCCAACATGGTGAAACCCTGTCTCCACTAAAAATATAAAAAATTAGCCCGCGTGGTGGTGCATGCTTGTAGCTCCAGCTACCCAGGAGGCTAAGGCAGGAGAATCTCTTGAACCCAGGTGGTGGAGGTTAAAATGGGCAAAGATCACACCACTATACTCCTGCCTGGGTGACAAAAGGAGACTCTTTCAAAAAAAAAAAAAAAAAAAGGAAAGAAAATAAAGAAACAAAAAAGAAAAGAAAGGTCAGGTGTGGTGGCTCACTCCTGTAATTTCAGCACTTCGGGAGGCTGAGGTGGGTGGATCACCTGAGGTCAGGAGTTCAAAACCAGCCTGACCAACATGGAGAAACCCTGTCTCTACTAAAAATACAAAACATTAGCCAGGCATGGTGGCACATGCCTGTAATCCCAGTTACTCGGTAGGCTGAGGCAGGTGAATTGCTTGAACCTGGGAGGCGGAAGTTGTGGTGAGCCAAGATCATGCCATTGCACTCCAGCCTGGGCAACAAGAGCGAAACTCTGTCTCAAAAATAAATAAATAAATAAATAAGAAATAAAACAATAAAAAAAAAGTAGGGAATAGTCCAGTATGATATGTGAGTTGAAAGATTACTAAACTTTTCAACACAGGACAAACCATGATTTCACCTTTCCCTTAATTCCTCAGAGCTGATGATTCCCAGAAGAAAAATCTGGGCTCTACTCAGAGTTCCCCATACCTCACGCATTTCTCTAGGAAATGTTGTCAGGCCACTTACCTTTTAGCACCCATTTCTTTTCTTGCAAGATACAAAGTGTCTTGATCTAAGCATATACTTCCCTTCCTGTCTCATGGGGCTCAGAGTAAGCTTGGCTACCAGGTGTTATGAAATGTATTCAACCACAGGAAAATAAGGCTATTTGTGTTTGCTGGTCATTGAAGGGCTGCAGATGACAAGCATTGTAGAAATTACAAATATTTATTATGGGTGGGTTGTGGTGGCTCACGCGTGTAATTGCAACACTTTGAGAGGCTGAGGCAGGAGGATCATTTGAGCCCAGGAGTTAGAGAACAGCCCGGGCAATATAGTGAGACCCTGTCTCAACAAAACATCAAAAAAAAAAAGAAAATTAGCTGGGTGTGGTGGCATGCGCTTGTAGTCCCAGCTACTCAGGAGGCTGAGGTGAGAGGATGGCTTAAGCCCAGGAGGCAGAGGTTTCAGTAAGCTGGCGTTGCATGCTGCACTCCAGGCTGGATGACAGAGCAAGCTCCTGTCTCAAAAAAAAAAAAAAAAAAATTACTGTATGAACTAGTTTCATTTTAAGGTCTAGACTAATGGGTTGTTGTCATATCCAACTGTGACAAGAATTTTTGTAACTTAATTTCTGCCTTGGCATGTTACATAAGCTTAATAACCAAAACAAATCTTAAATATTAAAATATTTCACAGGCAGTTTCCAAAGAAAATCGTATTTATTAACTGTTGAGAGACTTCTTAGAATGTCAAGACATTTGAAAAATACTACCCACTGCCTTTTTTCCTGTGCAGAGTTTAGTTCTCTTTTTCCTCTGATTTTTTTTTTCAGTGTTATGGTGTTTGAGAGTACTATACATCCACCTTATAATTCCATTTGCTGAAGCTGCCGCTTGTTTTTTGTGTTGTTGTGGTTTTGAGACAGGTTCTTGCTTTGTTGCCTAGGCTGGGTCTCCAACTACTGGGCTCGAACGATCCTTCTGCCTCAGCCTTCTGAGTAGCCGGGACTATAGATATGCACCACTGCACCTGGCCATATCCATCCTTACGAATGGGATTATTGTTCTTATAAAAAAAAAATAAGGGGGTGCTGGGCACGGTGGCTCATGCCTGTAATCCCAGCATTTTGGGAGGTGGAGGCAGGCAGATCACTTGAGGTCAGGAGTTCGAGACCAGCTTGGCCAACATGGTGAAACCCTGTCTCTACTAAAAATACAAAAATTAGCCTGGTGTGGTGGCAGGCGCCTGTAATCCCAGCTACTTGGGAGGCTGTGGCAGGAGAATCTCTTGAACCCAGGAGGCAGAGGTTGCAGTGAGCCAAGATCACGCCTTCAGATTTCAGCCTGAGCAACTGAGGGAGACTCCATCAAAAATAAAAAGGTTGAAGAGAGCACCCTAGTCTCTTTTGTCTACCATCACTTCCACCACATGAGAACATAGTGTTCATTCCCTCTGGAGGATGTAGCAACAAGGCTGCTGTTTCCAAGCAACATCTTGGAAAACAGAGACAGGGTCCCTACAAGACACCAAATCTATCTGAGCCTTTAACCTGGTCTTCCAGATATATATATTTGGAACAGCATTGTATGACCACACATTTGAAAATGAAGATGGAAATGGGAAATAGCAGCCCTTTGATTCAAAATACATGAACAGGGAAAGGAGAACCATCTCTTATCAGATAAAAAGATTAAGAATTTGAAGAAGCCAAGAGAGTAGAGGAACTAGGAAAAAATGAAAAAGGGAAGAGAAAAAAAGGGAACAGAACAGGAAGGGTAAATACAAAATGCACCTCAGTGTCATTAATCTATCCAATAAAAATATGCGGAGCACCATCTAAGTGCCTGGCACTGTTAGATTCTGGGATACAATGCTGTGCAAAATCAGTGTTGAGCCTCACCTTTGCAGAACTTATGAGTAACAAGGAAGACATAAATAATCCAAATAATCACATAAGCAGATGTAAAGGAAGTGCTACTCAGTACCCAGAAGGTCCATCAGAGATAGTGGGAGAAAAGGCAGAAAAACCAACAAAGTGGATCCATCACCCGCCCTGAGTTCCAGGGTGGAATGGAGGCTGGCACGATAGAGCTGCCAAATAGAGGTACTGACTGGACTGGCACAATGTCCAAGAAACACAACGGATTTGGCTCTCAGGGTTTTGTTCGGAAATGGTCAGCTCCTGTGACTTGCAATCCAGGTAGGCTAAATGAGAGGGAATCCAGCCGCAGACACTACACAGAGGGCAGGTGAGGCCAGGGGATCTGGAACTCAATCCCCTGATCTGCAGGGCAAAACTCCAGTGCCCTATGGCAGGACTGGCAAGAGGAAAGCAAAGCAGCAGGAGCTCAATTCTAGGCAGGGATTTGGAGCAGGGTTTCAGTCAGTAGGGCCTGAACCAGTAGGGGCCAGGATCCCAGATACAGACAGGAAAGGATCAGAGGTGGAGGATAGAGACTGGGAGCACTGTGAGGCCAGCCCATCCCTCAGGCCACTGAGTTCAGGACTTTAGATACTTAGGGGTTCCAGGAGGGTGAGGCCAAGACAGGCGGATCACCTGAGGTCAGGAGTTTGAGACCAGCCTGGCCAACATAGTGAAACCCCGTCTCTACTAAAAATACAAAAATTAGCCTGGAATGGTGGCACACGCCTGTAGTCCCCACTACTTGGGAGGCTGAGGCAGGAGAATCACTTGAACCTGGGAGGTGGTGGTTGCAATGAGCTGATATTGTGCCACTGCACTCCAGCCTGGGTGACAGAGCAAGACTCTGTCTCAGAAAAAAAAAAAAAAAAGGGTAATAATAATACCTACCTCTAGAAGACTGTGAGAAGTAAATGTCAAGTGCTTAGAACAGTGAACAGTACCTGGCACAGAGAAAAATACTAAGTAAGTGTCTGTTGAATGAATGGATGAATGAACAAATACATAGATAATATGGGCAGAGGCTTCCAAATGTAAATGGATGAAGCCTTAAGAAAGTCTCAGAATGACTCTGGACTAACGGGAGTTTAGGGATGGGAGCAAATGGAAAAGGAAGTAACTAAACAGCTGAGCTGAGTCATTAAAGCATTCTAGGGTCATTCTAGAAATTGCATCCAAGTCTTAACAGTCTTACTGCTTCCCCGTTGCCCTCTCTAATCCATTTTCTGGTCTGCAGTCACATCATCTTTAAAACATAGGTCAGATTATGTCATCTCAATGAATTCCCATAAAACTTGAGGGAAAAAATCCAAACTATGGGCCATATGAGGCACCAAATAAAAGACTGTAAACTAGTGACCCCCCCCAAGTCATAAAGAGTTCACAAATGGAGTTAAATACTCAGTTTGGGTTTTTTTGTTTTTGTTTTTTTTCAAGGCAGGGTCTCACTCTGTCACCCATGCTTGAGTGCAGTGGCGCCATCATAGCTTACTGCAGCCTCAACCTTTCCGGCTCAAGCAATCCTCCCACCTCATCCTCCCAAGTAGCTGCAGCCACAGACACATGCCACCACACCTGGCTAATTTCTGTATTTTTTGTAGAGACGGGGTTTTGCCATGTAGCCCAGGCTAATTTTTTTTTTTTTGAGGTGGAGTCTTGCCCTGTCACCCCAGGTTCAACTGATTCTCCTGCCTCAGCCTCCCGAGTAGCTGGGATTACTGGTGCACACCACCACGCCCGGCTAGTTTTTTGTACCTTTAGTAGAGATGGGGTTTCACCATGCTGGCCAGGCAGGTCCTGACCTCATGATCTGCCTGCCTTGGCCTCCCAAAGTGCCGGGATTACAGGCGTGAGCCACGACGCCTGGCCACCCAGGCTAATCTTGAACTCTTGAACTCTTGAACTCAAGGGATCCACCCGCCTCTGCCTCCCAAAGTGCTGAGATTACAGGCGTGAGCCACTGGGCCCTGTCAATTTACTCAGTTTTTTTTTTTTTAATCTTTCCAAATAAGTGACCAAAATTTAAAAATTGGGAGAGTTCATGTTAAAAAGTGGGTTTATGGCTTCTCCTGAAACCCTATGAGACAAGTATTATGTTTAACCTCCATTTTATAGATGAGACAACTGAAAAATTGAACTCGAAGCTTACATGAAATCACAGCGTTAGCAGAGGCAGAGTGGAGACTTGAACCAGGTCAATCTGGTTCCTGAGTCTGTACTCTTTAACTCCCATGTCATATCCCTGCCAGTTAGATGGGGTTAGTGCTCTCCAGCCCTCCTCTCTCCCTGTCCCCCCATCCTGGGACCCTCTCATACACACAGTTCTCTCTTTCCTGGGACACTCCCTCTACTCTAAGGCTGCCTGGCTCTTCCTCATCTTTCTGCCAACTTTAATGTCACCTCCTTGGAACACACTTCTCTGGGCAAACACAGAGAGTCCTACCTAATTTTTCTCTGTTGCTGACATTTGTGCTTCCTTGATAAAACCTATCACTGTTTCTAATTAATTCTTGTTTGTGACTCTATTTTATCTGTGTCGGCTCCAAAAAGGTAAACACCATTCCTGTGATTGCTATGGTTTGAATGTGTCCCTCCAAAATTCATGTTGGAACTTAACCCCTAAGGCAATGACATCAATAGGTGGGGCTTGGGCCAGGCTTGGTGGCACATGCCAGTAATTCCAGCATTTTTTGGGAGGCCAAGGTGGAAGGTTTGCTTGAGCCCAGGAGTTCAAGACCAGCCTGGGCAACATAGTGAGACCCCCATCTCTACAAAAACAATTTTTTTAAATTAGCCAGGTATAATGGTGCACATCTGTAGTCCCAGCTACTCAGGAAATTGAGGTAAGAGGATCGTTTCGGTTTGAGACTGCGGTGAGCCATGATCATGCCACTGCATTCCAGCCTGGTTGACAGAATGAGACCCTGTCTCAAAAAAAAAAAAAAGAGGTGGGGCTTTGGGGAGGTGATTAGGTCATGAGGGCTCTATGAATAGGATAAATCTCCTTATAAAAAAAGCTCAAGTGAGTTGCAGAGCCCCTTTTTTGTCCTTCCACCATGTGCAGACATGGTATTCATCCCCTCTGGAAGATACGGCAACAAGGCACCATCCGAAAGCAGAGAGCAGCCCTCGCCAGGCACTGACCCTGCCAGCACCTTAATCTTGGACTTCTCAGCCTCTAGAACTGTAAGAAATAAATTTCTCTTGTTTATAAATTACCTAGTTTTGGATATTTTGTTATAGCAGCACAAATGGACTAACAGTGATTTACTCTGAGCCTCTGGCAGACAATAGACCTTCAACAAGTAACTGTTGAATAAAGCAATAAATGGTCTCATTTAACTGGATGTACAGGTGAGGAATATCATAGATGCAGCGTTAAAGAGCTGGGATGTCATCCCATTAGGGGCAGATTCTCAAGACTAGTTTTTCCCCTTTCCTAATTAACTGAACTCTAGGCAAAAGTCCTCAGAGGCAGGAAAGGGTTTTCCTTCTTTAACACATGAAATCAGCGACATCCAGCAGGCTTTGAGGTATGGACCTTATGAGAAGGGAAGAGAAATGAAAATATCTACATATAAGATTCCCACTTGCCTATGATTTGAATGTGTGTTTTTCTCCAAAATTCATGTTGGAACCTAACACCCAATGTGATAACAGTAAGAGGTGGGGGCCTTTTGGGAAGCAATTAAGTCATAAGCACTCCATCCTTAGGAATGAGATTAGTGTTCTTATAAAAAAGGTTGAAGACAGCATCTTAGTCTCTTTTATCCTACAATCCTTTCCACCAGGTAAGAACATAGCGTTCATCCTCTCTGGAGGATATAGCAACAAGGCGCTATCTTGGAAACAGACAGTGGGTCCCCACCAGACACCAAATGTGTCTGAGCCTTGAACTTGGACTCCCCAGTCTCCAAAACTAGGAGAAATAAATTTCTAATATTTATAATTACTCAGTCTGTGGCATTTTATTACAGCAGCAGGAATGCACTAAGACACGTCCCCCCATCAAAAATAACATAATCTTTAAAAGTTTTACCATCTTTTCTTTTGAGTACTGGGTGTTACCTGAATAGTATCCTCTTTTTATTCTATTTTTATTTTATGTATTTATTTTTATGTATTTTTTTTTTTGAGACAGGATCTCTTTTTGTCACTCAGGCTGGAGTGCGGTGAACAATCATAGCTCACTGCAGCCTCCAACTCCTGGCCTCAAGCAATCCTCCCACCTTAACCTCCCAAGTAGCTAGGATCACAGGCACATGCCACCATCCCTGGCTATTTTGTGTGTGTGTGTGTATTTTTTGTAGAGATGAGGTTTCACCATGTTGCCCAGGCTGGTCTTGAACTCCTGGGCTCAAGAGAATCACCCAAAGTGCTAGGATTACAGGCATAAGCCACTGTGCCTGGCCTTGAATACTATCACTTTATTCTCCAGACATCCATTCTTCACCAATCATCCAGGCTTTGGGAAGTAGACCATGTACTGCAGCAATTTCCTGACTCCTGGAACACCGTCTTCAAGGTAGGGGTCTATATGTACCCATTGTAAATTTGAATTGCAAAAAAAATTCTAATTCATTAGGGCCTGACAATTTTTCCTAACATTCGGTAGTTTAAAAACATCCACACATGTGAATACTGCAGACAAATTCATGAAAAGACTAATGGTTTCTCTAGAGTGACAGAAAAATCAATTGTGAAAATCATGAGTTATCACCTACAAGGAATTTATGTGATTCTTTAGGGGATCATTGGTCAATGTGGAAATGTCAAGTATAAGCCCTTTTCAGTTCCCCTAGGTAAGGTTAGCTATTCTTTTTCTGTCTGTGGCTCCACTAAAGCCATTATCATATTGAATTGCAATAATTTGCCTTTGTGTCTATATCCCCATGTGAGCAACTTAAAAGCAGTGAGCACACCACAAACCAATTTGTAACCCCAGCAGAGGGCCAAAAACATTCCAGAGGTACTCAGTCACTATGGAATGAATAAGTAAATGACATAGTCCCTGACTCCAGGAATGTACAATCTAGCTGGAAACTAAGACATAGAAAAGTGGAAAAATAATTCCAAGACAGTTATTTGCTAAGAAGTAAAAGAGAGATTTACAATAATTACTAAAGAGAGAAAAGAGAGACATCAGTGTGTGCTGCAATCCACAGGAAGATGTGTAGGAGGAGATAGTGAAGAGAGAGAGAAAGGCTGTCCAGATATAGGAAATCGCATGGCCAAGATATTCAGGCAGGAAAACACAAGGCATTTAATGAGTTTAATAGATACAGATGGAGTGGAGTGGATGGTTGACTCTGTTGAGATTAATCAACTGATATGGAAACTAAAAATGTCGGCTAGTGCTGTGGTTTGAATATTTGCATCCCTCCAAAATTCATGTCAAAATGTAATCTCCGGCTGGGTGCGGTGGCTCATGCCTGTAATCCCAACACTTTCCAAGGCTGAGGCAGGTGAATCATTTGAGGTCAGGAGTTCATGACCAGCTTGACCAACATGGTGAGACCCCTGTCTCTACTGAAAATACAAAACTTAGCCAGCCGTGGTGGCATGCACCTGTAATCCCAGCTACTCGGGAGGCTGAGGTAGGAGAATCGCTTGAAACGGGAGGCAGAGGTTGCAGTGAGCTGAGATCGTGCCATTGTACTCCAGCCTGGGCAACAAGAGTGAAACTCCAGGTTGAAAAAAAAAAAAATTAATCCTCATCGTGGTGGTATTAAGAGGTGGGGCATTTGGGAAAGTGATTAACTCTCAAACAATGGAATTAATAATGGCCTTTTACAAGTCCATTAGAGAGCTTCCTGGCCTTTCCATCTCTTCTGCCATGTGATGGCACAGCATTTGTTCCCACTTTTGCCCTTCTGCCATGTGAGGACACAGAGTTTGCCCCTTCCACCGTGTGAGGACACAGCAAGAGATGTCATCTATGAACCAGAGGGTAAGCCTTTACCAGACTCAAATCTGCTAGTGCCTTGATCGGGGACTTCCCAGCCTTCAGAACTGTGGAAAAATACGTTTCTCTTATTTATAATTTACCCAGTCTAAGATATTTTGTTATAGTATTCCAAACAAACTAAGAGTAAGGAATAGATCAAGAGGGCCTCTGACATTTAGCTAAGAATTTTAGAAATTATTTAATAAGCTAGAGGGTATTGGAAAGGAAAGTGACAGAAGATATTTTAAGTTTAGTTTAGCAAGATAGAACAGTATGAATTGGAGGTAGAGGTAAAAATATTAAGAGTCTAAGTTGGAATAATGACAATAAAAGAGATGAAAAGTAAAAGCTACCTTATATTTCTTAAGCCTGAGTTACTGAGGAGTAGGAGTTTCATACAGAAGGACTGATCAGCCATAGCACAACTAAGAAAAGTATCCACTACAGCTGGAAGTGTGGAGATGGAGCTTAGAAGAGAAGTCTTTATACGAGATGTTAGAAAAGAAACTTTGGCCAGGCACAGTGGCTCACGCCTGTAATCCCAGCACTTTAGGAGGCCGAGACGTGCGGATCACTTGAGGTCAGGAATTCAAGATCAGCCTGGCCAACATGATGAAACTCCATCTCTACTAAAAATATAAAAATTAGCAGGGCATGGTGGCAGGCGCCTGTAATCCCAGCTACTCTGGAGGCTGAGGCAGGAAAATCACTTGAACTCGGGAGGTGGAAGTTGCAGTGAGCCGAGATCATGCCACTGCACTCCAGCTTGGGCAACCGAGTGAGACACCATCTCAAAAATAAATAAATAAATAAAATAAAAATACAAAAGTTAGCCAGATATGGTGGTACCCACCTGTAATCCCAACTACTTGGGAGGCTGAGGCAGGAGAATCACTTGAATCCGGGAGGCAGAAGTTGCAGTGAACTGAGATCACGCCACTGCCCTCCAGCCTAGGTGACAGAGTGAGACCTTATCTGAAAAAAAAAAAAAAATCATAGAGTCAAAAAGTGGAATGGTGGTTGCCAGGGGCTTGGAGAAGGAAGGAATGGGAAGTTACTGTTTAATGGGATGGAGTTTCAGTTTGGGAAGATAAAAGTTCTGGAGATGTGTGATGGTGGTGATGGTTGCACAATAATGTCACTGAAATGTATGCTTAAAATGGCTAAAATAGTACATTTTATGTTATATATAAAATACACAATGTTACATATAAGAACACAAACATAGTAAGATGATAGTTCTACCAACCATCTTTATGAAAGGAATCATTGATCCCACGGGAGAGGTGAGAGCTCTGAGGAAGAAAATTAGGAGCAAGAAAAGGACAGAGTCTTAGGGATGCCCACATTGAGGGGAAGGAGAAGGAAGTGGGGTTTAGTCAAACCTTCCAAGATTTGACATCCCTACCAATCAAAGTTCTACCCTACAAGTTAAGAGGAAAATCTGAGTCCTATTGATTATTCCTGAGATGTCCAGTGAAGCACTGAAATGCAAAATTGCTGTGGGATGGAAAAGGATGGTAGTGATTTTAAACTACTTTCCAAGTTGTTAGAGTGGCAAGCTATGAATATGTTTTGAACAAATACCAGTAGCTACTTGGCAAGAAAGGAGTTATTAATGGTCACTGGCTTCTAGACAGTTTTTCTTGCAGAACTTGGAGAGAAAAATAAATACATCATGAAACATATTCATTTCAGTCAGTTGTAAATTTGTGGTTCTGTGCATGAGGGAGGTAGAAAAGGATGAGTATATGTATAGATGTGAAGAGGAATATAAGACAAGGGATGATTTTAGGCTTTAATTACAAAATAAAACACCCAGCACCCATGATTATGTTTATTTAGAAAAAGTTTGTCTAGGGAAGCAGGAGTATTAAAATGGTTTAGTTCAGTTTTCAGCAAGAAAAGCTGGTTCTTTGTCACTCCAACCAGGTAGGCAGCTAAAACAATAGGCCTCTATAAATAGCAAATAAGGCTTTCATATGAAAAGATGAAAAAATTGTCAATTTAAAATACAACAAATTTTTCCTGGAAAACATACTCATAGCTGTATTCTCTGGCAGATCCTATTGCTAGAGAAGCAAGTTGTAGGGAGAAAATGGTTGTGTTTCTCCAAGAATACAGGGCAAAATTCGTATATGTTTGTGTGATAAAAACATTAGAACTTGTATGTTTGAGTTGTTTTGTCTATTTCCTTAATTATCTGGAGATAATACTAATACATCTGTCTTTGCAGTGGAAAATCTACACTTAGACATAACTGTCCTCTAAAATTAATCCACCATGTCTCATTCTACTGGATGAACTGTTTTTATATTTTCTTTTCTTTCTTTCTTTTTTTTTTTTCTTTTTTTGAGATGGCATCTCACTCTGTCAACCAGGCTGGAGTGAAGTGGCACAATCTCGGCTCACTGCAACCTCTGCCTCCCAGGTTCAAACGATTCTCCTGCCTCAGCCTCCCAAGTAGCTGGGAATACAGGTGCCCACGACCATGCCTGGATAATTTTTTTGTATTTTTAGTAGAGATGGGGTTTTACCATGTTGGCCAGGCTGGTTTCAAACTCCTGACCTCAAGTGATCCACCCACCTCGGGCTGCCAAAGTGTTCGGATTACAGGCATGATCCTAGCCCTTTCTAACTTTGGCAAAATATCTGATTAAAACATCTTATAATAAACTGGCAATCAAATTTAAAATTGTATTAACTTTTAAGAATTGATTTTTCTTAGCTTCAGGAAGTCCTCTTTTCTTTTTATTTATTTTTAGTTACTTTACTTATTTATTTATTTTGATACAGTCTTGCTCTGTCGCACAGGCTCCTGGAGTGCAGTGGCGCGATCTCGGCTCACTGCAACCTCTGCCTCCGAGGCTCAAGTGATTCTCATGCCTCAGCCTCCCAAGTAGCTGGGATTACAGGTGCGCACCACCACACCTGGCTAATTTTTTGTAGGAAGCTGTCTTTTCTGAACTGAGTTAGGTTAAGTACTGTTTGGGCCTTATTACCTAACACGAAGCAGCTGGATGACATTGGAGACTGAAAACTAGTGGTCCATGGACTGAATTAAGGAAAAAGATATATTTTGTCAGGCCTGAGCTGTGCTTTGAAAGATTTTTAAATGATTAGCCAACAGAAAATACTGGGAAATACACATAAGGATCTGAATTTCAGGATTCTTTTAGAAAAGAAAAGGAAAATCTGACAACCAGGACTCAAATTCTTGAATGGTGTCAGTAGAATAGAGTTGATTTGTGGTTCCCCCTGCCCTCCAGATCACAATAGTCCCCATCTGGCTGACTTTACTTGTTAAAATTACCTGCTTGACTCTCGTGAAACAAGAAACTGATGACTGGGCTGGAAAGCATAGGGATCTCATGATGCTAAAATTTCAAAGCCCTATCAGAGAAAAGAAACTGGATCATGCCTAAGACATACAATACCATAAGTGGATTGAACTGAAATCAACAAAAGTGGCAACCCCAAGTTCTGATTAGACTGAAGAGATTACCCCCAACCAAACCTAGCTTCCTGATAGAGGAAAGGGAATCATCTTGGTGCAGTGGGGAGCAGGGGTGGTGGTGGTAAATATTATTTATAAATACTCATACACACACGGAAGTCTAAAACAAGAAATGCAAAATATGTAAAAAAAAGGGGGGGAAATATGACCCATAATGAAAAGAAAAAAAACTCAATAAAAGCAGACTCACAGGTAACCCTAGTGTTAGAATTAGCAGACAAAAATTTTCAAATAACTATTACAAATATGTTAAACAATTTAGATAAAAAGATGAGTGAAACAAGAGATAAGAGAATCTCAGCTAAAATAAGAAAATGAACTAAAAAAATAACAATATCTAAAATGAAGTATTGATTGTATAAGTTTAATAACAAATCAATATAGCAGAAAAAAGAATAAGTGAACTGCAAGATAGGTCAGTAAAAATTATTCAAATTGAAAACAGAATAAAAGAATGAGGAAAACAAAAATGGGGAACAAAGAATCAGAGACTAAAAGTAAATATTAGGCAACTGAGTTGTCTTTTAGTCTGTTTTATGCTGCTATAACAGAGTACCCATGACTGCATAATGTATAAATAACAGAGATTTATTTCTTACATTTCTGAAGTCTGGGAAGTCCAAGGTTGAAAGGCCTGCATGAGTTGAGGACCTTCTTGCTGCGTTATTTCATGACAGAAGGTGAAAGGGCAAGAGAGCAGGTATATGCATGAGAATGACAGAGAGTGAGAGAGCTAAAATTGATTTCCTCATAAACTAATGCTCACTATAATAAACCCACTCTCATGATTATATTAGTCCATTCACAAGGGCAGAGCCCTTGCGACTTAATCACCTTGTAAATATTCTACCTCTCAACATTGTTGCATTGGGGATTAAGTTTTCTATTTTCTTTTTTTCTTTTTGAGACAGAGTCTCACTCTGTCACTGAGGATGGAGTGCAATGACACAGTCTCGGCTCACTGCAACCTCCGCCTCCCAGGTCCAAGCGGTTCTCCTGCCTCATCCTCCTGAGTAGTTGGGACTACAGGCATGCACCACCACACCTAGCTAATTTTTGTATTTTTAGTAGAGATGGGGTTTCACTATGTTGGCCAGTCTAGTCTCAAATTTCTGACCTTGTGATCCATCCACCTTGGCCTCCTAAAGTGCTGGTATTACAGGCATTAGCCACTGTGCCCAGCCAAGGATTAAGTTTTCAATACGTGAACTCTGGAGGACACATTCAAACCATATATCTAGCATACAGGTAATTGGAATCCAGGAACAGAGGAGAAACTGGGGCAAAATAAATATTTTAAAAGATAGTGGCCAAGAGTTTTCTAAAATTGATGAAAGATATGAACCCATATATCCAATAATCACAGTGAACACTAAGCTAGATTTAAAAAAAAAAAACTATACCTAGAGATATTTTAAAAGAAGCCAGGGCAGGGGAAAGGATCTATTATGCTTATGAATAGAAAAATAAGAATGTTGGTTAACTTCTTAAGAGAAAAAAAACGGAAGACAGAAAATGATGGAACGACATCTGGAAAACAAACAAACAAACAAAACCTGTCAACCTAGAAATCTATACCTTCAAAAGCACCCTTTAAAAATGAAAGCTAAATAAAAACAGAAACAGAAAAAAATTGTCACTTGCAGACCAGCATTATGAGTAACACTCAACGAAGTTTTTCTCCAGGAATCTGTGAACGCCACCAGAATGGGCAAAGATGTGAAAAAACATAAAGTACTCTTTAGAAACTTTCTTTAGGAGACTATTGACCATTTAAAGCAAATAGAATAGCAAAATAATCGATAATGAAAAAATACATGACATTTGCACAAGGGCAGAAGGGTAATAAAATTATACTGTAGTAAGTTTCTTACATTGTTTATGAAATGATAAAATAAGGAAAAGGTAAGAACACATATTGTAATCTTTAGTAACCACTAAAAAAATACCAAGAGATATTACTAGAAAAACAATAGGTAAGATAAAATAGAATACTGGCTGGGCACAGTGGCTCATGCCTATACTTTCAGCACTTTGGGAGGCTGAGGTAGGCAGATCACTTGAAACCAGGGGTTTGAGACTAGCCTGGGCAACAAAGTGAAACCCCATCTCTAATACATACATATATATATATATACACACACATATACATGAATACTGAATAATCCTTATGTAACATATAATATATAATACTGATATATTGAGAATAGTGAATAATTCTTAATTTTTACTTTTTTTTACCTTTTTTTTTTTTTGAGATACAGTCTCACACTGTTGCCCAAGCTGGAGTGCGGTGGAGTGATCTTGGCTCACTGCAAGCTCCACCACCTGGGTTCATGCCATTCTCCTGCCTCAGCCTCCCGAGTAGCTGGGACTACAGGCGCCTGCCACCATACCCAGCTAATATTATTTTTTGTAATTTTTAGTAGAGACAGCGTTTCACTGTGTTAGCCAGGATGGTCTCAATCTCCTGACCTCGTGATCTGCCCGCCTCCACCTCCCAAAGTGCTGGGATTACAGGTGTGAGCCACTGCACCCAGCCAACTTTTTTTTTTTTTTTTTTTTAATAGAGACAGGGTCTTGCTGTATTGACCAGGCTGGTAGCGAACTCTTGGCCTCAAACAATCCTTCAACCTCAGCCTCCCAAAGTGCTGGGATTACAGGCATAAGCCACCATGCCCAGCTGCCACCGCCTCCTCCTTCTTCTTCTTCTTCCTCTTCCTCTTCCTCCTCCTCCTCTCCTTCTCCTTAACTTAATTTGTAAACAAGCAACAAAGGAATAACAAAGAACATATAGGGCCCATTAAACCAATCATATCTATAGCAAATTTAATGTAAATAGAATAACATCACAGTGGAAACTGTCAAACTAAATTTTAACAAAAACAAGACTCAACTATATGCTGTTCACAAGAAACTCTAAGGACACAGACTGAAAGAAAAAAGAGAAAATATATACCATGAAAACACTAATAAGTGATAATAGTGCAAAAAAATTACAGTATACACTAGGTAACCCAGAACTCTCAGCCCCAGGCAAGTGTAATATAAAGGTACATAGGATTGATTATGGAAACATTCTTAGAGGTGATGAGATTTGAGTCTGGTTTTAAAATAGATGAGGTATAAGTGTATCTTTTAGAAGAATTCTGGTTACAGTAAAAGAAAACCTAATTTAAGCTGGCTTAAATGGTAAAGAACATTTATTGGCTCATGTAACTAAAAAAAACCCAAGGAACATGTCAGGCATGTTTTGATCAGGACTCCAACTCAGTATTTCCCTTTTTTTCACAGCTCTGCTCTCCTCCACAAGTCAGCTTCCTCCTCAGGCTAACTTACCTCATGGAAGCAAAGTGTTTAACAACAAGAAGTCTTCCCTCCAAAGGCCCCTTTCTAGTATCAAACACTGGCACTTCATTCTGATTGGGGCAATCTGGACCAATCTCTGAGGCTAGGGAATTCCTTCCTCCCTCCCTCCTCCCTCCCTCCCTCCCTTCCTTCCCTCTCTCTCTCTCTCTCTCTCTCTCTCTCCCTGTCTTTCTTTCTTTCTTCTTGACGGAGTTTCACTCTTGTTGCCCAGGCTGGAGTGCAATGGCGTGATCTCGGCTCACCACAACCTCCGCCTCCCAGGTTCAGGCGATTCTTCTGCCTCAGCCTCCCAAAAAGCTGGGATTACAGGCATGCACCACCACGCCTGGCTAATTTTGTACTTTTAGTAGAGACAGAGTTTCTCCCTGTTGGTCAGGCTGGTCTCGGACTCCCAACCTCAGGTGATCCGCCCACCTTGGCCTCCCAAAGTGCTGGGATTACAAGTGTGAGCCACCATGCCCGGCTCCCTCCCTCCCTCCCTCCCTTCCTCCCCCTTCCTTCCTCCCCCCCCTTTTTCTTTTCCCTCCCTCCCCCCTTCCTTCCTTCCTCCCCCCCCTTTTTCTTTTCCCTCCCTCCCCCCTTCCTTCCTTCCTTCCTTTCTCTTGACAAGGTCTCACTCTATCACCCAGGCTAGACTACAGTGGTGCAATCACAGCTCACTATAGCCTTGGCCTCCCTGGCTCAAGTGATCCTTCCTCCTCAGCCTCCTGAGTAGCTGGGACTACAGGCGGGTGCCACCATGTCCAGATAATTTTAAAATTTTTGGTAGAGATTGTCTCACTATGTTGCCCAGGCTGGTCTTGAACTCCTGGGCTCAAGTGTTTCTCCTGCCTTGGCCTCCCAAAGTGCTAGGATTACAGGTATGAGATACTGTGCCCAGCCAGGATAGGGAATTTCTATGGGCTTAGACCTGAGTTACTACTTATCTTTGAACCAATCACTGTGGCAAGAAGGATGAACTAGCATATTTTATGAAGAATGCTTCTTTCTCATGCCTAATGTTGTCTCAATTAGTGTAACTCTAGCCTCTCTGGCTCTGGCAAGATATATCAACCCATCTGATTGATAATTTTGTAAAACTTAACTGAGAATGCTCTACACAGTTTTCTTTTGGAAAGGCAGAACTGCCATTCCATTTGGGGAACTTCCCTCAGAGAAGAGGAGTTCTCTTCTGTTAATCCATGTAGCAGGACCTATCAAAGTCCATCACGGCCTATGACTGGGTGCCTAGGTCTGCATTATTTGGAGTTGAGTCCACTTGTTTAACAGATTTGAACCATGTGTTCTAGCTGGTTCAAATTGCTGTATGGCAATAAAAGTGCTGTTTGGGACCTTGATATTACTCTGGTTTATCTCTCAACTGATTGTTCAGAATCTAGTTAGAAAAGAGATGACATTACTAGGGACCACTATGAAGCCTCCAGAAAATATTGATTGACTTCCAACAATCAAAGCCTATGCTTATGGCTACAGGCATAGCCCACACTTGATATGGTTTGGATAATTGTTCTCTCCAAGTCTCATGTTGAAATGTGATCCCTAGTGTTGCGGGTGGAGTCTGGTGGGAGGTGTTTGGGTCACAGGGGTGGATCCCTCATGAATGGCTTGGTGCCTGCCCTGAGGTAATGAATGAGTTTTCACTCTATTAGTTCACATGAGAGCTGGTTGTTTAAGGAAACTGGTACCTCCTCCTCTCTCTCTTGTTCCCTTTCTTGCTATGTGACACACCTGCTCCCCATCAGCCTTCTGCCACAAGTAAAACATCCTAAGGCCACACCAGAAGCTGAGCAGCTGCTGGTGCCATGCCTGTACAGCCTGTAGAACTATGAGCCAAATACACCTCTTTCCTTTATAAATTACCCAATCTCAGGTATTCTTTTTCAGCAATGCAAAATTGACTAACACAACACTACTCAAAGCACTTGACTACTACAAATTCCCTAGGCAGGGAGAAGTAGGTTCCCCAAAGAAATATCTAGGTGCTGTCTGGATAAAGGAAGAGCCTGAATGTAGGCTCTGAACGTAGATACCGATATGGTTTTGAGAGGTGACAGCGTGCTGGCAGTCCTCAGAGTCCTCACTTGCTCTCGGCACCTCCTCTGCCTGGGCTCCCACTTTGGCGGCACTTGAGGAGCCCTTCAGCCCACCGCTGCACTGTGGGAGCCCCTTTCTGGGCTGGCCAAGGCCAGAGCCGGCTCCCTCAGCTTGCAGGGAGGTGTGGAGGGAGAGGCGCGAGCGGGAACCGGGGCTGTGCGCGGCGCTTGCGGGCCAGCTGGAGTTCCGGGTGGGTGTGGGCTTGGCGGCCCCGCACTCGGAGCAGCCGGCCGGCCCTGCCGGCCCCAGGCAGTGAGGGGCTTAGCACCTGGGCCAGTGGCTGTGGAGGGTATACTGGGTCCCACAGCAGTGCCAGCCCACTGGCGTTGCACTCGATTTCTCACTGGGCCTTAGTTGCCTTCCCTCGGGGCAGGGCTCGGGACCTGCAGCCCGCCAGGCCTGAGCCTCCCACCCCCTCCGTGGGCTCCTGTGTGGCCCAAGCCTCCCCGACGAGCGTTGCCCCTTGCTCCACTGCGCCCAGTCCCATCGACCGCCCAAGGGCTGAGGAGTGCGAGCGCATGGCGCAGGACTGGCAGGCAGCTCCACCTGCGGCCTGGTGCAGGATCCACTGGGTGAAGCCAGCTGGGCTCCTGAGTCTGGTGGGGACGTGGAGAGTCTTTATGTCTAGCTCAGGGATTGTAAACACACCAATCAGCACCCTGTGTCTAGCTCAGGGTTTGTGAGTGCACCAATCGACACTCTGTATCTAGCTGCTCTGGTGGGGCCTTGGAGAACCTTTATGTCTAGCTCAGAGATTGTAAATACACCAATTGGCACTCTGTATCTAGCTCAAGGTTTGTAAACACACCAATCAGCACCCTGTGTTTAGCTCAAGGTTTGTGAGTGCACCAATCGACACTCTGTATCTAGCTGCTCTGGTGGGGCCTTGGAGAACCTTTGTGTCGATACTCTGTATCTAACTAATCTGATGGGGAGATGGAGAACCTTTGTATCTAGCTCAGGGATTGTAAACCTAGCACCAATCAGCACCCTCTCAAAACAGACCACCCGGCTCTACCAATCAGCAGGATGTGGGTGGGGCCAGATAAGAGAATAAAAGCAGGCTGCCCGAGCCAGCAATGGCAACTGGCTCGGGTCCCCTTCCACACTGTGGAAGCTTTGTTCTTTCGCTCTTTGAAATAAATCTTGCTACTGCTCACTCTTTGGGTCCACACTGCCTTTATGAGCTGTAACACTCACCGCGAAGATCTGCAGCTTCACTCCTGAAGCCAGAGAGACCACAAGCCCACCGGGAGGAACGAACAACTCCAGACGCGCTGCCTTAAGAGCTGTAACACTCACCGCGAAGGTCTGCAGCTTCACTCCTGAGCCAGCGAGACCATGAACCCACCAGAAGGAAGAAACTCCAAACACATCTTAACATCAGAAGAAACAAACTCCAGATGCGCCACCTTAAGAGCTGTAACACTCACCGCGAGGGTCCGCGGCTTCATTCTTTAAGTCAGTGAGACCAAGAACCCACCAATTCCAGACACAGTTTGATTGATAATCTCTCTGTTTGCTTATGTCAATTGGTCAGGATTAATCAGGGCTCTCCAGAGAGACAGAATCAGTAGGACGTATGGATACAGAGATGTAGAAAAACAGAGATAGAGAAATTAGTTTATTATAAGGAATTGATTCACACAGTTATGGAGGCTGAGAAGTCCAAATCCAGGAGAGCTGATGGTATACATCCAGCCTGAGCCTGAGGTCAAGGGCAGGAAACAACCAATGTCCTGGCCCAAAGACAGGCAGAGAGAGAGAGCATCCTTTCTTACTCAGCCTTTTATTCTCTTCAGGCCTCCACTGGATTGGAGGAGGCCCACTCACATTGGAGGAGGGTAACTGCTTTACTAACTCTACCAATTCAAATGTTAATCACATCCAGAAACACCCTCACAGACATACCCAGAATCAAGTTGGACCAAATAGCTGAGCACCCCATGGCCCAGTCAAGTTGACACAAAAAATTTACGGTCACAGTCAGGAAACATATTCACAGATTTAACGCTAAAAGATTCACTGCCAAATGCTAAAAACACAACTGTTTACATGGTGTCACCTCCCCATGCTCAATTCTTGCCTCTCTTCCCAACCTGGTGCTTCAACCTCACACTAGCCTTTCTTCCTTTAATGGAATTGGCCTCACTTTTCTCTGCTCTAGGGCCTTTGTAGATACTGGTCTACATGCAAAAACATATCCCTCTGCCCCCATTCACACTTACCTAACTCCTACTCATCCTTCAAACCTTGTTTTTAATAAATTAGCTGGGTGTGGTGGCACACACCTGGGTTACCAGCTAATCAAGAGGCTGAGGTGGGAGGATCACTTGAACCCGGGAGTTGAGGCTACAGTGAGCTATGATCATGGCACTGCACTCCAGCCTGGGTGATGGTATGAGACCCTGTCTCTTAAAAAAACAGTAAAATCTTTTTTTTCAAGGTACTTTCTCAAGGGGACTCTGCCTTGTTTACCCAGTCTCTTTCCCCATGATGCACTGCCAAACATCATGTACTTCTGGGTGTGGGTGTGGAGGGACTTAAAACCACAGAAATTTGTTGTCTCATAGTTCTGGAGCTAGAAGTCAAGGTGTTAGCAGGGCCACACTCTCTCCAAAGGCTCTAGGGAAGAATCATTCCTGAACTCTCCCAGCTTCCGGTAGTTGCCAGCAATTCTTGGCATTCCTTGGTATGCCCTCATGCAATTTTTCTTGATAGCACTTTTCTAAGTTTATAATTATATGTCTATTTGACGGATGATTGAATCAGTAATACCATCTTCATTTACTTTCCAAGTGACACGTGAATTGAGGCATAGTTATTAGAAGTAGAACTGAAGCAGGGTCCAGCTGAAACATTTTCTCTGGGTACAATGACATGAATTAAAACCGAACAACAAACAAAAAAAAAGTGTGGAGGCAAGCCTGGAAGTGGACTGTAGGAAGCTGGATGACTGGGTCTCCACAAAGCCAGACTGATCCCCAAAATGCTCCAGAGGCTCCCCATCACTCATAGGAAATGCTGATTTTCTTACAGTGGCTTGTAGGACCCTAAACAATGTCCTCATCACCACCTGTACTGTGCTGATCTCTCCTTGACAACCCTCCTTAGCACTTTCTCTGCTGTAGCCATCCTGGCCTCCTTGATGCTCCCAAACACTCCAGGTATGCTCCTGCCTCAAGGCCTTTGACTGGCTCTTTCCTCTGTCCTGAATGATAACTTCTCAGTGGGAGGATGCCCTGACCACCCTAGTTAAACTTGTAACTCACTCCTCAACACTCCTTATCCCACTTTCCCGCTTTTTTTTTCCCCATCTACTTTCCACAAACATAGGGATTTTGTTCTGTTTTGTTTCTGCTGTATTCCTAGACCCTAAAATAAGGCCTGGCACATAGTAGGCCCTCAATAAATATTTGCTGAATTAAAACAGACAGAACAAACAAATATCCACAAAGACAAAGTAAGGCCAGGAATCAAGAGCCAAATAATCAGTTCAAAATCAGGGAAATCCAGGTGCCAAGGTAAGCAAGGAAGAGGGTAGGACCTGGCATGTTAGAAATGAAGTGTAAAGAGTCTGGACATCTTGGCTCACACCTGTAATCCCAACACTTTGGGAGGCTGAGGCAGGCAGATCACTTGAGGCCAGGAGTTTGTGGCCAACCTGGCTAACATGGTGAAACCCCATTTCTACTAAAAATACAAAAATTAGCAAGACATGGTGGCACGTGCTTGTAATCTCAGCTACTTGGGAAGCTGAGGTAGGAGAATTGCCTGAACTCGGGAGGCGGAGATTGCCATGAGCCAAGATTGCGCCACTGCACTGCATCCTGGGTGACAGAGTGAGACTCCATCTCAAAAAAAAAGTGAAGTGTGAAGAGACAAGACCCAGCTGAGAATTAATCTAGAAAGCACTGCTCTTTGGAGATCAATTATGAGAGCACACTGGACCTGGTTATCATGAACAGACTTCCTTGATGCCACGCTGGATGAAAGGAACTTGGGGAACCAGGATGGGTAAATTTGTGCTCTAGCCAGAGAATGAAGCACTGAGTCAAGAGGCAGAGAAACAAACCAAGCAGACATCAAGACTGGAAAAGCTCTGTAGATAGAAATCTGGAAAGATGAATGAACAGAGTAAGTTAGAATGGAGTGAGCAGAGACAGAGAGGTGTACAAGGTAAGCCTGTGGACAGATAGGGTTGAATAACCTTCATGAGTACAGGATTCACCTAACCCTTAAATGATATTTCCCAGTCTTTCACCTCAAGCCCTCTACCTGTTCACTCCAATCTCCCCTGGGCCAAGTCCTTTTTCAGGGTCCTAGTGGCTGCCTACATACTGGATGACTGAAATCTCAATGTCCAGTCTGACTGCCATCTCTGCCAGCCTCAGACTCCAGCTTCCGACCTATTATGTCTCACAATCGTCTCAAATTCAGCATGTCCCAAACCAGTGTTCTTACCTAATGAGAACCTCTTTCTCTTTCAACCTCAGCTGATGACATTTCCACTCATTCCCCAAAGCCAACAGGTCAAACATGAGGCATTGGCAGAACCTAGATCATCTGCCTAAGAAGCAGAGATTGGGTGCTATGAAGAAGTGACCCCCTCAATGGGCCAGACACTGTGCCTGGTGCTTCTCACAAATGACCTAATTTTGCCCTAACAGCATCCTTGCCAACTGAGAATTATTATCCCCAGCTTACATATGAGAAAACTGGGGTTAGGGAAATTGACCAAGGTCATTTAGCTTCCAACTGCGGGAGACGGGTGGGTTCTCTTTTTAGCCCAGTGTACTCTCGTACCAATAAGCCCCATGGCACCAGCATGAGGACTCATTGCTTTTTTCTTTTTTAATAAGTTATTGAGGTAAAATTCAGATAACATAAATACTTAAAAGTAAACAATTCCATAGCATTGAGTATATTCGCAATATTGTACAACCATCACCTCTATCGAATTCCAGAAACATTTTCATCTCGCCAAAGTAAAATTCCTTACCCACTAAGCAGTTTCTCCCCTTTCCACCTTTTCCCAGCCCCTGGCAGGACTCACAGCTCTGAAGCCAGCTTTTTTCCTACTAGATACCCTACATACCTTCCAGCTAGATCAAAAGCAGATTCTTGTCTGCTTTTGATCTAGCAAGAAGGTATGTAGGGTATCTAGTAGGAAAAGCACCCTGGGAGGCTAAGGCAGGAGGATCACTTGAGCTCAGGAGTTCAAGACTAGCCTTGGCAACACATTGAGATGCTGTCTCTACAAAAAAAATTAAACATTAGCCAAGTGTGGTGGTGCATACCTATAGTCCCAGCTACTTGGGAGGCTGAGGCAGAAGGGTTGCTTGAGACCAGGGGGTGGAACCTGCAGTAAGCCATGATTGTGCCACTGTACTCCAGCCTGCGTGACAGAGAGAGAACTTAAACAAACAAAAACCTCATAGATTCTGACAAAAAAGACACGATGCAAAATAATACTGGTGTGAGGGGCAATTACGGGAGACACTCATTTATGTTTTGTCTTCTCTGTTTAGGAGGTGTGGTGTAAGGAGTGACATTTCGGCCCCTCACACTGTTTATTCTTTTGCAGGTGGGTGAGATAGAAGTCTATAAAGGGGAAAGAGAAGAAGCTGATGCTGAAACTTAAGAGATATTTCTCCAAGACTAGAGAAAGACAAGAAGAAGGAGCCTCTGAGAGTGATAAGAGGCCCAAGGTTTGCATGCATGGAGCACCAGTAAGAGATGGCTTCAGGAAGCCAGAGAGCTAGGCCGGGGACACAGATACCTTGGGAACCACAGCGAGAGTGTCCGTGGGCTGAGGCAGTGGTCAGTGGAGAGACCCATTGAGAGGTGACAACATGCTAGTAGCCCTGCCTCGCTCTCGGCACCTCCTCAAGCCACGGTGTCCACTCTGGCCGCGCTTGAGGAACCCTTCTGCTTGCAGGGAGGTGTGGAGGGAGAGGCGCGGGCGGGAACCGGGGCCGTGCCCCGTGCTCGCCGGCCAGCGCGAGTTCCGGATGGGCGTGGGCTCGGCGGGCCCCGCACTTGGAGCGGCCGGCCGGCGCCACCGCACCAGTCAGTGAGGGGCTTAGCACCCGGGCCAGCAGCTGCAGAGGGTGCGCCGGGTCCCTCAGCAGTGCTGGCCCACCGGGTCGGCGCTCGAATTCTCGTCGGGCCTCAGCTGCCTTCCTCCCCCGGCTCCCCCGACTCCCATGGCTGGCGACTGGCAGCCCGCCATGCGCGAGCCCCGGAGCCCCGCCGCCCCGCCCCCTCCCCACCCCCTGCTCCGCGGCGCCCGGCCCCATCGATGCCCAACGGCTGAGGAGTGCGGGCACATGGCGGGGCACTGGTGGGCAGCTCTGCCAGCAGCCTTGGGGCGGGAATCCACTAGGCAAAGCCAGCTGGGTTCCTGAGTGGAGTGGGGACTTGGAGAACTTTTATGTCTAGCTGGAGGATTGTAAATGCACCAATCAGCACTCTGTGTCTAGCATTGGTGGGGGGCAGGGGTTCGTAGACGCACCAATCAGCACCCTGTGTCAAGCTCAAGGTTTATAAATGCACCAATCAGTGCTCTGTGTCTAGCTAATCTAGTAGGGACTTGGAGCACTTTTATGTCTAGCTAGAGGATTGTAAATACACCAATCAGCACTCTGTGTCTAGCTCAGGGATTGTAAACGCACCAATCAGCACCCTGTCAAAACGGACCAATCAGCTCTCTATAAAACAGACCAATCAGCTCTTTGTAAAATGGACCAATCAGCTCTCTGTAAAATGGGCGAATCAGCAGGATGTGGGTGGAGTGAGATAAGGGAATAAAAGCAGGGTGCCAGAGCCAGCAGCGGCAATCTGCTTGGGTCGTCTACCATGTTGTGGCAGGTTTGTTCTTTTGTTCTTCCTAATAAGACTTGTGGCTGCTCACTTTTTGGAGCCTTGCTGCCTTTATGAGCTGTGACACTCACCTGAAGGTATGTAGCTTCACTCCTGAAGCTAGTGAGATCATGAACCCACTGAGAGGAATGAACAACTCCAGTGCTGCCTTAAGAGGTGTAACACTCCCAGCGAATGTCTGTAGCTTCACTCCTGAAGCTAGTGGGACCAGGAACCCAGCAGAAGGAAGAAACTCCGAACACGTCCAAACATCAGAAGGAACAAACTCCAGTCACACTATGTTTAAGAACTGTTAACAGTCACCATGAGGGTCTGCAGCTTGATTATTGAAGTCAGTGAGACCAAGAACCCACCAATTACGGACATACCATGGGAACAGTGTCCCTCAGCCTGCTGAAAGAATCCCTGTGCAAGGGCAGGGAGGGCTGGTCTGAGTAACAAAGTCCTGTAGCAGAGCAGACTGAGGCAATGAAACCCAATGCTTCCAGTTAAGACTGGGCCCCGCCCCACTGGCTGGATAGGACAACGACCCTTCCCAACTTCGATTATATTTTCTGTATTTATTTATTTATTTTGAGATGGAGTTTTGCTCTTGTTGCCCAAGCTGGACTACAATGGCATGATCTTAGCTCACTGCAACCTCCACATCCTGGGTTCAAGCGATTCTCCTGCTTCAGCCTCCTGAGTAGATGGGATTACAGGCAAGCGCCACCAGGCCCAGCTAATTTTTTGAATTTTTAGTAGAAACGGGGTTTCACCATGTTAGCCAGGCTGGTCTCAAATTCCTGACCTCAGGTGTTCTGCCCTCCTTGGCCTCCCAAATTGCTGGGATTACAGGCGTGAGCCACTGCGCCCAGCTTATTTTGAAGAGGAACTACTCAGACTGTGTTCTCTCCCTTTTACTCTCCCCAAGGAAGCGAAGAAAATTATCAATAGAAAATGGCAGGCCGAGCATAGTGGCTCATACCTGTAATTCCAGCACTTTAAGAGACTGAGGCAGGTGGAATACTTAAGGTTAGAAGTTCAAGACCACCCTGGCCAACAGAGCGGTTTTCATTTAAAAAAAAAAAAAAAGCAAGTTTATTAAGGTAAATGAATAAAACAATGGCTACTCCATAGGCAGAGCAGCTGAAACCCTGTCTCTACTAAAATACAAAAATTAGCCAAGCGTGGTGGCACATGACTATAGTCCCAGCTACTCAGGAGGCTATGGCAGGAGAATCGCTTGAACCCGGGAGGCAGAGGTTGCAGTGAGCTGAGATCGCACCACTGCACTCCAGACTGGGCAACAGAGTGAGACTCTGTCTCAAAAAAAAAAATCAATAAGTAAAATCTTAAAGTAGCAAATGACAGTTGCAGCCAAGTAATTCCAAAAGCCAGCTTCACTCGGAGAACCCTGTGCTTCCTCTTATTTCCAGCGATCCACATATTTAGAGAAACTTTTCCAGTAATAAACCATAGAAATTATACCTGGAAGTAGAGTCTTCAACTTGGATTTTTAGGTGAC
Organism: Homo sapiens; assembly: GCF_000001405.40. Taxonomy (NCBI): domain Eukaryota; kingdom Metazoa; phylum Chordata; class Mammalia; order Primates; family Hominidae; genus Homo; species Homo sapiens. The sequence goes on along the minus strand of NC_000004.12, from coordinate 54,147,242 downwards.
CCTAACAAAAGGGGGAAATTTCCCAAAACATATCCGAAATGGACTTTCTCACTGCTTTGGCTAGTCGAGGTTAAGAATCAGAGGTAATTTTAGAACATATAGATGAGGTGACAACTCATACACCCAAGTATGTAGAGCAACTCATATCTACCCCACTGCATTTGGAGGGAAAGTGTTTCCCTGGTGAACTTGTGAGTATAAATAGATGGAAGAAGATGTACTCAAAACAGCAAACTTCTAATTATACAAAATGTTATATTTTCTGCTTAGTGAAGCCACATCCATGTAGATTATGATGCTCTAATCATTACACCTGTCAACACAATGAAATAGCTCAAATCTCTGAAAAACTTTGCTTCACTCTTAATGATGTCAAAAATTACAACTCAAATTAAATCTTCATGTCTCTAATGAAACCTCAACTCTGCAAATTTCCTTATTTAAAAATGCTGTTTTAGCCAAAGAAATGTTTCAAAAATTCTGTATTCAGGCCAGGCACGGTGGCTTACGCCTGTAATCCCAGCACTTTGGGAGGCCAAGGTGGGTGGATTGCTTGAGGTCAGGAGTTCGAGACCAGCCTGGCTGACATGGTGAAACCCCGTCTCTACTAAAAATACAAAAAGCCGGATGTGGTGGTGCATGCCTGTAGTCCCAGCTACTCAGGAGACTGAGGCAGGAGAATCACTTGAACGCAGGAGGCGGAGGTTGCAGTGAGCCGAGATTGTGCCACTGCACTCCAGCCTGGGTGACAGAGCGACGCTCCCTCTGAAAAAAGAAAAAAAAATTCTGTATTCACAAATAGCTTGATACTAGCAATCACTTGTTTACATTGTAAATAGGCAGCAGGCTGAAAATTTTTGATGACTTAATTGCAGGTTCACAGCTATGAAGGCAAGCCAAAGGGCTACCTTGCCAGGTCTGTAAAACTGATGTACATAGTATGAGCTGCTTGATCTTTGAGTAATCACAAAAGACAAATCAGGCTGGGCATGGTGGCTCATGCCTGTAATCCCAGTGCTTTGGGAGGCCGAGGCAGGTGGATTACTTAAGGTCAGGCATTGGAGACCAGCCTGGCCAACATGGTGAAATCCCATTTCTATAAAAAAAACAAAAGTTAGCTGGGCATGGTGGTGTGTGCCTGTAGTCCCAGCTACTCAGGAAGCAGAGGCAGGAGAACCGCTTGAACCCGGGAAGTGGAGTTTGCAGTGAGCCGAGATCATGCGACTGCACTCCAGCCTGGGAGACAGAGTGAAACTCTGTCTCAAAAGAAAAAAAAAAAAGGAAAGAAATAAAAGACAAATCAGCAAAAAGAGGAATTCATAAAAAGAGAATAAAGCTTTGCAAAAAAAGAACCTGTCTTTGGATCTTCAGAAGTGACTAAAATATTTTAATAGGTCCCTTTTAGTGCCTCTTTTTGCTTGCCTATGAAATATTGACAGATCTTCCCAACTGGGGGAAAAAAAACCCAAAATTCATTAAACTCACTGTGTCTTATTTGGTTAAATAAAAAGAGGTAGAAAGACTATTATGAGAAAAGAGAAGCAATAGAAACTGTGGAAATTGGAGTTCCAAACATCAATCTTAATTTGATTGAATAGTAGAAAGTATATAAACTATGGAAATTGATGTTCCAAACATCAATCCGCATTCCTGAGCAATTTTCAAATTGGTCACCAGCTCTCCACTCCTCCTGTCATGAGTCACTTATACCTTAAAAAGTATATCCTCTGAGAATTCTGAAAGGTATCCAGACCTTCCATTAGACAACTTCCAATCCATATGTGCCTCAAAGTTGTGTCTTCATTTTCCTCCTGTTCCATTTCCTTCAGATTTCCACCAAGATATGCATGTTGAGCTTTGTTTTGAGACTACATCCAGATGTCACCTACCTCTCCTGTGGCCTTAAAAAGATTCTATAAGCACAGAGAGATCAGCCTGAGACATCTGAAGACCTAAGCCTGCATCCTTCCTGGTTTTTGGATTAAGGGAATGTAAAGATGAGAGGAAAATGAGCAAGGCGAGGTGATAACTCATTTCTAAATAAAACAGGAATATTTTTAAAAATCTGACACTGCTAAAGGCCAAGTCATACAGTAGGATTCCCACCAGGCCAGGCTGTAAATATTGATTCTCCTCTCTGCAACCCCAGTGTTCAGGCTTCAGAGTAACAGTCTTAGTTCCTCCAACCACATTTCTAACCACAAGGTCACTGCACACTTCACCATCCTGGCCATCTTCCTTTAGCACATACAATTGTAAGTTTAAAAATTTTATCTTTTATTTTCAGTCCTCCCACAGCTGTTGGGACTTGGACAAACCTACCTTATAATCAAATATTTGCGGTGTTTTCTAGTTTGAAAAGCACTGTTCAAAAGTTATCTCATTTAATCTTTACAACTGTTGACTTTACAGATAAAGAAAACTGCAGATCAGAAAAGTTAAATAAATGCCCAAGGACACACAACTTGTAAGAAAAGAAGCCAGGGCTAGGCTAGGCCGGCTGCAGTGGCTCACGCCTGTAATCCCAGAACCTTGGGAGGCCAAGACAGGCGGATCATCTGATGTCAGGAGTTCGAGACCAGCCTGGCCAACATGGTGAAACCCCGTCTCTACCAAAAATACAAAAATTAGCTGGGTGTGGTGGTGGGAACCTGTAATCCCAGCTACTCAGGAGGCTGAGGCAGGAGAATCACTTGAACCCAGGAGGTGGAGGTTGCAGTGAGCCAAGATCGTGCACTCCAGCCTAGGCAACAAAAGTGAAACTCCGTCTCAAAAAAGAAAAAAAAAAAAAGAAGCCAGGGCTAAAACCCACCTGTGCCCTTCATCTTCTAGTTCTGGGTTCTTTTCATGCCACCAATTGCACTTCAAAGAAGTGGAAACATTTTGAAGTTTTTGATAAGACTAGTAGCAAGGCTTATTTTCAAATAGTCTATGAATTTTTATAGCTTGTAGAAGGTCTGAGGAAGATATAATTTCATTTGTATCACTTCAGAAGCAATACAAAAAAAAGTATTATCCTATTTCTTTATTTTATATTCTAGGCCTATTAGAGAACAATAAATTAGATAAACTCAAAATCCACTTAGGCCTTCATGTATCCTTTTTTTTTTTTTTTTTTTTGAGACCAAGTCTCACTCTGTCACCCAGGCTGGAGTGCAATGGCATGATCTAGGCTCACTGCAACCTCCTGGTTTCAAGCGATTCTCTCAACTCTGCCTCCGGAGTAGCTGGGACTGCAGGCACGTGCCACCATGCCCAGCTAATTTTTGTATTTTAGTAGAGATGGGGTTTCACAGTGTTGGCCAGGCTGGTCTTGAACTCCTGACCTCAAGTGATGAGCCTGCCTCAGCCTCCCAAAGTGCTGGGATTATAGACGTCAGCCACCACACCCCACCTGCTCTGATATTTATTATTTCTTTTCTTCTGCTAATTTTGAGTTTGGTTTGCTCTTGCTTTTGTAGTTCTTTAACACGTACCATTAGGTTATTTATGATTATTAGATTAGTTTTTCTTCTTTTTAAATGTAGATACCTATAATTATAAAATTCCCTCTTAGTACTGCTTTTGCTGTATTCCATAGGTTTTGGTATGTTCTGTTTCCATTATCATTTGTTTCAACAAATTTTTCAATTTCCCTCTTAATTTCTTCATTGACCCACTGGTCATTCAGAAGCATATTGTTTAATTGCTGTGTATTTTTATAGCTTCCAAATCTCTTGTTTTGTTACATTGTGGTCAGAGAAGATGCCTGATGTTATTTCAATTTTTTTGAATTTTTTAAAGCCTTGTTTTGTGATTTAACATATGGTCTATTCTTGAGAATAATCCATGTGCTGAGGAGAAGAATGTGTATTCTGCAGCCTTCAGATGAAATGCTCTGTAAATATCTATTAGGTCCATTTGTTCTATAGTGCAGTTTAAGCCTGATGTTTCCTTGTTGATTTTCTGTCTAGAAGATCTGTCCATTGGTGAAAGTGGGATGTTAAAATCTCCAGCTATTATTGTACTGAGGGCTGTCTTTTTACCTTAAATAATATTTGCTGCTTCATATATCTGGATGCTCCAGTGTTGGGTGCATATATAATTGTTATATCTTCTTGCTAAACTGACTCCTTGATTATTATATAATGACCTTCTTTGTTTCTGCCGCCTATAGAGACAAAGAAGGTTATTATATAATGATGAAAGAGTCCAGTTTTTTGTTGTTGTTGTCATTTTTTGAGATGAAGTCTCACTCTTTCACCCAGGCTGGAGTGCAGTGGCACAATCTTGGCTCACTGCAATCTCTGCCTCTAGGTTCAAGTGATTCCCCTGCCTCAGCCTCCCGAGTAGCTGGGACTACAGGTGCCCACTACCACACTTGGCTAATTTTTGTATTTTTAGTAGAGACAGGGTTTTCACCATGTTGGCCAGGCTGGTCTCCAACTCCTCATATCAAGCGATCCGTCCGTCTCAGCCCCCCAAAGTGCTGGGATTACAGGCGTGAGCCACTGTGCCTGGCCCATTGTATGTTTTTCAATTTGGGGTTACCATGAGGCTTGCAACTACTGTTTCATAACCCATTGTTTCAAACTGATGACAACTTAACACTGATTGCATAAACAAACAAATAAGCAAAAAGAAAACTAATAAAAACTCTTAACTTCATCCTCCTGCTTTTTAACTTTTTGTTGTTTCTCTTCATGTCTTATTGTACTGTCTGTCATGACAAATTGCTGTAGTTATTATTTTTGATTAGTTCATTGCTTAGTCTTTCTGCTTAAGAGTATTTTGAACACCGTAATTAAAGTGTTATAATATTCTATGTCTTTCTGTGTGCTATTACCAGTGAGTTTTGTAGCTTCACGTGACTTCCTATTGCTCATCAATGTCCTTTTCTTTCAGATGTAAGAACTTTCTTTAGCATTTCTTTTTTTTTTTTTGAGATGGAGTCTCACTCTTTTGCCCAGGCTGGAGTGCAGTAGCATGATCTCAGCTCACTGCAACCTCTGCCTCCCATGTTCAAGCAATTATAGTGCCTCAGCCTCCCAAGTAGTTGGGTCTACAGGCATGCGCCACCACACCCAGCTAATTTTTGTATTTTTAGTAGAGACACCTGACCATGTTGGTCAGGCTGGTCTGGAACTCCTGGCCTCAAGCAATCCACCCGCCTCAGCCTCACAAACTGCTGGGATTACACGCATGAGCCACCACGCTTGGCCTCCTTTAGCATTTCTTATAGGACAGGTCTAGTGTTGATGAAAATCCCTTAGCTTTTGTTTGTCTGGGAAGGTCTTTATTTCCCCTTCATGCTTAAAAGATATATTTTGCTGAATATACTATTCTAGGGTTAAAGTTTTTTTTTTCCCTTCAGCATTTAAAATATGTCATGCTAGTTTCTCCTGGCCTATAAGGTTTCCACTGAAAAGTCTGAGGCCAGATGTATTGGAGCTCTATTATATTTTATTTGTTTCTTTTCTGTTGCTGTTTTTAAGATCCTTTCTTTATCTTTGACCTTTGGGAGTTTGATTATTAAATGCCTTGAGGTTGTCTTTTTTGGATTAAATCTGCCTGATGTTCTATAACTTTCTTGTACTTGAATATTGATATCTTTCTCTGGGTTTGGGAAGTTCTTTGTTATTATCCCTTTCAATAAACTTTCTATCCCCATCTCTTCCTCAACCTCCTCTTTTTGGCCAATAGTGCTTAGATTTGCCCTTTTAAGGCTATTTTCTATATCTTGTAGACATGCTTCATTGTTTTTTACTCTTTCTTTTTGTCTCCTCTGACTGTGGATTTTCAAATAGCCTGTCTTCAAGCTCATTAATTCTTTCTTCTGCTTGATCACGTCTGTTATTAAGAGACCCAGATGCATTCTTCAGCATGGCAGTTGTACTTTTCAGCACTAGAATTTCATTTCTTTTTAATAACTTCAATCTCTTTGTTAAATTTGTCTGATAGAATTCTGAATTCCTGGCCAGGCGCAGTGGCTCACACCTGTAATCGCAGCACTTTGGGAGGCTGATCACTTGAGGTCAGGAGTTCAAGACCAGCCTAGCCAAAATGGCAAAACTCCATGTCTACTAAAAACATAAAAATTAGTTGGGTGTGGTGGCACATACCTGTAATTCCAGCTACTTAGGAGGCTGAGGTGGGAAGATCACTTGAACCCAGGAGGCAGAGGTTGCAGTGAGCCAAGATCGTACCACTACACTCCAGCCTGGGCGTTCATCTCAAGAAAAAAAAAAAAGAATTCTGAATTTCTGTTTTGTGTTTCTTGGATTTCTTTGAGTTTCCTCGACACAGCTACTTTGAATTCTCTGTCTGAAAGGTCACATATCTGTTTCTCCAGGATTGGTCCCTGGTTCCTTATTTATTTTGTTTGGTGAGGTCATTTTCTCCTGGATGGTCTTGATGCTTGTAGATGTTCGTTAATGTCTGGGCATTGAAGAGTTAGGCGCTTATTGTAGTCTTCACAGTCTGGGCTTATTTGTGCCCATCCTCCTTGGAAAGGCTTTCCGGGTATTTTGAAGGAACTTGGGCCCCAAGTCCAATAATATTATGTTTCTTGCAGACTCATAGAGGTGCTGCTCTGGTAGTCTTGGATAAGATCTGGAAGAATTCTCTAGATTACCAGGCAGACACTTTTATTTTTTTCTCTTATTTTTTCACAAGCAGCGTCTCTCCCTGACTCTGTGCTGAGTCTCCTGGAACTGGAGGTGGAGGGACACAAGTACCCTGTAGCCACCACCACCAGGACTGTGCTGGCTGAGACATGAAACCAGCACAGCACTGGGCCCCACCCAAGGCCTGCTGTAACTACTATCTGGCTACCACCTAAGTTCACTCTAGGACCTAGGGCTTTATGATCAGCATATGGCAAAGCCAGTCTGATTTATGTCCCTCCATTCAGGGCAGTGAGTTCCTCCAGACCTAGGTTGGTCCAGAGATGTTGTCTGAGAGCCAGGGATTTAAGTCAAATACCTTAGAAATTTACCGGGTATTCTACTCTACTGCAGCAAAGCTGGCACTCAAACCATAAGACAAAGTCCTTCCCACTTTTCTCTCCCTGTGGCCACCACCATAAGCACCCCACGAGGGGTTCTGCCAGGCTACCGCTGATGTTCACTTAAAGCCCAAGGGCCCTTTTGTCAGCTTGTGATGAGTGCTGCCAGACCTGACACTCACTCTTCAGAGTAGTGGGCTTCCTTCTGGTCCATGGCAGGTCCAGAAATGCTAACCAAGAGCCTAGGCTTGGACGTGGGGACCTGAAGAGTCTGCTTATTGCTCCACCCCACTGTGGCTGAGCTGGTACCTGAAGTGCAAGACGGAGTCCCCTTTACTTTCCCCCCTGTTTTTCTCAAACAGAAAGATCTTTCGCTGTAGCCACCACAGCTGGGAATGTGCTGGGTCACACTTGAAGCCAGCATGTCTCAGAGCCCAAGGCCCATAGTGTATTACCTGGGTATTGCTGGTGGTTATTCAGGGCCTAGGGGCTCTTTTGTCAGCAGGAGATGAATCCTGCCAGGTCTCCACTGTGAGACGGCAGCACTAAGTTCAATGTAAAGTCCCCCGGTTGCTGTGCTCTCCCTCTCCCAAGCACAAAGATTTCTCTGCACCACATGGCCACTGCTGGGGGGTGAGGGAAGGGTGACAAAAGCACCCTCCCAAGCCACCCCGGCTGGTGTCTCAGTAGGTTTCATGCCTGCCCAGTCCACTGGCTCTGAGCCCAGCTCAGCACTAGGACTTGCCTAGGAATTGCACTCCTTGTGACCTAGACTGACCCTTAAGTTCACTTAGTGCCCCAGAGCACTCCAGCCCACGGTAATGAGGCTTGCTGGAACTCAAGCTCCCACCAGTGGGATGGACAATTTCTCTCTGGCTAGAGCTGGGCCAAATGAACATCAGCTGAGTAGAACCTGGTTCTGCTTTCCACTGTAACAGGGGAGCACTGGGTTCAATGAAAAGCCTCACAATTGCTGCACTTTCCCTCTCCCAAGCACCCAGATTCTCTGTGCTACATGGCCGCTGCTGGGGGATGAAGGAGGGGTGGCGTCAGTGCTTCAATGCTGTCTTTCCTGCCCTCTTCAATGTCTCTTTCAGTGATATAAAGTTAAAATCAGGTACTATGATTGCTCACCTGATTTTTGGTTCTTATGATGGTGCTTGTTGTGTGTAGTTAGTAGTTAAAATTTGGTGTTGCTATGTGGAGGATGAACAGTATAAGCCTCTATCAGCCGTCTTGCTCTACCCCATTCTCTGTTAATTTCTCAGGCACCAATAAGTGTGTGTAACTGTAATATGCCCATTACCCAATGTGCACAGCAAGTCAACGTGCTGATATATTGGATTGCAGCAGAGAAAGAGGTTTAAGCGAAGGGTTGCTGAATGAGGAAATGAGAGTAAACCTAAAATCCATCTCCCTGAGAAATTTGGGGCTAGGATTGTTAAGGGTTTTGGAGTTGGCTGAAGTGTGGAGATATTGATTGGTCGAAGAGTGCAGGGTGAAATCATGGCCCAGGAAGATGAAAAAATGTGTTTTCATGCTGATTCAGTTCTGCTGTGGGGGTCTTCAAACTGGTTGGCATCAGCCATTCCACTGGAATTCAGAGTCTGCTTAAGCAATTCTTAAACAAGTCTTATGAATCTAATGTCAGAAATCCTATCTATAGGAAAAACAGGGTTGCAAATTGTGAGTATCTAGTGCTATGTGACTTTTGGTTACAAAGAAGTGGGTCAAAATATAGCATGATTAATGCTTAATTATAGCTATATTTCTGTCCAAAATTCTTATTAACCCTGTGAGAATGGCTTTATTAGTAATTGGTAAGTCAAGTCTGTGCTTTCTAGCAATAGCACTGGGTATTTCTACCCTAGTAGAAGGCACGCACATATAGCCAATGTCTTATCCTTGCTTCTCTGCTCTTCTATGTGTTGAATTAATTTTAGCTGGGCTGGGAACAGTGACCTTCAGCATGGCTCCAATCACTTTATACTTACCAGGGAAGCTTTTTAAACATTTCATTCCTAGGCTTTGCTTTATATGTACATAAGTCAAAGTTCCTGGAGGTGGTGGTCTAAAATCTGTATCTTTATCTTTATCTTCCTGAATAATTTTAGGACCATATTTAGCATTTGAAAACCTCTGGCATAGGCTATGCAAACAGAAACTCTCTTATCCGACCTCTACTTAACTGGCTTTTCAATTTTGTAAAATGTAAGAAATGAGGCTCACAGCATGTTGCTACCCTTCCTGTATTCTCCAGTGGTAATTATTGCTTAGTGTGTATTCTTTCAGGCCACTTCTAATGTACTTCAATGGATAAATATGTGCTTATTAAATATATATAGTAGAAAATATGCTTTTAAGAAAATGGCATGCCTGATGAATCCTTCTGCAACTTGCTTTTTACACCTACCAATGGAATTTGGAGATCTTCCCAGATAAGAATACATGGCTCCATCTCATCCTTATTAATAGCTGCCTAGTTTTTCAAAGTTGGACCTGGTTTATTTAGGTGGTCATTTATTGATGGACATTTTAAGCTTAACATCTCTTCCTATTTTAAACAATGGTCCAATGAATATGCTTGTACATTTTTCCTTGTGTGCATGGAGGTTAAAATGCAGTCATTGAGTGTGCATTTTAAACATTTCAGTAGAATCTGTCAAATTCCGCTTACAGGTTACTGCACCAATATATATTCCCACCAGCAGAGCATGAAATATCTATTTTATCCATGGTCTTGCCAGTATTTGATAATATCAAACTTGATTATTTATTTATTTATTTGACACAGGGTCTTGCTCTGTCACCCAGGCTGGAGTGCAGTGGTGCGATCACTGCTCACTGCAGCCTCAATCTTCCAGGTTCAAGTGATCTTCCCACCTCAGCTTTCCAAGGAGCCGGGACTACAGGTATGCACCACTATGTCCAGCTAATTTTTGTATTTTTTTGCAGAGATGGGGTTTTGCCGTGTTGCCCAGGCTGGTCTCAAACTCCTCAGCTCAAGCAATCTGCCCACCTCAGCCTCCTAAAGTGTTGGGATTACAGACATAAGCCACTGCATTTGGCCCAAACTTGATTTTTTTTTTCTTGCCGATATATCTAATAAGTGTTACTTCATTTTAATAAAAATTTGCATTTTGCCATTTTTAATGAGGCTGTGTTTTTGCATATGTTTATTGACCATTTCTATTTCCACTTTTTTGAACTGCCTGTTGATGCATTCTTATACATAATTGTGTCAGTAATATTTTTGTTTTTGAAAATTAAACTTTTCTCTTAATTTTTAATTTTTAAAAATGTACATTTGGGGCATATGTGATAATTTAATACATTTATATTATTTGTAAAGATCAAATCAGTGTAATTGAGATATCCATTACCTTAAATATTTGTCTTTTATTTATGCTAGAAACACTTGCATTATTGTTTTCTAGCTATTTTGAAATATGCAATAAACTATTGTAAGCTATAGTTTACAAATATAGTCACTCTACTGATCTAGCAAACACTAGATCCTATTTCTTCTATCAGACTGTATATTTGTACCCATTAACCCAGCTTTCTTCATTCCCCTCACCCTTCCTGGCCTCTGGTAATGACAAATTTATTTTCATCTTCATGAGATCCACTTTTTAAGCTCCCACATAAGAATGAGAACATGTGATATTTGCCTTTCTGTGCTTGGCTTATTTTGCTTAACATAGTAACCTCTAGTTCCATCCAAGTTCCTACAAATGACAGGATGTCATTCTGTTTTATAGATTAACAATATTCCATTGTGTATATATACCACATTTTCTTTATCCTTTCGCCCAATGATGGGTACTTAGGTTGATTCCATAGTTTGGTTATTGTGAATAGTGCTCCAGTAAACATGAAAGTGCAGATATCCCTTTGACATATTGATTTTGCTTCTTTTGTATATATACCCAGTAGTGAAATTGCTGGATCATATAGCAGTTTTTAGTTATTTGAGAAACCTCTATATAGTTTTCCATAATAGCCGTACTAATTTACATTCTCACCACCAGTGTATGAGTGTTCCTCTTTCTCCACATTCTCAACAGAGTCTGATATTCCCTGTCTTTTTAATAAAAGCCATTTTAACTGACTTGTGATAATTCATTGTGGTTTTGATTTGCATTTCTCTGATAATGAGTGATGTTGAACATTTTTTTATATACCTGTTGGCTATATGTATGTATTTTTTTTTGAGAAATGTCTATTCAGATTGCTTGCCCATTAAAACAATTGAATCATTTGTGTGGGTTTTTAAATTTAATTTAATTTAATTTTTTTTTTTTTTTACCATTGAGTTGTTTGAGCTCCTTATATATTCTGGTTATTAATTTCTTGTTAGGTGGATAGCCGTAAATATTTTCTCCCATTCTGTGGGTTGTCTCTTTGCTCTGTTGCTTGTTTCTTTTGCTGTGCAGAAGCTTTTCAGCTTGATATAATCTCATTTGTCTATTGTTGCTTTGGTTGCCTGTGTTCTTGAGGTCTTACACAAAAATCTTTGCCCAGACCAATATCTTGGAGAGTTTCCCCAATGTTTTCTTCCAGTAGTTTCATGTCTTAGATTTAAGTCTTTAATCTATTTTGGTTAGTTCTGTTGTATACGGTAAGAAATAGGGGTCTAGTTTCATTCTTCTGCATATGGTTATCCAGTTTTCCCAGCACCATTTATTGAAGAGACTGTCCTTTACCTAAGGTATGTTCTTGGTGCCTTTGTCAAAAATGAGTTGGCTGTAAATGTGTGGATTTATATCTGGGTTCCCTATTTTATTCCACTGGTGTATGTGTTTGTTTTTATGCCAGTACTATGCTGATTTGGTTACTATAGCTTTGTAGTACATTTTGAAGTCAGGTAATGTGATGCCTCCAGCTTTGTTCTCTTTAATTAAAAAAAAAATTTAGAGGCAGGTTCTTTCTCTGTCACTCTGGCTGGAGTGCAGTGGTGCTATCATGGCTCACGGCAGCCTCAACCTTCTGGGCTGAAATATTCCTCCTGCCTTGGCCTGCCGAAGTGCTGAGATTACAGGTTCAAGCCATCACACCTGGCCTAGCTTTGGTTTATTTTGCTCACGACTGCTTTGCCTATGTAAGGTCTTTTGTGGTTTCATGTAAATTTTAGGATTTTGTTTCTATTTCTGTGAAGAATGTCATTGGTATTTTGATTGAGATTGCATTGGATCTATAAATTGTTTGGAGTAAGATTATCATTTTCATAATATTAATGATTTCAATTCATGAGCCTGGAACATCTTTCCACTCTTTGTGTCCTCTTCAATTTCTTTAATCAGTACTTTATAGTTTTCCTTATATATATATCTTTAACTTCTATGGATATATTGGTTCCTAGATATTTTATATTCTTTGTAGCCATTGTAAATGAGATTGCTTTTTTGATTTGTTTTTCAGATTGTTACTGCCCACTTACAGTAGCTTATGTAAGTGCTACTGATTTTTGTATGTTGATTTTGTATCCCACAATTGTACTGACTTTGTTATTTCTAACAATGTTTAGGTGAAGTCTTTAGGTTTTTCTAAGTATAAGATTATATTGGCTAGGCATGGTGGCTCATGCCTATAATCCTAGTACTTTGGGAGGCCAAAGTGGGTGGATCACTTGAACCCAGGAGTTCGAGACCAGCCTGGGCAACAAGGCAAAATCCCATCTCTATGAAAAATACAAAAATTAGCCAGACATAATGGTGTGGGCCTGTAGTCCCAACTACTCAGGAGGCTGAGGCAGGAGGATTGCTTGAGCCTGGAAGGTTGAGGCTGGTGTGCAGTTACACCACTGTACTCCAGCCTGGGTGAGACAGAGAGGGAGACCCTGTCTCAAAAAATAAAAAATAAAAATGAAAATAAAATTATGTCATCTGTGAACCAGACTGAGTTGACTTCTTCCTTTGCCATTTGGAAGCCCTTTATTTCTATCTCTTGCCTAATTGCTCTGGCCAAAATAAAACTCTTTTTAACCTTAGAGAAAACTGAGCAGCCATAGTCTACCAATGAGTTAGGCTTTGGAGATGGTGTGTCCTGTGTTCTGAATATTTGCATCCCTCACCAAATCCAAATGTTGAAATCCTAATCCCTAAGGCAATGGTACTAGGTGGTCAAAGCCTTTAGGAGGTGATTATATTACAAAAGTTGAACCCTCATGAATGAGATTTGTGTCCTTATAAAATAGGCCTGAGACCCCTTACTTCCACCTTGTGAGGACATAGTGAGAAGTTTCCCTCCATTAGGAAGGTGGCCCTCAACCAGACACCAAATCTGCTGTTGCCTTAATCTTGGACTTCCCAGTTTCAGAACTGTGAGAAATAAAATTTCTGTTATCTATAAGCGACCCAGTTTATGATATTTTGTGATGGCAGCCTGAGTGAACTAAAATGGTGGGGTATGACATCTTTGAGCTCATCAGGATATGCTGCAGTACAGTTAAGACTGATTGAATTTGCAACAGTAGGACTGATCCATTGATTACGTGGCCTATTGCAGTATGCAGAAAGACAAAGGGGTAGAATCCCTCACCTTACACCAATTAGTACCTGTCAGGGTTTAGTGCAGGAAAAAGCTATTTTAATCAGGAAGGAACTTAGTAGAGAAAGTTAGATGCTTACAAAACCATTGAAAGATGGTTTTGAAAGGAGCAAAAATTGGTCACTAGGACTAGGCTTTTGGCTTCAAGGTGATACATTGCCACTTCTGGGGTCCAGAGGTCAGGAAGCCACTGTGGCAGTAGAATAGGCAATGTTGCCCAGCACTGCCCACACTCACATCTATTGGAGCCTACATGTGCTCCTGCACCTCCACAGGAATACAATGGCCTCCACCTCTCTTCCGCTTTCTTTTCCTTCCTTCGTCCCTCCCTCCCTCCCCTCTCTCTCTCTTTCTCTCTCTGTTTTTCTTTCTTTCTTCTTTCTTTCTTTCTTTCTTTCTTTCTTTCTTTCTTTCTTTCTCTCTCTCTCTCTCTCTCTCTCTCTCTCTCTATTTCTTTTTTGACAAGGTCTCACTATGTTGCCAAGGCTGGTCTCAGACTCCTAAGTTCAAGTGATCTGCCTACTTCAGCCTCCCAAAGTGTTAGGATTATAGGCGTGAGCCACCGTGCCCAGCCTAGCCACTGTGCCTCACTTTCTTCTATTTTCAAATGTCATGTAACTGCCTCAAGGGCAGAGACTACATCTAAACTCCTAGCTGCAAGGGAGCCTGGATACTGTAGTTTTTAGCTATCAATGCAAAAAATAGAGCATGTGAAGAGAATAGCAGTAGATGCTGAATATCAAAAGTCTCCATCCTTCCAAAATACAGTCATGTGCCACATAACCATGTTTTGGTCAATGATGAACCACATGTATGATGGTGATACCATAAGATTATAATGGAGCACATATAGAAACCTGATACCTGGCACAAGATACTGGCACTGCACATTAAGTGGGGGAAAAGATTGATATTCAATAATGGTGATAGGGCATTTAGTTTTCCATGTGAAGAATATATATAAATAATAATATATATACCTTCTAGGTCTGTGGAAGTACATGCTACGATCTTTGCACAATGACAAAATCTAGTGATGCGTTTCTCAGAATGTGTCCCAGTTGTTAAGCTCCGCATGACTGTATTGAAACTTAAGTTGCCATCTGGCACTTACTAGGTGCCTACCTCCTGCAAAGCATTCTCATTTATCTAATAGATGAATGAATAATCACTTAATAGGTAGAATTTCCATTAAGTGTATCAAACTCTGCTGATAGACAGTACTCAGTATCTGTAGTACTCTGCAAATCTCCCCATTCCCCATTTAAGGTATCAGGGTCTGGCAGGTGCAGAAGTGAAATGGGAGGCAACAGAAGCTCTCTTAGTCCCTTCCTCTCTCAAATCAGATCCCTTTACAGCTGCTCATCTTCAGGTCAGAGGCAGTGCAACTGTATAACTTGAAATCATGATAGTCTATTTTCTAACATTTTATTATCAGTAGATCATGTTTTCTTTACTCAAACACACTATGTGTAATAGTCCTCTTCTAGCCACTCTCATGGCATATTACTCTATGAAACACTTTAATCAAAGATAAAATGTGACTCTTTTTGACATCTTAAAGGCATCTACCCCCAAAAGGTATCTACAGCAAACATTTATTGCTGGTGAAATCTTTCTAGTAGATTACAGTTAATACATTATTGGTTTATTATCATTTGCATATGTATGGGCAACACTACGTTTTTTCAAAAAAGGCAACCTAGAAATACCATTTGACCCAGCCATCCCATTACTGGGTATATACCCAAAGGACTATAATTCATGCTACCATAAAGACACATGCACACGTATGTTTATTGCGGCACTATTCAGAATAGCAAAGACTTGGAACCAACCCAAATGTCCAACAATGATAGACTGGATTAAGAAAATGTGACACATATACACCATGGAATACTATGCAGCCATAAAAAATGATGAGTTCATGTCCTTTGTAGGGACATGGAAGAAATTGGAAATCATCATTCTCAGTAAACTATTGCAAGAACAAAAAACCAAACACCGCATGTTCTCACTCATAGGTGGGAATTGAACAATGAGAACACATGGACACAGGAAGGGAAACATCACACTCTGGGGACTGTTGTGGGGTGGGGGTAGGGGGGAGGGATAGCATTAGGAGATATACCTAATGCTAAATGACGAGTTAATGGGTGCAGCACACCAGCATGGCACATGTATACATATGTAACTAACCTGCACATTATGCACATGTACCCTAAAACTTAAAGTATAATAATAATAAAATAAAATAAGAAAATTAAAAAAATAAAAATAAAAAAATAAAATAAAATAAGATCATATCATTAAAAAAAAAAAAAAAAAGGCTAGCTTGGAACCCAGGCACCACACGCCATTACTGGCTTCCTGAGTACACATCCTTTAGCTCTTACCTACAATTCTCTCCTAGAAATTATTGTTTGAATGCTGTGTCCAGAAGGTAACATATATATGTGTATACACACACACATACACACATGTATGAAAAACTAAATTGCTGCTTAGACATATAGAAAAGTTTTCCAAATTTTTGAATTCATAAAGTCTATCAACCTGATAGCATTTCTCAAAAAATTTTTTCAATGGGTAGAGGACTTGTGCTTTTCTTTTATTCTATTGAGAAATTCTCAAACCTCTAAGAAATTGTGCAAAGGAAATTTAAATCATATGAAGGACATAGTCAAAATGTGTAGCTACAAGGACTACACATTTCAATTGTTGAGAAACAGTTTACTCTCAATAATTTGTGAATGTTTGTTTTAATCTGCCAAATTCTGAGGAAGATAGTGTAAAAAGATATAATTTTTAAGGTATTTTTAATAAATCTGGTAACTTTTTGATCAGAGGACATTCAAATAAAATGTAGAGTATAGAGCAGAAATTCAGATGCAGTTTTTTTAAAATGTAATGTATGGGCCGGGCTTGGTGGCTCACACCTGTAATCCCAGCTAGGAGTTCAAGACCAGCCTGGCCAACATGGTGAAACCCAGTCTCTACTAAAAATACAAAAATTAGCTGGGTATGGTGACGTGCACTTGTAATCCCAGCTACACAAGAGGCTGAGGCAGGAGAATAGCTTGAACCCAGGAGGTGGAGGTTGCACTGAGCCAAAATCACACCTCTGTGCCTCCTGAGTGACACAGCCAGATTCTATCTAAAAAAAAAAAAAAAAAAAAAAAAAAAAAAAAAAAAATCAGAGCAGAAATGAATGAATTTAAAATGAACGAAAAATACAAAAAATTGACAGAACAAAAAGTTGGTTTTTTGAAAATATAAAATCGGCAAATCATTATCCAGACTAAAAGATAAAAAGAAAGAAGACAAAATAAATAAAATCAGAGATGAAAAAGGAGGCATTACAACTGATATCACAGAAATTCAACGGATCATTAGTGGCTACTATGAGCAACTGTATGCCAACACATTGGAAAGTCTAGAGGAAATGGATAAATTCCTAGACACATACAACCTACCTACCAAGATTGAACCATGAGGAAATCCAAAACCTGAACAGACCAATAACAAATAATGAGATCAAAGCCGTAATTAAAAGGTCTCCCAGCAAAGAGAAGCCCAGAACCTAATAGCTTCTCTGCTGAATTCTAGCAAACATTTAAAGAAGAAATAATACCAATCCTGCTCAAAATGAACTGAAAAAATAGAGGAGAGGGAAATACTTCCAAACTCATTCTACAAGGCCAGTATCATCCTGATACCAAAACCAGACAAAGACACATCAAAAAAAGAAAACTACAGGCCAATACCTCTAAAGAATATTTTTGCAAAAATCCTCAACAAAATATGAGCAAGCTAATTCAGCAATACACTAAAAAGATTATTCATTCATCATGATGAAGTAAGATTTATCCCAGGGATGCAAGAATGGTCAAACATACGCAAACCAATCAATGTGATATAACACATCATATCAACAGAATGAAAGACAAAAACCATGTGATCATTTCAATCGATGCTGAGAAAGCATTAGATAGAATTCAACATCTCTTCATGATAAAAACCCTCCAAAAACTGGAAATAGAAGGAACATACCTCAACATAATAAAAGCCATATATGACAGACTCACAGCTAGTATCATACTGCATGGGGAAAAACTGGAAGCCTTTCTCTAAGATCTGGAGCACAAGTATGTCCACTTTCAACAATGGAAAGTACTGGAAGTCCTAAATGGAAAAATTAAACAAGAGAAAGATAAAGGGCCTCCAAATTGGAAAGAAAGAAGTCAAATTATCCTTGTATGTAGATGATATGATCTTATATTTAAAAAAAAACCTAAAGACTCCACCAAAAAACTATTAGAACTAATAAACAAATTCAGTAAAGTTACAGGTTACAAAATCAACATAGAAAAATTTGTAGCATTTCTATATGCCAACAGTGAACAATCTGAAAAAGAATCAAAAATGGAATCCCATTTACAATAGCCACAAATAAAATTAAATGCCCAGGAGTTAACCAAAGATGTGAAAGATCTCTACAATAAAAACTATAAAACACTGATGAAAGGAATGGAAGAGGACACTTAAAAATAGAAATATATTCCATATTCATGTATTGGAAGAATCATTATTGTTAAAATGTCCATTCTACCCAAGGCGGTCTACAGATTAAATACAATCCCTATCAAAATACCAATGACATTCTTCACAGGAATAGAAAAAACAACGCTAAAATTTATATGGAACCACAAAGACCCAGACTCACCAAAGCTATCCTGAGCAAAAAGAATGAAACTGGAAAAATCACATTACCTGACTTCAAATTATATTACAAAGCTATAGTAATCAAAACAGCATGGTACTGGCATAAAAACAGACACATAGACCAATTGAACAGAATAAAGAAGCCAGAAACAAATCTATACACCTACAGTTAACTCATTTTTGACAAAGGTGCCAAGAATATACATTGGAGCAAGGACAGTCTCTTAAATAAATGGTGCTGGGAAAACTGGATATCCATATACAGAAAAATAAAACTAGACCCCTACGACTCATCATATACAAAAATCAAATTAAAATGGATTAAAGACTTGATCTTAAGACCTCAAACTATGAAATTACTACAGGAAAACACTGAGGAAACTCTCCAGGACATTGGTCTGGGCAAAAAATTCTTGAGTAATACCCCACAAGCATAGGCAACCAAACAAAAATGGACAAATGGGATCACATCAAGTTAAAAAGCTTCTGCACAGCCAAGGAAACAATCAACAAAATCAAGAGACAACCCACAGAATGGGAAAAAAATATTTGCAAACTACTCATCTGACAAGAGATTAATAACGAGAATATATAAGGAGCTCAAACCTCTCTGTAGGAAAAATTTAATAATCTGATTTAAAAATGGGCAAAAGATTTGAATAGTCATTTCTCCAAAGAAGCCATGCAAATGGCAAACAGGCATATAAAAATGTGCTCAACATCATTGATCATCAGAGAAATGCAAATCAAAACTACAGTGAGATATCATTTCACTCCAGTTAAAATGGCTTATCTCCAAAAGACAGGCAATAACAAATGCTGGTGAGGATGTGGAGGAAAGGGAACCCTCATACACTGTTGGTGAGAATATAAATTAGTATAGCCATTATAGACAACAGTTTGGAGGTTCCTCAAAAAAAACCTAAAAATAGAGCTATCATGCGATCCAGCAATCCCACTGCTGGGTATATACCCAAAAGAAAGGAAATCAGTATGTCAGCTATCACCTCCATGTTTGTTGCAGCATTGTTCACAATAGCCAAGATTTGGAAGGAACCTAAATGTTCATCAACATATCACTGGATAAAGAAAATATGATACATATGTACAATGGAGTACTATGCAGCCATGAAAAGAATGAGATTCTGTCATTTGTAACAACATGTGTGGAACTGGGGGTCATTATCTTAAGTGAAATAAGTCAGACACAGAAAGACAAACTTCACATGTTCTTACTTATTTGTGGGTGGTAAAAATCAGTACAATTGAACTTGTGGAGATAGAGAGTAGAAGGATAGTTACCAGAGGCTGGGAAGGGTAGTGAGGGGTTGGGGGTAAGCGGAGATGGTTTTTGTTTTTGTTTTGAGACAGAGTCACACACTGTCACAGGCTGGAGTGCAGTGGCATGATCTTGGCTCACTGCAGCCTCCACCTCCCAGCTTCGAGCAGTTCTCATGCCTCAGTGTCCCAAGTAGCTGGGGTTACAGGCACCCACCACTACACCTGCTAATTTTTGTATTTTTAGCAGAGATAAGATTTCGCCATGTTGGCCAGGCTGGTCTTGAATTCTTGGCCTCAAGTGATCTGCCTGCCTGGGCCTCCCAAAGTGCTGGGATTACAGGAGTGAGCCACTCCGCCCAGCCTGCGGATGGTTAGTGGGAACAAAAAGTGTATACAGTTAGAAAGAATGAGTAAGACCTAGTATTTGATAGCACAAAAGAGTGATTATAGTCAATGATATTTAACTGTACATTTAAAAATATCTAAGAGTGTAATTGGATTGTCTGTAATACAAAGGATAAATGCTTGAGGGGATGGATACCTCATTTTCCATGATGTGATTATTGCTTATCGCATGCCTATGTCATGTACCCCATAAATATATACAGTTACTATGTACCCACAAAAGTTTTAACATAATAATTTTTTTAAAAAAAGAAATTAACTACCAGTGGCCAGGCGTGGTGGTTCATATCTGTAATCCCAGTGCTTTGGGAGGCCAAGGTAGGAGGATGGCCTGAGAAGAGCTGGGACCTCCTGGGAAGTGATTAGGTCCTGGGGGATCTGCCCTCATGAATGGAGTGAACTAGCTTAGGTCCTTTTTGCTCTCTTGCTCTTCCGCCTTCCACCACTTGAGAACACAGCAACATGGTGACGTCTTGGGAGCAGACAGCAGCCCTCACAAAATACCAATGCTGGTGCCTTGATCTTGAACTTTCCCACCTTTGGAACTGTAAGAAATAAATTTACACTCTTTATCAATTACTCATTTATAGTATTCTGTTATAGCAGCACAGACAGACTCAGACAGAAATAATAACTAAAATTTTAAAAAATATATCTACTGGGGCCAGGCACCGTGGCTCATGCCTATAATCCCAGCACTTTAGGAGGCCAAGGCAGGTGGATCACTTGAGGTCAGGAGTTTGGGACAAGCCTGGCCAACATGGTGAAACCCTATCTCTAATAAAAATACAAAAGTTAGCTGGGCATGGTGGCTTGTTCCTGTAATCCCAGCTACTCGGGAGGCTGAGGCAGGAGAATCGCTTGAACCCAGGAGGTGGAGGTTGCAGTGAGCCGAGATCATGCCACTGCACTCTAGCCTGGGCCGTAGAGCAAAACTCTGCTTCCAAAAAAAAAAAAAAAATCTATTGGGTTTTAAATTATACAATCATTCTAGAAAATGTCTTACAATACAATGTTGTATAAGCTAAGTATAAAAAGTAAAAAGAGTAAAAATGGCCAGGCGTGGTGGTTCACACCTGTAATCCAAGCACTTTGGGAGGCCAACGTGGGCGGATCACAAGCTCAGGAGTTCGAGACCAACCTGGCCAATATGGCGAAACCCTGTCTCTACTAAAATACAAAAATTAGCTGGGCGTGGTGGCGCACACCTGTAGTCCCAGCTACTCAGGAGACTGAGGCAGAAGAATCGCTTGAACCGGGGAGGCAGAGGTTGCAGTGAGCTGAGGTCACACCACTGCACTCCAGCCTCGGTGACAGAGTGAGACTGCATCTCAAAAAAAAAGGAAGCGTAAAAATTTACAAAATCCACTTCCTTCCAGCCCCAATTCTACAAAGCAAAGGCCACCACTGCTGTTGATATGTATATATAAGCTTCATGAGGGTTTGTCTGTTTTCTTTAACATTATATCCCTAATTTTTGGCAGTGTCTAATGCATAGTAATCATTCAATAAATATTCATTGATTAAATGATTAAAGTAATGTTCTGCATGTATATTTTTTACTTTAGTATCACATTTAGTGTGTATATATAAGATTACATTGTATTCTATATAATTAATATATTATACATTATTTAACCAATGCCTGAACTTTTAGGCTGTTTATAATTTTTCCTATAGCAAACAATGCTGATACAATCAACCTTTTATGCACATCTTTGTACTTGTGTGATTCTTTCTGAAGAACAATTTTTAGAACTGGAATTACAGTGTCAATGTGCAAACATATTAAACTTTTTTTAGTATTTCTTTCCTCTATTTTTCTATTTAGGGGGCTTTTTTTCTAATTACAAAAGTAGTGCATGTTGTCTGTAACAAGTCTAATTATAATGCTAAAAGTTACCAAACATTTATTGTGTACCAGTCACTATGCCAGGATTTTTTGTGTATTACCTTATGTACTGGCTGGCTAGGCCAAGGGAGGGTAGCCCATGGAAAGCCCCAAAGTAAGGAAAATTAAAAAAAAAATTCTTCCGCATGAGAACAGATGAGGAAATATTGTTTCAATGACAATACAGCAAGAATTACATGTTCTAGAATGCAGCCATTTGGTTCGGGGATGATGTGCCTTTCCAAGGATGGTTACTTTTTACAATAGTAAGTATAATTTTGGGAGCTGACCTTCTTGAGGATATAAAAGACCTAAATTCTACATTGTTGTGATTCTCTCACCAGGCAGACATCTCATTCTATATCTATGCTAACAACTAATTGTTAGCATCTCTGACCTTTGGAGACTTTTCCATAAAAAGACAAAGGAGGCAATGGGAAACCACATCTACCTACTTGCATTTTTATCTTACATAGACCTTCAAGGTAACTTAGTTTAAGCAGACTTAAACAGAATCCAGATCATTATTCTCATTCATCTTTTTGTTTTTGTTTTTGTTTTTGTTTTTTTTCTGAGATGTAGTCTCGCCCTGTTGCCCAGGCTGGAGTGCAGTGGCGCGATCTCGGCTCACTGCAAGCTCCGCCTTCCGGGTTCACGCCATTCTCCTGCCTCAGCCTCCCTAGTAGCTGGGATCACAGGCGCCGGCCATCACGCCCAGCTAATTTTTTGTATTTTTAGTAGAGACGGGGTTTCACCGTGTTAGCCAGGATGGTCTCAATCTCCTGACCTTGTGATCCGCTCGCCTCGGCCTCCCAAAGTGCTGGGATTACAGGCGTGAGCCACCGCGCCCAGCCTATTCTCATCCATCCTTAAGACTGGACTCTTTGGTCATTGTTAACTGACTTTTTCGTATAGGATAAATTCTTAAACATGAGATAGTAGTCAATTCTGCCAACATTCAGTTGTTGTTTCTGAATTTCCCACATTGCTTAAGGTCAACTCCACCATGACGCTATAAAAACACTTTTCTCCATTTTTTCATATATTTGTATAGGTTTGTTTTTACATTTAAGTGAATTTTAAAGATAAAACTTACCTATCTATATGGAATGAGGAAGGAAACCTCTTACTTTCATATACATAACCAATTATGTTACACTATTTATTACATAAACCATACTTTATCAATGATTGCAGTGCCATCTTTGTCATATATTAAGTCCTAACAAATACCTAAATATGTTCCTACAATCTCTATTCTATTTACAGATCTACTTGACAGCTGTCGAACCAATACATGCCATTCTGACCATAATACCTTTAAGATAAGTTTGACCATTTAACATAAGAAGTAATAACCAGACCGGGCTCAGTGGCTCACGCCTGTAATCCCAGCACTTTGGGAGTCCGAGGTGGGTGGATCACCTGAGGTCGGAAGTTCAAGACCAGCCTGACCAACATGGAGAAACCCCATTTCTACTAAAAATACAAAATTAGCTGGGCGTGGTGGCACATGCCTGTAGTCCCAGCAACTCAGGAGGCTGAGGCAGGAAAATCGCTTGAACCCGGGAGCCGGAGGTTACAGTGAGCTGAGATCGCACCATTGCACTCCAGCCTGGGCAACAAGAGTGAAATTGTCTCAAAAAAAAAAAAAAAAAAAAAAAAGTGGGGAAAAAAATCTTCCTCAGCTGAAGAAAGAAAAAAAAAACAAAACTGACGTGGTAGACAAAATAGTCTAAAGGAATTCCCTACTACAAAATAATGAGATCCTGCACAAAACAAAATGTTTATTGCTGGGCTTCCAGGAAATAAGGTAAACCTCTGACAGTAGGTCCAAACCTTGAACTGACACCAGAATAGAAGTCCTAAGATGCTTAAAAAGTCAGCTTGTCCTGCAGGCATATGTGATATCAGCTCTGCAATGTAGAGTTCAAATTTTGGGTCAATAGAAAAAAAATAGAAGCTGAAGCTGAGCTTTCCTGATTAAAGAAAGGGAACAAAAGTGACTCCTAGCAGAAGCTATTCCGCTCACAGTTTCATTCGACGGATTTTCTACAAGTTAAGGTTAATGAAATCTGACTGCCAAGCATACGTGTTAATGAGTTTCTTCTGAGTGAGAGCCAGCTGAAATCACAAACAACAGATTTGGACACCCTTAATTATTTTAATTATGTATAAGATGTTTTAAATAAATAGGAGATCTTTTTTGTAGTTCATAAATGCGATGATTGGGTTTTCATGTTTATGTGTGAGATGTGCTTCCCTCAAACCTTGTTATGATGTCAGTACGTTATCCATCTGATGTGGAAGAAAAAGAAAACAAACAAGAAGAAATAAATAGGAGTCATAAAGCAATAAATTACAGAAACACAAATATGAGGAATAAAAGATTATCCAAAGTGGCCAGACTTTAGAAGAAGCCAAAGTGAATTTTTAGTTTTTAAAAATTGTTGAAGTAAAAATTTGAATATATGGATAAAAATTAGATACAGCTTAAAACAGAATTAGTAAACTGGAAGTTGGGTAGAATAAATTATCCAGAATACAGCCCTCTCACTCCCAAATGGATAGTATGATAAGAGATAGAAGTGTATATATCTAATTCAAATCCAGAAGTAGAGAACAGATAAGACTGAGAAGTGGCAATATTTGAAGCTATTTGCCAGGCACGGTGGCTCACGCCTGTAATCCCAGCACTTTGGGAGGCTGAGGTGGGTGGATCACATGGTCAGAGGTTCGAGACCAGCCTGACCAACATGGTGAAACCCTGTCTGTACTAAAAATACAAAAATTAGCTGGGCATGGTGGCAGGCACCTGTAATCCAAGCTACTCAGGAGGCTGAGGCAGGAGAATTGCTTGAACCTGGGAGGCGGAGGTTGCAGTGAGCCGAGATCGCGCCACTGCACTCCAGCCTGGGTGACAGAGCGAGACTCTGTCTCAAGAAAAAAAAATTTGAAGCTATTATGGCTGAGAATTTTCCAGAAGCAATGTATGACATTGATCCACAGATACAGATGGAAAATGAATACCAAGGAAAACAAATAGAAAGAAATCTACACTTAAACATATTTCTGTGAAATACAAAACACCAATGCCCCTCCCTACCACTCCCCTCACACACACAGAATGCAACTACTGAGATAAAATAGATTACCAATAATGGAATGACAATTAGAGTGATAACAGACTTTTTCATAATGTGGGAAGGCAGGAGATAGTGGAATAATATCTTCAAAGTGTTGAGAAAAAATTCTGTCAATCTTAAATTGTATACCCAGAAAAACTATCTAATTTTAGGAAATGCATTGTGAAGTATTTAGAGGTAAAGTACTTAAGAGTACTATAAATCTGTAACTTAACTTCAAACATTTAAGAAAAAAAATACATAAATAAATATATGTGTACACACATATATATTTAAAGAGAGAGAGAAGCAAATAAGATAAAATGTTAACATTTGGAGAATCTTAGTGAAGGGGATATTTGGGAATTCTTTATGCTATTTTTACACCTTTAGGAGTATAAAATGATTTCAAAATTTCAAAAGATAAAACTTACAATAGCAGTAATAAATATAAGTACCTAGAAATAAAAGATATGAAGAAGACTACAAAGGAGAAACACACTGCATTGATGAGAGAACACTTAGTATTATACAATGTATATAATTATACAATTACACACTACACTTCACAACATCCCCCACATTTACCTACAGACTCAATGCTTTTCCTATAAAAATCCCAAAAGGAGTATTTGAGTAACTTAAGCTGACTCTAAAATTTATGTAACAGATAAAAGACCCCAAAATAATTAAAATAGCCCTGAAGAACAACAACAACAAAAAACATGAGTGAGGACATGCCCTGTCAGATAGCAAGACTTATCATAGATGACATAGTACTTAACACAGCTTAGTATCAGTTCAGATAGACAAAGTAATCATCTGAACAAAATTGAAAGCCTGAAAAAAAAGGCCCACACTTACGTGGACACTTGATTTATGACAAAAATGGTGAACTATTCAGTAAATGGTGTTGGGACAATAGGTTATGAAAAAAAACAAAGAAAATCATATACTTATATATCATACACAGAAGCAGTCTCTGCTGTATTATATACAAAACTTGAATTCTCTTAGAGAACGTTATAGGATAATATTTTTATAACCTTAAGGTAGGGAAGTATTTCTTAAACAAGATTGAAAGGCACAGATAAATTCAGCTACATTAAAATTAAGAACTTTTAGCCAGGCACGGTGGCTCACGCCTGTAATCCCAGCACTTGTGAGGCGGAGACGGGCGGATCACTTGAGGCCAGGAGTTTGAGATCAGCCTGGCCAACATGGTGAAACCCCATCTCTACTAAAAAATACAAAAACTGAGTATGGTGGTGCACGCCTGTAATCCCAGCTACTCAGGAGGCTGAGGCACAAGAATCACTTGAACCCAGGAGGTGGAGGTTGCAGTGAGCCAAGATCACGCCACTGCACTGCACCCTGGGTGACAGAGTGAGACTCTGTCTCAAAAAAAGAAAAAAAAAAAGAACTTTTGTTCTTTAAAAGGCACCATAGAGAAATAAAGAAGCTATTTGCTACACTTATAATCATTGAAGGGTTAGTATCCAGAATATCCAAAGTCCAAAAAATTAGTAATCCATAAAACAGTAAATCAGTAAAACACACATGATGCAATATAGTTCTGGACAGGAAGTATGAGCAGGCATCTCACAAAAGAGAAAATATGAATGGTGAAAAGAGATATGAAAGTTCCTCAAACTCACTAGTAATTAGCAAAATAAGACCATAAGGAATTATATTTTACACCCACTGGATTGCCAAAAGTTAAGAAGCCTGAGTCTACAGAGTTGGTGAAATTTTAGATCAACTGTAACTCATATATACAATTGTTGGGGCTGGGCATGGTGGCTCACACCTGTAATCCCAGCACTCTGGGAGGCTGAGGCAGGAGGATTGCTTGAGCCTAGACATTCAAGACCAGCTTGGGCAACATAGCAAGACCCTGTCTCTACAAAACAAAATAATAATAATTTAAAAAGTAACTGGGCATGGTGGTGCTTGCCTGCATTCCCAGCTACTTAGGAGGCTGAGGTGGAAGAATTGCTTGAGCCTGGGAGATTGAGGCTGCAGTGAGCTGTGATAATGCCTCTATACCTCAGCCTGGGTGACAGAGTGAGACCTCATCTCAAAAACAATAAATTAATTAATTAAATAAATAAAACCTCATCTTGGTAAGCTTCTTCTCAATACACAGGTGACTATATTTCCAGATTTTTAAAAAAATGTGGTTTCTTGGCCAGGTGTGGTAGCTCACACCTGTAATCTCAGCACCTTGGGAGGCTGAGGCAGGTGGATTGCTTGGGCTCAGCAGTTCAAGACCAGCATGGGCAACATGGTAAAATGCCGTCCCTACAAAAAATACAAAAAACAAAACAAAACAAAACAAAAAAATTACCCGATCATGTTGGCACGTGCCTGTAGTCCCAGCTACTCAGAAGACTGAGGTAGAAGAATCGCTTGAGCCCAGGAGCTTAAGGCTGAAGTGAGCCATGATCATGCCACTGCACTCCAGCCTGGGGGACACAGTGAGATCCTGTCTCAAAAGAAAATAATATATATATGTTTCTTTAAAGATATCTTTGGATTCTTTGAGGTTTTTACAAATACTAACATAATCTTCATCTCTTTAGCAAGGCTATCCACATTGACTCTGGATATATATCCAGGAGTAATTTTTTAAAGTTTACTTACAATCATAAAACTGTGTTTGCATTGCTCAGTAGCCCTGCATAGTTTACTAAAACAGTTCAAATCATTTCGACATAGTAACACCAGCTAATTATCACAAACTAATCACACTTGGAAGAATTGTTTCCTTGACTAACAATTGCCATATCTCAGAACCGTTACTTCTCAATAATATAAGCTCTTGGTCATTAGGATTGAAAAAAGAGGAGATGAGCTCATCATCATCTTTGGAGAGACAAGCAGGGGGCAAAAGCAACAAGACTGCATGTCCTGGCTATTTTCCCCAGAATAGATTCCAGTTTGCCTTTCTCCTAATATGCTCAGAATATAAACCAACACTTCACATTTGGTCTATTTCTTGCTTCAGTCATTACGCTTTCATTAGTGGACTTTTTAGTTCCTTTAATTCTTTATCTCTCACTAGCACTACTTTTTAATATTTCATTTTATAGTCTTTATTAGCTTATTGGTTGTATCTCTTTTTATTTGTTCTCTTTTGTCTGGGTTTGTGGCTTTGGGGTCTACAGTGTACATTCCTCACTTGTTCTTTTTTCTCTTTCTTTTTTACAGACATGATCTCACTTCCATCACCCAGACTGCAGTGCAGTGGTGCAATCGCAGCTCACTGCAGCCTGGAATTCCAGAGCTCAAGCGATCTTCCCACCTCAGCCTCTCAAGTAGCTGGGACTATGGGTACACACAACTACACCCTGCAAAGTCTACAGTGTACCTTCTTAACTTATCAGTCTCTTTTCAAATAATATTAGACTACCTTTTTATTGATTTATTTTTTAATCGAGACGGAGTCTTGCTCTCTTGCCCAGGCTGGAGTGCAGTGGTGCAATCTTGGCTCACTGCAACCTCTGCCTCCCGGGTTCAAGTGATTCTCCTGCCTCAGCTCCCAAGTAGCTGGGATTACAGGTCTGTGCCACCACGCCCAGCTAATTTTTGTATTTTTAGTAGAGACAGGGTTTCACCATGTTGGCCAGGCTGATCTCGAGCTCCTGATCTCAAATGATCCACCCAACTCAGCCTCCCAAAGTGCTGGGATTACAAGCGTGAGCCACCACACCTGGCCTAGACCACCTTTTGTAGAAGAATTTGGCCTATTATATAAAAGCCTTACAACAGTGTGCTTCCATTTTTCTCTCCCAGTTTCTGTGCTATTGTTGCCTTTTACTTTACTTCTGTATACACTTTATTCTCATTATTTACAGATTCTATATTTGTAAAGTCACCTACTTGCTACAATTTATTTGTAACTCCAAAATCTATATGGTAATTCTGTAATTATTTGTGAACATGCTCAGAGCAGCAAAATCTTTGAGTCCCTTGAGGTTCACAATCCAATCAGAAGAAATAAGGCAATGCCTGTCTTCTTTGTTTCAGCTCTTCTAATGTAAATAAGTGTCCTATTTTTGGTCTAGTTATTGCCACATTGTTTATATGTTGTGCTTTCCATGTAGATGATTTCACTGTTTAAAGTGGCCCCCCAAAAGACTTGTATACTGAAAACTATGAAATGTTGTTGAAAGAAATAAGTAAATGGAAAGACATCTGGTGTTCATGGAAGACTTGGTATTGTTAGGATGTCAATATTACCCAAAGTGATCTACAGATGCAATGCAATTCCTATCAAAATCCCAATGACATTTTTTTTTGCAAAAATAGAAAAGTCCATCTTAAAATTCATGTAGAATCTCAAGGAACCACCAAATAGCCAAAACAATCTTGAAAAAGAAGAAAGTTAGAAGTCTCATATTTTCTGATTTAAAAATTTTCTGCAAAGGTATGGTAATCAAAATAGACTGGTACTGGCATAAAGACAGATATAGAGACTAGTGGAAGAAAATAGAGAACTCAGAAATAAACCCTCTCATATGGTCAAATGATTTTCAACAAGGCTTCCAGCCATACTCAATAGGGAAAGGACAGACTCCTTAACAAATAGTGTCAAGAAAACTGGATGTCAGGCCAGGCGCGGTGGCTCACGCTTGTAATCCCAGCACCTTGGGAGGCCAAGACAGGCGGATCACCTGAGGTCAGGAGTTTGAGACCAGCCTGGCCAACATGGTGAAACCCCGTCTCTAATAAAAATACAAAAGTTAGCCGGGCGTGGTGGCACATGCCTGTAATCCCAGCTACATAGGAGGCTGAGGCAGGAGAATCACTTGAACCCAGGAGGTGGAGGTTGCAGTGAACCTAGATCATGCCACTGCACTCCAGCCTGGGCGACAGAGCGAGACTCTGTCAAAAAAAAAAAACAGAAAAAAAGAAAGAAAGAGAAAACTAGATGTCCACATGCAAAAGAATAAAGTTGGACCTTTATCTTATACCATATACAAAAATGGACTCAAGGCCGGGCGCGGTGGCTCACGCCTGTTATCCCAGCACTTTGGGAGGCCGAGGCGGGTGGATCACGAGGTCAGGAGATCGAGACCATCCTGGCTAACACAGTGAAACCCCGTCTCTACTAAAAATACAAAAAATTAGCCGGGCGAGGTAGCGGGCGCCTGTAGTCCCAGCTACTCGGGAGGCTGAGGCAGGAGAATGGCGTGAACCCCGGGGGGCGGAGCCTGCAGTGAGCCGAGATCGCGCCACTGCACTCCAGCCTGGGTGACAGGGAGACTCCGTCTCAAAAAAAAAAAAAAAAAAAAAAAAATGGACTCAAAATGGATTAAAGATCTAAACATGAGGCCTAGACCTATAAAACTCCTAGAAGAAAACATAGGGGAAAAGCTTCATGATGTTGGATTTGGCAATGATTTAGTGGATATCACTGGATAATGATAAATATTAGATAATGATTTCTTCCTTTGGATATGACACCAAAAGCACGAGCAACAAAAGAAAAAAAAGACAAATGGAACTACATCAAACTCAAAAACTTTTGCTCATCAAAGGACACAGTCCACAGAGTGAAAAGGGAACCTATGGAATGGGAGAAAATATTTTGAAATCCTATATCTGATAAGGGATCCAGAATATATAAACAACTACAACTCAACAACAATAAAAAAATCAAATAACCCATTTTAAAAGTGGGTAAAGGCATGGAATACTGTGTGGCTATAAAAATGAGTGAGATCGCCGGGTGCGGTGGCTCATGCCTGTAATCGCAGCACTTTGGCAGGCAGATAATGAGGTCAGGAATTCAAGACCAGCCTGGCCAACATGGTAAAACCCTGTCTCTACTAAAAATACAAAACAGCTGGCTGTGGTGGCAGGTGCCTGTAATCCCAGCTACTCAGGAGGCTGAGGAAGGAGAATGACTTGGAGCCGGGAGGTGGAGGTTGCAGTGAGCCAAGATCATGCCACTGCACTCCACCCTGGGTGACACAGCGAGACTCTGTCTCAAAAAAAATAAAAATAAATAAGATCATGTCCTTTGCAGCAACATGGATGGAGCTAGAGGCCATTATCCTAAGCAAATACAGAAACAGAAAGCCAAATACTGCATGTTCTCACTTATAAGTGGGAGCTAAACAATGAGTGCACATGAACACAAATAAGGGAACAACAGACACCAGGACCTACCTGAGGGTAGAGGGTGGGAGGAGGGTGAGGATGGCCAAACTACCTATCTGGTACTATGCTGATTATATGAGTGACAAAATAATCCGTACACCAAACTCCTGTGAGACACAGCTTACCTATATCACAAACCTGCACATGTAGCCCTGACCCTAAAATAAAAGTGAAAAAAATGGATAAAGGATCTGCTTGAGTAGACATTTCTCCAATGATAATACACAAATGACCATCAAGCATATGCAAAGATGCTCAACATGACTAATCATCAGAGAAAAGCAAATCAAAACCACAATGAGATATCACTTTACACCTCTTAGAATATCAAAAACAACAAACAAGCAAAACCCCAGAAAACAGCAAGTATTGGCAGGAATATGGAGAGGCCTGGACCCTTGAACACTGTTGGTATGACTATAAAATGGTACAACCACGGTGGAAAACAGTATGGTGGTTCTTCAAAAAGTTAAAACAGAACTACCGTATGGTCTAGCAATCCCACTTCTGAATATATCTCCAAAAGAACTGAAATCAGGGTTTTGAAGAGAGATTTGCAAACCCCTATATCTAGCAGCACTATTAACAATAGCGAAGAGTTGGGAACAAACTAAATGTCCATCCATGGATGAATCAATAGACAAAATGCAATATGTATGCACAATGGAATACTATGCAGCCTTAAGAAGGAAAGAAATCCTGTCACATGCAACAGCATAGATTACCCTTGAGGACATTATGCTAAGTGAAACAAGCCAGTTACAAAAGAACAAACACCGTGTGATTCTTCCTATATAAGGTATCCAAAATAGTCGAATTCATTGATATAGAAAGTAGAATGGCTGTTACCAGGGGATGAGGGAAAGGGAAAATGGGGAGATGTTGTTTAATGGATATAGAATTTCAGTTCTGCAAGATGAAAAAGTACTGGTGATCTATTTCATAACAATGTAAATATGCTTAACACTACTGAACCGTATACTTAAAAAAGGTTAATTATGGGCTAGGCGTGGTGGTTCATGCCTGTAATCCTAGCACTTTGGGAGGCCGAGGTGGGTGGATCACCTGAGGTCAGGAGTTCGAGACCAGCCTGGCCAACATGGTGAAACCCCATCTCTACCAAAAATACAAAAATTAGCTGGGCAAGGTGGTGCGCACCTGTAATGCCAGCTACTCGGGAGGCTGAAGCAGGAGAATTGCTTGAACACGGAAGGTGGAGGTTGCAGTGAGCCAGGATTACGCCACTGTACTCTAGCCTGGGCGACAGAGCTGGACTCAATCTCCAAAAAAAAAAAATATTGTTAACATGGTAACTTTTATGATTTGTTTTTTAACCACAATTTTTAAAATCTTATTTTAGTGCATATGTATAACTAAGATATACAGAAATTCCTGGCTCAGTGACCCTTCCAGATGCTTTGCCTTTGGGGGAGAAATCAAGTAGAAGTTCGGAGGGGCTAATACAGTTACACAGATCATAAAATATGCTGTGAGAGAAAAGAGGCAGAGTTGTTTGTCTATTTTGTGTTTTGGGCTCACATTTGCTCAAGAGCTTTATGTTTATCAATCAGATAATTAAAGAATATTTGCTTAAATATCACTTTGGTTTGCTGAAATCAACACAGCCTAAGGATAAAAACCTAGTTTTTCCTCAAATTTTGTCATTACAGGTTGAATTAAGTGTGTCCCCTCAGATTCACACATTGAAGTCATAACCCCCAGTACCTTAAGATGATACATTTTATGTTGTGTTTTTTACCGCAATGAAAATTTTAAAACTATTTTAAAAATAAATAAACTCAAAATGGATCAAAGACCCAACTATAAACTATAAACTCTCTTAAAAGAAAACATAAAACTGGGCGTGGTGGTTCATGCCTGTAATCTCAGCACTTTGGGAGGCCAAGAAGAGTGGATTGCTTGAGTCCAGGAGTTTGAGACCAGCCCAGGCAACATGGGGAGACCCCATCTCTATAAAAATACAAAAATTAGCCAGGCGTAGTGGCGGACGCCTGTAGTCCCTCCTGTTCAGGAGGCTAGGGTGGAGGATCACTTGAGCCTGGGAGGTAGAGGCTGCAGTGAGCTGTGGTCACACCACTGCACTCCAGCCTGGGTGACAGAGTAAAACCTTGTCTCAAAAAAAAAATTAGGGAAGAAGCTTTATGACATTGGGTTTGACAATGATTTATTGGATATGACATCAAAAGCATAGGCAACAAAAGAAAAAATTGATAAGATGGACTTCTTCAAGATTGAAAACTTTTGTGCATCAAAGGGCACTATCAACAGGGTGAAAGGGAATCCACGAAATGGGAGAAAGTATTTGTAAATCATATATCTGATAAGAGATTGATATTCAAGATATATAGAGAACTCTCTTAAAATGCAACAACCAAAAAAACCAACCTGATTTTAAAATGAGCAAAAGATTCAAATAAATGATTTTCAAAAAAAATACAAATGGCCAATAAGTACATTTAAAAATGGTCAAAATGAGGCCAGGTGCAGTGGCTCACCTGTAATCCCAGCACTTTAGGAGGCTGAGGTGGGAAGATCACTTGAGGCCAAAGTTCAAGATCAGCCTGGTCAACATGGTGAAATCCCATCTCTACTAGAAATACAAAAAAAAAAAAAAAAAAAAATTATCTGGGCATGGCAGTACATGCCTGTGGTCCCAGCTACTCATGAGGCTGAGGTAGGAGGATGGCCTGAGGCCAGGAGGTGGAGGTTGCAATGAGTCAAGACCATGCCACTGCAATCCAGCCTGGGCGACAGAGCAAGACCCTGTCTCAAAAAAATAAATAAATAAAAAATAACATCAGTAAGCATTAGGGAAATGAATAACAAAACACAGTAAAATACCACTTCACATACACCCATTAGAATGGCTATTACTTATTATTTTAAAAAATGACAACAACAAATAATGTGTTGGTGAAAATGTGGAGAAACAGGAACCCTTGTGCATTGCTGAGGAAAAATGTAAAATGGAGCAGCTGCTGTGAAAAACAGTATGGCAATTTCTCAAAACATTAGACATAGAATTACCATAAGATCCAGCAATTCCACTTCTGGGTGTATACCCAAAGAACTAAAATCAAGGTCTTAAAGAGACATTTGTACACCTGCGTTCATATCACACTGTGATTATAGCATTATTCATAATAACCAAAAGATAGAAGCAACCCCAGCGTTCATCAATGAATGAATGAATAAACAAAATGTGGCGTATACATACAAGGGAATATTATTCAACCTTGTCACAAAAGGACAAATATTGTATGATTCCACTTATATGAGTGTGGGAACAAGAGTGACTTCTGACTAACCCTGAGTCCAAAAATGCCTCCATAATGTCTAGGTGTCAGTACTTTTTGTGTAGAAACAGCTAGTCACTGTAAGTTTCCTCCAAAACAACACTTAATGCTGTTACAAACATCATAGGCTAGGATTCCTGTAGCACCTATACATTCCTTCCAGAGCACATATTTTTATACTTTTCCCCAAGACATCAGCCTCCCTAAGGATCTGGGAGGTTGTGGTGCTAAGATCTACCTGTCTTGCAGCCCCCAAGACCATGCTTCTGTCCATAAATTCCCCTGATAAATAATCTCATACCAACAAACTGGATTTGTCTGCTTCCTTCTTTGATTTCTTCACTTCTTTGGTATTTGGGGATCTCTTTGCATATACAGCCCTTTCACAGAACAATGAGGTACCTAGAGTACTCAAATTCATAGAGACAAAAAGTAGAATGGTGGTTGTCAGGGCAGAAGGCACAGGACAGGGGAGTTATTGTTTAATGGGTATGGAGGTTTCATTTGAGAAGATGAAAACGTTCTAGAGATGGGTAATGGTGGTGGTGGTGGTTGCAGAATAATATAAAAATGCTTAATGGCACTGAATTGTACACTGAAAAATAATTAAAATAGTAAATTTTATGCCATATATATTTTTCACCATAAAAAAATGGCTCCCAGGGGCAATTGTAAAATTATATCTGGTATTCCTAGTACGAGAAGACATGGATGTGCCTTATGTGTGTGTTAGATGAGCTTTGTTCAGACATGTTGGCTGTGAGCTCCATGTTAATAAATCAATGATATATATTACATAAGCTGTCTTTAAATAGAGACACACATAAAACAAGGTTATGTGTTGATTGCTTGACAAAAGTGTTGCAACCAGAGGTTTACAGAATCTAACTCTGTATTTCCCCTGTGAACAATGTTCAGTGTTCACTAATTCATCATTTTCAACAACTTTACAGAGCATAACTATCATGACTAAAAAGAATCAGCTGAGACAGACACAGTGGCTCACACCTGTAATCCCAGCATTTTGGGAGGATGAGGTGGGATGACTGCCTGAGTCCAGGAGTTCAAAATCAGCCTGGGCAACATAGTGAAACCCCATCTCTAATTTTTTTTTAAAAAGTAAAAAAAAAAAAACCAACAAAAAAACTGTATGTTATAAACTCCACAATATATTACTATTTTTGCTTTAAAATATTCAATTATCTTTAAAAGAGATCTTTTAAAAACATCTTTTATATTTACCCACATATTTTTTATTTGCAGGCATGTTCCCATCTACGTCTTTGCACTTGTTTCTACCTCTGTCTGGAATTCTCTTGCTCCAGCAAGCCATGTGATCAGTTCTCCACATTCTCTTTAGGTCTCTATTCAAAAGTTACTTTTTCAGTTAGACCTTCCATGGCTACTTTATCTAAATAGCTATATATCTTCACATCTATTTCCTTATTTAACTATCAATGTCCTTATTTAATTCTCAACTATTAATTATCCTTATTTTACAAATGAGGCAAGTGGAAGTCAGAGGGATGAAGTGAATTGCCCGAGGTCACACTGCTAGTAAATGGTAAAGCACGTAGATTGTCTCCAGAAACTTCTCAATATATTTACCTTATGTACATGATATTTAGCCTATATAAACATTTACATATATTTATCATGTGTATACACACACCTATAGATATATCCCATCTTCAAGCTATATTTCATCATAGCTGTTTCTAAGTCCTCCATGATTGATGCAACTGGTAGAGACTTGGAAGTAAGATGATGCACTGACCCAGCTAGCATTTACTGGGCATCTGCTAGTAGGTGCTAGGCATTGTGATGAATGCTAAGGATATAGAGATGAAAGATGCAGTTGCTGTCATCAATGTCCTCACAGTTGGGAATAGGGAGAAGACAGACACTTAGAAGTTCCATGGAGAAAGAACTAGGTAGGACCCAATGGATAAAAAATACTGAATGAAGATTCTAATCCAACACAAGAAAGTTTCTAATGGTCAAAGCTGTCTGAAAATGAAATGGGTTAGAGGGTGGAGTTCCTCTCACAGGAGTTGTCCCAGCAAAAGTATGGTGACAGTTGAGCTGGCTGTTATAGAAGGGATTGACTTAAACATAACATGGCTGATCAGGAGCCAGGTAACCAATGTGAGCTAGGGTTTTTAAAGACACTTTTCAACAAAGCGACTATTTGCAGAGATGTGTGTAGGGCTAATGGAACTAACAAGAATTTTGATGCACCCAGGGGACTAGCAGAAACTAGAAGGCATTTCCACTTCATGCCTGAAGGCACAGGGGGAGTCTGATTAAAAGCCAGAGCCTAGGAAAATAGGCTCTCAAAGAGAAAAAGAATTTCTAGAGAAGCAGCAACTGCCAGAACTGGAACAATATAACATTCCCAGAAACAATATACCTGCAGTTCTCTATCCTTAGGTTGTTCGGTTATTTGCAGTGCCACTTATTCACCAAATGCAAATGGAAGCCAGAGGCAAGCGCCTGCCAGTGACGCAGTTGATAAAGGAACTAATACTGTCCACAAAGGTCAGTGTCCGAGGGCACCCAGCAGGGCAGAAGAGGGCGAAATGGATCCAGATGGAAAACGCAGGATAATCAGCAGAGTTGTTTTTAAGGGCCCTTTATTTATTCAGAGGCAAAATTTTCTTTCCCTTTAGACTCTACAAATGAACAATCGGGAAGCGAACCTCAACTGTGGGGTGAGTGGCGCTTGGAGAAAATTGGAGCTGAGTGGATAATCCGGCTATGCCCTTCCCACGTCTCTTTCCCACGCAGCGTCACCGTCGTGCTCTCCAGTGCACACCACCAGCCATCCCTGCCCTGGCGCCCGGACGAAGCTCACGGGCTGGGGAGCCTCTTTCCTGCGCCGGTGATCAAGGGCGTCCCAGCCCACTGAGGGCCAGGAGGCGAGGCTTGGGCACACGTCCCTTCCCGCCCGGACGCTGGTGCCCGCGAGGTCCTCTTGGCCCTGCTGGGAGCGCAGGGGTCGCGGCAACCATTCAGAACCCCGGCTGCCAGACAAGCGAGGCTTTCCACGTGGGCAGAGGCGACGTTGTTCAGGTGGCAAGGATCCAAGGCTGAGCCTTCCTCCCTCTGCGTCCACCCACCGCCCCTCCCCACCCCCGACCTAGAAAAGGACACGCACACAAAAAACTTTCGCCACACTATTAATATATTCGCGTTTCCTCCCACTTTCCCAATGGGCTACCAGCTGCAGAACTCCTGAATAGAAAGCTTAATTGTGCTTTGTCATGCAGAGTACCTCGATTTTCTATAGAAGGTTACAAAGGGCCATTTGAAGTATTTCTTTCTCGCCTAATAGTGAACCATTTGCATACGGCACCTCTGCGCCTGCCAGACCCAGGTAGCTGTGCCGAAGCTCCGGGGGCCCCGGAGTAACAAAACCCAGGGCGGTTTCCAAAGGGCGCCCTACCCCGCCTCTCGCCCAGCGTTTGGACTTTTCTCTCCAATTCCCTCGGGTCACGGCCCGCCCTAGGCAGCTGATTTGGAGGACGCGAAATATGGCCTGCAGGCCGCGGGTGCCCAGCCGGTCCGTCTGATATCTTGGAGGCCTCGGGCCATCCAGGCCCTTCTAGCCTGGACCCGAGCCTTTTTTAGGCCGGGTCTACCGAACCCAGGTGGTGTTTTTCATCTACTATCTGCAGGTCCAGAGACCAGGCCTTTGCCCACGCGGGGTCCTCCACCCACTTGCTTCTCACGTAAGGCCCAAGTGAGGCGCTGAAGAACTGGAAGGTGATTATGATTTCGATACCACGCTGTTCGTTTCTCCTGGTTGATTGACAGGGCTGCGTTCAGAATATCTTTTCTTGTTGCTTGTTTTGACAGTTCAAATCCAGGTCTGTGTGACATATAAAGCTAATAAAATTCTAATTTCATTGTTAATCTTATTTCATTGCAGTATAGGTTTTTACCCTCACACCTGCATGGCAGGGTGTAATTCCATTAATAAAAAAAATCAACATATTCATTGCATGTCTTTTCCCTGATGATATATTGTGAGCAGTGTGAGTTGAGAAAGAGCCATTTATTCCCACCGTGAATGAGCCTGCATGGGGCGGGAGCTTCACCTGCCCCTCAGTCAATTAGGAATGTATCGAAAAGTCTAGCAGAAAACGAGTTAAATTAACCGTTGGCTAATTTCCTTATGTCCCTCCTACATAATCCCCCCTTTTCAGCTTGCCCCAGAAATTACCACATGTTGCAAGGTTCAAATAGTGCCTAATGAAACAGTGACTAAACGCTTCTCCCTCCGGCGCCACCGACGGGGGAGCCCTTTCGCCGGCCTTCAAAGCTTGCAGGATTTCGTGGTTCTGGTTCCCGTATCCAAGAAAAAAAAAAAGAAAAAAAGAGAAGAAAAGAAAGAGAAAGAAATTTTTGACAAGCAGAAAAAAGAAAATCTAAGCTGTCAATAACTCTCGATCCAGCGAGTGAAACTACATTAATGCCCACCCACTTCCTGCCACCGATGATGCAGTGGGATTCCGAGATGCCTGTGCCCGCAGTAGATACCCAAGTAGGAATGGCAGCTTTAGCATCCTCCTCTTTCCCCGGAGAGCTAGGAGGATTGAGCCATGGCCAGGGGAGACTGGATGGGGAAAACGGCCAGGAGAACAAAGGGTGGGGGTGGGGGCGGATATCAAGGCAGAAGGAGATGGAGACAAGACAGAGAAATGCAGACAGAGAAAGATCACTGGGGAAGCAGATGCAAAGGCAAAAAAAAAAAAAAAAAAAAAAAAAGACAGAGTGACAGCAAACACACCTCTAAAGTCTCAACTCCCTTATCCCAAGTTAAAACTACATGTATGGCTTAAGCAACTCATCAGCCTCTAGCCAAAGGCATTTTGAAGCCTTGACATTCAAAATCCTAATAATTAATCATTCTTATTAATTAATTAAGGAGGAAAGGAGGAAGGTGGCTGGCTGCTGCTTGACCCCAAACAATCTAAATTAGGGTTTGTGAAGGAAGTCTCCAAAAGCATGCACTCCCTCTCCTTCGTATTCTTTCTTTTTCACACTCTCAAAAATTTCCATTATAATCCTTCAAGGTCTGGGGCAGGCAGAGCTTCTCACCCTGCTCCATCCCTTCGCAGCAAACTGAGACCAAGCTGGCTTCTGCTCCTTGGAGCCGGCTGCCACTCATAGGCAGGGAGCTCTTTCCCATCGGGAGCAACTCCCACCTGCCTTTTTTTCTCTGCACCTGCTGTGGGTGGTTTCTCCTTGAACTTCAGAAACCAAGTAGTTGCCTAGAATTACTTTCGCCACAGTGCTCACAGGCTAAATATTACTACATTCTCTCTCTCTCTCTCTCTCTCTCTCTCTCTCTCTCTCTCTCTCTCTTGTCTTCTCTCTCCTCTCTCCCCTTGCCTCCCTCTCACTAGAGACTTGAGTCCCCTATTTGAAATGGTGCAGCTAATACAAAGTCATCAAAGCACTATGGTTCTTGTCTTAAAGTGACAGCCTGCTTTATGAGACTGTTTGAAATACTCCCCTTGCTTTTCAATGTCTCTCTATCCATCTTTGTCTGCTCTTCAGAAAAGGGGACAATATAAAGCCCAGCCTGGCGAGCTCCCCACGCTCAGGCCTGGGCAGTGCCAACCTCCGCCTTTAAGCAGATTGAAATTGTCACTGCTTCATTAATCTGAAACTAGTTACTTTCCTAAGCACACAGCATACACTTCCGATCTGTTAGGATTCACTCAGGGGAGCCCCTGGGGCCTTCCTGGGTTTGGGATTTAGAAGGCTCAACAAAGATACAGCAAGGGTTCAGGAAAACATAGGGCTCAGCTTGAAGAAAAGCAGTGTCCAGTACCGAAGGGCGGCATTGACATCAGTATATTAAGAGAGCACAAAACACTATTTTCAGAGACAATGGGATGCCCAGGATTTTGGAGGGTACACTTGAGAATAAGTAGTCTGGCTATGGCAACAGACAAGGTTATCTATTGCCACATGGAGCAGCACTAGAGGTCTCACAGGCCTCAGAATTTTTTTCCCCAAACAGAAGAAACTGGAATCCAAATTTCTTTGCAAGTTGGAGTTTTGCTGACTTTCTTTTTTTTTAGTTTTTTTTTTTTTTTAATCTGAGTTCTGATTCAAGTCTGATTCTAAGAGATGTCTTAAGTTCTGTGCTTCTTTGGCCCCTCCCTTAGTTCCAGCCTGTGTTGCCCACTCCAAGTGCCAGATGTTGGATGTAGAAGCCTCGGGTCCTTATAGAATTTCTATGAGACAAGTTGCCCCTTTTCTTCATACCCCCACCATTAACAAAAGACAATACAAAGGATTCTATTACTTTTAATATTTCTAGCTGGCTTAGAATAGCAAGTTTTTGGGTTCTATTCTATGTAGTTTAGGGAAGAGATGTGGGCATTTTTTAAGAGAAGCTCAATTTTCAGTAATGTGAGCCTAAAGATTTATAAAATAGATTTATATTAAATTATGTTAATAGACGCCTAGTAAATGCACCATTTAATTGCATGGAAAAAAATGTTCCCTTTTAAAAGGTCTGTCACCTTAACAGGTACATTCAAAGATTTCCTGTGAATAATGAAAATAGGAACAATTGCTTTGATGCACTGAACTGCATTCATCGTCTAGGACAGCTTTGGGCTGTGTTTGGAGAAGATGGGAGGAGCTCTTTTGAAAGGAGTGATTGCTCCTTTAAACTTGATTTCCTCTAGCAAATAGGTTCTATTGGAGTGTCATTCTCCTCCCCTCTCTCACACCCGTAAGGCTGGGCTTGAGATCATGCCCCAGAGCTCTTCTCCATGTCTCCCCTCCATGTTCAGACTGTTTTTCCTCCCCACAACCCAACACTGAGCACCTCCCCATCTCCCTCAAAGAAATCTCTCAAGGAGTGCCATTAAAAGCGAGTGGAACCTGCAGGAAAGGTATAAGTGGGAAACAAAAAGAAAAAGAAAACCTGGTTAAAAATTACTCTTTTCCACCTACATCACCACCATCAAAGGACCCTCTCTGTCTCTTTCACACACACATGTGCCTCATGCATGCACACACTACACACATGTACATACAAAGCCCCTGTTGCCCTCTGTGACTGCTTTTAGTTAGAACCACCACCTTTCTGGCAATTGTCTGACCACAGTTAGAGTGTGCCAAGCAAACTGCATTTCTAATCCTGACCAGATATAACTGGACAGAACTGGTGGGGCGTTGTGGGTTAGCGGGGTGGTGGTTGGCAATGAGGAGACGGAGGCGGAGGTCAGAAATCAAAGACTTCACATCCCCAAGTGTTTTGTCTCTCCTAAAATTATTAGATATTCTTTAGGGGAGTGGGGAAGGGACTGAGCTATGATGACCACTTCAGAATAAGGACCCTAGAGGAAAAGAGGTCTATGGGCACCAGTGTCTCCATCATGCAGGCCCACTGACACCCTAAGGATGGGCTACTGGGTCACTTTTGCTTTTGGCCTAGTTTGCTATCAGTATCAGGCCCTTGGCCTTAGGCATTTGTTGGTGGCTGAGTGGGAGAGTGAAGGGGAAAAGTCTCTGTTCCTCCTCTATGCTCTGAATGTCTGGGCTGGGCCAGGGCACATGGGTGAGAGGTCATCCTTCCTGCTCTCCACTCTGCCTTCCACCCCCAGCTCTTTTCCTGTTTAAAACTAACATGAGACTTGTTCTCAAAAAGATGGACTCAACCACACTCACAGCGGGTGCTACCCACTGATTTTCTCTTGGTGGAGCAAGTTCCTGTTTTCTAATTCTCATTCTCATTTTCATTCTCTTTCTTTCCATTCTTTCTTTCTTTCCATGACCTCTCTAAGAGGTCATGCTCTGGGGGAACATAGTTCTGTTTCTGTTTTTCAATTGGGGCATAATGGAAACTAGTATCTAGTGCTTCCCAGGTAGAGAAATTGTCAAGGGTGACCCCATACATCTTAAACTTTCCTCTTAAATGGGTGTTTGATATCAAGATTATTTAGCTGAGAATGTGAGTTTCTGAGGGTTGGCTTAAATGCTCTTAAACTAAAGTGAAACTGTTGGTCTTTAGAATCAGACCGACTCCAAAATACCAAAGCATTATTCCGATTTGAAAACTTCAAAAACATCAACTGATATTTTTTGAGGAGTGGGGATAGGGAAACATGTAA
The DNA here is from genome assembly GCF_000001405.40 of Homo sapiens. Taxonomy (NCBI): domain Eukaryota; kingdom Metazoa; phylum Chordata; class Mammalia; order Primates; family Hominidae; genus Homo; species Homo sapiens. Next base: position 54,104,646 of record NC_000004.12, on the reverse strand, counting down.
AACTTATTCTAGCATAGTAGGAGACCTCATACTCCATTCTGAAAGTGACCAAAGGAGTCCACTTTGCATCGGATGTCCTAGAAGGAAGACCTCCCTGGGAACCCTGGAGAACCTTTTCTTCTATGGAGAGTGTCCCAACATCTAAATAGGTATCGCTACGCTTTTTTTTTTTTTTTTTTTTTTTTTTTTTTGCCTCTGGGCAGAAATACTTTGTTTATTCTCCTTTCCCTAGGGAACTTCCCCAAAGATCGAAGCAAGAGGGGCTGGGGCCATCCAAGCAGATCCAAACCATCTAAACAGGGTTGGCACTGCGGCTATCTGCGGCATGGCAGAGCTGGGTCCACCGCGCGCGGTACCTGGTGTTCCAAGTGCTTGGCTCCGCAGGGCCTGGGAGCCGGGGGCCGGGAGAGGCTTAAGAGACTGTGATCGGGGCTAGTCATGGACATAGGGGAGGGCTAAACCCAAGCGCTGAGCCCCAGAGGGGCCGGGCTGGGTAGATGGAACGGGGACCAGAGGAGTCTCCCCACAGCCCAGAGGAAGCTTAGCTTTGGGCAAGAGCGCAAAGAGCTGCAGCAGGCGCTCTTTGTGCTTCTTATTTCCCCTGGTGGAAATAGTCTGCTTAAACTCCTGTTCTTTGCGCCTGCAAACTCCCGTCCTCCCACCTCTGTTCTCGCGCGCGGAGAGGCCTGCTTCTTGGGAAGAAGGGAGACAGAATCTTTTGGAAAGGCAGCCGGCCTGCGCCTCCTCCCTTTCGTGGCGGGCAGGGCGAAGAGCCCGGAGCTCTGCGCGTGAGAGACAGGAGGAAAGAGATCCAGAGGCCTGAGCTTCCCAGGCCAGGCAGTAGTGAGCCGGCTGTCTGGGACCTCTGCGCAGGACAGAGCTCAGCACATTGCACAAAGCGCCGGCAGCTCCCTTTTCAGCCTCACACAGTGCGGGCCCTCCTCCCTATGTCCCTTGACGGAACGAAGAGGGATTTTCCTTCTGAGCCTACTGTGTGTGTGTGTGTGTGTGTGTGTGTGTGTGTGTGTGTGTGTGCGCGCGCGCGCGCGCGCTAAAGACAACACTCAGGGAAAACCGTGTCCAGTTTTAGAACCCCAGCCGTACCTGGTGAGGTTCAGTCCGACCGGCCTCTAGTAACTCAGACCTAAAGCCCTTGTGTATGTGTGTTGTCATTAACTCCTGTGGCTTGAACCTATTGGGTGGCGTCTTTATAGAACCTAATCAGAAATCACACCGGTTGAGGATTAGTGGGGCTCAGCTTGCAGGGAATGAGATCTCTTCGTTTTCCTGTTTCCAGTTTCTTCACTTCTCTCCCTAAGATAACAAGCCCAGGCCGCACTGAGGAGAGAGCCAGTTGCCCTGCTGAGGGAAGAGCTAGAAATAAGTCTTCTCTGGGACCAGGCTTAAAGGAAGTGATTCTGCTAGGCTATGGGAAGGGGGGTGGGCTGGAAGGGACTAGAAGGGAGCCAAATTAACTGAATATTAGGGTGACCGGGAAAAAAAGCCCCAAAACTCAAAGCTCTAAAGGCATCTCTGGGCTGCTTTGAAAAAGTGAGATTATAAATCTTTGAACAGAATACTTCCTGTCCCTGACTTTTTGTTTTCTTAACATTGAGGGAAACCCGCTAATTCTGCTTGTAGCATCGTTATTAAGTTTCCACTGTTTGCTTCTGACCTGTTTGATGGATTGTTGCTCTTCCTAAAACTATTCTGACTCTACAAATTCCTTCACATAATTCAAGTTTTCGTACTGAGAGAAATGAGGAAGTAGAAAGAAGAAAACAAAAACTAGATGGGGGATTTTTACCCTTCCTTGCTAAATAAAGGTTTACCTGTCGTTAATGGTCAGTGTCATTCCAAATGGAGTGATTTGTCCTATCAACTGTGAGGAGGTTGCCTATTTTAAGGATGGAGAGGCACTGCCTGGTAGATGCCATCATGACTAAAGGTGTCTCCTTGGCGAAAGTTCTGTTACATAGAAAACCCATTGAGCCACAAACTCCCTCAGTCAAGAGACCCACATTACCAAGTTCTTACTCAACATTTTCCTCGAATTCCTCAGACAGCTTTTTCCTGCATATGCCTTTCTCTAGACATTGGAGGAGGGGGCAGGAGAAGATAGGGAGAGCAAACACCACAGATTTAAAATTCTGGTTTTTGTTTCATTTATTTAAATAAATATAAATATAAATTTTATATAAACCTATTCACATACAAAGGGACTTCCAGCGACTTAGATTTTAAATTCTCCCCAGGCGAAATTTCAGAAAGCAAGACCTACAAGGTCTAATTTTCTAAATTATTTTCAACTTGGGTGTTTTTGTTTGAAAACGACAACAGAAAATAATCAATAAATCCTGTGTTCTTATCGAGTTCTGAAAGAGAGTAGGGATGGGGAACTGACATGTGCTTTCAAAAACCCCATACAGTGTTAAACTTAAACCAACCCTGTTTTTCCTCTGTTATACGACAAGAATGAGTTGAATTATAGGTTATTTACATTTTTTAAAAAAATCTGTAACTTCAAGTTGGAGTCCTAGATAAACAGGTCAAGAAGGAGACGCGAAGGGTCAGGTCCCGGCTTGTCCATTCCAGAACTTCCAGGTTCGTTTCTTCTCCAGATGGGACCACTGCAATGAGCAAGGATTCTGGCCCCTGGGTGCCCCACGCCTTGGCGTTGCCTGGTCTGCCAGGAGCGGGGGATGTGAGGGAGGAGGCCCTCCCTCATAAGGGGGAAATCTCCTTGTCATCGTTGGCTGAGGCCGGCGACAGGGAGTCCTCATCCTCGGAGCGCGCGTAGTGCACCTGGCTCCCGACGCACTTGCAGCCCGCGTGACTGTTCCTCTGCGTGCCCTTCCCCTCCTTCTTGTGCTTCACTCGGCGGTTCTGAAACCAGATTTTCACCTGCTTCTCCGACAGGTTCAGGTAAGTGGCGATTTCAATCCTCCGGAGTCGAGACAGGTACATGTTGGAAGAGAATTCTCTCTCCAGCTCCAGGAGTTGCGTGCTAGTGAACGCCGTCCTCATCCTCTTGCCATTGGGTACCTGGCTGGCGTCAGAGCCTCCTGCGGACCGGCGAAGAGAGGGTAGAGAGGTAAGGCTCGGGCAAGGTGCTCCCACCCCATGTGCTAACCAGGACGCATTTCAGGGACCCACCCGGGGAAGCCCAGCCGAACATCTGTATCCCTTTCCCATTTCAAGGCACGTGGTTGCTTAGCGGGGAAGAAAAGAGACGTGCAAAGCAAATAAAGGTCTTCGATGCGCAGGATGCGAAGTCACAGGATTAAAGAGGGATGGGGGCTTGCACTATCTGATCGCCTCCCTTTGAGCCAAGCGGAGAAGCGCGCAGGCTTAGCCAAAAACGTCAAGACGCTTTAGCCGCCCCGACGCGGGGATGCCACACAGGTTCAAACACACCCACCCCAAATCCCAAGCAGTTAACCTCTGGTTTATCCGCCGTGACGTTCGAGGTCCCTAAGGCCCCAGTATTAATAAGGCAATACTCGAGCACCTACTACTAGGAGTAAAACGCACCAGGCTGAGTGGAGAAGCTGGCAAACTAACTTCCACTTTCGTGGAACTTCTGTGGCTGACTCTACGGTTACACTAAAAGCCCGTCCTCTCTCTTCACCCTGTCCCCGGGCTCCCACTTCCTCCACTGGAGGTGGAAAGTTTGCTCCAGGAGCGCGAAAGGCGCGGAGCGCAGGTGCCCCAAGACCCCGCCCTACCCATGGTGAGGCAGTGGAATCTCCGCGGGTCCGCCACGTTGTAGGTGGTGGCGGTGCAGACAGGTGCGTGGTGCTGCGGGTGCCCCAAGGCCGCCGCGGCCGCCGCCGCCGCTGCTGCTGCTGCCGCCGCCGCGGCCGAGCCAGGCTGCTGGGGCTGATGATGGTGATGGTGGTGCTGCGGCGGGTGGTGGTGATGATGCGCATGGTTCACCCGCGGGCAAAACTGCGCGTCCCCAGGAGCCGAAGAGAACTGGCCCTTAAGCAGAGGCAGTGCCCCTGCGGCCCCTGCCACCCCACTGCCTCCGGCCCCGGTAACCCCGGCCCCTGCGCCCCCGCTGCCGGCGCCCACAGACCCCCGAGAGGAGTGCAGGTGCGAAGTGACGCAGAGAGGGCACACGCAGAACGCGCCGCTCTTGCGGGACGGGCAGCCGGGGCCGGACACGGACATCACCAATGGGGGCGGCATGCCAAGCGGGATGAAGAAATCCGGCCCGGGGTGCGGTTCAGGCAGCGAGGGCGCAGGCCGTGAGGTGTCCTTGATGATGAGCGAGTCGACATAGAAGGAGCGCGACATGTCGAGAGGGGTGGGTGGCTGGAAGCCCCGGCAGTTCGCGGCGACCCCTCTCCTCTAGTGTTCTAAGCTCTGCCCTGGGAGCCGCGCAGACACGGGCAGTCAAGCCCTTGGGGACGCAGAGGTGTTGGCGTCTGGGCTGGGAACAAAGGGGTCCCCGGAGAGGGCTGGTCCTCACGTCCCCCGCCCGGCGCCCCGGCTCGGGTATTTTATAGCCCCCCACCCTGGCACGTGATGCTGCGGAGTACCGCTCGGCTCAGGCTCCTCGGCAGCTCCGCACCCTCGGGATAGGCTGCCCGAGTCACAACAGAAGCCGCGAGGAGGGGCGGGCGCGCGGCGGGGAAGAACTCGGGGGAGGGGGATGGGGGAGACTTTGCAAAGTGTAGGTTTTGTTAATTTCCCGGGGAGGCCGGCCTCCTCCCCCTCTTTCTCCACGCTTTACTGAGAAATCACAGCGCTGCATCCTCCATCCCACCCCCTCTCGCTACCCTGGCCGCAGCCCAACTCTTCCCCACGCCCCACCGCAAAGCGTACCAGGTGGGGACTTGGAGGCTTATTTAATAGGAATGCTCAGTGTTTCCAGCTCCTCTGTGGTAGGGGTGGCTGCGGCGCGGTGAAGTGTGAGGCCTGCGGTTTGGAGCAGGATTGTGCGGGCGACGGACTGGCAGTCGTCCAGTCCCTGAGCGCAGCTCTGGCCACGGTTACACCTACCCCTGTCCACAGCTTTTGGACTTGGCAGAGGTCATTCAGGTGGTTAGTTCAGGACTGTCCGGCGCAGAACTGTGAGGCCTCCCAGCTAAGAAACCGTCAAGCTTTTCATGCTGATGTTCGACAAGGTCTGAAGTGTCTTTGTACTTGGGGCCCTCCTGGGGCCACTCAGACCAACGACCCTTCCTTGTTTCCCTTTCTGATCGGCACCTCCCACTTCCGCAGAGAGAGAGAGATGTTGAAGAGTCACCCTTTTCTTTCTCCAAGTAGTAACACCATGGCATTCCAGGGCAATCCTACAAACTCCATCCTGAAGATTTTGGAGGGAGGACCTCAAACACCAAGCCCTCCTAAAGACGCAGCAGGGATTAGATAGACCTTCGCTCTGGGTCTGAGGATTTCCTGTCCCTCATTTTTACCAATCATGGGCAGCTTAGCAAGGCTAACCAGGAAGCACTCTTTCCTCTGCATCTTAAGAACCTAAAAAGGATGAAGAGGATTCAGCCATCCAGGGAATCTTGCCTCTGATTGGCAGAAGTGGCTTTGTAAGGGAACTCTCTCTGGTCCATGGAAGTCTTGCACACCCCTTACTGCCCGAGAGAGGGTGGCTGCCAAACTATTGGGACTATTTATCTTCGGAGAAGGCAAGGCAGCAGAGGTGGCCATTTTCTCTCTTCATTTCCCCCTGCAGAAAAGCGGGCTGGGGCCATGTGGTTGGGCAATAGTTAGAAGTCTGATCCTTTTTCCAGAGCAGCTAACTTCAATCCTGAGTTCATGATGGTGCTAAGAAACTTAGAGACAGGACTCCCTCCACCTGAGAGAACAAGGTGCCCAAATCCAGGAGAGCACTAGCTAGAGGCACGGCTCTATCTTTCCATCCTCTGTCTTCCCCTCTCCATCTCTGTGACAGTCTCTCTTGCCTGCTAGAGAAGTGTAATTGGGTTGTAGGGATGCCCGGCTCTGGGGAGCCCAGGATTTATGGATGGCAATTAAAGTTTTATGAATTGCAGCTGAGGCTGGTTATTGAGCTATTTGAATGTGATTAGAATTCAATTAGAAAGCGGTTAGTGGACGGTGGGTCTCTGGAGTGTAAACAGACAGCTATTCCAGAAATGTGCTAATCCAACATCTTGTGACAACAATTAAGGAGTCTCAGGGCTTAACATGGGGCAGCTCAGCTGTAACTACTTTTGTACCACAAGGTCTGCAGACGCTCAGGCTCACCCCAGCCCGCCCTTGTTCATGACTGGAGGATCTAGGCAATCCCCGAAATCATTTCAGCCCCAAGAAGAAGGCTTGGAGCCACTGATGGAGAATGGCAATAAAAAACATACCCTGCTGAATGGCAGGATATTTTTTACAGTCCTAAACTGTCCAAATAGATGACTCGATTCCCCCCATTCACTTTGCAACTATACAAGCATATATAGATATAGATACAGATACTCTTTAAGAATAATAGCTTTCTCTCTTTTCCTCCTCTGGGTTAGGTCCCAGGTTATCCACAGTCTGTTTTGGGCTGATGGTTTGAGTCACAATGTTCCCAGCAGTTTGGGATGTGTTCAGAGGAAGAGCTCCTATGCTAAAGTCCTAGAAATCGCACCCATGTGCAGACCATTTTACCTTAGAGAATCTTAACTATGCAAGAGGCTTGTGCATCTTATTCAATTTGTGTCTGACTGTGGAAACTTTCATTTTTCAGTGCCAAGGAGTTTTGAGAAATGTGAGGGGCTCATGGGGTTTCCTAAAGACTTCAAGGGGAGCAGTGGTTTCAGACCAGGCTGAGGCTGAAAGCAAGACCATGTCTGAAAAACTTGACCCTTAGGGTACTTGGTTAATTCCTTCAGCCCACCAAGAGCAAGTATACTGGAATCCCATTTCTTGCACAGTTTCTGTCCACTCTGACTCACTTCTCTAGTTCTCTTTGGATCTCTCAGTGTCTGCCAGTCTCTCTCCCTCCTTCTCTTCTGAGTCCAGCCCCTATCTGGCCCTACCTGCCTATCCCCTCCTCAAAGGAAGCCTACCCTCCATGCCCCCGGGGCAGCACTGCCCACCCCCCACCCCAGCCCTGCCCAGCCCTACTGTTCCCCAGAGTGCAGTGCCCTGAACCAGCAGGAGACCCCAAGTTCAGCTTTCTTTTCCTGAGAGGGAACAGACAGACCATTGGCGTGTGCCCATGGTGTCTGAGCCGCCACACAATTTTATTTCTCAGTGATTCTGTCCGATAAAATTTCATCGTCCATTAAGTAATCCCCAAAATGAGAGCTCTTATGAGCCTATAATGAGCTCTAATTGCCACAACTCCAGGAGCCACGTGGAAGGATTTATTCTGTATTAAGCAGTCGGGTACAGAGTACAGGCTGTTACCTAAGCCATTACTTTCATAATTCAAGGAGAAAATTAGTTCTTTTAAAGGAAAGGGGAAATCTTTTTATTATCTCCCTCTTGCTTGGGACAATAGAGTATGGTTTTGTCTTCCTTGAGTGCAAGACAGTGTCACATATGTGATGGTAACAAAATTGTTCTTTGTACCTCCTCCTGGCCAAGGCACTCCACCCTTACCCTCAACTTACAAAAAAAAAATCAAAGCTATTCTAGAAAGAACAGCAGAGGCATGGCCTTCTTGTCTCTCGATTCTCCAAGTTGAGCCTGGGTGAGCAGTTTCCTTTCAGCCCAACCCTGAGATTTGGATTCTCAGTTCTAGCTTCCAAAAGGTCTCCAGTACTTCTTCCCAGCTCTGGAATGGCACCTGACCTGAACCCCACATTCCTGTCTCACTTCTCTTTCTTCCTGTTTGCTTTCATGGGCAAAGTCAGGACAAGTAAAGGGCAGGGACTTAGCATTGCTTATTCAACAGGCCCCAGAGTTCTGACCCGTTCCTGTGCTTAGCTGTTTTTTTCAGGCTGTAACTCCCACTTTGCCCCTCCCTCTGTGTCCTCCAAACCTCCCCACCTCCCCCACCACCACTTTCATCCCCAGTCCTTTTTTCTCTTAGTTTCAGCATTTGCCCACATGGTTCTCCAGCTCCAAATGGAGGCTGCAGGCAGGGCGGGACAGCCGGGGAGTTGGCGGGGCCGCCTCGGATTTATTTGCTCCTCTTACATTGATTTCATATTAGTTTCCAAAGCGATGAATGATCTCAAAGCTGGGTTTTGTTAGCCGAACACAAACAGGAGACAGGACTTACTTGCCCCCAGCTCCCTTTAATGAGGTCATTATCAAAGCGTGAACAAGTCTATGAATGTTTTATTGAAAGTGCATCGTTAACTTGTATCCATCCTTTTCTCCGAGTGGCATTGTGATATTGCTGTCTGTGGCACATCTTACCCGATATAGCCCGAGATTTCCCCATTCTCTGTAACCAGGCAACCCTTTCTGAATACCCAAAAATTGAAAAGAACCGCTTAGTCTTCAAGAAAGTCCTCAATAATAGTGGAAAAGAACAAAGATCCAGGAGACAACAAAATGCCACAGGGGTGACTTTTCATGAGCAATTATCTCTCATTAATCAGAAGAACAGCTGCAATATTAATTTTCTCTCTTTCTTCCTCTCTTTTCACAGTCCCCAACATTTGAATAATCATAAATTTTGATTTTATGAAGGAGTCACATTTTCAGGGGCTGGAGGAAAGCAGCTACCTAGGTGAAGACAAGAAGAAAATGCTCTCATTTTATTTTATTTTTTGTTTGGGTAAAGCTGCCAACAAAGCAAAATGGAAAAAATAAAAATAAGAAATGCCAGAGAAAATGCCCCCCCCCCTTTCTTCTTCTAGATGGCTGTTGAGAATAAGGACTCTCTTCTCCCCCACCCTCTGCTCACAACTACCCCTCCTTTCTTTCCTCCCCCCGCCCAGACCCATTCCCCAGTTTTGCTCTGAGCAGGGCGGAGGGAAACGTCCCTGGCGTCTGGCGTGGGAGTTTCAGCCGGGTTTCTGCCCGTTTAACTTGCAAACGTGAAGCCAAGCGTTGTCGATCTGACCAAAGAGACACTCTTTGGGCGTAACTTGCATTGTGGCCATCAAAAGCCCGCCAGCCTTGGATGAACTGAGAAGTGTATTCAGCAGAAATGGGGCGCTCGCTCTCCTTTCAGGCTCTGGAGAGGCAATTGTTCACAGGATGTGTAGCCAGGGTGGAAAACGTGGGTCCCCAGATAAGGCTATAACCTGCAAACGAGCTTGGGGGAGTTAAAAGAATCTCATTAAAGCCCCGGCTGCAATTAGCAAATACACACTCATAGAGAACTCAAGCTCCTCTTGAAAAGCTGTGGGTCAAGATGAAAGAGGGCAGTTGGGAGCTAGTCCCCACATTCTTGTACTGCTTGAGTGATGGGGGGCTCAGGAGCCAGGCTATTCCTTCAGCTGCCCCAATATTGTTAGTTTTAATGCAAGGCCAGGGAAGGCCTTTCTAGAGGGAGGGCAGGCTGTGGGCCCTGTGTTCATGCACCACCAAAAATAATCTTGCTTCTCCCTGGTGTTTATTCAGAACGGATGGGCTTTTGAGAAACCTGAATTCGCCTTTGTGCTCACCACAGTTGCAAGAGTTCAATTCGGCCCTCTGAGAAGAAGCAGCGGGGAGAGGGGGGTGGGGGGTGGTAGTGGAGGTCTTCTGAGAAATAAGTGAGGGGTTTGGCTTAGAATTTCAGGAACGGCCCAGTTGGAAAAAAGTTGTGATGGCACTGAATGCCTGCCACACAGCCCCTCTGCTCCCCACTTCACTTTAATTAATATTCGCCCACCCCCAAATCCTCAAGCCGAACAAGGCATCCCTCTCCCACCCTCAGAGCTCTCCTCTGTCATCAGAATAAAATTTATCGAGCGCCTACTCTGTGCCCAGCGTGTGCTAGGCACTGCAGGGAGCAGGCCTGAAAAGGCCAAGACAGTATCCAATAGAATATTGTTTCATTTCAGTAACAATGGCCTGAGGTGGGGAACAATTATCCGGATAATTGAAGCAAATGCTTCACCTCCCTCCCTCCCTCTCCAGTTCTCCTGGCACTTACTATTTTTTACTACCCTATTCAGAGATGTGGTTTTTGTATTGGAGGGCGGGCGGGGGAGGCAGGAGTGTGTAAGAGGAGGGTTGAATTATTCACATGCATACCAATTCCCCACTTCCCTTGGCCTAAATTTTCTGAAAGCTTGGAGCCAAAATAGCTGCTTAGTTATGGGAGCAAAGACTTAAAAAAAAAAAAGTCACTAAAATAAGAGCAATTCTTTATAATTTTTAGCAGCCCAGCCCTTCTGGTTTTTGATCTTGGTCATCTACAAAAATCACCTGGAGAGCTTTATAAAAATACTGATTACCTAAGGGATTTCGATTTAATGATGTGAGGCTGGAACACGGCGGGGTGTAGATGGAGGGGGAGACAGAAGTCAACCAGAATTCTGCATGCGGTTCTGATGTAGTTGAGAAATAACTGATAAATCCTGCCCCCTACGCCCTCCTACCATGGAATCTGAAGAGAGCAACGTAACTTTTTTGAGCCTTATCTGGTCATTTGATAGTTGGAAAGTGTGTATTGAGCGCCTATTATACCCCAGGCTGCGCGCAAGGGAATTCAGTAGCACAAGACCCGCCCCCGGGGAGTTTCCAGGTTAAGCGAATCAACAAATTAACTCGGAGCTGGTGAGTTAAAAAGGTCGTGTGAATATGAAAGAAAAGCTCAAGGGGCTCTGGGTGATGATAAAACCGAAGCTTGAAGTGACATTTAAACGGAGACCTGCAAGATGTGCGGGTGTTGGCCTGGGAAAGAGGGATGGGGAATGCGTTCCCGGCCACCTAAGGGTGCTCACGGGAGCCTCCGAGAGTTTCTCTTGGTTAATTGCAAAAACTGAAAGGAGGCCTAGGAAAGTGGAGAAAGAATTTCAGTTTCTGCATCTGTAAAATAGAGAAAATGCCATCGTCTTCGAGTTTTTGTGAGGAATTCAGGACTGCCTAACACCGGGCCTGGTGCCTGGTAAGGCTCGTGGCTTCTCTTGTTGGTTTTATTATTATCTGAGACCTGCAGCTCCATAGGCTCTTGAAGCTTGTAAATTAGGTATCAGAGTCCCTGGGCTTGGCAACTAGGAGCCAGGAAGCCGCTGCACAATCATCTCTCCGTCCCCCCGCGCCTTTTCCCGGCCGAGTGTTGCCCTCTAAGGCTCCTCCACAGCCTGGCGCTCGCACCCTGAAGGCGCCCAGTGTGGGGCCTTTCTATCCCTCGGTTTCCGGGCATATGTTTGTTCAGCAGTTACATTAACCTCGCCACTCCCCACCCCCGTCAAAGGCTCTGGCGTCCTGGCCGTCCCTACTTGGGACTGCGCCCTAAATTTCAAAACGTTCCTATGATATTAGAAACCTCCCAGCTTTGCTGCACACCCACCTGCTTTGCATAGGAGGAAAACAGTCGCCTTTCGAGTATATGACAATACTCGTAGGTACATTTTCTGAGCTCTCACTGTGTGGCAGTTCTTGAACCAAGAGCCTTGCCTGCATGACCTCATTAATCCGCACAACAGCCCTCCCAGATAAAATGCCATTATTTTCTCCTCATTATGTTTGCGGAGAACCCTATTTGAACTACTGAAGTTCAAAGACTGAACCAAGGTCACACAGCTAGTGATGGCAGAGCCTTTTAGGCACTAAGCAATACTAACCACCTGATAACACCTAGCATTTATTGAACACCTACTATATGCCTGGCAGTGGCTGAAGACTTTAATGCCTCCTTTATTTCTCACAGCAACCCTGTGAGGTAGGTGCTTTTATTACTTCCTTATTTGTTGGCTGTCCATTTGTTGGTTAGTGTGGTTGGTTTTCCTACATATTAAAGGTTCTGAGGGCCAGTCCAATGTACGGACTGAAATTAGAATGAGGACAGGGAACATGATTGTTTTTATTCACCTGTGCCCAGAACACAGTAAGCGCTGAAAAACATTTGGAGTGGATGAAAGCAATATTTTATTATTTAATTCAAAAGCCCTCTTCATAATCAATCCGTATGCTTGTTGACTGCAAACTGCTCCTGGGCAGAAACTGGGTCTGTTTTATGTATTCACCAGTGTATGCCAAATGTCCAGACCAGAGGTGACATATATTAGGATGGCAATTAATATTTGTTGAATGAATGATTCCTTATTTCAGATAGGAAACGGAGGCTCCGAGACAACGGTAAACTGGCCAAGGCCACATAGCAAGTGGCAGGGGGAGAATTCCAACCATAGTTTCTAACGCTGAGTCCCTTTTTCAGCCTCCTGCCCTGTGTCCCCGGGGCATAGGGACAGGGCGCGGGAACCCTGTGCTGCGCGGCCGAGGACGGTTGTAAGTCTGTCCTCACTCGCCCGCGTCCCACACCTGGGCGAGGGCAAGGGAGGCAGAAGAAATGAGACGCTGGAGAAGCCGCTCCGAGGAAGAGGGTAAACAAACAGGCTCTGGGGCTGCGCGAGGTGCTCTCTGCGCGACAGCTCCTACCCGGCGCTCTTGCTCCCACGGCTCTAAAACCTCAACCTACTCCCTTCCTCCAGTCTCGGTCTCCCTGGGTCTCCGCCTCTCTCTCTTCCTGGCTAACTTATTTCTCACTGGGAAACCAAGGAAATCTAAACGATCGCACTGACCCCACAGCCTCAAAACAAGCCCATCCGCAAAGGCCACCAAACACCCGCTCCCACACCAGGCACAAAGTCCTCTCCGCGACGGATGCGCATGCACGAGCGCGAGTGAGGAGGCAGAGTTAGCGTGTGCGCCTGTGCGCATGCGTGAGTGTAAGTGGGTAGGGAGTCCTTGAGTGTGTCTGCGCGCAAGCTCGTGTAAAGAGCGAAGGCGAGGTGGGGGCGAGTGTGCATGAGCGCGAGCATAAGTGTACTGTCAACAGTGAGATTAAGGTACGTGGGCGTGATGGTGTGTGAAGAGGTGAAAAGTGAATTAGAATGAGGGTAGGGAATGAGATTGCTTTTCCTTTTTTATTTTTAAATTATTTCAATAGTTTTTTGAGGAACAGGTGGTGTTAGGTTACATGGATAGGTTCTTTAGTGGTGATTTCTGAGATTTTGGTGCACCCATCACCCAAGCAGTGTACACTGTACCCAATGTGGTCTTTGATCCCTGTGCGCGGAGCTGTGTGAGTGAAGCGTGTTTGGGAGCATGGGTGTGTGTGAATATATGAGTGTATGAATGTGTGAATGTGAGGAATACGAGAAACTGGGGATGTGCACAGGGTGAGTGCGGTGTGAATGAGAGTGTGAGAACGTGCGTAGAGAGAGCAGGAGTGTGTCTGCGTGTGCCCGGCCCCTGGAGCCCCGCCTCCCCACTAGGCACGCCTTCCTCTTGGTGGGGTGCGCTACGGGCGCAGCCCAGTGCCTCTGTCCGCGCAGACCCGCTCTGCTGGTCCTGGAGCCTGGCGTGGGCTGAGGCTTGAAACTGGCGTCACTCAGCGAGCCAGAAAGGAGTGGGCGGGAGTGTCTGGGGGGTGCGCTGTCTCCCCATGTAGAAGCCTGGACACTCTAAGCAGGAGGGGCTCTGGCAGTATTGCCTCGAGGTCCTCCCTTTCACCTGCCCCCAGTATTGTTCACCCACCTGTGGATCATCTTTATGTTCATGTACTCAGGGAGCACCCATGGTGTGCCTATAGTATGCCAGGCTCTACTTGGGCTTGGGAAACCGTGAGAACAAGATAGCTTAGATCTCATTTGTTTTGGAACTTCCACTGGGCCTTTTATTAATGTGTAACCAGCTTGCAAAATGCCAGTCATACACAAGTTTTGTCGCCTCTGTCCTCAAGCAGAGGGGCATGGAGATTATGAGACAAACACTGATCGTAATAAGACGATGCATTGAAATCAGTGCAAATCCATTTCATCTCCAACCCAACCTCACCCTTTCACTGCACCACTGAGTTTGGGATTGGGTTTAGGAGGTCCTGGATGTGAATCCACCTTCTCTCTGACCATGGAAATAATAATGACCCTCTTCTCACAGGATGGTTGTGAGCATTAAGTGAGTTAAGCCTGACATCCCTTGGCACAACGCCTTGCACATACTTAGCACTCAGTATACAAACTATGACGACGTTGATGTGTGATGACGTTCCCTGAGTCTGATGGAATGTTGTGGGGAAAGAGGGAGGATGCGTTTGTGAGCTACAAAATTTAAGGGATTATTTCTGGATTTAGGTTAAATTAGGCCGGTTGTGGTGGCTCATGTCAATAATCCTAGCACTTTGGCAGGCCGAGGCAGGCAGATTACTTGAGGCTAGAAGTTCGAGACCAGCCTGGCCAATATAGTGAAACCCCATCTCTACTAAAAATACAAAAATTAGCCAGCGTGGTGGTACACGCCTGTAGCCGCAGCTACTTGGGAGGCTGAGACAGGAGAATTCTTGAACCTGAGAGGTGGAGGTTGCAGTGAGCCGAGATTGCACCACTGCACTTCAGCCTGGGCCATAGAGCAAAACTTCATCTAAAAAATATATATATATAAAATAAAATAATTAAATTGTGTATAATTTATACAGATTGAGTATCCTTCATTAGAAATGCTTGGGACCAGATGTGTCTGAAGATTTTGGATTTTTTATGGTTTTGGAACATTTGCATGTATATAATGAGATATCTTGGAAGAGGACCCTAGTCTAAACACAAAATTCATTTATATTTCACATACAGCTTATTCAGTGTACATAGCCTAAAAGTTTTTTATACAATATTTTAAATGATTTTTTGCATGAAGCAATATGTTTTAAGTACTTCTGTGTGGAATTTTCCACTTGTGATGTCATGTTGGTGCTCAATAAGTTGCAAATTTTCAATATTCAGCCTGTATTACATTCTCCTCTAGCATCAGGCTAGTGTTATAGTATCAGATACTCCATCTTCATCCTTTACTATGACTTCTTTTCTTCCACCAATGTTATCAAAAGTACTGTTACCAAGGGAAATAAAAATGCAGCAAGAACCTATAGGAGCTGAATATTCTTTTAGGCAGCTTTGGAAGCATTTTTAGTCCTGTTAAAATGGAAGGGAATATTTTCACAGTGGCACAAAATGAATGCTGTAATTTAACCTTGTGAGCAAAATTTCTGATTAAATACAACATAGGAAATATGTTTCCTGATTAGCCATGTACCTCCCTGGAACAAGGTATTGTATAAACAATTGCAAGACATACTTATTTTTATTTTAGAGAAGCTGACTTATTAAAAACATTTTTTGATATTTTGATCAAATATTTTGATCACTATATATGTGTGTGTATATATATATATATATATATATGGAATGTGGTGGTGGGATCATAGCTCACTGTAGCCTTGAACTCCTAGGCTCAAGCTGATCACAATATAATTTTGTTTAAAACCAAAATTTTTAAAGATTGGATTTCATTATTGAGATGTTTTCCCAAGGAAAAAAAATCAAAAAGAAGGCTTGAAAGATTGGAGAACCGATTGCAGATCTAGGTTCTTGAATTTAACAGCAAGAAAGGAATTCTGTCCTTATGTAACTGACCTATCTCATGTTATAAGTAGGGAGACTGAGGTCTCAAGGGATGAAATGGTCTTAGTGGTCAGTCTCTCCTACAGTCACCAAATAGGACCATATCAGCTTTGTTCCTCTACCTACAGTTTTATACACTTGCAGGAAGATGCCCTGGAAACTAGGAGAAGAGAAGGTACAGGAGTTCCAGGTTCCTGCATTACCCTCAGGTCTCTGTTGCTGGCACCTCCATCTTCTGGTGGCTCTTGCCCAAATCCTTTGAATCTTCTGTGACTCCTCTCTTGCTCTTTCTCTAATCCTGTACATTTAACCCATCATGAAGTCCTGAAGGCTTTAACTTCAAATGTAACTGGAAACTGACCACTTCTTAACACTCCAACTACTATCGCACGGGTCCAAGCCATCACCACTGCATAGGGATGACTGGGTTCATTCTTCCTATACTTGCCTCTACAATCTGTTCTCAACAGAGCAGCCAGAAGGATCGTTTTGAAATAGAAGTCTGATCAGGTCAGACCAAGAACAAAAGGCCCTCCATGATGCCACCATGGCTGTCTCTGACCACTCCAACCACTGGCCTACTTGCTCCCTCTGTTTTCCTTGCTGGTCTGGCCCTCTCTAGCCTTCCCCTCTGTTGAGAACTCTTCCCCTACAAGCTCACACGTCTTACTTCCTCACCTTTAGGTCTTTCCTCCAAAGACACTTTCTTACTGTCTTTTTTCTTTTTTGCTTTGAAATTTAGAAACAAATTTTATTTAAGATCTGAAATGTAATTCCTAAAATATCAACTTTTTCAGAAAACTGTGGCTTACACAATAATGCATTGCCTCTATCACGTTACAACATGCATTAGACTCAAATGCAAAAACCATGAAACAAACGACCACCCTTCAACAATTTGCGCAAAGACAGAATGCCTAAGGAACAACATAGACGGATTTGCAGAGGATGGGCTGTTTTACTTCAAGCATCATTAAAAAAAAGAGAACAAATGCATGGGTTTTTGGGTATATATATCAAATTGAATGTTTGGCACTAGGAGTCAGGGCATTTTGTCATGTAGCATTAACACATATTAGAAAATTGTGTAGTGTCAAAGGGGTAGAACCACCAGCATTCAAGCAATGTTGTCAACTAGGCAATAAAATGTTCCACTGAATATTTCTTCTTTGTTCTAATTACTGCATACCCTGGTAGCAACTTTGAAATGAGAAAAGGAGCTTACACTCCTTTTATTTTCTGTTTAAAACAGAACAGAAAACAAACTGAAACATAAGCCCTGTTTTACATTAACAATGTTAAAGAATATCCATTTTACAAGAAAAAGACTAAGAACAAAAAGTGTTTCCAGATCTCAGGGAAATAACAGTGAATGGTCTGTAGACCAGCACAGGGCTTTGTGGTGGTACTTAGCAGAAGCTACTTTGTAATCACCGCCAGTAAAAAGAGATGCAGAATTCTTTGCCAGATATTTTAGGAAATCATGCAAATGGCCCAACAATAACGCAAGGCTCTTCTCATCAAGGGATATATAGGCCAACATTTCTCCTATTCTTACAAATAACCTCAGTAGGTGTGTGCCCCTTAAACCTGGGACACAGGAGCATCAGGGTGAGCCAAGAGGATTTCTGCATACAGGGGCCTCTCAAATTTGTAGAGCAGCTGAGTGCCTAACATCACGTCGAAATATTCTTTTATTCTTGTCACAATTTCATTAACTGCCTATGCCTTATTATCGACGTTTCCCTGCGATGTTTTACAATTTGCATACTCCTTTAGAATTGCATCTACATTTTGCTTAGCAGGGAGTTAAAACAGCTGCTTCTGCTTGGTAACTAAGTTCCAGTCCCCAGCAAGCCATGGTTTCGATTCTTCAGGCATCTTCACTTTAACTTCCATTCTGTTCTTAAATGCGTCCTCGCTTTCAACAGTGAGGTCTGCCCAGGCTCTTTCCTTCCCTGGGGTCTGAGGTGCTTTGCTGGTACTGCCCCCATATCTGTTTCCAGGAGTCCTCTGTTTGTTCTTTCTGGTCTTCCTCACGGATCCTGAAGCTAAGAAGTTCTCTGCAGAGCGACCCCACATCTTCCTGAGAGAGGTGGTTCAAGATTTTTCTGCTGTGGACCAGCTGCCTTCTTTCCTGAGGAGGCCCCTCTCATCTCTGCATGTTGCTTCTAGTTGGTTTTTTGAAGTTGTCTTCTTCTGCAGATTGTTGTCCATGAGATTGAGAACCCGGCTTTCTGGAACTCATTCAACCCTTTTTATTCCAACCAACAATCTTTCTTCTTTCCAAGAACTCCTAGGGATTTCCCAAAAGGACTCTTATAGATCTTGCAGGATGGTCTAGGAGGATACAGTGGGAGATACAATCCAAGATTCTGTAATCAGAGGTTTCTACAATCAGGATCAGATCTCCTGAGCCTTACTGTACAGCAAACTTAGCTTTTCTGAATGGTGACCTGAAATGAGAATCCAGATCTTTCTAGCTGCCGCTTTCTCACTCTTTTTAAAATATCAAAGCTGCTACTGTGCCTTCTGCACTCCCAATCCCTTTTCCATGCTCTATTTTTTTCTCCCATAGCAGTCATCACTTTCCAACTATATGCTACATAATATCTTCTGTTTATGTTTATCGTCTGAATCTCCCTGCTAGAATGGAAGCTCCTGCAGGATATTTATGTCTACTGGGTTCATTGAGAACAACCACCCTATGAGAAGAGGGCCATTATTATTTCAAAGAGAGGGTGAATTTACATCCAGGACCTCCTAAACCAAACCCCAAACTCAATGGTGCAGTAAAAGGGTGAGGTTGGGATGGAGATGAAATGGATTTGCACTGATTTCAATGCATCATCTTATTACTATCATCATCTGTCTCATAATCTTCTCCATGCCCCTCTGCTTGAGGGCAGAGCCCAAAACTTGTGTATGACCAGCATTTTGCAAGCTGGTTGCACATGAATCAAAGGCCTAGTGGAAGCTTCAAAATGAATGAGATCTAAGCTATCTTGTTTACATGCTTTCCTAAGCATATAAAGCAGAACCTGGCAGAGGAGATGCTCAATAATTTATGAAGGATTGAAAGAAGAATGTCAGTGTTCTAGGTGGATGCTTCCTCACCATTCTATTTTACCTGTATACAGGACTGCAGTTTATAAAGACTCTAACCAGTTATGTCCTTGGGTTAGCACAATTATTTAAGCTAGATAGGACTTTTTGTTTTTTTTTTAACTGTTATTTCCACAATAAGATATTGAGAGGTTAAACGACTTGCCAAAATCAGATCCTGGATTTAGACTTGCAATCAAAGTATCATTTTGTTTTTGGTGGGAGACAAGTTCCCTTTCCAGACCTCCTGGCTAAATGAGGAAAACTAATAAGTTACTGGATTTACTGTGGATGCTTCTAAATCCAGTGGCCCTGAGATTAGGGCTAAGGTTCTCCCTCCACTGTCGGCCTGTGGAATTCTTTAGCTGCTCACATCACAGCTACATGAACAGTTTTTGGGAAACACACCATAATGGCCACATCCTCTTGTTTTTATAATTTACACAGGGTTGAAAACAAGAGATATTGTCTTGTTGTTAGCTAGAGCTCATTTGGAGTCTGCCCTGAGTCTCTGGACTTGGCTCGATGCCCTTCCTCATCTGACTGCTCTGGGCAAACCAACTACTGTCTTAGTCATTGTATTACTCTGTTTGGATTCTCTGTCAGTCCATCAGATTTAGCTGATGAGCTCATTGACTGAAAATTGATTGAGCAAGACAGTGTCCCTAATTCTGTATGCATACACAGCACCATTGTCTTCCACAGATACTTCGTAATAATTGGCATCCCCCTACGAGATCATTGGTATCTCAATAATTAAAATCAATAGCTGTTGTTAAGGCAAGAATTTATCATAGTAACCTACAAAAGTGGTAAAAAGGTAATATAATTCAGAAGATAGATGTAAATATAAAATTACCAATTCTGAACAGGTTTTTAAAGATAATACTTGTTCCTTAAGGACATTCATATTTAATAAAATAAATGAGTTATTTCTTTATCATTTGAATGACATAAATTGTTACTTTTTTATGTGAGTGGGGAAAATATAGCACTTTAACATTTTGAGATAAGGAGTAGAACACTTTATTTATATCAATTCAGTGTTTAGCTTTTCACAGATTTTGTCTCTATGCTACCTGTTTGATTTTTTTTTTTTTTTTTTTTTTGAGACAGAGCAAGGCTGTGTCTCCCAGGCTGGAGTTTAGTGGTGAAACCTTGGCTCATTGCAACCTTCGCCTCCTGAGTTCAAGTGGTTCTCATGTGTCAGCCTCCCGAGTAGCTGAGATTGCAGGTATACACCACCACGCCTGACTAATTTTTTATACTTTTTTGAGTATACTCTAATTTTTTGCTTTCTGGGGTTTTACCATGTTGGCCAGGTTGGTCTCAAACTCCTGGCCTCAAGTGACCTGTCTGCCCTGGCCTCCCAACGTACTGGGATTACAGGTGTAAGCCACTGTGCTTAGCCTGTTAGAATTTAATAGGTCTCAGTTATACACTATTTCACTATTCTGGGTGCTCTAAAGCATCAGTGACAATAATTATGAATGTAGAAGGTGCATTGGTAGCCAAAGTTAACTATGTCATTGCTGTCCTTGAGAGGGGTTTTTACCTGTGTTTTCTTTTTTTTTTGTAATTTTTCTGAGATCAGACAAGTTAGTTAGATTCCAAACAATATGGGCCTAATATAATCACAATTCCATTTAAATTGGCCAAAGAATGACCCTTATCCAGACAGGACTCTTAGTGTACTTAGCTGTCAACAAAATATAAAACTTATCAGAATAATGGCTACTTTTAAATATAAGGCCTGCATCATATTGTTAGAGGAACTTCTGGAAATAGGAGACAGTTGCTATTAAAATTCAATTTAGTTTAATTCACCATTATTTACTGAGTGCCTACATATGTTAGGTACTAGGGCTACAAAGATGACTAGACCCCGGGCTGGGCACAGTGGCTCACCTAACCATAGCCATCAATGAATTCAAGTAAGTGTGTGATAGTGGCATGCAACAACTGTGGAACCATGGAGGAGAGATCTGTTCTTTCTTCCTGCTGGCATCATGGACTCTGAGACTGAGGCTTGAACTATTTCTAGGAGATGCTCAGAGTAAAAACAACAGCAGGAGAAGAGACTTCTAGGCCAAAGTTTCAAGAGTGAGCACAGGCCCAGAGGATGGATATGCATTAAGCTGCATGCAGGAGACAGAAGCAGGAAGGGCTGCTTAGTGGCAGAAAGCAAAGAGTGTGAGTGGCAGGTGAAGAAGTATGAAGGCCTCTGTAGTAAGATGAATGGTCTTTGAAGGATGCTAAGCAGAAAATTGAAATGATTATATTGTAATCATTGTAAAGGATGGGATTGGAAGAGAGAGAAACCAGAGACAGTTAGTGTCCAGTACCAAAGTCCAGACTTGAAATGATAAGTGTCACATTAATCAGTAGTGGTGGGAATGGAGAGGAGAGAATAAATTCAAGAGTAATTTGGAAGGTAGCACCAATGAGCCTTGGTTACTAATTAGATAGGACAGGGGTACAGAAAGACAAATGGGTCAGTGGGGACTTGGGTTTCTAGCTCAGGTGTCTGTATTGAATATGATTGTGTTAACAAATATAGTGGTTACAGATGAAAGATAAGCAGTTTTTTGTTGTTTCAGATGAGACTGTAGATAGAGTGAATGGAACAGAAAAAAGATAAATTGGTTGTAAACATTTTGAGTTTTAAGTGCTATAAGAATAGCCAAGAGGAAATTTTTGATGTAGAGTAGCAGTTGGAAATATGGATCTGAATTTAACAGAAATTGAGATTGGAGTTGGGCGTGGTGGCTCATGCCTGTAATCCCAGCACTTTGGGAGGCTGAGGTGGGTGGATCACCTGAGGTCAGGAGTTCGAGACCAGCCTGACCAACATAGTGAAACCCCGTCTCTACTAAAAATACAAAATTAGCTGGGTGAGGTGGCACATCCCTGTAATCCCAGCTACTTGGCTGGCTGAGGCAGGAGAATCGCTTAAACCCGGGAGGCAGAGGTTGCAGTGAGCCGAGATCACTCCAGCCTGGGCAATAGAGCAAGACTCAGTCTCAAAAAAAAAAAAAAAAAAAAAAAAAGAAAGAAAGAAAAAAGAAAGTGAGAGTAGAAATAAAAATGGCATCAGCCTATATTATTTAAAGCATATATAATATTTGAAGCAATATGATGAGATGAAATTACCCAGGGTTGGTGTCATGGTTAGGATGGTGGTCAGGAAAGTCATTGTTTTGGTGTAGTACTTAGAGTAGTTTGAATATATTATGTGATATATTTGTTGGATGCTGAGTCTCTTCTACAGTCTCACTTCCCTCCTCTAAGGACTTGTATAATCTTTTGGTGAGTCTATCTAGGGATAATCCAGTACTTACTATTTGACAGTGGAACTGGAATACACCTGGGAAACCAAATTAAGGTTGTAAGACAGGTTGGTGTAAATATGGGATTGGATTTAGAAACGACTGGTATGAATATGAGATTAGAGTTACAAATAGCCCTGACCACCAGATGACTTGAAAAGGTGGCTGAGTACTCTTTCCTCATCCCTCTCATCTAATAGAAATAGAGTGGAGTAGGGAAATCCTGATGGAGGGTTCAGACACCCTGCCTTCTTTTCTTTCCAAAAGACTTTCTTTTCCATGTAGACCGTAGATGTTTTCTGACTGAGTCAACTTTATATCCACAAGGTCTGTTGACATTTAACATGCCAAAGATCCATACAGTGGAGCAGCCAGATGTTTAGGGCCTGGTCCTGGCTTATTGCCATGAGCATTGCTCAGATTCCCAGTCTGAGTCAGAATCCTGAGTGACAGATCACAGGATGTTTGTGTTTCCTGAAGGACTTAAAGGGCTTGCAAAATGTTCTGTCTTATCCACCTCCAGAGAGAAGATTGCTCATTTTTGAGATCCATGTAGATGGAAAAAGAAAGGAAAAATGGTATATCAATGCACAAAATCATATACAGTATCACCATTCATCATCAGCTATCACTCTTGATTTTCCATCAGTCACTTCCTTACCTATCTAATGCCCTCATCCCATTATGTTCGGGATCAACCTTTTTGCTTCGACCAGGCTAGCCTGTTTGTGGTCCATGGCACACATAGTTATCTTACCATATGTGGGGTTTCCCATTGACACCTTTCTCCACCTCTATCATCTATTTTTCATCTTTAAATTGCTATTCAAAACTATGGCTTCTCCACAAAACATTTGCTTCCCAATGGTAAAAACTTAGGCTGGGTGCTATGGCTCACACCTATAATCCCAGCACTTTGGGAGGGCAAGGCAGGAGGCTCACTTAAGACCAGGAGTTCGAGACCATCTTGGGCAACATAGTGAGACCTCATCTCTAAAAACAACAACAACAACAACAACAGCAACAAGCAACCCAAAACAAGCACATCAAATCATCCCAAATTCACCAGTGGTTTCCTATATGGCAATTAAAGTTTTATCTCCCCATAGAAATTATACCAGAGGTAAAATTTATACTCATTTGGGCATAAAGTACTTATTTATACATGTCTAGGGCAGATTCCTGATCTTTCCATAGCAGTATGTTACAGAGTAGCCCTCACTTAGAGAGGTAGATAAGTAGAATAGAATATTTGACTACATCAAATTGAAGTATCTTAGATGATGAGAATAATAGCGATAATAAGTATCATTCATCAAGTGTCTGCCATGCCAGACACTCTACTAAGCATTTTGTAATGTTATTACATTTAACTATCACAATAAAGATTAAGAAGGGTATCATGCCCATCTTATAGACTAGAAAACAAAGATTCAAAGAAGTAATTTGAAGCCAGGCACAGTGGTGTGTGCCTGTAGTCCTAGCTACTTGGGAGGCTAAGGCAGGAGGATCCCTTCAGCTCAGGAGTTCAAGGCCAGCCTGGGTAACATAGTGAGACCCTGTCTCTGAAAAAAGAAAAGAAACAAATAAAGGACTAATTTGCCCAAGGTCTTAATTTATAGGCAGTGGAATCTGGATTCAGACCTAAGTCTTTTTTTTCCCCAGCTTTTTGAGATATTAATCAAATAAAATTTGTATATATTTAATTGACAAATAAAAATTGTATATATTTAAGGTATATGTGTGATGATTTTATATATATATATATATATATATATATATATATATATATATATACACACACACATTGTGAAATGATTACCACAATCAAGCTAATTAGCACATCCATTATCTGACATAGTTACCATGTGTGGTGAGAATACTTAAGATCTACTCTCACAGTAAATTTCAAGTATACAATGCAGTATTAACCATTGTCACCATGCTGTACATTAGAGACCCCAGTACTTTTTTTTTTTTTTTTGAGACAGAGTCTCACTCTGTAGCCCAAGCTGGAGTCCAGTGGTGCGATCTCGGCCTCCACCTCCTGGGTTCAAGCAATTCTCATACCTCAGCTTCCCAAGTAGCTGAGACTACAGGTGTGTGCCACCACGCCCAGCTAATTTTTTGTATTTTAGTAGAGATGGGGTTTCACCATGTTGCTCAGGTTGGTCTTGAACTCTTGATTTCAGATGATCCACCTGCCTCAGCCTTCCAAAGTGCTGGGATTATAGGCATGAGCCACTGCACCCAGCCGAGACCCCAGTGCTCTTTAATCTTTCAACAGAAAGTTTGTACCCTTAACCAACATCTTCCCATCTCTTCCCCTTACCCTGCACCCCAAACCCCTGCCTCAGCTCCTGGAAACCACTATTCTACTTTCTGCCTCTGTGAGTTCAATTTTTTTAGATTCCACCTATAAGTGAGATTATATAGCATTTGTCTTTCTTTGTCTGTCTTATTTCACTTAGCATAATGTCCTCATTGTCACAAATGGTAGAATTTTCTTTTTTTTAATGGCTGAATATATATATATATACACATATATATACACATATATATACACATATATATATACACATACATATACACATATATACACATATATATATGTATATATATATACCAAATTTTCTTTATCCATTAACTGTGGATGAATACTTAAGTTGATATCATAACATGCAATAAACATGAGAATGCAGATATCTCTTTGAGATACCGATTTCATTTTGTTTGACTACATACCCAGAAGTGGGATTGCTGGATCATATAGGAGTTCTATTTTTAATTTTTTGAGGAACTGCCGTACTGTTTTTCATAATGGCTATACCAAGTTACATTTCCTCCAACAGTGTATAAGGGTTCCCTTTCTCCATACCCTTGCAGACACTCATCTTTTATCTTTTGGATAATAGCCATTCTATTTTAAAAAATTTTTATTTTTTAATTTGTTTTTTTTTATTTCTGAGACCTCTCAGGGATGAAAATATTAATAATTGCCATTCTAACAGGTGTGAAGTGATATCCCATTGTGGTTTTGATTTGCACTTACCTGATGATTAGTAATGCTGAGGACCTTTTATATACCTGCTGGACATTGGTACATCTTCTTTGAAAAAATGTCTATTCTGGTCCTTTGCCTATCTTTAAATCAGGTTTTTTGTCTTTCACTATTGAGTTGTATGACTTCTTTTTCTATATTAAATACTAACCCCTTCTCTGATACGTGGTTTCTAAATATTTTCTTCTATTCTGTGGGTTTTCTTTTCATTTGTTGCTTGTTTTCTTTGCTGTGCAGAAGCTTTTTGATTTGATGCAGTGTACTACTTCTTTATTTTTGTTTCTATTGCCTGTACTTTTGGTATCACATCCAAAAAAAATCATTGCCAATAACAACGTCAAGGAAATTTTCCCCTATTTTTTGTTCTAGGAGTTTTGTGGTTTCAGACTTTAGCTTAAGTCTGAAAGGATAAAAGTTTTCTGGAAGGGGAAGTTTTGTTGTTGTTGTTGTTTCTTTGTTTGCTTTAAATGGAGTCTCTGTCACCTAGGCTCGAGTGTGCAGTGGCGCAATCTCAGCTCACTGCAACCTCTGCCTTCCAGGTTCAAGCAATTCTCCTGCCTCAGCCTCCTGAGTAGCTGGGATTACAGGCACCCACCACCATGCCTGCCTAATTTTTATATTTTTAGTAGAGGCGGGGTTTCACCATGTTGGCTAGGCTGGTCTCGAACTCCTGACCTCAAGTGATCTGCCTGCCTCAGCCTCCCAAATTGCTAGGATTACAGCCATGAGCCACCGCACCCGGCTCTGTAAGGGGAAGTTTTAACACTAACATGGAAAAGAAAGTATATAGTAAAATTTCAAAGATTGTATAATTTAATGTCATGTAGGAAAACATAAAGATAATAGTTAACAAATCATAAGAGAGGCCGGGAACGGTGGCTCACTTATGTAATCCCAGCACTTTGGGAGGCCAAGGTGGGCAGATCACTTGAGGTCAGGAGTTTGAGACCAGCCTGGCCAACATGGCGAAACCCCATCTCTACTAAAAATACAAAATTAACGGGGTGTGGTAGTGCATGCCTGTAATCCCAGCTACTTGGGAGGCTGAGGCCAGATAATCGCTTGAACCCAGGAGGCGGAGGTTGCAGTAAGCCAAGATCGTGTCACTGCACTCCAGCCCTGGGGACAGAGACAGACTCTGTCTCAAAACAATAAATAAATAAATAAATCATGAGAGATCTTTTAAGGTTGTATGACAGAAAAATGAAAGGCCAGCTCAATACAGACAAACTAATTCAAGCTTTATTAATAAGGTTGTTCCTATATTATTTTAATTATGATCCAGAAACAAAAGAGGAATTAGAAAAGATTGTGGAACTGTTCTCTAATGGCATGATCCTAATATGACTGGATTAAATCTGACTGGACTGCTCTGTTCAACACAACCATCAAAATGTTGATTTTGACCATCCTAGCAACGAGAATAAAAAGCAACATCTGACCCTTTGACAGTGGCATTTATAAAAATGAAATCTCACATATACATGAGGGTAGGGTCCTGAGCTACCTAAAGTTTGTAAACTCATTTCAGTAACTTGAAGAAACCTCTATTAGTAAGCACTAATTATAGAATCCCACATGTGAGACACATTACATTCATGGGTTGATTGGCATCATTCTCAGTTGATCTGAGATTATCATCAAAAAAATTTTGACTTAGGATTTCTTTGCCAAGTTACATCATTCCTAAAGCATCTAAAATCAGGCAGGGCAGAATAGAACCACATGCTGATGTCACAGGGTGTAGGTGGGTTTGAATGGTCTCTGATTTAGTCAACATTCATGCTGTAATTGTGAATGATAGCTGCTCTGTGATACTAATAAGAATGCTCACCTGCTCAAGTGATACGCCCTTGAACAACAGGTCCTCACAGTTGGCAGCCGGGTGGCAGGAGGGCTGCTATAGAAATGAAGTTATAGAGACCTAACAGAACCACTGGCAGAGTGGGATCTTTGAGCCAAAGTGGGATCATGTCTAAGGTGAGTAGTAGCCTCAACAGCCTTGCAAGTACATTTTGAGGAAGCATATTCTTGTGGAGAAACCTCTTACAGGCTAGTGACTATGCTCATCCTCAGCAAAATAACCTGTCTGTTCCTTAGATGATAGGTGCATAGATAGTGTGAACTATTCATTTGATTCTCAGAAAACAATAAAATCATGCTGGCTGTTCTTTCCAGTTCAGCCATTGAACTCTTAAATTGCCAGACAGCCATGTAAGTCTGAATGAATGACCATTCATATACCCTTTCCACTGCACTGCAATATGGCTCTGCTCAGAATGGCAAGGAGAAAGACTGGAAGAGAAAAATGGTTGCAGGATCTTCTTGTGTTTCTACAAGGCTTTGACGGTGCTGAGAACATAATCCATTCTGGTGAATTTTTTCTGTGAAGGAGGCAACTAGAAAGGAATATTGTCTTCATTCTCTAGAAAAAAAGAACTGAAGGAAGAGAATTTATAGTTGGCTGATTATAACAGCATGAAAACGCATATCTTCTACTCTTTATCTAGAATTTTGTCCATCCTGATTAAAATAACAACACCCTCAATAACAACTAACGTTGAGTACTTGTCATATATTGTATCATTTTAATCCTCCCAACAACTTTATGAATGAGTACTATAATTAGCTGCATTACACAGATGATAACAAGGATGACAATTGTTGAGTTAACCCAGTTTCCTCAGTTTCTTTTTTTAAATTTTTAATTGTTTATTTATCAGTACAAATGATTCCTTAGCCCACATATTCATGTTTCATAGTTCAGGAACATAGGTCAGTGACAAACTTCTGAGGAACTCAATCCCAAAACATTCTTAACATTCCAAAATCACTTTGCACTCTGAAAGGTACCAGCCCTCTTCACCTCCTCAAAATCTTTCATGGAATCATAGTTTCTGTAGAAATCTACATATATCTGCTTTCTTGGTTCAGCAATGTAAACTTTAAGAGAGCTGCAACCCCCAGCATTACAAGAAATGCTCTGACAATATGAAATCACAGACACCTGGCCAAAAGGCTATGCATCTGAAATTTCTTCAAAACACTGGAAGCCGTGGTAGTTATTGTCCTCAACACCAATGTCCTTCCTGGCTGATGGAGAAATGCCCAGTTTCTTAAATATCATCATGGGATTGTAAAATCTTTGGGGAAGCATATAGACTTTTAAAATAACCACTCAACAATTGCTAATTATACTGAGTAAAACCAGTTAGCTTTATTTTCTCATTGCTTATATTTTTTCCTTCTTATTTATCTTTTCTCCCTTGCAGTAGAAACATTTACCTACAGCAGAAGTCTTAGACCTTAGTTGTATTTCAGCTTTTAGGGGCCATCTGAGCTGAGTAAGTCATTTTTAAAAATTAATTTAATTAATTAATTAATTTTTTTTTTGAGACAGATTTTCACTCTATTGCCCAGGCTGGACTACAGTGGCATGATCATGGCTCACTGTAGTCTTGGCTTTCCTGGCTCAAGCAATTCTGCCTGAGCCCCCCAAATAACTGGGACTACAGCTGTGCCTTACCACGCCTACCTAATTTATTTGAATTTTTAGTAGAGACAAGATCTCGCTATGTTGCATAGGCTGTTCTTGAACTCCTGAGCTCAAGCAAACCTCCTGCCTCAGCTGCCCAAAGTGCTAGGATTACAGGTGTGAGCCACCATGCCCAGCCTGAGTAAGTCATTTAACTTAAGTTTTCTCTGAAGTTTATAGAATGGGATGAATATCTCTCTGTTTACAGCACTGGGGTATGGTGAGGGTCAGATGTGACATTGCAAATGAACATGTTTTATAAAATATTAAGCAGTATGTAAATACTGATATAAATATGGCCGGCACAGTGGCTCACATCTGTAATCCCAGCATTTTGGGAGGCCGAGGCGGGCCTTGAGGTCAGGAGTTCAAGGCCAGCCTGGCCAAAATGGTGAAACCTCATCTCTACTAAAAATACAAAAATTAGCCAGCCATGGTGGCAGGTGCCTGTAATCCCAGCTACTCAGGAGGCTGAGGCACGAGAATTGCTTGAAACCAGGAGGCAGAGGTTGCAGTGAGCTGAGATGGAGCCACTGCATTCCAGTTTGGGTAATAGAGTGAGACTCAGTCTCAAAATAACAATAAAAATAAATAAATATTTTTTCTACTTTTTTCTTTGCCTGATTTTTCCCCTTATTTTTCTGAATAAAGATATTGCATTCCTTTACATGTTCATATCCAAATATCCTCCAATGGTGTGATTAACTACAGCATAAAAAGATAATAGCAAGATTTCTGAAGACGTTCACTTAAAACTATTTTGTTTCTCCAAGACTAAGTTATTCGTCCAGTAACTAACGTGTATTTAGTTTTCTGGACCTTCAGATTACCTCATAGTCCATTATAGCTTCAAAGGACACATTGATATCTTTAAATATATCAAGTGCAGAGTCACCAGATGATCCTCAAAGCTCAAATTCAGGTATCTCTTTATGTGCTTAATGTCACTGAGAGCAAGGTTATACCCTGGATATTGACACCTTAAAGTTAACTGACTTGAGAGAATTTATTTTATTTTATTTTTATTCATTTTTGGAGACTGGGTCTCACTCTGTTGCCCAGGTGAGTGCAGTGGCACAATCACAGCTCACTGCAGCCTTGATCTCCCTGGCTCAAGTGATCCTCCCACCTCAGCCTCCTGAGTAGCTGGGACTACAGGTGCATGCCACCATACCTGGTTAATTTAAAAATGTATTTTTGTAGAGACAGGGTCTCACCATGTTGCCCAGGCTGGTCTTGAACTCCTGGGCTCAAACAATTCTCTTGCCTTGGCCTCACAAAGTGTTGGGATTTTAGGCATGAGTCACTGTGCCCAGCTGAGAATTTTTAAAAACATTTTAGTTCTACCTAAGAGTCACTCAGGTTAAGAAGAGGTTGAGATATACTAGCCAATAAAGTAGAAAAGAAAGAAATTTGAAAAGTATGAATTCAAAAAGTAGACATATTCAGAAAAAAAATCACATAAATATAAGAAAAAATTAAAAATAGGGAAGAAACACCATAGTAAGGCCAGTGTGTGTGTGTGTGTGTGTGTGTGTGTGTGTGTTTGTGTGTTGTAGGTGGAGATGGCAGTGGGAGAACATAGAAACAACTTCTCTTTTGAGTTCCCAGATGAAGCTGGGTACTTCCTAATCTCAATTAAGTGAGAAGGCCAACATGATTATAACTATTAAATCCAACTTTTCCCTGTACCATGTGCAAAGAACTACAGAAAATCTTAACACTGGTGTGTAAGAAGGCCATTGACTTCAAGTGAGAGTTCCAAAGGATAAAGAGTAGATTTTCTCAGCATGCATTCAGGGGCCAAAAGAAAGTGCTTGTGCCTCTCAGATCTTAAAAGTGAAAACCAGTGTCTTAAAAGCCATGTTTTAAGTGTCTAAGTTAAGTATGGCACTTAACAGAGACATAACACAACTTAATTAAAAATATCCCTTAAATTTTACACACAGACACAGAAGAGAAAAAAACCTATGACTTTTTTTTTTTGAGATGGAATCTCTCACTGTCACCCGGACTGGAGTGCAGTGGTGCCATCTAGGCTCACTGCAACCTCCGCCTCCCGGGTTCAAGCGATTCTCCTGCCTCAGCCTCCTGAGTAACTGGGACTACAGGTGTGCACCACCATGCCCGGCTAATTTTTGAATTTTTTTTAGTAGAGACAGGGTTTCACCAAGTTGGCCAGGATGGTCTCCATCTCTTGACCTTGTGATCTGCCCATCTCAGCCTCCCAAAGTGCTGGGATTACAGACATGAGCCACTGCGCCCGGTCTAAAACCTACGACTTTAAAAATTAATAGTTTGATCTATTTTTCTTTGTCTTTCTACTGTTTCTTATGATATCCAGGGTCAGGAAGAAAGGGCTAAGTCCCTCTTTCTTCTAGCCTTGCTGTATTAGTCATCTATTGCTACATAACCAATTGCCCCAAAACTTGGTAGCTTAAAACAACAATAAACATTTGTCATTTCTGACAGTTTCTGGAGGTTAGGAATTGGTGAATGGCTGGGTGGTCTGGGGTTGCAGTCAAGATGTTAGTTGGGGCTGCTTGGCTGGAGCTGGAGGATCCAATTTTAGGGTGGCTCACTCCCATGAGTGGCAGAAAGCCTCAGTTCCTGTTCATGTGAGTCTCTCCATAGGTCTGTTTGAGTGTCCTCATGACATGGTGAGTGGCTTCCTCCAGAATGAGTTATTTAAGGGAATAAGATAAAATGTGTCATGTCTTTTATAACTTAGCTTTGGAAGTCATATACTGTCACTTTCACAAATCCTATTGGTCACACAGGTCACCTCTATTCAGTGTGGGAGGGAACTATAGAATGGCTTGCACACAAGTTGATGAGTCTCTCAGGGACCATCCTGAAGGCTGGCTATCACAATAGTTAAGTCACACCATCTAGTCAGAGCCCCAAATGTTAAGAAGGCTGTTGACCAAACCAAGGCTGATGGGAGTGAGAGACTGCCTCTGCAAAGAGGCAGGGACTAGAAACTCCCTTCCAGGAGGAAATATGGTTGAAGTAAATGGGCATGTTTAGCTCACAAACAAAAAAGATTTGGGATGTGAACATCTTTTTTTTTTTTTAGACGGAGTCTCGCTCTGTCACCCAGGCTGGAGTGCAGTGGCACGATCTCGGCTCACTGCAAGCTCGGCCTCCTGGGTTCATGCCATTCTCCTGTCTCAGCTTCCCAAGTAGGACTATAGGCGCCCGCCACCATGCCTGGCTGATTTTTTGTAGTTTTAGTAGACACGGGGTTTCACTGTGTTAGCCAGGGTGGTCTTGATCTCCTGACTTTGTGATCCATCCGCCTTGGCCTCCCAAAGTGCTGGGATTACCGGCATGAGCCACCACGCCCAGACGCGCACATCTTAACATATTTGAAGGACCATCATATAGAAGAAGTAGACTTGTTTTGTGTGTCCTCAGAGACAAGAACCAGAACTAACAGATGAAGACGTATTGAATGACTCTTGGATTCCAGGCAATAGTCAAGGGCTTAGATTACAAGAATAACTAAGTCATAGTTCTAGACCTTAAAGAATCTAGTCTTTTATGTGGAAGAACATAATATTTTTGTATATGCTCAATATACTATAGATATTTAATACAATTATTGTAGTTGTTCAGCTAAAGAAGGAAGTACCGTGTGATGCAGACTGGTACATGGTTTTGAAGGCCAGTGTGGGCCAGATGACTTTTGGGTTCATTCTGGTTTTATGAACCTATGATTCTAGTAGTAATCTCCAGATTGTCGTGAACTTAAAAGATGGTAGTGAAGAGAGCTAAGTACATAAACTAAGTATTTTATATTTATGGTGTTGATTTAAAAGATACTTTTTTTTTTTTTTGAGATGGAGTCTTGCTCTGTCGCCCAGGCTGGAGTGCAGTGGCGCAATCTCGGCTCACTGCAAGCTCCCCTTCCAGGTTCACGCCATTCTCCTGCCTCAGCCTCCCGAATAGCTGGGACTATAGGTGCTCACCACCACGCGCCATGACACCCAGATAATTTTTGTATTTTTAGTGGAGATGGAGTTTCACCATGTTGGCCAGGATGGTCTAGAACTCCTGACCTCGTGATTCGCCCGCCTTGGCCTCCCAAAGTGCTGGGATTACAGACGTGAGCCACCGCACCCAGCCTAAATTAGATACTTTATAGGTATTATTATTATTTAGATTTAGATATTACTCCAGGAGAATCTAAGAGAAACAACATGGATTTCATAGATTTATTATAACAACATTTTAGGGACAAATTTTGAACCAAATGTGTACACATGGTATGAAATGATCTGGAAAATATGATTTTATACATGTAGCCATCCATTTAGTATTTATTTTTAGTAGAGACAGGGTTTCACCATGCTGGCCAGGCTGGTCTCGAACTCCTGACCTCGTGATCTGCCTGCCTCGGCCTCCCAAAGTGCTGGGATTACAGGCGTGAGCCATTGTGCTTGACCCCATTTAATATTTATTAAGCACTAATTATATGGCAGGTACTGTTGTAGGTGTTAGGAAGACTGATGTAAGGAACCCAAATATTTCTCTAGTGGTGTTTAAGACCAGTGTAGCATAGTGGTAAGATTATGGGATGAGGAAAGATCCTATTTGAGTTCAAGTTCTGGCTCTACCACTTCCTAGTTGTGTGGCCTTGGCCAAGTTACCTAACTTCCTTGTACTTCAGTTTTATAATGTCTAAAACAGGGATGAAAACGGTACCTATGTTATAGGAATGTTTACAAGGCTTATAAGGCTAAGTGGGTTGATTTGTACAAAGTGCTTAGAATAGTGCTTGGAATACTATATGTGTTATACAGGTTGTGTATCCCTAATCTAAAAATCCAAAATCCAAAATGCTTCAAAACCTGAAACTTTTTAAGTGCTGACATGACACTCAAAGGAAAAGCTCATTGGAACATTTCAAGCTTTGGATTTTCAGATTAAGGATGCTTAATCTATATACACATTTAGCTTTTTCTCC
Organism: Homo sapiens; assembly: GCF_000001405.40. Taxonomy (NCBI): domain Eukaryota; kingdom Metazoa; phylum Chordata; class Mammalia; order Primates; family Hominidae; genus Homo; species Homo sapiens. The sequence continues at coordinate 54,071,171 of NC_000004.12, read as the reverse complement.
AAGCATAATTGGTTCTGCTCTCAGGAAGCTCCCAGCCTAGTTTAGATCATCTTCCTTCCCTCTCCTTTAGTGGCCACAGTTGTATGGAAGGCGAAGAGGATCTCTGTTGCTCTCTAAAGGCCTTTTGCATAGTTGTATTGCACATACATCAATCCTAAAGCATTGGAGCAGAAGTGCTATTTTCTATTACTTATACTGCGGGCACCAAAAACTCTAAGGTTGGGGCACAACCTGAACATTTTAGGTCAGATGCCCACTCTTGGAACTGGAGATATGGTCAGCTTAACCTAATCACATGTACTGAGGATGGAGGGGATATGATTTACTAAAAATCCTGAGAGTGTTGTTACAGAATGTGTGCCATTTACAGAATAACAGGCTGGGAAGTGGTGCAGGCAGGCTAGGCTGGACTACTGGTCTCCCACTTGGGGATTTAAAAATACACATCTGGCCAGGCCTGGTGGCTCACTCCTGTAACCTCAGCACTTTGGGAGGCCGAGTTGGGCAGATCACCTGAGGTCAGGAGTTCAAGACCAGCCTGGCCAACACGGTGAAACCCCGTCTCTACTAAAAATACAAAAATCAGCCAGGCGTGCTGGTGCATGCCTGTAATCCCAACTACTCAGGAGGCTGAGGCAGGAGAATCGCTTGAATCCGGGAGGTGGAGGTTGTAGTGAGCCGAGATTGTGCCATTGCACTCCAGCCTGGGCGACAAGAGTAAACTCCGTCTCAAAATAAATAAATAAATAAATACATAAATACATAAATAAATAAATAAATAAATAAATAATAAAAATGCACATCTGATAATGTCACTGCCTGGCTTCACATCCTCCGCTCCTTTACTTTTGGCATGCATTTAAGATTTCTTACAAAGGCCATCAAGTTTCCACCAGCCTCTTTGACCTCAACTCCAATCTGGCTCTGCCTTCCTCACTATGATCCACCCACACTGGCTTTGTTTTTTACCTCATTTGAGCTGTGCTCTTTTCTACTTCAAGGTCTTTAAACATGCTATTCCCACTGTCTGGAGCTTTCTCCTCTCTTCTCTCTACTTCCCTACCTCCATACCTTTGCTTAGCTCATCAGCTTACATGTCATTTTCCCAGAGAATAAATCCTGATTTCTTGGAGTGAGTTAGGTGGGTTTACTACTCCCATGGACCCCTGTGCTTCTCCACAGAACTGATCACAATTCTAATAGTTATTTATTTTTATAATTATCTGTCAGTCCTCCCCAGTGGACTTCATGCTCACAAAGGCAGGGGCTGTGTTTGGTTTACTGCTAAATCCCTAGTTCCTGGCACAGTATGTGACACATGAGAAGCATTCAATGCAAATTTGTTGAATGAATGAATGAGTGAACAAATGAGGGTTTATATGCTTTCTCAAGTCAGCTTGGGCTGTGTGATATCAGGAAATACATATTTGGTTTTTGACCCTGTTTCCTGGCATACAACACCTAAAATGCTTAGAAACTCCAAAGCAATGTCTTTCTGTATTCTAGTGAGTTGACTGTAGGCTGGCAGCTCCTAGTTAGCTTCAGGATGAGAGCTGATCACCAGAAGGGGCTGAAGATTAAGTCAATGGCCAGCGGTGTAATCAATCATGCCTACGTAATGAAGCCCCATAAAACCCTGAAGGAACAGGGTTCTGAGAGCTGCCAGACAGCTGAACACGTGGAGGATTACAGGGAGATGAACAAGAACTCATCCGTGTGCTGGGAAAGCAGAGCACCCCGACTCCGCGGGGACAGAAGCTCCTGCACCCAAGACCCTTCCAGACCTCACCCTCTGTGTCTCTTCATCTGGCTGTTTATTTGTAACCCTTAAAAGATCCTTCTTGGCTGGGTGTGGTGGCTCATGCCTATAATCTCAGTACTTTTTGGAGACCAAGGTGGGTAGATTACTTGAGCCCAGGAGTTGGAGACTAGCCTGGGCAACATGGTGAAACCCCATCTCTACAAAAAATATAAAAATTAGCTGGATGTGGTGGTGCATGCCTGCATTCCCAGCTACTCGGGAAGCTGAAGTGGGAGCATTGCTTGAGCCCAGGGAGGTTGAGGCTGCAGTGAATGGTGATTGTACCTCTGTCTCAATAAATAAATAATAAATAAATAACTATTGGACTGCAGTGAATGGTGATTGTACCTCTGTCTCAATAAATAAGTGAAATGAAATGAAATGAAATATCCTTCTTAATAAACTGGTAAACCTGTTTCCCCGAGTTCTGTGAGCCGCTCTAACAAATTAGTTGAACTTGACGAGGGTGTTGTGGGAACCCCAATTTATAGCTGGTCAGTCAGAAGTTCTGGAGACCTGGACTTGTGACTGGTGTTTGAAGTGGAGGGTGCAGTCTTGCGGACTGAGCCCTCAACCTGTGGGATTTGATGCTATCTCCAGGTAGAGAGTGCTGGAATTGAATTAGGACATACAGCTGGTGCCCACTGCAGAACTGATTGCTTGCTTGTTGGTGGAGAAAACCCCCCAACACATCTGGTCACAGAGAGTCTTCTGTGTTGGTTGTTGTTGTTAAGCAGGAGAATAGGAAAAAGCACATTGAGTGTATTTTCCACACAAATAGGCTGCCACACAAAATACCATAGACTGTGTCTTAGTCCCTTTGGGCTGCTATAATCAAATATCATAAACTATGTGACTTATAAACAAACATTTATTTCTCATAGCTTTGGAAACTTGGAAGTTCAAGATCAAACGGCTGGTAGCTTTGGTTTCTGGTGAGGGGCTTCGTCCTTGTATATGGTTGTCTTCTTGCTGTGTTCTAAGATAGTGGAAGGGGCAAACCAGCTCTCTGGGGCCTCTTTTATGAGGGCACTAATCCCATTCATGAGGGCTCAGCCTTCATAACCTAATCACCTCCCAAAGGCCCTAATATTTCCTAATACCATCACCTTGAGGGCTAGGATATCAACATACAAATTTGGGGGGATGTAAACATTCAGTACATCGTAGCCTGGGTGGCTTAAACAACAGAAATTTAGCTCACAGTTCCTGATGATTTGGTTCCTGGTGAGAGTTCTCTTCCTGGCTTGCAGATGACTGTCTTCTTGCTGTGTCCCCATGGCACAGAGAGATCGAAAACTATCTAGTATTTCTTCTTGTAAGGGCACAAATTCCATCATGAGGGCCCCAGCCTCTTGACCTCATCTCAACCTAATTACCTCCAAAGGCTCCATTTCCAAATACCATTACATTGAGGGTTAGGGCTTCAACATATGAATTTGGGGGGGGGGACAAAATTCAGTCCATAGTACATGCACGATCTCATTTGATCTTCCAGAACCCCATGACATAGTTTCCATTTGAAGATGAAGAAAAGGAAGCTTAGAAAGGTGAAGCTGCCAATGGCCACTCTGCTAGGTAGAAATGGAACTGGGAAGTTTTCAAGTCTAAGGAATTAACTAAGCAATATTTGCCTTAAAAACAAGTCTTGCTGACTCCTGAGGCCTGACATTATCCAGTTTGGTTTTGAGCCATTTGGTCTAAAGGTAAATATGAAAATATGTGAGGCAAGAATATAAAGAGAAACTCCAATGAAGAGGAGGCTATGGAGGGATGGGCACTTAGCAGGGTGCAAGTGAGTACCTGGACACAGAGGGAGAGGATCCTGGAAAAGTGGCTTATCTCCAGGAAGAAATTGGGGGAGGAGTTTTACAGGAAACTGGATCTTGGAAGGTTGGCAGGGCGGAGGTGGAGGGTTGGAATTACGATGTCAACTCTCATCAGGAAAATGTTTGACTCATGTTCGCTCACCCCTTTGGCCTTCTTCCTAGGTCCCACACCCTTTTGCTGGCTCTGACAGGTTTTTCAGAACAGGAAAAAGAAGAAAACACACACACACACACACACACACACAGACACACACACACAGAAAGGAAAAAAGAAAAAGAAAAGGCAATTCCCTGCCTCTACCGTATACCCAGGCCGTGGGAGTTACAAAGATCTCTCTGTTGAATAGATCTTAGAATAAGAACATTTCTCCCACATCCAGCCAGTGTGAAGATAAGAGTGAGGTTCTCACAGTCCTCTGAAGCCTAATTAAGTCACAGTGTTCTGGAAAGAGCACTAGTAACACTGTATCTCAATTCAGATAACATTTATTAAGCTCCTTTTCTGAAGCAGGAACTGTGGAAGGTGCTGGAGTTCTAAGGAGCTCTGTGTGGCTTCCTCCGTCTTTGGGAAGTTGTCAGCTATGTGATGATTTAGATACTTTGGGGCACTAGCCCCTTATCTTGGCCACTGTTTCTACATAAGGGTGAATTCTCAGCCACAGCCAGGTGTGGGCTGTGCCAGGACATACTGACCTTATTTCCTCTTATTCTCTTTCTTATCTTCCCATTTGCAGCTGTTCCTTTAACTGAGTGCAGCCACTAGTCTCCTGGTTCCTGCCAAGGAGGAAATTCAGAGGCTGAGGAGGGAGGATCGCTTGAGCTGAGGAGTTCAAGGCTGCAGTGAGCTATGATGGTGCCACTGCACACCAGCCTAGGTGAGAGAGTGAGACTCTGTCTTAAAAAAAAAAAAAAAAAAGACATTCAGGAAAGCTTGGACCACCAGTATACTCAATTAGACCATTAAATCTTAAATCGTCACATGGCCTTGAGAAAGCCACATAGCATCTCTGAAATATAGCATATCATAGCATCTCTGAAACATAGCATATCTGAAAATAAATACACCCTCTTTGCTTACCTCACAGGTTCTTGGGGGAATATTAAATGATATATTATGTACGTGCTTTATAAGCAGTAAAATATTACATAATGCTGTGGTAACCCTCACAGGGTTGATAAGCTAGGGAGCCTTAAGCATCACCTATTACCCCGTATTTATTGTGTACTGGGCCTTCTTCTAGGCACTTCACCGATCTTAAGCCCTTGAATCTGCTGAGCATCCCAATGGGGCAGGTACTGAACAGGGAAGTTAAGTGGCTTGTCTAGGGTCACACAGTAAGTGGCAGAGCTGACATTCAAGGCCAGGTAGTCAGGTTCCAGAACACACATTGTTAAACACCAGACCAAGCTGCCTCCTGTGTGCCCCACTGACACTTCCTGTGTCCTCCTCCATGAGCCCCTGGCAGAGATGACAATTGCTTGCCTTAACAATAGATAAGCTACCAGAAGTCAGGGCCTGTGCCTCATTCACACACGTCCACAGTGCCTGCCACATAGCTAGAGTTCAGTAGATATTTGTTGAATGAACAAATACCCTCCAGGGAGGGATACAATAAGTCTGATACAACTACTGTATTTTTCCTTCATTTTTTCTTGGCTAACCACACTCATTTCCTTCAGTTGTTTCCAAAAGGAGGTTGGCATCTCTCACTGTCCTCATTGACCTCCTTTGCACTTTCTCCACGTCAACAGTGACCCATCTAAAGCCGACTACTGTGACATGAACACTGCACTTGAAGAGCCTGACCAGCGCTGGGCTCAGTAGAACTATCCTTTCTTCTCCCATGGTGTATCCTCACTGTCCAGGACTCTCTTCTCAGAAGCCCACTCCTTCCCCTGTGCTGTTTATATGCTTAATGAAACCAAGTACCCAAAGTGACCGTTCAACTGTTACTAGGCAGCTAAGTAGACTCCATTAAACCTTTTCCTTCCTTCCTCCCCTTCTTTCTTTCTCTCCCATTCTTCTTTCATTCTTCTCGTCCTTCCTTCTATCCTTTCTTCCTTCCTGCCTCCTTTTCTTCCTCTCCTCTGCCCTTTCTTTCAGGTCTTTTTTGTGGTAGGAACTGGTAAGAAAAGGAAAGGAATTCCCTAAGATTTTAAGGAAACAACAACAAAAACCAGGTTATGTTTGGTGAGAGAGTTGGGGCAAGAAACTGCATCTTCTAATATGGAATCCAGGTAATTTATCAGTTTTTTTTCATAGCATGACTACGGTGAGATTTCTTGTAAGAAAAAAAAAAAAATACCAGCATCGCTGGCCTCATATATTGGATTATACTTAAGGGGATCAAGGGATAAGATGTTTGAATTTGGAGATGTCTTGAAAAATCCTGTGGTGAGCACAAATGTTTGCAGTGTCTCTGCTGGACTCCTCAAATTGGGAAAAAAGAGACTCTGGTTCTCATCATAGACTCAAAACCTGAGGAAAAGCGAGATGCGATTATTAGATAAACTGGCAATGACACGCACAAAAATGTGTCTATTCCAGCCAGGGCTTTTCTTTTCAGTTGTTTGTTTTGGTTAGAGATGACTTTGGGGAACTGCATGTCCCACTGGACATTCCAAGCTGCGTTGTCGGAGTCGCGGGTCGCGGCCTCCAGTCAGCGGAGCCGCCGCCCCCAGGGTCCGCCACCCAGAAGTCGGCGGAGGGGGGCCCGCCGGCGGGAGCGCGCGCCCCGGTCGCCGTCTGCGGGTAGAAGCAGAGGAAAGACGGTGGCCTGGGAGCGCGCGAGGCCGCACGTGCGCGCGCCCGCCCGCCCGCCAGCCAGTCCGCTCGCCCACGCGCCCACGCACGCGCCCGCCCGCCCGTTGGCCCGGGAAGTCTCGCGATGCCGTAGCCGGCTGCTCCCGCTGCGGGTGGCTCGGGCTGTTGCTGTGGTTTCCTGAGTTGCTGCTGCTGCGGCGGCGGCAGCGGCGTCTGTGCTTGTGGAGGTGTCGGCCTCTGGGCGGATGTTGACATTGTGTTGTTGTTATTGCTGATGGTAATGGCGGCGGCGGTGGCGGCGACGGTCCAGACCCCATCCCCTCTGTAGCCGGAGCCGAGACAGCCGACAGCGAACTCCGCGGCCTCGGAGCCGGCGGCAGCGGCGACTCCCCTCAGCCTCCGCCGCCTCGCCCGCCGGTACCCCGGCGCCAACCCCGGGAGTCAGGCCCTTTGGGCAGGGGAGCTCGGAGGCTCAGGATGGCGGATTTCGACGAAATCTATGAGGAAGAGGAGGACGAGGAGCGGGCCCTGGAGGAGCAGCTGCTCAAGTACTCGCCGGACCCGGTGGTCGTCCGCGGCTCCGGTCACGTCACCGTGTAAGGCCCGGAGGAGGGCGAGGGCGGGAGGTGCGGGCTGGGGTGGGCCCCGTTACTCCACGGGAGCCCCGTTTCCCCTGTGTCCGTCTGGTGTCGGGGGCCTTCCGAAAGAGTAGGCAACCAGGAAGTGAGAACTTGGCTTATTTTCATTTGTTTGGGTCTCCGAAGTGGGGACGGACGCTGTCCTTCCTCCTCCACACACCCCTTTAGCAGGCCCTACAGGCCCGGGCGATGTGACGATCCCAGTAGGCACGGGTTTTCATTAGGGTCTGCCCTGCGGGCCACCCTTCCTCTTCAGGGTGGAAGTACGTGTATTGACAGGGAGCCTCCTTGTTTTCTCGCCCAGTTACCCTGTGGTTGTCTGTGCCTTTGCACCCAGTGACATGGCTCAGAGGCCAGATCTGGGCCGTGTGAGACCCCAGTGACAATTGGCAGCGAAGCTCCGTTTCGTGTCTATTTCACACATACCCACAGGTCTCCCAGTTTTTCCACTAATTTCCGCAGAACTAATGCAAGTTCTTGTAATTGTACGTGATAAAAATATATAGTTGAACACAAATTTAAGATATACAGAAAGAAATATGTTTACAACAACAACAACAACAACTACGTGAGGGACATACACTCTGCTCAGGTTACTGAGGGAAAATTGTAGTCCTGAAGCTCCTCCTTGGGGCACGAACTTGGGGCTTGTTAATTTGGAAAGTCCCACTAGTAACATTAAAAGTCTGATATTAATAAGGAATGAAAGCTTTCGGAAAGACCATGACAAAGGAATGTGAAGCCTTGAACCAAATAATGAGCTGTCCGGAAGCAGGAAGTTTTGTAATGTTTCACTATGAAGTCCACAGTTTTGTACCACTTGATGTATTACATTGATACTCTCTCATTTTAGATCTCTTGTTCAAATAATAGATCAGACTTCCATACTTGTCAGGTATCTCTGTACTTCTTCACCTTTTCAGTGAAACAAAAGAGCCAGCAAGTCTGAGAATGTCTGGAATAGTCTTCATTATATTTTGGTGAAGAGTGAGTGGGATGTGCTGTGAATAACTTAGGGAAACAGTAAGACTTCTCATATAAGTTTGTCAGCAAAATAATTGCATTTCTCGTATGACCAGCCATATTGTTGTTTGAGTATGCTTATGTAATGCTTTAATTTCTTTAGTACCTGTTAGTTTATGTTCAGGTGACTTAACAGGGTAAAAACACTGCATAATTGCCATCACAGCACCATGACAAGACAGTGGAATTTAATTCACCACAATAATACTTTCTAAGTGTTGTCACCAGCTTAAGAAGTATAACCAAATATCATGGATATTAAACTTTTAACATATATCACAGAATTCATAACCTGCCATTTGATTTTATTTTGACTTTTAGGACCTTTTTGCACTGTTTTAAGCCTAAGGAGTATGTGGATGCTTAAAGAAGTGATTTCCAAACTTTGTCATGCCATCTATCCCTCCTTCTACATTCCTCATGTCAAAGAAAAGCTAGAGAATTTTGTCATTTAAAAAGGCGACGCTGTAGTTGTAATGTTTCCTCTGTTAAGGAGAAGAAAAGCTAAGCACTTTGTTGGGCAAGTGGAAAATGCAATAGTGGGCAAAGTGCTCAGAACCTAGGTAATCAGTAAACTTGATTGTAGTTGGCTACGTGGAGAGGTTAATAGGGTAGAAAATAATTATTAGTGGTTTTCAAACTTAGCTGTCCATTAGAATCCTGGGTGTCTTTAAAAAAAGACCATTGTCTTTGCTCCACCCCAGGCCAGTTGAAGGCCAAATACTAAGTGAGGGTCCTAGGAGTGGACAGTTAAAATAATAAATAAATAAATAAATAAATAAATAAAATCTCACAGGTGATTCTAATGTGTAGCCAAGATTGAAAACTATTCCAGGTTATAGGGAGGGACTATCTATCATCAATAAACAGTATGCCTTTCTACATTGTGAGTTAAATCTCTGATTTTCCTCAGCAACTTCCTTCTTCTCCCATTTATCTTGGTTCTAGGCTCTGGGTTAAAATCTATCTCAGCTACTTCCTGGATAAATTGTTTATTCATGACCTTTAGTTGAGATGGGGATAGTTATAGTCGATACCTTTTAAGATTATTAAGGATTAAATGAGATAGTACATGAAAAGAATTTATTGCACTGTGTGGTACTATGTTCAATAGATACTAGTTTTTATTATTCTCCTCCTCAGATATAGTTTTCCACTTTGAGAAACAGGTGTAAAACAAAGTACTAAAAAATTAGAACTGCCATTATCAAACATAACAATGATTCACCTTAGTCTTATTTTTCCATTTCTAAGCAATGTGTATGTGCTTAAATTACTGTGTTTGAAGTATTTTGATGACAATAAGGATCTTTCTGCATTGAAAACTTAACCTGTTTTGTGGCGACATAGGTAATAATAGAAAACTTTTTTTTTTAACATGGCTCTGTCATGCATAATTCCCAGGCACACTAGCACACCATGCCAGTGGGTAGCCCAGTTAACATCTATAAAGGTTTTTAGAATTGGTGCATATGTATTACTATAACTGTTGAGCACATTCAATTTTTCTTGCTTTAAATATAAATGGGAAGAGCTATTAGAACAGTTGTAGTAAGACTGGCTAAATTTAACACCCCCTCCTCCACCTTTTTTTTTTATTAGGTGCTGATCAGAGCAGTCTTCCCTTACCAATTTGAAAGTAATTGACCATGTAAACTGAATCATCTGTAGTCTAGATCAGTCTAGAAGGATATAGATCAATCCATATGTTTTTCACAGATGTAACTTTTGAGTAGCCCTTTACAATTGACTATTTCTGCTCTTTTTTTCTACTTTAATATATTACAGTATTACTGTTTATTTTAGAAACTGGTATTCTCACGTGACGTGATTGGCATGTCATTGTGGTGATGTGAGAAAGAAAGTTACCTTCCATTCTCTAGGTTAGTCTCTAGGCATAATCAGATTTTTGTGACATAGGATGCAACATGTTTAATTTGCCTAAAGTCTGCTTTAAAGTGGCTTTTAATGCAAATATTTTCCTTTTTTTAAATACAAATGTTTTCATCGTGACCCCCAAATCAGACTTACTTTTTATACTTCTCTCATGATCAGTATTCTTTTCTGACATTCTTCTGTTTAAGTATAATATTTCCCTTCATTGTTAGATTTCTAGGTAGCAATATGGGGAAATCTTGTGCAGAAGCATATTTTGAGGAAAGTGGTATTGGAAGGAAGGAAAATAAATGATAAATTCCTGTTATTGCATAGTATTTAGGTACATGTAACCTAAAAGGCTTACAGTCACCATTCAATTAAAAGTAGATTTCCTTTTTGCTTTCATGGTGACTTCTCATATAATTGACGATGAGGAAAAATAGTTTCTAAAATAAACAGTAATACTGTAAAAAGACTATTAGGTAGTCTTGACCAGATTGGTTAATATTTTAAAATTATGGAGTTCCTTATGCTTCAAAATATATTTGCAAAATATGTTGATCATTTATTGAAGAGTTTCGTTTTTCACAGTGGTAACTCTAAAGGATGTGTCAGTCTAAAAGTTAGAATTTAAAAGTAGTTTTAGGCCAATATTTCCTAGGTAATCTGTCATTATAACAGACATTATTTGCTCCCATCTCCACTTTCTACCCTTCTTGTATCAGAATCAAACTTGGGGCTTTCCTAGAGTATGTATAATCTTTGACTTCTAACTCAAGCCCTATCATAGAGCCAAGTTATTTTGCTGAGGTTTGTTTCTAATGTTATTCTCTTGTAATTTTACCGTGTCTTCATGTACTCTCTTCTGAGGTGTAATCTTACCATCTCCACAAATAATTCCTTATCCTTCAACACCAGTTTTTATCAATGGCTGTCGGAAACCACTTTTTGCTTGTTTTCATTCCAGATATGTTATGGAAGATTAAAGATTTAGAAATGTGACTTGAAAATGTTTGGGAACTACACTGGGATGGAATATGACTTTTGAATAAGAGACATCACAAGAACACCTTAGTGTTTATTGATCTTTCAAATGGTAGAGTTAGTAAAAAATTGTCTTGAAATGTGTCAGTATTTCAGGACTGCTGCTAGATGCTGTGGTTAGCAGTAAGAGACCTGAATGTGAGTTGCCAAATTACAGAATCATGTCAATAAAACAATTTTGTTAAACTTTATAATTCCTACTTCTTTCTCCCACCCAGCATAATATTTAAGACACATTCTATTTATTTCTAAAGATTAAGCTTTCTGTTTTGAAATTTTTGAAGGCTTCATTGATGTATCTCCACAGGCTATAAGTTCTTGAGGGCAGAGGTTGTGTCTATTGATCTTTCTTTACTATTTAATATAGTGTCCAGAATATTATAGTTCCTATAATATTTTCTAAATGAATGAAGTAATTGTATACATCTTTGGATTTTGTCAGAATTGCCAAATGAATCACTGTTTTCTTCTCTGCACCTCCGAACAAAGGCAAACAATGTTCTATAATAGAATACTTATCACACTGAAAAGATAAATAGCTCCTCTGTTTTAAAAAATGAAATCTGGTAATTGTGAGGAAATTATCAAATTAAGGTAGATTTTTTTTTTATAACTTTTTTTTTTTTCTCCAGAGATTTTTGTTTTCTTTTTTTAGAGACAGAATCTTTCCCTGTCACCTAAGCTGGTGGGCAGGGGCCTGATCACAGCCTACTGTGGCCTTGACCTCCTGGCTCTAGTGATCCTCCTTTCTCAGTCTCTGAAGTAGCTAGAACTACAGGTACACGCTGCTATGCCTAGCTAATTTTTTAAAAAAATTAGTTTTTTGGTTTTTGTAGAGATGGGGCTTCACTGTATTGCCAGGCTGGTTTTGAACTCCTGGCTTCAAGTGTTCCTCCTGCCTCAGCCCCCACAAATGCTGGGATTGTATGTATAAACCACCATGCGTGGCTTCCCAGAGATTTTTCTTATTCCATATAGTTTGAGAGGAAATTAATTTGATTATAATTTGGTAATTTGATATAATACATATCTTTGGTAATGTGAAGAAAAAATTCTATGCATTTTATTTGGACCAACTACTAAAACTTCTTAATGCACAGATTTTCTTGAAGAAATGAGAAATATGATAATTAACTGAGGTTTCAAAGTTTTTACTGTATTTGAATTTGAGAATTTATATGACATTTGGTCCAAAGAGTTCAGTGTTGGATTTTTGCCTACCAAGGGATATGAAATTGATTAGTACTTAAAATTTTATATGACTAGCTAAGTGGAAAAGAGGGATTAAATGGTGAAAAGTAAATTATATGTAATTATTATGATACTAATCAAATACTATTCTAAATAATTTAAATAAATAATATTACTCTAAAGCAGAATTCCAGCTGGAGTTTATACTGTCAACAGGTTAAAGGCCCAGGATATTAGGCCAGCTGTATACTCAGAAAGAAATCTTTCAAATCTCTAATAGCTGTGTCTGGCTTAGGTTTCTAATCTGCTATAAAGCTATTTAGATTTTATTAATAAAATTAAGCTTTAAATATAACATGTAGCAACAGATGCTCTTAAGTATCCTTCAGGTATCTTCTGTGTAAGATTGTGTGTGTGTGTGTGTGTGTGTGTGTGTGTGTGTGTATGTGTGTGTATGTGTGTATGTGACTTTTGACCCAATCAGAATATTGGGTCTGGAAGGGAAGAGTCTAGGGATTTTTATTTTTGGTAGGAGTGTTATGTGATTCTATCAGACATATTTGGAAAGTAATAGATGGTACTGTGGAAAAAGTGTGGTCTTTGATATGAGGCAGATTGGTTTCAATTCTCAGTCACTTCCTGACAGTAACCATAAGCAGATTAACCTTTCCGAACTTCAGTTTTTTCATCTGCGAAAGAGATAATATCCACCTTAGAGGTTACGTGTGAGAGTCAGAATTTATCTAATTAATAGGCATTCAATAAATTATTACTTATGACATATTTTGATGTTTAACCCTGCATGCACATTTTTTTGGTTATTCTTTACCATTTTGTGGGAAGTCAGTCTAAAATGTGAAGTATGCTTTTCTGCTTTAAAACAAGATTCTGAGCATAGCTCAGAATTATCTAATTGACTAGAGGAATCATTTAATCAAAAGCGGCTATCAGATTGATACACAGTGATGCCTTAGTGGCCCTGAGGTATGTTGGAGTTTGAGAACCTTCTCTAAATGGCACTTTCATTTAAATTTCATATGTGGGCTGTTCTTTTTGGTTTGCTTTCTTCTGTCTTTGTAATTGGTCAGCTGTTCTTGGAAGCAAAACAACCAACCAGCCTTATTAGAACTGCATATAAAGTAAGAGAAGTTCATCCTGATTGTTGAATGTAGATGCTTGGGTTTTGATGCTTGGGTTTTACAATATTTATTTTGTTTTCTCAGAGTATTTTTTGCTTAATCTTTGATTATCAGCTGTCTTGTTGAGGTTTCCTGATAAGTAATTTAATGAGTATTTGTTAAATGCCCATTTTTCTGCCAGGTATTGCACAAAGCTCTGGGTATATAATGAAACCCAAAATGAAACACACATAGTTTCTGCCCTCATGGAGTTTACAGCTAATAGACAAATTTTATCTGATAAAGTTGCACTGAAGGAAATGGATGAGATCCTGTGATTGAAAATAATGTGATTAGGAAGAACCTCTCTGAGGAAGCTAACATTTAGGAAGGATGAGAGTCCTGTCAGGAGCCCCTGGATCTGGAGAACAGCAGGTGCCAAGACTCCAAGCCAAAACAAGCTTGACTTGCCTGAGGAACTGAAAGGATACCTCTATATTATGGCTAGAATATAGTGAACAAAGGGGATAATGTCTTGAAATGAGGTTGGAGGGTTCAGTAGGGGCCAGAAAGGATTGTAAAGGAATTAGAATGAAATTTAGAAGGTTATAGAAGCAGCTTCCATAAGACATGATAGTGGCCCCAGCTAGGGTGTTGATCTCTAGATTAAAGGAGTTATTACAGTTCTGTGTGTAAACCATCAAATTTCACAGCTTTTCCTATGAGGTATGGAAATACATAGCAGTGGCCACTTTTGCTGTCTAATTCCTCAGTTCTTATGTTTGTTTTGGTCTGTTTATTTTTTAATTTTAGCTTTGTGTAGGCTGAGGTTAAATAACTGGCTACCCTTACTGTTCACTGGGAGTGATTTTGATGGCATACCTGCACTTTCTGTTCTGCTGCTGGGGCAGCTAGTATGCCAAGAGAATAGCACATGCCAGAAGTAGAGAGTGTTTCCCACAAGATCATAGATTTTGAAGTGGGAACCCTCGTAAATGTGATATCCTTTAGCTGTAAGGTGTGTAGTATGTGACAGCCCTCAGTACATGATTCATTAGATTTGAGGAAAAAAATTGTGTTTTTTATATCTTACATTTAAAACTCAGTTGCATCCGTAGGAGCTGAAATGTTCTCACAGTGTCCCTGAAGAATAATTTTTTTGTTCTTAAGCTTTTTTTCTCTCCCACTATCTACTTAGGATAGAGTTGGTTGGACTTGAAGGTAACCTAACTTTGTTATTTTGATTGATAAAAAAAGTGAATGTACTATATATAGTGAGCTTCCTGCAAGAACTTCTTGTTTTATTCTCTTTGATCTTGCATTGTAGTCATAATGTGGGCCTTGGTTAGTTCAGTGGTGGAGTTCCTATGTACCCAGTCTCCTTTCTTGGTCTTTTCTAAACTGCTCAATTATAAATGTTACTTGAAATGAGTATTTTTGTTAGTCTATATTGTAAATCAATTCAACCATATATTTTGCTTAAATGAACATAATTTAGCATCATTATTTTGCTCTTAAGATTTATAGAAGTATGAAGAATATTCTAAAATATGTATAAATCAGATATACAAAAATCTTTTTTCTGTAGTTCAGAAAATTTAAAAGTTGTTAAGTTAGATCAGCTGCATCCCTATATCGCCAGAAGTTAGTTATACTGTGCATTTTCATCAGTATACACTTATATAGCTTTCACTGCTTAACAACATATTTAATCTGTTAATAATGGAAATTATAACCTTAATAATTAAAAATTGATAAAATGCTAATGCTAGATTATTATAAGACTATGTATAATGGTGAGGTTTATGATAGAGTAAATTTAACACATGCTTTGGAGAATTAAGTCTTTGATTTCACTAGTTTCCTGAATGAGATTAAACTTTCATAAAACCAGATGAACTCAAATATTGTTCAGAATGTGGTTACAGAGTTAAGATTTTTAGAATTATTCTGAAACCCAAATATACGTCTCCAACTCCAGGGTCTCTGTATCTTTTGTATAAATAGAGTATACTTTCAATTAGATCCCATCCTCCTTGAGCTACATTGATATTCAGACGTATGTTGAATCAACCAGATAAACTTAAAGCATGATTTATATGCATCAAAGCCTGTTAATTTTTTTCCATAGTTATGACTTTATCTCCAAAACTAGCTAAAAATTTGAGTTCATTGAGCTCAAAGTTCAACATTAGGAAATAAGCACTCTCTTCATGTGCCATCTGCATAACCAATATGTTCAGTTTGAAATTTCTAGTTCATATGCTCATAGGTCTTGTCATATCTGTAGGAACATAAAAATTCTCTGTATCTATAGATTTGTACAGGTGGAATGTCTCAGAATCCAGAATATCCAAAATGGAATTCATAATCTACACCCCAAATCAGCTTCAACGGCAGCCTTCCATTCTCAGTTGATGGCAGATCGAGGACCCTGTTTGTTTAGATCAAAAACTTTTTGATGTATTCTTGATTTTCCTCTTTCTCTTTCACTACATCCATTCTGTCTTGACATCTTGGCTCTGTCTTCAAAATTTGGCCCTATTTTGCCACCTACACGACTGGAGTGAATTGCCAGTCTCCCTTCTGCCTTACGCTTAATGTATTTCTTAAGTCAGTTATGGTGGCATGTACCTATAATCCCAGCTACACGGGAGGCTGAGGCAGAAAGATCACTTGAGCCCAGGAGTTTGAGACTACACTGGGCAACATAGCAAGAATCCATCTAAATTACAAAAAATATATATATATTTTTTTCTTCCCCCTGTCTCCACCTTTCCACCTTTGCCTCTCCTCTTATACAACCATTTTGGTACATCTGCTATAGTGATCCTTTTAAAACATAAGTCAGTTCAAGTCTTTTCTCTGTATCAGGCCCCTCAAAGGTTCCCCATCTCCTTCAGAGTCCTTTTAATGTTCTACCAGACCCTCCCTGATCTGGCCCATCATTACTTGTCTGGTGATCTCAGTTTCTGCTTACTATTGGCTTCAGTTTATTTTGATTTCTAATTATCGATGGCTTTACTACATCTTGACTTCAATTTAAGCCCTCTCTCTGTCAGCTCTGCATGTTACCATCTATTTGTCTTATGTTCAGATACCTCAAGAGAGAGCTGATTGAGTTAGTTAATGTTATCTAAGTTAGGCAGGACTGTTTGGCCTTGCCATTCCATGTGCTGCTACCCAGCCCAGGGATTAGCTGTTCTTAAAGCAGATGCCCACTTGTGATCTAATTAGCCAAAGTATAGGGAGTTCCTAGTTAGGCATGCGGAGTAACAGACTACTCTCTCTAGTATACATGGTTTTGAGCTGTGTAGCATCTTTTCAGATTGTTGTATTATAATTAATTTAATTATAAGATATTTCTGTTTTAAAAATTTCACTGTTAAAAATATCACTGTAACTCAGAAGAAAAGAAACATTGAACATATATTTTTGATTAAGGGCAAAACAAGTTGAAGCAGTGGATTCTTGCATTTCTGCATTTAAAAAGCAAAATTCGTTATGAGTTCAAAACATGTCTTAATTTAAAATGATAGCTCAGTAGTGAATGCCAAGAGACATTGTTAATATGAGGAGATACAAGGAACATAGAAGAAGTTAAAACTGAAGTAAGAAGGACAGAGGATTAGATGGACTTGAACTATGGAAAACATTGAAATGCATTCAAGAAAACTATTGATTAGTGAACCTAAATTTCCTTGTTTACTTATCTTAAAATACCTAGTTAATACCAAATAAAATATTCAAATAAGAAAACAAAATTAGGGTGGTATTGTACATTATAAAATATTTGTCTGCCGGGTGTAGTGGCTCACGCCTGTAATCCCAATACTTTGGGAGGCCAAGGTGGGCGGATCACTTGTCAGGTGTTTGTGACCAGCCTGGCCAACATGGTGAAACCCCGTCTCTACTAAAAATACAAAAATTAGCCCAGCATGGTGGCGAGCACCTGTAATCCCAGGTACTTGGGAAGCTGAGGCACGAGAATCGCTTGAACCCGGGAGGCAGAGGTTACAGTGAGATGAGACCACGCCACCGCACTCCAGCCTGAACAACAAAGCGAGACTCTGTCTCAAAAAAATAAAATAAAATACTCGTCAATTATTTAGTTAGCAGGAACTATACATTTCTGAAAAATAGCTCTTATTTAAAAAAAAACAAATGACACAAAATGTCTTTAATACCCCCTCCCTAAAATAACACTGCAGAATACTTGATTATTCATTAACATATCTGTGCCACTGCAGCTATTTTCTCTTGATACATTTCTGGAAGTAGAATTACTGGGTCAAAGGGTAGGAATTTTTTTTTTTTTTTTTTTTTTTTGAGACTGAGTCTCACTGTTGTCAGCCCGGGCTGGAGTGCAGTGACGCAATCTTGGCTCACTGCAACCTCCGCCTCCGGGTTCCAGCAATTCTCCTACCTCAGCCTCCTGAGTAGCTGAGATTACAGGTGCCCACCACCACATCCAGCTATTTTTGCATTTTTAGTAGTGATGGGGTTTCACCATGTTGGCCAGGTTGGTCTCGAACTCCTGACCTCAGGTGATCCACCTGCCTTGGCCTCCCAAAGTGCTGGGATCACAGGTGTGAGCCACCACACCCAGCCAGGGTAGGAATATTTTTTAAGACCCGTTTTACATACTACCAGATGGCACTCCTGAAAATTCTATCAACTTGCAAGATTTTTGTTCTTTTCAGTTAATATCATGGTATATTGAATTTTCTTCTTCAACATTTTCCTCCATTGAGAAAGATGGTAAAAATACTGAAGATACATAAATAAATCTAAAAATGAAAGGGAGGGAAGGTAAATAAGTTTATGTTCAATGGTATTTCTGTGTTTTTAGTTTGCAAATTTCATTTTTAATGGTTGTTTAATATTCTGTTATATTGAGATAAGATAATTTTCTTAACCATTCCTAAAATGTTGTAAATAGATACATATTTATATTTGTGAATAAAGATTCAATGAACTTGTTTATGCATAAATTTAATCCACATTTCAAGTTATTTTTTAGGTAATATTACATTTCTAAAGAGAAAACAGTATGACAAAGGTATAAATATTTTCAATGCCAAATTAATCTGAAATGGTTGTAACAATTTATAGTTCCATTGACAGTGTGTGATATTTTTCCATCTTGACCTTCTTGCCAACATAAAATATTTTTTAAAATTTAATTAGTCTTGTAGATAACTGAATTAAGATGCCACCTACTTTAAATCATATTTTTAAAAATTATCCAAGTGTTACTTCTGGCTTTTTGGATTAGTAGAATGTTTGGTTATTAGAGTCTGAAGGGGGTTCAGCTTCCTACTCAATGCAGGAATCATTGCTCTTCTTTCAAGTACATCAAATTATTATTTTATGGGATGAAACTTGGCCTTTCTAATACTGTGCTGAACCAGTTGTACTTTGTCTTAGAATAAAGGAAATTATTTTTACCATATATAAAAAGTTTTATGTAAACTTGTAGGTACATTTATAATGCTGTCAATTGAAAACAAAACATAGATGCCATTTTCATTCTAACAGTCTCTGCCTCCTGCTGAACTTAAAAAAGAAGCCAGAACTAAGGTATTGTCAAAATTAAGTGGTTTATGTCAAAAATAAATCATTAGAGGTGATATTTTACAGTTATATTATCAAACAAGAAGTGTGACTTTTCCTATCCATTTAATAAAATAAGACCGTCTTGCTAAAATTCTACCTGCTACTATTGTTTTGGTTGGTCTAGATTTGGATTAAAAAAAAAGGTTTTGGCAGGGATGAAAAACATAGCAAAGGAGATATTTGCTGTGGCCTGTGCCAAATAAGAAATTCTGACATTCAAGCTCTTTGCCAGGAGAAAGCATGCTATATGAAAGAAGACTTGCTGAAAAGAGTTGTTTTCAACTACTCTGATGAGAACAGTCTTATTAGTAAAGAAGTGTGTAGGAAAGCCTGGATTGTGGTAGTTTGAATAATGAATGGGAGGTAACGTAAAGATAGTTAATGTAAAGGAGTCTTTCAAAACATTAGTTGAGGAAGGAAAGAAATAGATGCCATCAGACATTGAGAGAGAAGAAGAAATAAGGATTCACATCCTCAGGTGGATAGACTAATTCAGGTTTGTAGGCTATGTTTAAGGAGCCTGAAGCGAGGTAGAAATACAGTGAATTGCAGAGGAGACTGGAGGAGATGCACTCAGAAGTAAATGGTTAGTTTTTGGAAGCTTTCCTCCATTGAGAGATGGTAAAAATACTGAAGATATATAAGTAAATCCAAAAATAAAAGGGAGGGAAGGTAAAGCAGTTTATATTCCATGACATTTTTTTCTCTCAGAGTTGACAACTGTGGTTATTTGCAAAAAAATGTTGGTTGTGAGGATAAAGTGGAGTACCTAAAGACAGGCACAACAACTACGGAGCATGGAAAAGAGAACTTACTGGGGATGAATAAAGATTGTTACAATAATACTCATGAGATTAGAAATAAGATATGTATGTTATATATATATTTATTATTGGTGATACATTTATAAATGTGATTTTTCTCCAGTAGCTCCAGGCAGTGTGAAGAAGGTAAACAATTTAATTGAACCTGGGTTGGCAAGGGACACTGTAGAGATGATTAAAGGTGTTTGTTGGAGTATGTTCAAAATGATTGACTATGTAGTTCTGGCAAATAAGGAAGGAAATGGAGTCATAGGGAGCTATGGAGGGGTGGGAAGCAATATATTACAACCAGAGGCCAAAAAACAAATTTAGTAAGGATGGGAGAAATGAAATGATTGATGGCAGTGGTAAGAGAAGAATTTTACAGTTCAGAATTTCAGAGGTGATACAGTCCCAAGTGATGACAATATGCAGAATATATCACAGTGAGTAGGTTGCTGAATTAGATGGAGGTGCAGGAGGTAAAGTTCTTTAGAATAGATAAGGTCAGGAGTGAACTGTAGTTGAGGATTTCTAAGGAAAGAGTGGCATTTCAACAGGGTTTTTGGTTAAAGTGAAGATATATACAAGTATGTGGTGCTTAACTATGGGGACTACTCTGATAAATGGGTCAGTAGGCAATTTCATCATTGTGCAGACATCACAGAGTGTGTGTATACAAACTTAAAATGGTGTAGCCTACTACACATCTAGGCTATATGGTATAGCCCATAGCCCTTAGGCTACAAACCTGTACAGTATGTTACTGTACTGTGTATTGTAGGCAGTTATAACACAGTGGTAAGTTTTTGTGTATCTAAACATAGAAAAGGTACAGTAAAAATACAGTATTAAAATCTTGTGGGACCACCTTCTAGTATGTCCTGACTGAAACGTTGTTATGTGGCACATGACTGTATGTATTTAAGGTTTGTTTTGTTTTTTAAGATAAGATATAAGGAGGTATCCTGATAGCTGCAGATCAACAGATTGAGGGTTTCAAGGTCTATCAGGAAAGATAAACTTGAATATGATGATCATGAGAAAGCAGGATAACAGATTGGAGTGGTTTGCAGAGTTATGACTATAGACTGGAGGAATGTAGAGATAGTGAAATGGATGTATGTGGGATATGAGTAAAACAAGCCTGTTTCAAGATTCCATTTAGATTTAGGTGTAAAGTTGGAGTCCCCCCTTCAAAACTTTACAGTGTATTACATGAACTTTCAAAATTATCTCAAATTATATAAAAGTAAAATTGGTCTCGTGTGTGATTTCTTAAGGAAACAAAGGAAGCTGTAAAAGCCATAAAAGCCTGCACTGAAGTGTTGCATGGAATGTGCTCAGTAGTTGTGATTTGAATGAATTCTCTGTTCTCCAAGTACTGGTAGACTTCTGATAGATAAAAGCAAGATAGGTTGTTTTTATTATGTCTTTTATCTTCTTGTTATATTTACCATTCTTTGAAAATAGTTTAAATCTTTTATCAATTCTAAAGCCATGGAATATTTTAACCATGATTCAAGAAAAGGTCTTTTAGGTAATAGGAATAGATATAGGTATAGTACACGTCTACATTTTCTTTCATACCATCTAATGCACTGACAAATAGGTGTTCAATGGAACCTAAGACGGTTCTTGGTAGCACTTTGTCCATTCCTACTTTTTTATTTTTTCTCTCCCTTTTTCCTTATTCTTCCCCTCCTCACTCTTTTTCCTGCATTTTTCCTTCTCATCTTATTGCTTGTGTAGGACACCTGCTAAAATTCACAGGTATTGTTTGTTTCCACCAATAACATTAAAAGCTGGAAAAAATCGCTATCCCACCCATTAAAATAATATGCTTTGTAGTTACTTTTTAAGATATAAAGTTGGTAGCTCAAATTAAATGAACCATTTATATTTTTGTTTACATACTGCTGGTTAATTAACATTCAGCCCCTTATCATTATGCAAAAGTTTCCATTTAACTGCTAAAATAATTGTTACATTTCATAAATTGCTTGTTACAGTTATTTTATCTCAAACTTCCATTTTATGTCTAAAACTTCCTCCATATGTGAAAATGCTTTCTATTGACTTGACCTTTAAATTAAATGGTCTACATTTTTGGCAACAATAACATGTAATAACATATTCTTCTTATTTTTTAAAATAGATTTGGACTGAGCAACAAATTTGAATCTGAATTCCCTTCTTCATTAACTGGAAAAGTGAGTGTCTCATTTATGTACTATTTGTATGCCTCAAAATGAAAGTTTTTTTCTGAGAAAATTAGAAAAAAGTATGCTCATCAGTCATGTTTTTTGACATTAATATTGCATTGTTATTATTTCTTAAAATTTTTCTTTAGGTAGCTCCTGAAGAATTTAAAGCCAGCATCAACAGAGTTAACAGTTGTCTTAAGAAGAACCTTCCTGTTAATGTACGTTGGCTACTTTGTGGCTGCCTTTGTTGCTGCTGCACATTAGGTTGCAGTATGTGGCCAGTTATTTGCCTCAGTAAAAGAGTAAGTTGAATTATATATTTTAATTTAAATTTAGAAGTGGACAAGCAAGTCTTGCATTTATCTAGTTTTTATTTTTTGTATTGAATGAATCACACTATCCTGAATAAAATATGAAAATAATCTGATCCAGGAGAGGAGTGAGTCAGTAAAGTTACTATATATCCAAGTGCTGTTATTAAATAGCCATCTAAAAATTATATTTATAATTTTAGAAGCAAGGAGTAGTGTATGGCATTGTCTGTATCTGTACATTGACAGTGGTGTGGTATAGTGATCAAGGATGCTGGCTTCAGCTCTACCACTTTTCTCTGTGACCTTAGGCACGTTTCCTAACCTCTTTAAACCCTACTTGACACAACTGTAAAATGTTCACCTACTACTTGAATATAAAGGTAAAATGAAAATGTTTGGAAAACTCTTAGCTGAATATCTCAAAGGAAGTGGTTAATAAGTATTAATTAATAGTATTCTTACTGACTGTAAGATGGTACCCATACAAGAAATAAAATGGTTACAATGGTTGTTTCTTGTTGGTAAGATTATGGGACATTCTTTTCTGCTTTTTATATTTTACAAGTTTCCTGTAGTGAGCACAAAGTGATTCTGTAATCAGAAAAAATAATTTCAAAGACTCATTATTTTGACTGCTTATAATAAAAAATTCTGGCCAGGCACAGTGGCTCATGCCTGCAATTTTAACACTTTGGGAGGCCAAGGCGGGCGGATCACTTGAGGTCAGAAGTTCAAGACCAGTCTGGCGTACATGGTAAAACCCTGTCTCTACTAAAAATACAAAAAATTAGCCAGGCGTGGTGGCGGGTGCCTGTAATCCCAGTTAGTCAGGAGGCTGAGGCAGGAGAATCGCTTGAACCTGGAGGGCGAAGGTTGCAGTGAGCTGAGATCGTGCCATTGCACTCCAGCCTGGGCAACAATAGTGAAACTCTGTCTCAACAAACAAATAAACAAAATTTTAAGATGTTGGTAGAGATATGACAAATTATTATAGATTGAATGTATTATATTCTTGTTAAAATTTTCAAAAATTGTATTTATATGTATAAAAATGATACTTTAAAAAAATTTTTTTAAATAAATAAATTTTATTTTTTAAAAATGTATTTAAAAAAATAGAGACAGGGTTTCTTTTTTTTAATTATTATACGTTAAATTCTAGGGTACATGTGCACAACGTGCAGGTTAGTTACATATGTATACATGTGCCATGTTGGTGTGCTGCACCCATTAACTCGTCATTTAACATTAGGTATATCTCCTAATGCTATCCCTCCCCCCTCCCCCCACCCCACAACAGTCCCCGGTGTGTGGTGTTCCCCTTCCTGTGTCCATGTGTTCTCATTGTTCAATTCCCACCTATGAGTGAGAATATGCGGTGTTTGGTTTTTTGTCCTTGCGATAGTTTGCTGAGAATGATGGTTTCCAGCTTCATCCATGTCCTTACAAAGGACATGAACTCATCCTTTTTTATGGCTGCATAGTATTCCATGGTGTATATGTGCCACATTTTCTTAATCCAGTCTACCATTGTTGGACATTTGGGTTGGTTCCAAGTCTTTGCTATTGTGAATAGTGCTGCAATAACCATACGTGTGCATGTGTCTTTATAGCAGCATGATTTATAATCCTTTGGGTATATACCCAGTAATGGGATTGCTGGGTCAAATGGTATTTCAAGTTCTAGATCCCTGAGGAATCGCCACACTGACTTCCACAATGGTTGAACTGGTTTATAGTCCCACCAACAGTGTAAAAGTGTTCCTATTTCTCCACATCCTCTCCAGCACCTGTTGTTTCCTGACTTTTTAATGATCGCCATTCTAACTGGTGTGAGATGGTATCTCTTTGTGGTTTTGATTTGCATTTCTCTGATGGCCAGTGATGATGAGCATTTTTTCATGTGTTTTTTGGCTGCATAAATGTCTTCTTTTGAGAAGTGTCTGTTCATATCCTTTGCCCACTTTTTGATGGGGTTGTTTGCTTTTTCTTGTAAATGTGTTTGAGTTCATTGTAGATTCTGGATATTAGCCCTTTGTCAGATGAGCAGGTTGCAAAAATTTTCTCCCATTCTGTAGGTTGCCTGTTCACTCTGATGGTAGTTTCTTTTGCTGTGCAGAAGCTCTTTAGTTTAATTAGATCCCATTTGTCAGTTTTGACTTTTGTTGCCATTGCTTTTGGTGTTTTAGACATGAAGTCCTTGCCCATGCCTATGTCCTGAATGGTAATGCCTAGGTTTTCTTCTAGGGTTTTTATGGTTTTAGGTCTAACATGTAAGTCTTTAATCCATCTTGAATCAATTTTTGTATAAGGTGTAAGGAAGGGATCCAGTTTCAGCTTTGTACATATGGCTAGCCAGTTTTCCCAGCACCCTTTATTAAATAGGGAATCCTTTCCCCATTTCTTGTTTTTGTCAGGTTTGTCAAAGATCAGATAGTTGTAGATATGTGGCATTTTTTCTGAGGGCTCTGTTCTGTTCCATTGGTCTATATCTGTTTTGGTACCAGTACCATGCTGTTTTGGTTACTGTATCCTTGTAGTATAGTTTGAAGTCAGGTAGCGTGATGCCTCCAGCTTTGTTCTTTTGGCTTAGGATTGACTTGGCGATGCGGGCTCTTTTTTGGTTCCATATGAGCTTTAAAGTAGTTTTTTCCAATTCTGTGAAGAAAGTCATTGGTAGCTTGATGGGGATGGCATTGAATCTATAAATTACCGTGGGCAGTGTGTCCATTTTCACAATATTGATTCTTGCTATCCATGAGCATGGAATGTTCTTCCATTTGTTTGTATCCTTTTTTATTTCCTTGAGCAGTGGTTTGTAGTTCTCCTTGAAGAGGTCCTTCACATCCCTTGTAAGTTGGATTCCTAGGTATTTTATTCTCTTTGAAGCAATTGTGAATGGGAGTTCACTCATGATTTGGCTCTCTGTTTGTCTGTTATTGGTGTATAAGAATGCTTGTGATTTTTGCACCTTGATTTTGTATCCTGAGACTTTGCTGAAGTTGCTTATCAGCTTAAGGAGATTTTGGGCTGAGACGATGGGGTTTTCTAGATATACAATCATGTCATCTGCAAACAGGGACAATTTGACTTCCTCTTTTCCTAATTGAATGCCCTTTATTTCCTTCTCCTGCCTGATTGCCCTGGCCAGAACTTCCAACACTATGTTGAATATGAGTGGTGAGAGAGGGCATCCCTGTCTTGTGCCAGTTTTCAAAGGGAATGCTTCCAGTTTTTGCCCATTCAGTATGATATTGGCTGTGGGTTTGTCATAGATAGCTCTTATTATTTTGAGATATGTCCCATCAATACCTAATTTATTGAGAGTTTTTAGCATGAAGGGTTGTTGAATTTTGTCAAAGGCCTTTTCTGCATCTATTGAGATAATCATGTGGTTTTTGTCTTTGGTTCTGTTTATATGCTGGATTACGTTTATTGATTTTCGTATGTTGAACCAGCCTTGCATCCCAGGGATGAAGCCCACTTGATCATGGTGGATAAGCTTTTTGATGTGTTGCTGGATTTGGTTTGCCAGTATTTTATTGAGAATTTTTGCATCACTGTTCATCAAGGATATTGGTCTAAAATTCTCTTTTTTTGTTGTGTCTCTGCCCGGCTTTGGTATCAGGATGATGCTGGCCTCATAAAATGAGTTAGGGAGGATTCCTTGTTTTTCTATTGATTGGAATAATTTCAGAAGGAATGGTACCAGTTCCTCCTTGTACCTCTGGTAGAATTCGGCTGTGAATCCATCTGGTCCTGGACTTTTTTTGATTGGTAAGCTACTAATTATTGCCTCAATTTCAGAGCCTGTTATTGGTCTATTCAGACATTCAACTTCTTCCTGGTTTAGTCTTGGGAGAGTGTATGTGTCGAGGAATTTATCCATTTCTTCTGGATTTTGTAGTTTATTTGCGTAGAGGTGTTTACAGTATTCTCTGATGGTAGTTTGTATTTCTGTGGGATCGGTGGTGATATCCCCTTTATCATTTTTTATTGCATCTATTTGATTCTTCTCTCTTTTCTTCTTTATTAGTCTTGCTAGCGGTCTATCAATTTTGTTGATCTTTTCAAAAAACCAGCTCCTGGATTCATTGATTTTTTTGAAGGGTTTTTTGTGTCTCTATTTCCTTCAGTTCTGCTCTGATCTTAGTTATTTCTTGCCTTCTGCTAGCTTTTGAATGTGTTTGCTCTTGCTTCTCTAGTTCTTTTAATTGTGATGTTAGGGTGTCAATTTTAGATCTTTCCTGCTTTCTCTTGTGGGTATTTAGTGCTATAAATTTCCCTCTACACACTGCTTTGAATGTGTCCCAGAGATTCTGGTATGTTGTGTCTTTGTTCTCATTGGTTTCAAAGGACATCTTTATTTCTGCCTTCATTTCATTATGTACCCAGTAGTCATTCAGGAGCAGGTTGTTCAGTTTCCATGTAGTTGAGCAGTTTTGAGTGAGTTTCTTAATCCTGAGTTCTAGTTTGATTGCACTGTGGTCTGAGAGACTGTTATAATTTCTGTTCTTTTACATTTGCTGAGGAGTGCTTTACTGCCAACTATGTGGTCAGTTTTGGAATAGGTGTGGTGTGGTGCCGAAAGGAATGTATATTCTGTTGATTTGGGGTGGAGAGTTCTGTAGATGTCTATTAGGTCTGCTTGGTGCAGAGCTGAGTTCAATTCCTGGATATCCTTGTTAACTTTCTGTCTTGTTGATCTGTCTAATGTTGACAGTGGGGTGTTAAAGTCTCCCATTATTGTGTGGGAGTGTAAGTCTCTTTGTAGGTCACTAAGGACTTGCTTTATGAGTCTGGGTGCTCCTGTATTGGGTGCATGTATATTTAGGATAGTTAGTTCTTCTTGTTGAATTGATCCCTTTACCATTATGTAATGGCCTTCTTTGTCTCTTTTGATCTTTGTTGGTTTAAAGTCTGTTTTATCCGAGACTAGGATTGCAACCCCTGCCTTTTTTTGTTTTCCATTTGCTTAGTAGATCTTCCTCCATCCCTTTATTTTGAGCCTATATGTGTCTCTGCACGTGAGATGTGTTTCCTGAATACAGCACACTGATGGGTCTTGACTCTTCATCCAGTTTGCCAGTCTGTGCCTTTTAATTGGAGCATTTAGCCCATTTACATTTAAGGTTATTATTGTTATGTGTGAATTTGATCCTGTCATTATGATGTTAGCTGGTTATTTTGCTCGTTAGTTGATGCAGTTTCTTCCTAGCTTTGATGGTCTTTACAATTTGGCATGTTTTTGCAGTGGCTGGTACCAGTTGTTCCTTTCCATGTTTAGTGCTTCCTTCGGGAGCTCTTTTAGGGCAGGCCTGGTGCTGACAGAATCTCTCAGCATTTGCTTGTCTGTAAAGTATTTTATTTCTCCTTCACTTATGAAGCTTAGTTTGGCTGGATATGAAATTGTGGGTTGAAAATTCTTTTCTTTAAGAATGTTGAATATTGGCCCCCACTCTCTTCTGGCTTGTAGAGTTTCTGCCAAGTGATCAAGTGTTTCTTTTTTTTTTTTTTTTTTTGAAATGGAGTCTCACTCTGTTGCCCAGGCTGGAGTGCAGTGGCATGATCTCTGCTCACTGCAAGCTCCACCTCCCGTGTTCACGCCATTCTCCTGTGTCAGCCTCCTGAGTAGCTGGGACTGCAGGTGCCCACCACCACACCTGGCTAAGTTTTTGTATTTTTAGTAGAGACAGGTTTTCACTGTGTTAGGCAGGATGGTCTCAATCTCCTGACCTCGTGATCCATCCGCCTCGGCCTCCCAAAGTGCTGGGATTACAGGCGTGAGCCACCGCGCCTGGCCGAGACAGGGTTTCTATGCCCAGGGTGGTCTCAAACTTCTGGACTCAAGCAGTCTGCCCTCCTTGGCCTCTCTAAGTGCTGGGATTACAGGTGTGAGCCACTGCACCCAGCCAAAAATGAAATTTTGTTAAGTTGAAAATGAATGAACAGTTTTATGTGGCTACATTTTGACAACCAATAAGAGTAGGAAGTATGGATGATCAAATTCTCTTTGTCCCTTGATTTCTGTTATAAAATAAAAGATATATTCCTACTAAAAATTTTTAAACTGGTACATTCTATTGATAGGAAGGAGTTAATGCCTTTGTAATAGAATGACTTATGATATTTACTTCAATATTTCTAATATTCCTTTTTTCTAAAAATGGTTCTTTTTTTTTCATCATTCTCACCAGATTACCTTTGCACTACAGAACATTTTTTCGTCTCTGGATCCACAGTTGATTTTGTCGCTCTTGTAGTTTGGATCCCCTCACTCCCTTCTGCTATGTGGGCATTTCCATTGTTTCAATGCCTGCTATGTCTCTCTTGGTTGGGAATTGCCATCATGTAACCCAGAAAATCCTAAGAGTTTTAATACTGTAGATACCTTTGAGATCTGGCTTGTTTGTTTGTGTTGGTTTTGTTTTGATACCCTTTTTTTAAACCTTTAAATGAGTAATAAGATGTTGCAGTGTGTACGGTGTATTTAGAAAACAAAGGTAAATGAGTTAAACTTTGCATTCATATCAACTTGAGATCCTTTTTGAAATGCCTTCATTAAATTCCTTCTTATGTGAGATGTAAGATTGACTTTTTAAGCTAGTTTAATCTGTAGTTTCTGAAAGTACATTTCATTTAGCATTGTAGTGTTCAGTCTTAAGTTCTCTCTTTGTATTTTATATGACTAGATGGAATATTTATTTGATGCATTTAATTTTATATGGAGTACTATCTAGGGAGCATAAACAAACATGACTTGCTTTTTAAAAAAGCCATACATATCTGTCCTTGGGTGTAAACTATTACATAACCATGGTAAGAGTGACACTTCATGCATGTGTGAAGGATATTACCGGCCCTGGAGAAAGAGGTGCTTTGTAAGATGGAGGCAAAATAATTTGGATTTTTTTTTCCTTTTTTTTTTTTTTAAATTATACTTTAAGTTCTGGGATACATGTGCAGAATGTGCAGGTTTGTTACATAGGTATACACGTGCCATGGTGGTTTGCTGCACACATCAGCCCATCATCTACATTAGGCATTTCTCCTAATGCTATCCCTCCCCTAGCCCCCAACCCCTGACAGGTCCCAGTGTGTGATGTTCCCCTCTAGAGCAGGGATTTTTAACGTTTTATTTGCCATAAATCCTTTTGATGGTTTAGGGAAGCCTATGAATGCTTTCTTAGATGCTTTACATATATTTAAAAATATTTAATGTATTCTAAATGCATAAGGTAAAAATACATGGATTACAGAGGAAACCAATTATATAAAATATAGTTATCAAAATACTAGAAAACTTTAATGTGGTTTATAAATATGTTTATTAATGCATACAAAATGAGATAGCAACAAATCCATGATAATAATGATATGATAGGAAGAATCTGTGATTTCTTTAAGTGATGAAGGTGCAGGTCCTGTTCAGTCTATTGCAGTTAGTTGCATACATTCATAACCTAAGGAAATGTAATACATTTCAGTTAGTGGTTAAAAAGATGTATTTTCATTTCACTCACTTTCACAGATTCCCAGAATTCTGTCTAGGTACTGTATGTTAAGAACCCTCGATCGAGAGGCATGAGTATAAAAAATTGCCAGCCTGTGAACTTCTGTTTTCTTTCTTGTGATGTGAAATCCTCTTATGTGGTTAGAATGGTCTCAGACTCTAAGACAAATCAGGACCAAAGGCATACTTGATATGCAGCTCAGTGCTTTTACTTTCTTCACATTATTCACTGATTTGGAAAACTGCAGTTCTGTCTTGCCTTCAAAATCCATCCCCTCACGAGGTCAGGAGATCGAGACCATCCTGGCCAACATGGTGAAACCCCATCTCTACTAAAAATATAAAAATTAGCTGGCATGGTGGCACGTGCCTGTAATCCCAGCTACTCGGGAGGCTGAGGCAGAAGAATCGCTTGAACCAGGGAGTTGGAGGTTCCGTCTCAAAAAAAAAAAAAAATCTATCCCCAACTTAGTGCCCTCTTTTTATGACCTGATATTATTCCCAAGACCTTGTTTTTATTCTGTTCTATTATTATTATTCTTATTATGATTGAGACGGTGTTTTACTCTTGTCATCCAGGCTGGAGTGCAATGGCATGATCTCTACTCACAGCAACCTCCTCCTCCCAGGTTCAAGCAATTCTCCTGCCTCAGCCTCCTGAGTAGCTGGGATTACAGGCACCTGCAGCCACACCCAGCTAATTTTTTTTTTTTTTTTTTTTTTTTTGAGACAGAGTTTCACTTTTATCACCCAGGCTGGAGTGCAGTGGTGTGGTCTCTCAGCTCATCACAACCTACACCTCCCCGGTTCAAGTGATTCTCTTGCCTCAGCCTCCGGAGTAGCTGGAATTACAGGCTCCTGACACTATGCCCAGCTAATTTTTGTATTTTTAGTAGAGACGGGGTTTCACCATGTTTGCCAGGCTGGTCTTGAACTCCTGACCTCAGGTGATCTGCCCGCTTCGGCCTCCCAAAGTGCTGAGATTCAGGTGTGAGCCACCGTGCTCGGCTAATTTTTATATTTTTGGTAGAGACGGGGTTTCACCATTTTGGCCAGGCTGATCTTGAGCTCCTGACCTCTGGTGATCTGCCTGCCTCGGCCTCCCAAAGTGCTGGGATTACAGGCGTGAGCCACTGCGCCCAGCATGTTCTGTTATTTTGATTATTTTTTAGACCTTCCAAATTGCCTTTTTTCTTAACTACCTTTGCCTATTTTTGAAAATTGTTTTTTAATATACAGTAAAATTTTTATAAACAGTTCTGTGATTTTTGATAAACGCATAGAGTTTTGTAACCACCACCAGAATCAAGATACATAACAGTTTTCCATAAAAAACTTACTTGTGCTGTAGTAAGTTTTTTACTTACTACCTCTGTAGTTGAACCCTCGTCAACTCTTAAACCCTGGCAACCAGTGATCTGTTGTCTATCCCTACAATACTGTCTTTTCTAGAATATTATATAAATGGAGTAAAATAGTGTATATAACTTTTTGAGTCTGGCTTCTTTCATGTAGCTTAGTGCATTTGAGATTCATCTATTTTCTTTTATGTATTAATAGTTTATTCTTTTTTATTGTTGAGTAGTATTCCATTGTATGGATGTATCACAGTTTGTTTATCCATTTATCAGTTGAAGACACTGACTTTCCAGTTTTTGAATAAAGCTTGCCATAAACATTCACATGCATGTTTTTGTGTGAACACAAGTTTTCATTTTTAGGAAGGGGATTGCCGGGTTATATGGTAAGTGAATGTTTAATTTATAAAAAATCTCCAAACTGTTTTCCAAAGTGGGTGAACCATTTTGCATTCCAGCCAGCAATGCATGAGAGATCCAGTTGCTTAGCATCCTTGCAGGACTTGATATGGTTAGTTATAGAAATTATAGTCATTCTAAAAGATACATAGTAGCATCTCATTGTGGTTTTAATTTGCATTACCCTCATGAGTAATGATATTGAGCACCTTTTCATGTGCTTATTTGCCATTTGTACCTCTTTGTTAAAGTGTTCATTGAAATATTTTGCCTATTTAAAAATTGTTATTTCTTGTTGAGTTTTGAGAGTTCTTCATATAATTCTGAAAATAAGTCCCCTGGCAGATACGTGCTAATATATATTTGCAGTCTGTAGCTGTCTTTTCATTCTCCAACAATGTCTTCGGCGGAACAAAAGCTTTTGCTTTTGATGAATTCATCGCTTTAAAAAAAAATAGATTGTACTTTTGTGCTGTATCTAAGAATTTGCCTAAACCAAGGTCATGAAAATTTTCTCCTGTGATCTCTTTACTTTTAGGTGTGTGACCCATTTTGACTCAGGTTTTTATATGAGTGTGAGGTATGGGTGAAATTTTTTTTTTTTGCATATCACTTTCTAGGTTTTCCAGTACCATTTGTTGAGAAGACTATCCTTTTTCCCTTGAATTGCCATTGTACATTGTCAAAAATCAGTCAACAATACCTGTGTAGGTCTCTTTCCATACTCTATTCTGTTCTATTGATTTGTATGTCTATCTTGATTAAATATCATAATGTCTAGTTTACTGTAGCTTTTTTTTCTTTTTTAATTAAAAAGGAGACAGGGTCTTGCTGTGTTGCCCAGGTTGGTCTCGAACTCCTGGGCTCAAGCGATTCTCTCATCTCGGCCTCCCAAAGTGCTGGAATTACAGATGTGAGCCACTGTGTCCAGCCTACTGTAGCTTTATAGTAAGTTTTGAAATCAGGTATATTGAGCCTTTCAATTTTTTTCTTATTTTTCAAGATTGTTTTGGCTGTTCTAATTTCTTTACCTTTCTTTATAAATTTTAGAATTAGCTTGTCAAATATCTATAAGAAACACTGGTATTTGATTGGAATTACATTCAATTTACAGATGAATTGGAGAGAATTGACATCTTAACAATATTAAGTCCTCTAAACCAAGAACATGACATAGTCTCCATGTATTTAGGTCTTTGACGTTTTTTTTGTTAGAGCTTTGTAGTTTTTTGCGTAGCATATAGATTATGCTCATGTTTTATTAGCTTTATACATAAGTATTTCTTTGGGTTTGGCGCTATTGTAAATGGTATTGTTTTTTAAATTTTGATTTCCAGTTGTTCACTGCTAGTACATAAAATACAGTTGATTTTTGCATATTAACGTCATGTCCTTCAACCTTGCCAAATTCACTTATTAAATTCCAGGAACTTTTTTGTAGATTCCTTGGGATTTTCTACAGAGATAACTATGTTGTCAGAAAATAATGACAGTTTTATTCCCAATCTGTGTACTTTTTCTTTTCCTTCTCTTTTTCACAGTGTAGGAGTTCTAATAAAATGCTGAATAGGAGTGATGAGAGCAAACTCCTTGCTTTATTCTTGATTTTCTGTGTTGTTTTTCTGTTTTCACTTCCATTGATTTTTTGTTTTTATTATTTCTTCTCCTTGCTTTGGATATAATTTACTCTTGTTTTTTAGTTTCTTAAGGTAGAAGTCATTGATTTGTCTTTTCTTTTTTTCTTGTATAAGCATTTAATGCTCTTTCCCTCTAAAGCACTGTTTTGACTATATCCTACACATTTTTATATAGTATTTTTGTTTTCTTTTGGTTCAAAGTATTTGTGATTTTCTCTCTGAGTCATGGATTATCAAGAAGTTTGTTTAACCTCCAAATATTTGGAGATTTACCAGAAACTCTTCTGTTACTGATTTCTAGTTTAATTTTATTACTGTTAAAGCATATACTTGGTGTGATATCAGTTCTTTTAAATGTGTTTTATTTTACAGCCTTGAATACAGTGTATTTTGGTAATGGCATGTTCAAAACTTTTATTTATATTTTACTAGCTTTATTGAAGTGTCAGTGACATACAATAAACTACACATACTTAAAGTATATTATTTGATGAGTTTTGATACACTTGTGTGCATCAAGATAGTGAACATACTCATCATTTCCAGAAACTTCCCTGTGCAAGTGCTGATCTGCTTTCTGGCACTATAGATTAATTTGCTTTTTCTAGAGTTTTATCTAAATGAAATCATACAATGTGCATTCTTTTTTGTCTTCTTGTTTTATTTTTTATTTATTTATTTTTGAGATAGGGTCTCATTCTGTCACTGAGGCTGGAGTTCAGTGGCATGATCATGGCTCACTACAGCCTTCCCAGACTTCCCAGGCTCCACTCATCCTCCTACCTCGGCCTCCCAAGTAGCTTGGGCCACAGGTGCGCATCACCACTCCTGGCTAATTTTTGTATTTTTGGTAGAGACAGGGTTTCATCTCTCAAACTCCTGAGCTCAAGCAGTCCACCCGCCTCAGCCTCCCAAAGTGCTGGGATTACAGGTGTGAGCCTCCGTGCTTGGCCAGCCCCTTTTTCTTTTACTTACTATGATTTTGAGATTCAACAATGTTGTTGCATCAGTAGTTCATTCCCTTTTATTGCTGAATAATGTTTATTATATGGATATGCCACATTTGTTTATCTATTTACCTGCTGATGGACATTTTGGTCTGTATAAATAAAGCTGCTGTGAATATTCTTGTTCAGGTCTTTTTGGGGACATACACTTTTTTTTTTTTTGAGTAAAAATTCCTGAGTGGAATGCCTTGGTCATATGTCAGTGTATGTTTAGCTTCCTTTCCTTTCTTTTTTTTTGTGGTTGTGGGACAATCCATGGAAATGCATTTAAGGAACTGAGAAACTGCCAAAAGTGGAGGTACTATTATTTTATGATCTCATGGTACTGTAGGATAGATTCTGTTCTGCTACATACTTGTCAACATTTAGTATAGTCTTTTAAAGAGTTGGGGTATGTGTCCCCTCTAAATCTCATGTTGAAATGTAATCCCCAGTGTTGGAGGTAGGGCCTCGTGGAAGGTGATTGGATCATGGGGGCAGATAACTTCACAGGTTGGTGCTGAGTTCTCTCAAGATCCGGTTTTTTAAAAGTGTGTGGCACCTCCCCCAACCCCGTTGCTCCTGCTCTGCCATATGAGATGCCTGCTGCCTTTCATCTTCCACCATTATTATAAGCTCCCTGAGTACTCCCCAGAAGCTGAGCAGATGCCAGTGCCATGCTTCTTGTACAGCTTGTCCAATAAAACCTCTTCATTATAAATTATCTAGTCTCAGGAATTTCTTTATAGCAATGCAAGAACAGCCTAACGAGATTTTAGTACCACTGTCTTGATAACTGATAGAACTAGTAGACAGAAAATCCCTACAGATGTCAGCCAACTTAACCTAATTGACATTTATAAAACACTCTAACCAACAATAGGCAAATACACATTCTTTTCAAGTACATACAGATCACTGAGATAGTTCTTATTCAAAGTAATTAAACAAGTCTTAATAAATTTAAAGGGATTCAAAACATACAAAGTGGGTTATCTGACCACAATAAAATTAAATTAAAAATCAGTAAATGAAAAATCGCTAGAAAATTCCCAAATATTTGAAAGCTAAATAAAATGCTTCTAAATAACTCATTGGTCAAAGAAATCAAAAGGGAAATTTAAAAGCAGAATGAATTAAATGAAGATTAAAACACAAAATGTCAAAATTTGTGTCATACTACTAAAGCAGTGTTCAAGGAAGGAAATTTATACCACTGAAAGTCTACACTAGAAAGCCTCAAATCCATGACCTCTGTTTTCATCTTAAGAAATTAGAAAAACAAGAGCAAATTAAATCCAAAGTAAGGAGGGGGAAAAAAATAATGGTCAGACTGAAACCTATGAAATATAAAGCATAAAATCAATAGAAATAATCAAACCTTTGAGAAGATCAATAAAATTAATAAATCTCTAGCCAGAGTGGGGAAAAGAGAAAGAAAGAGATAAATTAAGTTTCAGGAATGAAACAGGTGATGAGACTAAGAGGTTTTAAAGATAGTAAAAGAATGATTAATGAATACTATAAACTGTATGCCTGTAATTCAACACCTTAAAGTGGACAAATTCCTTGAAAAACAAAAACTGTAAAGCTTAACCAAGATAAAATAGATGACTTGAAAAGTCCCATATCAATTAAGTAAATTGAATTTGTAATTTAAAAACTTCCAACAAAGAAAATTCCAGGCCCAGATGCCTTTACTGGTGTATTCTTACAAAATTTAAGGAAGAAGTAATGCCTATTCTACACAAACTCTTCTAGAAAATCAAGAGAAAAGAACCCTTCCCAGCTCACTTTATGAGGCCATCGTTACCCTGAGGCCAAAACCAGACAGAGATATTCTAAAAGAAAAGTCTACAGAAAAATGTTCCTCATGAACATAGATATAAAACTTCTAAACAGACGTTTAGCCTATCAAGTCCAACAAAAACATGAAAAGAAAGACACACATGGCCAAGTACATTGTCCTTCCCAGGAAGGTAAGTAAGGTTGGTTTAACATCCAAAAATGCAATGAATGTAACTCAACATATTTCTAAACTAAAAAGAAAAACCACACAACAATCTCTAAAGTGGCAGAAAAAGCATTTGACAAAATCCAGCATGTATACTTGATTAACACTCTCACAGCCTAATAGAATAAAACTTCCTCAAGCTGATAAAGGACATCTACAAAAACCCTACAATTAACATGACACTTAATAATGAAGGTCTGAATGCATTTCTTCTAAGATCAAGAACAAGCCAAGAGTATGTTCTCACTACTACTAATCAATGTTATTCTGGAGATTCTAGCCAGGGCAGTAAGGCAAGAAAAAGCAACAAGTATAGTAATAATACTGTCTTGATGGGCAGATGACATGTTTGTCTATGAAGAAAATTCAATAGAATCTTTAAAGAAACTCTTGAAACTAACAGGTGAGTTTAGCAAAGCTATACCCTATCAACAAAAAATAAAAAATTAAAATGAAAAACAATTTTTAAGTAGCATAAAAATGCTAGGTACTTACAGAGAAAGCTGAAAAAAACATATATAAGACACACTAAAATCTACAAAATACCACTCAGAAAAAAACTTAAAAGACTTAAGTAAGTGGGGGAAAATATTGGTTCTTGTGTCAGAAGAGGAAATACTTTTTTTTTTTTGAGACAGAGTTTTGCTCTTGTTGCCCAGGCTGAACTGGATTGGTGTGATCTCAGCTCACCACAACTTCTGCCTCCCAGGTTCAAGCGATTCTCCTGCCTTAGCCTCCCGAGTAGCTGGAATTACAGGTATGCACCACCATGCCTGGCTAATTTTGCATTTTTAGTAGAGATAGGGTTTCTTGATATTGGTCAGGCTGGTCTCGAACCCCCGACCTGAGGTGATCTGTCCACCTCAGCCTCCCAAAGTGTTGGGATTACAGGCATGAGCCACCGCGTCTGGCGAGGAAATACTTTTAAGTGGCCAATTTCTCCAAACTGATCCATAGATTTAGTGCAATCCAAACTAAATTCCCAGCAGGACTTTTTTTTTTTAGAAATTGACAGACTGATTCTAAAATTCATATGGAATACAGACAACCTACAAAAGCAAAACAACTCTGAAAAGGGAATACAAAGTTGGAGAACCAACGCTACCCAATTTCAAGACATAATTATAAAGCTACAATACTCAAAGTAGTGTGGTACTCGCATCAAGATAGACAAACAGATAAACAGAAGAGACAGAGCCAAAAAATAGACCCCTTTATGAACTGATTTCCACCAAAGGTGGAAAGGCAATTCAGTAAAGAAAGAACAGTCTTTTAAAGAGATGTAATTGGTAAAATTAAATGCCTATATATATTTTTAAAATCCTTCAATCTGTACATTAAACCGTATATTAATAGAAAGTTTAACTCAAAATGTAAAACCTAAACCTATAAAACTCTAGAAGAAAACATAGGAGAAAAATCCTTGTGACCTGGGCTTAGGAAGAATTACTAGGTATAACATTAGCAGCACAATCCCTAAAAGAACACCAGACAAATTGGACTCCATAAAAGTTAAAAATTTCCGTTTTTGAAAACTATTGGAGGATTTAAAGACAAACTACTGACTGGGAGAAATCTTTGCAAAGCAGATACTTTTGTCCAGAATATATAAAGAATTCTCAAAACTCAACAATAAGAAAACAATTCAAGAAACATTGAGCAAAAATTTAGAACAGACACCTCACCAAAAAAGATATGTAAATGAA
The DNA here is from genome assembly GCF_000001405.40 of Homo sapiens. Classification (NCBI taxonomy): domain Eukaryota; kingdom Metazoa; phylum Chordata; class Mammalia; order Primates; family Hominidae; genus Homo; species Homo sapiens. Next base: position 54,033,329 of record NC_000004.12, on the reverse strand, counting down.
AAATTAGCATTTTTTCAGATGCTCAACATCACTAACCATTAGGAAAAATGCAGATTAAAACCATAATGATAACATTACATACTTATTAGAAGGACTGAAATTAAAAAGACTATGTTAGTCTGTTCTTGCATTGCTATAAGGAAATACCTGAGACTGGATAATTTATAATGAAGAGGTTTAATTGGCTCATGGTTCTACAGGCTGTACAAGAAGCATGGCACTGGCATCTGCTCAGCTTCTGGGGAGGACTCAGCTTATAATCATGGTGGACGATGAAAAGGAGCAGGCATCTCATATGGCAGAGCAGGAGCAAGGGGGTTGGGAGAGGTGCCACACACTTTTAAAAAACCGGATCTTGAGAGAACTCAGCACCAACCTGTGAAGTTATCTGCCCCCATGATCCAATCACCTTCCACGAGGCCCCACCTCCAACACTGGGGATTACATTTCAACATGAGATTTAGAGGGGACACATACCCCAGCTCTTTAAAAGACTATACTAAATGTTGACAAGTATGTAGCAGAGCAGAATCTATCCTACAGTAGTGTGAGATCATAAAATAATAGTACTTCCACTTTTGGCAGTTTCTCAGTTCCTTAAATGCATTTCTATGGATTGACTATAATTTTGGGTTTGTGTATTTATTCATGCAGCTTATGCTGTATGTATTTTGGCACTCTGTAATTAGGTATATAAATTTTCAGGATTTTTGTGATTGACCTCTTTATCATTATAAAATTGACCTGTATTTTTCTCTGAAATTTACTTTGAACAAGACTCCGTCTGCAATCCCGGCACCTCGGGAGGCCGAGGCTGGCGGATCACTCGCGGTTAGGAGCTGGAGACCGGCCCGGCCAACACAGCGAAACCCCGTCTCCACCAAAAAAATACGAAAACCAGTCAGGCGTGGCGGCGCGCACCTGCAATCGCAGGCACTCGGCAGGCTGAGGCAGGAGAATCAGGCAGGGAGGTTGCAGTGAGCCGAGATGGCAGCAGTACAGTCCAGCTTCGGCTCGGCATCAGAGGGAGACCGTAGAGGGAGAGGGAGGGGGAGGGGGAGGGGGAGGGAGAGGATACACCAACTTCTTAACCTTGTTAGTTGTCTTATCTCCTTTATAAAAATGCTTTACTCTTTTAGATATGCTAACCAGAATTATGCCACTTTCTAAAAGTGGTCCCTATATGGATTTATTAAAAATATTGCATATTTTCATTTCCTTTGTGCTTTTATTTATATTTAAAATTGTATCAGGAAATCATTCATTTAGGAATAGGGAAGTGGCCTGTAACATGTGGTGGCTAGAACTTGCATTTTGGTGCTAGAACTAGCTGGATTGGACTGTGACACTTATCAAACCACTCACTCTAAACCCTTCTTTGTAGTGTTGTTTTAAGAATTAGAGCAAGTGGGCTGGGCACTGTGGCTCACTCCTGTAATCCCAGCACTTTGAGAGGCCGAGGCAAGTGGATTGCTTGAGACCAGGCGTTCAAGACCAGCCTGGCCAACATGGTGAAACCCCGTCTCTACTAAAAATACAAAAATTAGCTGGGCGTGGTGACACGTGCCTGTAATCCCAGCTACTCAGAAGGCTGAGACAGCAGAATCGCTTGAACCCAGGAGGTGGAGGTTGCAGTGAGCCGAGATGGCACCACTGTACTCCAGCCTAAGGCTACATAGTGAGACTCTGTCTCACAAAAAAAAAAAAAAAAAAAAAAAGCAAGTACATCTAGGCTACTTAATATAGTATTTTGCCCATAGTAGGTGCTTAGTTCAATGTAGTTACTGTTATTATCATTTTAGTATTATTATTCTCAGTGTTTGTCTTCTTAACTACTGTATCCTCAGTGCTGTCACAGTGCCTAGCATCTACTTGGTGTTCAATAAATATTTGTTGAATAAATGTATTCATCTGGCCTTTAAAATCCTGGCATTAGTAAGATCATAATGTTGCATAAGATATGGTGCTTACTAATAAGAAGAAGATTCCCTGATAAATAGAAGCATCTTGCCTTTTAGAATAAGTAATAGGAGCTCCTACTGCTGTAGGAGCAGTGTGATACAGTATAAAGGATAGTAAACCAATGTTTGAAGCTGGGTGACCTTGAGAGAGTTGCTTAAAACCTCTCTCAGCGTTAGGTTTTTTTTTTTTCCTTTCCTTTTAATCTGAGCAAAGGACAGGCCAGCTGATTTTTCACATATTTTCCAGTTCCAAAAATGTGTAATCGTCTGAAAATTGAGCTTTGTAGGTCTATAAACTATTTCTATTTCCATGCTTTAAAAAGAATCCAGGAGTGGTGGCATGCACCTGTAATCCCAGCTACACAAGAGGCTGAGGCAGGAGAATTGCTTTAACCTGGGAGGCGGAGGCAAAGGTTGCAGTGAGCCAAGATTGCGCCACTGCACTCCAGCCTAGACGACAGTGAGACTCCGTCTCAAAAAAAAAAAAAAATTCTCAATGTTAATTTTTATTTTAAAGCCTAAGAATTAGCATTTTAGGCCAGGTGCGGTGGCTCATTCCTGTAATCCCAGCACTTTGGGAGGCTGAGGCAGGAGAATCACTTGAACCTGGTAGGCAGAGGTTACAGTGAGCCGAGATCGTGCCATTGCACTCCAGCCTGGGCAACAAGAGCAAAACCTCATCTCAAAAAAAAAAAAAAAAAATTAGCATTTTAGTAAATATAAACATATATATATGTGTGTATATATATTTATATATTTTATAAATATAGATTTATACATTTATATATTGTATATGTGTGTGTGTGTGTGTGTATACATATATATATATATTTTTTTTTTTTTTTCTTTTGAGATAGGGACTCTCTTGCCCAGAGTGGAGTGCAGTGGCATGATCATGGCTCACTGCAGCCTGGACCTCCTGGGCTCAAGTGATTCTCCCACCTCACCCTCCCAAGTAGGCGGGACTGTAGGCACACACCACCATGCCTGGCCAATTTAAAACAAAACATTTTTGTAGAAATGAGGTCTCTCTGGGTTACCCCAGCTGGTCTTTAACTCCTGGGTTCAAGCAATCCTCCAGCCTCGGCCTCCCAAAGTGCTGGGATTACAGGCATGAGCCACCGCACCTGGCCATCATTGTAATAAATATTTTAATATAGGTTTCTTAGGTTTTTTCTTTTCTGAATTTTTTTAAAGATAATTGCTATTTAGTTTTTGAAACCTTTGCTAAGATGCCTGTATTTCTCTCATGTAAAGTATTTTGTATGCATACAAATAAATGGTAATCCAGTTCACTGTATTTTTTTTTAGTTGAGATTCTAGTTTACTTATGTTTCTTCTGAATATCTTTGCTCTCAAGTTCAAGTTTAGTTATCCAATAATTGTGACTTACTCTGGTTAGGGGTATAGTAGTGTTGAGAATCTAAATGGGAGAAGTGAATAGTAAAGTTTTGTTTTTAAGTTAGAATGCAACTTTGTAAGACTTAAAGAAATTCAAAGGAAAGTGAACCTGGGGGAATCATAAGCAGAAAGCTAAGAATATTGGTATATGGGAGGAATATAAAATATCCTTATTCAGTTATACCGATGTATTAAAAATTATCCAAAACTTTCAGAACTGATTTACTCTGTGTTTGGGATTGACCATTTATAGTCAGTAACTCTGAGTCATAAAATGAGAAAGAAACATTTAGATGAAGAATCAGATAAAGAAAAATACCTCTAACAACATAATACAGATATTGCAACAAGGCAGAACAAATTTGAAATTATATTGAAATTCTAGTGAAGTGAGAATCCAAAGTAATTTCTAGTGAACAAGGAATGATGAATGAAATGTAGTCTTATAACTGCTGTTGTTATTGATTGAAGATGTGGAAAATCAATGCTATTTTTTTAGAATGCTATTCAATTTGCCTTATTTTGGTAAATATAACAAATATTCATGTGGTCAATAATGGTCTTAATCTTCATTACCCTATATTTCTTGTCTTTCATATGATTTTATTCCAGAGGTTTTTCAGGAACCTGATCTTTCTTGTGCAGAGGATGTTTATACTGTTCTAATGTACAGTGATAGACTTAGCAATATAAAATAGAACATAGAGAAATTTCTGTCCAGTAAATTTAGAGAAACAAACTTGAGTTATGGTTTGTATTTAAATCAGAAACATCTTTCTTTTACACTTAATAAAACCTTTCACATCATATTTGATATTTGACTTTTGTTTTTTTTTTTTTTTCTTTGAGATGGAGTCTCGCTCTGTCAGCAGGCTGGAGTGCGGTGGCGCGATGTTGGCTCACTGCAATCTCCACCTCCCCAGTTCGAGTGATTGTCCTGCCTCAGCCTCCAGAGTAGCTGGGGCTATAGGTGCACACCACCACGCCTGGCTAATTTTTTGTATTTTAGTAGAGACGGGGTTTCACCATGTTGGCCAGGATGGTCTTAATCTTCTGACCTCATGATCTGCCCACCTCGGCCCCCCAAAGTGCTGGGATTACAGGCGTGAGCCGCTGCGCCCAGTCGATGTTTGACTTTTGCACCTACTTAAATGTAATTTAAGATAGAAACACTTAGTTTATAATACCAGTTATTCCAAATGGCTAAATTCCTGATGTTTAACTTGAAAGATTTTGCTATAAAATGGAAAATATGTGTTGATATGCAATGAAATAATAGACTACAAGGAACAAATGAAGAGAAAGATAATTATTGTATACCGGCTATTAGCAAGGCACATTACATACATTCTCTTTTAATTTAATCTTCATAACACCCTATGTGGAAAATATCATGGTAACATCAGAAAGTTGAGTCCTTACTCACTCTTTACCAGTGATGGAGTTAATCAATTTACATGTACTGTATTCTTACAAAATTACAAATCAGATATTCAGATTATTTTAAGGATGAGAAAACTGAGGCTCAGAAGTCAAGTAACCTATTTGAGATCTCCCAGTTTATAAAGTTAAGCCAAACTAGAATTCCAATCTTACAGCTCAAAATTTCATGCTTTTCCTGCTATTTTAAAGAGCTACAAAAATCAAGCTATTTTTTATTATTAAAATTTGACTTTATACCTACCAGCAGAGAGAGAGGTTTTAGAGCTTTGGAAGGAATTTAAAAGATTTCATGAGTTAGGAAATTCAGGCCTATGGGTTATAATTTACCTAATTTGTCCAGTTGATTGATAAATGGTAACAATATCCAAGCATTATTATATTAACTTTTGCAGTACTTTAGTTGTTTAGCAGATTTTTCTTTGTAAGTATTTTTTCTTAATATTTAAATAAGTTTGTATTTCTTGAAGACACAAACAGTAAAGGAAAGAAACTGTAAAGCAGGTAAAGTGGGTATAGGAGAAAAATATACATTTTAAGCAGATTTTATACAAAGTTATAGTTGGACAACCAAGAGTTGATATATTGCCTTTGCTTCTGTTTTGCTTTTATAAAAACAAATGAAAATCAACATCCTGTCTTTGAAAAGTTATTTATTAGGTTCCTACTCCCTAGCAAATAAGTTTACATGACTTCTGGTAAAGTTATTTTTCTTCTAGTATTAGATCCTTTCTTGAAACTTGTGTATTTACTTTTAGAGAGATTGAGAATGACATGTAATGAGTGCATGTCCCATGCAGTAAAGATGGGACAGGAACTCTGAATGAAAGAACTGGGTTTTCTTTATCTAGCCCTAGGCATTTAATTTGTGGTTTCTTGCCCCTTCTTCACTATCTTCCCCATTATAAGATACAGAATAATGAAATAGGTTTGACCTTTTTGAAATCTTATTTCAGTCCCTTTACAAAAGGGGTCCTGCATAAAAGATTTCTCATAACTAGATGAATACATTTACTGCAGTTCCATTTTAAAGAATGCTTTGGCCTTGAAACTTAAACAGATTCTTATGTAAATTACTGCCATTATTATGAACACTAGTGACAATTTGTTTTTAATTAAAATTAAACCGCATTACTAAGTTTTCATCATAAAAGAGGATACTCATAAAAATGTAAACTTTGAGCCTTAAAAATGCAGAGGTAGCACTGTAAAGATATGCTAGAATGCTTAGAAAATGTGTTTTGTCAACAGCTGGCTGACATTCATTTCTCTGTAAATATTTAGAACATAGTATTGGTGTGGTGGTTTATAGAAGGATTTGCACCTATCTTCTGTGACCTGAGTTTTTAATATGAGATACTGTATTTTTCAATTCTAGGGTGTCCATTTGCTGTTTTTTAAAATAGATTCCAGTTTTCTTTTGAAATTCTTCGTTTTTTCATCCAGCTTTCTACTTTCTTTTCTTGAACACATTAATCATAGTTTTAGAGTAAGTTGATTATTCAAGGCCGATAGCCTTGTTAGTGGCTAAGAAAACTTGCATGTCATACATATGTTATTTGTCTCAGGATAATATCTGTAAAAAAGTTCGATTTACAAAAATTTTTCATTATAAAATCATGAATGGCCTTGAAATTAACAACAAATGTATGTAAAATATAATTGAAATGAAACCATTAAGATTTTAAAGTGAAAGGAAGAAGGGTGGATTTAGTGAAGTGACTGCATTAGTCAAGAAGAGAAAGGCATAAAAGTAGACAAGAAAGAGAAGTAAACAGATTAAAATGAAACTTAAAAGACAAAAACTGTCAGAGTTTGGCATACTAGGAAATAAAAAAGGTGAAGGGCAGAGGAGGAGGTGTATAAAGATTTATTATCTCTGTTTTCCAGCTTTGTTTAGTAGATGGATACTAGGGCCATTCCTTTATTCATCTCAGAATAATATCTGTAAAATATCCATAACATATCTGTAAAAAAGAAAAGTTCTTGACAAAAATTCTTTTTTTTTGAGACAGAGTCTCATTCTGTCACCCAGGCTGGAGTGCAGTGGCACACTCTTGGCTCACTGCAACCTCCACCTCCCGGGTTCAAGCAGTTTTCCTACCTCAGTCTCCCAAGTAGCTGGGGCTACAGGTGCACACCACCATGCCTGGCTAATTTTTGTATTTTTAGTAGAGTTGGGGTTTCACCATGTTGGCCAGGCTGGTCTCAAATTCCTGACCTCAAGTGATCCATCCACCTCCACCTCCCAGTGTTGTGATTACAGGTGTGAGCCAAACAAAAAAAAACAAAAAAATTGTTTTTTTGTGATAGTATTATAATAGTTCTATAGCATGATGAAAAGAACAGGAAATTGAAGGCCATTTAATCCTGGTTTCAGATCCGAGCTCCATCATTTCCTAGTATAGATTTACATTTCTTCACCTCTGTAAGCTTTAGTTTTCATATGTAAAAAGAAAGTAGTCCAAGCCGCCATATAGGCTTGTTGTGCAGATTAAGTAAGGTAATAAAAGCAAGACACAACATGGGATCAGACCCAAAGTGAGGATCCACAAATGCTGGTTCCTTATCTCTTCTTGTTTCTCCAGTTGTGTTATCATCCATCAGCAGGTGATTTTCTTTTACCCCTTTCTTCTTGTTTTTTAAAACAATTCCTATTTTTTTTTTTTTTTTGAGACAGGGTCTTACTCTGTTGCCCAGGGTGGAGTGCAGTGACACGTTCACTGCAGCCTTGACCTCCCAGGCTCGAGTGATCCTCCCACCTCAGCTTCCCAAGTAGCTGGGACCACATGTGTGCAGCACCATCACACCTGGCTGATTTTTGTAATTTTTGTAGACATGGGTTTTCACCATGTTGCTCAGGCTGGTCTCGAACTTCTAGGCTCAAGTGATCCGCCCTTCTCGGTATCCCAAAGTGCTGGGATCACAGGCGTGAGCTATTGCGCCCGGCCTTTACCCCTTTTCTACCTGTTGGTCCTAAGTGTCTCATGCATCCGTGCGAAGAGACCACCAAACAGGCTTTGTGTGAGCGACAAGGCTGTTTATTTCACCTGGGTGCAGGCGGGCTGAGTCTGAAAAGAGAGTCAGCAAAGGGTGGTGAGATTATCATTAGTTCTTACAGATTTTGGGATAGGCAGTGGAGTTAGGAGCAATGTTTTGTGGGCGGGGGTGGATCTCACAAAGTACATTCTCAAGGGTGGGGAGAATTACAAAGAACCTTCTTAAGGGTGGGGGAGATTACAAAGTACATTGATCAGTTAAGGTGGGGCAGAAACATCACAGTGGTGGAATGTCATCAGTTAAGGCTATTTTCACTTCTTTTGTGGATCTTCAGTTGCTTCAGGCCATCTGGATGTATATGTGCAGGTCACAGGGGATATGATGTCTTAGCTTGGGCTCAGAGGCCTGACATTCCTGTCTTCTTATATTAATAAGAAAAATAACATAAAATAGTGTTGAAGTGTTGGGGCAGCAAAAATTTTGGGGGGGCGGGTGGTATGGAGACATAATGGACGATGTTTCTCAGGGCTGCTTTGAACGGGATTAGGGGCGGCGTGGGAACCTAGAGTGGGAGAGGTTAAGTTGAAGGAAGATTTTGTGGTAAGGGGTGATATTGTGGGGTTGTTAGAAGAAACATTTGTCATATAGAATGATTGGTGATGGCCTGGATACAGTTTTGTATGAATTGAGAAACTAAACAGAAGTTAGAAGGTCTGAATAAAAGAAGGAGAAAAACAGGTATTAAAGGACTGAGAGTTGGGAGGACCCAGGACATCCAATTAGAGAGTGCCTAAGGGGGTTCAGCATAATTACTTGCTTGGTTGGCGAATTTTTGGGCTCTATCCTTGAGTTTTATTATGTTGTCATATACCAGGCCAGATTGATTTACAGAAAAACAACACTCTTTATTTAAAAATATACGGAGTCCCCTTTTTTTAGCAGTGAGTAAGTCAGGGCCTCGGTGATTTTGGAGAAAAAAGAAATGCAAAGCCAGCAATTGTTTGTTAAAGAAGGATTAGAAATGGCTAGGAGAGAGTGAGTGCGATTGATAGTGTGATAGAGATAGCTGGGGAGAGGTAGTGGGTGGCATAAGAACGGGAACAAGAATAAGAATGAGTATAAAAGTAAAGAATAAGACTTCATCAGGGTGAAAGTATTGGAGTGTGTTCTGTCAGCAAAGATCATCTATCCACTCCAAGAGGGAGGCAAGAGTGGTGGATTGGGGATAGATTTTCACGATGGAAAGGAAATGAGAGGTTTTAAGAGATGGGCTAGCGGCTTGTAACCTACATGGAAGAGGTTATGAAATGACGACAGAATAGAATGGGCCTGTGAGGCTGGAAGGAGATATTTTCCTTGGTCCAAGAACCATTTGCCTTGTGTAGGAAGACATTGATAGGTGGAAGTTTTAGTGGCAGAGTAGGTGGGAGTGACTGACGAGAAGGAGAAAAACTGGCCATGAGGGGCAGAAGTTGGAACGCTAGCTGCTTGTTTAGCTACCTTATCAGCATAAGCGTTGCCCTGAACGATGAGATCTGACACCTTTTGATGGCCCTTGCTTGCAGTGAATGACTCCAGCTTCCTTTGGAAGTAAAGCGGCCTTGAGAAGAGTTTTTATTAAAGAGGAATTAATGATGGAGGACCCTTGCACGGTGAGGAAACCTCTTTCAGCCCATATAACAGCACGGTGGTGCAGGATATGGAAGGCATATTTCGAGTCAGTATAGATATTGATGCGTAGTCCTTTTGCAAGAGTGAGGGCTCAGGTTAAGGCATGAGTTCGCCTTGCTGAGAGGTAGTGGAGAGGGGCAGAGCGGTAGCCTCAATGATAGATGTGGAAGATACTATAGCATAGCCTGCCTTTGTTGGTGAGTGGCGATTAGGCCTGGTGGAACTGCCATCAATAAACTGAGTGTGATCAGGATGGGGAAGAGGAAAGAAGGAAATATGGGGAAATGGAGTGAATGTCAAGTGGATCAGAGAGATACAGTCATGGGGGTCAGGTGTGGTATCCAGAATAATGTGGGAGGCCAGATTGAAGTCCAGGCCAGAAACAGTGGTAATTGTGGGAGACCCAAAGAGTGAGTATAGCTGAAGGAGCCGGGGAGCAGAAAGTATATGCATCAGGTGGGAGGAAGAAAATAGATTTTGGAAGTTATGAGAACTGTAGAGAGTGAGTTGAGCATAGTTTGTGATTTTTAGGGCCTCTAAAAGTATTAGAGCGGCGGCAGCCTCTGCACGGAGACATGATGGCCAGCCTAAAATAGTAAGGTCAAGTTGTTTGGACAGAAAGGCTACAGGGCACGGTTCCGGCTCTTGTGTAAGAATTTTGACCGCAGAGCCCAGTACTTTGGCTGTGTGTAATGAAAAGGGTTGGGATGAGTTAGGGAGAGCTAGCGTGGTGGCAGCTTCTAGGGCTGTTTTTAAGGAATGGAAAGAGGAGTGGCGAAAGGAATTAGGATCTATGGGGTCAGCTAGGTTTGCTAGGACAGAATAATGGGTTGTGGAGGGAGGTATTGAGGATAGAGTATATGGGTTTGGCACCACAGGGTGGCTAGGCAAGACAATTTGGTTGCTAAGGCACAGATCCTGAACTAACCTATAAGACTTGTCAGGTTTTTGACAAGGTAAAATGGGGGAATTGTAAGGAGAGTTTATAGGCTTTAAAAGGCCATGCTGTAACAGGCAAGTGATAACAGGCTTTAATCCTTTTAAATCGTGCTGTGGGATGGGATATTGGCATTGAGCGGGGTAAGGGTGATTAGGTTTTAATGGGATGGTAAGGGGCATGTGATCGGTTGCTAGGGAGGGAGTAGAGGTGTCCCGTACCTGTGCGTTAAGGTGGAGGGATACAAGAGGAAGATGTGAAGGAGGCTTTGGGTTGGGAAGAAGGGTGGCAATGAGGTGTGGCTGTAGCTTAGGAATAGTCAGGGAAGCAGATAATTTAGTTAAAATGTCTTGATCTAATAAGGGAGCTGGGCAGGTGGGGATAACTAAAAAGGAGTGCATAAAAGAATGTTGTCCAAGCTGGCATCAGAGTTGGGGAGTTTTAAGAGGTTTAGAAGCCTGGCCATCAATACCCACAACAGTTATGGGGGCAAGGGAAACAGGTCGTTGAAAATAAGGTAATGTGGAGTGGGTAGCCTCCATATTAATTTAGAAGGAGACGGACTTACCCTCCACTGTAAGAGTTACCCAGAGCGTCTGTGATGGTCCAGGAAGCTTCTGAGGCGATCGGGCAGCGTCGGTCTTCAGCCACTAAGCTGAGAAGATCTGGGAAGAAGTCAGTCAGAGAGCCTTGGGCCAGAGTTCCAGGGGCTCTGGGAGTGGCTGCCGGGCGAGTTGGACAGTCTGATATCCAGTAGGGTCCTGTACAAATGGGACACGGCTAAGGAGGAATCCCGGGCTGCAGGGCATTCCTTGGCTCAGTGGCCAGATTTCTGGCACTTGAAGCAAGCTCCTGGGGAAGAGGTTCTGGAGGAACCCCTGGCAGCTGCACTTCAGGTGTTTGGAGTTCTTGTGTGCTGGCAATGTAGCTGGGGTTTGTCTCACAGTGGAGGCAAGGAACTGGAACTTAGAAATACATTGCTACTTGGCTGCCTCTACTCTATTATTGTACACCTTGAAGGCGAGGTTAATTAAGTCCTCTTGTGGGGTTTGAGGGCCAGAATCTAATTTCTGGAGCTTTTTTTAATGTTGGGAGTGGGCTGGTTAATAAAATGTATATTGAGAATAAGACAGCCTTCTGGCCCCTGTGGGTCTAGGGCAGTAAAACGTCAAAGGGTTGTTGCCAAACGGGCCATGGACTGGGCTGCGTTTTTATATTTGATGAAAAAGAGCCTAAACGCTAACTGATTTGGGAGAGGTCGGATAAAGAAAAAGGAACATTAACCTTGACTATGCCTTCAGCTCCAGTCACCTTTTTAAGAGGAAATTGTTGGGCAGGTGGGGGAGGGCTAGTCGCGGAATGAAACTGTAAGCCAGAATGGGTGTGAGGGGAGTTGATAAAAAGATTATAGGGTCGGGGAGCAGAGGCTGAGGAAGAATTGGGACCTGGCTCAGCCTGTTGAGGAGCAGCCTGGGGAGGAGAGGTCATATGGGTCTGTAGAAAAGGAGGATTCAAAGGACTCAGAGCTTGGTGTGGAGACTGAAGGAACAGACAGGAGAGAAAGAAGAAAGATTTGGGATGAGTCGCATTGGGAGCAGAGACTAGGGAGGGACCAATGTGTAAAAGAATGCCTGGATGTCAGGCACCTCAGACCATTTGCCCATTTTTCGACAAAAATTATCTAGATCTTGTAAAATGGATTTTCTGGCTATTTAGAACCATTATCGAGTTTGTATTGGGGTCAAGCGGTATTGCAGAAGAAAATAAGGCATTTAGGTTTTAGGTCAGGTGTGAGTTGAAGGGGTTTTAAGTTCTTGAGAACACAGGCTAAGGGAGAAGAAGGGGGAATGGAGGGTGGAAGGTTGCCCATAGTGAAGAAGGTAAGTTTAAAGAGAAAGGTAGAGACACGGAGAAGCGGGGTGGTGGGGAGCAGCCCTGGGCTGCAGTGTGGGTGAGGAGCCAAAGCAGGCATCCCCGCAATTGACTTGCCACCATGGGAATGTGGGTGAATGACCAAGGCAGGCGTCCCTGCAGTGATCAGACACCAGTGAATTGTGGGTGAATAATCAGGCAGGCGTCTCTGCAATGATTAAACACCAAGGGAAGGCTGTCTTCCCGAGTCTGTGACTGGCGCCAGAGTTTTGGGTCCATGGATAAAATGTGTCTCCTTTGTCTCTACTAGAGAGGAAAAAGAACTGGAATTGGAAGGGCAGGGAGATTGAAGGGTAGCGAGAGAGGCTGGAGAAGAGAGTGAAAAGACCGCTTACCCGATTTGAAATTGGTGAGATGTTCCTTGGGCTGGTTGGTCTGAGGACCCGAGGTTGTAGGTGGATCTCCTCATGGAGTGAGGCGAGGACAGGGGACTGGTCTTCCGAAGGAGTCCCTCTGACCCGGGTCTTCAGCACCAAATGTCTCACGCGTCAGTGTGAAGAGACCACCAAACAAACTTTGTGTGAGCAAGAAGGCTGTTTATTTCACCTGGGTGCAGGCGGGCTGAGTCCAAAAAGAGAGTCAGCAAAAGGTGGTGGGATTATCATTAGTTCTTACAGGTTTTGGGATAGGCGGTGGAGTTAGGAGTGGTGTTTTGTGGCAGGGGGTGGATCTAACAAAGTACATTCTCAAGGGTGGGGAGAAATACAAAGAACCTTCTTAAGGGTGGGGGCGATTACAAAGCACGTTGATCAGTTAAGGTGGGGCAGAAACAAATCACAGTGGTGGAGTATCATCAGTTAAGGTTATTTTCACTTCTTTTGTGGATCTTCAGTTGCTTCAGGCCATCTGGATGTATACGTGCAGGTCACAGGGGATATGATGGCTTAGCTTGGGCTCAGAGGCCTGACAGTAAGCACTGATTCTTTCTTTTGTAATTACATATATTTTTAAAAATTCCTGATAGCCGTACTTTTTATTTTATTTGCATAGTGAAATTCCTTTGTCTTATGAACAGTTTTTCTAATATTCTGTGGTCAGTTGAAACTATATTTATTAATTTTTATCTCTTAATTTTTTGGATAATTTTTTTTTAACAATAATAGTGACATATTTGCTGCCCAAATTCAAGGAGACCCTTCCTGCACCCTGCCCCAACCCAAGCGCATTTTTATTTGACTAGATTATTGAAACCAAAAGAACCCTTTGAGACCGAGTGGGATGATTGCTTAGTGGAAATAGGTCAGGCAGAAGATGGGTCAGATGGGGACCTCAAAACTTAATTTTAGTTTTTTAAAATGTTAGTATTTTCTGAAATGGTACTCAGAGTTAGTAGATAACCCCCTTTAAATTGTGCATGTTTGTGTACATGTTTCTTTTTTTCTGCAGAGAGAGAATCCCTATCTTTCATAATTCATAACCAGTATAACCTAAACAAGTTAATATTCTCTCACTAGCCTAGATCGTAAACTTGATGAAATTCTGTTTAAGATTAGCACCTATTAAGACACTGCTCAGTACTAGAGGATATTTTTGATTCACAAAATTTTAGCAATTTTTTTTAGCGTATTTCTATCTAAAAATATTACTTTTAACAAATAGCACATGATACTTCAGTGGGTGTTTTAATATATCTAGATTATTTAAAAGTTAATGTTCATATTAAAATTTTAAAAGGTGCTTTAATGTACAGGAAAGGAATTTGTTTAAAAATCCTTTTGAGAAATCATATTCTAGTTTTTTTTTGTTTTTTGGTGAATCTAGGCTTTTCACGTAGCATAATACTGTGATATAATTATTTAATTTTCTGCACATCACTGGAATATAAAATTTCATATTAATCCAGAATGAGCAGAAGTGAATAATATAATTTCCTCTTAAGTTCTCTTATGTTAAAATAATTCATTTTAAATTATATATGGTTTCTCCCTAATAACTTACAGCTAAAGACATTGTTTTACTTAACAAATTCAATTTACACAGATGTCTAAAGATGAATAGCATTCTTATTTGAAAAATATAAGTTAAAAACAAGATTATGAATATATTCAAAACATTTTAGTTAAAGGTTAATTAATGCATTATAGATTTAAGAGTTTAAAATTTAAGTAGGGAATTGAACATTTGAAATTTTGCTTTCCCATTTTGTGATGGTATGAATAAATCCAATTCAAATACATTTTAATTATAGGTTTAAATAGGTGAACTTTTATAAATAGTTATTAGTGAGTATTCTGTACATTTTATTAGCATATCATAGCATATTTTTGTTCTAAAGACTGATAATACTATTTTATTGGGAAATATTAAGATAAACTTTGTTACAGTTTCTACACTTAACATTTTTTTTCTTTAGCTCTCAATACTCTAAAATTTATGAGATTTCCATTGGTTTTATTAGTAATGTCTAGAAAACCACTTCTTTGTAAAACCATGTTTTCAAACAATTGATTGTGATTAAATGAGTCATTGGGAATTAGGAAACTCTTAAGTAACCAGTGGTGGCAAAGTAGGAGATTAATACCTTAAAGATTTTCTAAATGGCTCTTTGCTGTCCTGGAAGACTAATTTATATCTAATGGCATTTAATTTGTTTATAGGGAATAATATTAATAATTTATTCCTAAGAAAGTTACAGTATTTAGGAAAAATTACAAAAATACATAATAATTCAAATTTGAATTTTCAGGAAATCTTAGTTTTCTATTGCAGTAATTGAGTTTGTCTAGGTGTATGTGTGCTTTGCTGTTATAAGCTTACTTTAGATGCTTCTTTGGAAGGTATGTCTTATTTGGGTATGTCTTATCTAATATTGCTGATTAATCATTACCATATTAGCCATTTTATGAATTACTGAGGCCCTTTTAGTTCTCTTTCCGTTTTCATGTTTTTCCTATTTTCACAATTCTACCAAAAATCTAAAAGGGACCAAAGGCAATATAAATAGAAGCCAAAATTTCTATTCTTATGTTACTACTACTTGTTGCTCAACTTAAGTCTGTTTAATACCTATTCAGTAATTGAAATGATATTTTTTAAATCTCCTGTTAATTTTTACTTTCACAAAGCTGAATGGCTGTATTAAAACTAGTTCACCAATGAGAAAAATATAACCACTAAGGTGTGGAAATGAAGAAATGTGTGTTTTGTTTTTGTTTTTGTTTTTGTTTTTTTAAAGAAAAAGGGTTATTTAAAGTGAGCTGAGGGAGATGGGTGGGATCCAGATGCTTGGAGCTGTCTACTTCCAGACCAGGTTAGTAACATGACGCCATTCACACAAAAAAGTTGTTTTTCCTGCATATTGTGAGTTGGTGGTCTTGGTCCTTTTAATTAAAGATAAGAATACTTGATAAAATTACATTTCTTGTTGATCATCTTTTGCAGAAAGACGGAGAATTACATTGGTAAAGAACCGCTAACCTGTCCCCTCACCCCCAGGGTGTGAGCAGTGAAAAGGATTAAGGCCCACTGTAGGGAAGCTTACACTAAAGCCTGCACTGCCCCTTCCCCTGTTCTTTCAGCTAAATAGATTTTTAGTTCCCATGACTATCAATCTGGTGCTTTTCACAAGCACTAAATTCTCTTAAAGAAAATTAAAGATGACTTATTTTTTTAGAAACTGGCCTGGAATACTGAAAGATGGTGTTTTTTGGTACTTTGTTTCATGTTGACAGATCCCATACATATTTTTTTCTGATGCATGTTAATTTGCTTCAGCTTGTTTTGAATTTGGAGTTGAAATAAACATTTAAAAACCAAGGACAGGTTGTTATATGATTAGATTTGCTTGTCCACAGTTAGCAAGTGTAGAGTTCGACACTGTTGAATCTTACATTTCATTAGAAATAGCTACCTGACAGCCTTGTGGACATAAACTCTTTAACTTTTATCTAGATGACTACAATTATAAAGTGCTTTCTTTTAAAAGCTTTTAAGTAGCTTTTATAAATGCTGAAGTGTCATTTTTTTTAGTATCTGCCAAATTGGTATTGTATTTAATCTTGAAAATATATTTTGATTTTCTTAACTAACAATAATTGCATAGTATTAAACATTCTCAGTAGCTCAACCTTTTTTTTTTCTATTTAATTTGAGCTTTTGTTGTTACTAACAAATAATTTGTGGCACAGTTTCTTTCCTTTTTTTTTTAAATGACTGCTAGAATCTATATACTTGTCACCTTAGTGTGCTAGAAATGTTCCACTCAAATCAAGGGTTCCTTTCTGGTTTTGTATGTTCTCACCTGCTCCTCACTGTAAATCATTGAGATGTCAAGTGCAATGATTAATTAAGCTGCACGTGCAAGTGCTTTTTTTTTCACCTGTCAAGCAGGAAAGAAGTCTTATAGCAAAATTAGATGGTGCTAATTCACAGCTTTTACTTCAGACTGTGAAGTGTGTAGAAATATTTTATATTTATATGCTTATTCAGAATGTGGCATATCAGGGCTTGTTTGTTTTATAATTCTTAAATATTGTAAGATACAATTATTATACCAAGCCCTATCATTAAACTCCTAATTATAAACAGAGAAGAAATTCAGAATTCCTACTTAAATATTTTGGAATTCAAGATTTATACTTTGTAATTATCTTTTATTCAAATACTAGTAGTTGATTTAAGTTAAAGTAAATATTTTTAAGTTTTAAAATTGTGTGTATGTATGTGTCTATATATCATAATGAGATCTATTCTTATTATAGCATGGGTTTAAACTTCTGATGAAATGATGGTGGTAACTACATTTTTTTCTTTAAGTAATAAGTATTTGCAGAATGTAGTATTAAGCTTTTGGGTACTATTTTATACATTAATATAAAACAGTGGGCTTGGAAAACTTGTTCTGCTCTAGTTCTTTCATCATCCACCCACCCCCAAAATCATCAGTAAAAGTAAAACCTCAAATTGTATAGTAATCTTAATCTATTATTAAAAGGCCCTAGAAAGAAAGATTACAAGGTAGATTCAGGTTTTGAATCGGTTTTGCCATTGGTTTAGCAGCGGGTGGGCAGGCAGATGCCTGCTCAGAGTAGAACCTATTGCCATTTTTCACCATTGATAGAGTAGCCTTTCAGAGTCAATGAGCTCTGTCAATGTGAGCTTGTCAAGGCTACAACTTCATAGACCTGAGAGGCGGTTTGAGAGGTCAGCCCTTTTCAGGTTCGCTGTGATGCAAATGAACTTTAATGCTTAAACAACTATTGGAATTTTTATGTCTGCTCCTTGTTCTTTTTTCTTCACAAAGTCATTGACGAGACATTCAGTGCTTTTTAAATTGGAAGTTGCATTGTGCTAAAGACCTAGTACAGATTTACGGAGGGCTGAAAGCAGTTAGATCATGTTCTTTTCATGGTGCGATTAGAATCAAATCGATTTCCCTACAGCCTTCAGCATTCAGATGGCAATTTTAACAAAGCTTGGGGGCTAGACAAGGGACAAAACGACCGAACTGAATGTTAATTACACTCTGCAGCCTTATTTTCTTTTGATTTGGGGCTGACTGGCAACTAAATTAACAAAAAGTGTGACCATAACTGCTGCCCTATTTTCATTTAAAAGGAGAGCTGCCTCTAAAAGGCTATCTTTACAAAGAAACAAGTGAGGTCTGCTGATCATTGTTAACAAGGGCACTTTTTTTTCTTTAAAATTCTTGCCAAAAAGACTCTTCAGAAAAAGTAATGTAATAAATTAGTCATTGGCATATTATTACCCAGGGAAGTAGTTGATTTTCCGATTTTTATGACATAAGCTTGGAAAATGTAAGGCAGTAGTCGTAATTCATTGGTAGTTATGAATTATAATTGGCATCTATGTGACTTTGGTGTGTCTTTAGCATGTTTAATATGCTAAAAGGTAATGTAACTATTTAAAGTAGATACTTTAAATACATATTAAAATTTTATTATGTAACATTAAACTGTTCAAACCCAGCTTGATCCTAACAGTTTTTCACCTAGCTAATCCTTGCTTGACACGCAAATTTTCATATTTGATTACTAGTACTTCTTTATACCACATTAATAGTGGTAAGATGTTTTTTTCTTTCTCTTGCAAGAAAAGTGCAGCTGAACCAAGTTGCAAGTTGATCCTGGTGGCAACACTGTCATTTTTGCACCTGCAGCTGTGTCAGTCTCATCCTAACACCTGGCACCATGAATTACCCTCTTTTATTCATATTCTCAAGCAAGAAACATTTCATGCAGCATAGCATATCTTGCAAAAATCAACTGAAGTAAATTCTCAGTTGATTCCTGAAACAGTAGTATTGAATTAAGAGTTTGATTTTACTATCAGATGACACTTTTATGTTGGTTTAAATAAAATTTTGGCTCTGTTCAAAAAATCTATTGGTAGAATAATCAGTAAGCTGGCTTTTAAATATGGGCATTATTTTAAGCATGATGTGAAAATTAATTTGATTTTATAACTCATTGATTTTTTTAATATTCCAATTTTTTGTTTTGGAACTTACTGAAAGGCCATTTGCATTTTGTTAACTAATATTTACTTTTGTTTTAAAATATGTATTAAGGAACTTCCGTTACTATTTAAGTATTGGAAACATTTTTGAAAGAAGTGGGAATTTAATTTTATTTGGCAGATGACATTAGCTTTTTAAACCTTGATAGTTTTAAATCAGAGGCTAGTAAAAAAAGATTCGTATGATAAAAATAAAGGCATATCTTTTTTAAGAAAGAGTACTCTTTTGTGTTCAGGTTACCATTTAGTGCTTAGAACATCGATAGTGATGCACACCACACTATACTCAGTCACTGTCTTATACCTCTCCCCTTTTCACAGAAAAAGCAGCTGCAAAACAAAGTTTTCTAAAACCAGTCAAGAGTAAACTTTTTTCTCATTTGTCTTCCAGACACGAAGATCGATTGAGAAGTTATTAGAATGGGAAAACAATAGGTTATACCACAAGGTGAGTACCACAGGGAGCAGCTTCGTACTGTTGGGGTCTGAATTGCACAGTATGGAAACAGATGCTTTTGTTGAACTAAAAATATGAAAGGTGGACAAATGGGTTAGTCTGTGTGCTGCAATAAAATAGAGCTCATTTTTCTTCTTTTACTTTCCTACTTGTCTAGCTGTGCTTGCATTGGAGACTGAGCAAAAGGAAATGTGAAACGAATAACATGATGGAATATGTAAGTTAAAGGGCTGTTTTGTGAGTTTCTCTATTAAATGATCATTTATTTTGCTTCTGATCTTATTCTTTCCATGATTATTAATCAGCAAAGGTGTCAGGAGCTTAATCTCCTGAGTGCAAGGATTTTCTACGGTTCACAGATGCATGGTTTCATGTGCAAGACTGATTTATAAAGTTATGAATGACTTGAAAACAAGGCTTCACTGTGTTCTGAAAAATAATAAATTAATTGCCAAGATAAAATAGCCTGAACATGTGTTGATGGAGTGTGAAATTTTAGATGCTGTATAAAGAATAACCACAACTTTGGTTACGCAGCAAGTCAGATATGGCTTTTTTATATAATGCTAATCAAGTTTCCAAGTATGGAAGAAAACCTTTCAGCCAAGCCATTGGAGCTTAAGAAACCTTTACCCTTTATAGATTTTAACTGCCCGTACCTCAGTGCCCTTTAAAGAATCTCTTTTAAAGTGTTATTAGAATACTGCTTTGTAAAAATTAAAAGTAAGCAGGAGATGAGATGTTGATCATCTTGTGTTTACTTGTTAAAAAATATCTAATTTGGCATATATATACAATGAATTTTAGAACTTACTCAGCATGGGATTTAATTTACTGACTCCATGATTTACTTGAACAGTTTTTCTCCTTTTGAAAATTTCAGAATACTCTAGAAAATTAAGAATTTTAATTCTCTTTTGAGCTTGGATATTTTATTTTAAATATGGCCAGGTTATTACTTTAAAAGAAAAGATCTAAGGAAAAGTTAATAGTTGAAAATAAAACTCAGAGCCTTTGTGAAGTACCTGTTACAACATTTCTGAGGAATTTTGTCTATTCTTTAAAACAATATAGCCATCATAGATGTGTGCGTGTGTATGTGTAAAATATTGATTAAAACAGTGTTTAGTTGTAAATTATCATAAAATCATTTTTGTCTGTTAGCATTTTCCTGTTCTTTCATTATCCCACAGTCAAATCCTATTTCTAGCCTTGAACATAAAAAATATTTTTAAAATGTCTTAGACTAGCTTTATTCAATGAACCAAATAATGTAGATTTTATCTTTACTACATCAAACATGTTAATGTATGATGATGAGAAAGACACTTGATACTTCTTTATAATCATAACACATTTGAGTAACTCATTTTGAGGTGAGGAGACTACTCTTGTATTTTCATCTTAGATAGAGGGTTTATGTATATATTTTGGGGAGAGGGATGGATAGGAGATGTAAAGAATTTAGTGAAAAAAATATTTACTACATTTATAACACAAACACTAAGCTTAAAACTGAGGTATTAATTTTTTCATGCATTTCTAAATTTACTTTGGAAAGGAAAACATAAAAGTTATCCCAATGCTATGAATTCCAGATAGAACTATATGACTATAATTTATTCATAAAATAATTTATAACCTTCCAAAACATTCTGAACTATATGCTTTGTTTGTCAAATAAGTTTCCTTGAATTTTTAGATAATTAAGCACTTCTGCTAAAGCCATTATATTATTTTCACTCCATCATAGAAGATACCCAGAAGAGTAGTAAAGATAAAATAAATATTTCAATTGCCAGGAAAAAGCTGGGTGTAGTGGGCATGCCAGTAGTCTAGCTGGGGAGGCTGAGGCAGCAGGATCACTTGCGTCTAGGAGTACAAAGACAGTTTGGGTAACATAGCAATACCCACCTCTCTTTAAAAAAAATAATAATAAGCTGGGGAGAAAAAATGTGTTCTGCTGGATTTTCTTAGAGTATATATATATATTTGTGATAGTTGAAAGTGAGAATAATGTAGCTTAAAAAATTTATAAAAATGAATTTTAAAAGTTAAACTAGCAAATAAAATTCATTTTATCTAATGAATTTGGGCCTTTTTAACCATGTGTCCCTCTTTTCTTCAACTTTTCTTTAACTTACAGGAATTTAATTTTGTTAAAAGAAAATAATTATCCTTGATTATAATTTGAACATTGGAGATACTAAAAAATATATATATATATATTCCACCTTGGCACTAACTTTTCTTTGTTCAGATATGGTAGAGATGGATGATTTAGAATAAATGAGACAAGTGGCCAGTCTCTATGTGTGGCTTCTGAAGGAAAAATTTGTAGAATATATTATTTAAAAACTAATAGTTCAAATGTAGGCAAAGATAGCCTTTATTTTATGTTATGTATTAAAAGTGTATATTATAAAGTGTGGGGATGCCCATACCTGGGGACTAAAATTATAAAGACTGATTGAGGACATACTTGAAATACAAAATTATTTATTTAATGTTGACTCCTAAGTAGTTTAAACATTTAATTGTCAAATTTTAAAGCTGCAAAGAATCTTGTTATCTAGTTCAATGCTTTTATTTTATAGATAAGAAACCTGAGAAACAGGAAAATCTAGCTCAAATGAAGAAGCTAGTTGGGAGAAAGTATTTTAACAGGGAGCTAGTGAATATTTTGTAGGCAAATCACAGGTCAGGAGAGTGGCAAATGTGACAGCTAAGCCTTAGTGCAGGATACCTAGAGTAGGACAGGAATATTTTTGAGCCAGGTATAGAAGTGTATCTTCTTTATTGAGGCAGATCAAAAGCCAGGAGAACTGAAGAGTGAAAATGAAGATTCCTGGCCCAGACAGCTAATTTGTAGAAGTATTGAAATCTGGAGGTCATATCAAGCAAGACACAGTTTCTGAAAAAGAATGATGAGTTCACTAGACTTAGAAACTTTTAAAATCAAATAATTTTTAAATCACCATCTATTTAATACAAATTTGGAGCAAAAGAAAGAGTTGACTGTAATTTAAGAAAATTCAAATTTGGAAAAATTAGCTCTGGTCACTTTGTGTAATTCTGTGTTACCATATTTTGTTTTTGTTGGTTTTCCTTTAGTTTCCTATTAAAAGGCCTTTTGGAACAAATTTTAGCCTTTAATTTTGCTAACCTAAGAAGAAATGGACTTTTTAAAAAATTAAGAGATAAAGGACCTTTTATCTAAAGATTACATATTCTGGTAGAGTAAAATGAGAGCAACTCTAGAACTTAGAGAAGACTCATGTAGTTGGGTTGATTAAAAAGGAGAAAGTCTAAAGAAAAATGTTGGGTGAGCTGCAGTCACGTAGGGTGGTATAAAGGGCAAGGCTTTGGAGTTAAGACAGTCTTTTATTCAAACAGTGACTCCACATTCAATTGTGATACAACTTCTCTGGATCATCAGTTTCCTCATCTGTGAAATAAGGATTATAATACTTGCCTCATAGAAAAGTTGTTGGGTTTAAAGAGACCCAATGTAGTATGGAACACCTGGTATACAGTTAGTTCTAAGTAAATACTAGCCTCTTTTCTCATGAGTGCAGGGGAGCGTGCATGTATGCATGTTTGCTCCTCCAGTGTATCAGGGGCACTATCTATATCACCCTTCTCAGACTTTGGTGATTTTACTTGCTTATTTGTCTTCCTTTTCATAGAGCCAAGGTATTTCGTGTATTTGGTAAAGGTCCAGAAATAAAAAGAAAAATTCTCAGTGATGGAACTCTGCATTATCAGATAAAGATCTGTTTTAGTAATGCAAAGTTGCGTTTTAAAATGTGAATGGATTTTCAAAAAAATTGTGAAAGCATATAATTGAAGTTTTAAGAAAAAATTTTGTTTAAATCTTTTAAAACCTTTTTCTTCTCCTTTTACAGGTCATCCTCATAGAATTTTTACCAAAGACACCGATTTTTCGACCAGATTAGCATTTACTTTATTTATAGAGACTTTCCAAGTATGTTGTCTTTCCAATGGTGCCTTGCTTGGTGCTCTCCTGGTGGTGACATAACATTGGTTCTACAGAATCGTGTGGTGTTTTTTTTGTTTTTGTTTTTGTTTTTTTTTTAAATAACCGCATGTTCTAAGTGTGCATTTTTGTCAATCTTTGCAACAGTTATTTCATACAGATGTTTAATACTTAAGTTATTGTGCTCTTTTCTGTTATGTATTCTGATTTTCAAGGATTACTTTTTTGTATTATCAAAAAAATACATTTGAACTTAGCATAAAAAGTGGCCAGCCTTTTTTATTTTGTCACCAAGGTACACACAGTCCTTTATTTATAAATTCCTTAACAGAGAAAAACACCTTTGTAAGGCTCAACTTACCTATTCCAGCAAGCACACTTTTTCTGTCATTTTTTCTTTCTTTTCAAATTTGATATTGTCATTATTTTAAAATAGTAAGTTTTCTTTAATAGTCTTTTGGGACCTAACATACCCTTTCTCATACAATTCCTAATGCTCTGTTTATGGCAGATAATCTGTAATGTTATGAAGACCTATCAAAAAGTTTTAAAAGTATTTCTGTCTTCAAAGGTAGTAAGACAGGATTAAATTTTTATTAGAATAGACAAATCAGTGAATGGTATGCATGTATCTAGTGGTTACTAGAACTCAGGATCACACAATATAGTAGCATCACGATCTGTGTATATTTTTGATCAAGATGATAATAATGGCCTTACTTGGGTTTTTATCGTTTATCAAATCTTACATACAAAAGAGTGGAAGTATTCCTTTACAAAATTTCTAAGGAAAATATTTCTTCCAATCTATCACAATTATAGAATGGATATATGTTTCTGAAAAGTTTTTGAAAGAAAGCAAAAGTTCTAGAACTAAAAGTAAGCTGGTATTTAATATCCCGTTGATATTTAGAAAAGATTGTTAATAAGAAATGGAGGATGCATTTAGTACTATTTTTATCCACTAGTTCACTTTCAGTACAGTTATGTATACTTGTTTTGATTGAGAGTGTGACATACATGTTAAATCAGATTAGCTTGTTTCTTTTAAATATACATATACACAAATACATATAATTTTTTCTCCTTTTTGTTGTGCATATCTCTATGCATTTTTAAACTTTTAGATTTGTGAATGACCTATGTGTAAATTTTTGTTTTTATAAACCAGAAATTATACAAGTTTTAATGTGTGTCAAGAACTTGTTCCATACAACTGTGGTATCGAGCAATAATGTTAATAACTTTTGGAATTATATAAACTATGCTTAATAATTTGTATTGAGAATTGGTACCACTATACAATACTTTTTTCCTGTATTAAATCTTTTAAATACCAGTTTCATTAATTTATATACCTGTATTTTTAAAAGTATTTCTTTGTACTTGCCAAAGTACTGTAATCCTATATAAATTTGAATAGTCAAATGCCAGTATCTCATGTCCTATATCCTGTCTTGGATATTAGGAGCTATCTTAAAAACTAGGATTTAAGATTTTTTTTTGCTTGAGAATTATATGTTTTCCTTGCCCCCCAAGTAACAACTTGAATTTGTAGAACACTTTTCCTGTGAAGAGTTCAAAGTACAAAGAACTCAAATACTTATTTTATTTAACTTGTATCTAGGGTGTGTCCTACCACCTTAAAGTAGTGCAATTAAAAATAATGCCATCTAGAAACTTCAGTATTCCTCTGTGGTTTCAGTGTGAAAAATAATTGTATCTTCATACAACGCTAAATCTGCCTCAGGATTCAGAAAGATCAGAAAAATATAATGACTGTGTAAACTATGCAACACAGTGTTCCCTGTATAAAATTGTATAAATCCATAGAGCACCATATTGATAAGCTTTATGAGAAGAACTTATCTATTTACATAATTTATTCTCCTGTTATTAGTCTACTGTGGATAATAATTTTAAAATTACTATATTCCCTTAGGGATATTTTAACTGTAAGATAATTTTCATAGTTGATTATATTAAGTATAGAATCTTTAAAAGCTTTTCTGATTTTATTCAGCCATGTGCCATTTGCTTAAAGATTCCCTAGAAACATACACTTCAATGTATATATAGAAAATAACTGTGAATACTTAATATGTGGTATTATAAGCCAGTTATGCCTTGGGCATTTAGATTTTCATGCTTGGATTTTCATTAGTAACCTGTAGTATAACTGTATCCTTTCTTGAACCATGAATTTAAGTGCCCACATTACTGGATAGTAGAGATGCCCATATTAAGTAAACATCAGTCTAAGGAAATATTTAAAGTGATGATTTTTCTTCAGCTTCTGTTTTCTGACTTAAAGTTTGTGGGACATAAACTGTAGAGCTTTTTAAACTGGCCAAGAAAAAATATTATTGGCAGAAAGTTTGGTATATGGATTCTACATAGGCTAAGGTAAATAACTTATGGTCTTTTTAAAATACATTACTGGCATTTTACAATCAGTCACCATTTCTGTATAGAAACATTCTTTTCTCAACAAATGTACGTTGACAACCCTGTTATATTTTAATATATAACTCTGGCTATCTGGGTTAAAATGATACTCCAAAGCCTAATGACTATAGTAAAACTGATGTGACACATTTAGCTTCTAAGGTAGATGTTGGCCCTCCCTTACATGGAGATCACCTTACCTATCTAAAATGATCATCAGATGCTTTATTAAGACTCTTTAATGACTAGATTTCATTTATTTAAAATATAAACATGTCATTTTGCCCTAAATTCAACAAAATAAATTCAACAAAGCCTTGAATAATAGTAAACAATGATTATTTTTTCTTATGAGAAAAACTAGTTTTGTAATTGAATAATTTTAAATCAGGAAGAATCCAGCTTTCCCCAAGGTTTTGTCTTTAGTGTTATTTTTTCAGTGTTAGAGAGCTTCTGGTTGTTTCTTTATATTAATAGACGCAGGCCAACCATAAAAATCTTTGACAATATTCTGTCTCTATCTTTGGATGTAAAAGGACATTAAATAGTAATACGTACAGTTGGACCCACAGTTGCATGAGTTCAAACTACTAGTTTTGTATAACACTGTGTACATAGTCAGACTGTTTCAACTTTTGTGGTATTTAGCTTCACAATTATAACCTTTAACTGCATGCTTGATGTTTCACTGTAAATATTTGCTTTGACTTGCTGTTAATCAGTAGTACTAAATCAAAACTATAGTGTGTTAAAGCTGTCTTGGACTGAACTCCAGCATCTAGTCCTGCACCCTCTTTCTTTTTATCCTTTTGGACACCATGGATTCTTTTGCTGTCCTCCTGATGTCCAGAGTCTTTACCTAGGCCTGAACATAGTTCAGAATTGCATTTTTATCTTTCTTCCTCAAAGCTCCCAGTAAGAACAGTAATTTTTTTTTTTTTTTTTTGAGACAGTCTCACTCTGTTGTCCAGGCTGGAGTGCAGTGGCACCATCTTGGCTGACTGCAACCTCCACCTCCTAGGTTCAAGCAATTCTCTGCCTCAGCCTCCCGAGTAACTGGTATTACAGACGCCCGCCACCACGCCCGGCTATTTTTTTTGTATTTTAGTAGAGACGAGGTTTCACCGTGTTGCCCAGGCTGGTCTCGAACTCCTGTGCTCAAGCAATCTGCCCACCTCGGCCTCCCAAAATAAGAACAGTAATTCTTTTGTATTCTTAGGTAGGTGTTTAGAAGACCAATTAAAGTAAGTCGCATTAAGTGATGAATGGCTGACACCCTCAGTTCTGCTAAGGTGGTACTTGCATTTTAAAAATGCATTTTAAAAAGAGATTTCTTAATTGATGCAGTGGTGCAATTGATGTTTCCTTCTGAAAAGACCCTAATGGTCCACGCTTTCTAGGGAGGGAACAATAGGATGGTTGGACATGGGGTTGCTTCTCAAACCTGTTTTTGAAAGAAGGTGATTAATAATTAGTTTTTGGGAGGAAAGAATAGGCTAATTTTAAACCAAACTATTAATTATCCCATAGCCGTTTGTGTTTATTTAACCTTTTCTTAAATAAAGTAACTCTTAATTTTTCCTTGATATCATGGCCAACTTTATGTTGTTTTTAGGAATATATCTTGAGATTTGAAGAATGTCTTTAAATCTTGAGGTATCTTGTTCTGCACTTCTATGGAGATCTTTAGATAATAATTAAGAGAAGCCTAAATATTATTGGTATTATTAATCATAATTCTATCTGTTTCTGTAATATGGAGCATTATCTCCCCCACCCCAATGGCATATTGAAGTAACAGAGGTTGTTTATAATCTTAATAGGTAGTACTGAAAACAGAAATTCAGGATGTTGATCCTGATTTGGAACTCATTTCTGGTATTCTACAAGATCATCCAGCTACTTGGCCTTTTTGGTTTCATTTTCATTTCCCAAGCAGGGAGATACTATGACTACCTCATGGTGTTATCTTGTGAAGCAATATTTTTCGATAGTTTATTTTCCTGTTATTAAGTCCTATATAAAAGTAAGTAGTTAGATGTTTAATAATAATGATTGAATAGGTTTTTCAATTTATTTACAAAGTCAGCGCAAACTTGAATTATTGTCAGGTTTTGCATTTAAAGTGGAAGAGATTGGGTATTCCCTATATATACTTATAATGCTTTGCATGTTTAAAAATCAGGGAAACATTAAATATAGTACTTTGAAGAAAGTTTCTAATAAGATTTTTAAAAATATAGTTACGTCTGAGATACTTAAACAAAATCATGCCTTTTTTTATATCCCCTCTATTTCATAGACATGGTGCTCTGATATTGAGTTGATTACTTTTTTCTCTTTATGAAAACCAGTATATTGCTTTCCTAGCTCTTTATCTTAGAAAGTATTTTGATGAAGTGACCATACCCGGTATCCTTAATTTTGGCAAATAAGCTGTATATTGCTCTGTTGTTGTTTATTTAAAGAAACATAGTGTTAAGCAGCCTTCAAGAGACATAAGTGATGGGTCAGTGTTTTGTCTACTCTACTTTATTGAGACATAACGTACCCTCAGACTGCAGAGTTTCTATCCTATTGTGTCTTCTACTGGTTCTTGATGTAGTATAACTGGTTCCATTTCTTTTTCTTGGCATAAATTCTGTATAGATTTAAAATATTGTAGAAGGAAAGAGTATTTCCTCAAGAAACCTTTTGCTCTAAATTAAAGAACTCCTCTTCCTTTAGTAGCAGCTATTTAATTAGGTAATTAGAACAATCTCATTACATGGCCACCAAGTCTTTATAAACAGGAGCTTGTTTAACGCAAGTATCAAAGCACTTTTAAATTCTGTATTTCTTTTTATGTTTGTTGAGGTTATTAGCATTATGCCCTCTCAGAAGGGTAAAGTATTGTGAAACTTACCGGTTGTGGCAGTAGAAGCAAGGCAAACATGATTGGAAGGCAAAATGCTGAAATCTACTGGCTGAGAGAAATAACTGCATTATTATCCTACTCTTTGGTTTACAAGGGTGAATGTTATGCATTGGTCAGGAATTGCACACAGCTTTTTGCTTTCTTTATACATTCTTTATATATTACAATGGAAATTATTTTTAAAGAAAAAGAAAAAATATTATTCTAGATAGAATTTTCCTTTATCATCATGTCTTTTGAGAAGATAATGGGAGGCTACCTTGAAACAAATATACTTAGATTTATTTTTTATAATATAAATGTGACCATTAAAAAAAAAAAAGGGTTCCAGGAATTTGTTCCTTCATCTTTTTTTTTTTTTTTTGCCACTAATGTAATTTATATCCTTAAATGAACATGGAATAGTTTTCATATAAGATAATCAGAAATTTCTGATGGTGAGCACTTATGTAGAACTAAGAGCAGGGTCCCTAAAAATATGCTTTCAGATAATTATACAGCATTCAGGTAAGTCTAGTAACATTAGAAAATGAAGATAACTGGTAAAATATAAAGTTGAATGTAAAAGTTATGTATTATGTTTTTACTTTCATTATTAAGATATTAATCCCACTGCCAAATAAACACGGTTTTTTTTCTTTTTTTGAGACAGAGTCTCACTCTGTCGCCCAGGCTGGAGTGCAGTGGCATGATTTTGGCTCACTGCAGCCTCTGCCTCCCAGGTTCAAGCAATTCTCCTGCCTCAGCCTCGCAAGTGTCTGGGATTACAGGCGTGAGCCACCAAGCCCAGCTAATTTTTGCATTTTTAGTAGAGAGCATTTTGTCATGTTGGCCAGACTGGTCTCAAACTCCTGACCTCAGGTGATCCGCCCACCTCAGCCTCCCAAACTGATGGGGTTACAGGTGTGAGCCACCACACCCTGCCTATTTTTCTTAAAATGAGATTGTTTTGTTAGATAAAAACTTGTTGGCCTTCATAATTATGAAGAAATACATAATGGGTTATATTTAAGGTGGCTTAGTTTTTGGTCCTGTGTTGGTTGTAGTATATTTAGTCTTGTAAAATTAAGTCTTCATTGATTGTATTGATTGTTCTTTTTTTAGTAAACAAATGGAGACTAATTTGAGCTAGGGATTTTTTTTTTTCCCCAGTTTTGGCTTGCTTTGGCTAGTTGAGTTTTGTTGCTTTTAAGTGAGTCTACTACAACATGTCATTTCAACACACCATTCCATATTCAAAACTAAAATATGGGCTAATTCACAGCATTTTGTCTTTAAAGAATATAATATATTAAATAAGATCGTAAGCCAGTGTATTTGGAATTGGAAAAGGGAATCTGGAACTTAGATCAAATCACTTTAAAGGAAATTGGCCAAACTAATAATGTCTGTTAAAATGACCATATGAATGAATGCGTACACGCACACACACCTGCTTCTGTAGATTTGACCTGTACAATGTGTGGGGAAAAACTAATTAAATTGACGTCATTATGAATATGAGTTTAGAAACTGTGTACAATGAATTTAAATAAAGTTTTATGTTATATGTTCATGGACTTACATCATAGTTGGAAAAAAGAATAGGGGAAAAATGTAGCTTATATAATATAATATTACCTTTTTTTTCCCCACAGTGGTGTTTTAGTTATCCCTTAAGTTTAAAATTAATGCAGCTTGTAAATAGGATTCTCAATTATCCCGTTTCAGTTTTTAAACTTTCAGTAAGAGGCAGAAATAATTCCAGTTGCCACTTCTGTAAATAGACGTTTAGCACTATTTGAAATAGCTTATCTGTGGCATTGTATCAAGTGACTATTTGTAATACAAATTTTTCATTTTACTCAATTGACCCAGATTCCAGTCTAAACCTTTACTAATATAGATCCATATATGGAAATACACATACACATACACACGCAGAATCTCAGTACACTAAGACATCTCTTTGCAGTAGACAGTAAAGGTAACTCCATCACCTGGATTGTTTCAGTTAAAATACAAAATGACAGTTGATTCTATATGAAACATAAAAACTAAAGGGAAGTTTTGTGAGTTAGTCTTGTTTCCTTGAGTCATCATACTGTAGTTTTTAAAGAATTGATAACTTATTTTCTGAATTTTTATTATTTTATTCACATTTTTCATCCTGACCAGAAAAACGTGAGCATTCTCAGAAGTGACTTGTTTCTTTTTTCACAAAGAGAGACCTATGCAAAAAATGCCATTGCTGCTTGCACTAGTTACTATCTTAGAATCCATCACAGAAAGCCCAAAAGATAGCACAACCTTTTGTACCTACAGTCTTAGATATTGTTAGATAGCCATTCAGTTTTGTTTGCATTGTGTATGAGATGAATATTTCTTGAGACTTTTTTGTTTGCTCTACTAAAGAAATCAACCAAGGGAAAAAAAATCCAAAAAACAAAACAAACAAAAAACACCCTCTAACTCATGTGAAGCATGCAGGGTGTTGTAATTTCAGTTTGCAAAGCGGTGTGATACAATGTTGCTGAGCCAAAAGCACACGATAGATTTAATGTAGCCAATTGTGTACTTTTGAAAAAAAGAGTAACTGTTCCCTGTGAGTTAATTTTGGATTTCTTCAAAATCTCTCTTTTAGGCTTTGTGCTGGATTCTTCCAGACAAATGCGTATTCCATGTGGGCCACTGTTCTGCTAAATGCTCTCAGTTCTCCTTTTGCAATCAAGATTATGTTGCTAAGGAGATTTTGCTTTTATTGCTGCCATTGATTTGTGTTAATACGTTTTGAATACCTCTCGGTATTCTTTCGTAGACAAGGCCAAAAGAAAAACTTCCCCGAGTTTCCCAATTTACATTACAAATGGAGCGGTGGTGTAATGAAGCCGATATAAAGTGGGCAGTTGAAAGGAGACTAAAGAAGGGCACTCAAGTGAGAAATGAAGAAATGTGCCGAGTGCAGTCTGTGGGCTGCCCTTGGTCCAGCTGCAGGAACTGGCTCTGGCCAGAGGTAGAGTGAGTGAGCACCTCCCTCTGCAAAGACCACCCACTTTTGGAGCCTAGGCTGGCACACCAAAGATTACCTCATTGATTAATACAGGGCTTGAAAATTTCTGAGGTGGCAAAATCACTTCTAAATCTCTTTTTTGAGTCCTTCCTAGAGCATGACTGAGGCCACACTTCCTGTGCCTTATGACCTGAAGTTGTAAAGGATAACCTATGGATGGACCAGTTCTTTTGGTTCTGAGGACTAGTGTATTTCAAATGTTGGAATGTATTCCTAGGTGAGGAGGCTATTAACTAGATTAAATTGGTTTTAGTTATATGCTTCTTACTTTGTGTCATATTTTAGACTCCAAAAACTGTCTTCCTACCAAAAAAACCCAAGTATTCCATCTGTGAGTGGAAAGAGACCAACTAGATGTGTCTTTAACCAGCGAAGTGGTTTGCTCAGGTTGCAGTGCGTGGAGGTGCTAAAGAATAGCATGGGCCGGGCGCAGTGGCTCCTGTAATCCTTGCACTTTGGGAGGCCGAGGCAGGTGGATCGCAAGGTCAGGAGATTGAGACCATCCTGGCTAACATGGTGAAACCCCGTCTGTACTAAAAAACAAAAAATTAGCCGGGCGTGGTGGCGGGCGCCTGTAGTCCCAGCTACTTGGGAGGCTGAGGCAGGAGAATGGTGTGAACCTGGGAGGCGGAGCTTGCGGTGAGTCGAGATCACGCCACTGCACTCCAGCATGGGCAACAGAGCAAGACTCTGTGTCAAAAAAAAAAAAAAAAAAAAGAATACCATGGTAGCACAGTCATACCCTTTAATGGCTCACATTGTTCAAACAGCATGATATTAACTTTTTTTTAAAATCAAAGCACAAATGCTTCATGCATATAACTTAAAGAGTTTTAGATATTTTAAGTTAGAAATGCCAAAAATATAAAAACCATGAAGAAAAATTTCTATAGAAGTTAGGAAATTAAAAATCGATCATAAGGGAAGCATCTCAGGTTTTTATTGCAGTATTTGGAGATGAAAAATGACTTTCTATTGACACGATTTGTTATTTCAGCAAAATAGAAGTCTGTCAGTCTAATGTTGGATGATCTGATAGTCTTTGCAAGAAATAATTGCAGAGAGTTTCTGCAATCACTGGGAAATAGAAATCTATAAAAACATCTGAAAAAGTGTGAGACTGGGCCACTGCCTAGGGGGATAGCCCTGTTATTTCTATGGAACAGGAAAAAAAAAAAAAAAAACTCTGAAAAGGAAATTCTTAATTCCTGTATTTACAGTGCCTTTTTCAGTAGGTTTTTCCTGCAAAGGGTGCTTGTCAGTTACTTTGCTTTAATGGATAAAATCTCAATTTCCAGGCCAAATGTAACTTTTTTTGGTCTTACATCTTGATTTACTTGTACTTAAGAGGTTTTTTCTCCCTGTAATATTTTTAAAGCTTTTAAAATTAACTTCAGCTTAAAGACAATATAAGTATGAATTTCTGTTTCCAGCCTTGTAGTTCTGACTGTATTTGTCAATGGTTTCTATATTAACGATAGCATTGTTCCATTGTGTAATCCTAAAGTTAAAAATTCTAAGAATGAGAAAAACAGCTATGAATAAATTATAAGTGAAAGATAGAAAAAACACATATTTCTATACTAAATATTGAGAGCTTTGTATTTTTCAAGTTGGAATCAATATATTGAGAACTGACTTTAAATTTTAAAACTCTTATGCTGAGAAACCCTGACAGGTAGATAAACCCGTTTGTCTACATAAGATGTTAGCAGTGTAGTATTGTGCACATCAAGCATGTTACAAAAACTCTAAGTTATTCTCTGAAGATACATAAGTTTTACTAGAGATACTCTGGATTTATTAGTCCTGCAAAGCCAGCTTTTTATAGTCTTCTGTTTGTAACATATCTGCTGGATGGTAATTTCTGCCATGATCATCTGACCAGTGTTTCTTCTATATGCATTTTAGAGCAAAGATGAACTAGGTCATCTATAAACAAATGCATTACATGTTTTAAATCTGTCTATCAAAACTGTTGACAGGTGTGTCAAGAAAGAGCTCTGAAGAAAGCGTGGGGGAGGAGGATGGGAGAGGCATTTTTTGTTAGTTTGTTTCCCAAATTCTGTTAGCATTGGGTCTTGCTTCTAAGCTATAGGCCACATCCATTTAAAAGAAGGTGGAGTCTCAGAGCTGGAAGAAACCTTGGAAGTATCTAGTGGAGATGTGCATAAAATCAGCTGGGAAGTTTTTTGTTTGTTTGTTTGTTTATTTATTTATGAGAGTCTTGCTCTGTTGCCCAGGTTATAGTGCAGTGGTGTGATCAAGGCTCACTGAGGCCTCCATATCCCAGTCTCAAGCAATTATCCCACCTCAGCCTCCCAAGTAGCGGGGACTACAGATGAGCACACCATGCCTGGCTAATTTTTAAAGATTTAAGAGACAGAGTCTCACTATGTTGCCCAGGCTGGTCTTGAACTCCTGGGCTCAAGCGATCCTCCTGCCTTGGCCTCTCAAAGTGTTTGGATTTACCTGCGTGAGTCCTTTGCTGGCCCTTTAAACAAATTGTAACATACTATTCAAGTATCTAGGTTTTAACAGGGTCAGCTCCTTTGTTTTATCTTCCTCTTCAGTTAAAACCATTCTCCAGTTGATTTTGAATGATTTAATGAATGTCATTTTGATCTTGATACAAATGCATTCCAAAACTGTAATTTTGATGAGTAAATTAGAATTTTAATATGGGCTTAATTGTTTTTTTTGCGACGGTGTCTCAGTTTGTCACCCAGGCTGGAGTGCAGTGGTGTGATCTTGGCTCACTACAACCCCTGCCTCCCGGGTTCAAGCAATTCTCCTGCCTCAGCCTCCCGAGTAACTGGGATTACAGGCGCCTGCTACCACGCCTGGCTAATTTTTTTATTTTTAGTAGAGATGGGGTTTCACCATCTTGCCCAGGCTGGTCTCGAACTCCTGACCTCAGATGATCCACCCACCTCAGCTTCCCAAAGTGCTAGGATCACAGGCGTGAGCCACTGTGCCCAGCCCAGTAGTTTGGTTTTAAAACTACACTTGGCTCTACCCTCCACGTTAGAATTGGGAGGAAGGAAAGAAGACCATGTATATTTTCAATATTTTTATCAATTATATCTTCCGGCTGGATGTGGTGGCTCACACCTGTAATCTTAGCACTTTGGGAAGCCGAGGTGGGAGGATTACTTGAACCCAGGAGTTCAAGACCAGCCTGGGCAACATAGCAAGAACCTGTCTCTATTCTTATTTTTAAAATTTTAAAAAAAGATGTCTTCCCTTACCTCTCTAACCTAATTTTATAATGACAATAAGGCTTAGGAAGTTTATCACTTATCTTCCATTGCAGGTTGTTAGTGATTTTTAAAAATCCCAAAAGTGATCATTTAGAATCCTTGTAAGAAAGCATGACCACAACTGGCTCACTGTAACTGAAAGAGCATCGCCTATGCCTGGGGAACTGAAAGGTAAATTGTTGGATTCCAGCCACTCAAAAATTGTTTATCTGTCTCTGTAAGTGGTTAAGTTTTAGTTCTATCTACTGCCCAATCTGAGAACTGTGACTTAGACATTTAATTATTTATTGCTTGTCCGTGTGAAAACATTTAGAATGGCTGGCAGCCTACCAGACCCCGAGTTAAACATTCTACAGCCTGACTAGACTGTTGGGTAGCCAACTTCACATCAGATTAAACACATTCTCTTCATGATGAATAGCTTGGAACCTAAAAACTTAATTTCGTTACAAAAAGTGCAAGGGGTGTGTTGTTTTCTAAATTAAAATTATTTTATGTTTTACTGCCACCGATCCAATTGTGGTTGTCAAATGTATTTTCTTTGGTGCTGGTAGGATGGAAGGGAAAGGGACAATGAGGGACTTTTGGGACTAATAAAATTTAAAAAAGGACTCCTACAAGGTTGGACACAATGCAGCCTAGGGATGAACAGTCATGAATTTTGTACTGAAAAAATTTACATTTCATTAACATTTTAAATTACAAAGGCAGGTCTACAAATACCGATTTGTGTGTTTGTGTGTGTGTGTGTGCTCATTGCATTTTCCAAGCAAACAAGTGAATAATGTGCTAACTGTATCCTTTGTTTTTTTATTTTTGATTTCTCTTTTTATTGTAAAACGTAAGCTGTGATGTGTAGTGACATTAATTTTAGTAAAACCTACTTTACGTTCTCTATAGATAATATGCACATAAAGTCTACATAATGTTTTCTTATGTAATAAATGCTTTGGGATAATGAAGGGTACTTCGAGCATCATTCCTCAGCTGTTTAGTAAACCAGCTCTACAGAGACTTGCCTTTCTAATTCTGCAGCTACATGGGTAGAAATTAATCTACTTGAAAATGAATTAGCAATATAAAAATGTAATATTTTATGATTAATATTAACTAGAAATTAAGACTGAATTATTCAACTTCAGTTTGCCATTCTTTGAAAGAAGTTACATTTTGGGAAGTTCTGTGAAGTTAGAAAAAGTTTGAAAGTGTGTTGCGGGAAATAGTGGCTGACTAGTGTAATGAATTGAAACGTTGGAATCAAGAACTCTGTGCCCAAGGGACCTGGCTGTCCGCAGGCTGTCATTTGAGGGTAAATGACAAGCAGGTGCCTGAGAAATGACAGGAAAGGCCCTACTTTTGGTCGTTGGCATCAGTACTAATAACCTTCTGGCTTTAGACCATGATTGAGGAATATATTTTCTGTGAGCACAATTGTGTATCATATAAATTTCAAGTGTGTTAACTAGTAGCAGAAAACTACAGTATCTAAAATTGTTTTTGCTGACCAAATGCCTTTTGACCAGAATCCCCCATTTAAGAGCTTGTCATTGTGCAGTTTGAAAATTTAGCTACTTAAAAAAAAACTTTAGATATATTTTTGATAAAACTATAAAATATACTTGAAAAATCACAAAGTTTTAAACACTTTTATAAGTGTACTTTTTGCTTTATTGAATGCCTGGAGCAGTTTCAGAAACTTACATAGTTTGGGAGTTCTCAAAGAAACAGCCATCAATGACGAATATAGCCTTTTGATGTTCCAGAGTACCGCACTCTGACAGTTGTCTTTCTTACACTGTCTTCTTCCACCACTATGGTGTCCCTATAATTATGCTTCAAATGTGCTGTCATTTTTGAATGCTACATTTTCACACATGAGTGGATAGACATGAACAGTGTTTTGGTTCTTTCCTTTGTTTCCCCTATTGAACTACTTTTTTTAGTAAGTCCATGTTAATTAAAATTCTAATGTTCTCATCAAAATTGCATTTTTGGAATAAATTTGTATCAGGATCAAATGACATTAAATCATTCAAAATCAATTAGAGAATGGTTTTAATTAATTGAACAGAAAGATGAAGTAAAGGAGCTGACATTGTTAAAACCTATTTACTGATAATTTAATAGTATGTTAAAATTTGTTTAAAGAGCTGGCTGCAGTGATTCACGCCTGTAATCCCTGCCCTTTGAGAGGCTGAGACAGAAGGATCGCTTGAGCCCACAAGACCAGCCTGGGCAACACAGTGAGACCCCATCTCTAAAAAAACTTTTAAAAATTAGCCAGGCATGGTGGTATGCGCCTGTAGTCCCAGCTACTTGGGAGGCTAAGGTGGGAGGATCCCTTGAGCCCAGGAGTTTGAGAGCAGCCTGGGCAACATAGGGAGAACCCATTTCTACAAATAAAAATAACATGTAAAAAAGCTGGGAATGATGGTGCATACCTGTGGTCCCAGCTGCCAGGATGGTTGAGGCTGCAGTGAGCCGTGGTCACGCCACTGTTCTCCAGCCTGGGCAGCAATGAGACCCAGTCCCCCTGCCAAAAAAAAAAAAAAATTATTTAGAGTATTTTGGGGTGATATATAAAATCATAACAGCTTAAAACGGAATACAACGAAAAAGACAATTTTTAAATAGTTAAAAGTGTTGGCGAGATAGAGGAAGTCAATCATAGTCTTGGAATAACATTTAGATTTCAGAATTTGAGTTTTTATGTTTGTTTTGACAAAATGGTTCTTTTGCTTTCTTCAACAAGAGGTTTAAGGCTTTGAACTTTTTGAAACTTTGATATAATTGTTGAAGTTTTTTAAACAAATCCTATAGAAATAGGAGACTGCTAATATGAAGAAGATAGAACATACTATTACAGCAAATTTATTTACTCACAAAAATTGCTTTTCCAAGGTAATCTTTTTCAAAAACTTACTGACATTTTAATGCCAAGTGTGTTTTCTTTGTCCCTAGTTTTAACAGTTTTAAAATACATGATTAACCTTTTTTCCTGAAACTGAAAGGAATCTGGACCAATTTTTTTAATCTATGCTTAAAAGCCACTCTTTTGATATGTTTTTCTTCATAGGACAGCCCATTATATTTAAATAGATAAATTGTCTCAGTTATTTCACACTAGCTGTATGACTTTATTTCTGTTATCCCCAGCAACTACATTTTTAGCTTTAAAGAATATTTTTATTGCTTTTGCATCAATTTCAAGTTTCAATATACAAAAGAGAGTAGTAACTAGTTCCTATGCTCTTCAGTCTGCTTCCCCAAGTAATCATTCTACTGTGAGGTGTTTTGTTTTTGGTATTGGCATTTTGGTATTAGGATTCATTATTACTAGTTATCAAGGAGACTCATTATTACACTGTGTCCCCTAATCATGTATAACCAGTGGCCTGGCAAAGCAGAAGACGACTTCCTCAAAAAAAAAAAAAAAAAAAAAAAAATCGTAGTTTACTTTAAGAGTTGACACTGCTGTAACCCAAAGACCTATTGAACTTACATTGCTGGTTGAGAAGCACACATCCAAAAAATCCAGTTATCTTCTGATCCACAATAAATTTTTGGAAAATAATCTGAAAACCAATTGTCCTCCATTATGACTAATGCACAATTTATTAAACTTAGATTTTTTGAGTGCAGTAACAGAACTAGAAATGTGTTGCTGTGTTACTCTGTTCTTGTACTGCTATAAAGAAGTACCTGAGACTGGGTAATTCATAAAGAAAAGAGGTTTAATTGACTCATAGTTCCACAGGCTGTACGGGAAGCATGACGGCTTCTGCTTGGCTTTTGGGGAGGCCTCAGGAAACTTATGGCAGAAGGCAAAGGGGAAGCAGGCACTTCCTACATGGCGAGAGCAGGAGGAAGAGAGAATGAAGGGGGAGGTACTACACATTTTTATAAACAACCAGATCTTGTGAGAACTCACTATTACCAGAATAGCAAGGGAAAAATCTGCCCCCATGATCCAGTCACCTCCCACAAAGCCCCTCTTCTAACATTGGGGATTACAGTTCAACACGAGATTTGTGGGGGAACACAGACCCAAACCATACCAATTACTAAAGAAATGGGAGACATTTGAATTTGGTGAAGAAATGGTCTAAGGTCTAAGCTTGGCCCAACCTCGGGCATCATGCCAAGTATAAAGGATAGCAAAGAGAATAATGCCTTTTGGTTTCTAAAGAGTTGAGGCTGGAGGAATAAGCATGTAACATGGTATGAAAAGTGCTAATAATCAAGGAAAGTAAGTGATAGGGTGGATCTTCAAAGGAGCAATATATTTGGGGTGGAAAGGTCATAGGTTGCATGGGTTGAAGCTTAACACATGAAAAGGCTGTGTTAAAAAAGTACTGATGATTTCTGTATGATTGGAAAATATGGGGAGATGGTCTGGTACAAAATACCTGTTTAATGAATTGTGCAGAAGCATCAAGAGATAAGGTCAGGAAAGGGAGAAGGGACAAGTGTATCATGCTGAAATTTTTTTGACTCTAGCCTGAAGCTATTGAAAGATTTTGAGAATGTGAGTGGACCTGGTCAAATCTGTCATTGATGAAGCTCATTCTGACCCTGAAATAAGCCAAAATTAGCAAGCTCCAATGTTAATTTGTTTTAACCTGTAAAGCTAGCAAGTAAAAATTCCTTAAATAAAGAACTCAACTGTTTCACTGTTTAGCAATGAGACCAAAGAGTATGTAAGATCGAAGGAATAGAGGTATAGAAAGACTGTTTTGCCCTTTGTTAAACTGAAAGACTAGCCTACTAACAATTCTAAATAATTATCTGGAACATTATCAGGGAATCTCACTGGGGTCAGACTGGAATCTAATTCTGGTTCTGCCACTCTCCAGCTGTGTGGCTTTGGAAATGTTACTTAACAGCTCTGTGCCTCCATTTCCTCATTTGTAAAATGGATTTGTTAATAGTACCTGTTTCAAGAAGTACTTATGAGGATTACACAATATAATGCATATATTCCACTGGTAATGCCACTCAACACAGGAGACCACTAGGAACACACAAGGAGTTGAACAAAGTTGGGTTTTTTTGTTTGTTGAAACTAGAGATACATTGTAGGGATTCCTGAGTGCTGGAAAGGCCTTCTTTCAGGATTTGGGCTTGTGATGAGTGATTTGGGAAGGATTCAAGCAAGAGTTTGCACTGGATTTCGATTCTGTAAGGAAGTGGGGTAATTTTATGATTGGTCTGAATAGATCTCATTTAGGAGGTGGGAGACACGAAGCTAAGTGAAAGCCGTAATTTGTAAAGAAGCAGCAGTCACTCATATTTAGTATTTTGTGCTTTGCACTGCGACTTTGTTTTTGTCTTATTACACAAGATGTGAAGAGGTCTTTTCTGTTTCATCATGGTCACAGAGTAACCTTGACTGATGGTCTTCTGTGAGATTGTTTATGTTCAACAGGAGAACACCAAGGCCTAGCTGGTAATAACAAGCCAAGTCCTGGATGCCAAGGGCTGCTTTTCTCTTTCTGTCACTTAGCACAATGCCTGGCATAAAGTTAAAGCTTAAGAAGTATCCTAAGGAACAATTCTAAAAGAATTGAGCCCAACTCTCACATGCATTCTGACCCTAAAATAAAGGCCAGTTTGGTCCATTTTTGAGATTAATATGACAGTGTTGTTTCAACTTCATTGGTCAGTACCTTCTTATTCCTTTTCTATATGGATAGATTTGCCTTATATTTTAGATGTTTACTTTGAGTTTGTATTTTTCGTATTCAAAACAGTTAAATCAGAATGTTAAACTTCTAACAACAGATTCTCTTTGAACATTTTTACAAAAGTTTAAAAGTTTTAAAAATCTGTTTTCAACATCTCCCTAGGTCAGTCTTCACAGTGTTTATCACAACTGAACATAAATATTAAGTTTAGTTATTTGTAAAATATCTGTTTCTCCTGCTATACCATGAAAGCAGGTTCTTATCAGCCTTGCTATTATATCTTAGCGCCCAGTATGTGCCTGGCACAGACTGTTTTGAAGAAATGATTGTTGAGTAACTGAACGAGGAAGAGAAATTGTACTTGGAAAGTGGAGTTGAAAACTAACATGTATTGAGTGACTGTTCAATGCCAGGTCCTATTTTAGGCACTATACAAAAATTATAATTAAGTCCTCTCAGAAATTCTGTAAAGGAATTATTGACTTAAGTTCAGCGACTTACCCTTCTAGGAATGGGTAAAGTCTGATTCCAGGTCTGTGTCATTCATCAAACATTTAATAAACACATATCTTGGGAATTTATCATAGCCTATCATTAGCAATTGCTTTTCTGTAATCGTATCAACTTCGTCTACTCTCTGTCATAGTCTCCTACCTGCGAGTCCCAACTTGTTTTAAGCACTGCTCCATCTCTTTACTCTGCGCTTACACCTAACAGCTGAATGGGGCTGGAGAAAAATCTGAAGCCAATGCTGACTAATTTCATTTTAAATCCATTACCACAAATTTCAAATAGGTACTACCCAAAGATCTTACTGTGCTTCACAAACATGTTTGTTCTCTTACTCTCCAAAATTACTGTGTCATAACTTCCCTCTTCAACTTTTTCCAACACCAGCCTCTGACTACTGGACCATTCCATCAGCATACAAACATTTTCTTCTGCCTCCCATTTGTAAACAAAACGACACCTTCCCTTGACCTCACATCTTCTTTTGCCACTTCTCTCACACCTTCACAGAAACCTGCTCAAAAATTTCCTCACATTTCCAGCTTACCTCTATGGACCCTAAAACTAGGTTTTGGATCCCACCATTCCCTGAAACTGCTCTTGTCAAGATTACAAACACCTCCACTTTGCCAAATCAGTCATCTCTCTCTTAACTCCTGCCGCATTTATTAAGTCCTCTTCATGCACTATCTGTCTTTTCTTGGCTTCTTTAACAGCATGCTCTCCCAGTTTCTTGCTTCTTGCTCTATCCATTGGCTGTAGGTCTTCCTCTTAAGCCTTAAGTGTTGGTGTGCTCCAGGCTCAGGCCCAAGACTTTTCTGTTTTTCTACTGATCTCATCTAATTGCATGGTTTAGATACCATCTTATGTACAGATTTATATTGCCAGTTCTGACCTTTCCACTGAGCTATAACTTTAGATACCTAAACGCCCACTTGACCATTCGCTACTTGAATAATAAAAAGGTGTTTCATACTTAAAATGGCTAAAACAGTACTCTTGACTTTCTCCCTGTGAAATTGGTTCTTTTTTTCATTCTTCCTCATCTCACTATATGGTCCTTCTCCTCTCACTCATATATTTCACTCAGACAAAAACCCAGGAGCTGTCATTTCTCCTCCATTTCCCATAATCTCATAATCTACTTCAAAAATACACCTGCAGTACATTAATTTTTCCTTCATATCCATCGCTTTTCCTTTTTTCTAAGTTTCCATTATCTTCTATCAGTTCTTACCTGAATTGCAATTGCCTCTTTAGCTGTTCTTCCAGTGTTCTACACAGTCTGGCCATTGCCTGCCTTTTGACATCATTTCTTATCATCAGTGTTCCACCCACTCCAGTCTGACTGCATTGTCTTTTTCGGTTACTCAGAAAGGCAAAGTTAGTTTTCCCGTGGGGTTGTTTATTCATTGTTGTCTCTGCCTAGAATGACCCCCTCCTCTTAGGATTTCAGGTCTCAGCTCAAATGTCCCTTCTTCAGTGAAACTTTTCCCAACCTGCCAGTCTGAATGAGCTCTTCTGCGCTGTCACTGTGACATTGTATATTTTCTTCATTACACTTTTCACTATCTGAATTTCTTATTCATATTTTTGTCATTCTCTGTTAGAATACCAGCTCCATGAAATTGGGTGCCGTGTCTGGCCACCTTAACTTTCACCAGTATATTTCCAGAATCAAGAATATTGCCTGACACATGATAAATGCACCATAAATGTTTGTTCAATAAGTACATTTTATAATCATACTTGTTTTAATATAAAAGGGTTTTAACCCCACGACTTTAACCTGAGGAAAGTCATGTTTCTCCCATGGCCTTGTTTCTCCCATGGCTCTATGTGTCCGTGGCTTCACTGCCTTATTCCTTGCTTTGAGAAGCTTTGTCACTGCTTTCACCTATACCAGCCACTGCTAAAAAATAATAGCCCCCAAATCCCTTAGAATGAAAAGAAGGATAACAATGTCTTTGAATAAACATCAGGGAGGAAGTTCATCATTAAATCATCAATACAGGCCAAAACAAAAGATAGAGACATTGTCATGTTATGAAAAGAACTCCTCCCACACATGTGAGTATTTGGTTTGACCCTTGATTTAAATGAACAAGTATACTTCCCTGATGTGGCTGATAAAAGGTAATAATACAGTATCATGATGAAGAGAGATGACACTGAGGCTCCAGTCTACTTTAAAAATATGTAAGTCTCTGATAGGTCATGATTTTAGACCACATACAGACTGTCCTATGGGGAAAACACAGGGAAGAAAAGCAGCATAAACATTTTTATCCTTTATTGTGTTTGTCCAAAGCAGAGTTAAGAGGGTAGCCTAAGAGTATAATACTTGCCTTTCCAACTACAGAATAATCTTTTCCTTTCTCCAAATTGTATAAAGTAGATTTTTTTTTTTCAGTGAGTGAAACGATGAAACTTAGACTCACTTAAATGTATTTCCTAATGTAAGAATGTGTGTGTGCCAAGTAAATTTACTAAGCATTAGAACATGGAAAGCAGAGTATGATTAATACCCTCGTTTACCTCACTTTTTCCCCCATTTTCAAAATTTGTTTTCAAATATGGAAATTCTTCTGTACACTAAAATGATCTTAGGAAACAGGTAGCTCATGGTCTAAAGTTTAGCAGTTCATGATTAAGGGTTGCCGCAATCTAATCTGTTAACACACTGACTTTTGCCATTAATTTTTACTAGGTCTCTGCTTCCGTACCTGTAGAGGTCAATATTGTTAAGATACAAAATACATGGTACCAAGGCATACTAGAAAAACTTTAAAAATTGGTTATTTGGATTTGGCCTACCCACTTGATTGTTATCTGTAAACGATGTTGATATGATTTGGAATTTGACTATGCATTCAAAACAATGTTTTTGTCAAATGGGTTGGGTCATTCTAGAGAAAGAAAGAAAAAAAACAGACATTAACAATTAGTCATGAGGCTGAGTATAATTCCAGCATGTTGGAAGGCTGACGTGGGAGGATCATTTGAGGCCAGGAGTTTGAGACCAGCCTGGGCAACATAGGAAGACCCTGTCTCTACAAAAAATAATTTAAAAAATTAGCCTGGCATGGCGGTGCATACCTGTAGTTCTAGTTATTTTAGAGGCTGAAGCGGGAGGATTGCTTGAACCCAAGAGTTTGAGGCTGCAGTGAGCCATGATCACACCACTGCACTCCATGCACTCCAGCCTCAGTGACAAAGTGAGACCTTGTCTCAAATTAATAATACATGAAAT
The DNA here is from genome assembly GCF_000001405.40 of Homo sapiens. Lineage (NCBI taxonomy): Eukaryota > Metazoa > Chordata > Mammalia > Primates > Hominidae > Homo > Homo sapiens. Next base: position 53,988,926 of record NC_000004.12, on the reverse strand, counting down.
TTTAGTTACAACAAAGCTGTTTTTTTCCAATAACGATGGAAGATTAACATGTTTTTCTTCTTTTTTCAGTTGTTTGCTCATTAATGAATTAGAATATACCAAAAGTAAATTAAAAATAATTCTGAGTGTCATTGTTACTTCTTACTTTAGTTAAAGAGTAGTGGAATTACCGCTGTGCTGCAGACCAAGTCCTACTTGCTAAATAACTACAGATAGTTAAAGGTGAAGGCTGAGCACGGTGGCTCACACCTGTAATCTCAGCACTTTGGGAGGCTGAGGCAGGCAAATCACTTGAGCTCAGGAGTTCGAGACCAGCCTGGAAAACATGACAAAACCCTGTCTCTACAGAAAATACAAAAATTAGCCAGCCGTGGTGGCCTGCTTGTAGTCCCAGCTATTTGGGATGCTGAGTGGGAGGATTGCTTGAGCCCAGGAAGTCAAGGCTGCAGTGAGCCAGGATCATACCACTGCACTCCAGCCTGGGAGATAGAGACCCTGTCTCACAAAAAAACAAAAACAAAACAAAACAAAAAAACAAACACCAAAACTATAGTCAAAGCTGGAAGGGACCTGCTTATCCTGTGGCCTGGGCTTTAGCCATCTCTTCCAATACCAATTGCCTAGTGTTATTATGTAAAGCTAATTTGGCCAGCTCTGGTCCTTATTTTGCACTCATTCCAGTAAACCCAACCACTATGGCACTTAATACTGCCATTGTCAGTCAGTCTGCAGTATTGATTGACTGCCTTTAGAGCTCTCTTTTGTGTGCCTTGTCCACTCTTCAGTCACTGAGAGAGAGACCAAAGAACAGAGACCAACACCCTGTACTTGGCATGGCCATTAGTCACTGGAGTTAGATGAATCACACTGTATCTAAGAGAGAAGACTCAGGGAGAAGGGCTTAGCACAACACAGAAAAGCTTTAAACACTCTTACCTTTGACTGGAATTACACACACACACACACACACACACATACATACACACACACACATACACACACACACACTAAGGCTTTCCCACAAAGCCATGATGCATCCTTAAAAATAACACACAGCTCTGAAAAGTGAATGTCGGGGGTGAAGAGAGCCCTCCTACACTCCTTTTCCTAGTGATGACAAGGTTGTGGGGGCATGGCTGACTGTGAGGAGCAGAAGATGAGAGGGAGATATCATTTTACTTCTTTGTACTGCAATAATAAAAAGAACAGATAGAATGGAAGGAAGAGGCCAGGGGCAGTGGCTCATACCTGTAATCCCAGCACTTTGGGAGGCTGAGGCAGGTGGATCACCTGAGGTCAGGAGTTCGAGACCAGCCTGGCCAACATGGAGAAACTCCGTCTCTATTAAGAATACAAAAATTAGCCAGGCGTGGTGGTGGGCACCTATAATCACAGCTACCCGGGAGGTTGAGGCAGGAGAATCACTTGAACTTGTGGGGCGGAGGTCGCAGTGAGCCAAGATTGCGCCACTTCACTCCAGCCTGGGCGAGAAAGTGAACTCTGTCTCAAAAAAAAAAAAAAAAAAAAAGAATGGAGCGAAGAAGCCAGATTGAGTCTTCTTGCAATGAGGCGGAGTATACAATATTATTTTTAAAAATCAGTCTAGTGTTTCTGAAAACAAGGACACACTAGGAGGAAATGGTGGAGGAAAGGAGAACACAAAGTAAAAGTGACACTGCCTATTTCTTCACGGGTACAAGGGCCACTTAGGCTGGGATGCTTTTCCTGAAAATGCAGACCATACAGAACAAGGCCATGTGACTAAGAATCCACAACAGAAACAAACACAAGACACATATGAGTTAGGAAAGTTAAGGAAGCAGTCCTTCCTTTCGGCCAAAACTGCCACCTTCCAGTAATTTGCCACAATGATGAACACAAAGGGGGAAGAGGAGAGGCACCGGTATACATTCTCTAGGCCTTTTAGAAAACATGGACTTGTTCCTTTGGTTACAAATATGCGAATCTATAAGAAAGGTGATATGGTACACATCAACGGAATGGATACTGTTCAAAAAGGAATGCCCCACAAGTGTTACCATGGCAAAACTGAAAGTCTACAGTGTTCCCCAGCATGCTGTTGGCATTGTTGTAAACAAGGGTAAGATTCTTGCCAAGAGAATTAATGTGCATATTGAGCACATTAAGCACTGTAAGAGCCGAGATAGCTTCCTGAAATGTGTGAAGGAAAATGATCAGAAAAAGAAAGAAGCCAAAGAGGAAGGTACCTGGGTTCAAGTGAAGCACCAGCCTGCTCCACCCAGAGAAGCGCACTTTGTGAAAGCTTGTGGGAAGGAGCCTGAGCTGCTGGAACCTATTCCCTGTGAATTCATGGCATCATAGGTGTTAATAAAATAAAATAAAATAAAATAAAATAAAATAAAATAAAATAAAATAAAAGACCTCTGGCTGTAAAACAAAACAAAACAAAAAAATCAAAAAACAACAAAAAAGAAAGCAGTGGAGTGCATTTGTAGATTTGGTACATTAATGTGCCAGGCCCTCCATCCCACTTCTCTGAAAGCCTCTCTCCTGTGTGTGAGAGGGAAGGCATGGGGCAAGAAGGGGAAGGTCTTCCTTAAATAGCTGGTGGTAACATTGTCCTCAGCTCACCAAGAGAACTCTCTGAACAATGTGACTCCTATTAGAAATGAGAACAAGTACCTATTGTTTAGGCTTAAACAACTCTAAGTGTTTCTTTTAGAGATAATTAATTTAATTAAAATGGTCCCTGAAGCCAAACTGAGCTTCATATTGAGCACTATACACATTCCTTCCAAATTCCAGTACAAAGCTATTCAGAAGTAGTAAACTATCAGTCATGTAGCTCACATTTACTTCCACTGGAATGGAGGCCCTAGCACAGGGGCTGGGATAGGAGGCTCTTCCTGAGCTGGAGGGAGTAGCATTAGTTCTGATGCAGTTAGAGAAAAGATGATTTTTCATCTGTGGATTTAGTTCCAAAAATGATGTGGGCATTTTTTCCTTCATGGTAGTTTCAAGAAGAGAAATTTGGTTTACTGACTGCATCCAAATCAACCATCTACAGGATACCCTCAGCATGTCGGTGCTCAATAAATGAATGAATCAGTGGATAAATGGCCAGGCGCAGTGGCTCACCCCTGTAATCCCAGCACTTTGGGAGGCCAAGTGACCTCAAGGCGGATCACTTGAGGTCAGGAGTTCTAGACCAGCCTGGCCAGCACTTTAGGAGGCTGAGGCAGGGGTGGATCACTTGAGGTCAAGAGTTTGAGACAAGCCTGGCCAACATAGTGAAAATCCGTCTCTACTAAAAATACAAAAATTAGCCAGGCATGATGGTGCACTGCTGTAATCCCAGCTACTCAGGAGACTGAGGCAGAGGTTGCAGTGAGCTGAGGTCGTGCCACTGCACACAGCCTGGGCAACAGAGTGAGACTCTGTCTCAAAAAAAAAAAAAAAAAAAAGATACATGAATGAAACCAACCTCTTTGGCCTAGAATAGATGAGCTTTTGGACCTGTTATCTTCTGGAGTCAGGAAGTAAATTGAGTAGAATTTGATGTTAGATCAAAACTACCAAGCTGTCATGTACCCCAAGAGGACACAATAAACTTCTGTGGCATTTGATGATGGTTTATTGACGGTAGATGCAGTTCAACATGTTTATTCCAAACCTTGAGGCAAGCGCACTGTAGGGAGGCCACATGGCCTGGCCATTTAGCAAGTAGACTGTGGAATCAGGAAGACTGGGCTCCTGGCTGTCTCCCTTTCTTGTAACTTGACCATGGGCCTATTTTTAAAACTTAGTCTGTTTCTTCATATATAAAATAAAGATAATATAAAACCTAACACATTAGATTTTTGTGAAATTTAAACTATGACATTCATTCTGCATGGACTGAATGCCTACTATGTGTCAGGCATTGTTCCAGGTGTTTGGGATATGTCAGTGAACAGAATACAGATCCTTTGTGGCATGTACAGTCTAGTGAGGGGAGGGGGATGGGAAGCAAATAAAACACCATAACCATAAGAAAATATATTAATATGTTAGAAGTTCTGTGTGCTAAGAAAATAGCAGTGCAGGGTAAGGGTTCCAAAGACAGGGTTGGGGGATATGGGAGGCTGGTAGTGGGTTACAATTTTGTATAGGGGAGACAGGGTAGCCTCCATTGAGAAGATAACATGAGCAAAGATGTGAAGCTGGTGAGGGAGTAAGCCATGTGGATATCTAGAGGCAGCAGATTCAAGGCAAAGGGAAGAGCCATTACAAAGGCCAGAGGACAGGAGTATGTCAGGCATGTTTGACAGCAAAGATCAAAGAAGACAGAGTGGTTGGAGAGGCAGAAGTGAAGTAACTGCAGATCAGGTTGTATAGGACCTTGAGGCTATTGTCAGAGCTTGGTGTGAAATGGGGGAGCCCGTCTAACTAATCATTTAACAGATTGCTGATGTGGGTGGGTGGCTATGGGAGGTTTGTGTTGTTGATCTAACTCTGTGAATGATTGGGTGAAAATTGACGATGCAGGAAAGAGGAGAATGTGCTTGAGTATGAGAGGGGTTGGTGCCAGGGACTCATGGGGAGTTTTCATAGGGACTAGGCAGGAAGGCTGAGAGTGTGGGTACAGTGACTGGTAGGAGAGTATGTGGTTGTGGGAGTCTGTGGAGGTTTTCTTCTGCTTCTCTCACTTTTCTTAGAGAAATAGGTAGCATAGTAATCACCTAAGAGTAAGTGGGGAAAGGAGTATTCTTGAGGGGAAGAAGGAAGTATGAGCTTGTTCTCTAGGAGAACAGGAGAGTGAATGGATGAGGGGAACCTCATCCTGCTGTGAACCTCATGCCTGGCTATGAATGCCAGGCAGCATTAAGGGCCCAGTTAAGGGTTAATGACTATGAACTCAAAACGAGATCAGTCAGCATGGTTTTCACCAGACATATTCAACCATTCCAGTGCAGGGAAAGAGGTGGGTTTCACTAGGGTTGTGTTTTGCTAAACAAATAAGTCAAAGCCAGAGAAGGGCAAGGGATTTGAGGGATTCTGAAGTGAGTATTTACAGCATAATAATTGACCAAAGCATTTAAGTCAGGTAATTATAAAGAGAAGATAGGACCTCAAGTGTGAAGTGGGAGAAGGACCAATGGTGGAGAGACCCTTGGTTTAAAAGGTTTGGAATTGGGGTAATAGAATTAGTGAGCTGGAAAGATAGCAGGTGAGGTCAGAGTGGAATGTGTCAAATCAAAGTTATGAAAATGCATCTAAAATTGTAGGACAATATGTGGTGCAAAGCAAATGCCCAGTAATTAATGACTATTATTAGGGATTCATAAAACTTGTTATCCAGAACCCTTGAGACCAGATTTGTTTTGTAACTTAGAATTCTTCAGACTGTAGAAAAGCTTCATGGTGTATATACACCTCCATGGAGGTCCTGGAAAGTTTTCTGTAATCCAGCACATCAGCGTGTCTTCAGGAAAATGTATGAATATTCATATTAAGTAGGATGGATAGCCTCATGTTGGTGTAGGGCACGTTTTGCTGTATAAGTTAGGCACTAAATTTTTAAAAAACAAAACTTTGGATTTTAAGATTTCGACTTTGAGATTTCAGAATTGCAACAAAAAAAGATGAACCTGTACTGACATTTTCACTAAGCATCGTGAACTTAGGGGAAATACTTCATCTCTCTAGAGGACTTTGAGTTTGGAAATTTCTGAACTACTTCCCTGCTCAACATTTTATGATTCCTTGATACCCTTCACTGGACTCAATTCCCCATAAGACAACTGAATAAAGAGGTTGGGCATCCTTAATATGAAAACCCCAAATCCAAAATGCTTGAAAATCTGAAACTTTTTGAGTGCTGACATGACACCACAAGTGGAAAACTTCACAGCTGACCTCACGTGATGAGTCGAAGTCAAAACACAGATGCACAACACACAATTCCTTCAGTGTCCCCGAGCAAAGAAACACCCTCCCAGGCCCTTTAATTGTGATGTATATTTTCTAGGCATGCCCAGATTCCTTCATGCAAGCACACCCACAAAAGGTAATAACATGGCATGTGTGCAGGCCAGATATGCAAACAGCAGGTTCCCCATGATGCCCTACATGGGACCAAGACCCACGTGCATTACTTACTTTATTTTTGCTTACTCTCTGTAAAGATATTGTTGAAAATACCAAAAAGCCCTACAGATACCCCTATGGGTAACAGTGGTAAGAGAAAGAGGAAGAATATTTATCTATAGCACAGAGAGTCAAGCTATTGGACAAACTGGACAGTGGTATAAGTGTGAATCATCTTACAGCAGTGTGGTGTTAGAATGACCACCCTGTATGACATGAAGAAACAGGACTGTTGAAGTTCTATGCTGAAAGTGATGAATAGAAGTTAATTAAAAATAGAAAAACACTGCATAAAGCTAAAAATAAAGACCTCAATCATGTATTGAAAGAGTGGGTTGTCAGTGTTGCAGTGAACAAACACATGCCACTTCATAGTATGTAGATCATGAAACAAGCAAAGATCTGTCACGATGAATTGAAAAGTGAAGAGAACTATGATTAGTCAATAGGCTGGTTGCAGAAATTTAGGAATAGATATGGCATTAAATTTTTAAAGATTTGTGGTGATAAAACTTCTGCTGATCGTGAAGCAGCGGAGCAATTCATTGATGAGTTTGCCAGCATCAGCTGGATGCAGTGGCGCATGCCTGTAATCCCACCTCTTTGGGAGGGTGAGGCAGGAGGATTGCTTGAGCCCAGGAGTTTGAGACCAGCCTGGGCAAAATAGGGTGACCCAATTGCTACAAATCTTTTTAAAAAAAATTAGCTGGGTGGTGGTTCATGCCTGTAGTCCTAGATACTCCAGAAGCTGAGGCTGAAGGACCACTTGAGCCCAGGAATTTGAGGCTACGGTGGGCTCTGATCATGCCACTGCACTGCACTCCTACCTGGATGACAGAGTGAGACCCTGTCTCTTAAAAAATAAAAAACAAAATAAAATAAAACACATAAAAGTGTATCAGTTTGACAAGGTCATTGCTGATGAGTCTTATCCCAGAAAAAGTCTATAATGCTGATGAAACATCTCTGTTTTGGCATTATTACCCCAGAAAGACTCTGACTACAGCTGATGAGGCAGCTCCTGTAGGAATTCAGGATACTAAGGATAGAATAACTGTGCTGGGATGTGCTAATGCAACAGCCACACAGAGTGTAAACTTGCTGTGATAGGCAAAAGCATGCATACTTGATGTTTACAAGGAGTGAATTTCTTAACTAGTCCATTATTATGCCAACAAAAAGGCATGGATCACCAAGGACATTTTTTTCTGGCAGTTTCTCAAATATTTTGTACCAGTGGTTCATGCACACTGCAGAAAAGCTGAACCGGATGTCCACTCCAAGATCTTGTTATTCCTTGACAACTGTTCTGCTCATCCTTCACCTGAGATCCTCAGCAGAAATGTTTATGTCATATACTTTCTCACAAAGATAACTTTATTAATTTAGCCATATGACCATGCTATCCTTAGATCAATAAACTTTTTGAACAGCATGCTAGCAATAGTGAACAGAGGCGTGGCTGTGGAAAGTTTTCAAAAGGAGTTTAGCCTGAAGGATACTATATATGCTATTGCCAGTGCTTGGAACACAATGACTAAACACATGGTTGGGCATGTCTGGCACAACTTCTGGCCTGCAACTGTGTTCAGTGATGATGACGAGCAAGGTGACAAGTTTGAATGATTCTGTATGTCAAGTGAGAAAAAAAATGATGTCTGGCCTTCTTACATATGCAAAAAATATACCTTTGGAGTCCATTAGTGAAGCTGGAAGAAGTTTTTTTACTTTCTTCTTATATTAAAGAAGTTTTTTCGTTTTGGGGGTTTATTTATTTATTTATTTATTTATTTTGAGACAGAGTCTTGCTCTGTCTCCCAGGCTGGAGTGCAGTGGCTCGATCTCAGCTCATTGCAAACTCCACCTCCCAGGTTCAAGGGACTCCCCCTGCCTCAGCCTCCCAAGTAGCTGGGACTGCAGGCACCCGCCACCATGCCTGGCTATTTTTTGTGTTTTTAGTAGAGATGGGGTTTCACAGTATTGGCCAGGCTGGTCTCAAACTCCTGACCTTGTGATCTGCCCGCCTCAGCATCTCAAAGTGCTGGGATTACAGGCATGAGCCACCACGCCCTGCCATTTTTGGGGTTTTTGAGATGGAGTCTTGCTCAGTTGCCCAGGCTGATCTTGGCTCACTGCAACCTCTGCCTCTCTGGCTCAAGCCATTCTCGTGGCTCAGCCTCCCAAGTAGCTGGGACTACAGGTGCATGCCACCATGCCCGGTTAATTTTTTTGTGTGTGTTTTTAATAGATATGGGGTTTCACCATGTTGGCCAGGCTGGTCTCAAACTCCTGACCTCAAGTGATCCTCCCACCTCGGCTTCCCAAAGTGCTGGGATTACAGGTGTGAGCCACCATGCCCGGCCTATTGAAGAAGTTTTGTTTTGTTTTTGACACAGGGTCACACTCTGTTGCCCAGGCTGCAGTGCAGTGGTGTGATCATGGCTCACAACAGCAGCAACCTCCTGGGCTCAAGGGATTCTCCCACCTGAGCCTCCCAAGTATCTGGGACTACAGGTGCGCGCCACTACACCTAGGTAATTTTTGTATTTTTGGCAAAGATGGGGTTTCTCCATATTGCCCAGGCTGGTCTCGAAGTCCTAGGCTCAAGCAATCCGCCTGCCTCAGCCTCCCGAAGTGCTGAGAAGACAGGCGTGAACCACCATGCCCAGCCTGAAGAAATTTTTGACATCGATAATGAGGCTCCAGTTGTTCATTCACCACCTGATGGTAGAATAACCAAAATGGTTCTGAATCAAGGTAATTGTCATAATAGTCATAAATTTGATTTTGTTAACACTACAGAAAAAGTGCCTATAGACAACATGGTGAAAATGTGTGATGGGCTTATTGAAGGACTAGAGCAGTGTGCATTCATTCAAGAACGAGAAATCATGACAGTTTACAAAATCAAAGAGACTTCTGAGACAGCAACCGTTGTTAATGAGGCAGAAGAGTCTAGAGGAAACATTTTTAAAAGCCATTCAGCAGAATGCCTCCTAGTCCCTAGAAGACCCACTTCCTGGTCCTTCGACTTCTTCTGATGTTTCTTCTCACCTAAAAATATAAAACACAGTGGACAGTAACCTTTTAATCACAACACAGCATCATAGGTGGAGGCTGAAAGCCTGCTGTTATTCGTTGCTACCGTTGTTTAGCAGCTGATGCAGGTGTTCTAGTGAAGCTACTGTGCTGCTGAGTTATCCTGAACATACTATTTTTTAACTGTATTAATGGGATGTTGTTTTTTTACTGTTAAGTACTTATGTGTGAATAAGTGAAAATGATTGTTAATTTGTAGCATATAAATTCAAAGTCAGGAATGAGGATGATGTCAAACAACCACAGATTGTCCACATGAGTGGCTGAGATAATGACACCTTTGCCATCTGACGATTCAGTGTACACAACTTTGTTTCATGCGCATTATTAAAATAGTGTATTAAATGAGCTTCAGGCTGTGTGAATAAGGTATATACAAAACATAAGTGCACTTTGTGTTTAGTCTTGGGTCTCATATCTCATTATGTATATGCAAATGTTTCAAAATCCCCCAAAATCCCAAATCCAAAACTCTTCTGATCCTATGTATTTAGGAAAAGGGATACTCAAATTGTGTTAATAAATGAGCTTATTTTGATTGATTATTATAGTCCTGTTTAAACCGATACTAACAAAAGAATTTGGAAACTTCCTTTTTCATATTCAAAGCTAACAAAAAACATAAGTCAGTCACAGGTAATTCAGCATCTATCAAATTTGGTGAAACCTTGGAGGTGAGATAAATTACAAGAAGGTCAGGCTAACTTAATACAACTTAATACAAAGTTAAAAGGAAAGGGCTTTTAAAAAGCTGCATTGTGTAATTAAATTCAAATTTATTTTTATAGTGGCTGTTTCCTGGTAGATGTTAAGCCACAACTTGTTTTGATGACTAGATGAGGTTGATTTTTAATTTTATGCATAATATAATTTGCATTTAGTGTGCTTACAAAATGCTGAAAAAAAAGTGTCCTTGAAGTAGATTAGGTACATCTGCTTTTGGTTGCTCTATTAGTTATCTCAGCAAATTATTTCTTTGTAGATGCAGCAAAGGTAAATGTCAGCAAAGCTTTGTCCAATTATCACATATTCCTCAGGGAAGCTTTCCACTATGGAATTCACTTTCTAAAAGTAAGCACAATTGTAAAAGATGGAGCAAAATCTCAAATACTAAGAAATAGGATGTTTTGCATATCTCAAATTACCATTGCCACTTGAATTAATGACTTGTTCTTCAAATTATTTTACACAATGGCTTTTCTCTTTCAGGATGTTCTCTTACCACCCTTTCCTTCCTTTTTGCCTGGCTAACTGTTATTTATTCTTTAATATCCACCTTAGGTGATAACTTCTTAGGGAAGCCTTTCCTGTTCCCACCCCAATCCCATTCCCAAAACAAGAGTGGGTGCCTTCCTAAATGCTCAGAGGAATACTGTGTTCCCCCATTGTAGTAGCCATACCTGTAGTGCCCAACAGCTTGTCTCCATCTCTCACTGGGCCATCTCGAGGGGAGGGACCCTGTCTGTCTCACACCACATTGCTTCTCTGGATCCTATCTGTGTTAGACTAATTAAAGATGAAGTTTATCATTCCAGAAGTAGGCCTTTGCACTGCAAACCCAGGACTGGGTAAAACAAAGCAAGCTCTCATCCCTCTCCTTGTGAGGTCTAGAAGAAAAGGAAAAAGGTAGATTCTTGGCAGGAGAGAGAAGTTAAGAATGATAGTTTCTCGGACCGGGTGTGGTGGCTCACACCTGTAATCCCAGCACTTTGGGAGGCCGAGGCAGGCAGATCACCTAAGGTCAGTCAGGAGTTTGAGACCAGCCTGGGCAACATGGTGAAACCTCGTCTCTACTGAAAATACAAAAATTAGCCAGGTGTGATGGTTGGCACCTGTAATTCCAGCTACTCAGGAGACTGAAGCAGGAGAATCACTTGAACCCTTGTGGTGGAGGTTTTGAGCTGAGATCGCGCCATTGCACTCCAGCCTGGGCAACAAGAGCAAAACTCTGTCTCAAAAAAAAAAAAAAAAAAGAATGACAGTTTCTCACCATTCCAGGTACAGGCACGTGTGTTGATGTAGAGGAAGGTGGAGTGGTTCTTGTAGCTGATTGGTCCCTAGGGAAACTGAGTCCTTCATCTAGTCAGGGCTGAGACAGCACTTGTCTTAGAAGGACTTACCAGGTAAAAGGAGAAAAGGGATAAAAGATAAAGATTCTGTTTTCAAGGCATTCATTCGATAATACAATAAATATTCACAAGACACCTATGCCAAACAGTATGTGGTGGTATCTATCTGGAGAGCTCCAGGACATTCTCTTTCGAGGGGGGACTCCTGAAGCAAAGAATGTAGGGATTCAGATCAAATAAGTCACCTATCTAGCCCTATTTACAGAGTTACCTACAAGTATCATGTGTATCCCTGATCCTTTTTTTTTTGAGACAGAATCTTGCTCTGTCACCCAGGCTGGAATGCAGTGGCACGATCTCAGCTCACTGCAATCTCCGCCTCCCAGCTTCAAGCAATTCTCTTGCCTCAGCCTCCCAAGTAGCTGGGACTACAGGTGTGTTCCACCACACCTGGTTAATTTTTGTATTTTTAGTAGAGACGGGGTTTCACCATGTTAGCCAGGCTGGTCTTGAACTCCTGACCTCAGGCAATCTGCCCGCCTTGGCCTCCCAAAATGCTGGGATTACAGGCATGAGCCACTGCGCCCCACCAATGTATCTCTGATTCTTAGGAAAGGGGTTGGGCTGCCAAGGCATATACTTTTCAAGATTGATCATTCACCTATGTACAGATAACTAAACACTAACCATACTGTTACATTGCAAACGTAACACTGGTTCCCAAACTCAAACTGCTGCATTACAAACAAATTGTTTCAGTCAGCGTTATATATGAAGCTCAAAGAGTTCAGCTAATTAGTTCAGGGGGCTGTGAGGTGACTAGAGAAAGGACATCCCATTATAAAATGGTATTTTCTTACGTGATCCAAGCCCTCAGAAGAGGATGTCCTGAGGTTTCCTACCTAGATGCTACCACATAGTGGTTTGGCATTGATGCTTGGTAAATATTTGTTGTATTATTGAATGAATACTTTGAAAATTGAATCTTTATCTTTTATCTTTTCCTCCATTTAACATTGTTCCCTGGGTTAAACTGGCAAGTATGCAGGTCACTGATAAATGCACAGCTGAGACTCCCTCTTTGGCTGAAGAATCCAGCCATGATCCCCATCAGCTATGACTATTATTTATGTGAATGAGGAAGCAGTGAAATAGTTTCTTTGCAGAGTAGCCTACAGCCTTGCTACTCAAAGTGTGATCCTTTGGCAAGTAGCGTCAGTATCACCTTGGGAGCCTATTTGAAATGAAGCATCTCAGGTCCTACCCCAGACCACCTAAAGCAGAATGTGCATTTTAACAAAATCGTTAGATGTGTAAGCACAGTACAATTTAAGAAACAGTCTCCTAGAGACCCCAAGCAGGATCAGAACATGAACCCCCACATACAGATTACCAGGCAGACAGCTCAAAAAAGGACACCTAGGGCAATCTTGAAGGAGGACTGGAGCCCAAAGATAAGAAAGGTAAGATAGTCAGCCCAAGGGTGGTGAAGGTGTTGGAGGCACAGAAAAATCAGAAGTGACATATGGATTATACCAGGTCTAGAGCTAGAACTCTGAAAGGAACAAGCAGGACCAAAATCAGTTATGGACCACGAGTTAGTGTATGATGGATCATGGCTTTGGGCTCAGAAGAGTTTTAGAGCTAGACTTCCTTATAATTCAAATCTTAGCTCAGTTGTATATTGTTCCATAATAAACCATCCTGTAACTTACTGGGTCAAAACAATAACTCTTTATTTTCCATAATGTGTAGGCAATTTAGGCAGGGCTCAGCCTAGGATGGCTCACCTGGGCTCACTCATATGTCCACAGTTAGCTTGCAAATAGGCTGAAGGATGGTTGGTCCCACATAGCTTCACTTGCCTCATATGTCTGGTTTGGCTGCCACAGTGGGATAACTGGGCCTCTATCTCTGTAAAGTCTCTCTTCCTCAAGGAGGTGAGCCTAATTTTGTTCATGAGATAGCAGTGTTCAAAAGGCAAGAGCAGAAGCTACCAGCCTTCTTGAGGTCAAAGTTTGGAAGTCTTTTCTGCTACATTCTATCAGTTAAAGCTACTCACAAGGCCAGCCTGGTGGGATGAGCTTCAAAGAAGTGTGGACATCTGCCACTCTGTCATGTACTAATGCTTTGACCTGAAACAAGTTACTTAACCTTTCTGAACCTCAGTTTTCTCTTCCTTTAACATGTGACAATGATACCTTTTTCGTAGGATTATATGAGATAAATACTTCTAGTGACAAACATGTAATCAGCACATAATAAATGGTCATTATTATTAACACATAGCTGAAGTTTGTGTTTACTATATGTATTAGTCTGTTCTCATGCTGCTAGTAAAAATGTGTCTGAGACTGGCAATTTATAAAGAAAATAAATTTAATTGACTCACAGTTCCCCAGGGCTGGGGAGGCCTCAAGAAGCTTACAATCATGGCGGAAGGGGAAACAAACATAACCTTCTTCACATGATGGCAGCAGGAGAAGTGCCGAGTGAGGGTGGGGAAAAGCCCCTTATAAAAACATCAGATCTCATGAGAACTCACTCGCTATCACGAGAACTGCATGGAGATAACTGCCCCCATGATTCAATTACCTCACACTGGTCCCTCCCACAACACATGGGGATTATGGGAACCACAATTTAAGATGAGGTTTGAATGGGGACACAGCCAAACTGTAGCACTATCCCAGTGTTCTCTCTATATAGCCTTCTTTTCAAATCTGCATACAGAGTACTTTTCAAGTGACTAAAGCATTAGATTCTCACTGGCAGGTTTGAAAAGGATTAGGAAAAGGACCTGGTGTGTGTGTGTGTGTGTGTGTGTGTGTCTCAGAGAGAGAGAGAATACTTGTGAAAAAATGAGCTGAGAAATCAAAACCACAATAAGATACCATCTCACAGCATCAGAATGGCTATTACTATTTTTATTATTATTTTTCTGAGTCAGGGTCTTACTCTCTCACACAGGCTGGAGTGCAGTGGCGCAATCTGGGCTCACTGCAGAGAATAGCTATTATTAAAAAGTCAGATAATAACAGATGCTGGTAAGGCTGTGAAGAAAAGGGAACACTTATACGTTGTTAGTGGGAATGTAAATTAATTCAACCACTGTGGAAAGAAGTTTGAAGATTTCACAAAGAACTTGAAACAGAGCTACAATTCAACCCAGCAATCCCATTACTGGGAATATACCCCAAAGAAAACAAATCATTCTACCAAAAAGACACATGCACTTGTATGTTATTACAGCTCTATTCACAACAGTAAAGACATGGAATCAACCTAGGTGCCCATCAGAAGTGGACTAGATAAAGAAAATGTGGTACATATACACCGGGGAATACTATGCAGCCTTTAAGAAGGAAAAATAATGTCCTCTGAAGGAACATGGATGCAGCTGGAGGCCATAATCTCAAGTAAATTAATTCAGGAACAGAAAACCAAATACCTCCTGTTCTCACTTATAACTGGGAGCTAAATACTGGGTACTCATGGACATAAAGATGGGAACAATAGGCACTGTGGACTACTGGAGGGAAGGGAGGGAGGGGAGTGTGTGTTTGAAAACTACCTATTGGGTACTACACTTAGTACCTGGGTGATGGGATCTGTACCGCAAACCACAACATCATGCAATGTACCCATTTAATAAACTGCACTTACACCCCCTGTATCTAAAAGGTGAAATTACAAAATAAATAAATAAAACGGTTAATTTCATGTTATGTGAATTTTACACCAATAATTTTTTTAAATTAAAAATATAAGCTGAGGACCAATGATTGACAAAAGAGACAGAAGGACTTTAGTGAAGGGAAACAAGATGTTTGCTTGCATAATTCATAGAATCGAGGTGCCAAGTTGACCCTACAGTTCACGTACCATCAACTATGCAGTCTTGCTATTCAATGTGTGGTCTGAGGACCAACAGATCAGGGTTGCCACAGGATTGTTCATAAGGAAGAGTCTTGGGCCCCAGGTCAGACCTACTGCATCAGATTCTGCACTTGAATGAAATCTCAGTGGTACATATGTACATTACAGTTTGAGAGGCAGTCTTTAAAGGAGAGCCCCTTTCCACACCTCACTTGATCTATTGTGTCTGAACTTGGGTCAATCCCTTTGGGAACAATCAAAGAGACTTACGTGTGAGATGGACCTAATGGGAAAAGGAAGAGAACATGTGTCAACCGTCTCTCATGTTGTGAGACTGGCTGGGTCATGTGAAGGGGACCAGCTTGGTTTGAGGCCATCAGTTACAGCAATGATGAGAGATATGCAGAATTTTATAGGGTATCATTTAGATATTTGTGAGTCAGAATGCAAGAATAAGAAAAACATTCAGGATGGAATCAAGCATAAATATTCTTTATCCTAGCGAATAAAGTGGTAAGCAAACTGGTGCAGGGTCTGGGTTGCCGATAGACTGGTAAGGTTGTATCTTGAAACCAGGTAAAACCAGTGATGTCTAAAGGGCATGGACTTGGAGTCACTTTTGCTATGGCAACTATAAAAAGAGTTCACTGTGTTGCAGGTCATTACCATGGAGAGAATCAAATCTTATGCCTCAGCTAAAAACCTCTGGCCAATATGAATGCTTGTTCCACTAAAGTAGTGACTTCCTTTTGTTTGGGGTGGTGTAGCTATTTTCTTAATCTGTCTTTTAATTTTGTTAAGGTTTAAAGTAGAGCGGTAGAGAAGTAAATCAAATCTATAGGGTTAGCATTTTTGTGTAAAGTCAGGAAGAGATTTTTATGATTTTGAGGATAATATGTATTTGTTTGGTATTTCAAATATTAGTAAGGGAGGTTTTCACCTTTTAGGGAATTATCCCAATTTAAAGAGTCTAATTTGTAATTTTTAATTGAAAGGCATAAGGAGGCCTTTAAAAACCTTTTTACTAAGGCTCTAAACCATTACTATAGTTACATTTTGCTAGAGTCATATATTTGAGAACATTTTGTTTGATAGAAGCATTTGAAGTGCTAAAAAAGGTCTGTATATTAAGTATGTAAATGCAGTTTGAAATTTTTAACAGGATTTAATTAACTCAATATGTAAATGAAAGTGTTTGGGAAAGTTAGTTCCTGCAGCTTTAGTTGACAGAGCTTTAATTTCCTTGAAACTGATGGTTAAACTCTACTCAATTTATAAATGGAGTAATAAGGTTTCTATGTTGAACTTCAAGGTTTAAGAAAACTAGGTTTTAGAATTAAAATGTGTTCCTTTAATTAATTTTATATTAATTAAAAAACCCAATGTATCTGCAAATAGTCTTCATTATGCCCTGAAGTTTCCATTAAGGCCACCAAAAATTGATATTGACATAAACAATTCAAATTGTTATCAGTATCTAGCAAGTTTAGAGAGATTTTAAAGCAAAGAACATTTTTTTAAGTGTGGGACACACCTCTTGTGCTAACATTTTCAAAGGCATAATCTTCAGGTTATTCCTGAAATACTCCTGCATATGATCTGTAAATAACTGGCCAACAGTCTCCACAAGTGGCCTCGCAGTCACTACCACCACCTGCTTACCTCCCAGAAACCCATCACAGGCAGAAGGGACAAGCCACCTGATAAACCAACAGGCTGAAGTTCCTCCAGGATGTCTGCCGATCCATGTATCAATTAGAGTCCCAACAATTTGTTCACTTTCCCCTCTCCAAAAGAGCCCAAGTCTATATTACAAATTGCAAATGGTCTGGAAATTCTATTTTTAAAAAGATGCTCAGTTTTCTGAGGATTTATTTTCTTTGAAGCATGAGGCTTCTTTCCTGATGATGGGGAGCCAGCCAGACACCTGAATAGAAGGAAGACTCAGGCTTCCATAGGCTGCCAAAAACTACCTCTCTTTCAGACGGAGGATTTTGCTTCTCTTAGCTCTTCTGGGGTCCTAAAAGGAGAAAAAAAGATTCACCACCAACCCTTCCTATAGAAATTGCTTTGCCCCTGAGAGCAGGATAATCCAGCTGGCTTAATAATAGAAGTCCCTGTGGAACTAGTCTACTGATGCCCCACTGGGTACTTAATGCTGACAAGTCGGCCTCTTTCCTCACCTTTGTGAAGAATTTGAGCTAAGGAGAGAAGGAGGTTGTGGGTTTGTCATAAACAGCTCTTATTATTTTGAGATATGTCCCATCAATACCTAATTTATTGAGAGTTTTTAGCATGAAGGGTTGTTGAATTTTGTCAAAGGCCTTTTCTGCATCTTTGAGATAATCATGTGGTTTTTGTCTTTGGTTCTGTTTATATGCTGGATTACGTTTATTGATTTGTGTATGTTGAACCAGCCTTGCATCCCAGGGATGAAGCCCACTTGATCATGGTGGATAAGCTTTTTGATGTGCTGCTGGATTCAGTTTGCCAGTCTTTTACTGAGGATTTTTGCATTGATGTTCATCAGGGATATTGGTCTAAAATTCTCTTTTTTTGTTGTATCTCTGCCAGCCTTTGGTATCAGGATGATGCTGGCCTCATAAAATGAGTTAGGGAGGATTCCTTGTTTTTCTATTGATTGGAATAATTTCAGAAGGAATGGTAACAGCTCCTCCTTGTACCTCTGGTAGAATTCGGCTGTGAATCCGTCTGGTCCTGGACTCTTTTGGTTGGTAAGCTATTAATTATTGCCTCAATTTCAGAGCCTGTTATTGGTCTATTCAGAGATTCAACTTCTTCCTGGTTTAGTCTTGGGAGGGTGTATGTGTCCAGGAATTTATCCATTTCTTCTAGATTTTCTAGTTTATTTGCATAGAGGTGTTTATAGTATTCTCTGATGGTAGTTTGTATTTCTGTGGGATCGGTGGTGATATCCCCTTTATCATTTTTTTTTATTATTATACTTTAAGTTTTAGGGTACATGTGCACAATGTGCAGGTTAGTTACATATGTATACATGTGCCATGCTGGTGTGCTGCACCCACTAACTCGTCATCTAGCATTAGGTATATCTCCCAATGCTATCTCTCCCCCCCCCCTTTATCATTTTTTATTGCATCTATTTGATTCTTCTCTCTTTTCTTCTTTATTAGTCCTGCTAGCGATCTATCAATTTTGTTGATCTTTTCAAAAAACCAGCTACTGAATGGGCAAAAACTGGAAGCATTCCCTTTGAAAACTGGCACAAGACAGGGATGCCCTCTCTCACCACTCCTGTTCAACATAGTGTTGGAAGTTCTGGCCAGGGCAATGAGGCAGGAGAAGGAAATAAAGGGTATTCAATTGGGAAAAGAGGAAGCCAAATTGTCCCTGTTTGCAGATGACATGATTGTATATCTAGAAAACCCCATCATCTCCACCCAAAATCTCCTTAAGATGATAAACAAATTCAGCAAAGTCTCAGGATACAAAATCAAGGTGCAAAAATCACAAGCATTCTTATACACCAATAACAGACAAACAGAGAGCCAAATCATGAGTGAACTCCCATTCACAATTGCTTCAAAGAGAATAAAAGACCTAGGAATACAACTTACAAGGGATGTGAAGGACCTCTTAAGGGGAAATACAAACCACTGCTCAACGAAATAAAAGAGGACACAAACAAATGGAAGAACATTCCATGCTCATGGATAGCAAGAATCAGTATTGTGAAAATGGCCATACTGCCCAAGGTAATTTATAGATTCAATGCCATCCCCATCAAGCTACCAATGACTTTCTTCACAGAATTGGAAAAAACTACTTTAAAGCTCATATGGAACCAAAAAAGAGCCCGCATCGCCAAGTCAATCCTAAGCCAAAAGAACAAAGTTGGAGGCATCACGCTACCTGACTTCATACTATACTACAAGGCTACAGTAACCAAAACAGCATGGTACTGGTACCAAAACAGAGATATAGACCAATGGAACAGAACAGAGCCCTCAGAAATAATACCACACATCTACAACTACCTGATCTTTGACAAACCTGACAAAAACAAGAAATGGGGAAATGATTCCCTATTTAATAAATGGTGCTGGGAAAACTGGCTAGCCATATGTACAAAGCTGAAACTGGATCCCTTCCTTAACACCTTATACAAAAATTAATTCAAGATGGATTAAAGACTTACATGTTAGAGCTAAAACCATAAAAACCCTAGAAGAAAACCTAGGCAATACCATTCAGGACATAGGCATGGGCAAGGACTTCATGTCTGAAACACCAAAATCAATGGCAACAGAAGCCAAAATTGACAAATGGGATCTAATTAAACTAAAGAGCTTTTGCACAGCAAAAGAAACTATGATCAGAGTGAACAGGCAACCTACAGAATGGGAGAAAATTTTTGCAATCTACTCATCTGACAAAGGGCTAATTCCAGAATCTACAAAGAACTCAAACACATTTACAAGAAAAAAACAACCCCATCAAAAATTGGGCAAAGGATATGAATAGACACTTCTCAAAAGAAGACATTTATGCAGCCAACAGACACATGAAAAAATGCTCATCATCACTGGCCATCAGAGAAATGCAAATCAAAACCACAATGAGATACCATCTCACACCAGTTAGAATGGTGATCATTAAAAAGTCAGGAAACAACAGGTGCTGGAGAGGATGTGGAGAAATGGGAACACTTCTACACTGTTGGTGGGACTGCAAACTAGTTCAAGCATTGTGGAAGACAGTGTGGCGATTCCTCAGGGATCTAGAACTAGAAATACCATTTGACCCAGCCATCCCATTACTGGGTGTATACCCAAAGGATTATAAATAATGCTGCTGTAAAGACACATGCACACGTATGTTTATTGCAGCACTATTCACAATAGCAAAGATTTGGAACCAACCCAAATGTCCATCAATGATAGACTGGATTAAGAAAATGTGGCACATATACACCATGGAATACTATGCAGCCATAAAAAAGGATGAGTTCATGTCTTTTGTAGGGACATGGATGAAACTGGAAACCATTATTCTCAGCAAACTATCACAAGGACAAAAACCGAACACTGCATGTTCTCACTCATGGGTAGGAATTGAACAATGAGAACACTTGGACACAGGAAGGGGAATATCACACACCGGGGCCTGTTGTGGGGTTGGGGGAGTGGGGTGGGACAGCATTAGGAGATATACCTAATGTAAATGACGAGTTAATGGATGCAGCACACAAATATGGCACATGTATATATACGTAACAAACCTGCACGTTGTGCCCATGTACCCTAGAACTTAAAGTATAATAAATAAATTTAAAAAAAGAGAGAAGGAGGCTCATACAAAGAGCATGCTTCTTCTGAAAGGCAAGATCTTAAGGCTTTTGCTTCTAAATCAATGTGCCTGGTGCAAGGTTATGTTGTGGTCCCCTCCCCTTCTTTCTGATGACTTTCCTTCCTGCAGTTTGTCTTCTTCAGTATCTTGTCATATCGCAAAATACTGGGCTTTGTGTGTGCTTATTTATCTTCCTCCCACCTCAGAATGCTTCAGAGCAAAGCCTGGGTTGTGTTCATCCTTGTTTTCCCCTGTGGCTTCTTCCAGAGAAACTTGCATGTCATAAGTACTCAAAACATATTTGTGGAATGAACAAATGAATGAGCTGTCATAGCCACTGATCACACAGGAAGGTTTACAGAGAAGAACATGGAAGTGCTATGTTCTCAGTTTGCTTCAAGTTCTGAGTTGGTTTTTCTTTCCCCTACTTTAAATTTTAAATGTAGGGACCAGGCGCAGTGGCTCCTGCCTGTCATCCCAACACTTTGGGGGCCAAGGTGGGAGGATTACTTGAGCCCAGGAGTTAGAGACCAGCCTGGGCAACATGGAGAAAACCCATCTCTACAAAAAATGCAAAAATTAGCTGGGTATGGTGGAATGTGTGTGTGGTCCCAGCTACCCAAGAGGCTGAGGTGGGAGAATTGCTTGAGCCCGGGAGTTTGAGGCTGCAGGGAGCTGTGATTGTGCCACTGCACTCCACCTCTGGGTGACAGAGCAAAACCCTATCTCAAAACAAACAAACAAACAAACAAAACACAAACATTAAATGTAGGATTAACCATACCATCATGACTATGGTGTATTATTAAATATGTGCATATTTTATGTTTAAAATCTATTCTTAATTGTCTGCACTAATGGAGAGAGAATTACAAACATAATTGGAATAGGTCTTAGAAATTATCTAACTGGCAAATAACTATTATTATTAATGTCTATTGTTTTTAAGCATTTACTATATCCCAGGTCTTGTGCTAAGCACTGTATATACATTATTTCATTTAATGATGGAAACAACCTCATACAATAGATAGTATTATTATTCTACTTTACTGATAAAAAAATACCCCATGATATTATATAACTTACCTTGGGTGGCAGAGATAATTTAAATATTTGTATATCTGACTTTGATTACAGTAGATTTATCTTTCCAATAAATTTCATCCAAGCTAAAATGAAAATCATTTACATTTTTAGAAAATAGAAATTGATGATGGCAAGAAGTGGCCCAGAAGTGGTTGCAGCCAGTAGGAAATTAAAATTAGCTTCAAGTTATGCATTTGTCTTTTTAGAGAATGTTATTGAATACTTAGCATGTGTAACACACTGTTCTGGGTTATGTGGGTGGATATGGGAGGCATGAAATTATTTAGGACAAGGTTCCTTCCCGCAAAGAGCTAAACATCTAATAATGGGGTTATGCCCTGATTTCAAATAATAATAATACAAGATAGAGCATGTTGGCCCATGAGGAAGAAAACAGATGAAGTGTCCAGGTTCTGATAAGGGAAATATCACTTACAGTTGGAGGAATGAGGGGGTCTTCAGAGAAAAGGGCACGTAAGGGGCCTTGGAGTATGCAGAATCTGGTTTGGAGGTGATAGGGGCAGAGGATGAAGGGGAGCCCTTGTGACAGGGAGAAGAGCATCAGCATGTGCAAAGCCAGCCTGACACAGTCACCCAGCGCTTCAGCCACTCTCTTCCCAGCACCGCCACTTCTGACCCCACAGACAGGTTTTACAGCAGGAGTATAAGGCCAGCTGCCACACCTACACACTGATTTGTCTTTTCCTCCATCTCTGATCTCTCTCTGTCTCCTGGTTCTCTCCCAGTAGTTCATACACATGTTCAGGTTTTCTCCATCTAAAAAAAAAAAATTCCTTCCATAATTTTGTATCTCCTTGTGGATATTTGTTTTTTTCTATCACAGTCTTCAAAAGCAAGTCTCTGTTTGTGGTCTCCATGCTCTTATCCTCTATTCTCTCCTCATCCCAATGAAATTCAGCTCTTTTACTCAGTGCCCTTACTGTACCCTACCGGGCACCCCACCTCCCACCTCGTGCACCTCAAGAGAGAGAACCGCTTGCCAGGATGATCGATGACCTCCTCATTGCCAACTCCCATGGTCACGGACACGGCCTGGCTGGCAGGTGACGTGGCTGCTCACATTCTTTTTCATGAAAACCTGATTCTCCTCAGCTTCTGGCCTCCAGCTTGCTGTCCTTCGCTGGCTCTTTCTATGTACAAGTTTAGAGTGGTGTCTCTAACCTTGGTATTCAGCCTGTGTTTAGTCTCAGTGCACACTCAGTCCTCGAGTGAATTTACTGAATCTGGTGGACTCAACCACTATCTCTGTTCAGATAAGTACAAGAGAGCTCTAACAAGGACTCCCAAATCTGTGCTTCCTGAACTCCCTTTATGCACCAGGTCTCTGGTGCCTGAATGCTCATACTGTTTTCTGAGCTACCGGACCAGACATCTCCACCTACACAGGCCACAGTTCCTCAAACTTATCATGCTCAAATGGAGCAGATCCACTCTTCCCTCATTCCTTAATCTAAATTTCTACTGAGTTCCTCATCTATATTAGTGGTGCCATTCTTCACCCATATGTCCAAGGAGAAAAATCTAGAACCTCTTCTCTATATCCCTTTGGCGTCTTGTTAAAGCTATGTCTCAAAGCTCTCTGGGAACTGTTCTTTCTTCTCCACTCTTACTGCTAACCCACCTGAGCATCTCCTACTTGGACTATCCTGAGTCTCCTATATCTTCCCATCGTCTGCATCTTTTCCTTCAAATTCATCTTCCCCTGTGCCGTAGGAGTAAATTTCCCAGTCATCACGAAGCTATATTACTCTGCTGCTTATGATGCTCCATCACATTGGGGGCAAAGACCACACCCCTTAAAAGGACATTTAAGGCCCTGGGTGCTGGCTCAGCCTCCCCTCCCTTCATTCACCCATAGCCACCCAAGTTCTAGTCACACCCGACTACTTAACAGTTCCCCTCTCAAGCCTTTTGCGTGCCCTTTTTGTGGTTCTTTCTGGCTGGGATGTCCTTGACTCCTGCCCACCTGAAAAACTAATACTGCCCTTGAAAACTAAGACATTCCTGACATCTCCAAGAAGAGTTGGTGATCTCCGACTGTGAGGAGCCCCTACAGGGTCAGACTTGGACTCATTTTTTAATATCTAGGGTTGGTACAGAGAGGCCTTAGTAGATGTTGTCTTAGTTTGAGCTGCTATGACAAATTACCACAGACTGGCTGGCTGAAACAGCAAACACTTGTTTCTCACTCTACAGTTTTGGATGCTTGGAAGGATCTGAATCTGGATCCTTCCCAGCCTCAAGAGGTCCAAGATCAAGGGACAGACTGATCCGGGGTCTGGTGAGGGCCTCCTTCATGGTTTGCAGATGGCTATTTCTCTTTGTATCCTCACATAGTGGAGAGGAGAGAATGAGAGAGAAAGGAAAAGAGAGAGAGAGAACCCTCGTGTGTCTCTTCTTTTAAGAGCACTAATCCTATTCAAGAGGGCTCTAACCTAATCACCTCCAAAGTCCCCACCTCCTAATACCATAGCATTGGGAGTTAAGATTTCAACCTATGAATCTTATGGATACACACAATCAGTCCATAACAGATGCTACAGGAAAATGAAGAGTTAACAGTCTCAAGCTTCTACCCTAATGCTTTAAGGATTTAAGCAGCAAGGCTCCAAGAGGAGTTTTGTTTTTAATTAATTCAAAGAATCATCTGATAAAGTACATGATCAGTGATAGTAAAGGGTGGTTTTCACAGGATCTTAAACTTTTTCTCTCGTCAGGTTCCTTACTGGAGTTTGGCACGAGGGAAGTGAATTCACTCTGGGTGGGAACAAAAAAGCCATTTAGGAGCCCTGCCATCCCCCCTGCAGCCTCTCTGATCTCTGATAGCAGCTCAAGGAGTTGGCTGCCCCCAACTGTCCCCTCTACCTCCTAATATTAGAAATGAAGCTGAGATGGAAATTATTTCCTTTTTTGAAATCTCACTTCTGTAGGTGATCTGCCACCTTGCAAAGAGCTCTCTATTGTTACACAACATCATTAATGAGAGCAGCCTTGTGGAGGATTAAACTGTTATCGATCTTTCATTTTTAAGAACGCTTTAGATTTGCAACATAGAATAGTAAGTTTGCGACATTATAGAAACCAAATAAAAGATTAGTGTGATTAAATGAAAACCACCACCAATTAATTTAATCTAGACTAAAAACTGCAAAATGGTTACTAATACTTCTCATAATTACAGTATCATTAAGGTGCCTTTTTGGGTTGTTTTTGTTTCTTTGTAAATGGGATTTAAGTAACATACCCTATGAAATAATAAATCTAACTGCGTGACTACCAGGTGCAAGAATTCTATTTGTGTGGCATGAACAGGGCTGTTAATCCCTCACTCGTTCTTTTCTGTTTGGCAGCTAAACATTTCCTGGTGTGCCCTGTAATAACAGGCAGCTGTCCTGTCAGCTTCACTGAAAAATGAGATAATAAGGCAGGCAAATGATGTCCTTTATGTCCCGAATCTACTACTTCCTGCAGTTTTCTTCTCAAATGCTTTAAGTAACAAGGATCTGTGCAATTTTCACACTGTTTCTTCTTCTCAAAAAGTTTGTCCAAATTCTTGGTGAATGTCATTTCCCTTTGGGACATTTGGTGGAAAAAAAGGCAGCCTGCTTCATTGCACCAGGACAGAAGGCATCCAAAAAGCCTCTGAATAGGGTTTGTAAATGAAAATCCCCCCTCAAAAGCAACTGAGGTGATCGGAACTGTAGCTAGGGCCTGGAGGGATGGGTTTGGCTCCCATAGAAGACAACCGTTGTGGACCTTTCTGTTGTGCCACTGGAATAACTGGCCCTTTTTTCAGAAGCTGCAGTAAGAGCAACAATATCCGGCAAGTCTTGAAAAAGGGCTGCCTGGCTGGGAAAATGGCGCCAGGTGGGGAGGATCTTCTCAACCCTGAGAGCTTGGGGCAGTGTACAATGTGTGTAAGTTTGAGGGATCTTGAAGGTCACCTGTGTCTCTGCCACATTTTACCAAAAAAAGGAAGTTGAGATTCATGCCGGAGGGCAATCTTGGCTTGAACCCAGGCATCCCAATGACCGGTTTAGTGTTGATGCCTTTCCCTAAGAAAGGGGTGCATTTTACAATCTGTGCTAACTCAAGACTGATAACACAATAGATACCCCCTGCTTTAAATCCTGTTCCTAATGTTAAAGATGCTTAGTGTTCAGAGAACATACGTGATAGAAATGGATTTTTAAGGACTCATTCAAAAATCATTCATGAATCACTCAGTGGGCAGGGGTTAGAGAGACAAATAAGTCAATTGATTTTGCTGCTCAGAGTAGTGTCTCAGGAGGTGGTGATAACCAGAGAAACACATTCCAGACAGCCTAGACACGGGGGTGGTGTGTGTGTGTAGCAGGAGGGGCCTGCAGTCTGAATCAGTAAACTCCTCTTAAACAGCCCACGAGAAAAATACTTGCTTCACTTCATCAACTTAGTCTAACTATACAGACTCCACTTTTCCTTGGGAAGGAGGATCCTGCTTCTGTGACAAAGTTAGATTCTTCTTTCTCACCCTTTGCTGGGATTAGCCTTAAAAACAGATGCAGGACAAGGACTGCCCTGGGGGCTGGAGACACTGTGCCTGCTGTTTGCCACAGGCTCTGGGAGGCCTGTGCAGCCACCTGGGCTTAGAGAGTGAATCAGTGGCTGTCCTGAGCAGAGCTTTGTCTGGCCTGGCCCTGGGCAGGGTTCAGGCAGGTCTGCAGGGGAGGTGCCCTGCAGAGCTGCTCACAACCCTATCATAATTTAATAAAGAGCTGAAGAGAAAAGAGGAATTTTATAAAGGGTTGAAAAAATCGACTTTCCAGGCAATACTTTTGCCTCCCTCATCTTTTTAAGACTGCAGTCAAGGTAAGCTCTATGCAATATTGAGAGGCTATTGTGGTTTGGTAGCACTCTGCCCTACCCTTACTGTGGGAATAAAGCACCCTTTTATTCACTCACTACTTCCTTTCTCCATCCTTCTCCCCTTCCCCACCCAAAGTTTTCTTTCCTCTCTGTTCCTGTTCTCAGGAAAGAATTCTATACCTAATATTTGTTGAGCTCTAATGGCATGTTCAAGCACTGGTTCAATTGCTTTGCAAGTATTAACTCATTGAATCCTTATAACAACCCAATAAAGTGTTTCTATTGTTATCCAAAGTCACACAGCTGGCAAGTAGAAGGAATTAGGGTTCAAATCCAGGACATTTGGATTCAAAGTTTCTTTCTATAAGTCCTTTGGGAGTGGATGATCGATTTGTCCAAAAAAAAATGCTATCCAATACAGTAGTCACGAGTCACATGCAGCTATTGAAAGTCACATCTAAATTAATTAAAATTAAGCAAATTGTACAGTCAGTTGCTCAGTCACACTGATCACATTTCAAGTATCCAGCAACCACAAGTGGCTGCCAGCTACTGTATTGGACAGCACAGGTAAAGAACATCTCCAGCATCACACAAAGCCTGAATGGGCAACACTGCCCTAGACAATCCCTGACTTCTTATAATTTTACTCTGTTTAATAAAGGCCAAGAATGATAACAAAAACAAACAATAAAAACCTGTGATCTTCTAAAAGTATAGTAATGAAATGTAACTTTTGAAGATTTTTCAAGCAATATTTATAGACTGAAAAAAAGTTCTTCCTGGAAAGATGTTTCTAGTGTATCCAATGGGGGAAAAAAAACCCAAATACCACAGCAGTATGTAATGTGGAATAACATTTTTGTTAAAAACAACAACAACACACACACTCACACACATGCACACACAGAGAAACATCTAGAAGGACAACCACACATTGTTAACCATGGTTATACTTCTCGTGAAGTAGATGCCAGGGAAATGATGTGTAGCTAGGAGTAGATTTCCTTTTATGTTTGTTTAAATTTTTAAATAACATTTATGACTTGCTTTGATATAGGAAAAAATCTAGAAAATAAAATTCATCCAGTGAAAAAAGATAAGAAATGTGCTTTGTAAAATATTCTGATTTGGTGTTTGGATGATAAGATCTCCGTAGTCATAATTTTTAAAGTGCTATCCCATCCTGAGAACATTTGCATTTTTCGAGAAGACAAATTCTTATAAGCTTAAGTCACAAGACAGAAGTTGTGAGGAGAGAATTTCAGGTGGCAGGAACCTGAGCAGGACCCAGGAGAGAACTGGGAACCTTCCTCATGCCTGAGATGCTACCACAGAGACTGCCGCTCTGTCCTCCCTGATCCAGCCACACCTGTGTGTCCCTGTGACATCCGGGACAGCCATCAGAGGCTCTTTCAGCTTGTACTGGGAAGTACAAGGTGCAAAGAGCTGGGAGAGTGAGAGGCAGATTGGGGTAGAGTCAGTGCAGGGGCGGGGTATGGGGTGAAGGCCCAGGCTCGGGACTTCAGATCCAGCAACACAGAGCTCGTGGCTCCTGCTCAGGCCCTCACTGCTCTTAGCCATCCTCTCATCATCCCTTCACATCCTGTGCCAATCAAGACAGCAGGGGGACTGAGCATTGGAGGTCAAGAATTGCCCTCACTTGCTTAGCTGAGTACCTGGCCTCTTCTTGTCTCTACCCTCCTGCATTTTCTTCAGGCTTTTTTTTTTTTTTTTTTAAATAAAGAATATCCCAGCTAGGTGCAGTGGCTCATGCCTGTAATCCCAGCACTTTGGGAGGCTGAGGCAGGCGGATCACTTGAGGCCAGGAGTTCGAGACTGGCCTGGCCAACATGGTGAAACCCTGTCTCTACTAAAAAGATAAAAATTAGCCGAGTGTGGTGACATGTGCCTGTAATCCCAGCTACTCTGGAGGCTAAGGCAGGAGAATTGCTTGAACCCAAGAGGTAGAAGTTGCAGTGAGCTAAGATCACACCACTGTGCCACTGGACTCCAGCCTGGGAGACAGAGTGAGACTCTGTCTCAAAAAAATAAATTAATTAAAAAAAAAAAGAAAATCCCAATACACACACACACACACACACACACACACACACATTTTAACACTTGCTAAAAATATTTGCAAAAAAATTTTTTAAAAAGAAGAAGAAGAAAATCTGCACTGTGATATGTTCCAACATTCCAAATTCATCTCCATCGGCTGGCTTTAGGGGCAAGCACAAGTGTGGGTGTGCTCCGGTTCAGCCGTCCCTCCAGAGCTGGGCTGGTTCTCCTGTTCTCCCCGTAGAGCAGCGGCTGGGTTTTTCTGCCTCACAGCAACGGGGCAAATGTGACTTCTCAGACAGAACTCTTAGAAGATGTGTTAAACAGGCAGGTCATCCACAAGCAAGCGGAGAATGGTGCACATGTCTGGTGCCAGGGGCAGGGGCTGAGAAAAGGCCTGCTAGAGACCACCCGCCAGAGCTGATGTGGTCCTGATGGCCCCCTGGGGGCAGAGGAAGCTTTCCCCCTCTTCTTTCCCCACCAGAATGGGCAGACTGCCCGAGCAGTCGGCTGAGGAAGAGAAGAGAGTGTTGTCGGCACATATGACAGGCGGGGGGTGTAGGGGCAGAAAGCAGAAGAGAGTGCTGGTCACTTGCATGTCCTTTCAACATGAAGCACATTTGTGGTTTATAGCTTCTGTCGAGGGATTGAAAGGCCTAGGGTTCAAACCCTCCTGTCTCAAGGGAAAGAAAAGGACTCTTATTAAGAAAACATTTCTAGCAGCTCATCTTGAAGGATGCACTGGTGAGGCCCTAACTCTTGACCCCTGTGTGAGAAAGCGTGTCACTAAGTAGAAAACCGGAAGGCCCGTGACCCCAGTCCCCAGCTACAAATTCCTCCCTAGGCTCAGCCACACAAACCGCTGTGCTTGGAGCTGCAGAGGCGCTGGGAAGGCCCTGAGGGAGGCCGGGCTGAGAGGGCCCCTCAGCTGGCGGAGGCCTCACTGAGAGGCCTTTCAGCTCTTTTCTGTGAGAAATTTGTGTCCGAGATGTGGTGTTCAGAATATGTGGCATTTACGAGTCTAGGGAGCAGTGAATGATGGGGAGGGAGCCTTCTTTTTATCTCATGAATTTAAATGCAAAGAAAAGAAATTCGCAACACTTAGCTGAAAAGAAAAATACAGGAGAAAGGGACTCTGTGTCACCTTGAAATGCTTTCCTTCCAGAAAAACAAAACTTTTAGCTGACATTTGCACTAACAATTTTGAGAAGTGACCTATCTGGTACTACTGCTTAAAAATAAACACAGGATTCCTGTTGTAGGCTGTGTCTTCTAAGGATAATGAAGCTTTACCAGGCTTCTATAGGGGCAGTTGTGTCCTGGTGTCATTGGATTGATTCTTGCCAGGCCATTGTCAGGTTGCAATTCCAGTCAGAATAGTTTTTCAAGGGACAGAAACAGTTCGTACTAAATGCCAAAGAAAGATTTCCCTCTGTTGGTGACCAAATTAAACTCTCTTGGCCAGGCATGGTGGCTCACACCTATAATCCCAGCACTTTGGGAGGCCGAGGCTGGTGGATCACTTGAGGTCAGGAGTTCAAGACCAGCCTGAGCAACATGGCGAAACCCCGTCTCTACTAAAAATACAAAAATTAGCCAGGCATGGTGGGGAGTGCCCGTAATCCCAGCAACTCGGGAGGCTGAGGCAGGAGAATCGCTTGAACCTGGGAGGCGGAGGTTGCA
Source organism: Homo sapiens (assembly GCF_000001405.40). Lineage (NCBI taxonomy): Eukaryota > Metazoa > Chordata > Mammalia > Primates > Hominidae > Homo > Homo sapiens. The sequence continues at coordinate 53,958,732 of NC_000004.12, read as the reverse complement.
GTGAGCCCAGATCGCGCCAATGCACTCCAGCCTGGGCGACAGAGCGAGACTCTATCTCAAAATAAATAAATAAATCAATAAACCCCCTCCAATTTGCCAGAGTAGGATGAACAGCGCCCTCTGGAAACCTCCATCAACGCATTTCTGCCCTGAGCCAAACCTCCTGCTGAGGATTCCACCTGGGAGGTCTATGTGGAAACGTTTTAGTGAAATTATTCCTTACTTAGGTGCCTCTTTTAAGAGTGTTGCATTCACATCCGGAATCTGTTGAAGAGGACATAAAAATCATTTCGGACAGAAAAAGCAGTTCAGACAGAATTACTACAGAGCTGCTTTTATCTCAGTTTCCGGAACAGCACATCCAATCCTAAACGGGCCATCCCATTCATGGCTTGTCAGTGACGATTTTGGACCATGCCTGTAAAAAGGTTAAGAAGTAAAGATTTTGAAAAATGTTTCCAAGTATTTTCATCGTAATTCTTTGCAGCAGTCATGCAAGGGGCCCCTGTGAGCATTTCTTAGGAATGGCGTTAGGCTGAGCAAGTCGCTCTGTGGAGACCGAGCACAGTCTGTTCTTGTTATTCAGGTAGTTAGGTTCTGTAGAGTCTCTGCGAATGCTGAATTAGAAAGTAGGGAACTATTACTTCTGGGGAAATACAGGGTTAGGTTCTTCAAGCCTCTGGTCACAACATTTTCATCAATGGATCAATACGTAACCTTGTTTTGTGTGTGTTTCTGTTTACAGACACATTATTTATTTTTTTTTTGAAACAGAGTTTCGCTCTTGCACCCCATGCTGGAGTGCAATGGCACAATCAATGGCAACCTCCACCTCCTGGGTTCAAGAGATTCTCCTGCATCAGCCTCCTGAGTAGCTGGGATTATAGGCGCCCGCCACCACGCCCGTCTAATTTTTTTATTTTTAGTAGAGACTAAAAATACATTTTGGCCAGGCTGGTCATGAACTCCTGACTTCAGGTGATCTGCCCCCCTCGGCCTTCCAAAGTGCTGGGATTACAGGAGTGAGCTACTGCGCCCGGCCCACCTTATTTAATATATATTGTTGATTCATTAATGTTGAACTCATGGCCAGTAGCACTATAACTCATGCTTGACCTAAGCTTCTCTAACACACATACTTTGTATGTCCTCTAAAAGGCCAGACAGCGTTGCAGCCATACACTGTAGTGTGGGCCATTTTATACAGTGAAACTAACAAGAAGCACAAATATGGGAAAAATGTGACACTATGTAGACCTAGAAAAGGACACTTGTTAGAATAGGAGCTGAAACAAGAAGGCAAAGTGTTGCCTTGTTCAACCTCATCTGGGAACATTCCCATTGGGCAACTCACTTTTTTTGCCACAATGCATGTCCATGAATGATGAAAAAATCCCTGCCAAATATTGGTTTTGCAGTTACCAATACATTTGAGCAAGGAGGCAAATTCATAAATATGAAATCTGTGAATAATGAAGATTGACAGGGTAAGAGTCTATCAGCCCTGTTCTTGTTCCGTAATATTTCCCTGACAGTTCTAAATTCATCATTGTTACCTTGCCTATAGAAAGGCAACAACCTCTAGGAAGGGAAACAAATTATGTTATTTTAATCATTGGTATCTTATTATGGATTTATTTATCAGCCTCTTTGCTGAGAAGGAAAGAGGCTGATATATACCCTTTCTAAATCTAAGTCTTTCTAAATCTAAATCTTTCTAAAGGGTATATAGAAAGATATACCCTCTCTGTATCTGAAGGCAGGTATAGAAAAGGGTAGTGTTTGGAGTTGTGGGCTAGAGTTGATAGAGAACTGTACACATGAAGATAGGAAACTAAGAAGGCATTATTAATGTTAGAATGTATCTTCATTCCTCCTGAAAGATGGTGGGACACTAGAAGACCACCTTCCTATGGCCAGAGCACCCACCACCCCATCCAGTTCCCTTCCTCCCCTTCCCCACCCCCAGACAATTGCCAGAATTCAATTGCACTTCATTATCTTGTCCTCAGTCAGCCAGACATTCTAACCAAATGCCACTGATTTGCTCACTTCTGAAAACACTTCCTGCTTATCATGGGGGCTGGAAACATCTGTTCTGGGACCAGGTTTACTCTGTGTAATGATCCCTGAGATCTTAACTCATTCAAGTCAATTTGATGCAATAATCATTTCTGAGTTTCCTTTCACACCAGGCAAAAACCTATGGCCCCAGTGCTGAGTTAGCTGAATCTGAGTGGACAGGGAGAGAGTGGATGAGGGACCTCATCTTACCTGGTAAACTGCACTGTGAATTCTGTGTCCTCACTAATGAGGCCTGAGTGCCTGTCCACATCCCTGTCTGCTTGTTTGACCAGAATTTTATGAACTGTAGATTCCTTGGCCTCAGGCTAGACTTCCTGACTTCTATCGCTGACTTGTGACTGACCTCTGCCCCCAGAATTCTCCGTGGTCCTGTCTTCATTTTCCAGTTTCCTGACCTCTTGCTTGGGTTGATCTGTAGCGGCCACAGGCTTTGTAACTCTCAGCTTGCCTGCTCAGTGACTTCCTAATGATGCTAAGTCCTGCTGGTGTCATACCCTGCCCCCCAGGGTGATGCTGCAGTGGTTCAAGTCCCTACCTGGGAAGGGGTCTGGATTCTGCGCCCACCACAGGGCATTCTGCCAGATGCGTTAAATCAAGGAAGAGCCAAGACTTGGGAAATAGCCATGCTTGCTATTTTCAGGTCTGTCATTGGCTTACTAGGAACTGCTGAGCAGGAAATCTGCATCGAGGGTGTCACATTTTCTTCTGTGTCAATGATAATCATACATTGTTAACACCAGAAAAGACAATTTCTTCATGTCAAAGATAGAAAACTGAGTCCCGGAAGAGTTGAAGAAATTTGCCCAAAGTCAGGCAGCTATTAAATAACAACTGGGACTAAGAAGCCAGGGTACCTGATCCAAATCTAATCCCGGGTCCATTATACTGTGTGGTGGGTCATTTTAGCTGAATGGGGCACATAAGAAAAGCAAGATTGCACCTCTTATAATTATCTGAGTTCAAGTGCAGATAATAGAAACCACTTTAGATACTTCAAGGAGAAAGGGATTTCAGAAGGACTCTAGGTGCTTACAACATTGCTGGAAGGGCTGGAAAAACAGGCCATCTGTGAATGGCTTCCAGAAAGACACATTAGAATTGGCCTGTGTAGGGGACTGCCTTCTCCATCTCATTCTGAGGACTCAGAGAGCTGCTATTCCAGCCACTGGGTCCAGGTACCCTGCCTTGACTGTGATCTGGAGATTAGAAAGCCACTCCCAGAACTGTAGGCCCCAGACTGCACTACAACAATCTGCAAAGCAGAGTCTTGCATGCCACTTCTCTCTGCCTAGATCTGTCTCAAAATCAAGTCTCTGGCCAATGAAGCTTATTGATGCAACCTAAATCATATCAGGAATGCTATCTACATGAAAGTCTGGGATATCTGGACTTGAGCTTTTTGGGTAATCCAACATAGGAAGGAAACACACCAGAAGGAGGCTGGAATGGACTTTGAGTGAGTGACTCTACAGCGTTCTTACCCCACAATACCTCAGTTTCCTTGTCTCTAATAGGAAAACTGATTTTGCCTACTTCATTGTTATAAACAGTTAGTAGTTTATATTGTAAGTAAAACACTATTCCTGGGACATCATGAATACTCAATAGGTAGTAGTTATTATTTTTAGAACTTCAGCTATGAACTTTATGCAGGTTTCACAGTCCACTTATATTGAACTTGTTTTGAGTTCATTTTTCTGTGTACTAAACCTAAGCTTTCAATCTTTTTTTTTTTTTTTAGACAGAATTTCACTGTCACCCACAGTGTGCAGTGGTGCAACCTCAGCTCGCTGCAACCTCAGCTCGCTGCAACCTCAGCTCGCTGCAACCTCCACCTCTCAGGCTCAAGAGATCTTCCCGCCTCATCTTCCTGAGTAGCTGGGACTACAGGTGCATGCCACCATAGCTAATTTTTGTATTTTTGGTAGAGATGGGGTTTCATCATGTTGCTCAGGCTGGTCTTGAACTCCTGAACTCAAGTGATCCACCTGCCTCTGCCTCCCAGAATTCTGGGATCACAGACGTGAGCCACAGCACCTGGCCACTTTCAATCTTCTTCAGCCTTGTGAATTTATTAGGTGTGGCTGACTTTGTAAAATTGTTTGACTAAAAAAAAATAAGTTTTTGTTAAAATAGGGCTTGGATTCTTACCCAATTGAAATAAACTTTCAGCAATTATCTTAACTCTTCATTTTACAAGGAGAAAACTGAGGCCCAGAGAGGTGAGAGGACTTGATCAAAATAAAATCATTAACTCATTTTAAAGCCAGGATTAGGAATAGTCTAACACCCCTTCTCATATGATTAACCAAAAATACTAATGTTGAGGGTTGAATCTTCAATTTTACAAATACTACCAAAAATTGTAGTTGAGTTCCAATTTTCAAAAATCAATCTGTTTTTGCAATTATATACAGATTGGGAAAAATGTTCATTATACTAAAAGAAAAAACATAATAAAGGCTGTCTTAAGCAACAGTCAACATTCTATGTAAGTATTAAATGTTAGAGGAACTCCTTTTAACATAAAAAATTAGATGAGGACACCTTCTATCATCATTGTAATTTGTTGTTATAGAAGTCCAAGCTAATTCATAGAGATAAGAAAAAGAAATTAAGTGTAACTGTCAGTAAGAAGCAGACCAAATTATCATTATTTGCAAATCTTTAGTGTTATACATAATGTATAATTTTCTACCAGGAAAACCCAAAAGAATCAATTGAAAAATTATAGTATTAGATACACATAGTAAGAATCCAGTTATATGGCCAGTTACAAAATAAACATTTAAAGTTAACTGCTTTCTTTCATCTCAGTAATAATGAGTTAGAAATTATAATACAAAAATAAAATCCTATTCTCAGTATCAACACAAATCATAAAATACCTAGAAGTAAGTTAGCAATAAACACTGGGCCCTGGAAACAAACAAACAAAAAAAGATATCGCTTAGCAAGAAATGTGCTGGACATACAAGAAGAAAATAACAGTGTTTTGCTAAGGGACAGAGTAGAGACTTGAATAAATGAAAAACATACTTTAGTCCTTAGAGGAAAAAACTAATAATGTAAAGATGTCAATTCTCCCCAAAGTAATATATTCCTTTAATGCCTCTCCAATAAAAATCCAAAAGAAGAGTCTACAGGGATTTCGGCATGATTCTAAAATTCATCTAGAAGATTGTTTATGTAACTGAAAACTCACAAAACAATACAATATTTTATTTATGGGCAGATATATATGAAGTTAAAGTTTTAACACATGGCCTGGAAGTTTCCATGCCAAGTTCATGTTGGTGGTTACTTCTAGGGTGGGAGGAAGGGGAGTGAGTGGGAAAACCAAGCCTAAGGGACTTTGAATCAATCTGTCATATTTTATTTCTTTTCTAAGAAACATGTTTGAAGCAACTATGTTAAAATACTAACATTTAATAATATGCGGTAGGTGGTATCAAAGTATTTGCTGTAATTTTCTGTTTTTATTTTATTCTTTCCAAAAAGAAGACTGAGGGGGATGAGGCAGCTACACTGCCAGATATTTTGACTTCTCCATGATGAATATAGTAGTTTTTGCACACAAATAAGTCAATGACACTAAAAAACAAACAAACAAAACAAACTAGAAACAGATCGAGGGGGAGGAGTTATTCTAAATCAGTGAGGGAATGAACAAATGATGTTCACATCATCATACATCAATTTTTTTTCCAGAGAGTTTAAAAAACAGAAAATAAAATTGAGCAAGAAGAAAATATCACTATATATTTATCGGATTTCAGGTAGAGAAGGTCAAAATCTCTGAACCCAAATATACTCTTTAACAAACAGGCTATCACATCCTTGAAGTAGGACCAGAAACAGGTACATTTGAACTTTGTGAGCAAGAGTGAATTTTGTATAATCTTTTGGGGGGATTAATATTTTAATATCTTTAATGTTAATATGCCTTGGCCTAATAATTCCATTAGTAATTTTTCTTAAAGTAGTAATCCGAGATGTACACAAAATGTTATGTGTAAGATCTTTGCCTGTATATAACTTAAAATACAGAGTTATATACAATAACAGATACTGAAAAAACAAGCTAACTGACCAACACTAAGAAACTGGCTAAACAAATTATGGCACTTAGGTTATACTACTTTGTGCCTTAAAAAGTCATGTTGTAAGGCCGTACGTGGTGGCTCACACCTATAATCCCAGTATTTGGGAAGCCAAGGCGGGCAGATCACTTGAGCCCAGAAGTTTGAGACCGGTCTGGGAAACATGGTGAAACCCTGTCTCTACAAGATTACAAAAAATTAGCTGGGGGTGGTGGCACACACCTGTAGTCCCAGATACTCAGGAGGCTGAGGTGGGAGGATCACTCGAGCCTGGGAGGTTGAGGCTGCAGTGAGAGGTGATTTTGCCACAGCACTCCAGCCTGGGCATAGGGGATTCTATCTCAGAAAAAACATTAATTAATTAAAAGTCATGTTGTAGAACAATTTGCAAAAATAGTATGCAAAAATGTTCATGACATTGATATAATTAAAATATAGATTACAAATTTGTTTTTCTGTGTGATCACAATTTTGTTTTTAAAGTGTTTATAGTATTTTTAGTCTGAAAAGCTACATGACATAATATTAATAGTAATTATTTCTAGTTGGTGGGATTATGGATTATTTTTAAATGTTCTTCTATATGATTTTATGAATTTTTTACATTTTCTGTCATAAAAATATGTGTGTGTTTTTTCTTAAGTAGATCATATCCAATCTCATACAAGTGTTAATTAACTAAAAAATTTCTTAGACTTTAGGCTACAATTGCAAATGCTAATTAATAAACTAAGTTCACCTCTTTGGGGTTATGGCCATGGTTGAGAAAACTCCTTTGGGATTCTTTAATATATTCAGACTCCTCTCAGATACCTGTAGCCTCCTGCCTCCCACCCTTCATTCCTGATTTTCAGACCTACAGCACTCTGCAAAAGGCATTCTTCACCAAAGTGTGTCTCCTTGCCATCCAACACATCGATGATTCACTGCCTTCATGGAGAATTATTGCACTCACACAGCGAGCAGAGCAATTTCTCTTGGATTTTTCAGCAGTGCCCGAACAGCACCTGCACTTAGCAGTTTATGTGCAGTAACTCCTATAATCCTAAAAGTACTCATGCAAGGTAAGTTTACTTTACAGATGAGGAACCTGAGATTTAGCAAAGCACGAACTGTAATCTCCTAGTAACCAGGATGCTGAGCTTTGCAACCATAACTCTCTGACTTCACCATCTGTGTTCCTTACTTTTCATCACATGGCATCCAGGGGACCCTTTCTGTGGTACCATGGCAGCTGGTCAAATGATTGTTGCTCCAGCATCTATCAATTTAGTGAATGGGCTGGGGAATTAGTCCAATAAACTGACAAAATGAGTGGCATGTAGACAAAGCATGTGACTGGATGACAAAGGTTTTCCCTTTTGATGTTGTTGTCCATGTGCTTCCTATGTTAGTGCATCGCCCTACCATGCATTCAGCTGTGCAAGCCAGGGATCTAGGAGACAATCTCATTACCTCCCGTCCCCAGCCTGCACGTCCATTCTATCACCCACTAATTTTACCTGCCAGATATCTCTCACATCATCCACATCACCATAGAAGTTCAAATTGCCATCATCTCAGCTGGGCGTGGTGGCTCACACCTGTAATCCCAGCACTTTGGGAGGCTGAGACGGGTGGATCACTTGAGGTCAGGAGCTCGAGAACAGCCTGGCCCACATGGTGAAACCCCGTCTTTATTAAAAATACAAAAATTAGCTGGACATTATGCTCATGTGTGGTCACCTCAGGGTTTTCATCTTTCTGGCCAATGCACTCAGAAATACGGTTCTGAGAATGAAGTGATGTGAAGTCATAGTCATAGTCACATATTCATGATGGGGTATATAAAAGAGCAAATGACTGATGTGCGTGAACAGGCAGCCCCTCTAAAGGAGATGGCTGAGGGAAGTCTGAGATGGGCACACACCTGTCTGAGCAGGGCTGCCTTGTTGGAAGGATGAGAGGGAAGAACACTTACTTCAAGCCCACAAGGAGGAAAAGGTGAGGTTTTTTTCCGACTTGCACAGTTACCCAACAAAATCAGTGTTTCCACCCCACTGGGTCTCAGATCCCGGGATGGCCCTGGAGGTAAGCCTATGGGGTCTTAAACCCAGATGCCCACCAAACATTGTCTCTGGTTGAATAAATGCTCTGTCTCACACACACACACATCTGGCTGTGTCCCCACCCAAATCTCATCTGAATTGTAACTCCCGCAATTCCCATGTATCATGGGAGGAACCCAGTGGGAGATAATTGAATCATGGGGGCAGGCCTTTCCTGTGCTGTTCTCATGATAGTGAATAAGTTTCACAAGATCTGATGGCTTTAAAAATGGGAGCTTCTCTGCACAAGCTCTCTCTTTGCCTGCAGCAATCCACGTAAGATGTGACTTGCTTCTCTTTGCTTTCCTCCACGATTGTGAGGCATCCCCAGCCATGTGGAACTGTATAAGTCCAATAAACCTCTTTCTTTTGTAAATTGCCCAGTCTCAGGTATGTCTTTATCAGCAGTGTGAAAGCGGACTAACTTAAACTCCAGGGCTCGAGTGATCCTCCCACCTCAGCCTCTGGAGAAGCTAGGACTACAGGCACATTCTAACATACCTGGCTATTTTTTTAAAAAAAAACTTTTTAGAGAGATAGGGTCTTCCTATTTTGCCCAGGCTGGTCGAGAACTCCTAGCCTCAAACAATCCTTCTGCCCTGACCTCCCAAAACACTGAGATTATAAACGTTGAGCCACTGTGCCCATCCCTTCCAGCTATTTTTAAGACACGTATCAATGCTGTTAAGGCCAATAAAATACATTTAAAGCATTATTGAATTTAGAGAGTTTTTTGGTCTTATATGTATTTCAATCAAAGTTTTAAAAATACACAATTATTATCATGTTGGAGGGATCTAACAATTTTTTGAAGTAATTAAGGGCTATTTACTGTCACGAAAAAGTTCAAGGAGTCATTGATCTAGATGTCATGATTCAAATGATTAAAGCTTCTTTCTCAATGTCTGTCATAATTAATTGATCAGAGGCAATTTCACCCAGCAGAAAAATGACACCAAGAAGTCTTGAGGTGTAATAACAAACAATAGCAACCTTTTATTGAATGCTTACCATGTACGGGGCACTGTGCTTTATATAAACTATCCTATTTAATCTTCATGATAGTGCTGTGAGGTATTATCATTCATTTTGTAGATGAAGACACTGAAGCCGAAGTTACTTGCCCAAGGTCAAGCTGTTAGAGTCATTAATGGAGCTAGGATATAATAAGCCTAAATCTCACATATCTTTTTCCTTTTTTTTTTTTCTTTGAGATGAAATCTCACTCTGTTGCCCAGGCTGGAGTGCAGTGGCACAATCTTGGCTCACTGCAACCTCCACCTCCCAGGATCAAGTGATTCTCCTGCCTCAGCCCCGCAAGCAGCTGTGAATACAGATGCCCACCACCACACCCGCCTGATTTTTGTATTTTTAGTAGAGATGGGGTTTCACCATGTTGGCCAGGCTGGTCTTCAACTCCTGACCTCAAGTGATCCACTCATCTCGGCCTCCAAAAGTGCTGGAATTACAGGTGTGAGCTATCGTGCCCAGTCCTAAATCTCACATTTCTAACTGCCATGTTTTATCCAGTCAACCTGGCACTGTGCTGGGGTGAATAGTGCAGGTCTCTATCTTGATGGAACTGACAGATGAGTGGGAAAAACAGTCAGTTAATGAGCATGCAAATAAATATGTGCAAATTATGATCAACGTTGGGAAAGAAGGAAGTTGGGTGCTAAGATAGAACATGATGAGAGTTCCTATGTTACACAGGGTTACACAGGGAATTCTTTCCTGAGGAGGTGACCTCCATGCCTCTTGAAGGAACTGCACTTTAAAATATTTTTGGAAAAGAGTAAACATATCACATCTTTTTCTTTGACCAAAGGTATTCACCTGGAAGTTAAGGGAATGGTGTGAAAGCATACTCTATGGGGAAGCAAACTGGTTTCGAATCTCAGCCTCATTATCTCATTAAATATAACTCACACTCTTCCTATTTACAGACTCTTGGATCCAACCATACTGGTTTGTTCACTGACCCCCAAATGCTCTGAGTCTGCCTCCTCTTAGCGTTTGCTGGCCATGATTTCTTTCCTCTACCTCCCACTCCCCAGTGTTCTCCTCCTTCTCTCCTGTCCTTCTTCAAGTTCAAGTCCTTCCTCCACAGGGAAGCTTTCCCTGATGACCCTGAACCACAGAGATATCCTCCTTCATGACCTCATATTTATCCATCCACACACCAACCCACCCAACCATCAACCCATGCATCCATCCATCCAACTTTCCATCCATCCATCTACCCATCTATGTTAGTCAGTGTTCTCCAAAGAAACAGAACATATATTTTATGTTCTAAGCCTATATAAAAGTATTGAGCCCTTACACAAACATATGAATATCAAGCCCCAAAATCTAGAAACAAGCTGTGAAAATGTTTTGTGATGAGCTGTTTCATATCACAAAATGGGACCTGAGTTTTGATTCAACAGATTCCAAACCCTTTTTTTGTAGAATATAAGAAGTGAGATTTCTGAGCCTATTGAGCCCTTACATATATATATACACACACACCTACGTGTATAAATTATAATAAACATCCTCATAAATCTCTTTATATTACATTATATAATTTAGTATATAATATAATATATATTATATATGAGAGAGAGAGAGAGAGGGAGATTATAAGGAATTGGCTCAGGTGGTTATGGAGGCAGCCAAGTCCCAAGACCTGCAGGGTGAGTTGACAGCCTTGAGAACAAGGAGGAGCAAATAGCTCAGTTTGAGTCTGAGGACAGTAAAAATGGTGATGTCCCAGTTTGAAGGCAGTCAGGCTGAAGAATTCGCTCTTAGCCTTTCTGTTCTATTCAGGCCTTCAACTGAATGGATGAGGCCCACCCACATTAGAGAGCGTAATCTACACAGTCTACCGATTTAAATGTTAATCTCACCCAAAACACCCTCGCAGACACACCCAGGGCAATATTTGACCAAGTATGTGGGCACCCCATGGCCCAGTCAAATTGACACATAAAATTAACCATCACACCATCCATCCATCTAATGTATTTGTATTCAATACTATGTACAAAGTGCTGCTGTGTCACTACACTTACTGTCTTTGTTAATCTGAGTCCTCTACAGGCAGACACCAAGATGGAATTAAATATGCAATATTTTATTAGGGAAAATGCTCATGTAAGAGAAAGTGAGGAGGGATCTGGAAAAGGCAGAGAGAGCCATTGACTGCAATGCAAATCTAATCTTCCAGTGAAGGAGAGAGGGTGGGCAGAAGCATTCTAGACCCCTGTCCAGTCTAAGGGCAGTTTGGTAAAGGTACCTGGAGAGGCTTTGAGCACAATTTGCTGTAAGAGGAGCCCTGCATTTTCCAGGAAAGGGTCTGCCTTAGCACATCAATTTCAGGGAGCAGCTGCTGGGGCCCTTAATCAATGATATTCTCTGAGGTTGGAGGTTTGTGAGGAGCTTTCTCATGGCCACCACGGTCCACTCCTTTGCTACACAGACGTACTTCTCCATGTAGATTTTGGGAGCAACTCTTCCATGATTCCCATGATCCCCTTTGACTGAGGGGACAGTCCTCACCAATGACAAATGAGGATTGCAGTACATACAACTGGCTGCCTCACCCCTCTGGTAGGATACCTCCACCCACCCAGCAGTTATCAGTTGCCAATTAGCCTGCACTCCAGCTGCCCACAGTGGTCTCCTTCTCATGAATGTGCACCATATTGGGCTTATGCTCTTTCCTGGCTCACTGTCCCATTCCCCTCCCTGACTTCCTGGGATCACTTCCTGAATCAATCACTTGTACTCATTCTGTCTTGGGATGTGCTTCTAGGGGAACCCAGACTAATATAATAAGGAAACCGTTAATAATATGGTTCGGAAATAGTTGTTCTTCTCTAAGGATACACTTAGGCTTTAATTTCACGATTCAGTGAGGATCGCTCTTAATACAAAGTATCACACAGAATACTTAATAGGCCATTTGAGAGGCTCCTTAAATTATACAAGTTCTTTTGTATTCACCATCCTCAGTTATTTGGGGAAAACTCTTCAAACTGTTTCTCCTCTGCTCTCACACCACCACCACAACCATCAACACAGAAGAAAGCTGTGACCAAAGGCATGGGGGGTTTTCCCCACACACCAAGCAGCAGACATTGATGCTGGAAGTAGCATCAGATCCCACAGAGTGAGAGCTCAGTCCCCAAAACTGCCCCCACTCTGCCACCTCCAGACCCCAGTCACAAGTCCAGGCCTCCAGAACTTCTGACTGACTGGCTTCAAGTTGAGGTTCTCACGATTCCCTCTTTGGGTTTGATTAATTTGCTGGAGTGGCTCACAGAACCCAGGGAAACATGTTTACTGGTTTATTATAATGAATATTACAAAGGATACAGATGAAGAGATGCATAGGGTAAGGTATGGGGAAAGGGCCACAGAGCTTTCACCCCCCACCAGAGGCCCCCACCCTCCAGGAACCTCCTGAGTTCCACTATCCTGAAGCTTTCCAAACCCTGTCCTCCTGGGTCTTTATGGAGACTGCATTACATAGGCATGATAGACAACCATGTAGAAATGTGATTGGACAAAAAGCACATAATCTAAACCCAGCAAGGCCTGTGTGTTTAGGCTTTTCTTGGCCTCTCTGTGCAGCCTTCCTTCCTCTAGGGTATGGGGCTGGACCCCTCTGGAATGAGGGGCTTCTGACCTACAATCAGTTTCGAGTCCTGCCTTAGGCAGATGAAAGGAGGACAGGGGAAGGTCAGAGAGAGAGATTCTGTTTCCTGAGACCTGCTGCTGAGGCCTACAGCACCCCAACATTATAACAAAAGACTATGGGGGTTATGATCCAGAAACCATGGATGAAAACCTATACACACACACACACACACACACACACACACACACACCATGGCTGTGTAGAAAATTGTTATAGGCGGGCATGGTGTCTCACGCCTGTATTCCCAGCATTTTGGGAGGCTGAGGCAGGTGGATCACTTGAAGTTGGGAGTTCGAGACCAGTGTGGCCAACTTGGTGAAACCTAGTCTCTACTAAAAATACAAAAATTAGCTGGGTATAGTGGTGTGCACCTGTAATCCCAGCTACTCAGGAGTCTGAGGCAGAAGAATTGCTTGAACCCTGGAGGCCAAGGTTGCAGTGAGCTGAGATCACACCACTGCACTCCAGCATGGGCGACAGAGTAAGACTCCATCTCAAAAAAAAAAAAATTGTTACATTTAAATCATGTGGTCTCAGTCTTCGAAAAGCAGGCAATACTTTGTGCAGTAATTCAGTCCTTATACAGTTTGTTTAAAAAATGCCAAGAAATTTTATGTTAAATAGCATAAATTCAATGTCAGCTTTGGATTTTTATAGGTGAAGGGGAAGGATTGTTCATTATCCACATGTGTCTGAGCTTTAATGATACTGATAATTCAAAAATATCCTGGCAATTTTCAAGTACATAACCAGATTGACATGAATTAAAGTTACAGATCACTTGGTGTTAACGAGTCCTGGGATGGCTGATTCCTTGAAGAGGAGGGACCATGGGAACGTCCGACTTTCAGGAAAGAAGCGAGGCTGCCTGGATGTCTGTGACCACAGCGAAAAGGTGAGTCTGGGAAAGTAGAGGTTTCTCTCAGAATGCAAGAGGCACTTTTGAATCTTTAGACTTGTAATGAAATCCTCATTTTGATCTCACATTAGTACCCACTAGGACTGATCACTAGATATGCTATTTCTGCCTTTTGAGTACACAGTAAAATTATAATTCTTGGCCCTCTCCCACTTCTTGGGTTGGGGTCATGGGACCAGTTCAAGATCAAGCTTTTAATGGCTGATTTGAGACCCTCCAGAGCTCTTTTTGCCCTCTGTCATCATTCCAGATAGTGGGTGCTTGATCATCCTGGCTTTCAAGATAACCCATGACAGACATACAGCCCTGCAGTGGATGTGTGGCACAAGCAAGAAACAAACCTTTATCATTTGAAGCCACTAAAATTTGGGGTTTATTTGTTATTCCAAAATAGCATTGACTATCTTGATTGAGACATACTCTTTGGGGAGGCTACTGAGGAGACTGCTGTCCGGTAAGTCCCCTACCCCTTCTAGGAATTCTCTATAAGGCACGATGCTTACTTTCTATGTCATTTTCTGAGAGTACTCATGGAGAGAGTCTTCCTCACTCTTCCTGTTTTGAAGATGGTCAATTCAAAGTTAGGATTTAGTAAACCAAGCTTCAAACCACATCCAGTTTTAATGACTAAGTTCCATGAAACCTTTAAGATTGTTCTAGAAAATTCAACCTCATTTAATCCCGAATGACATTTACTTACATGGCTGCTGCACTAGTTACAAAAAAAAAAATTAAATCATGAAACATTGCTGAACAGTTATTAAATAGTACCTAGTCCCTAATGGCAAATTCATTTTCATTTAATAACAAGTTATTGTGGAGCGTAATGAAAAATAGAGTGGCATGCAAAATAAGCTGGCCTCTGTTTTCATTGACATTGTGCCAGTTTCTTGAGTGCAGCATTATAATACTATCCATCTTCATAAAGCACTCTTTAGAAGGCATTATTAAACAGCAGGAAGGAAAGGCAGATGACAGCTTCATTAGTCATGACTAGGTAATCCTGGCCAATTTCTCCTGGGAATTATTAACACATTTCTAAACACCCTTTGGTTGATGGCATCTAGAAGAGAAGAGGAGGAGATTAGTTGTAAAGACTTGGACATTATCCAAATCTGGCTACAACTTTCTTTAAGTCACAGAGCAGTCACTCTTCCCCAAGACTCTGTCATGCTTCTGGGGAATGGGAACTTCTGAGCAACTGTGGACCAAGACCTCAAAATTCTTGCCCATTGCTGAATACCCAATGAAAAGAAAGAAATCTACACAGCATCTGCCTGGTACAAATTTAGGCTATTCTATTTGATAAATGGATTAGTCCCAAACTCATACTTGTCTGGTTAGTGAATAGGAGCTCCAGGAGAGTGTCTTTGGGAGCCCAGTAAGTGTATAATAAACACATCGGAATCTGACATATTCCTGTGAATCCCTGTAGCCAGGTGTCCCAAGTTAGCTAAGGATTTATGAAATCCCCCAGAGCTTGGGCACAGCCTGGGAGATTTAAAAAGATAGTTGCTGTCAACCAAGATTTTCCTAGTGTTTCTGTAATCTTCTCTTTTTTCTTTCTTTCTTTTTTTTGAGATGGAGTCTCACTCTGTCACCAGGCTGGAGTGCAGCTCTGTCACCAGGCTGGAGTGCAGTGGTGCGATCTCAGCTCACTGCAACCTCCGCCTCGTGGGTTCTAGTGATTCTTCTGCCTCAGCCTCCTGAGTAGCTGGGATTACAGGCACCCGCCACCATGCTAACTTTTGTATTTTTAGTAGAGATGGGGTTTCACCATGTTGGCCAGGCTGGTCTCAAACTCCTGACCTCAGGTGATCCACGCACTTTGGTCTCCCAAAGTGCTGGGATTATAGGTGTGAGCCACTATGCCCAGCCTCTGTGACCTTCTCTAATGACACTACCTTTCAGTTTCTTAGTAAGTCAGCTGGATGGGGTTTTGAGGACGCCTGGCAGAGGAATGGTTTACTCTGCACATCAACAGTTTTAATTGTGGGTTAAAAACAGTGAGTAACTGCTTTTGAAACTCTTTGGGTGCTTGATGGTGTGGCAAAAGGACTTAAGAATTAGAATGAGACTCGAGCTCAAATCATTGCCCTGCAACTTACTAGCTGTGGAACTGTGGGCAAGTTAATTAAGGCCTCCCAGCCTTAGTTTCCTCATCTGCAAATTAGGGATAATGATATCTATCTCATTGAGTTTTTGGAGGATTAATTAATATAATTAAGTAAAGCACTTGGCAGAGTGCTTCAATAAATATTTCTTCTTTTATATGTTCTGTGTAAGCTATGTCTTGCTTAAAAAACAAAAGCAAAAATAATCAGATTTATAGAAGAGACATTAGTATGAGTTGTCCATATTATCCTGCCCACCACCCCCAACTAAATTGTAAGTTCCTGTTTTTATTTACTTTTAAAAGAAAAGCAGTGATGGTGAAATAATAAGTAACACTTATATACTGCCAGATGCTGGTTTAATTCTCACATCAACTGTATTATTATCCCCATATTCCAGCTGAGAAAACTGAGGCACAGAGAAGTAAGTTGCCCAAGGTTACAGAGACAGTCAATTTTGGAGCTGGGATTGAAAACTAGTCTGCCTCCAGAGTTGGTGTTCTTTTATGTTTAACTTCTATTTTAGGTTCAGAGGTATATGTGTAGGTCTGTTACATAGGTAAACTTGTGTTACGGGGTTTGGTGCACAGATGATTTTGTCACTCAGGTGCTAAGCCTAGTACCCAAGGGTTATTTTTTTTGCTTCTCTACATTCTCCCACCCTCCACCCTCCAGTAGACCCCGGTGTGCGTTGTTCCCCTCTATGTGTCTATGTGTTCCCATCATTTAGCTCCCACTTATAAGTGAGAACATGCAGCATTTGGTTTTCTGTTCGTGTGTTAGTTTGCTAAGGATAATGGCCTCCAGCTCCATCCATGTTCCTGCAAAGGACATGATCTTGTTGTTTTTTGTGGCTGCATAGTATTCCATGGTGTATGTGTACCACGTTTTCTTCATCTAGTCTACCGCTGATGGGCATTTAGGTTGATTCCATGTCTTTATTATTGTGAATAGCGCTGCAATGAACATATGGGTACATGTGTCTTTATGGTAGAAAGATTTATATTCCATGGGTATATACTCAGTAATTGGATTGCTAGATCAGATGGTAGTTCTGTTTTTAGCTTTTTAAGGAATCACCACACTGTCTTCCACAATGGTTTAACTAATTTACACTGCCACCAACAGTGTATAAGCATTCCCTTTTCCCTGCAACCTTGCCAGCATTTTTGACTTTAGTAATAGCCATTCTGACTGGTCTGAGATGGTATCTCACTGTGATTTGCATTTCTCTAATGAGCAGTGATACTGAGTTTTTTTCATATGCTTTTTGGCTGCCTGTATGTCTTTTTTTTTTCTTCGAGACAGAGTTCACTCTGTCACCCAGGCTGCGATCTCAGCTCACCGCAACCTTCACCTCCCAGGTTCAAGCAATTCTTATGCCTCAGCCTCCTGCGTAGCTGGGATTACAGATGTGTGCCACCACACCCTGCTACTTTTTGCATTTTTAGTAGAGATGGGATTTTGCCATGTCGGCCAAGCTGGTCTTGAACTCCTGGGCTCAAGTGCTCCACCCTGCTTGGCCTCCCAAAGTGCTGGGATTACAGGTTTGAACCACCACGCCCAGCTATGTCTTCTTTTGAAAAGTGTCTATTCATGTCCTTTGCCCACTTTTTAATTTTTTTTTTTTCTTTGTCCGTGTAAATTTAAGTTCCTTATAGATGCTGGATATTAGACCTTTTTGTCAGATGCATAGTTTGTAAAAATTTTCTTCTATTTTGTATATTATCCATTTACTCTGTTGGTAGATTCTTTTGCTGTGCAGAAGCTCTTAACTTTAGTTAGATCCCTATTGTCAACTTTTGCTTTTGTTGAGATTGCTTTTGGTATCTTTGCCATGAAATCTTTGCCAGTTTCTATGTCTAGAATGGTATTGCCTAGGTTGTCTTCCAGGGTTTTTATAGTTTTGGGTTTTACATTTAAGTCTTTAATCCATCTTGAGTTGATTTTTGTATATGGTATAAGGAAGGGGTCTAGTTTCAATCTTCTGCATATGGCTAGCCAGTAATTCCAGCACATTTATTCAATAAGGAGTCCTTTACCATTGCTTTCTGTCAGCTTTGTCAAAGATCAGATAGTTGTAGATGTGGCCTTATTTCTGGGCCTTTTATTCTGTTCCATTGGTCTATGGGTCTGGTTTTGTACCAGTACCATACTGTTTTGGTTACTGTAGCTCTGTAGTATAGTTTGAAATCAGGTAACTTGATGCCATTAGGTTTGTTCTTTTTGCTTAGAATTGCCTTGGCTATTTGGGCTCTTTTTTGGTTCCATATGAATTTTAAAATAGTTTTTTTTCTTTTTTAAATTATATTTTAAGTTCTGGGATACATGTGCAGAACGTGCAGGTTTGTTACATAGGTATACACGTGCCATGGTGGTTTGCTGCACCCATCAACCTGTCATCTACATTAAGTATTTCTCCTAATGCCATCCCTCCCCTATCCCCCACCTCCCCACAGACCCTGGTGTGTGATGTTCCGCTTCCTGTGTCCATGTGTTTTCATTGTTCAACTCCCACTTATGAGTAAGAACATGTGGTGTTTGGTTTTCTGTTCCTGTGTTAGTTTGCTGAGAATGATGGTTTCCAGCTTCATCCATGTCCCTGCAAAGGACATGAACTCATCCTTTTTTATGGCTGCATAGTATTCCATGGCATATATATGCCACATTTTCTTTATCCAGTCTATCTTCGATGGACATTTGGGTCATTCCAAGTCTTTGCTATTGTGAATAGTGCAGCAATAAACATACATGTGCATGTGTCTTTATAGTAGAATGATTTGTAATCCTTTGGGCATATACCCAGTAATGAGATTGCTGGGTCAAATGGTATTTCTGGTTCGAGATCCTTGAGGAATCACCACACTGTCTTCCTCAATGGTTGAACTAATTTACACTCCCACCAACAGTGTAAAAGCATTCCTATTTCTCCACATCCTCTCCAGCATCTGCTGTTTCCTGACTTTTTAATAACTGCCATTCTAACTGGCGTAAGATGGTATCTCATTGTGGTTTTGATTTGCATTTTTCTAATGACCAGTGATGATGAGCTTTTTTTCATATGTTTGTTGGCCGCATAAATGTCTTCTTTTGAGAAGTGTCTGTTCATTTCCTTTGCCCACTTTTTGATGGGGTTGTTTGTTTTTTCTTGTAAATTTGTTTAAGTTCCTTGTAGACTCTGGATATTAGCCCTTTGTCAGATGGATAGATTGCAAAAATTTTCTACCATTCTGTAGGTTGCCTGTTCACTCTGATGATAGTTTCTTTTGCTGTGCAGAAGCTTTTTAGTTTCATTAGATCCCATTTATCAATTTTGGCTTTTATTGCCATTGCTTTTGGTGTTTCAGCCATGAAGTCATTGCCCATGCCTATGTCCTGAATGGTATTGCCTAGGTTTTCTTCTAGGGTTTTTATGGTCTTACATTTAAGTCTTTAATCCATCTCGAGCTAATTTTTATATAAGGTGTAAGGAAGGGGTCCACTTTCAGTTTTCTGCATATGGCTAGCCAGTTTTCCCATCTATTAAATAGGGAATCTTTCCCCTGTTGCTTGTTTTTGTCAGGTTTGTCAAAGATCAGATGGTTGTAGATGTGTGGTGTTATTTCTGAGGCCTCTGTTCTGTTCCATTCGTCTATATATCTGTTTTGGTACCAGTACCATGCTGTTTTGGTTACTGTAGCCTTGTAGTATAGCTTGAAGGCAGGTAGGGTGATACCTCCAGCTTTGTTCTTTTTGCTTAGGATTGCTTGGCTATATGGGCTCTTTTTTGGTTCCATATGAATTTTAAAGTAGTTTTTTCTAATTCTGTGAAGAAAGTCAATGGTAGCTTGATGGGGATAGCATTGAATCCATAAATTACTTTCGGCAGTATGGCCATTTTCATGATATTGATTCTTCCTATCTGTGACCATGGAATGTTCTTCCATTTGTTTGTGTCCTCTTTTATTTCGTTGAGGAGTAGTTTGTAGTTCTCCTTGAAGAGGTCCTTCACATCCCTTGTAAGTTGTATTCCTAGGTATTTTATTCTCATTGTAGCAGTTGTGAATGGGAGTTCAGTCATGATTTGGCTCTCTGTTTGAGATGGAGTTTCACTCTTGTTGCCCAGGCTGGAGTGCAATGGCATGATCTCGGCTTACTGCAACCTCCGCCACCCAGGTTCAAGTGATTCTCCTGCCTCAGCCTCCCAAGTAGCTTGGATTGCAGGCTCCCACCACCATGCCCAACTAATTTTTATATTTTTAGTAGAGACGGGTTTTCACCATGTTTGCCAGGCTGGTCTTGAACTCCTGACCTCAGGTGACCCACCCACCTCGGCCTCCTAAAGTACTGGGATTACAGGTGTAAGCCACCATGCCCAGCCTAAAATAGTTTTTTCTAGGGAGGCAATGTTCTTAACCATCACTGCTATATTCATGAAATTTTGTTTAACTGAATTAAATCTGATAGACAAGGCCTGTTTAAACAGTAAGTTTCCTAAAGGCATGGACGTGTTTACAAATTGCTGTTCTAGGTTAGCATGTCTCCCCCTCTGCGTTCTGCAAAACTAAAGCTTATTCACACTCAAGTTCTGGCTCCTTCAGGAACCCCCATGGCTCTGTTTCCTCCGCTCTCTCAGCAGTCCTGGCCTCATCTTTTCCACCGCCCACTCATACCATTGGAGTCAGTCATTAATGGCTCCTGAGAAGATAAGAAAAGTGTGACAACTGAGGATGAGGAGAGAGATACTGGCAGGGAGCACGGCAAGTGAGTAAGCAGGAGAAAGAGCAGGGGAGAAGAAAGGAAGGTGACGAGGCGGGAAAGAACTGAGGCATGGCTGCAGTCTCAAGGGGGACTTTTTTCTTTTTTAAATATTATATATCAGAAAGTCTATTTATTGTCTGATGTTTCCCCCTGCTCTGACTTTTGTGAAACAGAGCGATTGATGTGTTTTTGCTTTAGCCAGGATGAAAGTATCTTGTTTTTAGTGATTCCTAACAGCAATTGAGTTTGTAGCAATGCCAATTGTGAATTTTTTCTTATTTTTTTTTCTTTGAAATCAAAGTAAGAGTATCCTTTTGTTGTTGTTTGCCAGTATTTAGAAGCTATTCCGATTACATATTTTCTGGTAAAAAAAAATGTTAAAATTTTTTATTCTACCTGGAGTTTAGTACCAGTTCTGATGAATTTAGGATGTATTTCTTAAGAGCTTATTATGTGCCTGGCACGTTGCCAAGCCCCATGATACAAAAATGAATGAAACAAGGCTCCTCTCTGCCTTGGAGGAGGCTGTAATGTAGTAGGGGCTTCTTAGACTTGGGGGCATCCAGGGAATCTGTTAGAATTCCCCCACCTGGGGCTGGGCACACTGTCTCACACCTGTAATACCAGCACATTGGGAGGCTGAGGCAGGTGGATCACTTGAGGTCACAAGTTCAAGACCAGCCTGTTCAACATGGTGAAACTCCACCTCTACTAAAAATATAAAAAATTAGCCAGGTATGGTGGTGCACCTGTAATCCCAGTTACTCAGTAGACTGAGGCAGGAGAATCACTTGAACCCAGGAGGCAGAGGTTGCAGTGAGCCAAGATCTTGCCACTACCCTCCAGCCTGGGTGACAGAGCAAGGCTCTGTCTCAAAAAAAAAAAAGTTCCTCACTTGGGCTCCACTCCAGGTCAGTCTAATTCAATAGACGATTCTACTGCATCTCAATGTTTGAGACACACTGCTGGGGCAAGCACCATTTGTACCCTTTCTCCAATCACAAACCAGCCTTAGAGAAAGTTATCCAGGATTTCAGAGGTCCCAGAGATCCCTCAGTTACCTTCAGTTTGTATTCAGCTTCTCAAAGTGTAGGCAGGCTTCACTCTTAAGGAGGCAGCATAGATGGCTCAGGCTGGAAATAGACTGGTTTATGTCACAGCTGACAAAGGGTCCCCTATTGTGAAAAAGATCCAGAATTAAATTGGATCATTGGGAATCATCTTAATTTTAGAGTTTTTTTTTTAATCAGAAAAGTTTGATTAGAAAAGACTGAGTTTTAGGGGTTTTCTTGGCTCTCAACCCACATAAGGATGGGAGAAGCCTTGTCCTCTTAAGTTAAACTTTCACATCTGTGGAAATGCCAAATATAATAAGTTCATAAGTGAGCTTATTATACAGAATATATTTTTGTGCTTCTAAACTCAAAAATTTAGAATTTAAAAAATTTTAATTTTAATTAAAAAAAAAGATCGGGCTTGGTGGCTCATGCCTTTAATCCCAGCACTTTGGGAGGCCGAGGCGGGTGGATCACCTGAGGTCAGGAGTTTGAGACCAGCCTGGTCAACATGGCGAAACCCCTCTACTAAAAATACAAAAATTAGCCTGGTCTGGTGCTACACATCTGTAGTCCCAGCTACTCAGAAGGCTGAGGCAGGACAATCACTTGAACCTGGGAGATGGAGGTTGCAATGAGCCGAGATCGCACCACTGCACTCCAGCCTGGGTGACAGAACAAGACTCTGTCTCAAAATAAATAAATAAATAAATAATCCCTAAATCCCAGTTGATCTCTCTCCTTCATGGCTTTAAATTTCTGGAAACTTTATCTAATGATATTTACACTCCCACCTTATTTTCCCCCCCAAAATAAAATAAAACCAATGACTCAGATGGCCAACTTTTCATTTCCAGGTATCTTGAGTGAGGTCAACAGGTTGAATTTTACTTCACACAGTTTTAATCAAGCCAATCTGAAAAATACAAGCAGGATTGTGCAACAGTAGAGATTTGTGTGTGTGTGTGTTGGGAAAGTTGGAAACATTTTTGTAGAGCAGTGAGTAATTCATAGAGAAGCTGGTTGGTAATATCTTTATATTGTATTTGAGCTTATTTCAACAAGACATTTTGAATACTGGCTGTGAGCATGCCCCTTATTTCAGGGCCATAAACATTGCTTTCCTATGTAAAATGCAAGTTCCTCAACTTGTTCTTATCTTCCAGAAAAGGTCAAGGGAGTGGGTAAGGGGGTATAGGGAAGCAGGTGGAATTTAGAAGAAATTATCCAACCCTGCAAGTTAAAGCCATGTGATTTTGGCACAATAAAGATGAAGACCGTGAGACTGGCTAGAGAGCTGGACGTGGATCTAAAGGTACACAATAATTCAATATGGATTATGTGATCATTGCAAAGGGAGGGGAAGGCAAGAATTATTCAATCAAGGGTTTTGTCTGTCTGCAAAGATAGCACTTTAGATTCCTACTTTAACTATATTCTGAAATGAATTTGACTTGGCACTTGTTAATGGTTTCTTAACCATCTCTTTCCGTTTGCCCGTGTTCAGGACCCCATTCACACCCCACACTGAGCCAGTCAATCAGCGCCAGGATGCTTTGTCACAAGTGAGCAATCACCACCCCCACCCAGCTGAGGATGACCTGGGAACTAAGCCGGCTGAATTCTAGAGTTGATGGGGAATGTGGGAAAAAGACAAATTACAAGCTTATTAAACATAAACTTAGGGGAAACCAAAAGAGGGTAATCACATTTATGATCTGCAAAGAAAGGAGGAGTTGGGGAACCCTAAGCTACTCCATCACCCTAATTTCTTTTTTTATTATTATACTTTAAGTTTTAGGGTACATGTGCACAACCTGCAGGTTTGTTACATATGCACACACGTGCAATGTTGGTGTGCTGCACCCATTAACTCATAATTTAACATTAGGTATATCTCCTAATGCTATCCCTCCCCCCTCCCCCCACCCCACAACAGGCCCCGGTGTGTGATGTTCCCCTTCCTGTGTCCATGTGTTCTCATTGTTCAATTCCCACCTTTGAGTGAGAACATGTGGGTTTGGTTTTTTGTCCTCACGACAGTTAGCTGAGAATGATGGTTTCCAGCTTCATCCATGTCCCTACAAAGGACATGAACTCATCATTTTTTATGGCTGCATAGTATTCCATGGTGTATATCTGCCACATTTTCTTAATCCAGTCTATCATTGTTGGACATTTGGGTTGGTTCCAAGTCTTTGCTATTGTGAATAGTGCCGCAATAAACATACGTGTGCGTGTGTCTTTATACCAGCATGATTTATAATCCTTTGGGTATATACCCAGTAATGGGATGGCTGGGTCAAATGGTATTTCTAGTTCTAGATCCCAGAGGAATTGCCACAATAACTTCCACAATGGTTGAACTAGTTTACAGTCCCACCAACAGTGTAAAATTGTTCCTATTTCTCCACATCCTCTCCAGCACCTGTTGTTTCCTGACTTTTTAATGGTCGCCATTCTAACTGGTGTGAGATGGTATCTCCCTGTGGTTTTGATTTGCATTTCTCTGATGGCCAGTGATGATAAGCATTTGTTCACGTGTCTGTTGCCTGCATAAATGTCTTCTTTTGAGAAGTGTCTGTTCATATCCTTTGCCCACTTTTTGATGGGGTTGTTTGTTTTTTTCTTGTAAATGTGTTTGAGTTCATTGTAGATTCTGGATATTAGCCCTTTGTCAGATGAGTAGATTGCAAAAATTTTCTCCCATTCTGTAGGTTGCCTGTTCACTCTGATGGTAGTTTCTTTTGCTGTGCAGAAGCTCTTTAGTTTAATTAGATCCCATTTGTCAATTTTGGCTTTTGTTGCCATTGCTTTTGGTATTTTAGCCATGAAGTCCTTGTCCATGCCTATGTCCTGAATGGTATTGCCTAGGTTTTCTTCTAGGGTTTTTATGGTTTTAGGTCTAACATTTAAGTCTTTAATCCATCTTCAATTAATTTTTGTATACGGCATAAGGAAGGGATCCAATTTCAGCTTTCTACATATGGCTAGCCAGTTTTCCCAGCACCACTTATTAAATGGGGAATCCTTTCCCCATTTCTTGTTTTTGTCAGGTTTGTCAAAGATCAGATAGTTGTAGATATGCAGCATTATTTCTGAGGGCTCTGTTCTGTTCCATTGGTCTATATCTCTGTTTTGGTACCAGTACCATGCTGTTTTGGTTACTGTAACCTTGTAGTATAGTTTGAAGTCAGGTAGCATGATGCCTCCAGCTTTGTTCTTTTGGTTTAGGATTATCACCCTAATTTCTAAGAGCACTCCCGGCATACAGTAGGTGCTAAACGAATGGTGGTGAACTCAGTGACATTTGAGTCTTTGTGCTTTCCTGGGTAGACCATGGTGCTGATGAGTTTGGGTTTAGCTGTTGTTGCCTGACCCTGGCCTGAGCTGGGAGCTCCTTAAAATAGCCTATAAAGAGTGCTCACATTCAAAGTCCTCCTGGGAGCATTTCTCTGATATTTCAAAACAGAATTCAGGAGCAAGAGGAGCAAAGCTGAGGCTTAATGCAGCATGTTAAAGAAACAGGCAGAAGGACATGGCCAAAATCAACTCAGAGTCTTCCAAATGAGGGGACAGCTGCTGCCTCTGGCGGGAAACATTCCTTCCCTTCCCCCTTTCCTGCAGGTAATGGCACAAAATATATTCAAGCGAAAGAGGGGTGAGAACTGGGCATGAATCTTCCTTCCTCACGCTGATTGGACTGGCATCCACCAGGCTTTGCTTCCTGCATCTACCACCGAAGACTTAGTCTCAGGCCAGTCTCTCTTTTGCCTGGGGTGTAAATCCAGGGTTTTTGGATCCCAGGTTGGAAGAGGTGGATGGGGACCACATGTGTGCCAAATGCCTGCAGCTCTGGTTAATCTTGGCTTGGGAGTGATTATTTGCTGATGGTGATGGGGAGAGGGGACCGGGAAGAAAGTTCACTTCTCATTCTTTAGTGATGTGTAAATGTATTGCCATTGGCTCTTATTAGGTAGCTCTAAGCCAGTGACGGAAAAATGTTTTCATTGGCAGGAAAACACGTTTTACATCCACATACATGCATATCTACTTTTTGGCAGATGCAGAAACTTTGTGGCTTAGACTCCCATCCTATTCCTCTGTTTGTTGGATCCTACCAATGACTTAAGGCCTTGCTCAGTGCCTGTCTCCTACAAGAAGTTTTTCTTGACAACTCCAGTACGCACTGCTTTCTCCGTGAGCGTGGCTCTTGTTGCAATGGTCGTCTTCACCACAATCAGAGTAGATTTTCTAGAAAGGAGCTTAAGCTTTAGGACCTGCTAGTTATAAGAATGACTTCCAAGATCCCAGAAGCACCTTTGCTTGGGTTCACATGGTCACATGCTTTTGGTAAAAATGTAAAAGTAAGATTTTAACTGTCATAAGCTAAGGATGCTGTTGACTCTGTTTGCCCCTGCGTCACTTTTCCCTTGAGGAGTTGTGTGGTGATGGAGAGGCATGAGCATTTTGGGGAATCCAGCTAAGGAGAAGTTGAGTTGGAGATTTATTTGTTTTGGTCGAGTGGGATCTATATATATGGTTCACACTTCCATGTAGAGTCGAGAAATTGTTGGTTATTCTTGGGTATTCTAGGCTTCCAGGAACCCTCTTGCTCAGTGCATGCTCTGTGGCATCATGGGTCTTATTATGATTTAAATGTTTCCTATGATGCCTGACACTGGAAGCATGTGGGAGTGAAGAAGAAGCAAGAGTTAAAATGTGCAGAATGAGAAGCTAATCTGTGGAATGTTCTTTCAATCATCAGCTGTACACAATTATGAGTGAAATATTTGGTTCTCATTGATGTCTAGTCAAGACAGAAATTATCTTCAGGAAAATACTCAGAAATGTGGTATATACAATTATAATGCACCATACTATCATACTTTTAAAGTAGAAATCAATGCAAAATAGAATTGATTAGAATTCTCGTGTTTGTAGAGCACAAAGCTGTAGCAATACTATAAACTGTGAAGTATCATTTTTATGCATGCCAAACTGCATTTTATGTCTACCAACATATTGAGTCAGTCTTAGCATATCTGATATAACTTGTCCTGATGAAACCTGGCAACACCAGACAAAAAAACATTCAAAAGCACTAAAATCACAGCAAAGCACCCTAAGTGTTCTTGTCACAAAGCTCCCAAGCATATTCATCCATAAGTTATTGTACACAGCAGAGGGAGAATTCAATTAAACAATTATGTAGCTCTATCCAACATAATGGCATTTTAAAATGCATTTGAATTGCTTTGTCTTCTTTACATGAAAATGATATTGCACAGTTGTTATGTGACGAGATGATCATATGAAAAGTATGCAGCCAAAGAATAGGAAAAAATATTGTAGAGGTTATGTCATTTTTCAGGATTTTGTTATATTTGTGGTGTTTGTCACTTTTCAAAAATGTGTGGCCGGGCACGGTGGCTCACGCCTGTAATCTCAGCCCTTATGGAAGCAGAGGTGGGTGGATCTCTTCAGCTCAGGAGTTTGAGACCAGCCTGGGCAACATGGCAAAACCCTGCCTCTACAAAAAATACAAAAATCAGCCAGTTATGGTGGTGGGTGCCTGTGGTCCCAGCTACTTGGGAAGCTGAGGTGGGAGGATCACTTGAGCCTGGGAGGTGGAGGTTGCATTGAGCCATGATAGTGCCACTGTGCTCCAGCCTGGGTGACACAGTGAGATCTTATCTCAAAAAAAAAAAAAAAAAAAAAGAGCAAAAATGTGTAATTTGTTACGATTTCATATTTCAATCTAAATAAACTTTCACTCTTTTTCTGAGACAGGGTCTCCCCCTGCAGCCCAGGCTGGAGAGCAGTGGTGCAATCATAGCCCACTGTAGCCTCCAACACCTGGGCTCAAGTGATCCTCCCACCTCAGCCTCCCAGCTAGCTAGGACTATCCCACACCCAGCTAGTTTTTCTAACTTTTTTGTAGAGATGGGGTATCACTATGTTGCACAGACTGGTCTTGAACTCCTGAGCTCAAGCAAGCCTCCTGCATCGGCCTCCCAAAGTGCTGGGATTACAGGTGTGAACCAGTGCACCTGGCCATAAATATTTACTTTTATATGTAATTTTGTATTTCTATTTTGAATTCTTATCCTTAGAGTCTCCTTCCTCCATAAACAAGCTTCAAAACCCACAATTCCTGAATTAGCCTTTGACCACAGTTGAGTAGTATTTTATGCTCTTATATTATTCTTATAAAAAGTATTGAATTTAAAAGCATGACAGTTTATGCCTGGGGACAGAATTTTCAACAATACAGAGCTTTGTGTGGAAAGTAAATAGTGTAGTCTCCCAGCACACCTGACTCCCCGCAGGTCACCACTGTTGGTTTGATGTCATTCTATTCTCCTTTTTCTTGAGCCAGTTCATTGTGATTAAGTGTGGCTTTGGAGCGAGCTACCTGGGTTGACTTATGCCTCTGCCCCTGTGGCCTTGGGAAAACTACTAAATCTATTAGTGCCTCCTCTTAAAGGAAAGATGTAATTGTACTGTACCTGTGTCGTAGGGGTGCTGGGAGGACAGTTTAGGGCTTAGAGGAGCAACCAACATGCTGTACTCATTTTATGTTAGTTTCATTTGGAAAATGCATATATTAGCATTACTTTGCAGATATTTCATGTGCCTAAGTATACTGGTCCTCCTCTCCCAAGACTGTAAACTCAAGGCTGGGAACTAATGTAAAACATCTTGAACATTGCCGCCTAATTCCTCAGAAATGTGTGGATGTGAGCGCCATCTAGCTGCATTATCTGTGGTTCTACTGTGACCACCAGGCACAATTCAGCTCACGTGGCTGTTCTGGCTCAGCAGTTGTTGGATTTGTCAGGAAATGGAGGATGACAGTGGTGTGACCAGCATATCAGGAGGCACTCAGGAGAAGTTAGCGATCCAGTGGAATGAAGAGTATCTCTGAAATGGGATGAGATGGAAGGCCACATCCACGGAACATAGAATAGTTTGAGATTTATACAAAACTTGAAGCCGCACAAAGCAAAAGCTGTCTCCGTGTCCCATTGCAAAGGCACTCAGGGCCAGGCGTGGTGTCTCATGCCTGTAATCCCAGTACTTTGGGAGGCCAAAGCAGGAGGATCGCTTGAGGCCAGGAGTTTGAGACCAGCCTGGCCAACATAGTGATACCCTGTCTCTACAAAAAAACAGAAAAATTAGCCGGGCATTGTTGGTGTATGCCTGTAGTCCCAGCTACTTGGGAGGCTGAGGGAAGAGGATCACTTGAGCCCACGAGTCTGAGGCTTCAGTGAGCTCTGGTTGTGCCACTGCACTCCAGCCTGGGTGACAGAGCAAGACCTTGTCTCAAAAAAAAAAAAAAAAAAAAAAAAGAGAAGAAGAAAAAAGAGAGAAGAAAAAAATCACTAAGAAGCGTCACTAAAATGTGATTTTCAAGAAAGGCATGGTAAAAATGTGAAAAGGGAGTGGGTAGACATGAAACCTTTCCAAGATAACACAGCTCAACAGTTACGTACAGAAGCCGCTAAAACAAAATAAGTGTGGATGATAAAAGATCAAAGGATGGAGCCATTTTAGAAAGAAGAAAGAAGGTTGTTTGGTATATATCTTATCATCTTAAAAGACTTTCTCTAGTTAACAAATACTACTAGATTTCAATCATAGACTTTGTAATGGAGTATACAACAGTTACTCAGTCCTCCCACAAATTCACAATCTGATATTCAGTGAAAAAAGACCATTCCAGATGAATATGAACCAAATTTTGTTTAAAAAATATATGTAAGTACACAAGACTAGAAAAAAGACTGGAAAGAAAAATAGTAAAATATAAACTGTGGTTATTCAGAAGAATGCAATTATGGGGGGAAATTTTTGTTACTTGTGCTATTATGTAATCCCCCCTTTATTTATTTATTGAAACAGGATCTTGCTCTGTCACACAGGCTGGAGTGCAATGATGCAATCATAGTTCACTACAAGTTTGAACTCCTGGAAGCAAGCAATCCTCCTGCCTCAGCTTACTAAGTAGCTGGGACTATAGGCCTGTGACACCACACCTGGCTAATTTTAAAATTTTTTATAGAGACCAGGTCTTGCTCTGTTGCCCAGGCTGGCCTCAATCTCCTGGGCTCAAGTGATCCAACCTCCCGCCTCAGCCTAAAAAGATATTCACTTTTAATTAAATGTAGCTCTTAGTTCTATAATACTTTTTTTTCATTATTTGGCCTACTATTAAATTGTAATTACAGAGTTTAAAAATAGCTTGCCTGATAAAGGTATTTATGTGTCCACCAAAATTCAGCATAATGGTCCACACATGCTAGAATCAATTTCCATTCCAAAACTCTTGATCTTGTTAATTTATGAACAAGAAGTCTTTCCAGCATAACATGAAAACCCAAACACATAAAAGCTAGATAAATTTGACATTATAAAAATTTAAGGCCGGGAGTGGTGGCTCACACCTCTAATCTAAGCACTTTGAGATTACACTTTGGGAGGCCGAGGCAAGCAGATCACTTGAGGTCAGGAGTTCGAGACCAGCCTGGCCATCATGGTGAAACCCCGTCTCTACTAAAAATACAAAAATTAGTGGAGTGTGGTGGTGCACGCTTGTAATCCCAGCTACTTGGGAGGCTGAGGCAGGAGAATCACTTGAACTCGGGAGGCGGAGGTTGCAGTGAGCCGAGATTGTGCCACTGTACTCCAGCCTGGGCGACAGAGAGGACACCATCTCAAAAAAAAAAAAAAAAAAAAAAAAAAAAAAAAAGAAACAAGCTAACAAACAAAAACATGGTTTGGTTGGCTCTGCCTGCATGACGGAGACCTTTGTGAAGGATATCAAGCCCAGGCTCAGGAGTCTGAAGCTTATCGTTATTGTGCTGGAGACAGGCCAAGACAAAGGAGGGGCACAAGGTTCAGACCTGCAAAGTGGCAGACAAAATGGGCAGCCTCAATATCTCCGTCTGTGATGACATCGGCAATCTGATCCAGCCTGGGGACGTTGTCTGGCTCAACAAAGGGTGCGCTTCAGTTTTCAAAGGTTGTCTGACACAGTATACTGGCCATGGGGGTGATCTACAGAAGACTGGAGAATTCTGTATGGTTTATTCTGATTTCCTAACTTCAATGAGCCAAACTCAGAGTATAGCAACCAGCAGGCGCCCAACAAGGTGGTGCAGAAAGACAGCAACCCTGCAGAACAACAGCAACCCTACAGCTTCCCAGCCTACCACTCGTCCCCCTGCTGCTTCTCCAGCCTCTGAAAGCCAGAATGGGAATGGATCTAGTAACCCACCAGGGTCCTGGTAGTGGCCCACATCCCCCTCATAGTCCGTCCCACCCCCCCAGTACCAGAACCCCTCGAAGCCAGGCCAACCACACACCTGCAGGCCCACCTGACCCTTCAGCCCTGTTAGTAACGGCAAAGTAGCCCGGAGGAGCAGCAAGATATAGCGTGACATTCTTCCTTCCTGCCACCAACAACATCCCATGTTTGCCGGAGAGCAGGACAGCTTTCCACTGGCTGGCTGGTGTCACAATATTTTAGCCACTGAACTTCAGTGGAGGGGTGGTGAACAGTGGCTTCATCCACCCTAATCTCATACTCCCCCATTGTCCAGCTGAACTACCTGTCCCCTGGGAGTCCAGACCCTCCTCTCCTTCCTGTTTAGAAATGACAGTTACCTTCTGTTTCTTCTGTGTGTCACATGGGGATCTCACTAAAATCTCTCCTTCCTAATAAATGTTACCACTCTGAAAAAAATTTTTTAAACTTCTGTTCAAGAGAGGATACCATAAAGAAGACTGAAAGATATTCAAGTTGAAGAAAAATATTTGCACTGTACACAACAAAGGATTTGAAGTCCTTAACAAATAAAGAACCTCCCAAAGTGCTGGGATTACAAGGGTAAGCCACCACGCCCAGCCAGTATATTTAAACTCTTAACAGTAGGTATTGCAGAGGATGAGAGAGAATATCAGGCACTAATATCTTCTGTTTTATACGCTTCTGTGTTATTCAGATTTTTCACAAGTATATGCTAGTGTTGTAACCAGGGAAGGAAAAAAACACTTTTACACTGAGAAAGAACAAGAACTCCTGCATTAAGCCCTGCAAAGCATTCCCATCAGCCTCTTTTCCCATCAAAATGTCCATCTAATTACAGCAAATGTCTTTAAGTGCCTTGCTGAAGTTGATTTTCCTTTTCCTGGTCTGTTTCAGCTTGGACTGACTTGGATTAGAATCTGGCTTCATCAGTTTCAGTGGCTGGGAGAACCTGAAGTTGATGGACTTCTCCCAGCTGTCACTCTCAAGGAGAAGCATGGTCTTGATTCCTACCTCACAACTACCAAACACAAGTGTGTGTCAGATTCTCTTTCCCTTCATTTCCCTCCCCTCTGGGGTAAGGCAAAGATCCAAGTCCCAGCTCCTGTCCTCAAAGCCCTCATAGTCCAGTGTAATGGGCTGACCTAAGCAAGGATGGCATTTGATGACCTTCATGGGATTATCAAATGGAGATGGCTTTGAGCTGGGGGTCCTGGGGGTGGTGGGGAATTGCTGAAGAGTACTCAGTGGAGGCACATGGGATGTGAGTTCTGAGGGGTGGTGTGTCTAGATAGGTGGGATCATGGTAAGGCAAAGGCAAGCAGGGACATGGTTGTGATCCGTTTTGCCACCCCTTACCTATGCCGCAGGCCTGAGGGGTCCCCCGCTTGGCCTGGACCTCGGTCTCATCTCAGGGGATCAGGACTCAGCAAAGGCTGTCCTCGCTGTCCTCACCACCCACGAAGGCATGTAATCGTCATGTTTTCCTTTCCCATTGATTCCTTTTTGTCGTGACCTTCTGTACCTACCTAAGGTAACTTAGTTTGTGTTTTTCAAGCTGATTGTTGGTTAATTTATTCAGTCGGTGTTTCTTAGAAAAGGCTCATTGGAGACTCATAAAAACCAGCACTACTCTAAAATAACAAATGAACTTCTAGTTAATGCCTGACTACCTCCAACTCGTGTTCCTAACCTTGGGTCTTGGAGAAACCAGTTAACAGCTCTGGGTCTCATTTCCTCCTGTCTGATGATAGTGACGGTGACAGTGGTTGTCTCAACCAAGCTACCTACAGTCAGAGCCTGAGACAGGTATTCCTGTTCAAGCGACTGAGTGAGGTGCCCTCAGGGGTTAGGAAGTGAGGCAGCAGGACAGGGAAGGGTGAAGGGATGCTGGGTTGGAGACTAGCTTCAGCCTGCTGCAAAGAGGACCTTGGGAGCACAGCTCGCCCTAAGAAGTTGGTGCTACTTTAAGGCAGGGGGCAGGCTTTTGTACTCCAGGACATCAAGTCCATACAGAGGGCCAGCCTTTTGTATCCCAGGTCATCAAGTTGATGCAGGGGGGCAACCTTTTGTACCGTAGGTCATCAGTCATTGACCATGAGCTGCACAGAGTAACCCTTTAGGTGAGGCTGCTCCCTTTGGCTGAGAGTAATTCTCCAAAGAAAGGCTGCAGGTAGAGCCATCAGCAGCCAACCCTCACAGCAGTGTGGGTGGGGACAGAGGTGGGGTGAGTCAGATGCATCTCTGGGCATGTGCATGTAAACTCTGACATTTACCGAGTGCTTATTATTTGCCAGGTACTTATCTAAGTACTTTACCTACACTAACAGATGATGCTCATGCCACCCTATAAAGTAGATATATCCTTCTACTATTAGCTGCATTTTACAGATGAAGAAATGGAGGCACAGAGAGGTTAAGTAACTTGCCAAAGGCCACACAGCAAGTGAAGGGGAGAACCAGGTTGGGAAAAATGATCTCTAAGTAACTTTAGTTAGGAATTTCAGACTGGTGTCATTTATTTAGTCAGTTATCAATTCATTCCACATTTATTGAGAGCCTCTCATGTCCTAGAAATGACAAAGATAAATCAAACATGTCTCCAGCCCTCCAGGAACTCAAACTTTACTGGGAGAAGCACTGTGTGCATTACTTAATACTGGACTGTGTCCTGAGCACTCTGAGAGGGAAGTACAAAAGTGTGCTACTTCTGCCCTGGGGCATTCGGAGAGATGGCTGGGAGAAGATAAGGCTGAAGTTTTGTCTGGAAGGATACGCAGATATTACGGGTTAAAGGATGAGAAGGACATTTCTAGCAGAGGGAACGGTGCATGGCAGGACAAAGACACTGAAAGATGGAGGTGTGGGGCAGGGTGGAGGGAATGAGAGTGCTCAGAGACACGCTGGGATGGCTGCAGGCTGTGAGAGGCTTGTGGGGTTTGGCCAGTGTAGGGAGACCCAGGTCCTCAGCCAGTCCAAGTTCAGTCTCCACCCGCAACAGACTGGCTCAGTGGAGGTGGCAAGGGATGATGGCTGTCTCAGTCCCCAAGCCCCCTTTCAAGTGGAAAAGAATCAGCAGAGCTGCCTGCCTGCCCTCCATTCAGCCTGGCTCCAACCACCTCTGAGCCACAGGCAGACGGGAAAAGTTATCCTGAGCAAGGCCTCCAGGCAGGGAGGGGTTATATTCTGGAGTGTCACAGAGGGACCTCTGCAATTGACTCAATAAGAAAACAGGATTTTAGAATAAAAAAGGAGAGTTTTTTTTTTTGACACTGTCATGTGTCTCTCTCTATCTTTGGTTCGTTTTTAAAAAAACAAGGAGTACAATTCATTGCTCTTATCTTTCTACCCCATCCTGTTGAAATCCAAGTGTGATCCTCTGCAAGTCTAGTGCACACTCCCACCTTTATCAAAACCCACCTTTACGATATCAGTTATCCTGCTGCTAGATACCTGCCGCCGGAGGAGGGAGTGGTCGCCAAACCAGATGAAGTTCCCAGTTCTCTCCCAGGTGACTGTCTGGGTATAGTTGTGATTCAACTGTTAATGATGTAACCAGAGCCCAGGGGAAACATTGCCAAGAACTAGGACACCTTTTGCAAAAGTTTGAAAAGAAAAAAAAAGGGTGAGAGATAAAAGACTACAAATTAGGTGCAGTGTGCACTGCTCGGGTGATGGGTGCACCAAAATCTCACTAATCACCACAAAAAAACTTATCTCTGTAACCAAATACCACCTGTTCCCCAAAAACCTATGGAAATAAAAATTTAAAAAAAGATTTCTTGTAATAGTTTGTCTCCTTAGGATAAATATCTTAGAAGTATGCCACCATGCCCAGCTAATTTTTGTATTTTTAGTAGAGACAGGGTTTCACCATGTTGGCCAGGATGGTCTCTATCTCTTGACCTTGTGATCCACCTGCCTCGGCCTCCCTAAGTGTTGGGATTACAGGCGTGAGCCATCACGCCCAGCCTAAACTTTTCTTTATTTTAGTGTGTGTGTTTTCTTTTTGAGACAGAGTCCCACTTTGTCGCCCAGGCTGGAGTGCACTGGCACTATCTTGACTCACTGCAACCTCCATCTCCCAGGTTCAAGCGATTCTCCTTCTTCAGCCTCCCAAGTAGCTGGGATTACAGGCATGCACCACCATGCCTGGCTAATATTTGTATTTTCAGTAGAGACAGGGTTTCACCATGTTGGCCAGGCTGGTCACGAACTCCTGACCTCAAGTAACCCACCCATCTTGGCCTCCCAAAGTGCTGGGATTACAGGTGTGAGCCACCACGCCCAGCCTATTTTAGTGTTTTAGCAAAATCTTTTGAACACGATCAAATAAACTACCCATTGGTACTTAACTGTATTTTCATGAAAACTGAAAAAGTTAGGAGGCTTTACAGGGTTCCAGTGAAGCTGATATGGACGTTGAGCATTTAGAGGTCTCTCAATAAACATTTGTTGATTGGATGAATAAGTAGATACTGTAATGAGTTAGCTGAACCGCCACGTTGGAGAAGGGGAACATGAGTCAAATATCATTGAATTAAACTCTTTTTCTTTTTTTTTTTTTTTTTGGAGACAGATCCTTACTCTGTCACCCAGACTGGAGTGCAATGGCATGCAATTCTCCTGCCTCAGCCTCCAAAGTAGCTGGGATTATAGGCGTGCACCACCATGCCCAGCTAATTTTTGTATTTTTAGTAGAGACAGGGTTTCACCATGTTGGCCAGGCTGATCTCGAACTCCTGACCTCAGGTGATCTGCCCGCCTCAGCCTCCCAAAATGCTGGGATTACAGGTGTGAGTCACTGCACCTGGCCAAACTCTTTTTCTTTAGTGTGACAGTTAGAGATTAAATGTGAAAAAAAGGGATGAGTGAAAGGGACAAATTAGGCAAACTCTTTGATTTGAGGCCTGAGAAACAACTTTGAGTCATGGTGACTTGTACTGAGAAAACAGACTTGAGTAAGAACGGATTTGGGGCACAGAAATCAAGAGTTCTGTTTTCAGGGTTTCTCAGTCTAAGCTCTATTGACATTTTGGGCCAGATAATTCTTTCGGGGACTGTCCTGTGCACTGCAGGATGTGCAGCAGCTTCCCTGGCCTCTACCCACTAGATGCCTGTAGCACACCTCCCCACCACCCGCAGGTGGCTTCAAACGTATCTCCAGATATGGCTGAATGTCCTTGGTGGGGCCAAACTCCCCAGGTTGACAACCATGGGATTAAGGTGAAGACCCTGTGAGATCGCCAATGGGAGTGGGAGAATAAGGGTGGGAGTGGGGAAGGGGAGTGTCCAGTATGCAGGAGAGAGGCCTGAGAGAGGCATAAATTGCAGCAGATGAACGTTATAGTCGATATCAAGAACTTTCTGGCAAATGGTAACATTCTGAAATGCATTGCTTTTGGTCTCAGAAGTTATAGGGACAAGGACCAAGAGCTAGTTGGATACCCTGTGAACTGGAGGGAGCCAGATGGGCCTGGCCTGGAGCCCTGGTTCAGACACTTAGCATCACTTAACAGCTCTGGGCCCATTTCCTCATCTGTCAAATGTGGCTAATAGCATCTGCCTCCTGGAGCTGATAAGATTAGAGATATGCATAGAGATTAGAGATATGTATATAAGCTATTGAGACTGGCACCTGCCATGAAGCAGGGCACTAGAAAATATTAGTAATTGCTGTCACTATTCCTAATATCAGGTTTTATGTTGGCACTTTCCTGCTGGGAGCTCAGGAACTAACAGTAGGCCACCTATAAAGCCTTTTTGGGTCTATCATCCTAATTGAAATCTATGCAAGCCTTCCTGTGGTAGTATTTGAACGAAAAATGCAATTGTCTAGAAAGCAATTGCCATTTAAACTGTCACAGAAACAGTTAGAATAATACTGTAGATATTTTTATGTTTCAGCCCAAATGTACTCAAAGTGGTATCCGATTCCTGGCAGGGAACACTCAACATGTCTTTAACAGCTGAAAGAAAGCATCCACCTAGGTAGATATTTTACGTCTTCAGGGGGGAAAAGCAACATTTCTGTATAAAAATGTTTCATTTATTATTTTTTATATATTTTAAACAATGAAAATGTCATGGAGCAGCCCTTGGTTGGCTATGTCCCAGACCAGCCACTGTTTCATGTGCATCATTTCCATACAGCCTTCAAAACAACCAGTTGAGGCCAGGCGTGGTGGCTCATGCCTGTAATCTCAGCACTTTGGGAGGCCAAGGTGTGCGGATCACTTGAGGTCAGGAGTTAGAGACAAGCCTGGCCAACATGGTGAAACCCCGTCTCTACTAAAAAATACAAAGCTGGCGTGGTGACGCGCACCTTTAATCCCATTTACTTGGGAGGCTGAGGCAGGAAAATCACGTGAATCCAGGAGTCAGAGGTTGCAGTAAGCTGAGATCGCAGCACTGCACTCCAGCCTGGGCAACAGAGCAAGACCCTGTCTCAAAAACAAAACAAAACAAAAAAACCAGCTGAGTGCATAGTTGTATTATTCTCTTTTCACCAAGGAGGAAAATGAGGCACAGAGAGGTTGGGTACTTGCCCAAAGTCACACAGCTATGTGGCAGAGTAGGAATTTGAACCTAAACATTCTGCCCCTAAAGCCTGAACTTTTAACCACGGCACTGTATGTAGCTCACAGGAAGATTGAAGGGAAAACTTCTGGAGACATTAACAACGTCCAGACAAGCACTTCTCCATTTATTATTCACTTGTCCACATTCCCCATCTTATTTTCTTTCACACACACATCGTTGGTATCCCCTTTAATTTCAATTCTTTTTATCTTTTTTTTTCCAAGAAATATTTTACCATTATATTTTAATACTATATATAAAACATCAGGCACAAGAGAGCCCTTCAAAAGAAAAAGCAGAGCGTGCCTGAAGAAAATGCTTCTACAATGGTCTTTATCTCATACAGCTGAATATAATTTTCCCCCAGATGTTACTCTAGTCACTTATTAAATTAATCTTTCCTGTTTTAATACCTATAGAAACTGCACCAAAATCTGAGCTGTTCAAAGGGATCTGCAAACCAGGTAGCTGATACATTTGTAAACATTCCCTTTGACCTGTTTGATCTTCATATCTTCATTCACAACCACACTAATTGAGCTGATTGAGGGCAATGTCATTGGGTCTTTTGCATATTCAAATTTTCCAGCCTCCTCTTTCTGGATGTGAATGAGGTTCAGAAGAATGGGTGGGAGAGGCCCAACTGACTCAGCCAGAAATACCGGGTTGGCCCTTTCCTGGGGCAAGCAGTGAGGACAGCACTGAGTGGCTTAAATGAGTGTTTATCCCAGCTGCCGCCCGCCCCAGCTAGGAAGGAAGTCCTTACCATCTGGGCACAGTTGCTTTGGGCTACTTGGAGTGTGGAAGGAGACACTCTGCTTCCTCTAAAGCCCTTTAACAATGTTGCGGACCAAAGCTTCATGATTTTTCAAGAGGAAAAGTCCTTGACAGGCTCCCAGGACTCAAATCTTCTATTCCTGAGAGATCTATCACTGGCGGTGGGGGGCTCAGCCCCCTGGAGCCAGTTCTCCTCCCTATACTAAGGTGGCGGAGAGTCTCCTAAATAGAACAGAGGTGCTAATAAGCTTTGGGGAAGAAACAAACAGAAGAAGCTCAAAAAGTACAGAAACTGTCAAAGTGGATATTTTAAAAGCCTCCCACTGGAGCTCGTCTCCTGTGTTCCCTCGGAACTGTGAAACTTTTAAAATGTTGAAATCATTAGCCCTATTATTGTGTCAGTCTGCCACATTCACTTCCATCTTTCCATTTCTATCCACCCACCAGCCACCCCGCCTCTCCCAGCAAGCTGAATTACACCACATTCAAATCTTCTGCAATGGAACTCCCTAAAATATGCTCTTTTTTCAAAATATGTTTACATTCAAGTCACTCAAGTGCTACATTGCTGAGTCAAAGACTTCAGACATTTTAAGGAAGGATAGAGAAATAGGAGACTAGGGCCTGTGGTCTAGTGTTCTGTAGTATTCTAACTCTTTATCCTCTTCTCCCAGTCCCCAATCTCACCCCTTATCTATGGTCTTTGGCTGTTCTGTTTTTTTGTTTTTTTTGGGTTTTTTTTTTTGAGTTTTGTGCTTGTTGCCCAGACTAGAGTGCAATGGCATGATCTTGGCTCACTGCAACCTCTGCCTCCTGGATTCAAGTGATTCTTCTCCTCAGCCTCCCAAGTGGCTGGTATTACAGGACTGTGCCTTCATGCCTGGCTAAGTTTGTATCTCTAGTAGAGATGAGGTTTCACCATGTTGGCCAGGTTGGTCTCGAACTCCTGACCTCAGGTGATTCGTCCACCTCAGCCTCCCAAAGTGTTGGGATTATAGGCATGAGCCACGACGCCCAGCCGTCTTTGGCTGTTCTTTGATGTAAGGAGGCAAGAGCCTGGATTGGTGGTGCATGCCTGTAGTCCCAGCTACTTGGGAGGCTGAGATGGGAGGATTGCTTGAGCCCAGACATTTGAGGCTGCAGTGAGCTATGATGGCACCACTGCACTCCATCTTGGGTGAAAGAGCAAGACTTTGTCTCAAGAAAAAAGAAAAAAGAAAGAAAGAAATGAAGGAAGAAAAAAGGAGTCAAGAGGAACAAAGATCAAGCCTGTGTAACTCAGTCATACGATGGAACCAAAGTACCAGGAGCAAAAAGGTAGAAACACTGAGTTTTGCTGATGCTAAGTTGGAACCGCAAAGAGACCTCAAAGCTTTTCCCGACTTTGACCCTTCCTCTTCTCTCCTGAGCACAGCCTCCAGCCACCCTTGGTTCTCCTGAGGTCATGCCCAGCTCTGAGAGGATCAGTGGTTGGTGGCTCAGAAGGGCCAAGGCTTTGGAGCCAACCTGACCTTGGCTTCAAGTCTAGCACCTGTGGAACCTTGGTCAGGTCCCTTTCCAGCTCTGGGCTCAGTTTTCTCATGGGAATAATGGTAGCAATATCTACCTTACAGGGTTTATGTAAGGATTACTTGACAAATGTATGCGTGTGCATTTAAAAAAATTGAAATGAAATTCACATAGTATAAAATTAACCACTTTAAAGTGAACAATTAAGTGGCACTAAGTACATTTGCAATGTTGTGCAACCCACCATTTCTATCTGTTTTCCTCACTCCAAAATAAAAACCCATCTGCACTCATTATGCAGCCACTCTCCACTCTTCTTCCCACCATCCTGGCAACCAGCAATCTGCATTCTGTCTCTACAGATTTACTTATTCTGGACATTTCCTATAAGTAGAATCACATGATATTTGTCCTTCTGTGTCTGGCTTCTTTCACTTGGCATACCGTTTTGAGGCTCTACTTATTGTTGTATGTATCATTACTTCGTTCTTCTTTACCGGCTGAATTAATATTCCATTGTGTGTAAGCACCACAATTTGTTTACCCATTCATCTTTTGATGGGCGTTTGGGTTGTTTCTACCTTTGGGCTATTGTGAATAGTGCTGCTATGAATATTCAAGTGTATGTGCCTTTCTTAAAGGCTGTAGTGCTTAATAAATATCAAAGAGGGAAGCCAAGATCCAGGGTCCTGTGCTGATGACTAGAAGAGTCCTTGCCTCCGCAGGATCCCACGAAAAGATTACTCATAGCTTTATTTTTCATGAATGACAGGGCTTTTCAAATCTGTGCTAATCTAAGATCTAATCCTCACACACTGACACATCAGGAGTGGGTGTGAGTATGAGAAAAACATGCTGGGTCTTGCTCACCTATACTTGTTTGGCTGGATGACCTACCCAGGTCCATGCAAGGTTAGTTTTTTGAAGGCACTAGAAAAATTATAATGTCACTAAGCCTCACTGAGCCTCAGAATTTCATTAAGCCTCAGTTTTCTCAACTGTGAAATGGAGTGATAGGAGGAGTGACCAACTGTCTTAGTTTACCTGGGAAGTGAGTCATCAAGACAGCAAAGAACTTCAGACATGAATTTCCTCTTTCTTACTTCCTATTAAAAACAAATCAATATTTGAACAATGATTTTCATATGAAAGAAAGATAACATAATGCATTTCAATGAATTTAACATATATTTATTGAGCACCTACTACATGCTAGGCACCATTCTCGGCTGTGGGAATATAGCAGTGAACAAAGCAAACAAAAATCCCTGCCCTACTACATGCTGGGCACCATTCTCGGCTGTGGGGATACAGCAGTGAACAAAGCAAACAAAAATCCCTGCCGTCCTGAAGTTTATATTCAAGTGAGAGGAAGCAGAGATTCTAGGTGTGAGTGAATTAGAATGTGGTAAGTACTTTGAAGAAAAATAAACCCAGTGAGAGGGACAGGGGATACTAGAGAGAGGAAGGGTAGAGTTTTGCTATTTTTGCAGAGAGTGGAGTGGCCAGGCTTGGTTTTCTTGAGAAGGTGACATTTAGACAAAGATTGAAGGAGGTGATGGGAGAGCCAGGTGGGTATCTGGGAGATGAGAAGGTCCTGCTGAGAAAGTAAGGGACACATCCTAGAGCAGGGGCCAACAGAGAGCAAGAAGGAGTCCTATGGGCAGTGGGCAGAGAGGCAGTGGGGACCATACTGTGTAGGGTCATGTAGCCGGAGAGAAGGACTTGGGCTGTTAGCTGGAGAGAGCTGGGAGAACCAGGTAGGTGTGACAAAGGCCTCTAAGAAGCTCTCCAGCTCCTTGGAAGGAAAGTCAATATCCTTCCAATGGCTGCCCACAACTTCCATTACATAGAAATCCAAACTCTTGACCCAAACTCCACTCCAAAAACACCCCTGCATTCCCATCTTCTTCATTCCAGGAAATGGGTTCACTGACCACCCAGCTGTTCAGGCCAGATGCTTGGCTTAGATTTTGATTCTTCTCATTCCCACATACTCTTGTTCATTTAATCAACAAGTTTTACAAACCCTGCCTCCCCAGTGGATTCCAAATCTGACTGCTTCTCTGTTCTTTGCTCAGGCAGGTTAAGTGACTCAGCCAGCAACACACAATGAATGAGGCACAGTCCTGGAACTTGAAACCAGGCCTTCTGATTCCATGCTGGAGAGAGAACCATCTGTCCCATGGATGTCCATGGATGTTGCTCAGTTCAGCAACAAGGAGACATGGCTGTTGAAACATTCCAATGTCCACTGAGCACCAACTGTGTGCCAAGACTCCCTGGGGGACTTTGGTTAGATGTATTGTTTCTCTGGGCCTGGAGCTTCTGGAGAAGGCCAGCCTCATGCCCAAGTCTTGGTGAGACAGCAGATTCCATCCCTCCTGGGACCGGAGCGGCAATCAAACATGGCATGAAACTGGCCCTTCTGGGCTGCATGGGCAGGAGGCAGGAGCTGAAGTTTTCTTAACTGTTGGGCTTGTTCTTGTAAATTCAATCATTTATCTGACATTTCCTGAGCTCCTGCCATGGGCCAGGCCCTGGAGATAGAGCAGTGAAAAACAGTAAAATTTCCCTGCCTTCGTGCAACTTATATTCTAATGGGAGGAGAGAGTGTAAAATCAATATATATTATAAATAGTATAATATGCTAAATGGTGATGAGTGCTGTGGAGACTTTGAAGCAGGGGTGGGGAATATGGCCATATTTCCCAGGGGAAGAAGTATTGCAATTTGAAATATGGAGGTAGATGAAAACCTCACTCAAAGATGATTTGCAAACAGAGAAGGAAATGAGGTGATCAGGAGCAAGACAGAGACTGTCTAGGGGATGAGGCTTCCAGACAGAGGGGATGATAAGTGCAAAGGAACCCAGGCAGAAGCATGCATGGGCTGTTCAAAGAACTCAAGTGCAGTTGGATCAGAGAGGGTGAGGAGAAGAGTAACAGGAGATGAAGTGAGAGAGGAAGTGGCCAGGAAGCCTAGCATTGTGCAGATCTGTTCACTGCACCGTAATGCCTGAGCTCACCAAGCCTTGTGCCTTGATGCAGGATTGTGTCTGCCTGGAGGAAGAAGCATGTTTTTGGACTAACAACAAGCTCTCTCTCTCTCGCTCTCTCTTTGAGATGGTCTAGCTCTGTTGCCCAGGCTGGAGTGTCATGGCACAATCTCAGCTCACTGCAACCTCCACCTCCCGGGCTCAATCAATCCTCCCCGCTCAGCCTCCAGAGCAGCTGGACTACAGGCACACACCACCATGCCTGGCTAATTTTTTTTGTATTTTTTTTGTAGAGATGGGGTTTCACCATGTTTTCCAGGCTGGTCTTGAACTCTTGGGCTCAAGTTATTTGCCTGCCTCAGCCTCCCAAAGTGTTGGGATTACAGGCATCAGCCACTGCGCCTGGCCAAGCTCTTTTTAATACCAATGGCCTATTCTGCAAGAAAAAGATGTCCACTGGGAGACTTGAGGCAGAGGAATGGCATATCTGACTTACTTATTCTTTGGAAACTGTGTTAAGATTAGACAATAGAGGGCAAAGATGAAATCAGAGAAACAAAGTCGAAGCTTTTACATAAGACGGTGACTTGGCTACTTGATGACATTAGTAGCTTGAAGGCATTTCCATTCTAGAGGTTGACAGCTTGGTCCAGTACTCAATGGCAGCAAACCTGGCTTAGACTTTTCTGGAAGCCTGTTGTAGCAGATGGCAGCCCCTTTTAGAAGCACAATCTAGGTGAGCTTGCCCTATGCATCATGCCCTTCCCCAGCCCGTTATAATTTGCCCTATTATAACATTGTAAGTCACCACTTATTGAACACCCACTATGTGGCAGGCTCAGTGCCAAGCATTTTGCATACCCATTTTCTTAACATCTTGCCCAACTGCATGAGGAATATCATAAGGAAGC
This sequence comes from Homo sapiens, assembly GCF_000001405.40. Classification (NCBI taxonomy): domain Eukaryota; kingdom Metazoa; phylum Chordata; class Mammalia; order Primates; family Hominidae; genus Homo; species Homo sapiens. The sequence goes on along the minus strand of NC_000004.12, from coordinate 53,914,849 downwards.
TGAGAAAGAGCTCAGGAAGTTGCATGATATTGTACCATTTGTAAATGGCAGGGCTGTGATGCAAAAATCACATTATTCTTACCAAGACCTGGCTCTTCACTGCCTTGCTATATTAGGTTGGTGTAAAAGTAATTGCAGCCATTAAAAGCAATGGCATACAAAATATACGTTGCCTGGGTCTTCTCAGCTCTGTTCTGGGCTGTTAGTCAAATTACAAAGAACTAGCCTCCCCTCTGTTTGATATGAATCTCTCCCAGGCCTTTGCTCTCTTGTCTTCTAGATAAGTTAGCCAGACAGGCAGCTGACTAAGAAGCTATCCTATTTTTAAAGAGAAGAACATTTCATAATTTCCTTTGGTAACTCAGTTACTTCTAGTAAACAATGACTTGACTAACTACACTGTCACCCGGGGGGTGGGACTGTATCGTTGCATCTAGTACCTAGGAGGATGCTGACTCAATTAGTATTTGCTAAACAGATAAATGGAGTAATGAGCTTATCAGAGAATCTGATTCAAGATGAGGAAGACCCACAGAATGGACTAGCTGAGGAATGAGAGAGCAAGCAGTCAACCTTAGATGTGATCCCAATACAAAACTTTTTTTTTTTTTTTTCACAATGTAACCTTTAATCTTTTGAGGGGAGAAAGAAGGAAGGGAGAGGAATGAGCAAGACACAGGTAGCTCTGATGAAGAAACTCTCTAAAAAAGAGGGAATAAAAGAGACTTTTATTTTGCTTTCTTTTAATCAAATTATGTGTGGTCCTGGTTGTCAAGAGAGTTCTTAGTTTAAGTTCTAGCACTATCATTTATTTTTGTTTTTTAACTTTTATTTTAGGTTCAGGGATACATGCGCAAGCTTGTTACATAGGTAAGCCTGTGTCATGGGAGTTTGGCGCACAGATTATTTCATCACCAAGGTACTAAGCCTAGTACCTAACAGTTATTTTTTCTGATCCTCTCCCTCCTCCCATCCTCCACCCTCAAGTAGGCCCCGGTATCTGTTGTTCCCCTCTTTGTGCCCATGTGTTCTCATCATTTAGCTCCCACTTATAAGTGAGAACATGTGGTATTTGGTTTTCTGTTCCCATGTTACTTTGCTAAGGATGATGGTCTCCAGCCTCATCCATGTTTCTGCAAAGGACATGATCTTGTTCTTTTTTTGTGGCTGCACAGTATTCCATGGTGTATATATACTACATTTTCTTTATCCAGTCTATCATTGATGGCCATTTAGGTTGATTCCAGGTCTTTGCTATTGTGAATAGTGCTGCAATGAACATATACATGCATGTGTCTTTAGGGTAGAATGATTTATATTTTTGGGGGTATATACTCAGTAATGGGATTGCTGGTTTGATTGGTAGTTCTGTTTTTAGTTCTTTAAGGAATCACAACACTGCTTTCCAGAATGGTTGAACTAATTTACACTCGTACCAACAGTGTATAAGTGTTCCCTTTTCTCTGCAACCTTGCCAGCATCTGTTATTTCTTGACTTTTAGTAATAGCCATTCTGACTGGTGTGAGATGGTATCTCATTGTGGTTTTGATTCACATTTCTCTAATGATTAATGATATTGAGATTTTTTTCATATAGCACTGTCATTTAAGGCATGTGACTTTGAGGCAGTTGCCTCACCTTTTTAAGCCTTAGTTTTCTCATTGGAAGAGTATGGGCTACAATGCAATTGAACGTACTTGCTGTGTGTCAGGCACTGTTCTAGGAGCTTTCACAGATATATTATTTAAGCTCTACAGTAACTCACATGAGATAAGTGCTCTTATTATCCCCATTTTGCAGAGGAGGCAACTGAGGCATGGAGAGAATGAGTAACTGCCCGGGTATACACAGCTAGTGAGTCGTAGAGCTCCAGTTCGAACCCACTCAGTCTGTGCTCTTAACTACCTCATTATTTTCCCATAGACTTATTGTAGAGATCAAAGAAAATACTGTTCACAAAAGTATTAGGTTGGTGCAAAAGTAATTGTGGTTTTTGTCATTTAAAAGTAATGCATACTTAAAGTATAAGATTTCATAACCAAGGACCCAGAATGATGCCATATAGCATGATTCTGTAAATGCTTAATAAGAAGTCATGATTATAAGGGTTGTCTGACTCTTTCCTGGAGGCTGAGAGAATAAAGAGCCAAGAAGGATGTCTTCATCTGGTCCTGAAGTGGAGGAGAGAAGGACCTGGCACTGTTTGGAGTTTGGAACCTCCTTCACGTAGTGCCTGGTTTGGGTCTGAAATGATTGTCCTCCAGCTAAAGGGCAGGACCAGCATTCCTGAATGCCCCAATGTGTTATGGATAAAGAGAAACATCTCCAAGAGAGCAAAGCTCTGAATAAGAATTACGGCTAGGGGGCATGGTGCACCCCAGGGAAGGAGTCAAGGGGGAGACATTCATTTTGGGGCCAGAAGGGATTCCAACTGGACCACCACAAGGAACTCTAAGCTTTTTATTAAGCAGCTACTTTGTGCCAAGTCCTGTGCAAAGCAATTTCATATACATTACCTTATGCAATACAGTAACTTTGGACAGAACATTCTATTATTTTCTTGTAGAGATGTGGAAATTGTGTCTCAGAGCAGTGAAGCAATGTATTCATGCTCATATACCTAATAAGGGGCACCTCTGGATTTAAACCTGATTCCAGGTCTTTTCAATACACCATACTGCCGCCTAACGTCCTATCTTCCTTCCAGTAACATTGCTTTCATTTTCCCCAAGAACAAAGTTGTAAGTCTGTCCAAAATGTTGGAATATACCTTACTTTTTATTTTTATTTTTATTTTGTGAGACGGAGTCTCGCTTTGTCTACCAGGCTGGGGTGAAGTGGCATGATCTCAGCTCACTGCAACCTCCACCTCCCAGGTTCAAGTGATTCTCCTGCCTCAGCCTCCCAAATAGCTGGACTACAGGCATGTGCCACCATGCCCAGCTAATTTTTTGTATTTTTAGTAGAGACTGCGTTTCACCGTGCTGGCCAGGCTGGTCTCAAACTCCTGACCTCGTGATCCACCTGCCTTGGCCTCCCAAAGTGCTGGGATTACAGGCGTGAGCCATTGTGCCCTGCCATACCTTACTTTTTAAATGAAGGTTTGCCTAGAAAGCTGTTGTAATTACTTGTATATAAACCAGATCATGTTTTAAAAAATGTCTTCAGAGCACTAGCATTTTCTATAGGAATTATCCATTTGTAAAGCAAATAAGAATTCTCTTTCCCTCCCTCTGGGACTAATTCAGGTTTCATGGCAATCCTTGCTTTTTTTTTGAGACAAGGTCTCACTCTGTCACCCAGGCTGGAGTGCAGCAGTGCAATCTTGGCTCACTGCAACCTCTGCCTCCCAGGTTCAAGCAATTCTCCTGTTTCAGCCTCCCAAGTGGCTGGGACTACAGGTGTGTGCTACCACATCCAGCTAATTTTTGTCTTTTTAGTGGAGATGGGGTTTAATAGTGTGGCCCAGGCTGGTCTCAAACTCCTGACCTCAAGTGATCCACCTGCCTCAGCCTCCCAAAGTGCTGGGATCACAGCCATGAGCTACCACACCTGGCCCAATGCTTGTTTTTATATTGGGCATTTAAAAGCCATTGTATATCAATATCAAGACAAGTGGAAACCATACAAGATCCAAGAAAACCGCATTCCTAAACCAACAGCACAGCACCTGGAAGAGAGATGGCAAATGGTGTCAAACTGTGATTTGGGATGTCAAGATGGTCTTCCAGAATGATGGTCTTCAAGCATGATGGTCTTCAAGCATCAGCCAGGTATACCTTGATTTGGAATGTGACCTTCTTCTAACCTTTCTCTGAGCACCAGTCCTGGTTTTCAGCGATTCCTTGGACATCTCCCCATCTATATTTTGTAGAAGTATCCAAGTCAACACACTCAAGGCCAAACTCCTGAGTTTCTTACCCCACCCAGCATTTCAGCCTTCCCTTAGTGCTTTTATGAATTACTTTTTCAGTCTTCCCTCGCTATAACTTCGCTTTTCAACATTTACTTTGTTGGCAAAACACTTTGAAACACTGTGCGTCTTACACTTGTACCTGTCTTTCCTTTTGGGTTGTGTCTACCACAAAACTTCGTTACATCTGTTTAAGCACTAACAGTGCCTTCCTTGGCCTCCTTGTCTCTGCTTTCCCTTTGAATCTGCTCCACATCTTCATGGCAGACCAATTTTCCTAAAATTAGCTCCCATCATGTTCCTGCTTGCATCAAAAACCTTTGGTGCTTTCCTGTGGTTGCCTTGGGAATCAAGTCCACCAGCCTGACGTTGAAGCTCTCTGCAGGCTTTCACTGGCATTTCAAGCCATTTATTTGATCTCTTCCCTTTGCGAGTGTAAGTGCGTGGCTGCTCACTGGGCCCACACTCTCCTACCTCTTTGCCTTTGTTCAGCTTCACCATCCCTGTGCCTCTGGAAACCCACCTTTTTTTTTTTTTTTTTTTTTTTGAGACGGAGTTTCATTCTTGTTGCCCAGGCTGGAGTGCAATGGCGCAATCTTGGCTCACTGCAACCTCTGCCTCCTGGGTTCAAGGGATTCTCTTGCCTCAGCCTCCTGAGTAGCTGGGATTACAGGCATGTGCCACCATACCCAGCTAATTTTGTATTTTTAGTAGAGACGGGGTTTCTCCATGTTGGTCAGGCTGGTCTCGAACTCCCGACCTCAGGTGATCTGCCTACCTTGGCCTCCCAAAGTGCTGGGATTACAGCTATGAGCCACCACACCCCGCTGGAAGCCCACCTATTCTATGAACCCGACTCCACAGCTCTCTCTTTTGTGAAGTTTCCCTCAGTTCTCCACTCCTGATGAATACAATCTCTTCTTTGGCAATTTGTATTTTTCTTCTAAGCCAACCCCATTCTGCCTTGTATTATGGTTGTTGATGTATTACGGTTACTGACAAGGTTGGTTCTGCCTTGTCTGATTCTTTTTTTTTTTTCTGAGACGGAGTTTCACTGTTGTTGCCCAGGCTGGAGTGCAATGGCGTGATCTCAGCTCACCACAACCTCCGCCTCCAAGGTTCAAGCGATTCTCCCGCCTCAGCCTCCCCAGTAGCTGGGATTACAGGCATGTACCACCACGCCCGGCTAATTTTGTATTTTTAGTAGAGATGGGGTTTCTCCATGTTGGTCAGGTTGGTCTCGAACTCCTGACCTCAAGCGATCCGCCCGGCCATCTGATTCTTATTTGATGCTTAGTTTATTAAAGGCTAGAACTGTGTCCTTTTCACTTCTGCATGTCTAACAACAGAGGCTTATACATCGCAGGAGCTCAAAAATATGTATAGGACAACAGGAATTACAAAAGAATTAAAGAGTCTTTCCCTATTAAAAGATGACACTAGATATCTATAACTAAGAATAGACAGATACCTGGGCAAAATGTGCACTTTTTGAGTGCTGAGGCTGCAATCCTTTATTGGGTACAATGACATGTCCACATAAGCTTTTCCCAAAGAATGTGAATGAAGTTCGACCCAATATGATGACATCCAGGGCAGGGGACAAGATTCCCTTTCTGGGACCTAAATTTTTTTGTGTACAGGGCGTACATGGATTCTATTCTGAAATGACTAAAAATTCTCTAAATAGCTCCAAGAGGGAAGTCTGTCTTCCCCTCCCCACATACTGATGATATCTGAGCACAAGGAGAAGCCACTGACAAATGTAGAAACCTGGTCCTCATCTGCAAAAATGAGTGCTTTGAACTAAATAAACCTTATAACCTGTTATAGTTTGAGAAATATTACATATTCCATTATTTTCCTGGAGAGGTTTAGCCGATCATACTGAAAAACAGAAACCAAACCCCAAAACTCACCAATGGTTAAGCTTTCGTCTAGGGAAAAAAGTGACTTTTACGAGCACACTGCTTATTTTGTGGTGACTGCAGAGCCCAATATCTAATCTGCTTCCCCACTTCCTGTGTTATGAAATGCTGGACATAGTTTTCTCTTGGCTCAGTGGCAATTTGATAAAGAGCGAAGAGCTGAGATGAAAGACATAGTGAACACTGCCCTCTTTTGTCCACCCTGGGTTTCTGCCACTTCTCTTTGGTAAGTGTATCAGGCAGACACGAGTTAAAGTCGTGCTAGTTAAGTAAACCTTGGTGTGTAATTCCATTTCAGTTGTTCTCTGCGTGACTCCCCGGTTTCAGCAGTGTGGAACATCTTTATTTTGGTGTCATAAACATTTCAGCTTACCCAAGCCTGCCACTTTGCGCCAGAAACCATTTAATGATGGTTGTTCGGTGCCGACCCCAAAAAAGTGGATGTAAAGCAAAAAAGAGGCTCTATTGTCTGAGGTTTTCCTGCTCCGTTTGGATTACCAGGGAGTTAAAGATAAAACCCCAGGCAGAAAGCTACATGTCAGCAGTAAGGGAACAAGATTACCTTCCACGTTACTCATTTAGAAGAGACGGCTTTTGTCTTAGTGTTTTGAGAAATTCTTCTTAAATAATTTGGTTATGACTTTCTTGTGTGTTGTGTGAGATATGTAGGAAGGAGCTTTATAAAGGAAATATAGTGCCACGTTGCTTAAATTTATTGAGGCAACCCTAGCAAGAGAAGTGCATTTCTGTTTGTAGAACAACTTATACATTTTTCATAGGCATAAACAGAAATTAAAAATTAATATGGGCTGGGTGCAGTGGCTCATGCCTGTAATCCCAGCACTTTGGGAGGACAAGGCGGTGGATCATCTATGGTCAGGAGTTTGAGACCAGCCTGGCCAACATGGTGAAACCCCATCTTTACTAAAACTACAAAAATTAGCCAGTCGTAGTGGCAGGTACCTGTAATCCAGCTACTCAGGAGGCTGAGGCAGGATAATCAGTTGCACCTGGGAGGCAGAGGTTGCGGTGAGCCGAGATCATGCCACTGCATGCCAGCCTGGGAAACAGAGCAAGAAAAATAAAATTAATATGACCTCCTTTCTTGGCTGACCTGAATCATACTTTGCAGTTATTTTTTTTCTTGTGAAAGTGAGTTTGTATTTGGAAGGTCTGCAGAGAACACCAGGGATGAAGAGGTAGAGGAGGGAATAACGTTAGTTAGGAGTACAGTTTAGAGTGCTGTTGGCTGTTTGCCCAAATGCAAATTATTTAATTTGATCTGAAAGCTTTAAATGTAATATTTGTGAGGATTCAGTCCATCAGTAAATCATCAGATATGTGTGTACATTTGCTGTGTACCCAACTAGGCATCAGGGCGTACATGACAATAGGGGAGATTGTGTTCTGGTTGGAAAAGGAAGAATTAATTTAAGAAAATAGTTTGGAGTCTGCTTCCTATAATTTTGTTCTTAAATTTTAACCTAGTGGCAGCAACTTTATGTCCTTTCTCTCCCAGGACAGTTCTAGGGACAAATATTTAGCTCCACTGTGCCTACCAGGGAATTGTATTTTATAGAACGTGTGCTTTGATTGGCAGCTTGAAAAACATGGTTAAAGTCGTGATCAGCACGAATGGAACAGTCAGGAAATGGGTCCCAGGGAACTTTTCCATTCCCACTACTCTTTGAAAAGCCCTGCAAAGATGCTATTGCAAATTTCTGTCTCATCAAACCGGGGATATTACCTTTATAAAAAGAATGCAAGGACTCATAATTCATGATATCCTCTCACCAACGATAGATCTCTAAATTATCAGGAGTAAAGTATATTTAAGAGTAAGAAAATATCTATCAAAGAAGAAAGTCAAGAAATGAATCTGTTTAGTTGTTTTCTTCCTGCTAAGAGCCTCTGATGGAGCATTTACACTGGCTTATGCTCATGTGTGTAGGATCGGCCAAATGCAAGTGGAAAATTATTAGCCAGGCAGTAGTCAGAATGCTCATCCATTCAAGAGCTTCCATTCAGATATATGGAGCTGAAATCTGAAACTAAGGGCTCTGTCCTAACTTTAGCAACTTAATTGCATAGAGCTCCACAGTGGCCTGATTAAGAATGGCTGGTGTCTTGAAATATTTTGAAAATACTGATACCAAAAGATTTTATTCTGAAAAATTATTATCCAATGAGGAAAACGAAAAGGAACCAGTTACAGAAAAGCCTACAGTCTCCGGGGATTGATGATAGAGCACATCATTGAAATGACTGCTATTTCAGAGAAAAGCAGTGCGGAGTTTACATGCTTTCCTTATAACATGAAATTTTAGTCCTTTGTCCAACACTGGGAAGTTAGAGGGAAGGAAACGTCTCTTTACTAACGAGAAAATGCACATTTGCTTCAAAACTATGGGGATGTTCTTTTTTTTTTTTAAACGGTATCCTTGTAAGTTTCTTTATTTGAAATGTGCATGAAATACCACATATGAATTTCTTGAATTTATGTAGTACTTGACTTGTCAAAGATCTTTCTCATGGGTAGGATTATTGGCAGTAAAGATAAGCTGTGGGAGAAAGGCCGGGGAAAAGTCAGTTGATGGTGTTAATTTATGAAGCAGAGTGGAAACAGAAACTAAAGGCTTATTTTCTCTCATTTGAGCAACAGGCTGGTGTTTGGCAAACTGTCCTGGGGGATATTTAGGTGAAGAAGGGCAGGCGTCGTGATCGAAGACTTATCTCCCTTCTTTTCATCTGCACACTTCTTCTCTGACCACAGTTTGAGCACTTTTCAATCACCAGCAGTCTCAGCAGGGCAAGGCTGCCACACGCTTGCTAATGGTATCCCAAACGCTGCATTTCTGGGGCTCATCCAGGAAGCACGGTGATAGACAAGCGAGTTACCGTATTTCCTCTGAAACTGCCTCCCTAAACATCAAATCAATCAGCATGGTTGGACTGCAGGCCACCACTATGTGCTGGCACTAACTATACCATGCTTCTAGGCCCTGCTTGATACTTCCAAAATAACGAAGGACACACAGGCACGCCTATAAAGCGTAATGACTGTTTAGTTGGCCTTTCCGTGGGAATATAGAATCTGCCAAACATAACTACTGATTTAGAGCTCGTCTAGGAATTCCTCCTAGCCCTGAGGTCTCAGTGTTTAGAGATATTTTCCATAAACTGGCTTAAGCCACTGCAGCATTGAATAAATAAATGCAAAGCACAAAGCTGCCAGTGTCTCTCTAGAAGAGTAGATTCTGTGCAGTGGGGTAACACAATGAGCTGTGCATGGAGCCTCTCAGAACGGTGAGTAGCGAACTTCCATCTGACAAAACAGATTTTCTAGTTTGACTTTGAACTTAAGTCAACAAAGATAGAAAAAGTGTGGAAAGTGTAGTCATTTAAAAAGAAGGTCCTGGTGACTATTTTGCTAACTGCAGAAGGCTCTTTACCAGAGTGTTAGCAGTTTATTTTTCAGAGCATTTCCTCAAGACAATGTGTATGAAAGCATTTTGTAATCAGTGGAGTACTTAAACGGCAATGACTATGCAGATACATTTCCAAACTCCTCAAAGTGAAAATGTGTTAGAACATCAGATAAGAGTGAACAAAAGCACAAAAGAGGCATTGCACATCCCTTATAGGCACACGAGACAGTGTGTTCCATTTTGAGAGATCTTATTAAGGAGATTGAAGAGGCTGGGATAATTTTGAATACGATTTCTACCCAGGCAGAGTCAGATGCAGAATTAAAGAAGATAAAGTAGGAGACTTTAGGAGAAATGTATACAGTTCTCATTACCATATACATCCTCTCTTCCTTTAGTCAGAACAACAGCTCTTTGAAATAAGGAAAAAAATAGTCTTGCTCAGCCAAGAGGAACCTGGAAGCTCCCCTTGGATGTTACTGCCCAGGCAAACCTGATGTTCTGTAGTGTGTTCACTAGGATTCCAGAAGCTGGCCAAGTAAGGATGAAGCATCACTGTTTTAGGGGGAGCCAAACTGTGGTGTCCATGGCTGTTCCCCTATGCATCAGTCATTAAGCTTGCCACCAGCTGCTGACATCTAAAGCTGAAAGGAGGGATGTCACGGTACAATAAAATGTATAAGCCAATAAACCTTTATTTGGTGATTGGTCATGCTCTTCTGTATCCTGCCTGGCCATAGCCTATTTTTATCACCAGACTCAAGGAGGGCCTTCACTCACAGAGCTTGTCCACAATAAAGGCTCATTCGTTCCAGGCATAAGCATTGCCCCTAGAGCAGCCTCTACCTTCTCTTAAATAAGAAGACCAAGGGAAACCCAACAACAATAGCAACAATAATAACAAAACAATTGAGGACTGGACACTCACGAGCAGCACCATTGGCTGGGAGACCTGGTCCAGGATAGGTTGGGTGCTGGTTCCCAGGAAGGTGTACTTTTCACTGGAGTCTCAGTTGCTGGAGAAACAATGCTGAAGGTTCTCTTTGGTGACCATGTTATGTTTTTTTGTCTATGGAAACTCAAGCCCCGTGTGGAGGGAGTGCAGAACTTTGAAAGAGCAGTTCAGTAGACACACTAGCCAGGTCCCAGCTTTTCTATAGAAGGATCCTCATTCCTTGCTCAGAGAGATGCTGCCTTGATCTGAGTCTTTATTACTGAGAGAGGAGAAACTGTGCTGTGATATCAGCTATTGTGGTCAAGTTCATAGAGAACTTCTATCTAATCCTCCAAACCTGCTCTTAAGGTGGGTGTTTCCCTCATGACCCCACAAATCTAACTTTGTGTCATAGAGCTTTGATTTTTGTTCCAGCCCTGACACTTTACAGACATGAGCAATCTTAAGCAAAATGAGTTTCGAGAAGGTTACATAATTTGCTTCTTCCAGGTAAAAGAGACAGCAGGTATAAAGGTCCTGAGGTAGGAATGGAATGGGCATGAATGAATGAGTGAAAGTGCCTTGAAATAATCTCTTCACCAGGTTGTTACGTTTTCTTTATTTATGTCTTCTTAGCAAGGATTTCTCTAATATCCATCATATCTCTATTCCATTCTCCTGATTTCATTTCTTCAGAACACTTATCTCTTTCAGAAATTATCGTATTTGCTTCCTTGTTATTGTCTTGTTAGCTGAAAAGTCAATTCCAAGACAGTAAAGGCCTTGATGGTTTTATTCAACTACAGTATTCTCAGCACCTCAATGCCTGATACAAACAGATACACATCCCAAACACCTTATCTGAAGCCCATCGGGGCCAAGTGTTTTGACAATTCAGAATTTAGGAATCTCAAATGGTGAGTATCACTAAGTTATATAACACCCCCACAGAGTTTGGGGCTGCATCCCATAATCAAACACATTTGCTTTTCTGCTGTGAAACATGCAAAATGTATCAATACAGTAGTGCCCTCTTATCCATGGGGGATCCAGTCCAAGACCACCAGTGGATGCCTGCAAGCTTGGGCAAGACCAAACCCTATGTAAACTCTTTCTTTCTCCCTCTTTCTTTCCTTTCTTTCTTTCTTTTCTTTTTTCTTTCTTTCTTTCTTTCTTTCTTTCTTTCTTTCTCTTTCCTTTCTTTCTTTTCTTTTTTCTTTCTTTCTCTCTTTCTCTCTCTCTCCCCTCCCCTCCCTTCCCCCCCCTCCTTCCCTCCCTCCTTCCTTTCTTCCTTCCTTCCCTCCTTCTGTTTAAGATAGAGTCTCGCTCTGTTACCCAGGTTGGAGTACAGTGGCACTATCGCAACTCATTGTAGCCTCAACCTCCCGGACTCAAGCGATCCTCCTACTTCAGCCTTCTGAGTAGCTGAGACTACAGGTGTGTACTGCCACATCAGGCTAATTTTGTTAATTTTTTGTAGAGACAGGATCTTCATATGTTGCCTAGGCTGGTCTTGAATTTCTGGACTTAAGCAGTCTTCCTGCCTTGGCCTCCCAAAGTGCTGGATTACAGGTGTGACCCACTACACCTGGCCTCATTGTGTTTTTTCTTATATAACCACACTGTATGGGGAAGGCAGCACATACAACATGGATATACTAAACAAAAGGATGATTCATTTCCCAGGTGGAACAGACTGGGACAGCGTGAGATTTCATCACACTTCTCTCAGAATGGCAAGCAATTAAAAACATAAATTTTTTAGTTCTGGATTTTTCCATTTAATATTTTTGGACTGTTGTTGACCATTGGTAACAGAAGCCTCGGAAAAAGAAACTATGGATGAGGGGAGAAGACTGTAGTCACAATTAAGGCAGATCATAAAGACTGGGGACTGCCATGCATCCGTTCCGGTGAGTTCAATGAGCTTGCTGCCAGCTTACAGAAAATCTTTTGGTTTTCAGAGCATTTTGGGAGTTTGGAATTACAAAGGATTGAAGATCTGCAATCAATTAGTTTGTATTGACTGCATAAATTAACAAAACATGCCTTCTATGTGCCCAGGCAGTGTGGTGGGACTGGCTCTACAGCAATGAAATAAATCTGGTATGATCCTTTTCAGCTCAGATCTGCAGAGAAAACAGGCGGTCACACAATGAGTTATCACGCGCTGCTTCAAATGAGAAGCCCTTGCTAAGGAGAGAGAGCCTGTGTCTTCACAATCATCAAAGAAAGAAGTTTATTAACCACCTCCCGCCCGCCCGCATGCCACACACACACACTGATCCCATCTCCACTCCAAGTAAAGTCAGTCGTGGGCTTTGGAGTCTGATCTTAAAGTATATTTCTCAGTGTGGCCGAGGAACCAGAGGTGGGAGGGAGACAGGGAGTTTTCACTCAAGACTCTGGTGTTTCTGTTTCTTCCCTCTCCAGTAGGTCATAGTGTCAATCCAGCCAGGGCCCAGTGACCACTAATGCAAGCTGGAGATGCTGATGTGCCTAGAACTGGGGCAGGTGTTGCAGAAGTACCCCCTGTCAAGGAAGGCATTTGGGGCTCCCTGGATGTCAGCAGCATCAGTCACAGAGCAGGAAGCTGATTCTCTCATTGGCCAAAGACTCTTGGTCTTTCTCTGACGATCTTCAGAGAAGCCCTCCTTTACTATCCCCTCCCTCTCTCCGTCCCTCCCTCCCTCCCTCCCTTCCTCTTTATCTCCCTTCTCCTTCCTTCTTTCCTCCCTTCCTTTCCCCTCCCTCCCTCAACCCCTCCCTCCCTTCCCTTCCCTTTGTCCCTCCCTCCCTTCCTTCCTCCCTCCCTCCCTTCTTTCTTTTCCTTTCCCTTCCCTTCTTCCTTCCTGCCTTCCTCCTTCCTTCCCTTTTACCTTCCCTTCCCCTTCCTTCCTTCTTCCTTCCTTCCCTTTGTCCTTCCCTCTCTCTCTGCCATTGTCTTCCCTACCCTCCCTTCTTCTCTCCTCCCCTCCCATTTCCTTCCCTTCCCTTTCTCCCCTCCCATTCCCTTCCCTTCCCTTTCTCCCCTCCCCTTCCCTTCCCCCTCCCTCCCTCCCTCCCTCCCTCCCTCCCTTCTTCCTTCCTTCCCTCTTACTCCCTCCTTCCTTTTCTCCCTTCCTTCCTTCCTTCTCCTCCTTCCTTTCTTCGAACCAACAGTTATTTATTGAACACCTGCACTGTGCTTTGCCCTGTTCTGGATAACAGTTATCTAGCTACAATCAGAGTATGCAGACTTTAGCATGGGGGCATCATTGGTTTCACTGCCTCCGCCCTTAAAAAAAAAAAAAAAAAACTTTTGCTGAGTGACTTTGTCTTATGGAAGTTAGAAAGACCATAAGATGCAGCAATTAGGTGACTTTGAGTCTGACAGACCTGCATCCAAATACTATCTCTGTCTCTTACTGGAAAGTTTTTGTTGTTGCTGTTTTTTTTTTAACTTAAGGAAGTTAAAAGCCTCCTTTTTTTTCATCTGTAAAATGTGGATTACAATCCAACGTCATAGGATTGTTGTGGTGATTAAATGAGATAGGTCATGAAAAATAAAGTGATTAGCATAGCACAGGCACATGTTGCTATAGACCCATCCATTTGTTTTGTTTTTGTTTCTGATTCTTATTTTTGAGACACAGTCTTACTCTGTCACCTTGGCTGGAATGCAGTGGCATGTTCTTGGCTCACTGCAACTTCTGCCTCCCAGGTTCAAGCCATTCTCCTGCCTCAGCCTCTTGAGTAGCTGGGATTACAGGCAAGCGCCACCACACCCAGCTAATTTTTGTATTTTTAGTAGAGACGTGGTTTCACCATGTTGGCCAGGCTGGTCTTGAACTCCTGACCTCACATGATCCTCCTGCCTCGGCCTCCCAAAGTGCTGGAATTACAGGTGTGAGCCACCACACCAGGCCGACCCATCCATTTGTTGAATGTCCATGATGTGCCAAGCTCTGTGTTGGATGCCAGGGATATGAAAATGAGTAAGGCAAAAATCCTGGCCTTTCAGGACCCATGGGAACCTACACTAACTAGGTTTTCTAGGTATTTCAAGTGGAGTTTGAAATCAGCTTGGCTGATGTTTTTTTTTTCAAAGAAAAACTGTAATGATTATCGCACACTACATCCATGCTCATTAAAGAAACACTGGAAGAAAGAAGTAGAAAAGCACATGATCATGCAGTCATGTTACATTCATTCAGCAAATATGTGTTGGGCACCTACTCTGTGCCACCACTGGTCTAGGACCAGGACACAACAGCGAGGGTGCCAGACAAGGGCTCTGCTCTCATCCTGCTTATGTTTTGTGAGAAGAGAGACTATTAACAAATAAATAAGATCATTCCCGATTGTGATAAGTGCCCTAAAGGAAGAGGGTGATATGTTTAAGAAGAGGGCATGGGGTTGAGTGTCAGAGAAAGAGACTCTGAGGAGGTGGCATTAGAGCTGAGATGAACTGCAATCACCATGTGAAGGTCTGGGAGAAGTGTTGTTAACCAACGTGAGTTTTTCCAGCGGTTTCTCTAGCCAAATACCCAGCTGTTTCTCATCTAGTCCCAGAGGAAAATGACGTAAAGAAAGCTGTGTTTTGCCAAAGATTTATAATTTAACCTTTCTGGTTCTAGAGCCAATTCTACCACTAGCAAGGAAATACTCTTACCTCTTTAGTTTCCTCTGCTTGTCACAATTGAGTTTCCTTTAAGAGCAGATCAGATGTGTTTTGGTTCTTCTTCTGAAATGGAGACGATGATTTATATTAATAGGAACATAACCCAAAAGCCCCAGGAAATGATCCTTCTCTAGACGTGGCATTCGCCAGGCCCTTTTCCAAATTTTATGTCCACGGCTGGGCTCTGGAGAGACTGGGTCACAGCCAGCAGAATGTGGCCATTCTCTCTAAAGATAAAGTTGAAGGATGTCCTCAAATAGATTGAGATTTATGAAAGAGATGGTACTGACTTCCTCCACTGAGACCGTAACAAGAGGATCTGCGTTCCAAGGAGGATTTGCCCAGATGGTCATTCTTCATCCCAGCTGTCTGGCACAGTCCTGTTAAGTTTTTCTTTTCAATAAAAGTCATTTATTTATCACATGTATGAATAAGTGTGTTTTAACTTTTATGCCGTTTTTGCAAGTTTTCAAAAATCCTTAGTCATATAATGTATCTTCGTGTTAGATTCTAAATTCATGGTCACTACAGTCGAATGGAAGCATTCTAAGGTGAATTACACTTTTGAATTCAATACAAAAGGCAGTTATTTGATGCTGATAAGCATAAATGTTTTCAAAACGTAGGACAGGAAAACATACCCTTCACCTTCATAGGGGAGATGTAGTCCTGCCTTCAGCGGAGGAGGCTTAGAGATGAAATTACCCACCCCAGCCCAACATTAATTTATAGCAAAAGCAACATTAAAAAAAATTGCCATTCAAGGGTGGCTGAGAATACCATCATCGAATCAAAGCAATGTTTTATGTGCTGATGATATCTTCTATCATTTATTGCTCTATGCATATTTAATATGTGTACCTTTGCAAAAATATTATAGATAGAATTTTAAAACAATAATACCCATTTAGTACTACTGTGTGCCAGGCTTTTTCCTAAGCCCTTTAAAAGTATTCATTCATTTAATTTTCACAGTAACCCTCTGAGGCTTATAGTCATTTCACACATGAGGAAACTGAGGTAATATTTCTATTATCCAGTCCATATTTTAGTTTAGATTATATTATCTTTCTCAAATTTTCATTTTGCAGTCTTCTTTTCCCCTTATTTTCCTCTCCTTCCCCTCCTCATACTATGTCTACTTTTTTATATCTTTTTTTTTTTTTTTTTGACGGAGTTTTGCTCTGTCACCAGGCTGGAGTGCAGTGGCGCAATCTTGGCTCACTGCAACCTCCGCCTCCTGGGTTCAAGCGATTCTCCTGCCTCAGCCTCCCGAGTAGCTGGGACTACAGGCACACACACCACCACGCCTAGCTAATTTTTGTATTTTTAGTAGAGACGGGGTTTCACCATGTTGGCCAGGATGATCTCAATCTCTTGACCTCCTGATCTGCCCGCCTCTGCCTCCCAAAGTGCTGGGATTACAGGCATGAGCCACTGCGCCCGGCCTATATCTAGTTTTTCTCACCTAATAAATACATTGTGAACATTTCTTTGGCTCAATGGATGTGAATCTAACATTCTTTCTAAATTGCTGCTTAACATGCCATAGTCACACGTATATTCTTACATAATAGCATTTTCATGTCTAGAAGATCAATTTCCAGAAGTGGAAATGCTGGATGAAAGAGAATGGGTATTTTTAATTTTAAAAGATATCACCAGATTCATTTTCAAAATGGTGCAACAATTTACATTCCTGCCAGTAACATCTGAGTGTGCATTTCCCTGCATCTTTGCCAGAAGTGTGTATTATTCGTATTTCAGAGTTTTGATATTCTGATGGGTGAAATGGTATAGAGATGACAGTTTAAATTTGCTTTTAGCTTTAAAATATTATGGTGTTACAATTTTTATTTATTTTTAATCACAGAGGCTTAAGACTTCTCATGGTGTGATAGAGCTCCCAAAATAACAGAAATTTAAAGAGTAATTTGAAGAAGTTTTCATGGCACGTGCAGGAAGCTGAAGAGACAGAACCATTGATGTTTGGCCTAGACCTCCAAAATGCTTACACAAGTGTAGAAAGATCTGAGTGAGCAGATTTCTGTTTCTCAGAGCTCATTAGCTCCTGTGGTGTGGCTCAGGGCTTTTTCCTTTATTTTGTTTTTAGAGACTTCTTTTTAGATCTTCCTATGCTTCCCAAGCTGGTCTTGAACTCCTGAGCTCAAGAGATCCTCCTGCTTCAGCCTGAGTAGCTGGGATTCCAGGTGCGCGCTGCCATGCCCCGCTGGGGCTTTTTTCCTACTGAGGGATCTCTTGCTATCTGAAATGACTCCCTAAGGTTGATGTAATTTTGTTTTTTCACTTTAATAAAGTGAAACATGGGATTTCTTATTTTCATTTATTTTAAAATTTTTTATCTTTCTGTCAACATCTACAATGCAAGGCCAAAAAAAACAAAAGTTTTTAGTGGGATGAATAGATGAACACAGTTTTTTGAGAGAAAATTCACTCAGGAAGTCAGCTATTGTTTGAATGTGTACCCAAAGTTCATGTATTGGGATTTGGTGATAGTATGCTGTAAATTTCCACTTCTGGAAATTGATCTTCTAGACATAAAAATGCCATTATATAAAAATATGTGTGTAACATCTATACTACGGCATGTTACGCAGCAATTTAGAAAGAATGTTAGATCCACATCTATTGATCCAAAGAAATGTCCACCATGTGTTTATTA
Organism: Homo sapiens; assembly: GCF_000001405.40. Classification (NCBI taxonomy): domain Eukaryota; kingdom Metazoa; phylum Chordata; class Mammalia; order Primates; family Hominidae; genus Homo; species Homo sapiens. Next base: position 53,897,299 of record NC_000004.12, on the reverse strand, counting down.
GTATACTGCTAATGATTCGAGCTTGAGTAAACTAATGAAAAAAAAGCCACAGAAACACAACAGTTCCTTGTGCATGGGCCTTCCACCTATATTATGTCTTGGAAAGATGGATGGATATTAGTGAACCATTGACGTGTTCCCTATAAAACATTTATTTTATTTTATTTTATTATTTTATTATTATTATACTTTAAGTTTTAGGGTACATGTGCACAATGTGCAGGTTAGTTACATATGTATACATGTGCCATGCTGGTGTGCTGCACCCATCAACTCGTCATTTAGCATTAGGTATATCTCCTAAAGCTATCCCTCCCCCCTACCCCCACCCCACAACAGTCCCCAGAGTGTGATGTTCCCCTTCCTGTGTCCATGTGTTCTCATTGTTCATTTCCCACCTATGAGTGAGAATATGTGGTGTTTGGTTTTTTGTTCTTGCGATAGTTTGCTGAGAATGACGATTTCCAATTTCATCCATGTCCCTACAAAGGACATGAACTCATCATTTTTTATGGCTGCATAATATTCCATGGTGTATATGTGCCACATTTTCTTAATCCAGTCTAGCATTGTTGGACATTTGGATTGGTTCCAAGTCTTTGCTATTGTGAATAGTGCTGCAATAAACATACGTGTGCATGTGTCTTTATAGCAGCATGATTTATAGTCCTTTGGGTATATACCCAGTAAGTTAATTTAATAGTGGGGTGAGAAAATATTTTCACAACTCATTCAGTGGGTATTATCTTTGCTTACATCCTTGTTTATATCTATATTGCTATATAAATACAGCTATAGAATATTTAAGAGCATAAACTCTGGAATCAAATAGACCTAGAGTCAAATCCTGACTCTGCCTTTTTCTAAACAATTTCGATGTTATTTAACTTCTGTGGCCTCAGTTTTCTCATCTGTAAATAGGGATAACAGTAGGATTTTATGATTATTGTGATGATTAAATGAGCTAATTTTTTAAAGTGCTTAGAATGTGCCTTAAACATTAATATATGCCCATAGTGTGATAGATCACATTTTTCTGTATTGATTTAAAATTTTTCCCAATGATAGAAATAAATCACATTAAACATAGTATATTCAGACAGAAGTAATTTTAAAACTAAATCCTGTAGGGCGTTAAAGATTTTTAAAAATGTCTGATAGCATAGTTTTGTGGTTAAATGTGGGTGTTGGCCTCACAGAGATTTGGATTAAAGTTCTAGTTTTCTCACTTATTAGTTGAGTAACTTTGAGAAAATTATATAATCTTTAAAGCCTCAGTTTATAAAACAAGAGTTATAATTTTACCTTCCTCATTGAATTGCTTTGGGAATAAAATGAGATCTTGTGTGTAGAGGGATTGGCACAAAGTAAAAACTTAATAGATTGTAGCTCTTATCATTATTTGGCTTTGCTCACTTTGGCATTAGAATTTGGGCAATAATTGTGAGGCAAAGTCCACCTAAGTAAAGCAACTATAACTATCCCTGAAGTGGTTCTTTAATTTAAGGACGTTATGAAGCTGACAAAAATTTTGTTGAAAATTGTTAATGTTTAAAAGATGCACCGTCTCCACTTGCCCCTCACCAAGGAACAAACAACCCCTCCAAAAACTGGTTCTAGGACAGCCTGGATTGCCAGTTTGGGGGACATGCTGGCAGATCCCACTTTGTCTCAGGCCATGTATCATTAGGATGTCTTTGCCTAATATCGGTTTTAAATACTGATTCCAGAAAGTTCTTAGACTTTGAGTTTAGGTTTGTTAAACATACAATCTTTAAGTACTAAGGTTTATTTATTTATTTATTTATTTTTAGAGACAGGGAACTTGCTTCGTTGCGCAGGCTGGTCTCAACTGCTAAGTTTTAACCAATGTTTTATTTGGAAGGCATGGATTCATTTACCATACTTTTCTAAATGCACCTTCTTCCCTTGGCTGTTGAATACCAATGACTGTTTATACAGCTGTCTCTCTGCCCTGCCTGACTTGTTCTGTACCTGTGCATTCTTAAGCCACTCGACTTTGCCAAGATCATTTAAAAATAGCATTTTTGGTGTTTTCTTGCAATAGGGAGGGCATTTAACTTTTTGTGGGGGTGCAAAAATTCACTTTTTGTGGGAGTCAAGGCAAAAATATTCTCCACCCTTGGGTGGTTCATTTCTCTTCTCAGAAACACAAACATCCATTGTAACCTTTTCCTTACTCCTATAGTTCAGGTTGTTTCTGCTTAATCACTTAATGTTTAATTTCCAGTACTGCTGCAGAAAACGAAAAAATGCAAGAAAAATAAGAGATAAAAAATCACTCCCCTAAGAAAACACCCGTCACATTTCAGTGGGTTGTCTTCTGGTCGTTAAGATTTTATTCCCCTTTCTTAATACAAAGTAGACAGCATACTCTTTCCACAGTTTCTTTACTGCTTCTTTTTGCTGGACACTATAACAAGCATTCCTCCATGATTTCTGAGATCTTTTTGTAGATATAGGTAAAATGACCTTTCGTGGGTTTTCTCTTATTTCAAATATGAAACATATTATTTATTAACATTAGAAAAGCTCAAATAAGAAATCCACTAAAACCATGCATAATTTCACTACTCAGAGACAACCTCTGCTAATGTTTTGGTTCATTTCTTCCTGTATTTAGATTATCTGTGTTATAGATCTACATAGACAGCATATTCTATATACCATTTTCAACCTGTGCTATGTTTAAAAATATGTTGGTTCATATTTTAAAATAAAGACATGGCATTCTACAAATATGTACATAGAATTCCCTCTTATGGATGATTTTATTTTTAAACAGTTTCTTATTGTTGGACACTTAATCTTATTTTATTGCTGGCCTTGCCTTTAAATTGCTACCCAATGGCTCAATGTGTCTTGATAGTACTTGCTGTCTTCTGCTTTGTCTCTACTTTGAGCCAGGAGTACCTTTAGGCCAGAGAGGATTCCTGAGTTGCTTTTAGATCTCCAGCCTGTTGTCCAGCACTTAACGTACCATCAGCACTATAAATATTAGCTGGATAAATAAATCCTTTTTAAAATTTTTTTTGAGATGGAGTCTTGCTCTGTCACCCAGGCTGGAGTGCAGTGGCACTATCTCGGCTCACTGCAACCCCTGCGTCCTGGGTTCAAGCGATTCTCCTGCCTCAATCTCTGGAGTAGCTGGGATTACAGGTGCATGCCACCATGCCCAGCTAATTTTTGTATTTTTAGTAGAGACAGGGTTTCACCATGTTGGTCACGCTGGTCTCGAACTCCTGACCTCATGATCCACCTGCCTTGGTCTCCCAAAGTGCTGGGATTATAGGCATGAGCCACCGTGCCCAGCCAATGAATTCTTACAGAGCTCGGATTACCTGGGAGACCCTATCCTCTATAGTATAGAGTTTATGAAGTGTAGAATAGAAATGGGGTTACTTACCTTGAGGGTTCTGGGGTTGAAATTAAGTCTGTTCTCCACCCCCCAACCCTGTTTGATTTTCCCCGAGTACCATGCAGTTTAGCACATGTTTACTTTTAAATTACGGACTAGTGGGTGTGTGCATCTTTCTGACCATGAGGATCATAGTTAATTCTCATTATTTGGGGAAAGCATTTTGGAAGAGGTGACATGAGGTCTGATACGGTTTTGATGTGTTCACCAAAGTTCATATGTTGGGAACTTAATCCCCAGTGCAACAGTGCTGACAGGTAGGACCTTCAAGAGGTGATTAGGTCATCAGGGCTCTGCTCTCATGAATGGATTAATGGAGTGGATTAGTTGTTGTGGGAGTGGGTTCCTGATAAAAAGATAAGGTCGGCTCTCTCCCTCTCTTTTTCTGGTCCTCTCTCAACTTCTGCCTTCCACCACGGTATGATGCAGCATGAAGACTCTCATCAGATGCATCCCCTTAACCTTGAACTTTCCTGCCTCTAGAACTGTAAAATTTTCTCTGTAAGTTACCCAGTCCATGATATTCTGTTATAGCAGCACAAAATGGACTAAGACAAGGCCCCATAGTGGAAAGAACTCTGAATTTGTAATACAAAGGTTAAGTTTGATTCACTTGCTCAGCACTCAGCTTTGTGATCTTAGGCAATTCATACAACCTTCTAGGCCTTGGTTTCCTTCTTTATCAAGTGAAAATATACTAATTCTATACATTATTTTTATGCATGCAGAGTTGTTGTGAAAAGCCAAGTTCTATAGATGTGAGTAAGGTAAGGTGGTACAAGAGTAGTTGGGGAGAGAGAAGGAGGTCTTTTGACCTCATATTCACAAATTGTCTCAAATTTAAATTTTAAAAAATTATACACACACAAGCATGTTCATATAATATCTATGTAATATAATTGCATTGTATTGCATTAGTATATGTATGTTAAAGGTAATAATTTGTTAAGTATATATACTTTTTGAGATGGAGTCTTACTCTGTTGCCCTGGCTGGAGTGCAGTGGTGCAATCTTGGCTCACTGCAACCTCCACCTCCTGGGTTCAAGTCATTCTCCTCCCTGAACCTCCTGAGGGACTGGCAGTACAGGTGTGTACCACCATTCCCAGCTTATTTTTGTATTTTTAGTAGAGATGGGGTTTCACCATGTTGGCCAGGCTGGTCTTGAACTCCTGACCTCAAGTGAACCCAAAATGTTGGGATTACAGGTGTGAGCCACCACACCCGGCCAAATGTTTTAACTGTATCGTAATTTTTGTAACCTTCTTTTGGCCTTTCCCTGCTTCACTTTGAGGATACCGGCAGCCTTAGCCGAAGGAGGTGGCCTAGGTCTCCTGACCTGCAGGAAACCCTGAATGCCAACGCATGTCGTAAACTGTATACCACTCTGAAAATGCTGGAAACAAAATGGGGAAGGAGGGGTGATGATGGAGAGAAGACAGGAAGATTCTGAGGGACAGGCTCCCTAGTGTTGTTTACTTTAAGCTATTCCAACTGGAAGAGTTGGTGAAGTGTTAGCAACAGATAAACATTTTAAATGTCCTTCTTTCCCCAGACAGAACATTACTTTCCAGGCTTTTGAGTGAACGAAATTTTCAGAGTCAAAATTTTGGGACAAAATAGCAAAGGCAGTGAAATACTCCCAGGGAATCATTTAGGACCCTGTGAAATTACTAACTGTAATGGCGACAGTGTTACTGTGGATGAACTCTGCTCCTGATAGCATTCTGCAGCAGACCCAAGGTCAAGGGTTTTTCTTCTGAATTTCTATCCTAAACCCACTTTATAATATCATTTATTGCAAGGGAAAGTTTGTATCACAAAGCTCATACAGTTGCAGTTTCAAGTTTATTCATGCGATCAGAAAGGAAGTTGCCTCACGATTTAGAAAGGCAGAAACAAGCATTTTACCATCACATAGTATTTTATAATGGGCCCGAGTTAACAATCCTGCCCCTTCATTTATGAAATGTGGGCCTCAGCCCTCTCACATTTTGAATTTTCCAGGGCAGTTCTGGTTTTCAATCTTCTGTTCTGGTGGATCACTTATGGACATTGGTTTACATTAGGACTTCGCATCCTGATTTTTGGTTCTGAAGATTTGATAGTGATGGCTGTGCCCCTTTTTGCGTGGAAAGGAGAGACCATTTCATCTGAGCCCCTTCCCTCAGGCAACTATCGATCTTCTTCATCAACTAAGTCACAGTTCTGAGGCTTTCAAACTTGTTCCAAAAGAGGAGGGCCTGAAGCCCATGATCCTCTTTGTAGAACAGTCCTCATAAGATGCTATCATATTTTTAATTAGAAATGCATTTAATAGTGTAAACATGGCCCTCATATGCAATTTTTAATCTAAAAAATAATAGCATATAACATGGATTTCATAATACATTAGTGTAAATTACTAGTTTAAGCCACTTGACCAACTCTCTTCAGGGTCCTCTAGGACCTCCCCACCGGCCGGCTTTCCCCTGCTGAGCTGACCTCTTGCAGGTGATTAGCAGCAGCCGACACAGTTGGTAACTCTCTCCTTGGAGTCTTTTCTTCTCTAGGGTTAGGAGCACCACTCTCTTGGTCTGTCCCTCTCATTCCTGGCTGCCCCATGCCAGCTCGAAAGAGTCCGGTTCCACTGCTGAACATGGGAAGGCAGTGATCTTGGAAGCAGCTACACCTTTCTCTGGAAGCAGCCAACTTGCCCTCCTTGCCTCTGCTCAGGGCTCTATAGATGAAACGGGAGATGGTCCAGTAACTCTTCAGTTCTCAGAGCCCTTTGTAGGTGGAACGATCATAGGCGGGTCTGAGTCCTATTCCATTATGTCACGTACCTGCTTGCACCCTCAGTCTCCTCTTTTGTAAATGGGAATAATGCTTATTCCAACCTTATTTGTTTGCTGTGAGGGTTAAATGCTATTAGGCAGTTGTTGTCATTAGGGGTTGATTTTACCTGCCAGAAGACATTTGGCAATGTCTGGAGACATTTTTGGTGTCCCAATGTGAGCGGGTTAGGATAGAGAGGCTGCAACCGGCATCCAGTGGGGAAAGGCCAGGGATGCTGCTACAGATCCCACAAAGCACAGGACAACCCCACACAACAGAATTAACTGGTCTAATGTGCCATTAGCGCCGAAGCTGAGAAACTCTGCTCTAAGGCAGGGAAAGTGCTTAACTATGTGGAAAGAAATGTCATTGCTGTTGCTCTCATTCTTCTATGCAGCTGCTCCCTGTCAGGGCAAAGAATGTGCTTCCTACTACTTTTAGAAATAAAATTTATTTTAGCCTCTTGATCTGAGATACCAGAATGCTACTCAAAGGCACAAAAATTGACGGAAAATGGTGCAGTGTACATTTAACAATACAGCTAGGTGACACAAGAAAGACAGCAAATTGGCTACATAGTTCAATTGAACGCTAACTATGGGAAAATTATATGTTATAATAATAGCTAATATGCTTTTTACACATTACCACTAACCCTCTCTGCAAATTAGTTGTCTTTTGTCCCCTTGAGAGAAGAGAAGGCCTAAGTTTACAGTAGTTACTTGACTTATCCAAATGATAAAGTCAGGTTGGTAAATGATTGAGTCAGGCTAGGAGCCAGGTCTTTTGACTCCAAAATCCACAATATTTCCACCACACCGCCTCCCTTAATACAAGACTGAACTCCTTGGCATCTGCTATCAGTGTCCCCCACCCCACTCTCCACCTCTCCATCCCTTGTAGAATCATCTAGGCCCAACTCTGTTCCAGAATCAGACCAGATACCCATATTTAGGTAATATGCTTAAACACATACACACACAGAAGCAAGGACATCAGATGAGTTGCTATATTGAGGTGGTGAGATCATTTGCACTTCACTTAAAACTTTTAATTTTTATAAAAGTCTAAAATGGACTTAATCATATCAAAACTTAAAACTTAAAAAAAATGTGGATTCATGTTACAGTGACTTTCAATCTTGGCATCCATCCAAGTGTGAAAGTAAAGATTAAATTAAAACCAAATGTGATTCTAATTTCACTAAGCAGCTAGCCTAATTATTCCTTGCTTTGGGAGAACAGGGTCAAAATATGATTCTGGGGGTCTAATCCCCCTCTCTCCTCCCTGCCTACCATTCCCTAACCCCAAAAAACACTCACAAAACGGGAATGTCTCCACAATCTTTCATTCCGTCTGAGTCAATTTACTCACTTAGATATCTCTTTTTCTTCCCTCCTCTCTGAAATAGGTTAGCGTCTTAATGGAGGGTAAGTGGTTCCAGCAATTCCATTAGGAGAGAGACTTCTTGTTGGGTAGGGTAAGTGAGGAGAAAGTTTAGCAGGGAGAAAGCCACATTCTGAAATCAACTAGTGTTTTACATCAAAAACAGTCTTTTTTTTTGGAAAGAGAACAGCCAAGTGGTGAGTTATAGAACAGTGTCTCAGAGGCGGCGTCCTCAGCAGTGTTTCTCTGGATGTAGACAGTCATGTAAGCAATAACATCTGGATGGGGAAAAGCCCACTTTGAAATCCGAATATACAATAACAATGCTTATTTAAACATCGTTTGTGTTTGAATAATGGAAAGAGTTAGAGCCCATAAGGGACTTTCTTTTTCAGGCCTTTAGAGGTGGAGGTAGAGAACTTCTGACAGTTTGAGGCAATTTGGAGTTGAGGGTGGGGGCCTTATGTGGACATGGGACATGGTGTGATTGCACAACTCTTGATGGTCATTTGGAGATCTGCTTCAATTTCTGTCTTCTGCATTCAGCAGCTTTAGAGCATAAAGTTGCTAAGAAAAGAGACAGGTCAATAAGTGCAGGGGATTTGTGGATTTCTGCTTTGGAGGCTAAGGGGTTAAATGACCGAGTGATAAGTTTTGTATGAGTGAATCTGTCAGCTGAGCCTGGCCACTGGGCTGCTGCTGTCCTGTTTGAGAGGTGAAGCTTCCCAGCCTGGGTGGCTGCTGGGGCTCCAGGAGAGAGATGCCTTTGTGTTCCCAGGAGTGTTTCCTGCTGTAGCAGGGATTAAGGGTCCTGAAAGCCCAGCGCAATCACAGTGACCCTCTGCCCTCCATCCCCTGGCACCCAACCTCCACTGGGCAGGGGCTGCCCACACATCCACCTCTAAGGTGACCAAATGCCTTGATCCCAAGGGCCACTCCAAATGCCCTTGCTTGGAATTCCTGGACTCCCCCACCACACACCTGGACCCAACTGGCATCTTGCTTTTGCATTTCTCCTGCCAGTTTGCACCCTTTTGAAGAAAGACCACGGAAGGTGAGGGCAAGAGCCTAGATTCTGTAGTCAGACTGGAGCCTTTGCCATTAGCTCTGTGACTGTGGGTAGGTCCCTTACCTTCCCTGGACTTCAATTTCTCATCTGGGTCAGGTACATTGTTGACAGGTCCTTACTAAATATTTGCTGAATGAATTCCCATCTCATAGAATGATTGCAAAAATTACATAAAATAATATGAAACACCAGCTCAGTGCCTGGTACATGGTCAGAGTTCAATAGTTGCTACTATTAACATAATAATATATAATGTATAATAGTGGAGTATATAAGAATATTATTATTATTATTATTTGAGACAGAGACAGTCTCACTCTGTCAACCTGGCTGGAGTGCAGTGGCGGGATCTGCAACCTCCGCCTTCCAGCTTCAAGTGATTCTTGTGCCTCAGCTTCCTGAGCAGCTGGGGTTACAGGCGTGTGCCACCACACCAGGCTAATTTATATTTTTAGTAGAGATGGGGTTTCACCATGTTAACTAGACTGGTCTTTAACTCCTGGCTTCAAGTGATCTGCCTGCCTCAGCCTCCCAAAGCATTGGGATTATGGACATGAGCCATTGCGCCTGGACAGAATATTATTAAGAAACAATATTTGCATATATAATAATAATATCTAATACATATATATAATGCTTACCGCAGGCCAGGTGTTATTCTAAGTACTTTATATATATTAAGTAGTTTATTCCCTTCTGCAACCCTATGAAGTAGGTATTATTATCCCCAATAAACTGAGGCATGAGATATTAAGTGATTTGTCCAATTTCTCATAGCTAGTCAGTGGCACTGCTACAAGTTGAATGAGACAGTCTGGCCCAGAGTTCCTGCTCTTAATTCAAGCAATATGTGTTTTTGAGCACCAAAAGGGGCCTTGCAAGGGCTGGTAACCATCATGAAGTATGAGGCCCATCCTAGACACCCCAGGAGCTTCCAGGTGAGTTGAGCAGATGAGACACAGAAAGACAGCTCAGCACATCAGGGAGTGGCTGTGAAAACTCCTCAAGTGATTCCAATTTGCAGCCACGTATGCCAACCAGTGTCACATTGGTGCTCCTCAGACTTTAATGTGCACTTCTGTGATCTGAGGATCTTGTTATAACACAGATGTTGATAGAGGGGTCTGGGGTGGGGCCTGAGATCTTTTTTCTTTTTCTTCATTGTTTATTGTGATATAATTCACCTATCATAAAATTCAACCTTTTAAAGTATAAGATTCAGTGACTTTTAGTATATTTACAAGGTTGTGACCCCATCACCACCATCTAGACGATCTTCATTACCCGAGAAATCTCATACTTATTGAAAGTACTCCCTGTTTTTCTCTCCTCACAGCCCCTGGCAACCCCAAATCTACTTTCCCTACTGTCTCTATGGATTTGCCTATTCTGAACATTTCCTACAAATGGAATCATATAATATAGGGCCTTCTGTGTCTGGCTTCTTTCACTAAGCATAACGTCTTCAAGGTTTATCTGTGTTGTAGCATGAATTGTCTGATTTTTTTATTACAGCCATCCAAGTGGATGTGAAGTGGGTATGGTTTTGACTTGGATTTCCCTAATGATTAGGATGTTGAGCATCTTTTCATGTGATTATTGGCCATTTGCCTATCTTCTTTAGAGAAATGTCTATTCAAATCCCTTGCTCATTTTAAAATCTTTTTTTTTGTCTTTTTATTACTGAGTTGTAAGTGCTCCTTGGATATCCTGGATACTAGATCATGGTCAGATATTTAATTTGAAAATATTTTCTCCCATTTGTGGGATGTCTGTTCTCTTTCTTGACAGTGTGCTTTGAAGCACAAACTTGATGATGTCCAATTTATGTATTTTTTTCCTTTTGTTGTTTTTACTTTTGGTGTCATATCCAAGAAATCTTGCCTAAACCAAGGTCATAAGGATTTTTAGTTCTGAAAGTTCCCAGATGATGTGATGCTGTTGATTCAGGATCCACAGGTTGAGTAGCAAGGAGCTAAAGCAATTATTTTCTTTTCAGGGACCTGATGAAGTAGGAGAAGCTCCTCTCTTCACATGGCTAGTAATTGACTCTGATCCAATCTGAATCAAATTGGAGTTTTCCTTAGCCTGTCAGGGCTCTACCAGGTGGGGGTGAGCTGCTTTTCCTTTCCTTTTTTCTTTTGGAAGATTTGAATTTAAGAGTTTGGATCAATTTGTAGCACTGGATGTGCTACAAAATCCGGGAGGTAGTGGATGCTTTCAACATACTGGAATGCAGTTTCCTACACTGTAGCATGAATGAATGAGCCTTTGTCTGGAGCTTTGTCCTGTATAGAGAAAGCTTTGTCTTGGTGGCACCTGCTGTCATAGGATTTGAGGCATACGTGGCAGGTATACTAAGAGGTCAGAAACAAATCACAGACCATATGAACAATACAGCTCCATGAGTCTCTGAGAAAAGTCCTGGTTTCAGAGTGCAATACTCTCTTAAATTCTGAGTTTATTAGCAGGAAGGTTAGTCTAGCTTTCTCTGCTTTATTTTATTTGCTTAATTTTATTTTTTAAAATTTGGTTGGTGCTTTAACAAAACTTCTACTTTCAGGTTCAGAGCTCCAAAAATAATACTGAATTGTTGACGTCTCTTTCTGGATGATGGTCCTACTTCTTCTGGACCATTTCCTCTCAGGCTCAGTGGAGGCAACACCCACTGCCAGTCCAGACTCCAGAGAGCCCTCCTCAGGGAGCCTTTTGGCCCAGGGCTAAGCCAGCCTGGCCACTGAACAGGAAAACATTGACATGGACACTCTCTGGAGGGGGAAGTCAGAGTTCATAGCTAGCCCTTTCCTGGCAAAGTCAGAATGAGTCCAGCTCCAGGGCTCCAGGGAGGTGGGGACCATAGAAGGCGAGGCCTCACCAGGCAGGCCAGCCTCCTACCAACCTGGCCTCCTGTGCACATTCTGCTAGAGCCCTGTGGACTTCTCTGAGGTGCTTCTCTTTGGAACATTTGCAGCCTTCACTCAGTTTAATAAGGAAGTGTAGATGCGATTCATGTACTCATCAGTCATTAATTTGCTCCTTGTTTATTGAACCATTACTATGTGCAGGGCTCTGTGCTTGATACCAGAGCTATTACAAAGATTGCCTTTGCCCTCATGAAGTCTGGTGGAGACCGCTATTCTAATTTATGGGTTCAGCAAATATTTATTGAATGCCTACTATATGCCAGGCACTCTTGGTGTTAGGATTAAAATAGTGAAGGGAACAGGCTACGTTTCTGCTTCAGGGCACTTAGAAGTTAGTACACCTCATAGCTAGTGTTAACACAGGACAGTTCCATTAAAAAAAGTGACTGTAAAGTATCTCCTCCTCCTCCTCCTCCTCCTCCTCCTCCTCCTCCTCCTCCTCCTCCTCCTCCTCCTCCTCCTCCTCCTTCTTCTTCTTCTTCTTCTTCTTCTTCTTCTTCTTCTTCTTCTTCTTCTTCTTCTTCTTCTTCTTCCTCGAGAGGGTCTTGCTCTGCTGCTCAGGTTGGAGTGCAGTGGCACAATCATAGCTCAGTGCAGCCTCAAACTCCTGGGCTCCAACAATCCTCTCACCTCAGACTCTCTAGTAGCTGGGACTACAGGCATGCACCACCACACCTGGCTGATTTTCTTATTTTTTGTAGTGATAGGGTCTCATTATGTTGCCCAGGCTGGTCTTGAACTCCCAGCCTCAAATGATCCTTCCACTTTGGCATCCCAAAGTGGTGGGATTACAGGCATGAGCCACAGTGCTGTCTTCATTCATTTATGTACTCATTCACTCACTCACTCATTCATTTGAGAAGTAGTTATCAAGTTCCTTCTGTGTGCCAGTTACCCTGTTAAATGCTGGCGTACAAAAAAAGACCAGGTCCTTTCCTTGTACTTACAGTCTAGTTGGGGAATTCAGCCATTAATCAAATAACAATAGAAACAAATCTGCGATGAATTGTTTGAGGGACACTTATTGCAGATGCTGTCCTTGCCCAACACAGTATATTTCAGGTGACTTTCAGCTACCAGTCACCTGTACCTTCTCTCTTGACACCCTTGGAAGCCATTATCCACAGACTTTCAGGGGGCAGTTGGACACACAAAATTTAATTATTATTATTATTTACTGGCAGGGTCAGGGAATTACGTTCCATGTAATGACTTTTCCAAACGCCTAGAACTCTCTATGGTTGATCTCTGTACCAGAGCTTCACTGCTCTCTGCTCCCTACTTTTAAAATCATTTTGATAGCAATCTTCCTAAAGTAATACATACTTTTCAGATTCTAAAAATGATATATGTTGAGTGTAATTTATCTTGTCTTGATGAGTAGATAAATATTTACAGAACTGTTTTCACCCGATATTTTAGCATCTATTGTTCATCCTTGCCTGAGTCCATTAATCAGTTGAGAGTCGATAATCAGTGATTTTCTAATTCTATCATTCCTTCTGCATTTGGTGGTTGTCATTTTTGTGAAGAAGCGTCCCCATCACATTAATAGATTGGATGTTCCAGAAGAAAATATTTGTAAACTTGGAGACATAGCAATAAAAACTAACCAAAATGAAACACTGAAAGATAAAAAAAAAAGTAAAAAATGGAAATAAGCATCAATGAGCTATCAGAAAACTTCAAGTGGCTAAATATGTGTGTAAGTGAAATCCCCCTAAAAAGAAGGGTGACGAAAAAAGATATTTAAAGAAATAATGTCTGAAAATTTCCAAATTAGATGAAAACTATAAACTGATACATCTAAGATCAATGGAACCTAAGCACAAAAAACGTAAAGAAAACTATACAGAGACATTATAATCAAAATATTCAAAACCAATGTTAAACAGGAAATACCAAAGCAGCCAGAGAAAAAGGAAACGTTATGTACTGAGGAACAAAGAATGACAGCAGCTGTCCTTTCAGAAAAAAATGCAAGTGAGAAGATAGTGGACCAGCAGCAGCTTTAAATTAAGAAAGAAAAGAAGAAGTAAAAAAAATCCTGCTAAACCAGAATTCTATATCCAGCAAAACAAAAAACAAAAACAAAGGTAGAATATAGACTATTTAAGAATTATAAAAGCTGAAAGAATTCATCAGCTGCAGACCTGCACTACAAGAAATATTACAGGAAGTCCTTCAGGCGGAAGGAAGATGGGACCAGCTGGAAAAAGGATATATATAAAGAAAGAAGAACATGGGAAATGATAACTATGTGGGTAAATATAGAAATTTTGTCTTGCTTAAATTTCTTTAAAAGACAATTGTTCAAAAAATAATAGTAATGTAGATGAGAGTTATAACCTAATTAAAAGCATACTGCATGACAGCATAAAATTTAGTATAAAAGCATAAAAGTTAGGACGAAACAAATGGATGTATACTATTGCAAGGTTTTTACACTCTATATGAAGTGGAGTAATATCACTTGAAAGTATACTATAGTAAGTTTTTATTTTTTTAAGTTTTGTCTTTTTATATAAATCTTTTTTTTTTATTATACTTTAAGTTTTAGGGTACATGTGCACATTGCGCAGGTTAGTTACATATGTATACATGTGCCATGCTGGTGCGCTGCACCCACTAACTCGTCATCTAGCATTAGGTATATCTCCCAATGCTATCCCTCCCCCCTCCCCCCACCCCACAACAGTCCCCAGAGTGTGATATTCCCCTTCCTGTGTCCATGTGATCTCACTGTTCAATTCCCACCTATGAGTGAGAATATGCGGTGTTTGGTTTTTTGTTCTTGCGATAGTTTACTGAGAATGATGATTTCCAATTTCATCCATGTCCCTACAAAGGACATGAACTCATCATTTTTTATGGCTGCATAGTATTCCATGGTGTATATGTGCCACATTTTCTTAATCCAGTCTATCATTGTTGGACATTTGGGTTGGTTCCAAGTCTTTGCTATCGTGAATAATGCCGCAATAAACATATGTGAGCATGTGTGTTTATAGCAGCATGATTTATAGTCCTTTGGGTATATACCCAGTAATGGGATGGCTGGGTCAAATGGTATTTCTAGTTCTAGATCCCTGAGGAATCGCCACACTGACTTCCACAATGGTTGAACTAGTTTACAGTCCCACCAACAGTGTAAAAGTGTTCTTATTTCTCCACATCCTCTCCAGCACCTGTTGTTTCCTGACTTTTTAATGATTGCCATTCTAACTGGTGTGAGATGCTGTCTCACTGTGGTTTTGATTTGCATTTCTCTGATGGTCAGTGATGATGAGCATTTTTTCATGTGTTTTTTGGCTGCATAAATGTCTTCTTTTGAGAAGTGTCTGTTCATGTCCTTCGCCCACTTTTTGATGGGGCTGTTTGTTTTTTTCTTGTAAATTTGTTTGAGTTCATTGTAGATTCTGGATATTAGCCCTTTGTCAGATGAGTAGGTTGCGAAAATTTTCTCCCATTTTGTAGGTTGCCTGTTCACTCTGATGGTAGTTTCTTTTGCTGTGCAGAAGCTCTTTAGTTTAATTAGATCCCATTTGTCAATTTTGGCTTTTGTTGCCATTGCTTTTGGTGTTTTAGCCATGAAGTCCTTGCCCATGCCTATGTCCTGAATAGTAATGCCTAGGTTTTCTTCTAGGGTTTTTATGGTTTTAGGTCTAATGTTTAAGTCTTTAATCCATCTTGAATTGATTTTTGTATAAGATGTAAGGAAGGGATCCAGTTTCAGCTTTCTACATATGGCTAGCCAGTTTTCCCAGCACCATTTATTAAATAGGGAATCATTTCCCCATTGCTTTTTTTTCTCAGGTTTGTCAAAGATCAGATAGTTGTAGATATGCGGTGTTATTTCTGAGGGCTCTGTTCTATTAGATTGATCTATAACTCTGTTTTGGTACCAGTACCATGCTGTTTTGGTTACTGTAGACTTGTAGTATAGTTTGAAGTCAGGTAGTGTGATGCCTCCAGCTTTGTTCTTTTGGCTTAGGAATGACTTGGCGATGCGGGCTCTTTTTTGGTTCCATATGAACTTTAAAGTAGTTTTTTCCAATTCTGTGAAGAAAGTCATTGGTAGCTTGATGGGGATGGCATTGAATCTATAAATTACCTTGGGCAGTATGGCCATTTTCATATTGATTCTTCCTACCAATGAGCATGGAATGTTCTTCCATTTGTTTGTATCCTCTTTTATTTCATTGAGCAGTGGTTTGTAGTTCTCCTTGAAGAGGTCCTTCACGTCCCTTGTAAGTTGGATTCCTAGGTATTTTATTCTCTTTGAAGCAATTGTGAATGGGAGTTCACTCATGATTTGGCTCTCTGTTTGTCTGTTGTTGATGTATAAGAATGCTTGTGATTTTTGCACCTTGATTTTGTATCCTGAGACTTTGCTGAAGTTGCTTATCAGCTTAAGGAGATTTTGGGCTGAGACAATGGGGTTTTCTAGATATACAATCATGTCGTCTGCAAACAGGGACAATTTGACTTCCTCTTTTCCTAATTGAATACCCTTTATTTCCTTCTCCTGCCTAATTGCCCTGGCCAGAACTTCCAAAACTATGTTGAATAGGAATGGTGAGAGAGCGCATCCCTGTCTTGTGCCAGTTTTCAAAGGGAATGCTTCCAGTTTTTGCCCATTCAGTATGATATTGGCTGTGGGTTTGTCATAGATAGCTCTTATTATTTTGAAATACACCCATCAATACCTAATTTATTGAGAGTTTTTAGCATGAAGGGTTGTTGAATTTTGTCAAAGGCTTTTTCTGCATCTATTGAGATAATCATGTGGTTTTTGTCTTTGGTTCTGTTTATATGCTGGATTACATTTATTGATTTTCGTATATTGAACCAGCCTTTCATCCCAGGGATGAAGCCCACTTGATCATGGTGGATAAGCTTTTTGATGTGCTGCTGGATTCGTTTTGCCAGTATTTTATTGAGAATTTTTGCATCAATGTTCATCAAGGATATTGGTCTAAAATTCTCTTTTTTTGTTGTGTCTCTGCCTGGCTTTGGTATCAGAATGATGCTGGCCTCATAAAATGAGTTAGGGAGGATTCCCTCTTTTCTATTGATTGGAATAGTTTCAGAAGGAATGGTACCAGTTCCTCCTTGTACCTCTGGTAGAATTCGGCTGTGAATCCATCTGGTCCTGGACTCTTTTTGGTTGGTAAGCTATTGATTATTGCCACAATTTCAGAGCCTGTTATTGGTCTATTCAGAGATTGAACTTCTTCCTGGTTTAGTCTTGGGAGAGTGTATGTGTCGAGGAATTTATCCATTTCTTCTAGATTTTCTAGTTTATTTGCATAGAGGTGTTTGTAGTATTCTCTGATGGTAGTTTGTGTTTCTGTGGGATTGGTGGTGATATCCCCTTTATCATTTTTTATTGCGTCTATTTGATTCTTCTTTTTTTCTTTATTAGTCTTGCTAGCGGTCTATCAATTTTGTTGATCCTTTCAAAAAACCAGCTCCTGGATTCATTAATTTTTTGAAGGTTTTTTGTGTCTCTATTTCCTTCAGTTCTGCTCTGATTTTAGTTATTTCTTGCCTTCTGCTAGCTTTTGAATGTGTTGCTCTTGCTTTTCTAGTTCTTTTAATTGTGATGTTAGGGTGTCAATTTTGGATCTTTCCTGCTTTCTCTTGTGGGCATTTAGTGCTATAAATTTCCCTCTACACACTGCTTTGAATGTGTCCCAGAGATTCTGGTATGTTGTGTCTTTGTTCTCGTCGGTTTCAAAGAACATCTTTATTTCTGCTTTCATTTCGTTATGTACCTAGTAGTCATTCAGGAGCAGGTTGTTCAGTTTCCATGTAGTTGAGCAGTTTTGAGTGAGATTCCTAATCCTTAGTTCTAGTTTGATTGCACTGTGGTCTGAGAGATAGTTTGTTATAATTTCTGTTCTTTTATATTTGCTGAGGAGAGCTTTACTTCCCAGTATGTGGTCAATTTTGGAATAGGTGTGGTGTGGTGCTGAAAAAAATGTATATTCTGTTGATTTGGGGTGGAGAGTTCTGTAGATGTCTATTAGGTCCGCTTGGTGCAGAGCTGAGTTCAATTCCTGGGTATCCTTGTTGACTTTCTGTCTCGTTGATCTGTCTAATGTTGACAGTGGGGTGTTAAAATCTCCCATTATTAATGTGTGGGAGTCTAAGTCTCTTTGTAGGTCACTCAGGACTTGCTTTATGAATCTTGGTGCTCCTGTATTGGGTGCATATATATTTAGGATAGTTAGCTCTTCTTGTTGAATTGATCCCTTTACCATTATGTAGTGGCCTTCTTTGTCTCTTTTGATCTTTGTTGGTTTAAAGTCTGTTTTATCTGAGACTAGGATTGCAACCCCTGCCTTTTTTTGTTTTCCATTTGCTTGGTAGATCTTCCTCCATCCTTTTATTTTGAGCCTATGTGTGTCTCTGCACGTGAGATGGGTTTCCTGAATATAGCACACTGATGGGTCTTGACTCTTTATCTAATTTGCGAGTCTGTGTCTTTTAATTGGAGCATTTAGTCCATTTACATTTAACGTTAATATTGTTATGTGTGAATTTGATCCTGTCATTATGATGTTAGCTGGTGATTTTGCTCGTTAGTTGATGCAGTTTCTTCCTAGTCTTGATGGTCTTTACATTTTGGCATGATTTTGCAGCGGCTGGTACCGGTTGTTCCTTTCCATATTTAGTGCTTCCTTCAGGAGCTCTTTTAGGGCAGGCCTGGTGGTGACAAAATCTCTCAGCATTTGCTTGTCTGTAAAGTATTTTATTTCTCCTTCGCTTATGAAGCTTAGTTTGGCTGGAAGTGAAATTCTGGGTTGAAAATTCTTTTCTTTAAGAATGTTGAATATTGGCCCCCACTCTCTTCTGGCTTGTGGAGTTTCTGCCGAGAGATCCGCTGTTAGTCTGATGGGCTTCCCTTTGAGGGTAACCCGACCTTTCTCTCTGGCTCCCCTTAACATTTTTTCCTTCATTTCAACTTTGGTGAATCTGACAGTTATGTGTCTTGGAGTTGCTCTTCTCGAGGAGTATCTTTGTGCCGTTCTCTGTATTTCCTGAATCTGAACGTTGACCTGCCTTGCTAGATTGGGGAAGTTCTCCTGGATAATATCCTGCAGCGTGTTTTCCAACTTGGTTCCATTCTCCCCGTCACTTTCAGGTACACCAACCAGACGTAGATTTGGTCTTTTCACATAGTCCCATATTTCTTGGAGGCTTTGCTCATTTCTTTTTATTCTTTTTTCTCTAAACTTCCCTTCTCGCTTCATTTCATTCATTTCATCTTCCATCACTGATACCCTTTCTTCCAGTTGATCGCATCGGCTCCTGAGGCTTCTGCATTCTTCACATAGTTCTCGAGCCTTGGTTTTCAGCTCCATCAGCTCCTTTAAACACTTCTCTGTATTGGTTATTCTAGTTATACATTCTTCTAAATTTTTTCAAAGTTTTCAACTTCTTTGCCTTTGGTTTGAATGTCCTCCCGTAGCTCAGAGTAATTTGATCATCTGAAGCCTTCTTCTCTCAGCTCGTCAAAGTCATTCTCCATCCAGCTTTGTTCCATTGCTGGTGAGGAACTGCATTCCTTTGGAGGAGGAGAGGCACTCTGCTTTTTAGAGTTTCCAGTTTTTCTGTTCTGTTTTTTCCCCATCTTTGTGGTTTTATCTACTTTTGGTCTTTGATGATGGTGATGTACAGATGGGTTTTTGGTGTGGATGTCCTTTCTGTTTGTTAGTTTTCCTTCTAACAGACAGGACCCTCAGCTGCAGGTCTGTTGGAATACCCTGCCGTGTGAGGTGTCAGTGTGCCCCTGCTGGGGGGTGCCTCCCAGTTCGGCTGCTCGGGGGTCAGGGGTCAGGAACCCACTTGAGGAGGCAGTCTGCCCATTCTGAGATCTCCAGCTGCGTGCTGGGAGAACCACTGCTCTCTTCAAAGCTGTCAGACAGGGACATTTAAGTCTGCAGAGGTTACTGCTGTCTTTTTTTTGTCTTTGCCCTGCCCCCAGAGGTGGAGCCTACAGAGGCAGGCAGGCCTCCTTGAGCTGTGGTGGGCTCCACCCAGTTCGAGCTTCCTGGCTGCTTTGTTTACCTAATCAAGCCTGGGCAATGGTGGGCGCCCCTCCCCCAGCCTCGCTGCTGCCTTGCAGTTTGATCTCAGACTGCTGTGCTAGCAATCAGTGAGACTCCGTGGGCATAGCACCCTCTGAGCCAGGTGTGGGATATAATCTCGTGGTGCGCCGTTTTTTAAGCCCGTCGGAAAAGCGCAGTATTCTGGTGGAAGTGACCCGATTTTCCAGGTGCTGTCCGTCACCCCTTTGTTTGACCCGGAAAGGGAACTCCCTGACCCCTTGCGCTTCCCAAGTGAGGCAATGCCTTGCCCTGCTTTGGCTTGCGCACGGTGCGCACACCCACTGACCTGCGCCCACTGTCTGGCACTCCCTAGTGAGAAGAACCCTGTACCTCAGATGGAAATGCAGAAATCACCCGTCTTCTGCCTCGCTCACGCTGGGAGCTGTAGACTGGAGCTGTTCCTATTCAGCCATCTTGGCTCCTCCCCCAGTAAGTTAAAGACATTCACTGTAACCACTAATGCAATGATTACAATAACACAACAAGGAGTTATAGCTAAAACAAGGAGTTATAGCTAAAAATATAACATTGACCCAATTTAAAAGAAGTAAAAAAGGGGCAAAAAGAAAACAAAGAGCAGATAGTAAAAATGGAAACTATGTAGTAAGATGATAGAGTTAAATTTAACCATATCAACAATCACATTAAATGTTAATGGCTTAAATGGTTTAAGTAGTCCAATTAAAAGGCAGAGGGGGAAAAAGCAAGACCCAACTATACACTCCCTACAAAAAATGCAGTTTAAATATAAGGTACAAATAGGTTCAAAGTAAAAGTTGAAAAGATATACCATGCTAACATGAGTCAAAAGAAAGCTGGAATCGTTGCACCAACTGGCAGTAGATTTCACAGCAAAGAATATTCCTAATGATAAAGGAAGTCATTTCATAATGATAGTGGAGTCACTTCATCAAAAGGACATAACAATTATCAGGGTTTATTTGCCTAATAATATAGCTTCAAAATACGTAAAACAAGGAGCTGGAGGGGAATTTAGGAATAGTTTATCCAGTCTAACCTCTTTTTCTCTCTTTTTATTCCTTCTGTCCCTCTCTCCTTTCTTCCTCTCTCTTTCTTTCTTTTGTGTCTTCCTCTTTCTTCTTCTTCTTCTTTTTTTTTTTTTTCACAAATGAAGGAACCAAGGCCAGATAGGTGAGATAATTGCAGACATACACAACCAGTGAAAAGCAGGACTTCAAACTTCTTATCTGGGATCCTTCCCTCTTCACAGCACTTCACTGAGCTTGAACAAACATTGTTTTGATGTATTAACAACTCTTAAAGTGAAGGTATTAATGATGCATAAATAAACAGATCACTAGATGGAAAACAGAAGTGTGACCTAGACACTATTCCTCATTTGTTGATAACTGATTGGCATCAGCCAGCACAGAAACTAAACAAATGGTTGAAAAGAAAATGGTTATTGGGGAAACTGTGGCTTGAGAATTACTCATTGAATTCCTGTTGTCGGAAGTCTGGGAGCCTTGGGGTAGGAATCCTTTACAGAGGTCATTACACCTTCCTGGCACTGGGTAGACAAGGTTGCTTAAATACAAGACTTTATTTGAAATGAATATTCTGATGGACATGCTCCAAAATGGTGGCTACCATAGGCTTCCCCCATGCCTATGTTATTAATCAATGCACCCAATGCCTCAGTTCCACCAACTGGCCCATGAATTCACATGGAAATCAATTACCAGCTGAGCAAGGGCTATGGCAGTCTCTGAGTGCTGACCCATGCACTGGGATGAAGGCACTCAAGCATGAGGTCATCTGGGGTCAAGCCCATGGCTTTGGATAGCTATTTGTCACTTGGAATTGGGCAGGGAAGCATAAACATAGGAGACAGTGAGTGAAGTTAGCTAATTATACACAACTGTGGCCATAGCTTGGCCTGATCAGACAGGGAAAGATAGAGGCAGTTAGAGGGCAAAAGTGTGTTTACAAACATAGCCTTCCCTGGCTCAGAAATGGAGCGGTCCATGCTGGAAAGACGTTAAGTAGGAGTTGGAGCAGCCCAATCTTCAATTTGGAGGCCATGGCACATGGGGTTGGAGAGGAATGGAAGGTACTTCAAGGCTCCCAACAATTAAACCAACAAGAGCTGCCTTATATCAGCCTTGAGTAACTACCATGACATTCAGAGTCAACAAAAACAGAAGCTTATAAAAAATGCTGCACTAACTAGTAAGGAACATAGGGATAATGTAGTCTGGAGCTCCATGGAAGAGAGACTGGCTGCTGCACAATCAGATTGGCTTAGCTATCTTGCTTATTATTATAAAGGCAGGGGAACAGGGTGGGGAGAAAAAATATTCCAAAATGGGAGGCCTGAAGACTTTGGAATTAAATAGATATGAGTTCAAGTCTGATCTCAACCACTAGAAACTTTGTCTGTGTGACTAGGATCAAATCAATCAATTTTTCTGAGACTCAGTTTTCTCAACCATAGAAGAGTGATAACATGTACTTCATAGGTTGGTTATGAGGATTAGGAATAGTATTTGCACATCAGTTTCCTCACATTAGCAAAGTTGGTAAAAATGGCATTTTTGCTCCTCCTCTTCATCATCATTTTCACTTGGATGACTTTGGGCAGCTGCCTTCTTTTTTCTTTGACTTTAGCTTTTTAAATCTCAGGGTAGAAAAACTAAGAGCATAATCCCTCTTACTAGCCTAAGCCATTACCACTTTAGGTGGTAAACCGAAGCTGTCTGCTGGGAACGAAGACCAGAATCCTCACTCCCCAGTGGAGCATACATCCACCCCGGTAGGAAAGGGGACTCCGCCACTTGCTGCTTCTGAGATGAAGTGTGAAGTTGCCAAGTCTAGGCCTCTGCACTACAAAAATACAGAGCTAGTTCCTTCTACTCTAAGCTATGCACCTGTCCTCTGACTAGAGGAACTAACAGCTACAATTAAATATATTTAATTACATATATAAAAAAGAATAATATGTCAACTAGTCAACTACAACTCAACTCATTTATTACATAATTACATATAAATTATGTTTGAGGATGCATATTGGTGCAGTTTATAATGTCTGCAAAGAAATTCTGTCTCAGAAGGACATTCTGCCCTGCCTATAATTTCCAGTAGGATCCTATCCTCTCAACAACAAATGTAATAACAAGTCTCAAAACGGACACAGACCCCAAGATAAGAGACACAATTACCACCCCCCCTGCCCCTTGCTACCCTGGTTTGTCACACTTCTGCTGGGTTAGGTAGAAAGTCTTCTAATCCTGACAGCCATAATCTGGGTTGAGCATCTCTCATTGTTCTTTTACATAAAACTAAAATAATAATATGGTGGTTAATGCCTCATTTTTTCCTAAAAAGAGAAAGGAGTAGGAGTTGGAACCCTTGCTATTCAAACACTACTTCAAATATTTTATATATGTATATACAAATATATACAAAGCATCCAATAACCATAAATATTCAATAAAAGGTGACAATTATGATTAATTATAATAATCTATGATGATGCTAATAAAATCTGATCTGTGACCTTAACCTCATCAGCCTTTTTTTCCCCCATTACAGTTTAACTTATCTTAGGTCAGCACAATCCAATAGTAAGCTTGACTTTACCATTTCCAAATGCACTCTTTAGTTTCCCAAACTTCAGAGCTTTGGATGGCTTTCTGGCCACTTCCCTTGGTTGAAAGACAAGACCACTTTATCCACTACAGGCAACAATATCTAGGGCATATGAGATTTTCAAAGGCCAGTGAAAGTGTTTCATTTGTGAAAAAAGTCCAAAATATAAAAAGAATGCTACAAAATTACAATTAAAATGTTAATTAAGTATCTACAAAAAAGTAATTGCAATCAACTAGTCAACTGCAACTCAACTCACCTATTGTTATATGGAAGTTATATTTGGTGATGGGTGTGGATGTAGTTTTAGGATGTCTGCTTTGATGTGGGGTGAGGCCTCCAAAGGCTTAGGGTCTATGAAGGTCTTACAGTAACCCTATCAGAGAATGAGTATATGCATCGGCCAGGGATGGAAAGCATATGGAAAACGTTTTGAGAGGGGAATATGGGGAAAATTGAAGACAAACTGGTGTGCAAGGCCATGGCTGGTGATCCTACCAAGTGCTGGGATCTGGAAAATTCTGGAGACACAGTGTTGACAAATGGGGAGTCATGGAAACCCCCTGGTGGTCCTACTACCATCAGATTCTGTAGCATCTAAGTCAGTGGAGAGAAAGTTTCTCTGCCCAAGCATCTTTCAACTAATAGTTCAGGGATCTGATCACCATCAGATAGAGAAACAAGAAGTAACTGCTGACAGCCTGAATCACAAATACTTCTAGCTAAATAGGAACAATTAAATTGGAGCTGATGCCAAGAGCAATTCTAGCTCTAGTAATTCACTTGTCCTCTCTCAGATTACCATGGATATTTCCCTGTTTTATTCCTTTTTCTTGCCCTTGTGCTACAGTCTATTTTCTGTGGGCAGAGGGCCGGAATATGACAAAAAAAAAAAAAAACCCAGAGAATCTGAATTGGCAGGGATTTTCACCATATTAGTCTTTTTTTTTACACTGCTATAAAGATACTACCTGAGACTGGGTAGTTTATAAACAAAAGAGGTTTAATTGACTCACAGTTCTGCATGGCTGCTGAGGCCTCAGGAAACTTGCAATCAGGGTGGAAAATGAAGGAGAAGCAGCTACCTTCTTCACAGGGTGGCAGGAAAGAGAGAGAGAGAGAGAGAGAGCAAGCAGGGTAAATGCCAGAAACTTATCAAACAACCAGATCTCGTGAGAACTCCCTCACTACCATGATAACAGCATGGGGGAAACCACCCCTGTAATCCAATCACCTCCCACCAGGCCCCTCCCTCGACACATGGGGATTACAATTTGAGATGGGATTTGGGTGGGGACATAGAGCCAAACCATATCACCACCCTTGGGTGATGTTTGGAACATGGTGCTTCTTGGGAAAGGGGGTGTCAACCCTAAGCCAGAGAGATTTCCCTAGCAGTGGTGCAGGAGGATGGCAGCTGCCTACACCTCACACTTGCCAACTGTGTGCCCATCACTGAGGGGAAGGGAAAAGGGCATTCCACCATTGAGTGAAGCAGGAGGTCAGTGGCTGAGAGGTGTCTTAGTCTGTTTGTGTTGCTATAATAAAATACCACAGACTGGGTAATTTATAAAGAACAGAAATTTATTTCTCACAGTTCTGGAGGCCAGGAAGTCCAAGATCAAAGTGCTGGCAGGTTTGGGTGCTAGGGAGGGCTGCCCTCTGCTTCCAAGATGGTACCTTGAATACTGCATCCTCCAGAGGGGAGTAACACTGTGTCTCCACATGAAAAAAGGGTTGGGGCAAAAGGGAGAAACTCCCTCATAAAGCCCTTTTATAAGGGCACATAATGACATTCCTGAGAGTGGAGACCTCATGACTCAATCACCTCTCGAAAGCCACACCTCCCAATACTGTTGCATTGGGAATTGAGCTTCAACGTGAATTTTTGGAGGGGACAAAATTATTCAAACCATAGCAAATGGCAATGAGTCAGAAGGATGGAGGCCCCTATGTTTGCCTGACTCTTTGAAGTAACACAAAAATATTGCCAACATACTGGGACCCCAAACCAAGGCGGCGGAACCATCCTCCCTGTCTGTGTTACAATTACTTGTCATTACATGGACCCCAGGACCAATGCCTCATTACTCTCTGGGGGACCCTTATCCTCCTCTTCTCAGAAAAAATTAAAAAAAATGTCAATTGTTACAACTGATACCAAAAGCCATGACACAAGAGCCCTGTTTGCTGATTTCCTTTGATCATCTTTTCAGTATCAAAGGGCATGTGGTTAGCGCGGCAAAGTTCATATTGGTTACGAAGAGATTTTGTTGTTGTTTATTTTTTTAAAAAAGACATTTTCTCTCCAGGCTAAGCCATCTCAGCTTCCCAACCCTTTCTTATGGGAAATGCTTACAATTTGTTTTAATATACTCTTATATAGCTCTTGCTATGTGCCAAGCATGATTCTAGGAGCATTTGCAAATACCAAACTATTTGACCCTCATAACAACACTATGAGATAGGCACCTATGACATAGGCATCTCTGTTTTACAGAAGGGGTAAAAGAGGAAGAGAGAAGTTAAGCAATTTTCCAAGGTCACACAGCATACCAGTGGCTTTAAGCCCAGTCAGGCTATGATCTTGGTCCTTTCTGTGCTGCCTCCACCGTGGCTTTCCTCAGACACTTGAAAGGTTGTGGAAAGTAAAATTAGCCACGATGTTCTAATGATGACCTGATCTTACCAGATATGAGGGAGAGGCTTTGCTCATTGCCATTTCTGTTCTTGTATTCCAGAAGCAACTTTGCTTTAAGCTGCTACTCTAAGGCAGCCTTGGGTTTCCCATACACACCTATCTTTCCCATATCTCCCTGTTTAGAGATTCACCAATTTGCCCAGTTGGTGTCAGAAAATTCATAGAAGCAAGCAGGTTAGGACAAGGAGAAGGTCAACACTACCAGGAGCAATAAGGTGTGTAAATCAGTTGCCCCAGTGCTGTGAATCTAGAACTTAAGTGAGTTCCTTCATTATTTGCATTTGTTTGTTTAGTTATAAGCAGCAGAAGACTCTGGTTAACTTAACCAAAAATAAATAAATAAATAAAGTGAGATGGAAGAAAAGAAGATATTGGAGGGATTCTAAGTGGCTCATGAAATCAAAGAACGGCTGACTAGTTTAACAAATGAGGCCTCTGAAAGGACTGCAAAGAAGGCAGCCATGGAGATTTCAGTAGCAGGACTCATGAATGGTCTCTTTAGGATGCTTCTAAGGAATATATTCACTGCAAACATTTTCCATTCTTGTGTCACCCCAATAAAAATTTCCATCCCCAGGAAAGATAATCTGATTGGAATAGGTCCGGTCACAGGGGAAGATCTTGCTCAGGCTATAGGTGTGGCACGTGGGATGAAGGAATGAAGCAATCCTAAAAGAAAAGGCAAGAAAGAGAAATGGATACTGGGCAGGCAAGAACGGCAGCTGCCCACTCGATACCCAGTGTCTTCTGCAGCAGATCCCCAGCATGGCTGTCCCATCCCTGTTTAACACACCAGCCAGATCCACATCTTTCTGTTTCGGATTCCACTCTGTTAATCTGATCCTTATTCTTCTCCGCTTCCTACCTTGATAGTTTGGTGTTGGTTCTCCTGCTGTCTGCCATACAGCCATTGTCGGAGGGCCTTGAATGAATTTTATTTCATTTCCTGTATTTGTTCCTATTGGCCATTACTACTTTATTCTATGGTCACTAACATTTGAATGACATTTTCACTTATGTCATGTCTTTTAATTTTCTCAAAAATGCTATAAAGTAAGCAGAGCAGATATTATTTTTAACCTTTTTTATTTTTTATTGTTTTTGAGACAGAGTCTCACTCTGTCACCCAGGCTGGAGTGCAATGGCGCTGTCGTGGCTCACTGCAAACTCCACCTCCCAGGTTCAAGCGATTCCCCTGTCTCAGCCTCCTGAGTTGCTGGGATCACAGGCGCACGTCACCACGCCCGACTAGTTTTCTGTATTTTAGTAGAGATGGGGTTTCACCGTGTTGCCTAGGCTGGTCTTGAACTCCTGAGCTCAGGCAATCCACCCACCTCGGCCTCCCAAAGTGCTAGGATAACAGGCAGGAGCCACCCCACCCAGCTCATCTTAGAGATGAGCTAGAGTTTAGACAGACTGGCTGCCTCAGCCACAAAGTCACCAAGAAGCAGATGATTGTACTAAAATATAGGACTTCCAATTTTGCAATTCCAAGTTGCTTCCCACTTCTCCAATTGTTATGGTTTCCAGGTTGCTGTGCAACTCCCCAGAATGGTGTCTTTGATTAATTTAATGAACATTCCCTTGATTTTAAGAAAGGAAAGAGAATGAACAGGAAAATGGTAAAAGATGGGAGGCACTTCGCTGAATATTTCTTACAGTGAAACAAGATTGATATGTGTTCATTTCAGGGTGTTTGGAGTATCTAGTGTTTTCCTTCACATGGCATTCCTTTTTTAATCCCTTGAAACATAACAGTCACAATTCACTCAGTAGGTAAATGGGATCTAGCTCTCATTTTGGCTGTTCTTCAGCCAACATGCACAGCCACATCATATTTCCTTCAGCCTTCGTAGCACAGTCTCTTTGCCATTGAGACCTCTGTCAACACCAGTGGAAAGCTAAGCACAAATGACAAATAGGTTGTTATTACCAGTCTTGTCAAACCTTAGTCCCCTTTGAGTTGGCTCGCATGTGCTGACTTTCCAAAACTAGTTTAGCAGATACAGTGGGGTGTCTGGAAAGCCAGTGTGCCAGACTGGAATGGGTGTTTAGTGATGCTCAACACCACCTGGAGATTTTCTTGGAGATTCTTCTAGTGTTTAAGTCCTGGGGGTGGCGACCACCTCTAGGCTACTTCTTAAATTACTTTGTGAAACATCTGTGAATTCATTTATTCATTCAAAAGATATTTATTAAGTGCCAACTGTGTGCCAGGTGCTGTCCTGGGGGAAAGAGTGAACAATTTAAATTCCCTGCTCTTATTTAATAATCAAATGTTTGTGTGTGTGTGTGTGTGTGTGTGTGTGTGTGTGCATAGAAACTATGTGTATGTGGAAAGAGTCTTTGATATCCTAAAGCAGGAGTCACAGACTTAAATAACTTTTTAATTCAAGAGTTAAGATGTCTGAATGCTGAGTGACGTTGTGGTTATGTTATAGTTAACCTTTTTTTTTTTTTTTTAATAACGAAACACCTCAAATTTAGTGGCTTAAAACAACAATCATGTAATAGTGCAATTTGGGTTGGGCTCAGCTTGGTAGTTCTTCTGCTGGTCTCACTTGGGCTCATTAAGGAAGTTGTAAGTCAGTTGGTGGCTGAACTGGAGCTGGATAATGTAGAATGGGCTCACCACCTGGGGTCACACTAGGTTGTTGGCCAGAGTACTTCAGTTCCTCCCTGCATGGCCTCCAGCAGGTTTGCTTACAAGGTGGTCTCAGGGCTCTCTGCAGCCAGAGAAGACAAGCCACCACATGCAAGCCCTTTTTAAACTTCTGCTTGTGTTTCCATTTGTTATGGTCCCATTGAACAAAGTGAGTAATGTGGGCAAGATCCGAGTCATGGGAGTGTGGAAGAGGACAACCCAAGGGCATGGGTGCAAAGAATTGTGGACACCCTGTGGCTGTTCCTGCCTCAGTCTATCCAGATACTGCACAACAGGAAACAACAGATAATATCATCAAGTAGAGAGTTGCCTCTTCTACAAGTAGTAGCAACCACCCAGCTCTACGTTCTGAGTGTGGCCAGATTTTGAATTGTAAAGAAAAGCCAGAAATCGAGAGTTGTATGCAAATTCTCCCATTTAAAATATTGTCAGTTAACACAAAATTTAAAAATCCATGTGGCCAAACCGAAGTACTTCTGTGGTCTGAATATGACTTAGGAGCCCTGAGACTGTGACATCTTTAATGGGAGTGAGACACCATGGAGTATGGTGTATTGGTTCTCAACCATTTGAACTTTTCAAATAGTAAAAGAGATCAGAGAGGACTTTTAGTTTTAGTTTTTGCCAACTAATGATTTTTTTAAAAGCAGCTATCATCTATAATCTTACAATTTTTGTAAAAGTTAAATACTCGAAACCAGGAATGACATAAACTCAGAATAAATGTACAGTTCTTAAGTTATGATGGAATCTTACCCAACATATTCCTTGTTTCTTCAATTGCAAGACACACTTTTGTCATTTACTAACAATTTTGAAATCACCGTCTATCTTACTTTCTTTAATCAACATGAACATTTACTATAGTGTTTTTTCCTCCCCTGATACATTTATTAAATAATCATTTGTCTTACAATAGATAATGTAGAATTAAGGAAATTATGACATTGTCTTTATTTTTCTCATTTTGTCATGTAGTGGTGAAATGATTCCTCACACGTGTGTAGACTGGTATCTGAAAACTGCTGGTATGGTAGCAAGAACATTGAAAGAACCTTGGTTTTGCAATCAGATAGGCTGTGTTTTAATCCTGGCTTCACTCTTTGTGACTTCAGAATTTTTAGTTTCTCTCTTTTCTTTCTTTCTTTCTTTTCTTTCTTTCTTTCTTTCTTTCTTTCTTTCTTTCTTTCTTTCTTTCTTTCTTTCTTTCTTTCTTTCTTCTTCCTCTCTTTCTCTCTCTCTCTCTTTCTCTCTCTCTTTCTTTCTTTCTTTGTTTCCTTCTTTCAAGACACAGGGTCTTACTCTGTCACCCAGGCTGAAGTGCAGTGGCATAATCGTGGCTCACCTGAGCCTGGAACTCCTGGGTTCAAGTGATTGTCCTGCCTCAGATTCCTGAGTAGCTGAGACTACAAGTGCATACCACAATGTCTGGCTAATTTTTTTTATCTTAATTTTTGTAAAGACAGAGTCTTGCTCTGTTGCCGAGGCTGGTCTTAAACTCCTGGCCTCAAAGGATCCTCCTGCCTTGTCCTCCCAAAATGCTGGGCTTATAGACATGAGCCACCACACCCAGCTTGGACAATTTTCTTAACCTCTTTGAGCCTCAGTTCCTCAAGTGAAGATAATAATATTTGCTTATGGATTCCAGATAATATAAATTCCCTTGCAACACCAGGGCACATGATAAACAGCACATGGTGGCTATTGTCACACTATCTTTCCAAGGAGTCAAGGTAGCTAGTACATTTATTTCTGTGTAATGCAGGTGATGAAGGTGGCTGGCCTAATGTCTGAATGCTGAGGGTGGGTGCTGGTGGTGTCATTTCATGGCAGCAGATTCATTCATGTGGAAGCCAGTGTAATTCTGCACCAAGAGTAGCAAATACACAGTGTATGGGGCATCTCTGCCACCACCACCTTCACCTTAGCAGACATGCTTAGTGATCATACAGTGGTCTGCTACCTGCACTGCCTGACCCTCAGAGTCTTTCTCAACAAGCATTTTCACAGATTGGTGCTCTGCCAGTGGTGAGGCTTACTTCCCATTTCTTGTTTGGACATTCTGGGCAAGGCCAGCCCAGGTCAACCTTACTTTACAGGGTTATATATCATATGCACAATTTTAATTCTCTTTATCTGCCCTTGAGGCAAGGCATCATTGCTGTGATGAGCCCATCTTCATGTGTTGAATGTATCATTCTCCTCCTCTTTGCTTTTGCCTTCTCTATATGATGAAGCTCTGGGAGTAAGTGGCATTAGGATGGCACCCAGCCCAGGCATACTTAGAGGTGTGCTTGGCGTTACTCAGCGTCTTGCCGTATAAGTGGATGTAGGTTGTGTCAGGGTAGAGAGCCTTCAGGCCTTCTTGCTGAGTCACCGGGAGCTAGAATCAGGATTTGAAGTCCAGCGCTGAGGTCCCCACGCTGAATCGACAGGCAGGGAAGATATATATAAGCGGTAGGTATATAAGTGGCCATCACTCTTCTCCTGTTGATGACCTCCTTCCCCACCCGTGCCCTGTTCCAGCAGCTGAATGTGAACAGGGACGCCGCTCTTACACACACTGATCTTGACCCCTGGTGTTCTTAGACTTCACTGGACAACTGCATTGACTTTCCTGGGTCCCTAATTGTGACACATGAATCTTAACCTGATTTGGGTCTTTAACATTCCTCATTTTACTTCTTATTTTCCCCCAGGAAGAAAGTGGTAAAGTGGAAAACATGTGGACTTTAGGGTTAGACAGACTTGGGTTCAGTAGCTTCTCACTAGCTACATGATGTTGATTACATTAATTAGGTTTTTCTGGGTTTCAGTTTCCTCATCTATACAGCGAACATGACAACACCTGGGGCAATGCACTGTTATGAGGATTGCACACAATGTCATATTATTATGGAAAGAGCATAGCATAATGCTTGGTGCCAAGTAGGCACTTAGCTAACTAATCACTTCAACAAGTCTCTGTTAAGCTTTGCCAGGTGGCATTTTAGCAAAGGCAATACAGCAGGAGACAAAGCACACAGCTTCCATGTCAAATCAAACTTACTTCCTAGAGGTGGGAAACAGACCACAGGGAAGCAAACAAATAAAGGAACAAGAGATGTCAGATAGTCAAGTGCTCTGAAGAAAATATGTCAGACAGAAGTGATGGAGAGGAACTGGGAAGGTGCAGGGAGGCCTCACCGAGGAGATATAGCTGAGCCAAGACCTAACATATAAGAAGGAATCAGACTTGCAAAGATGTAAAAGAGGCACTTCCTGAGCAGAGGAATTTGCAAATGCAAAGTCCCCATGCACAAGTGTGAGCCCGGGTGAGTGTTGGTGAGAAGGCCAGTGTGGCCGCAGCAAGAGGGAGGGGTGAAAGACCATGGTAGGGAGGAAGGCAATGCTTGGGAAGCCAGGGGAAGGCATCTGGAATTTATGTGAAGTGCAGTATTATTTCTCTTTCTGCCCTTCCTTCCAAATTGGACCTCAGAATGGTGCCTCGTTATTTTCCCTGCCTGTCGATTCAGTGTGGGGACCTCAGCGCTGGACTTCAAATCCTAATTCTAGTTCCCGGTGACTCAGTGAGAAGGCCTGAAGGCTCTCTCCCCTGACACAACCTAGATCCACAATTTGTATTCCTAATGGCTCAGACTTATCTTTGAGAAGCATGTCCTGTCTTTAACTTGTCCTGATCCAGATCCCTTCCTTGTTTCTTGAATGTCAGCCTTCAATCTTATAGGTTTACATGGAGGTTTTGCATATGTATAATTTCTTGAGGACTGTTGCATGCTCATCTCATCTCTCCAGCTAAAAATAAGGTCCTTCAAACATTGACATCACTCCTACCTCTTGGGTAACCCCCTAGTGTCTGCTACCATGTTTAGTTGCTGAGTGAATGAATGCCTTCATCTTCCTACTCAAACTTAAGTAGCCATTCCCCTATCACCGTTGATACTGCCTTCTGGTTTTGTGTTCTCTATAGGTTTATCACTATCTAAATTGATCCAGTTTGTTCAGCAGCTGCCTGCCCCAACAGGAATGAAGAGGCCATGAAAGCAAAGGCCTCATCTGTCTTTTTACTGAACCTCAAGCAGTGTCTCCCCATAGCAGAAGCTCAAGGAGCATCTGTACTAAAGATGGGGCCTACGGTAGGGAGCCTTGGCCAAGTTAGGACCATTGGTCCAGTGACTCCAACTTCCACACATAGAGGGGAACTATTCTGGAAAAGCATTTTATACCTTTTTTTTTCTGGGCTCTAATTCTTAGAAATCAGACTATAGAGAACTGCCAAAGGAGTGTTGCTTTGGGTCAGTGGTGAAATCATTAATATCTTGTTGTGTCTCTGTGGCCTTTCTCTTGGTACCTTCTTTAGAGGTGGAGAGTTTAGAAGGGATAGAAGGAGCTGCCTTGGGGTGTACACATTCCCCAAAGCTGTGACTTCATTTGTTGAATCCGTTTCAACTGTATCTCTTTTCATTAACCATTTCCAAGCTACAGGGACCTGTGGTTTTAAGAGGAGAGTAATGGTTGTGTCAATGAGGGAGCCTGCTCTCTGAGCTCTGACGCCCCACTCTGCCTCCCCCATTGGCTCAGGAAAGATGTGGTTTATATTAGTGCCCTGGAGAAAGTTCATGCCCTCTGGGAAGAGTGTGTCCATGAAATGGCAGAGTGATTAATGGTTTATTTACAGCACTGACATCCAGCCTGTCAAGACCCTTCAGTGGCCTTTGATGTAAAACACACCGAGAGGCCCTGGCTCGTCCTTATCTCCTTGGAGGAGAGAAATCAGAAATGAAGGATGGTGGGCCCAGGCTCTGAACACTGGGCTTCAGGGGTCTGAATGGTGAAAACAGGCAGGGGCCAGAGACTGTTAGGAGGTGGCAGTCCTCAGCAGGGTGCCCCTATCATCTTTCTCATTTTTCCTTTTCTCTCTCATATCTTCTTCTTTCTTGTGTACCCCCTCAAGTACTGCTTGGATCCCTCAAGTCTCACAGGATAATGTATTTACAAATTATGCATGAATGTCACCAGGAGTCATAGATATCTGTATTCCTAAGGGATGGTGGGTGGGTAATGGTTAAGCCACACTATTGAACCATTAGTGATATTTGAAAGCACTCTGGCCTCTGGTTGAAGGAGCCATGTTTCTTTAAGAGAACAAAAGAACCCCGAGTGATTCCCAATTGCGCAGGACAGAGGACAGAGTTTGCAAGCAGGCAGCCTCCAAGCTGAATCCGGTCCACAGCTGTATTTTGTTTGGCTGCAGACAGCTGAAAATCTTTTTAATAGTTGCCAAAGTTTAACAATAAGATTTTAATTTCACATACAATTTTGGATTTCTGCTTTCTCTTGAAAAACTGAAGATCTGGACTCACTGAGCTTGTGTTCCCTCACAGTAAAAGAAGCTGAAACTGAAGAGGGGTCGCTACCCTTACCTGAGACAAGGCCTGTGTCTGTTGTCTCCCCCAAATGATACTGTGTGTCTGTTGCAATTTATCACTGTCATTGAGCTCTTGTTTTATTTATTCCTGTTCTGCTTCATGCATGTTTTGCTGAGCTATTCCAATTCTTTGAATCAGGAAAATGAGTTTTCATTAGTCAAATGGGGATACCAAAACCAACCTAAAAGGATTGTTGTGATGTTTACAAGAGATATCCCTAAGTAAAATGCTTAGTTAGCACAGTGCCTCATACATAAAAAGTGTTCAGTAAATGGTAGCAATTATTCTTATTGCACACATGAATTTAGGCCTCGCACTAAGTAATAGCAATTTGGTGGTCTCTTGTTGGTTTTGAAGCTAAATTGTTCAAATTGACATGTTAGAAAAAGTTCTGCCTTCCTTTGTCTATGAAGACTCATCTGAGGTCCAACAATATTCCAAAGCATGGATTCTGGAGTTTGAAGGATTTCTTTGAGAACACTGATTTCAAATTTCTTACCTTCTATGGTGAGAATTTAGGAGGCACTGAGTACCTTATCACTTCAGGGTAAATTAGTACTGGGCTAGCTAGAGATGCATCTAGCTAAGAATAAAAATATACCAGGGAAGAAAGAGCTCTCCTAGGAAGAGACCATGTGAAAATTTTCTCCAGCAGCTCCCTGGATGCTATTTCTCTATTCTCTTGTGGAAAAAATGAGGCAAGTGAGAACAGCAGTTGGTCTAATGAGTCATGACCCATAACGAGACACAGGTGGCCTCAAGCCCTTGCCTTTTAGCAGACGCACTGTTTGCCTTTCTTATTTTGTAATTCCTCTTATAGTTCCTCCCAGGCATGAAAATCCAGAGGCAACGATGCCTGGTACAACTTGATGTAGAGTTACAAGTCATCATGTCTACAGGACAAAACTTAGATATAAGGGATAGGTTGGTTTCATTGGAATCAGGTTCACACTAAGAAGATCACCAGCCGTTAATTACTTTCCCCACATTATTCCCTGATTAGAGAGAGCTCTGTGCTTCTGAGTATATGCCTCCAGGATGTTGCTGTTTATAATGCTGTGGTGTGCCAAAATTTGCATGAGTTAGAATGCTTTTGGCTGCAAATAACAGACAGATATAGGCATTTAAAAAAAATCTTACTCATCAAGAAGTTTGGTGGTGGGTTCAATTCTTACCAACCCACAAGGCTCAAGTTTTTGCAGATGGTTAACCTATATTTTCCAGGGACACTCATAGAGAGACACAGAAAAAATACTCTAACACTAAAGTTCTGTTCTATGCCACAGATAAAATTGTGTGTTAAGAAATAGTTGATAATTCATGGATGAACCCCATTGGCACCTCACTCAAACATTTCTTTCCACCATGGGTCTGAGAAGAAAAGCCACGTTAAGAAATGACATTCCATCCAATCTAAGGAGGGAGGATTCATGAGCTTGTGTGATGCAGCAGGCATCATCTGAGATTTCTGGCTGGAATGGCAGTGGGATGGCAACTGTATAAGTAAGGATGTAGTAACATGCTGTGTTGGGTGGTTCAAGGCCCTGATATCTGGAGCAGTAGCTGGTACATGGTGTCAGACCCCTCCTGGAGAGGAGTCCTGGGGGCAGTGTCAGAAGGTGCTCTGGCAGACAGATTAGCACCTGTATTTACATAATTAATTACACCATGTATAAAGTAAATTCTGTACATGGGGATCCTGAGAGAGATGGTACCACAAGGGCCAAGGATGTGGGCCAGTATTCTCAGCACATAATCCCTGGTCTAGCTGCATCAAATCATCTGGGAAGATTTCTAGACTCTGTCCCACAAGCCCCGCATTCTCAAAATCCCCTGAGATGGCCTGAGTACATGGCCTGAGAACCTGAAGTTTAATCCAGATCTCCCAGATCCAGAAATTCTACTACTGGCTATATATCCAAAGGAAAGAAAATCAGTATGTCTAAGAGCACTCCCAAGTTCATTGCAGCATTATGCACAATAGCCAAAATGTGGGATCAACCTAAGTGTCTATAAATGGATGAGTGGACAAAAAATGTGGTATATATGCACAGTGGAATACTATTCTGCCTTAAGAAAGAAATTCTGTCACTTGTGACAAAATCAATGAATCTTGAGGACATTATGTTAAGTGAAATAAGCCAGGCACAGAAAGACAAATACCACACGATCTCACTCATATGTGACATCTAAAAAATCAAACTCACAGAAGTATAAAGTGAAATAGTGGTTACCAGGGGCTGGAAGGGATTTGGAGTTGGAGAGATATTTATCAAGGTTACAAAATTTCAGTTACATAGGAGGAAAAATTTAAGAGATCTATTGTACATGTGACTATAGTTAACAACATGTATTAGTGAGAATTGCTAAGAGAGTGGATTTTAAGTATTCTTACCACAAAAAATGGTAAGTATGTAAGCCAATGAATATGATATGATAAATAGCTTGATTTAGGCATTCTACCATGTATACATATTTTGAAACATCACGTTGTACATGACAAATATATACAATTTTTATTTGTCAATTAAAATAAATAAATTGATTTTAAACATAAATCTCATACACACAGAAAGATCTTCCCTGGGAGATTCAGAGGTCTGGAGAGCTGATGAGACAAGCTCATCAGCTTTAACAACTTTAGGGATAAGACTTCAGAGAGGAGTGACCTCAGAGAATTGAACTGACTTCGACATCCAATATAATCCTAGGAGTATTTGCCATATTTGGGCTCTGGCTGAAAGCTTAAAAATCTCAGGTTTGTACCTTTCAGAAGAGCAAGAGCTGCATGTTTCAGAAGAGAATTGAAGGCCTCAAGCACAAGACTTCCTATCCCTTGAGGATTTTTGCATAATTGGAGGTCTGTACTAAATGGGAGATCACAGATATTAGCGGACAGCCTTTGAAAATCAGAGCAGAATTTTGGCTCAAGATCTGCCTGGAGGAGGGCTGGGTAAAATGTATTAGGTTCTCAGTTAAAAACCTTAAAGTTCAGGGGCAAATAAGAGGTGTATTAAAGCTGTGGGAGCTGCAACAGAACTTTGATATAACAGCATCTATTGGTCTAATGGAAGGTAGAATACATGCTCTTTGAAAGATGATAGCATCATCTGGAGTCTCTATACCTTTTATATTCAGTGTCCTTCATTGGACTAAAAAAATTGCTGGTTATGTCAAAAGACAGGATGATAAGAATAAAAAAAAACCAGACCATCAAAACAGATCCATAATGGAATTACCTGATAAGAACTTAAAAATAACTATGACACCTATATTTATAAAAATAGAGGAAAAGGTAGGAAAAACAGATGATAAAATAGAATTTCACAGAGAATTGGCATCTACAAGAAACAATCTAATAAAATCAAATTCTAGAAGAATAGCACAATACCTGAAATTAAGAGCTCATTAGATGTATTTAACAGCAGATAAACACAGCAGAAGATGGGATTTGTGAAACACAAGATAGGTCAACTGAAAAATAACCAAACTGAAGCACACAGAGAAAAAAAGAATGAGACTACAAGAAAGATCATTGAAATATGTGGGGCATATGTGTGGCTGGAGTAGCAGTAGGAGAGCAGAGAGAAATAGTGGGTCAGAGAGAGAATAGAACAAAACAGTATTTGAAGAGATAGTAATTGAGAATTTTTCAAAACTGATGAAAGATATTTACCCACAGATTTAAGAAGTTTTGCAAATCCCAAACAGAATAAATGCAAAGAAAGTCATATCTAGGCTGGGCATGTTGGCTCATGTCTGTAATCCCAGCACTTTGGGAGGCTGAGGCAGGAGGATTGATTAAGCCCAGGAGTTTGAGACCAGCCTGGGAAACATAGAGAGACCCCATCTCTACAAAATAATAATAATTTAACAGATAGCCAGACATGGTGGCACATGCCTATAGTCCCAGCTACTTGGGAGTCTGAGCTTCCGGGAGGATCACTTGTGCCCAGGATGTCAAGGATGTAGTGAGCCATGACTGCACCTCTGCACTCCAGCCTAGGCAACAGAGCAAGACCCTGCCTCTAAATAAATAAATAAAAAGTCACATCTAGATATATCATAGTAAGACTGCTAAAAATTAAGGGCAAAGAGAAAAGTCTCAAAAACAGCTAGAGAAAAACACATTACTTTCAAAGAAGCAAAAACAAGTCTGACAACTAACTTCAAAACAAGGAAATGACATTTTTGAAACGCTGAAAGACATTAATCCACAATTCCATAACCCAAGAAAATTGCCTTCAAAAATCAAGGGAAAAGAGACATTTTCAGATGAACAAAAATAAGAGATTTAGTTGCCAGCAAGCCCTCAATAAGAGAAATTCTAAAATGAATTCTTGAGAGAGAAGGAAAGTGATCCCAGGGAGAACCCAGAATTGTAAGAAGAAATTAAAGAGCAACAGAAATATTGCTATCTGTATGCTGATACATATAAACAAATACTGATTAAATATTAATTGTATAATATATGGATAGAATATTCAGGGCAACATTAATACATAAGTTGGAAATGGTATAACTGGAGTTAAAGTTTTCTAAAGCTTTCACATTATGTAGGAATTGGTAAAAATAGTAATTTGTACTACAGCGTAATAAGTGAAGGACACATTTTTCATGTCTAAGTGACCACTAAATGAATAACTAAGTGTGTTTAACTATTAAATTAAGAAAAAAGTAGAATAATCACAGAGTTGATTAATCAAAGAAGGCAAGAAAAGAGATAAAAAGGAATAAATGAGTCAC
The DNA here is from genome assembly GCF_000001405.40 of Homo sapiens. NCBI lineage: Eukaryota > Metazoa > Chordata > Mammalia > Primates > Hominidae > Homo > Homo sapiens. Next base: position 53,858,388 of record NC_000004.12, on the reverse strand, counting down.
CTATAATAAATAGTAAGATGTAAATAAAACCCTAGTATATCATTAACTACACTAAATATCAATGGAGTAAATATTCCGATTAAATTAAGTAACATTTTTAGTAGTCAGGTGGTAGGTAGTGTTATTGGAGGTTGGAAAGATAGTCTAAGATCCATGACCTGTAGTGGCAAAGCATTTATTAAAACTGTACTTGAGCTCATTTGGCAGGAAGACCAAGTACCTATCAACATTACTTTAAGAACAAAGATTGGAAAGTAGAATGTTAACAGTGTGTGTTTGTTGTGACTGGATGCATTTATCAAATATCAAAGTAATCCCTTTCCTTATCAAAGAAAGGGATTAGTTCAGACAAAGATTTGCTGATTTGAAATCATAAATAAAAATGAATCTATGGAGTCCAGATATTTGGGTATTGAAAGATTTAAAAACTCATCTGCTTCTAGGCCTCAAACAGTAGGAACTAATATTGAGAAACTTTTAAAGCAATAATGGCTCACTGAGATTCAGATTTATAGCAAAGATCAGATTAGGTATATGGCTTTTCTATCCAAGCTGCATGGCCTCAAGCTGGTTGACATTAAATTGAGAGAGAGTCAAATAAGGCCAAAGAAGCAAAGAACTGTATCCGACTTGAGAATTATTTTTAAGAACTGACATAGGCAGGTAATTGGAAACAGATACATAGGAAACATACTATGTTTTGAGGAAATTTTATTGCCAAAGAAATATGAACAAAGAAATATAAACCTGGACTAAAAAATCATTTTCTCAATTAAGACTTAAAATAACATTTGGGACCCCAAATTTGAACCCACGGGAACAAGTTTTGACCTCTAAAGATGGCATACTTTCCAACATCCACTTCAAATGTAGCCAAGGAGGTCATGAGGAACAAGCAGGAATGTCCCAGAGGGTAGAGCCATGGGTCATGGAGAAAAGTAGACCTCTGTCTAATGTTCTTCTCAGAGAGCAGAACCAGGGTCTAATCAAGAAAGCTCTCCTAGCGTCAGAGTAGAAGTTTTTCTAATACTTGCCCACCAAGATTCTGTCATTGCTTATATCCCAGTGACTGCTGAGTATTCGCCATCCTTCCTATCTGTGAATGGGAGTATTCATTGTGGTTATTCTGTTTCCCACTGTATAGTGTGTGTGTGTGTGTGTGTGTGTGTGTGTGTGTGTGTGTGTGTATGTGATATTTAGTTCAAAGGTGACTGGATCACAAGGAGCTGCATCTGGATATGATAGACAGAAAGGAGTTAGTACCCCTTCAAGGTGCTGTCCTTTGAAGTGATTGGGTGGGACTTTGGGTTATCTCTCTTGGGGAAGGGGAAAGTTTGTTGTTGATGTGGGAGAACATGTGAAATAGATATTTGGTGACTAAAGTGTTGAACAGTGGCCAAGAATGGTATATGTTCACCAAAAACCTGTTTCCTCTACCTCCTGGACCCAAAGCCAGACCACTTGCCTAGCTTTCCTTGCAGCTGTGTGGAGCCAAGTGCTTGAGTTTTGTGGGTAAAAGTGGGTTACACCACTTCCAGTCCAGGTCCATAGAAAGCTCACATACAGTCTTCCATGTTCCATGTTCATCCATAGGCTGACTGGATGTCCATGCCCAGGGTGACTTTGGAAGCCATATATTGAAGGCAGAGCCCCCATCAGTCTGGGTCTCTGGATATGGCCTCCTGCTATGCTCCCATCTCCAGCTGGTTAGCCTCTAACATTTTTCACTGTGTTAAGCCACAGGGACTTTGGAGTTTACCTGTTTTAGCATCTACTATTACTCTAATTCATATGCCAGCCCTCCCTACAAGTCATTCCCTACATTCTTTGACACCTTCTAACTGATGGTACGTACCTATAGTAATACAAAGAGCGAAGAATGAGCTTTGAGAGCTGAGCAACCTGCAGTACAGTAACAAAGGAAGATTATCTTCCTGGGTTTTGGACAACCCAGAGAACTGAAAGGGTAAAGCATATGGTCAGTGGCCAATCTACAGTTTTGGGTGGAGAGTCCTTTTACAATCCTATTCCTGAGCCATCTCCCACTGCCATAAAACTTTCCATAATTCCAGTCATTGAAGTGGTGGCAGAGTTTTTGGAGAAAGCCTTCCCTTAATACTATTCAAAACCTTCAGTATGCAGTGGTTATGCTTACAACGTGTCCCTCTCAGAACACTTTTCTGCAATGGGGTCAACATGTTTCCCCACAAAGCATGAATCCTGGAAATGCCTGACTAACTCCAGCATCATGTCTTATGGGGGCGAAATAGTTCTGCTATCTGGCTCTAGGAATGCAGCCTTCCTAATTTCAAGTAATTCATCTCCTAGGGGTGTTTTTGTGTTTTTCTTGGTCAACTACACAGTCATCGCATTTTGCAGCCAGGAGCAATTTGTTTCTCTGAAACCATCCAGCTTACAAGCTTTGCTTTCCAACCAGGAAGGGAGTTGTGGTGAACAGTCCTGTCTGACACAGACTGATTCATTATTGAATTAGGGAAATAATTTCTTGTCATCTTATTAGAATATGCATTTGGCAGCTGGATAAGATTGCATTTCAGTTTGTAAAAGAACAGTGAAAAACATGGGTCTCGTTGAGCTTGTGTGTGACTATGTGTATTTGTGTCGTTGAGCTTGTGTGTGACTATGTGTATCTGTGTTTTATTATGCAATGAGACTAAAAAAATAGAAGCAAGATTCTGAAAGCCCCAGAGCATGCATGACTTGTCATGAAAACGGGAAGCAGATTTTCTGGCAAGACTGAGTGTAGGTCCAGTTAAATTGTTTTGAATCTGATGATTTAGATATAACGTCTGATGAAGTATGATTTAGATATAAAATCTATGGTAAAGTAAAGCATAGCCCTAGCTGGTTGACTCAACACAGGCAGGCAGGAAACATGAGGCTATACTTTGTTTTTGTCAATTACAGGGAGCCCTCCCAGCTACACACACCTATGTGTTTGAGGAAGATAACTTCAGAAAGACTGTGTAGTTGGACTGTATTATACCATTCATCTAAAAAATTGGGAAATGAGAATCTGAGGTTTGGGACTCTGATGATAGAATCATACTATTATATGTTGCAACAAGGGTAAGATTGATCCACTTACTGACTGATTCATTCATTCAACATGTGTTTATTGTACAGCTGCTGCGTTAGAGGTTCTGGGCTAGGCCCTGGGGGTATAATGGCAAATAATGCAGAGTGAGTTTCTGCCCCTGTGGAGTTTATAGTCCCGTGGCGAATACAGGTCAATAAGCAGACTCAGTTATAGTGGAGGGCTGGGAATGCAATGAAATGGGTAGTGTAGTTGCTAAGGGAGGCCAGGGAAGGGTCAGCCAACCCAGTTCTGTGGAAGGGTCAGGAAAGGCTTCTTGGAAGAAATGATGTCTAGACAATGACATAAAAGATGAGGGGCAATCAGCTAGGCACAAGGCTGTGGTGGGGGCCAGGGAGAATTTGGTGAGGGAAGGGAATGAGCTACAGACCTTCAAGCAGAGGGAATTGCAGAAAGCATGGTGTATTGTAGGAACTGGGAGAAAATAACAAACGCCTAGATTCTAACACATGAAGCAGGAAAAGAGTGAAGGCAGGGGTCAGATCTTGCAGAGATTTGCGGAACATTTAGAAAGGCTGAACTTTATTTCAAGATAAATAGAAGTTATTGAACAAGCCAAAATATATCTTGATCTTAATCGGTCCTATTTTTGCAGGGATTGGGGGTGCAGGAAGAGGAGGTAAATACATGTCAGGAAACCAGACCAAATTCACACAGTGGGCAGTTTGGTGGTGGTGGCAGTTTCAGCAGGACAGCTGCAGAACTTATGGATCCTCATGGCTGGTGTGCTGCGATGGCGTTGCTTTCACCTTCTGCTATAACACTAATTTTGTTCTATTTTCTTACAGATATTCTCTCCAGATATCTAACTCAATCTAAATTATCAGTGCAAACAAGGTGAAAATGAGGAGTAAGTACTGCAAAGTGATAAATAACCTAAATCATACATCTGATTTTGGAATGTGACCACATAAATGGGCACAGTGCACATACTCATACTCACTGGCATACTCACACTTTTTTGAAAAAAACAGCTTTATTGAGGCATAAATGATGTGCAACAAACTGCAGATATTTAACAAACAAACACCAGGAGATTGGTTCCAGGACCTCTGAGGATACCAAAATCCATAATGCTCATGTCCCTTATGTAAAATGGCGAAGTGTTTACATATAACCTATGCACATCCTCCCATAAATGTTAAATCATCTCTAGATCACTTATAATACCTAATATAGTGTAAATGCTATGTGAATTGTATTTTTAATATGTGTATTATTTTATTGTTGGATGGCTATTTTTCATTGTTTTTTTTTCTGAATATTTTCCAATTGAGGTTGGTTGAATCTACAGATGTGGAACCTGCAGATACAGAGGGCTGACTATATACAATTTGATGAGCCTGGACATATGCATACAGCGATGAAAACACCACCACAATTAAGGTAATGAACATATCTACCGCCTCTAAAAGTTTCCTTGTGTCTCTTTGTTCTTGTCATAAGAATGCTTAACATGGGGCTGGGCATGGTGGCTCACACCTGTAATCACAGCACTTTGAGAGGCCAAGGCAGGTGGAACACCTGAGGTCAGGAGTTCAAGACCAGCCTGGCCAAGACGGTGAAACCCCGTCTCTAATAAAAATGCAAAAAAAATTAGCTGAGTGTGGTGGCAGGCGCTTGTAATCCCAGCTACTCGGGAGGCTGAGACAGGAGACTCCCTTGAACCTGGGAGGTGGAGCTTGCAGTGAGCTGAGATTGCGCCACTGCACTCCCGCCTGGGCAACAGAGTGAGACTCTGTCTCAAAACAATCAAACAAACAAACAAAAGAATACTTAACATGGGATGGAGATCTACCTCTTAACAAATTTTTAAGTGCACAATACAGTATTATGGACTACAGCCACCATGTTCAGCAGAAGATCGTATCCATCTTGCATAACTGAAACTTTTATCGCTAAACAATGTTTCCCCATATCCCCCTCCTGTAGCCTCTGGCAACCACCATTCTACTATCTGCTTCTATGAATTAGATGATTTTATTTACCTCCTGTAAGTGGAAGCATGTTGTCTTTGTCCTTCTGGGACTGACTTATTTCCATCAGCATAGCATCCTGCAAATGGCAGGATTGGCTTCTTTTTTAGGGCCGAATGGTATTCCATTGTTGCATCTCCACTCTTGAACCATGCTGGTGTGGGCTTAAAGGAGTAGGATTCTCCAAGCCAGAGTTGGTGAGAGGGAGAGGAGCTTTGATGAAGATGGACAAATTGTCACTCTGAACCATTCTTGGCACATTAGCTTGAGTCCAGCTGACTTTCCAAGTCATAGCACTCTTTAATATAACACAGGTTCCCAAGGTATCTTCTGTAGAACCCCAAGTTCCCAGGCTTGCAATAGATAACATTGAAAAGTGGGCTTCCAGGTTAAACAATTCTAGTTAGCATGAGGCAACGTTAAATTTCTTGACTAAGAAACTGATGGCAACTTTCATATGTTAATGTTGCATTGTAACGTTGAGAAAAGAAGCATAATTTGCATCATAAGTTAACTCAAAGATTCTCCTAGCCTGCTTGAGCACAGAAACTTAATTTTTTCATGGAGCAACACAGGGCAGATAGTAAGGCATTTTGGAGAGGACATTGGTGTCTCTGAGGCTTAGAGTGCATTCCAGGAGGAGTGGAACGGCCCAGGGTCTTCCAGGGCTTGCGATTTGCTTGTCTATCTGTGACAGAAGCACATCGTGGCTCGCACACTAACAGCTACAGGATTCTTCTCTCCAGGAGAGACAGTTGGTCAGTTTGGTGACTTTTCCAAGGAAAATACAGAGAGTAAAGTAACCAGACCAGGGAAACAGCCATTCTTTAGTAAAAACAAACACAGGAGCCCCTGCGTCAGCAAACCCCATGGAGAGCAACTTGCTCAATCTTTTAAATACTTTTTAAAGAAGGATTTGAGGTCTTAAACTTGACTTTGAGGAGAAAAAAAAATTTGTGTTAAAAAGAAACATATGTGAGACAAATGTCAGGCAGCTGAAAATCATGGATAATTTTGACACATTTTTAATTATAATTTTCAATGAAAAAATAATATAGAAAAACTCTCTTTAAAAAGCTCACCTTTCAAAAAAAATTCTGTTGAAAAAAGACAAGCAGCTCTGGGTGACATCTGCCTAATGGTATAGAGTTTTGCAAACGGCAGAAATGTGAGAGAATCCCTAGGGCGCATTGCTGATTGATCTTAAAGAGGAGCAACCCAGGTCTCGAGGATTTTCCTGAAATGTATTGTTCTCAAAATATTCTTAGCAGTCAATATAATTTTTGCCCACTCTTTGGATCTCACCAGTACGTGTATAATAGCAAAACAACCCAAAGAAGATAAAGTTTCAACTGTTTGTATCAGAAGAAGACTATGAAATCTACTATGAATCAGTGAGCCAGGCAGGCTTTAGAAGATTGTAAGAGTTGAATGCAAGGAGGTTAAAGCAAAAAGATACAGCCTGGAACTTATCAAGAAGATAACCATTTTTTCCACTGGATTAAGTGCCGAGTACTTTTCACACATAAGTTTCATCTTCATGATATCCCTGAGAGGTTCACATTATTCCCAATTTACTGATGTATAAGTTGAGTTCAAAGAAGTGAAGAAACTTTCTCAAGTCCCTATAGTTATTGAGTGTGGAATTAACATTTTAACCCTGATTCATCATGCTCATCTCTTCAATGCTCCTACTTCCAATGACAAAGTTGTTCTCACCCAAATACATTTAATTTGAAAGTCAAGAATAAAAGATCTTGGGCAAGCAATAAACTTTTTTATTTTGGAGACAGAGTTTTGCTCTCATCACCCAGGCTGGAGTGCAATGGTGCAATCTCAGTTCACTGCAACCTCTACCTCCTGGGTTCAAGCGATTCTCCAGCCTCCCAAGTAGATGGGATTATAGGCTCCCACCACCACACGCAGCTGATTTTTGTATTTTTAGTAGAGATGAGGTTTTACCTTGTTGGCCAGGCTGGTCTTGAACTCCTGACCTCAGGTGATCTGCCCACCTTGTTCTACCAAAGTGCTGGGATTACAGGCGTGAGCCACGGTGCCCAGCCAAGAAACTTTTAATAACTGTTTTTAAATCAAACAGAATCCCTGGGTGAAAACAGATGGGACTGGGAATGAAATTGTTTCACAAATCTATTAATTTTACTCGGCAAACACTCACATAGCACTTTCCAGGCACTGGCTTAAACATTTTGCTAATGTGGATCCTCCTAACAGCCTTATGAGGTAAGTACAATTAGCATCTCCTGTTTACAGAAAAATAAACAGAGAGGTTAAGTCACTTACCTAAGGTTACCCAGCTAATCAGTGGCAGGGCAGGGACCCACATGCAGGAAGTCAGGCTCCAGAGTCCATATTTTTAACCTCTATGCTATTGAAAGTAATGGTAAAAACCACAATTACTTTTTCACTAAGCTAATATGTTCCTTCTTTGATCAGACTTTTGAGGTCTAAGGAAATACCACACCAGGGTGCTGGGTCTGGCGTTCAGTTTTTATAGTGTGTTTACTTGCCTAGTGTCAGATGCACTTTAGGCCAAAACAGATTTTCAAAGCTTTCCTGAATACTACCATGTCAAGGAACATGAGGCCTGGATGTCTATATCCAGTGAGGATATCTTGACCCCACCCAACACACATGTGCTCTTCTCAGAGGTGGTCTTGTTTCATTGGCCATGGCAAATCAAATGCCTACGGCCTTCCCATTTTGGTGGACAGTGGGTGGAGGATTTGTCTCTCTGGCAGTGTCAGGACTAACTTATTGGCACAGAAAAAGGAAGAGATTCTCACCTTGTGTTACTGTATCATTCATAGTGCTCAGCCACAATATGTGCTCAGATGTTCCAGAAAAACCCAGATTAAGAGTAACCCTCGCCACCTCTCTCTCACGTGTGTGCGTGCTCTCGCTCTCTCTTTCTCTCTCTTTCTCTCTCTCTGTCTCTCTCTTTCTCTCTCTCTCTCTCTCACACACACACACACACACACACACACACTCTCTCTCACATAACTGACAGCTGAGTTAGGACCCATATGAACAAACATTTGCCCAGAAGCCTAATGGGGCAGTGTTGTGCTTGGGATAAGGGCTGAGGCCCTCGAATAAATTGTTTTAGCAGAGTTGAGACTCCAACTGGCCCTATAAATAATTATGACATTGAAAACAAGAGGTGGGGGTGGAGAGCTAGTGCAGCCCTTTTGAATAGCAGTTTATTGATGAACAAAGTACTTCTTGATGTTTAATTGCTCTCCCCCCTTTTCTCTAACTAGGTCAAAGTACACATAAACAATTTTTTCCCTCCACTGAAAGATGAATTATACAAACCATGAAGCAAAAGATAGGAAAAATAAAGATAAAACTCTCTTAATTGTGAAGTAGATGATTCTTCCATTTCCTTTAGCTGATCATTTTCTTTATCTTTTTTTGAGACTGGGTTATGAGACTGGCTAGTTTTTGTATTTTTGGTAGAGCTGGGGTTTCACCATGTAGCCCAGGGTGGTCTCCAACTCCTGGGCACAAGTGATACTCTCACCTCAGCCTCCTAAAGTGCTGGGATTACAGGGGTGAGCCACCATTCCTGGCCCATTTTCTTTTATGTAAAATAAAACAAGAAAAACTTCCTTTAATTCACTTTTATTTTTCATTGGTTTTCTAACTTGATAAAAATTTTCATTTGTTTCTTTTTAACATTTTCCCGTCAGAAAGGCCTAAGGCATGGGATCTTAATTGCCAAGTTTAATCAGTTCCTAAAAGACACATGAAGTTCTTTGAAGAAAAAAATGTAAATGGTATCATTCATCCAGGGAGTACTATTTAAAATACATCTCCTTAAGGCCAGAACCTAACAGGTAGCAGATCCAGGTCTAAAGTTCTGCAATGGAAAACACTGGAAATTGCAGGTCTTCTGGCCTGAACATTTAAACCCATTGAGTTTTGGGAAAGGAGATTGCTGGAATGCCTTGGGTGTCTGGAAAAAAGAGCACTGGCCTGCAAGGTAAGTTGAAGTTTTGCTTAAGAAGAGAATGAACACAATGCTAAGAATCATAACTGACCCTCAGCATTTCCAGATGTGGAACCAAGTGTCAGCATAAATTTCCCCAGATTTGTTTCGAGGACGGGCTTGTCTAGCAGTGCTGGAGGGAACACACAAGAAGGCGCCACAGTAGTGGCCAACCTTCCCCGTGAGAAAGGGCTCCACTTATGTCCTACCCAGCACATAGCTCATTCTCGAAGCCAGCTCTCAAGAGAGAAGGCAGAGCCATGCTTTGACTGCTTTGGGACAGACTCTCCCTATCTTCAATAAAGGAATTCACTCCTCACCCATGCATCTTAAGCCATGGTTCAAGACACAGAAATAGTTAGCTTTCTTCACTAACACTGTATTCTACACATTTCCATACATACGTATGACCATGTAATCTTTATAATCATAATTTTAATTTTTGATAATTATCCCTTAAGTAACTATTTTATAATATAATTCACTGTTCCCCTGCTATCAGAAATTGAGGCCCTTTTGATTATTTAATATAAAAAAATCTATAATTAATATTAATACTAATTATAGCATCAATCATTCATTGATACTTCAGTCATTACGCAGTGTTTCCTGTCATCCAGAGTGTCTCTTTCAATGGGATTTACAGGAATCATTGGTGTACACAGCCCTTTGGCCCTTTTGTCACACCATCACTTGAAAATCCACTAGCAAGCAAGCGAAAGGGGAAAAAAAAGGATTAAGAAAATGTTCATTCAATGAAATCTGAAAGTAAAACTGTGGTGGGATCTATGCAAGTCTTTAAAAATCAAATTGACTTTTTCAAAATGCAAAAATTGAAAAAGTGGCCGAAATTGCCAGCAATCTTAATCATCTGAATGTAATAATTCCACAGCCACATACACCAAAATAATACTGTTTGTCCAGTCCTTTTACATCTTCAGAGATAAAACAGCATAGCACATGATTACATACAGTGCTTACTTTGTGCCAAGTAGTTTTGTGTTTTATGTGATTTATGAACTCATCAAACCCTTGGAAAAAAGCAATGAGGAAGCTACTATTTTGTTTTCTATTTTCAAATAAGAAAGTGAGTGTGAGAGAGGTTAAGTAAGCTGCCCAAAGTCAGAGCTAGAAGGTTGCAGGGGTTGAATATTAACCCAGGCAGTTCAGCTCTGGAAGCTATGCTCTTCACCACCATACTTACTGCCTTTCCAGAATGCATGTTGGCTAATCCCTGTTGGCTTTCTTCAGTAACATTATATTATATACATACTTCCAAATGTGTATGTGACTATATGGACTTTATCATGACCATTTTAATTGTTGCAAAATGTTTTCATATAATTTTCCATGATAATTTAACCCTTCCCCCACTACTGGAAACTGAGTTCCTCTAGTTGATTAAAATTATTAACAATCTATAACACATAATTCCATAAATATGATTATTTTCAAGCCATTTTGTAAAATTTCCTTGATATAGATTCCCATCATTGGTATTGCTGGGTCAAGGGGTACACATTTTTATGATCTTGCTACATATTTCAACAATGATTTCCAAAAGAGTCATTCTAATTCACATCACCAACATTACTATATGAAAATACAAGATTCATTGAAGCCTTGCTAGAATTGGATATTATAAATTATATTTTTAAATTTAATGGATTAAAAAATGACCCCCTCATATTAATTTTCATTTGATTACTAATAATGTGAAACACTTTTTAATAATCTTATTTTGAAGCCAGGTTTATTACAATACAATCTATGCACGGTAAAATTAATCATTTTTAGGCATATGATTTTGGCAAGTATTTATAATCATATAACTACCACCTCAGTCAAGATATAAAATATTTCCATCACTCTCTAAGTTCTCTTAGGCCTCTTTGCAGTCAATCCCCCACCCCTGGCAACCTCTAATCTGTTTTCTCATGATTTTTACTCCTACTTTTTCCAGAATGTCATACAAATAGAACCATACAGTTCGTATGATTTTGTGTCTGGCTTCTGTTATTTAGCATAATGATTTTGAGATCAGCCACGTTGTTGCATGTATCAGTAGTCTGTTCCTTTTCTAGCTGAGGGGTACTTGATTGTCTGAATGTGCCACAATTTGTTTATCCATTCACCAGTTGGCAGACAGCTGGGACATTTGTCTCCCAGTTTTAGTGATTATGCATAAAGTGGCTATAAATATTTGCAAACAGGTTTTTATGAGAATACTCATCTTCTTTTGGAATTTTTGTCCATGTAATTTTCTTTACTGGGAGATGAAGATTTTTGTTTTTTTAAAATTTTTATGAGCTCCTTATTGAATAAAAATTTGAACTCTTTTTCAAACATATTTTCAAGACTTACTTATTCTAGTCTTTAAGATTGTTTTTTACTTAAGCTTTAAATTTTAAAATGTACTGAAACCAGTCAATCTCTTCCTTCATTATTTATTTTATTACTTCTATGCTTAGAAAATTATCTCTATTTTAGAGGTTTGATAAATACTACATTTTCTTCATTGATAGGTGGTTTGAATTTTTTATATTGAATTTCTGATCATCTGGAATTGGTTTTATTCACTGGGTAACATCCTTTGTCTTTACCTATGTAATACTTTATAATTCTAATAATATTTGCACATATTGCCCTATTACAGAAATCTATAAAGGTCAATAAAGGAAGTCTATGCAAAAGACATTATTCAACACTGTGTCCCAGGCTTTAAAGAGATGAAATAAGTAGAGGATGCAGTTTCTGCTCTTGAGTAGCTTTTAGACAAATTAAAGGTCAGACAGGTACTTCAGGTAGAAGGACAATTCAGGATAAATATTTCTGTTTGCCTCAGTTGTTACTAGAACCAGAGTCCCAGAATTTATGGCACAATCAGGAGGGCTGGAATGTTGATTTGGAATTTTAGGCCTTATCAAAAATTCTGTGTTAACTGGACTGATTGCACATCAGCCTATATAGTAGCTGATAGGACATCAGAAATAGCCAGGACAAATCTGCCATCAGTAGACTTTGCCTGATCATAACCACGGTTGATCAATAAGTGACAGTGGAAAACTCACTTTCTCAGCTTACATCTTCAGCCACTCCGAATCCTTCTACCCTCTATCTAGACCGGTGGAGTAAGGACCTTAAAGGAAGTAGAGTGGGCTCTACCTCAACTCATCCACCCAATTGCTTGTAGAGAGAAAGAGGAAGCAAGAAAATGAATGAGAGAAAAATGGCACACCAATTGTGCCTCTTAATCAGTGTCTTGGTCTGTCACCAAGATTCTATCCTAAGCATAGCATCCCTGTGGTTTGGGGACTCATTCGAGTCTTCTTCATTGCAGCTCAGGAGTCAGACAAACACAGGGTCAAATGCTGGCTCTGTCACTTATTAGTAAGATTGTAACTTTGTAAATATATTTCTGTATATAGATATAGGTGCACAGGAAAAAAAAACACTGTAAATCATTAAAGGAGGGAGCATTACCCTTCTGGGAATCAAGGTGGAGATGGCATCTGTAATAGTGATCAAACCCTAGGGAGAAGATAATCCCATCCTAACAACAGCAGCTGACATTCAATGAGCACTTGTTACACCCTGCATGTGTCTACACTTCAATACACTAGCTTCAGGCCTCCTGCTGTCGCACCCTAAAGAATACATTATTAACCTATTTTACTAATGAGGAATTGGGGCTCAGGGGACTTAGATACTTTCTTTAATAACCCTACACAGCTCTGAAGTAAAGGAGTTAGGATTTGAATCTAAATCAGCCAGATCCTAGAACATGAATTCTAACCTTGATACTGTACTTAGTGGCACTAAGTGGTGGCCACTAGATTATTTCAGCTTCAACTCCTGTGGCTTTTGCTTCTATTGCTAAACCTTGGAGGTTCTGCATTTTGTTTTAATAAGGGAGGTGGTTTCCCTAACAACTCTCAAATCGCTTCCGTACAGGTCTAGAAACATTCATTTCCCTCTCATTTTCTCAACCGTGTGATGTATTGTTATCACTAATTAGTCTAAGGGCATTGGAGAAAAGGGGCTTATTGGGACTAACCCTTATATGGTTGCAAGACTCAGTTATTTTCCCAAAGAGGGGCTTCATGGGTGGGTCTAAGGCTTGCTTTTAACCCCACTATTATGGTTGACATCTCCCTTGTAACCTTGGATCCAATGCCCAAGAGCCGTTCTTGATCCCATTTAGCGATTGGCAAAGTGAAGGGCAGATTGCCTTCTTATGAAGTCTGACAGCTTTCCTTTGCCCAGGACTAGCCTGACTGGGAGAGGTGTTTAAGAGGGATGCTTCCAAAGTAACCAGGGGCGAAAAGAAATGGGAGATATTTGACATCCTTGATCTCCTGTTAGATTAGTGCAGTGAGAAGTGAGACAGGGCTGCCATCGGGGAGGTGGCCTCACTTAAATGTGGGTGGGTACAAGAGGTTAGAAAGTTTCGAGGGAGGCTGTTAGGGTTATTTGAAGGGAGAGAGGAGTTTGGACCTCTTAGATGTTGGTTGGTAATTTAATGCTGGCTGTGGAATCCACTGGCCATCAATTTTGATGAGCTGCCCTAGCTGGAGAGGTCACATTTAAGCTCTCTGACTAGAGCTCATTTGCTCTTTGTGTGCAAAGCAAGACAAACTGTTGATTCCATTGTTTTTTGTTGGTACTGCTCCTGCATGCTGAAACACTTCCTTCTACTTGGGGTAGAACACTTTTAAGGCACTCAGTTGCCGGTTTATATCAGCTTCTGATGTCTGAACCGAGTAATCTATGGCTGTCAGCTTCCATAAGAAGTATGATAACAGATTTAGGAATATGTGGGAATATATGCATCTTTAAATCTTTGCTATGATTGCTTCACTTTATGGGGTGGATAATTTGAACTAAAAGATGTCTAGACTTGGAATGTGTGACCACACTTGAGTTCACAAGTTGTGAAGCCCATAAAACGCTGGCCTCCTGTCACTCTTCTCCCAACCAGCAGCAGGGTCCGCTCTGACCTTGGGGTCAGAGTGCTTTTATGCTCATTGTGCTTTGGCACTCAACTTCCACCTCTGGGATCTACAGTCAGCTTTTTCCTCTCAGCAGCTTAGGTCCCTTGAGAAAAAATTTTCCCCACCCTGAACTCTAAACCAGGACCTGATCAAAATCACTTCCTCACAGCATTTTGTCCAAAAACAGAGTCAGTATCCTCTGCTCCTGGAGGCATTTTAACGTTTTATTTGTTTTTTTTTTTAAATCAGGATTATACTGCACATGATTTAAAGAATCAAATACATCTATAAGACATTTAGAAAAACACAGCAGCCTCTCTGCATCTGCTCATCACTCCCAAATGACTCTTGCTTTCAAATCTGCTGGCCCTTTCTTTTGGTCTTTATCTCCAAATTCTTAAATCATATGCTTCTACTGAAACTCAGGAATTTTCAGTTTTAAGCATTGTCTATTGATTTCCAACCATTCCAACCATGGGAAATGAGCATTTATCCCTCTTTCCCACCTCCACTCAATTCAGCCACACACAGACATTTCTGACCCCCTTTTCTCAATATATTATAATTGTAATTTGATTGATAAGTAGTCCTTATATAATAATGTCTCTGTAAACTCTGTAGCTGAGTCGTGTATATTACTTTCCTAGCAAAGTTTTGTTTTCCTTGAATTTAATAAATAATTCTCTTTTTTTTCTTTTTTTTTTTTTTGAAACAGTCTCTCTCTGTCGCCCAGGCAGTGGTGTGATCTCAGCTCACTGCAATCTCTACTTCTTGGGTTCAAGTGATTCTCCTGCTTCAGTCTTCTGAGTAGCTGAGATTACAGGTGCATGCTGCCACATCTGTCTAATTTTTGTATTTTTAGTAGAGACGGGGTTTCTCTATGTGGCCAGGCTGGTCTCGAACTCCTGGCCTCAAGTGATCCACCTGCCTCAGCCTCCCAAATTGCTGGGATTACAGGCATGAGCCACTGCACCCAGCCCATTTGCCCAGTTTTCTATGCAACTATGTCTACTATATTTCTAAGGTCTCCCCAACTTGTGTAACTCTCAGTACTTTTACATACATGAGATAATTCTATTAATTGCTTATGCTTGAAGAGGTGTCACGTTTCCCTTCTCTTAGATCTTTTATTTCATGCATTCTATGTGAGAAATAAAAATAAAATCCTAAGTCCCCCAACCAACTGAATGAACTCCCCCTCTTGGCCAAGAGGACTCCAGAGAAACCTTTAAAAACTGAATTCTCAGCCATGACAGGATGGGAAGTGGTACATACCTCATTATACCTCCTCCTTCACTAACGGCCATTAGGCTTTCTTCCCTAAGGACTGAAGAGAAATCACCACTGATTTTAACCAACCACCTGATGCTGCCCCTCCCTTTTGTGGTTTCGACACAGCAAGTGACCAGCATTCCTTCCTAATAAGAGACCACCGACCATGGAATGGTTCTGGCCAGTCTATGGAGGGCTGCACAATGAAGGCCTTTGCACCCTCTGCTTCACCTTTTGATGTATATGGCTTCATTGTAATACATTTAAATATTAAGCCTCCACCCCCAGTTGAACATGGGATGCATGTTACATACATGCTATTCTTCTATGCATGTGTGTGCCTCCCCTTCATAAATGTTCAAAGCTCTTCCTATAACCTGTTGAATATGTATACTTAGCCAACCCATTCAGCATACATTCCTGTCTCATCCTTCCTTCCTTTCCTCCAAGTGCTTGTTCTTGGAGAAGCTTCTTCCAGAGGCTATGCTTCCCAGCCTGCGGGATGGCCAGCCTCTAGGCTGCAACCCTTTAGGAGAAATACAGCTCTCCTTTCCAAATTTATGAATCGCATGCTTTTTCAGTTGATCTATATCTGCCTCTTTCTTGGTTTATTCCTTTGTTTTGATGAAGTACCTTTGAGAAGGAAGTACATAGGAGGTAAGTTTTTTGAGAATTTGGATTCTGAAAATGTCTTTGATTTACCCAAAGGGGATTCCATTTATCTCAGATATTCAACATAGAATCCTACGTTGAAATTTATTTTTCTTCAGAATTTTTAAGGAATTGCTCCCATGCCTTCTAGCTTCCAGTGTTGAGAAGGCTGATGCCATTCTGATTCTTGATCCTTTGTATAACATCTTTTTTTCTGTTTGGAAACTTTTAGAATCTTTTCTCTCCTATTGCCTTAGGTTGGGTTTTCTAGAAATAATCTGAGACAGAAATTTGAGTGCATGTGATTAATTGAGGCATTAATCTTGGGAGAGAAGATAAGCTAAGGAAGCACCCTGGGTCTAGGGAATGAGCTAAGGATGCGGTCTCCACTGGAGCTTCCATCTGATCCAGTGGAATGCCCTGGAGCAAGAGTTGAACCACAGAATTCGTACCCTTTTTGAGACAAGGTGACTGACCTTTGGAACCTTCAAGTCAGTTAGTCATTGGTTGTGAGTTCTCCCGTGTAGGAGTTGAGTGGTTGTTGGAACCTCCCAGATGACACAGCTTCTGCTTTGCTGAAGGCAATTCTCCAGAGAAGAGGTCTGTAGGTTATTAGCAGCCAACACGCAGAGCAGTTGCACGCATTGGCTTAGTAAAGGGGACCCGGTCAAGGTACTAACAATGTCTTCTAGACATGTATCTGAAATTTCACAATGATTGCCTTTCACTCTGGAAACTCTGTACTTCATTCAGTTTTGGGACATCTTCTTCAATTATTTTGTGGATGAAAACATCTTCTCCAGAACTCCTTTTATTCAGATGTTGAAGCTCTTTGACTTGTCCTCTAGTATTTTCTTATCTGTTCTCTCCTATGTCTCTTCTCTTTTTCATTTTGTTCTTTCTGTGTCTTTCTTTTGAGTCTTTTTAAATTTCTGAGATCTTATTTCTAATTTCTAAGACCTCTTCTTTGCTCTGAATATTCTTTATGTTAATAGTTTTCTGCCCATTTCATGGTTGCAATTTCTTCTTTTCTGATAATAGTAGTTCCCCCCTACCCCTAGTGTTTCTTCTCCTTTCATAGTCTGTGTTTCCTCTAACTTGCTTTGTCTCTATTTTTTTATATTGAGGCGTTCCCCTACTATGTCTATTTCACTGCATGATCATATTTGATAGTGGGACACTGGAACACAGATTGGAAACTCTGGCCGGTGGGGTCATTGACTGTGAACTTCATGGTGGGGTGAGCTGGATAGGCTATTTTCTGGGGGAACTCTAAGAGTGTTAGGTCTTTTCTTGGGAATTGATCAGGGTCTACAGAGAAGCCTTTACTAGTGTTTTGCATGCAGGATATAAATCTGATTTTCAATGTTTTGAGAGCCAAGTAGGGGGAGATGACTGGTTGAGTTTCAACATTCAGTAAACATTCATTTTATCTCCGTATTTTTATTACATCATCTCCATCCTCAGCTGTGACTGACGTTCTCTAATCTAGAGACTATGACTCACCTTTTCAAAGACCAACCCTCTGTCTTCTTTAGGGTTAGAGAGAGCCTGTCACCTGGCTCCATGGGATAAGAGAAGGGATATGAGTGGTCTAACTGCTTCTTAAACAGACTTTCAATAAATACTGCTTGTTTTAGCTCTACTCTCTCCCAACTTCTAGAAGTGCCTGATGCCTCAAATTTTTGAGATTGTTGTGAATTCTTTACTGTAAATTGTGTCTCCATTCCTCCCATTTAAAATTCAGCTTTCTTGGGCCTACTAATCAGTAACTATTCATCCGTGTATTTTCCAACTTCCAAAATTTTGTTGCTATTATCTCCTCTTGAAAATTCTTTATTTTTATATGTTTATGCCTTTTTTCATCCTTTTACTATTATTTCAGTGGAATTTAAGGAGGCAGTAAACATTGAGGCATGTGTTTAGTCTGATATCTTTAATAAAAATCCTCAATAGAATCTTCTAAGCTCCTTAAAAAATTCTCAGCCTCTTATTACTCATTTTTACTGGGCTGGGTCTGCCTTGCTCATTGGTAAGGACTGCCCTCATCACCTACATGCTCTTTCTAGTATGTACCTCCCACTGGGTATCTAGCAATAATTTCTTTGCTAAACATTTACACAACATTATTCACTCAACATTGTATTTGATCCTCAAAGAGCATATCTAGTTGGAGGAGAAAAAACACACAGCACAACAAAGGGTTATTCCAATGTGTTAAAGAATAAAAAACTCACAGATTCGTAGTACCCCCAATTTTTGAATAGTGTATTCAAACTCCACATTAATATTTTACTAATTCACATTCTTAAAGTTCCCTCAATCCACAAACATTTTATGAGAGGTGTTTTCACTATATGTTTCTAAGGTATTGGGTCAGCCTGTTCTCACACTGCTGTAAAGAAAACCTGAGACTGGGTAATTTATAAAGAGAAGAGGTTTAATTGGCTCACAGCTCTGCATACTCTATAGGAAGTATGGCTGAGGAGGCCTCAGGAAACTTATAATCATGGCAGAAAGCAAAGGGGAAGCACGCATATTTTCACATGGCCAGAGCAGGAGGAAGACAGACTGGGAGAGGTACTACACACTTTTAAACAACCAGATCTTGTGATAACTCACGCTTGCCATGACAATTCCAAGGGGGGTGGTGTTAACCCATGAGAAACTACCCCCATGATTCAATCACCTCCCACCAGGCACAACCTCCAACATTGAGGATTATAATTAGTCATGAGATTTGGGTGGGGACCCAGGGCCAAACCATATCATTTTGCCCCTGGCCCCTTCCAAATCTCATGTCCTTCTCACATTGCAAAATACAATCATGCCTTTTCAACATTTCCCCAAAGTCTTTATTTTTTCTTTTTAATTATACTTTAAGTTCTAGGGTACATGTGCACAACGTGCAGGTTTGATACATAGGTATACTTATGTCATGTTGGTTTGCTGCACCCATCAACTCGTCATTTACATTAGGTATTTATCCTAATGCTATCTGACCCCCAGCACCACAATCCCTGACAGGCCCTGGTGTGTGATGTTCCCCTCCCTGTGTTCAAGTGTTCTCATTGTTCAATTCCCACCTATGAGTGAGAACATGTGGTGTTTGGTTTTCTGTCCTTGTGATAGTTTGCTGAGAATGATGGTTTCCAGCTTCATCCATGTCCCTGAAAAGGACATGAACTCATCCTTTTTTATGGCTGCATAATATTCCATGGTGTATATGTGCCACATTTTCTTAATCCAATCTATCATTGTTGGACATTTGGGTTGGTTCCAAGTCTTTGCTATTGTGAATAGTGCCACAATAAACAATATGTGTGCATGTGTCTTTATAGTAGAACGATTTATAATCCTTTGGGTATATACCCAGTAATGGGATTGCTGGGTCAAATGGTATTTCTAGATCTAGATCCTTGAGGAAACGCCACACTGTCTTCCACAATGGTTGAAGTAGTTTACACTCCCACCAACAGTGTAAAAGCATTCTTATTTCTCCACATCCTCTCCAGCATCTGTTGTTTCCTGACTTTTTAATAATTGCCATTCTAACTGGCATGATATGGTATCTCATTGTGGTTTTGATTTGCATTTTTCTAATGACCAGTGATGATGAGCATTTTCTCTTGTGTCTGTTGGCTGCATAAATGTCTTCTTTTGAGAAGTGTCTGTTCATATCCTTTGCCCACTTTTTGATGGGGCTGTTTGTTTTTTTCTTGTAAATTTGTTTAAGTTCTTTGTAGATTCTGAATATTAGCCCTTTGTCAGATGGGTAGATTGCAAAAATTTTCTCCCATTCTGTAGGTTGTCTGTTCACTCTGATAATAGTTTCTTTTGCCATGCAGAAGCACTTTAGTTTCAATAGATCCCATTTGTCTGTTTTGGCTTTTGTTGCCATTGCTTTTGGTGTTTTAGTCATGAAGTCCTTGCCCATGCCTATGTCCTGAATAGTATTGCGTAGGTTTTCTTCTAGGGTTTTATGGTTTTTAGGTCTAACATTTAAGTCTTTAATCCATCTTGAATTATTTTTTGTATGAGGTGTAAGGAAGGGAACCAGTTTTAGCTTTATATATATGGCTAGCCAGTTTTCCCAGCACCATTTATTAAATAGGGAATCATTTCCCCATTTCTTGTTTTTGTCAGTTTTGTCAAAGATCAGATGGTTGTAGATGTGTGGTGTTATTTCTGAGGCCTCTGTTCTGTTTCATTGCTCTATATCTCTGTTTTGGTACCAGTGCCATGCTGTTTTGGTTACTGTAGCCTTGTAGTATAGTTAGAAGTCAGGTAGTGTGATGCCTCCAGCTTTGTGGTTTTTGCTTAGGATTGTCTTGGCAATGTGGGCTCTTTTTTGGTTCCATATGAACTTTAGCTTTTTTCTAATTCTGTGAAGAAAGTCATTGGTAGCTTGATGGGCATGGCATTGAATCTATAAATTACTTTGGGCAGTATGGCCATTTTCACAATATTGATTCTTCCTATCCATGAGCATGGAATGTTCTTCCATTTGTTTGTGTCCTCTTTTATTTCATTGAGCAGTGGTTTGTAGTTCTCCTTGAAGAGGTCCTTCACGTCCCTTGTAAGTTGGATTCCTAGGTATTTTATTCTCTTTGAAGCAATTGTGAATGGGAGTTCACTCATGATTTAGTTCTCTGTTTTTCTGTTATTGGTGTATAGGAATGCTTGTGATTTTTGCACATTGATTTTGTATCCTGAGAGTTTGCTGAAGTTTCTTATCAGCTTAAGGAGATTTTGGGCTGAGACGATGGGGTTTTCTCAATATACAATCATGTCATCTGCAAACAGGGACAATTCGACATCCTCTTTTCCTAACTGAATACCCTTTATTTCTTTCTCTTGCCTGATTGCCCTCGCCAGAACTTCCAACACTATGTTGAATAGGAGTGGAGAGAGAGGGCATCCTTATCTTGTGCTGGTTTTCAAAGGGAATGGTTCCAGGTTTTGGCCATTCAGTATGATATTGGCTGTGGGTTTGTCATAAATAGCTCTTATTATTTTAAGATACGTTCCATCAGTATCTAGTTTATTGGGGGTTTTTAGCATGAAGGGCTGTTGAAAGTTGTCGAAGTCCTTTACTGCATCTATTGAGATAATCATGTGGTTTTTGTCATTGGTTCTGTTTATGTGATGGATTACATTTATTGATTTGCATATATTGAACCAGACTTCCAACCCAGGGATGAAGCTGACCTGATTGTGCTGGATAAGCTTTTTGATATGCTGCTGGATTCAGTTTGCCAGTATTTTATTGAGGATTTTTACATTGATATTCATTAGGGATATTAGTCTAAAATTCTCTTTTTTTTTGTTGTGTCTCTGCTAGGCTTTGGTGTCAGGATGATGCTGCCTCATAAAATGAGTTAGGGAGGATTCCCTCTTTTTCTGTTGATTGGAATAGTTTCAGAAGGAATGGTACCAGCCCTCTTTTTACCTCTGGTAGAATTCGGCTGTGAATCCATCTGGTCCTGGACTCTTTTTGGTTGGTAGGCTATTAATTATTGCCTCAATTTCAGAACCTGTTCTTGGTCTACTCAGAGATTCAACTTCTTCCTGGTTTAGTCTTGGGAGGGTGTATGTGTCCAGGAATTTATCTGTTTCTTCTTGATTTTCTTGTTTATTTGCATAGAGGTGTTGACAGTATTCTCTGATGGTAGTTTGAATTTCTGTGGGATCGGTGATGATATCCCCCTTATCATTTTTTATTGCATCTATTTGATTCTTCTCTCTTTTCTTCTATATTAGTCTTGCTAGCAGTCTATCAATTTTGTTGATCTTTTCAAAAAACCAGGTCCTGGATTCATTGATTTTTTGAAGGGTTTTTTTTTGTCTCTATCTCCTTCAGTTTTGCTCTGATCTTAGTTATTTCTTGTCTTCTGCTAGCTTTTGAATTTGTTTGCTCTTGCTTCTCTAGTTCTTTTAATTGTGATGTTAAGGTGTCGATTTTAGATCTTTCCTGCTTTCTCTTGTGGGCATTTAGTGCTATAAATTTCCCTTTACACATTGCTTTAAATTTGTCCTAAAGATTCTGGTACGTTGTGTCTTTGTTGTCATTGGTTTCAAAGAGCACCTTTATTTCTGCCTTCATTTCATTATTTACCCAGTAGTCATTCAGGATCAGGTTGTTCAATTTCCATGTAGTTGTGCTGTTTTGAGTGACTTTCTTAATCCTGAGTTATAATTTCATTGCACTGTGGTCTGAGAGACAGTTTGTTGTGATTTCTGTTCTTTTACATTTGCTGAGGAGTGCTTTACTTCCAATTATGTGCTAAACTTTAGATAAGTGTGATTTGGTGCTGAGAAGAATGTATATTCTTTTGATTTGGGGTGTAGAGTTCTGTAGATGTCTATGAGGTCTACTTGGTGGAGAGATGAGCTCAAGTCCTGGATATCCCTGTTAACCTTCTGTCTCATTAATCTGTCTAATATTGACAGTGGGCTGTTAAAGTCTCCCATTGTTATTGTGTGGGAGTCTAAGTCTCTTTTAGGTCTCTAAGGACTTTCTTTATGAATCTGGGTGCTCCTGTATTGGGTGCTTATATATTTAGGATAACTAGCTCTTCTTGTTGAATTGATCCCTTTACCATTATGTAATAGCCTTCTTTGTCACTTTTGATCTTTGTTGGCTTAAAGTCTCTTTTCTCAGAGACTAGAATTGCAACCCCTGCTTTTTTTTGCTTTTCACTTCCTCGGTAGCTCTTCCTCCATCTCTTTATTTTGAGCCTGTGTGCATCTTTGCACGTGAGATGGGTCTCCTGAATACAGCACACTGATGGGTGTTGGCTCTATCCCGTTTGCCAGTCTGTGTCTTTTAATTGGGGCATTTAGCCCATTTACATTTAAGGTTAATACTGTTATGTGTGAATTTGATCCTGTCACTATCATGTTAGCTGGTTATTTTGCTCATTAGTTGATGCAGTTACTTCCTAGCATCGATGGTCTTTACAATTTGGCATGTTTTTCTAGTGACTTGTACCGGTTGTTTCTTTCCATGTTTAGTGCTTCCTTCAGGAGCTCTTGTAAGGCAGGCCTGGTGGTGACAAAATCTCTCAGCATTTGCTTGTCTGTAAAGTATTTTATTTCTCTTTCAATTATGAAGATTAGTTTGGCTGGATATGAAATTCTGGGTTGAAAATTCTTTTCTTTAAGAATGTTGAATATTGGCCCCCAATCTCTTCTGGCTTGTAGAGTTTCTGCCAAGAGATCTGCTGTTAGTCTGATGGGCTTCCCTTTGTGGGTAACCTGACCTTTCTCTCTGGCTGCCCTTAACATTTTTTCCTTCATTTCAACCTTGGTGAATCTGACAATTATGTGTCTTGGAGTTGCTCTTCTCGAGGAGTATCTTTGTGGTGGTCTCTGTATTTCCTGAATTTGAATGTTCACCTGCCTTGCTAGGTTGGGGAAGTTCTCCTGGATAATATCCTGCAGAGTGTTTTCCAACTTGGTTCCATTCTCCCCATTACTTTCAGTTACACCAATCAAATGTAGATTTGACCTTTTCACATAGTCACATATTTCTTGTAGGCTTTGTTTGTTTCTTTTTACTCTTTTTTCTCTAAACTTGTCTTCTCACTTTATTTCATTAATTTGATCTTCAATCACTGATATCCTTTCTTCCACTTGATCGAATCTGCTATTGAAGCTTGTGCATGCATCAAGAAGTTCTTGTGCCATGGTTTTTAGCTTCTTCAGGTCATTTAAGGTCTTTTCTACACTGCTTATTCTAGTTAGCCATTCGTCTAACTTTTTTCAAGGTTTTTAGCTTCCTTGCAATGGATTCGAACATGCTCCTTTAGCTTGGAGAAGTTTATTATTACCAACCTTCTGAAGCCTACTTCTGTTAACTCATCAAAGTCATTCTCCATCCAGCTTTGTTCCATTGCTGGCAAGGAGCTGTGATCCTTTGGAGAAGAGGTGGTCGGTTTTTAGAATTTTCAGCTTTACTGCTCTGGTTTCTCCCCATCTTTGTGGTTTTATCTACCTTTGGCCTTTGATGTTCGTGACCTACAGATGGGGTTTTGGTGTAGATGTCCTTTTTTTGACGTTGATTCTATTCCTTTCTGTTTGTTAGTTTACCTTCTAACAGTCAGGTCCCTCAGCTGCAGGTCTGTTGGAGTTTGCTGAAGGTCCACTCCAGACTTTGTTTGCTTGGGTATCACCAGCAGATGCTGCAGAACAGCAAATATTACAGAACAGCAAACATTGCTGCCTGATCCTTCCTCTGGAAACTTCTTCCCAGTGGAGCACCTGCCTATATGAGGTGTCTATCGGCCCCTACTGGGAGATGTCTCCCAGTTAGGCTACATGGAGGTCAGGGGCCCACTGGAGGAGGCAGTCTGTCCATTCTCAGAGCTCAAACACTGTGCTGGGAGAACAACTGCTCTTTTCAGAGCTGTCAGACAGGGACGTTTAAGTCTGCAGAAGTTGTCTGCTGCCTTTTGTTCAGCTATGCCCTGCCCAAAGACGTGGAGTTTATAGAGGC
The DNA here is from genome assembly GCF_000001405.40 of Homo sapiens. NCBI lineage: Eukaryota > Metazoa > Chordata > Mammalia > Primates > Hominidae > Homo > Homo sapiens. Next base: position 53,833,865 of record NC_000004.12, on the reverse strand, counting down.
AATAGGCCTTGCTGAGCTGCTGTGGGCTCCACCCAGTTCAAGCTTCCTGGCTGCTTTGTTTACCTACTCAAGCCTCAGCAATGGTGGATGCCCCTCCCCCAGCCAGACTACTACCGTGCAGTTCGATTTCAGACTGCTGCACTAGCAGTGAGCAAGGCTCCATGGGCATGGGACCTGGTGAACTAGGCATGGGAGAGAATCTCCTTGTCTGCTGGTTGCTAAGACCTTGGGAAAAGTGCAGTATTTGGGCAGGAGTGTCCCATTTTTCCAGGTACAGTCTGTCACAGCTTCCCTTGGCTAGGAAAGGGAAATCCCCTGACCCCTTGTGCTTCCTGAGTGAGGCAATGCTCTGCCCTGCTTTGGCTCACTCTCCATGGGCTGGACACTGTCCAACCAGTCCCATTGAGATGAACTGGGTACCTCAGTTGAAAATGCAGAAATCACCTGTCTTCTGTGTCAATTACACTGGGAGCTGCAGACCGGAGCTGTTCCTATTCGGCCATCTTGGAACGGACCTCAACATTCCCCCAAAGTCTTAACTCATTCCAGCATCAACTGAAAAGTCCACCCTCCAAAGTCTCATCTGAGATAAGGCTATATAAGCCTTGTCTATGAAACTATGAACTTGTAAAATCAATACCAGTTAGTTACTTCTAAGATAGAATGGGGGTATAGGCATTGAGTAAATACTCCTGTTACAAAAAGAAAGAAAATGGCCAGAAGAAAGGGTCTACAGGTCTCATGCAAGCCCAAAACCCAGCAGGGGAGTCATTAAATCTTCAAGATCCAAAATAATTTCCTTTTACTCCATGGCTTACATCCAGGGCACACTGGTGAAAAGGGTGGGCTCCCAAGGCCTCAGACAACTTTGCCTCTGAGGTTCTGCAGGGTACAGCTCTTTTGGCTGCTTTCATAGGCTGGCACTGACTGCCTGCAGCTTTTCCATGTGCAAAGTGCAAGCTGTTGGTGGATCTACAATTCTAGGGTCTGGAGGTTGATGTCCCTCTTCTCACAGCTCCACTAGATAGTGCCCCAGTGGGGATTTTGTGCAAGGGCTCCAACCCACATTTCTTCTCCACACTGCCCTAGTAGAAGTTCTCCATGAGGGCTCCAACGCTACAGCAGGCTTCTGCCTGGACATCCTCATTTTTTTATACATCTTCTGCAGTGTAGATGGAGGCTCCCAAACCTCAACCCTTGTACTCTGTGCACCTGCAGGCTTAAAACCACATGGAAGCTATCAAGGCTTATGGTTTGCACCATCTGGAGCAGCACCTCAAGAAGTATCTGGGGCCCTTTGAGCCAGGGCTAGTGCTAGAGCTGCCAAGATGCAGAGTGCCATGTCCCAATGCTGCACAGAGCAGAAGGGCCCTAGACCTGGCCCACAAAACCATTATTCTCTCCTAGGCCTCAAGGCCTGTGATGGTTGGGGGGCTGCCTAGGACACCTCTGAAATCCCTCTGAGGCCTTTTTCCCATTGTCTTGGCTATTAGCAATTGACTCCTCTTTACTTATGGAAACTGCTGCAGCCTGCTTGAATTCCAACCCTGAAAATGGGTTTTCCTTTTCTACCATATGCCCAGGCTAAAAGTTTTCCAAACTAGTGTGCTCTGCTTTCCTTTTAAAGATAAGTTCAAGTTTCAAGTCACTTATTTGCACACACATATGAGCACAGGCTTTCAGAAGCAGCCAGGTAACATCTTGAATGCTTTGATGTTTAGAAATTTCTTCTGCCAGATACCCTAAATCGTCTCTCTCAAGTTCAAAGTTCCACAGATCCCTAGAGCAGGGGCACAATGCTGCCAGTTTCTTTGCTGACACATAACAAGAGTGACTTTTACTCCAGTTCCCAATAAGTTCATCATTTCCATCTGTGACCTCCTCAGCCTGGATTTCACTGTCCATATCACTATCAGTATTTTGGTCACAGCCATTCAACAAGTCTCTAGGAAGTTTCAAACTTTCCCTCATCTTCCTATCTTCTTCTGAGCCCTCCAAACTGTTGCACCATTATCCAGTTCCAAAGCTGTTTCCACATTTTCGGGTACCTTTATATCAATACCCTACTTCTGGTACCAGTTTTCTGTACTAGTCTGTTTTTGCACTGCTATAAATAAATACCTGAGACTCGGTAATGTATAAAGAAAACAGGTTTAATTGGCTCATGGTTCTGCAGGTTGTACAGGAAGCATGGCTAAGGAGGCCTCAGGAAACTCAAAATCATGTCAGAAGGTGAAGGGGAAGCAGGCATGTCTTCACATGGCCATAAGAGGAGGAAGACAGAGTTGGGAGAGGTGCTACACACTTTTAAACAGCAGATATCATGATAACTCACTCTCACCATGACAATGCAAAAGGGGATGGTGTTAAACCATGACAAACTGCCCCCATTATCCAATCTTCTCCCACCAAGCTCCACCTCCAACATTGGGGATTACAATTTGACATGAGATTTGGGTGGGGACACAGATCCAAACCATGTCAGGTATGCTTCAATGTCAAAGATCTGATTGAAGCTCTAGCATCAGAAACAACTGTAGTGGTGGGAAGCAAAGCTATTTCCTGCCTTTATCTCTTCCTTCTCCATCCCCTGAAGACCATGGAAAAGACTAGCGCCTAATCAGGAGAAAGAAAGTTCAAAAGTTTGAGAAACCTTTTATAATTCAGTTCAACCTCCCATTCAGAATTAGTCACTCATTCTAAAGATCCTGACCAGTGATTAGCTCAAGCCCCTGTTCAGATACCATGAAATGCAACAGAATACCCAAAGAAACCAAACTCTTCATGTTTAGGTGCTGTTTTGGGTTGACTGTGGTAGATGCTGGAAAGAAGAAAGAGAACAAAATATTTCCTAAAAGCATGGGTGGTTATTGGGAGAGAACAATTTAGACAGTCATATACTAGAATACCAGTAAGAACTGACATTGATAAACATTCCCAAGCCATTAAGCCAGTTGTTAAACTCATCTGTTTCTTTGGCATTGAATTCCAAAAGATTTTCTTCTCTAGTTTCTAACTCACCCACATTTTTCCTAAATAGGAAATCTCTCTCTCTTTCTCTCTCTCTCTCTGTCTCTCTGTCTCTCTCTCTGTTTCTCTGAATGAGCATCTCTTGGCAGCCATCCAGTGGACCCTGTTGACACTCAGTGAAAGGTAAACAGTTTTCACAGCACATGTCCACTCCCAGTCACATAAACCTCATTAGCAACTCCTTATCACAGAGTCTCACCCCCTGGATAAACAAAGAAAGGCTAAGAAGTAGTGTGAATACTCAACTTATTGCCAAAAACAGGAGCTGCTTATACAAATTACAGCAGCAAACCCAGCCTTTCATAGAGGATGCTAGAACACTGGTCTGTTTGCCATTCTTCTCTTCTCCCCTGCCCTGTACTACTCTCAGAACCATGAACATTTTCAAGGGATATTAACGTGAAAGTTATTAAATGGAGAGAAACTAACAAATCTAGTTAGTCACAGAGGCCAGCCACAAAACTTTAGAAGCTGAGAGCAGTCAACTGCAGTGAGCTGTATGCATGTGATTGAGAGAGGTGATGTGATAGAAAGAACATGTATTTTGGAGTCTGTTAAGATTTGAATTTCAATCACCAGGTATGTGAGCTGAGGCATTTAGTTAGGCTCTTTTAACTTCAGTAGCTTCAGTAAAATGGAAATGATACTGACATTTAAAAGATTCTTGACCTGGCACAGTGGCTCACACCTGTAATCCCAGCATTTTGGGAGGCTGAAGCAGGTGGATCATGAGGTCAGGAGTTTGAGACCAGCCTGGCCAACATAGTCAAACCCCATCTCTACTAAAAATACAAAAAAATTAGCCAGGTGTGGTGGCAGGCGCCTGTAATCCCAGCTACTCAGGAGGCTGAGGGAGGAGAATCACTTGAATCCAGGAGGCAGAGGTTACAGTAAGCCTAGATGGCACCACTGCACTCCAGTCCAGGTGACAGTGACAGACTCCATCTCAAAAAAAAAAATATATATATATATATGTATATATTATATATATATAATTTTGGGAGTAAACAAGGTAAACACGTAAATACGCTTAGTAAAGGATCCAATTATAGAGAGCCAAGATGGCCGAATAGGAAAAGCTCTGGTCTACAGCTCCCAGCATGAGCGACGCAGAAGACGGGTGATTTCTGCATTTCCATCTGAGGTACTGGGTTCATCTCACTAGGGAGTGCCAGACAGTGGGCGCAGGACAGTGGGTGCAATGCAAAGTGTGTGAGCCGAAGCAAGGCGAGGCATTGCCTCCCTCGGGAAGCACAAGGGGTCAGGGAGTTCCCTTTCCTAGTCAAAGAAAGGGGTGACAGACGGCACCTGGAAAATCAGGTCACTCCCACCCTAATACTGAGCTTTTCGGACTGGCTTAAAAAACGGCGCACCAGGGGATTATATCCCGCACCTGGCTTGGAGGGTCCTACGCCCACGGAGTCTCGCTGATTGCTAGCACAGCAGTCTGAGATCAAATTGCAAAGTGGCAGCGAGACTGGGGGAGGGATGCCTACCATTGCCCAGGCTTGCTTAGGTAAACAAAGCAGCTGGGAAGCTCCAACTGGGTGGAGCCCACCACAGCTCCAGGAGGCCTGCCTGCCTCTGTAGGCTCCACCTCTGGGGGCAGGGCACAGACAAACAAAAAGACAGCAGTAACCTCTGCAAACTTAAATGTCCCCCTCTGACAGCTTTGAAGAGAGCAGCGGTTCTCCCAGCACACAGCTGGAGATCTGAGAACAGGCAGACTGCCTCCTCAAGTGGGTCCCTGACCCCTGACCCCCAAGCAGCCTAACTGGGAGGCACCCCCTAGTAGGGGCAGACTGACATCTCACACAGCCGGGTACTCCTCTGAGACAAAACTTCCAGAGGAACGATCAGACAGCAGCATTCGCGGTTCACGAAAATCTGCTGTTCTGCAGCCACCGCTGCTGATACCCAGGCAAACAGAGTCTGGAGTGGACCTCTAGCAAACTCCAACAGACCTGCAGCTGAGGGTCCTGTCTGTTAGACGGAAAACTAACAAACAGAAAGGACATCCACACCAAAAACCCAAATGTACATCACCATCATCAAAGACCAAAAGTAGATACAACCACAAAGATGCAGAAAAAAACAGATCAGAAAAACTGGAAACTCTAAAATGCAGAGCGCCTCTCCTCCTCCAAAGGAACGCAGTTCCTCACCAGCAATGGAACAAAGCTGGACGGAGAATGACTTTGATGAGTTGAGAGAAGAAGGCCTCAGACGATCAAACTACTCCGAGCTACAGGAAGAAATACAAACCAAAGGCAAAGAAGTTAAAAACTTTGAAAAAAATTTAGATGAATGTATAACTAGAATAACCAATAAAGAGAAGTGCTTAAAGGAGCTGATGGAGCTGAAAGCCAAGGCTTGAGAACTACGTGAAGAATGCAGAAGCCTCAGGAGCCGATGGGATCAACTGGAAGAAAGGGTATCAGTGATGGAAGATGAAATGAATGAAATGAAGCGAGAAGGGAAGTTTAGAGAAAAAAGAATAAAAAGAAATGAGCAAAGCCTCCAAGAAATATGGGACTATGTGAAAAGACCAAATCTGCATCTGATTGGTGTACCTGAAGGTGACGGGGAGAATGGAACCAAGTTGGAAAACACTCTGCAGGATATTATCCAGGAAAACTTCCCCAATCTAGCAAGACAGACCAACATTCAGATTCAGGAAATACAGAGAACACCACAAAGATGCTCCTCGAGAAGAGCAGATCCAAGACACATAATTGTCAGATTCACCAAGGTTGAAATGAAGGAAAAAATGTTAAGGGGAGCCAGAGAGAAAAGTCGGGTTACCGACGAAGAGAAGCCCATCAGACTAACAGCAGATCTCTCAGCAGAAACTCTACAAGCCAGAAGAGAGTGGGGGCCAATATCCGACATTCTTGAAGGAAAGAATTTTCAACCCAGAATTTCATATCCAGCCAAAATAAGCTTCATAAGTGAAGGAGAAATAAAATACTTTACAGACAAGCAAATACTGAGAGATTTTGTCACCACCAGACCTGCCCTAAAAGAGCTCCTGAAGGAAGCACTAAACATGGAAAGGAACAACCGGTACCAGCCACTGCAAAATCATGCCAAATTGTAAAGAACATCGAGGCTAGGGAGAAACTGCATCAACTAATGAGCAAAATAACCAGCTAACATCATAATGACAGGATCAAATTCACACATAACAATATTAACTTTAAATGTAAATGGACTAAATGCTCCAAATTAAAAGACACAGACTGGCAAATTGGATAAAGAGTCAAGACCCATCAGTGTGCTATATTCAGGAAACCCATCTCACGTGCAGAGACACAAATAGGCTCAAAATAAAGGGATGGAAGAAGATCTACCAAGCAAATGGAAAACAAAAAAAGACAGGGGTTGCAATCCTAGTCTCTGATAAAACAGACTTTAAACCAACAAAGATCAAAAGAGACAAAGAAGGCCATTACATAATGGTAAAGGGATCAATTCAACAAGAAGAGCTAACTATCCTAAATATATATGCACCCAATACAGGAGCACCCAGATTCATAAAGCAAGTCCTGAGTGACCTACAAAGAGACTTAGACTCCCACACAATAATAATTGGAGACTTTAACACCCCACTGTCAACATTAGACAGGTCAATGAGACCGAACGTTAACAAGGATACCCAGGAATTGAACTCAGCTCTGCACCAAGCAGACCTAATAGACATCTACAGAACTCTCCACCCCAAATCAACAGAATATACATTTTTTTCAGCACCACACCAACCTATTCCAAAATTGACTACATAGTTGGAAGTAAAGCACTCCTCAGCAAATGTAAAATAACAGAAATTATAACAAACTGTCTCTCAGACCACAATGCAATCAAACTAGAACTCAGGATAAAGAAACTCACTCAAAACCACACAGCTACATGGAAACTGAACAACCTGCTCCTGAATGACTACTGGGTACATAACGAAATGAAGGCAGAAATAAAGATGTTCTTTGAAACCAACAAGAACAAAGACACAAAATACCAGAATCTCTGGGACACATTCAAAGCAGTGTGTAGAGGGAAATTTATAGCACTAAATGCCCACAAGAGAAAGCAGGAAATATCCAAAATTGACACCCTAACATCACAATGAAAATAACTAGAAAAGCAAGAGCAAACACATTCAAAAGCTAGCAGAAGGCAAGGAATAACTAAAATCAGAGCAGAACTGAAGGAAATAGAGACACAAAAAACCCTTCAAAAATTAATGAATCCAGGAGCTGATTTTTTGAAAGCATCAATAAAATTGATAGACTGCTAGCAAGACTAATGAAGAAAACAGAGAAGAATCAAATAGACGCAATAAAAAATGATAAAGAGAATATCACCACCGATCCCACAGAAATACAAACTACCATCAGAGAATACTACAAACACCTCTACGCAAATAAACTAGAAAATCTAGAAGAAATGGACAAATTCCTCGACACATACAACCTCCCAAGACTAAACCAGGAAGCAGTTGAATCTCTGAGTAGACCAATAACAGGCTCTGAAATTGTGGCAATAATCAATAGCTTACCAACCAAAAAGAGTCCAGGACCAGATGGATTTACAGCTGAATTCTACCAGAGGTACAAGGAGGAACTGGTACCATTCCTTCTGAAACTATTCCAATCAATAGAAAAAGAGGGAATCCTCCCTGACTCATTTTATGAGGCCAGCATCATCCTGATACCAAAGCTGGGCAGAGGCACAACCAAAAAACAGAATTTTAGACCAATATCCTTGATGAATATTGATGCAAAAATGCTCAATAAAATACTGGCAAACCAAATCCAGCAGCACATCAAAAAGCTTATCCATCATGATCAACTTGGCTTCATCCCTGGGATGCAAGGCTGGTTCAATATATGCAAATCAATAAATGTAATCCAGCATATAAACAGAACCAAAGACAAAAACCACATGATTATCTCAATAGATGCAGAAATGGCCTTTGACAAAATTCAACAACCCTTCATGCTAAAAACTCTCAATAAATTAGGTATTGATGGGACATATCTCAAAATAATAAGAGCTATCTATGACAAACCCACAGCCAATATCATACTGAATGGGCAAAAACTGGAAGCATTCCCTTTGAAAACTGGCACAAGACAGGGATGTGCTCTCTCACCACTCCTATTCAACATAGTGTTGGAAGTTCTGGCCAGGGCAATTAGGCAGGAGAAGGAAATAAAGGGTATTCAATTAGGAAAAGAGGAAGTCAAATTGTCCCTGTTTGCAGATGACATGATTGTATATCCAGAAAACCCCATCGTCTCAGCCCAAAATCTCCTTAAGCTGATAAGAAACTTCAGCAAAGTCTCAGGATACAAAATCAATGTACAAAAATCACAAGCATTCTTATACACCAACAACAGACAAACAGAGAGCCAAATCATGAGTGAACTCCCATTCACAATTGCTTCAAAGATAATAAAATACCTAGGAATCCAACTTACAAGGGACGTGAAGGACCTCTTCAAGGAGAACTACAAACCACTGCTCAATGAAATAAAAGAGGATACAAACAAATGGAAGAACATACCATGCTCATGGGTAGGAAGAATCAATATCGGGAAAATGGCCATACTGCCAAAGGTAATTTATAGATTCAATGCCATCCCCATAAAGCTACCAATGACTTTCTTCACAGAATTGGAAAAAACTACTTTAAAGTTCATATGGAACCAATAAAGAGCCTGCATCACCAAGTCAATCCTAAGCCAAAAGAACAAAGCTGGAGGCATCACACTACCTGACTTCCAACTATACTAGAAGGCTACAGTAACCAAAACAGCATGGTACTGGTACCAAAACAGAGATATAGATCAATGGAACAGAACAGAGACCTCAGAAATAATGCTGCATATCTACAACTATCTGATCTTTGACAAACCTGAGAAAAACAAGCAATGGGGAAAGGATTTCTTATTTAATAAATGGTGCTGGGAAAACTGGCTAGCCATATGTACAAAGCTGAAACTGGATCCCTTCCTTACACCTTATACAAAAATTAATTCAAGATGGATTAAAGACTTACATGTTAGACCTAAAACCATAAAAACCCTAGAAGAAAACCTAGGTGTTACCATTCAGGACATAGGCATGGGCAAGGACTTCATGTCTAAAACACCAAAAGCAATGGAAACCAAAGCCAAAATTGACAAATGGGATCTCATTAAACTAAAGATCTTCTGCACAGCAAGAGAAACTACCATCAGAGTGAACAGGCAACCTACAAAATGGGAGAAAATTTTTGCCACCTACTCATCTGACAAAAGGCTAATATCCAGAATCTACAATGAACTCAAACAAATTTACAAGAAAAAACCAAACAACCCCATCAAAAAGTGGGCAAAAGATATGAACAGACACTTCTCAAAAGAAGACATTTATGCAGCCAAAAAACCACATGAAAAAATGCTCACCATCACTGGCCATCAGAGAAATGCAAATCAAAACCACAGGGAGATACCATCTCACACCAGTTAGAATGGCGACCATTAAAAAGTCAGGAAACAACAGGTGCTGGAGAGGATGTGGAGAAATAGGATCATTTTTACACTGTTGGTGGGACTGTAAACTAGTTCAACCATTGTGGAAGTCAGTGTGGCGATTCCTCAGGGATCTAGAACTGGAAATACCATTTGACCCAGCCATCCCATTACTGGGTATATACCCAAAGGATTATAAATCATGCTGCTATAAAGACACATGCACATGTATGTTTATTGCAGCACTATTCACAATAGCAAAGACTTGGAACCAACCCAAATGTCCACCAATGATAGACTGGATTAAGAAAATGTGGCACATATACACCATGGAATACTATGCAGCCATAAAAAATGATGAGTTCATGTCCTTTGTAGGGACATGGATGAAACTGGAAATCATCATTCTCAGTAAACTATTGCAAGGACAAAAAACCAAACCCCGCATGTTCTCACTCATAGGTGGGAATTGAACAATGAGAACACATCGACACAGGAAGGGGAACATCACACTCTGGGGACTATTGTGGGGTGGGGGGAGTGGGGCGGGATAGCATTAGGAGATATACCTAATGCTAAATGACAAGTTAATGGGTGCAGCACACCAGTATGGCACATGTATACATATGTAACTAACCTGCACATTTTGCACATATACCCTAAAATTTAAAGTATAATAATAATAAAATAAAATAAAAAGAATAATAAAATAAATAAAAAGAAAAATATGGAATAGAAATTATGGATAAAATAAAATGCATTTAACCAATCGCAAAAAAAAAGATCCAATTATAAGGCAATGTACCAATGTTACATATTATTGCTTTTTCTTGCTGCTATACTAGATTTGGTAACAACAACAATACCCCACTGAAATTTGAATGACCATATCTGAATTAGGTAAGCTTAGTCAATCCAAAGTAATTATTAATTTTAATTAAAAATTATTATCGTTATCATTGTTAAAACTATAATTTGTAGACCACTTACTGCATGCCAGACACTCTTAACCTCTTTTCATCAGGATCTCATTTAATTCTTTAGATATACCCATGAGATGAGATACTTTTCCTGTTTTTACAGTTGAGAAGTATGGGATCTTCTGTAAGTTTATCTGGGAACCAGGACATGGACAATGGAGAGGACAAGGGAAAAGCAGAGGAAGGCATTGGCCAGAGGCAGCCTGAAAGGCCAAACTCTACGATCCAAAGGGGCTAATTGAAGAGTCTACCCAAGGAATGGGTGGGCAGCACGATGGTTAAGTTGTTAGATGTGTTCTATCAAGGGAGAAACTCTGCTCATGAAATATCTAGTTGCAAGGAGCCCAAGGCTCAATGAAAAGTGGCCTAAGCTGAATGGAGTTTATACTCTCACTTAACAGCAAGTCCAGAGAGAGAGTGATTCCACGGTTAATTAGACTGCATGACTATGTCATCAAAGGCCCAGGTGTTTTACATCCTTCTGTTCTGCCATGCTCAGAATGTCTGCCCTTTCTCCCACCATCCATCGCCAAATTGCTGGATGGTTGTAGTAGTTTCTAGAATTTCATGCAGAAATTCCACACCTAACAAAGAAAACTGCATTTCCTCCCAGGTGTCTGTCTTTACTTATTATGAAGAAAAACTCTTCCAGAATTCCTAAGATTATCCCTCAGGTTCCATTTGTTAGGGCTGGGTTACATAACCATGCCCAAATCAATCCATGGCAAGGATAGAGGAATTAATATAATTGGCTTAGACTAACCAATATCACCTTTTTGGAGCAGAGGGAGGGTTTTTTCTGCCCCCCGCCACCTGAGGGAGGGACATCTAGACAAACACTGAGGCTCTACTTGCAGCGAAGAAGTGTGTGTGTGCACGTGCAAGTATGAGCTTTGGAGAGGCAAATGACAGTGTCTGCCCCAAGGAGGCTGCTGGCTGTGTCTCCCCGGAAAGCAATGAGAAGAGAGGGCATTTTCTTGGAATTACATAAATAAAAATTAGGCTGCACTAAACTCTCCAAGCCAGAGGTGTCTCATCTCTCCCTAAGCATTTTCATTTTCCTATCTATAGGTCCTTTTACCTGCAACCTTCTCCCTGCCTGGTCTGAATCAGGCCTGGCTCCAATGCCACCTTCCTTATGACCACTGTAAGCTTTCACCAATCCCTATAGCTGGTCCTTAGAGCCCTTGCTCTCCAGACCTTTATTTTCTGAACTGTTTTGATAATGGAATTCTCTGCCTACATCTTTTTTTGAAGGAATACCTACTGACACAATGGAACCCAGTTTAAGAAATGCTAATGTAAACAATTCATTCAGCAAGAATAATTATTTAATAATAGAAAAACAAAGCCACAAAGACCATTTTGGAAAAAGAGCATGCCCTCCTAAATATTCTAAATATTCCTGTTTTTTTTTTCAGTTCCTACCCAAAAAGCTGCTCTTTGTCTTCCCTCTGACACCAGAAAAGCAAAACCTTGCTGGCTCCTTCCCCAGGGTGCATCCCTGTGACCATCCCCAGTGACACCACTGTCTTGGCAGGCACTAAACATGATGGAGCCCATCCTTTCTTATTCGGGTGGTGGCGGGGGTGGGCGGAGCAGCCTAATATTAAACAGGGCTACCTCTAGTCCTGAAATGAATGATGGCAAAGAGCCCAGCATTAAAGACATAAAAAAGCTGCAGGTTTTCAGAAACTTGCCAGCAACCCTCTGAAACAGGAAGAGGATACTTAGGGCTGTCCTGCTAACTCTCAACTGTGGGCCTTATGATCAGGTCTGAGGCTACCTGGATGCTAAACCTCCAGGCTTGGAGCTGACTCCGAGTGCACCAGGCTAAGAAGCCGCCTGAGATTCTGGAGAGCCGCTGATGGGCAAAATCCCAAGATAACCCCTCCATTTGCAGGAGCAGAAGGGGGTTATAAATGTCATTCCTTTTCTAGGAGATGTGATATCTGACTCCATTAGACTTCCAGGGGAGCTAAAAACAAACAAACAAAAACGAAAGGGCTTAGGATAATGGAATAAGATCAGGGTGGCCACCTCGATGGTGTTGGGTAGCTTTTCCCAGGCACCCTGTGTTCCAGGGCCCAAGCTTGGCTGGGACTTAGAACTATCCTGTTCAAATGTGGAAGGAACTGGAAGAAGAGTTTTAAACTCTGCTGCTTTCAAAATAGGCTTTTGGGTTTCTCAAGTCAGACCCTTTAGTTGTACAGTTGTGGATGAAAAGCCATTATGAACAACAAATACAATTAAAACAAAATCTTCATATTTAAACAAGTGATAAACAGTCAAGCCTCAGCCGATGGCCTGCTCGTGTCAAGGAGTCTTTGATACCATCAAAGTTTCTATCCAATAGAATGTTGGGGATCATCCCTTGAAGTTTGTGGTGATGAGAGTCAAGTCTAGGACATAGAACTCTAAATTTTGTCTTTCAATGGGAACGTATTTATCAAGTCCTATGTGCTCAATCACAAAAGAAGAGTCTCCTATTTTTTTTCAAAACTTAACATCACCACAAACATATGACAAGTTAAACAATCTAAATAATAGAACAAGAGCTCATCAGAAGTCTGGAGGCATTATTTGAGAAATTACAATGTATATGTGTTAAGACATAGACAGGTACAATTGCAATAAGGTGTCAGTGAAGGCTTTTGAGAGGAGGTGGGACTTGATCTGGGGCTTACATGTGGAAGACTCTGGGTAGATGAAGGGGGAGAGAAAGGAGGGATATTAAGAAAATTGTAAGGAATGGTCATGTGTGATCAGTATTTCTTCATATGTGAGTGTTCATTTATTCATGTGCTCAGACCCTTGTAATCACCTGCCTGAAAATCATTATCATTATGGTCTCCATTTCCTTGCTGTTCTAAAAGATAATTTTTAAACAGCTTTATTTAAGTGTAACCAAAATACAATAAATTGCACACATTTAAAGTCTATAATTTAACAAGTTTTGGCCCAGCATGGTGGCTCACACATGTAATCCAGGCACCTTGGGAGGCCAAGATGGGAGGATAGTTTGAGCCCAGGAGTTCAAGACCAGCCTGGGTAACAAAGGGAAACCCTGTCTCTATGAAAATTTTAAAAATTAGCCAGCCATGCTAGTGTACACCTATGGGCCCAGCTACTGGGGAGGCTGAGGTAGGAGGATTGTTTGGGTCTGGGAGGTCAAGCCTGTAGTGAGCTGTGATCGTGCCATTGTACTCCAGCCTGGGCAACATAGAGAGACTTTGTCTCCAAAAAATAAAATAAAATAGTACAAATTTGATAAGTTTTGACATATGTATACAACTCTGAAACAATTACTACAGTCCATATAGTGAACAGATCTATCACCCCTGAAAAGTTCTAATATTCTTTTCAAAAAGCAAAGCTAGATATGTGGCTTCAAGAGACTCATTCTACTTGGATTCTAAGAACCAATTCCTCTCCCTTCTCTGACATGACAGCCCCTTCCTCTTCCTCCGCAGAATGTAGATTTCATGTTTTAATAATAATCATAAGAGCTAAACTTCACGGAGGGCATTTGGCAGCCTGGAATTCTGCTTATTTCTTTATTATTCCTAAAGATAATCCCAGCGAGGTGCATACTAACTTTATTCCCATTTCAGAGAAAGAGAAAGTAAGCCTTAACAAGGCCGGGTGCTTGCCAGGTCTAACAGTAGACAGCAGATCCGTGGTTCTATCTCAAGTCAGCCTGCCTCTGAGGCATAAACTCTTACGTATGAACCCTGAGACCTTTATAAACCTTTTCTAGGACAGAAGATCCTGCCTGCCTGGCACACAGGAAGGAGAAAACTGAGGATTAGATCTATAATCATTGAATCCTGACCACGCATCATCCAGTGAAGTCAGGTTGGCTCATTCAGCTTTCAAAGGTTAGGTCATATCAATGTACATTCCCATCAACAGTGTACAAGGGTTCCCCTTTCTCCACATCCTCGCCAACACTTGTTATCTTTTGTCTTTCTGTTAGAAATAGTCATTCTAACAGTTGTAAGGTGATATCTCACTGTGTGTGTGTGTGTGTGTGTGTGTGTGTGTTTTGGAGATGGAGTCTTGCTCTGTCACCCAGGCTGGAGGGCAGTGGCGTGATCTAGGCTCACTGAAGCCTCTGTCTTCCAGATTCGAGCAATTCTTGTGCTTCAGCCACCCGAGTAGCTGGGACTACAGGTGTGTGCCACCATGACTGGCTAATTTTTGTATATATTTTTTATTTTTAGTAGAGGTAGGGTTTCACCATATTGGCCAGGCTGGTCTCGAAATCCTGGCCTCAAGTAATGCCCCTGTCTCAGCCTCCCAAAGTGCCGGGATGACAGGTGTGAGCCACTACCCCCAACCCTCATTGTGATTTTGGTTTACATTTCCTGGATGATTAATCTGTCCTCTCAATAAAGAAAATGTGATGTGGAGTGTGTGTGTGTGTGTGTGTGTGTGTGTGTGTGTGTGCATAATGGAATATCACTTAACCTTTAAAAAGAAGAAAATCCTGTCATTTGTAACAACATGGAAGAACCTGGAGGACCTTATGCTAAGTGAAATAAACCAGATGCAGTAAAACAGATATTGCATAATCTCACTCATAGGTGAAATTTAAATAATAGTCAAATTCATAGAAGTAGAGAGTAGAATGGTGGCTACCAGGGGCTGGGGTTTTTCAATTACATCTCAATGAAGTTGGGGAAAACAGTTATGACTTCTTCCTTTCTGTTTCCTATAAAAGAGCTTCAGTGGTCCTGAGTGAGGACAGTGGTTAGGTTCCTCGGTGCACTGCTACCCTGTGATCCCAATTAGTCACCCAATCCTTTTGCTGAAACTCAACCAAGACTCTTCATACCTGACAGAAGAACACTTCCTAGAAAGAAGACAAAAGATGGGTGTCTCTTGCTCTAAAAATCTCCCCTCTGGCCTGTACCACGCTTGGGAATGAGGACTCTGTTCTGAATTCTCTGTATAAATGTCCTGTCAAGCTGTTTATACTCACAGTGTGTTTTCTTGGCTTCCCCATCTCTGGTAATTGCTCCCATTCAGGAACCTTTGAAGGGATAAAAGCCAGATTGCAGAAACACACCAGTGTTTATCACGAATGACTTTGTAGGAGATTCCCGCAACAGAAAGGGGCAGGTCCTTTTCTTCAGAAGCCAACTCTTTGCTGCCTCGGTTCTGGGGCTGACTCTTGCTTCTTCACCAGCTTCCTTTGAACTGGGGGCTTCTGATTCATAGGAGACGGATGATTCCTATGCATGGGCTCTGAAAACTTCTATGAAGTTGCAGCTCATGACATGAAATGCTGTATTGGGTGACTGTTTTTTTGATTGCGTGTTTCTGCATCCCATCCTCCAAGCCCTCCCAATGCCTCATTCATCCTCAGAATAGTAATCTCTCCCCTACTCCTTCTTCCCAGCACATTCACTCCTGTGCTTTGATGTTTCTTTGTTAAAATGCTGCAGATAAAAATACTCAAGGAGGGTGTTTAAGAATATGTATTTAAAAAAGCACTGTATCAGAAGGAGCCTTCTGTCAAGGAAAATACTACATGTACAAGAATAGCTAGGATACAAAAGAAAATGTGAAGAGTTCCTAAGAGAGACTCAATGTAACATGCATGCTCAAAGGAGGGAGAGATGGTACCTAACTGGGAACATTAGGGGGCATGTGTTAATTAAACATGGTTTGGACATGATGTTATTTTGTCTTTGTGATAATCCCATTAGGTATGTAAACTGAAGCCTACACAGTGAACAAGCAGAGGAGTGGGGATTTGAACCCTGCAGTGGTGGCTCTTAACCACAAGGCCATACTGCAGGAGTGGCATTGGAGCTGGCATTTGAGAGATGAACAGGCTGATTTGTGGGGTTGGGCGAGGGCATTCCCAGTTTGAAAAACAGCAGGAAAATAGTAAAAGAAATATGGTAGGGAAATTGCTAAAAGCATCCCTAGGGAAATCCATCCATCCATCCATCCATCCATCCATCCATCCATCCATCCTTCCACTTATTCAACAAATATTTGTTGAATGGCTGCATGTACCAGGTACTGTTAGGCTCCTTATCAGTGAACGAAGATTCCCTGCCCTCAAAGAGCTTACATCCTAGTATGGAGAGTCTGATAATAAAAGTAAGTATAGTATGTTAGAAGTTGTAGAAATAGCAAAATGCAGCTGGGTGGGGAGAGATTGGAGATAAGGTGGGGACAGGCAGCAGTTTAGAATATGAGTTGGGGGTACAGGCCCAGCACTCAACTGCTCTCTCCCTCTGACTCTCCCTTGTCCTATTTTCCTCCATCTGTCTATCCATCTGTCACACCAGACTCAGAAGCCATGACATTTTTGAGGTGGCATCTTAGGATAAAATTCTTCCTGCTGCATTGACAATCCCAAGCTGCTGAGAACAATCCTTCCACCAGCCCGGGAGGCACTGCAACCCCAGGAGGTTGTGATCGGGGCACAGGGCTGAGCGTGGTGGCTGATGTTTCCTGCTCCCCAGTCCAAGTCGGGGTTTGCTGTCTTCCTGTTTACCACATCCCACTCCACCTCCCTCCATACCAGAGGGTCGGCTGCTGGGACAAGGTCTGGTGTGAGGCCTCCATGAGCTTGTGCAGCCAATAGCTTTGCTGCAAAATGACCTTCCAGCTCAGAGGAGGCATCGAAAGAATGCAGAGTGTGACTCCAGACGGGGAGTGCAGAATTCCACTCAAGAAATACAACCATCCCCAGCACCCTGGCCTGGATTCCGAAGTAAACAATCCAGATGGAGAGTAGCACGTGGAGGGCATGCGTGGAGAAAGATGCTATCTCTGAGCAGAGACTCTGT
The DNA here is from genome assembly GCF_000001405.40 of Homo sapiens. Classification (NCBI taxonomy): domain Eukaryota; kingdom Metazoa; phylum Chordata; class Mammalia; order Primates; family Hominidae; genus Homo; species Homo sapiens. The sequence goes on along the minus strand of NC_000004.12, from coordinate 53,816,525 downwards.
CTCTTGGAGTGACATTAGAAAACCCAAAAGCAAAGCCACTCCAGGGAAGGGGTAGGGGTCAACTCACAGAGTTGGGGGCTGTTTCTAACAGCTCAGTAACAAGGCTGTGGAGTTCCTTGTTTTGGGGCCATACAAGTAGCATGTGAGTGCACAGGGGATTGAGGCAAGAGGGGATGACATTTTTGAATCTTTGTCACCTAATGGCACCAAAGCATCTCCTCCTCCTGACCTCCAACAAACTGATGTCAGATCACAGATATCTATCCATGCTGCGTCCACCCTTGCACGTTTCTTTTCAGTAGGCCCTGTTGATCCTGCCCCACGTGTTTTCCAGCAAGATTTTGTGACTTTTTTTTTTCAGGGGAGGAGATGTAGGAGAGCTCACAGGATGCTAGGAGCTGGGTGAGATGATGTTGAGGTTAGGTGTTGAAAACTCAAAACACTAAAGGCCTTTCTTAGAGATTAATTTCAAACACCCAAAGCCCACTTAGACGGGTTTAAATGAAAACAAGGGGGCGATGAGGACATATGTGTGGAGTTGGGCAGAGGCATCTCCATACCTGGGCCAGAGCTGGGCTTCAGCAGGGCCTGGAATGGGATGCTGTGAAGCAAGCCCACTCTGAAGGCTTCTCGGCACCTCTGTCTCTTCCTTCTCTCTGCATACTGGCTTGCTCGCTTTCCCACGCACATGCAGACCCCGTCCTAATGTCACACGATGTCCAGTTCTCACGAGAGACACTGACCAGGGTTTCTGGATCCCAATTCCAGATTCCTGAGTGACAGATTTGGCCCACCTGAAGTCAGCATTTTACCCTTTCTTTCATTAGATGGCGACAAGCAGTTTTGTTAAATTACAAAAATGCCACAGAAGTCCTCAGATAGGGGAGGTGAGGTATAGGAGGAGGAAGGGAGGCAGTTTTCAGAGAAAGTGATTTCGCTTGGCAGATATTCCAGAAAATGCCTATTACAAGGGCCTCAATAACTGGACAAATGTTTCACAGAATTAAACAAATCTGGCACTGCATCAATTAGAACACAACGTTGGCTGCTCTAATGCAGACCCTACTTTAAAGAAGACGGTTGTTTATTTCACTTTCCTTTAACAGTTGTGGCATAAGCAGACCAGCTATGGGAGGGAGCATGTACAGTGCACAGCCTCTGCAGTGGCTTCCCAGACCTCTCTTCCTGGTGTTCATGGCCTTGCATAATCACCTCACATGTGGGTGGGACCTTCTAACCAACTTTATGTGGCAGAAGTGATAAGACATCAATGTCCAGCTGGGGTTCGAGGGCTCCCAGCAGTCACACCAATGACCTTGGAAGTGGATCCTCCCCAACTTGAGCATTGACCTACAGCAGCCCTGGCCAATGGCTTGATTGCATCCTGGTGAGAAACCCTGAGCCAGGGCACCCAGTAGAGCCGTGCTCAGATTCCAGACTAAAAGAAACTGTGAGATCATAAATGTTTTTATAAGTTGCTACATTTTAGGATAGATTATTACAGAGAAATAGAATACTAATACAGGGTATAAGGTTTCTTCCATCTTGTTTCATTGCCACCCTTGGATATTGCCCTCTTCTACTTGGTCCAAGATGACCCTGGCCCATGCCTGCCTCCCAGCCAGCAGGAAGGAGGAAAAGGAATGGGAGGGCACATCTCTTGTTTTTCAGAACATAACGTGGAAGTTGCACATATTGCTTCCACTCACATCTTATTGGCCAGAACTTGATGCATGCACACCTGTAGCTAACAAGTAGGATTGAAGAGTTTGCCTTGTGCCCAACAGAAGATCAGGGCTTCTATTACAATAGAGGAACAGGAGAATGCGTAGTGGGAGAGAATCAGCAATCTCTGCTGCAAACAGCAATGCTGCGGATGTTTGTTTGGTTTGTGTATGTGATGAGATTGTAGCCACATTTCTATGGCCCATGGAGACTGGGATACATAGAGCATCATAAAGAGTCCAAGAAGGGGAGAGATGAAGGATACCTCCATAGACTTAGTACAGAATCTGCACAGCAAGTGACAAATACATGTTCGCAGGATGAATTAGTGAACAGAAACCCAGGCCCTGTTTGTTATTTCTTCAGGGTCATACCAACTATTTGCAGCCGAGCTTATTATCAACCCTGGGGCTTCTGCCTCCCAGCCCAGAGCTCCCTCTGCTTCTAAAGGACAACTGTAAAGTATTTATTTTGGGTAGGACTAAATGTGCAGTATGAAAATGAGGAGAGAATGACAAACAGCAAAGGGCCTCGTGACAATCACTTGCAGTCCTGGCATATTTTTCCTGCCAGACCAAAATGGCTCGGTTTCTAGCACCTAGTGAGTATTACGCCAGCTTATACATCACCATGAGCTCATCCTATGCCATATCATCTGTGAGCGTTCAAGACATTTACATTTAATTGATGCCAGGTGAAAAGAGAAAGGGTTTTTCTCTGCTATGATTTCCAGCAAAGAAATGAATATGTTAGGGACAGTCCTGTGAAGTTAGCTTATTTTAAAATACATTAGAATTTTCCTTTTAAAGGTATCCTACTAATAAAGTCCTCTTTTTCAGGAGGATCTCTCCAGGGGAAAACTAGGATACTAGCACTCAAGAAGCATTCAATACGTTCTTGGTTTCTTTTTAATTTTTATTTTTTTGCTATGCCCCTAACCAGCAGGAAAAATTCTTGTTAAAAGAAATTACACAGTCAATTTCTTTCCAATAATTACTGAGAAATAAAAGTGACTTCTGTTACCCCCCACTACTCCCTGTATCCATTCTCTCATTTTCCTTTTTTTTTTTTTTTTTTTTTTTTGAGACAGAGTCTTGCTCTTTCACCCAGGCTGGAGTGCAGTCTGCGATCTCGGCTCTCTGCAACTTCCACCTCTCAGGTTCAAGCTATTCTCCTTCCTCAGCCTCCTGAGTAGCTGGGATTACAGGTGCCCACGACCATGACTGGCTAATTTTTGTATTTTTAGTAGAGACAGGTTTCACCATGTTGGCCAGGCTTGTCTCAAACTCCTGACCTCAAGTGATCTGCCCTTCTCAGCCTCCCACAGTACTGAGATTATAGGTATGAGCCACCACACCTGGCCTCATTTTTCATTTAGTAACAGAAGTCATGTGTTTCAGCTGGGTCCATGGGTGCCCGGTGACAGACCATATCGCACAGTCTTATTTGCAGCTTCGTGTGGCCTTGTGATCACATTTGGGCCAATAGAATGTGAAAGGGAGTGATGCATGCAACATCTGGGTCATCTCCTAACCACTGGGAACTGGTGGCAGTGGCATTTGGGGCAGCATTTTTACACCCAGAAAGGGAAGCCACACATTGAGGAGGGTAGAGATCCCAAGCCTGGGTGCCTGGATGAGCTGGTGGATCAGAACCATCTGCCCACCCAAGACTACCTGCTTCAGTCTGGACTTTCACATAAGAAAGAAATAAAATTTCATCTTATTTGAGGTTCTGTATTTGACATTTCTTAGTTTGTACTTAATACATAAGGTCTAGTATTATACTAAACTTCAGACATTGTTTAAGCAATAGGTTTTCCTTTGTTTTAGGACTGTGTGTGCAATCTAAAAATGTTTAATCCTAAAACGTACAAAGCATTTTAAGAGCTGGCTACAAAAAGTTCTCTAAGGCATCCCCAAGCACAGTGAAAGGCAACCTACCATCCAATACTAATCAGCTAGGTCATAGATGATGACATTGATTCTGCTCCATTACACACATCTTTCTACAGTCTCAAAATAGAGATTCTGTTAGAAAACAGGCTCTGTTAGAAAATTTGGGCCCTGTGACTACAAAAAATATCTATTCTGTGGAGAATAATCTTTTAAGAGAAGGCAACCTGATCATATTTTATGAGAGTGTAAGAAATTCCACTCAGGTGATGGAAACGCTTATTATTTGAAACACTACTTGTATGTTCTGATGGTTCTAAGGACACCATGAGAACCCACAAAATGTCCACTAAAGATCATGACATAATTGATCATCTATTACAAAATGGACACTTGGCCCCACATTGATCACACTGAGTTTTCAGCCTGGGTTTCTATTCCCAAGTATCATCCCCCCATCTTCTGTGTACTTGTCATGTGTTGACTCTTTAATGACAGATTCTTGACATATGGCCATGATCTTTCTCCAGAGAACCCAAGAAGTAATCTTAGTATTTGCTTCATTCTGGGTAGACCTGCCTTTCTCCTACAGCTATTATAATATGACATCATTTTTGAACCATGTAGCACCAACCTGCCTTTTTGAACTTCCTTGTTCTTGTGGAAAAAGAGGGGTGTTGTGTGTGTGTGTGTGTGTGTGTGTGTGTTATATGTATATGTGCAATGGAATGAATTCAACATCAAAAATTCTAACTGGAGTCTGGGTGCAGTGGCTCACATCTGTAATTCCAGCACTTTGGAAGGCCAAGGCCAGCAGATCACCTCAGGTCAGGAGTTCGAGACCAGCCTGGCCAACATGGTGAAACCCTGTCTCTACTAAAAATACAAAAATTAGCTGGGTGTGGTGGCAGATGCCTATAATCCCAGCTACTCGGGAGGCTGAGGCAGGAGAATCATTTGAAACTGGGAGGTGGAGGCTGCAGTGAGCTGACGTCATGCCACTGCACTCCAGCCTGAGTGACAGAGCAAGGCCTCTTCTCAAAAAAAAAAAAAAAAATTCTAACTGGAGAGCATCTTTTCCTTCTCATGATTATCCATCAGTCACTCTGAAGACCTGAATTGTTTTCACTTTCCATTGGGTAAAACCTGAGGCAGATTTTTTAGTCACTTTCAGATATAAAAAGGTCCACTTCTATCCAGTGTTAAAACTCTGAACTCTCCTTCAATGAGAATCCAATCCTTCTCCAGCAAAGGGGCCTGCAGTGGAGGAGGACATGGTCATTTTCTTCTCCCTTCCTCTCCATATTTTGTCCACTTCTAGGTACTGTTTTCTCCTACGGGGCCGGATGGGGTGTGGGGAGTGAGGAATTTGAAGGAATTAGAGGAAAAGGGCAAATGTGTCATCACAGTTTAGCATTAGGGGCTTCTCTATGCTGCATGCCTGAAAGCTCATTCTCCTTCTGGGTTCCTTGGAAGCCCCCCAGCACTGAGGATTTCCCACCTAAGATTCCTTTGAGGCAATGCCTCCTTCGCCTGGCTGCAATTGCCCCCGGCAAAGCCCCAGTCTCTGGCTTCTTGTTGATTCTCTGTTGGGGTCACCTCACTCTTCCAGGAGGCCTTCTTGTGCAAGATCCCTCTAGAGATGATCCACCACCAGCTTCCTTCCTTAGAGTCCACATTTGGCCTGGGAAACATAAATGCGTGGTTGACCTGCCCATCCCAAACTTTGCAAGCACCCGCCTTTCTCAGGCAAACTGCTAATCCATGCCACACATGCCTTTCAACATTTCAGGTGGGAACACCAGTTTCCCCAAATTCCAGGGAACCTAGTCAGTTTCCCTAGTGGATCACTTTCAGTACCCCACAATGGAGTCTCCTTTAGCCTTTTCACTTCATGCCAAACAAAAGCAAGACTTGGCTCTGACATCCTTCCCACCAAGTCCTGTTGAGGGCTGACCCATTGGTTCCCTGGTCATTTCTAACCTGGCTCCTATCTGTAGGGGTCCTCCTAACCCAGCCAGGCCCATAGGGCCATTTCCCTAATGTACTTTCTAGAAGCAGGTTGTCAGCGAGGATGTTAGCAGTAGTCCTGTGCTCAGCTCACAGATAGGGGCTGGGCCTGTGTACAGGGAAGCCTCCCAGCTTCCCAATGGCCCAGGCTAGTGCTTTAGCATAACCACCAGCAAACAAGCTGTGTGCAAGGTCCTGGGAGTCCTGCGCGACAGAGCCAGGCTCCTACAGAACTGCGGCCTCAGCCTGGGGTGGTACACACAGAGCCCAGTGAGGAGGCCCCCTTAAGCCATGGGGCTTCTTCTGACTTACAGCCTGCCAGACTCACCAAGCTGAACACACACATAATACATGCTTGTTGATTCAGTCACCATTTCTTGGTTAAATAAACTTGGGCCAATTTTTTTTTAACCCAAGAACCTTGGCTATTTCACTATGGATAATAACACCTTCTCTGGGTTGTGGCCAAGGGCAAAACCAAGGGAACTTCTGTGGCTCCTTTCAGATCCCAGATTCTGTTGTTGGTTAAGGTGAGGAGGACACTGGGCATATTTCTCTATGTAGCCAAGTTCCATTTCAGATTGGTGAGAAGAGGTGCAGAGGCTAATACCCCAGGCTCTAGAGCCAGACTGCCCAAGTATGAATTTTGGTACCATCTATTACTAATTGCATAACCTGGAACAAATAAGACACATTAACCAACACATATTCCCGTGTCCTCCACTGTTCAGTTAGGATAGTGACCTGTGATGTGTTCAGAACAGGGCCTGGCACACGGGAAATTCTCAATAAATGTTAGCTGTCATTGCAAAGCAAGAGAAGGGTTTATATCTCAGTTACGCCCTATTTTCAACTGAGTCACACTGTGTTGTGGTTCTGGTGGACTTGGTAAGACAAAGATGCCAAGAGCTCAGCATGTTGCTGAAATGCTGTAAGTGAGTAGTACATGTTAAGCTGATACTGATCCTATGATCACACTCCAGCCCAAACATGTCCCATAAAGACCCAGAAGCATTGTTTCAGGGGTCCCCAGTGGGAGGGAGGTAGGAACCTGTTTTGGAGGAAACCTAGTTCTTGCCCCTTCAGCACATCCCTTTGGTGGATTTGCTGGAGCTGAGACACAAGCCATGGTCTCTGCCAATCTGCAAGGTTGAATTCTTAAACCTAGGAAGCCGCTTGACTCAGCATTCTTTATGTCTGTCTTAAAACTTTACCAAAATTTGACTGTTTTGCAGAATATGTACTACTCTAATTTCTCTGCAACTAGTTTCTCTACAGCTAAAAAAATCATTGCTTTTGAAAATTCACTTGTGTTGCCTTTTCCCGTTATGTTCCAGATGGTAGAAGAGCTAAAAGTAATTTATCTTTACTCAGGGTGTGGTTAAAATGAATGTGGCTATCTTGTGATTATGTCCTGTTTAAACAAAGACTTGATTTGGAAGCTAATAGATTAAGCTTGCCAACCTTAATTTGTTTTATTTTCTCCAATTTCTCCAAGTTTTCCAAAACAATAAGTAGCTAATGTAATCTTAGCAAAATTTTCTCTGACATCTTAAACGGGTGGCAAATGGATTAAGGTTTTCTTAACTTTAGGGTCGAACAACAAGGTATATATGGTTGTTCTAAACCAGGAGTCCCCAACCTTTTTGGCACCAGGGACCAATTTCATGGAAGACATTTTTCCACAAACCAGAGTGGAGGAAAATTGTTTTGGGATGAAACTGTTCCACCTCAGATCATCAGGCATTAGCTTCTCATAAGGAGCACGCAACCCAGATCGTGAACGTGTGCAGTTCACAGTAGGGTTCTTGCTTCTTTGAGAATCTAATGCCACTGCTGATCCAACAGGAGGCAGAGCTCAGGCAATAACACTTGCTTGCCTGCCACTCATCTCTTGCTGTGTGGCCAGGTTCCTAACAGGGCATGGACTGGTACTGGTCTGTGACCCGGGGGTTGGGGATGCCTGCTCTAAACCATAAGAAAGAAGGCTCTATCTACCCAGGAAACACCAAAGGGCATGTATCCTGATTCATGAACTCCTTTCTTACATATTTACTGAGAGCCAACATGAATCAGGCCCTGTGCCCGGCATGGGGAATTCAGTGATTAGTGACACTCAAGCCCTCTGTCTTTCATGGAATAGAAGGGCTGTTCTGATACTATGAAACTATCTCAGAATAACTTCTTTGATTTCCAAAATCTTCCTGATGATGATTAGAACAGAACTCCCTCCAGCAGAAGCTTCTAGAGGTTTGGAAGTAGAGGCCATGGACTATATCTAGTAAACACTCAATGAATATCTATGAATATAATCTTGCATTTCTCTCTCTACTCTACTCCATTTTTTTCAATTCCCATCTCTATTTCATCTTTAAAAAAAAGCCAAAGAGATGCAGTACCATGGAAGCCCATATGTAGTTGGTCGAAAAAACAAGGGTGCTAGGAACAGAATAGGGAGCTCAGAATAAATTCAGGCAAATATGGTCAACTAATTTTTGACAAGGGCATCAAGAAGACCCCTTGGGACAGGATAGTCTCTTCAATAAATGGTGCTGGGAAAACTGGATCTTCATATGCAAAAGAATGAAATGAAATTAGATCCTTGTCTTATAGCATACTCAAAAGTCGGCTCAAAATGGATTGAAGATGTAAATGTAAGACCTGATATCATAAAAGTCCTAGAAGAAAACATAAAGGAAAAGCTCCTTGACATTGGCTTCAGCAATGGTTTTTTGAACATCATACCAAAAACTCAGACAACAAAAGCAAAAATAAACAAGTGGGGCTACATCAAACTAAAAGTTTCTTACAGCATATGAAACAACCACATTAAAAAGCAACCTATGAATTGGGAAAAAATATTTATAAATCATGTATCTATCTGTTCAGGGGTTAATATCCAAAATATATAAGGAGCCCGTGCACCTCAATAGCAAAAAAAAAAAAAAAAAAAAGACCTAATTAAAAAATGCGCAAAGGACCTGAATAGACATGTCCCCAAAGAACACATAAAAATGGCCAACAAGTATATGAAAAGGTGCTCAGCATCACTAATCATCAGGGAAATACAAATCAGAACCACAAAGAGATGTCATTCCATGCCTATTAGGATGGCTATCATAAAAAAGGCAAGAGATATCAAATGTTGTTAAAGATGTGAAGAAAAGGGAACCCTTGTACACTGTTGGTGGGAATGTAAATTGATAGAACCATTATGCAAAACAACACGGAAGTTCCTAAAAACAATTAAAGCTAGGACTACCATATGACACAGCAATCCCTCTTCTGAGTTGAAACCCAAATGAAATCAGCACCTAATAGAGACATCTGCACTCCCACATTCACTGCAGCATTATTCCCAATGGCTATGACATAAAAATAATGGAAGTGTCCATCAACAGGTGAATACACAAATAAATTGTAATACACACACACACACACACACACACACACACATTATTCAGTCTTGAAAAAGGCTTGAAAGAGGAGATCCTGCCATTTGTGACATGGATGAACCTGGACGACATTACGGTAAGTGAAATAAGCCAGACACAGAAAGACAAATACTGTATGATCTCATTCATATGTGGAATCTTTAAAAAAAGAGTTGGACACATGGTAACAAAGAGTAGATTGGTGGTTACCAGGAGTAAAGGGGAGGACATGAGGTACAAAGTTGAAGTTAGGTAGGATGAAAAAGTCTAGAGATCTAATGCAAAGCATGAGGACTGTAGTTAATAATATTGAAGTGTATACTGAAAATTTGCTAACAGAGTAAATTTTAGGTGCTTCTTAGCACGAGAAAAAGTAAGTAACTATATGAGATGAGGATATGCTAATTTGCTTAACTATGATAACCATTTTACTATGTAGTATATCAAAACATCATGTTGTACACCTTAAATATACACAATAGAAAAGTAAAACCTAGAAACAATCTAAATTTCCAACAATAGAGGGACAACGCCTATTTGTATTATGTCACATTCATAAAATGTAATGGTATGCCGCTACATAAAAGAATAAAAACTACGTATATGCTGATAACAACAACAACAAAAACCAAGAGTGGTAGCCGGGGCTTGCGGCTACTACCTCAGTAGTGATTAAGAACTTTGAGTTTGGCATCAGACCTCCTGTGTTTAGAGCCTGGTTTTGCCATCAGCTGTGAGGTTTGGCAGATAACATGCTGAGCTTGTTTCCCAATGGCAAAGTAGGGATAATAATACAGGTAATCATGCATGTAAAAGCACTTAGCACAGATCCGGCAAGTAGAAATGCCAACTTAATGTGCGTTATTACTGTTATAGTCCTTGGAAGGCTTAATGTTGAAAACTGGTGGTCTGATGGTGTCAGGCTATTATAGACCAAATTGTGTTCCCCACCAAATGTATATGTTGAAGCTCTAACCCCCAGGGTAACTATATTCGGAGACAGGATTGTTAAGGAGGTAATTAAGCTTACATGAGGTCGTTAGAGTGGGATCTTAATCCAACAAGACTGGTGTCTATGTAAGAAGAGGAAGAGACTCCAGGAGTCCTTGCACACAGAGAAAAAGCCACATGAAGACACAGTGAGAAGGCGGCTGTCTGCAAGCCAAGGAGGGAAACCTCGCTAGAAACCAACCCTGCCAGCATCTTGATTTGGGTTTCCAGCCTCCAGAACTGTGAGAAAGTAAATTTCTGTTGTTTAAGCCACCAGTCTGCAGTACTCTGTTAAGACAGCCATAGCAAACTAATATACAGGCAATGAGGATCTGCTATTTAGGCCAATGGTGTATCAGAATCACCTAGAAGGATTGTTAAACATGGATTGCTGGGTCCTGCCCTCATGGTATCTCCTTCAGTAGATCTGAGCAGAGTCTAGAATCTGTGTATCTATCTATCTATCTATCTATCTATCTATCTATCTATCATCTATCTATCTATCATCTATCTATCTATTTTGAGATGGAGTCTTGCTCTGTTGCCCAGGCTGGAGTGCCCTGGCTCGATCCCAGCTCACTACAACCTCTGTTTTCCGGGTTCAAGTGAAAGAATCTATATTTTTAAGAGGTTACAATCTGAGAACCACACTTTGAGAACCCCTGATTTAGACCATGTCCATCCTTAGCCAAATCGTTCCCTTTTTTATTTCTTTAAGGAAAATCAGGAGCACACAAAATAGGTAATTTCACCTTGGTCTTAAGCATTGTCCTGAGGTTTTCCAAGATGACAAAGGAGCAGGTCAGCTTTTAGCCCTTTGCATCAATAGCAGAAGCTCTAACACTGTGGAAAAAGAAATGCCAACTCCTAAACTTTTGTGGAAAGGAAGGGACCGCCACTTTACTCTTCCTCCTGTTGCCAGCCACATGTTCCTTAGCAGGAGAACTCGCCATCATTTTGCTGGGACTTCAAAGGAAGGCCTGTCTGCCAAATGTCTGCACGTGATAAGAGTGATAGTGCATCTGGGAGGCCCTGGAGTTTCTGCAGCATCGAGGCAATTCTCTCACCATGGTGGAATCTGGCACTAGTGTTTCTATGCTGTCCTGAGCCCTGAGCCCTGGGCCCTGGGCAGTCGCCCTCATGGCAATAGAAAGTCTCCTGCAGTTCCTTTATGCAACCTGTACAATACAGCTGTAACTGCTCAAGTCCATGGGCAAGTCTGGATTGCATCTGAAGCACTTCGAGGGGCTCACAGACAAATGTTTTCTGAATGATTGGAGAAAAAGTCCAGCCAGAGGGCTGCTGGAATTGCAGAATGGTTCCTGGTAACTGGTGTCCACCCTTGTCCTTCAGCAACTGGAGTGGGCTGAGCAGGGGGCAGGGCAGGTCTGGAATGGGTCAGCACCATGAGAGCTTTTTGAATGAATGTCTGCAGGGCCATCTTCTCAAATCCACTCAGGACTGGAAACTTTGCTGGTGCTTCCTTTTACATATGTGTAGACATCAGCTATTTGCACTACCTGCAGGTGGCAGCAGAGCCAGCTTCCTGGCTTGAGACTTGTGCAGTCACAATGGGCCCCAAGCTCAGAGGGGTCCACGCCTGGTTTAATGTTCTGTGCTTGCTGTCTTGAAATTCTGAGTAATTTTTGAATGGGCCCTGAATTTCATTTCGCACTGAGCCTCACAAATTATGTAGCTGGTCCTGGGTAGCAGTCTCAACCAAAAAGGAGGAGTAGTGGCCTCAGGGAGGTAATGGATTTTTGATTGTGCTTAATACATCAAGTGAACTTTCAGCTTTGCTATTCTGAAACCCACAGGAACCACCAGTGGGAAGAGATTTCTGCAGTTCACTAACTCCAAGTTAATCCATCCAACTTCTGGCTCCTCAGAAACCTCTTAGTGAGGTTTTGTTGGGTGTAAAGATGAGAATGGTGGGTAGAATCAGTGAGAATATTTTTCCTTTAAGGATCTAATTTCTCAACTAGCAAGCCCTACAAGAAACCTGGCCAGTCTGAGACAATATATTCAGATATTTCTAATGAAACCCAGGAATGGTCCTGCAAAGAGACTGTACGTTTTTCTAGAGCTTGGGTCTTTCCTTATTCCTCTCGTAATCCCCACCTAGTACTTGGCACATGGTAGGCGCACCCAATATTTGTTGCTGCTGTTGATAATACTGACAATAAACACCAGTTTCCTCTTCATCTCCTCTGGATTCCCACAGAGCTAGGGCCACATACCAGGGACCCAGAAAGATCCCTTCTAACGAAGTTGCAACTGCTTACTCTACAAATTGCCTCCTCAATACAAACCCCAAACAAACCAAACATTAACCTCCAAGACAAGGCATCAACCCCCAAGCAAACCAAAGCAATCCCCCAAAGATATTTCCAACCCCTCACTGTACTGGTTAGCTGCTGTTACTACAATGACCTTGTGCAACAAACTACCCTCAAGCCTAGTGAGTTAAAACAACTGCTTCTTCTCATGAATCTGTCAGTGACATTGGGGTTGGTTGAACCAGGTTTGGCTTCTTGGGGAGGCTCTGCTTCAAACTATGGGTCCAGTTGAACTTATGTGGGGAATTGTTCCAAATATGTTCACTTTGGACCCAGAACGAAATGCAGCCACTGTTTAGGGCAAGCTCCTCTCAGGGATTTGGGGGAAGAGAAACAGGGCACATGAATATATGGAAGATCTCTTGGGTCTATGCTCAGATTGTATACTGCTACATCTGTCGACATTCCATTGGCCAAAGCAAATCACATGACTGAATGCAAAGTCAAGAGGCAGGGTAGTGCTCTCTGCCAAAATAAGGTCAAAGGCAAGGATGTGGCTCTAGAGGTGCAAAGCTGAGGCTAATAATTCAATGCACCACACTAACCCTATTATTAAAGATACTTATCTATATTCTAGTTATAACATGGGACCATTGTCTCTTATGCATTCAGCATCCACCAAGTGTGGAGCAAATGCCAATTGGAATGAAATGGAAACATATATCCCATAGTCCAAAATTATTAAATTTTATCAAGATGCCAGTTTATAAAAAAAATCTCCTAGGGAGAATATTCAAATACAGATACTCTATTTCCAGGTAGCATGACAAAGAGGTCCAGGGCCCAGTTATCTGCGTTTTCACAAGCACTTCAGCTAAAACAGGGCCCACATTTTGGATAAACTTACTAGTCGTCAATTATGCCATTAAGTTAATTAATACCAAGATGCTAACAAATTTGGGAAGATCCAGTGAAATTCTTAGAGATGGGTATTTTGTAAACTTCTACACAACTGAGTAACTGCTTATCTCCCCCATCCTTTTCAATTTTGCATTAAATGAGGTACTGGCTGTGTCACTTACACCAGCTTTGCATTTGGCTTCTGGTCTCTTGGTCTTCTTTCAACACATGTATCTGAGCGTCATCTTTAGAATCTGAACGTTGGTCTCCTATGACTGTGCATAACTGTAGAAGGCATGAATCCATTTTCACCATTCATTAAGATCCTTCTTTTGCTACTTCACTCAGAGTTTTTTGCTGAGTAATCCCAAGTTCCCCTCTTCCAATTGATGGGGTTAAATCACAGCTGACCCCAACCACCATATGCTGCCCCTGGTTCTAGGTTAAGCCACATAAAGTCATCACAATTATTGAGAAGAACTAAATTATTGAGAAGAACTATGTCTCTCCGTCTAGACCAAGCCTCTGTCTGTTGTGTGATAAGCTGGTAGAATAAAAGTCAGGAGCTTCTGGGGCTTATCGTGGCCACTACAGAAGCTAAAGCCACCTGGGAGTGAAGCCAAAGTAAAGGAAAGTAGAGCAAAGGATTTTGGCAACACCTTTGAGTGCCTGAAGCCAACTGTACTTGAAGATGTATCTCCTGGCTCTTTCCATTAGATAAGCCAAAGCCTGGCCCTTATTGTTTAAATTAATTTAAATTTGGTTTCTTTTGGCCAGGCACAGTGGCTCAGGACTGTAATCTTAGCACTTTGGGAGGCTGAAGCAGGCGGATCACCTAGGGTCCGGAGTTCAAGACCAGCCTGGTCAACGGGCGAAACCCCATCTCTACTAAAAAAACACAAAAATTAGCGAAACATGGTGGCGCAAGCCTGTAATGCCAGCTACCTGGGAGGCAGGAGAATCGCTTGAACTCGGGAGGCAGAGGTTGCAGTGAGCTGAGATTGTGCCACTGCACTCCAGCCTTGGCAACGGAGCAAGAGTCTGCTTCAAAAAAAAAAAAAAATTGGTTGCTTTTACTTGCAACTGAAAGGGTCCTGACTGATATATCATAGTCGGATATAGAGACCAACAAGACCACTAGCAAGTGAGACTGATTAGAACTGAGCAAAACCCAGAATTCACTGAGGTAGACGCATACACACCCACATACCACAGACACACCCCCAACACACAGTTTATTCTGGCAACCAGACTGGACTTGGGTACCAAAATTCACTAGTAGCTATTGAGGTACATCTAAGGCAAAATAGATTGATTATAGAAAATGAGTACAGCTATTAAACATATCTGTGTGTTCTAAGTAAGGCCTTATCACACCATTTTAAATCATTCCCTCTTGATTACATCTGCCACAAGAATTATATTTTCTTCCTCTCTCTCAACTCCCACTAGTAACATTTTCAGTGGCTTCTACCCAGGTATTACATAAAAGGGTCTCTCTGAAATATTTTTTTTTTCTGTTTAGCTGTGATAAAAGGACAGAAGCCTAACTTTGGACAGCAGGAAATAATGCATCACTTTGAACATGTTGTCCTTTTATTATAAATATGACGATATGGCTAGGTGGGATGGTTTCAAAGAGACAGGATGTTACCTTAAACATTTACAAAGCTGTGGTTAAAACAATCTCCTTAAACTACCTTTTCAACCCACGGAGCTTACATAAATATTTGGCTGCTGGTGACAGGCCTAATAAATCTGTTTAGAATGTTGCAGCAATATTTACTTACAAACTAATGGCATAAGACCACTTTGGCCAATAATTTTAAGAAGGAGAGACGCTACTTTTTAGCACCTTGAATAAATATTTGCAAGACCTATAAAACCAAGATAACCCTGCCTCTTCCCTAAAGCAGTTTGCTACTTTCTACCATGTTCCATCCAAATGCCCCCTTTTAAATGTCACTCGGTTCAGTAGGAAAAGCTCGACCTTCTCCTGAGATGTATTGGAAGACATCAACTAATACCGGGATATAATAGAGACATTCTTCAATTTCCTTATGGTCCAAAGTTCTGCAAGGTACTTTCAGGCTGGAGGAAGAGGAGAACTTCTTACATGAATATTTGAGGGATAAATCTCATTATGTCTGACCAGGAAGTAAAGGATGCATTCCTGGCTTAACCCGCCACATTATAGGGATTGTAGAACATGCTTGAAACACAAGTAGAAAGAAAGGATGGTGGCTTGTCTGGGTATCCTTTCTCCTGGATAAACTAAGATGGCAACTTAAATGTTTTGAGCAAGCTGTTGAGCAATTGAATGAGTCCTTGTTCTTACGGCATGGAATGAGATGCTATCTGATTTCTCCCTGGCCCTTTTCAAGAGCTGAGTCTCTTCTTGATTGCAAGAGATGATTCCTCAAGGGAAAGATACCAAGAGTGACAAACATCTCTTTCTGAGGGTCAAACAACACAATAACCTCTTGGTTGCCAAATGCATCCGTGGACCATTTTTCACATGTTTAGGTTAAAAAAAATTTAAGAAGCATTTCTTGTTTACTACATGGTAAATAAACAAGGCTGCAAAAAACTCATCCCAAATACAAATACCAGAGAATTCCAAAGTGTTTGTGATTTATATATCACAATTATGCTATCAGGTTTAATTTTAATTTCCAGTAAGTGTTAACTAAACAAGTACTCACAATGTACAAAAAACCCAAGAGTGATTGACTTCTAAAGATAATATTTTTCAAGGTCTCATGTAACAGTTGCTTTTTTTCCAGACTTATAATGAGGCCTCCTGGCCTGAACATTCCTGGGGAAGAAGAACAAAAGAACTTTGCTTTGGTATTTACATTATCTAGGGGTAGAAGAAAAGATGAAGATGACTTTGATGTTCTGAGGAGGATGGGAGATGATTTGCTATTTATCCTTTTTTAGTGCGTGGATTCAAACCAGATGGTCCATGTGAAATAGACCGCACTTGAAACCATTTTGCATTAAGTGAGACCATACAGAGAGCCCTCGTTTCCTCTTTGGCAGTAGCTGGTGTGAAGTCAGCCTTCTAGAAGAGGCAGGGCTGCCATGTTTGCATCTGCTGCCAGACTTTAGGAACCTACCCACTGATACCCTGCCACCCAATAATGCCAGTCTGCCACAAGTAACTCCAGTAAGAAGAATCCTCACTAACGGCTGCCATTTGGATCACAACATTTTCTGTCTCTGTGAATGGCAGATGCTAAAAATACCTTGTCGATGAGTTTCATTCATCTCTGGGAGAATCGGAGAAGACTTCACAGAAGATTCAAGAAGTAGATTAGTCAGGATGGGGTAAGTACTGTAGCAAGAATCCCTACACACGGCAGTAGGCTCTAGGTATACAATAGAAACAGAACAAAGTTCCTGCCCTTATGGGCTTCCATTAGTGTGTAGTTTTCAGGATTATACCAAGTGTCTATAATGAAAAATCCTTCCCATCAAATATTGGCTCTGGACTTTGTCCACATTAAAGTTACTCTCCATGAGAGAAGGATCTAGATGAATGGGTGCTATTTACGTGTAAAGAGAGAGGAACAGAGGCAAAGAACGCAAGGACCTCTGCTTCCTGCCAACTACAAGAAACACCTTCCAGTTCCTCTCACCTGAATCTCCTTCAAACATCAGAGTCACACACCATAGTGGTTTTCAATTCCAGCTGCACATTGAAATCACGGAAGAGCTTTAAAAAACAGTGGAGATTTTGACTTACTTAGTCTGAGGGTAGGTGCTACAAATGAAGTTTTTATTTTGTGTTGTTTTTAATGCTCCAGGTGAGCCTGGTGGGCAGCCAAGGTGGAATAATCATGGAGATAGTATCCTTCTTGGGTTGGCAGCAGTAGAAAAGCCAGTGTTTATTATGGTGGATGCAAAGCATTAAGCTAAAATATACCCAGATGTTAGGGAGCTGGAAACGTCATTTTGAACATTTTGCACTGCAGGCCTCTCTATACACAAACCAGCATTGAGCATCTTCTATGTAATAAGCAGGTGATGAAGCGTGATGGAAAAATAAAAATAAATAAGCTACAATCTCATCCCTGACCTCTGGATGCTCACACTGTACTTGGGAGTGAGGCAAACAACAATTCCTATCTAATAAGAAAGATGAAACATGAGGACAGAAACATTGCTATCTGATTTGTTCACTGATGTGAACACACAGTACCTAGACAGTGCCTGACACATAACAGTGCTCAATAAATATTTGTTGAATGAGGACATTTTAACAGCTAGGGATTATATGACAAAGGGTTGATACCTTTATTAAGTAAGTTATTAACAAAGGCAAAAGAAACAAATTGATGCTTAATAATAGACAATGATATAAAAGACCCAAACAGATAATTAACCAAATTAAAAATGTGAGTAAACAATCATATGGAGAAAAGTTTAACTTAATGAGTAATCAAATGAAAGTAAATTGGAATGTAAATTAACTTCAATCTTTAATTAAATTAAGGAAGTATAAATAATCAAAGGGAGTGCAGTAATGTGAGCATTCTTACACTCTGCTCTTGGCACTCTAATTAATATAACCTTTTCTAGAGAGCAATTTGGAAATAATATAAGGCTTATAAAAATATAATAGTGAACTCATTTCTGAGAATCTTTCCTAGGAAAATGAACCAAAATATGAAAAGGTTTATTTGTAAAGATATTCATAACAGTATTCTCTATAATACAAATGAAAATAGTCTACTGCCCTCAAACAGAGGGATAATTAAATTACAGCCAATCCATTTAATGCAATATTATAAAGTCATTAAGAATAATGGCTATGTAATTTCTCCCAATGTGGAAAAATGCTTATATCATTATATGAAGAGAAAAAGTAAGATACAAAACTATACAAAATTTATCCTACTTTAAAATAATTTTTGAAATGAGAGAGAAATAAAGGTTATATTTTAAAATATGCTATGTTTGGGCACAGTAGCTCATGCCTGTAATCCCAGCACTCTGGGAGGCCAAGGCAGGAGGTTCATTTGAGGCCAGGAGTTCAAGACCAGCCTGGCCAACATAGTGAGACCCCCATCTCTAAAAAAAGAAAAAATATATAAAAATAAAAAGTACATTAATTAAAATATGCTATAAAAGCATGTGACTATTAAACAGAGAAAGGAATTATGCAAAAATTATTAAAGTTATTATTAATGACAGCCTTATCAATGATTTTTTAAAAACTGTTTTCCAAGCAGTATAATATTATTCTATTAATTCTATCATTAACCGTACTTCTAAAAGTTTTTATTTAAACAACAACAATGTGCTGTGAAAGTACCAAGAAAGGAATGATTAACTTCTAGGAGAGTTGAGATCAATTCACAGAAATTGATACTCAGCTGCTGTTCAAGGATGGATGTATTAGTCAGGGTAGGATATTGATGTAACAAACAACACCATTTTAGTGATTAACGAAATAAAATATTTCTTTCTCACTTCTAACTGAGTGTTAGGCCTGTGGTCTTCCATAGGTTGATTTTGAGACCCAAGGTCCTTGCATCTCATGGCTCCACAGTCCACTGGGACCTTGAAGTCTTCAATGACCAGCCACCAGATGGTGAGCAGGGGGAGACAGCATAGGGAATCCTCATGGGGCATTTTAGAGGCCAGATCAGGAGGCGATGCACATCATATCCGCCCAGATACCACTGGCCAGAACTAGATGTATGACACCAGCTGGATGCACAGAGATCAGAAAATGTGGTCTTCTGGTGTGCTCAGGAGGAAATGAAATGGTTTGTTACATACAAAGCATCACCTCTGCCACAATGAGCATTGGAGGGAGGAGAAATGGTGTGTTGCAGGTGAAGAGGCCAGCATGTTGGGGGTTTTTGAGTATTTCAGCCGAGGCCTGAGAAAACATGGTGCTCTTGAGGCATGCACAGTTTGAGGGTGGCTGTGGTATAGGAGGGATGTAATGAGAGATAGGAGCTGAGAATGGAAAAGCAACAGATTAGCCTACAATGAAGTTTGAAGCCAGATTATGAAGTCCCTTCCAAACTCCTTGTGAAGGTGTTTTCAACTCTGGCCTGTATAGTATGGAAAACAATGAAAGTATTTAAGAATCATTATATTTACGCATTAGAAAATTCAGTCTGGCTACAGTAGAAAGTATAGATTGAAGAGGGAGAGACCAGAAGGAGAGAGTCATTAAAAATTTTTATTTCTAGGGGTATCACTGGCCTCCTTACTTCACAGAGGACATTTAGACTCTCTATTTTCTGGTCAAACAATATTAACAGCACAACCACTCTTTATTATGTGCTCCTGAACATTATGGGGAATAGGTTTATGCACTCAGAAAACTTTCAGTTGAATAGAAGGACATAAGGATAATGAAAAAGAATAGAGTGAGTATAACTTCCGAGTTCACCCAGGTCTTCAACCAAATGTGAAAGGCTAAACCTTATAGACTGAATAATTGTACTTAAATGAAATTATATCATATCTGTTGTATATGCCTCAATCCTGAACATAGGGAGTGTACTCAGATTCTGGATAGCCAAAAAGAATGACCATATCTAACATAATTATTATCAACTAATATACTGTGTTTGGTAAAGTTAGAGTGTCTTTAGGAGGATTTATTAGTTTCCTGTGATTGCTGATACAAATTATCACAAGCTGGGTGGCTTAAAACAACAGAAATGTATTCTGTCACAGCTCTGAAGGCCAGAAGCCTGAGATCAAGGTGTCGGCAGGGCCTCTGTCTCTCTGGAGGCTCTAGGAAAGAAGCCAGTCTTTGCCTCTTCCAAATTCTGGTGGCTGTCAGCTTTGCTGGGCTTGTTGCCACTTCACTCCAACCTCTGTCTCTGTGGTCACATTGTCTCTTCCTCTCCTGCCTGTCTTCTTTGTTTGTCTCTTTTTTTTTTTTTTTTTTTCCTGAGATGGAGTCTTGCTCTGTCGCCCAGGCTGGAGTGCAGTGGCACGATCTTGGCTCACTGCAACCTCCACCTCCCGGGTTCAAGCGATTCTCATGCCTCAGCCTCCTGAGTAGCTGCAATTACAGGTGCACGCCACCACACCCAGCTAAGTTTTGTTATTTTTTTAAGTAGAGTCAGGGTTTCACCATGTTGCCCAGGCTGGTCTCGAACTCCTGACCTCAAGTGATCCACCCGCCTCGGCCTCCCAAAGTGCTGGAATTGCAGGCATGAACCACCGTCCGCGGCCTCTGTTTTTCTCTTATAAGGACATTTATCATTAGATTTAGGAGCCATCCAGATAATCCAAGATGATATCATCTCAGGACTGTCAATGTAATTATATCTGCAAAGACCTTTTTTTTTTTTCTAATAAGGTAACATTCATAGGTTCCAGGTGTTAAGACAGGAGCATGTCTTTTGGGGCCACCATTCAGCCTAGTACAGAGGACAATACATTCATTTAGATACAGGTTCATTAACTCCTCCAGGTGAGCTGGTTTATCAGGCTATTTCTACTCTTTGGCAGTGATGCTCAGGGGCTGACAGTATGTCCCCCTGGACTTAGGACACTGAGGGATGGGGAGAGACACTGACAGGGTGAGAGGAAGCCAAGACAACCATCCTTAGCTTTACACTGTTGATCAGTGTATTTGAGAATAGACGCCAAGTTTCTTTTTTTAATTTTAATTTTTATTTTAAGTTGCAGGGTACATGTGCAGGATGTACAGGTTTGTTACATGGTAAACGTGTGCCATGGTGGTTTGCTGCACCTATCAACCCATCGCCTAGCTATTAAGCCCGGCATGCATTAGCTATTTTTCCTGATGCTCTCCCTCCCCCCACCCCATCCCCCGACAGGCCCCATTGTGTGTTGCTCTCTTCCCTGTGTTTATATATTCTCATTGTTCAGCTCCCACTTATGAGTGAGAACATGTTATGTTTGGTTTTCAGTTTCTGCGTTAGTTTGCTGAGGATAATGGCTTCCAGTTCCATCCATGTCCCACATGTTAACTTTCAAAGTAGGTCACACCTGTTCTTACTCTTTCCTTCTGTTATGTGTGTGTTTTAATTTTTTTTTGTAGCTTTTTAACTTCCACTTCTTCATTTTAGAATTTCTCTTGTACATGCTGCCACATATTACATGTTGGTGTGTTTCTCAGTGAGTTGACATGTTGACTTTCTTTTCCATATAATGAAAGAAGGTCAGAGACACCTTATCCTCTGTATCCCTCTTCTCTGTATCCTCCTCCACAGTACACAGAACAATCCTCTTCAGAGTATTTAATCCTGCTGT
The DNA here is from genome assembly GCF_000001405.40 of Homo sapiens. Classification (NCBI taxonomy): domain Eukaryota; kingdom Metazoa; phylum Chordata; class Mammalia; order Primates; family Hominidae; genus Homo; species Homo sapiens. Next base: position 53,795,030 of record NC_000004.12, on the reverse strand, counting down.
TGTGCTGAAGCTTTGTTTATAATGGTGGAGGATCAGAGATGGTGTCTGTCAAGTTTGTTTCAAAAAACAATCATTTTTATTTACCCAAAAAAGTTGAAAACATGTCTACACACAAAAAAACCTGTACATGTTCATTTATAGCAGCTTTATTCATAATTGCCAAAACTTGGAAGCAGCCAAGTCTTTCAACAGGTGAATGGACACACAAACTTCGGTACATCCAGACAGTGGAACTTTATTCAGCACTGAAAAGAAATGAGCTATCAAGTCATGAAAAGACATAGGGGAAACTTCAAAGCATATTACTCAGTGAAAGAAGCCAATCTGAAAGGTCTACATTGAGTATAATTCTAACTAAATGACATTCTGGAAAAGGCAAGATTATGAAGACAATAAAAAGATCAGTGGTAGCCAAAGGTTAGGAGGAAGGAAGAAATGAATAGATGAAGTGCGGAGGATTTTCAGGGCAATAAAACTATTCAGGAAGATAGTAAAATAGGCCAGGCGCAGTGGCTCATGCCTGTAATCCCAGCACTTTGGGAGGCTGAGGCGGGTGGCCAAGGAGTTTGAGACCAGCCTGGCCAGCGTGGTGAAAACTTATCTCTGCTAAAACTACAAAATTAGCCAGGAATGTGGGCACACGCCTGTAATCCCAGCTACTTGGGAGGCCGAGGCAGGATAACCACTTGGACCTGGGAGGCGGAGGTTACAGTGAACAAAGATCTCGCCACTGCACTCCAGCCTGAGCAACAGAGTGAGACTCTGTCTTTCAAAAAAAAAAAAAAAAAAAAAGAGAGATAGTAAAATAATGGATACTTATTATTATACATTTGTCAAAACTCATAGGTTGTGCACCACAAAGAATGAAGGATGACAAAGACTATAGACTTTAGTTGATAATGATATGCCAATGTTGGTTCATCTATTGTAATCAATGTACCACTCTGCTGCAGGATGTTGATAGCAGGGGAGGCTGTGTGTGGTGAGGGGTTTAGGGAATATGTAGGAACTCTACTTTCTGCTCAAAAGTGCTGTGAACCTAAAACTACTCTAAAAAATAAAGTCTCTTTATATTTGTAAAAGCTTAATCATCTTTATTTTTCCTCCCAGAAATGTCAGGGATTCCTAATGACAAGTCTCATCTTGGAGGTGTCTCAAACAGATTTTTATCACCTTTTCTTTTCTCTCTTGACGATAAAAACCAAGGTTGATATTCAGATCATGGAATAAAAAATATTTCTGGATTAAAAGGTGAAACTAAGAAGTCGTTAAACTAACCCTTCTTCCGAAATGTTTGTTCTGGACAAACTGAGAATGTTGCCCTTTTGGTAGTGTTCATTGGAAAGGAGAGGGTAATTCACAGCCAGTCTCTTAAGGATGGCCCACGGAGGGAATGAAAATGCCTTCACATAGGTGTTACAAAGAAGGCTGTGTTCCCCTACAGGACATGATTTCCATGGCTGCTGGGCAGAGTTCTACAGGGTTATTCTATGGTAACAAAATTTAGTGTTTGGCATCCAAAAATGACATCATACCCACCTAACTTTTGGTAAATCATGGGTTTGGTTAGGTTGCTTGCATTTCAAGACCATGAGGAAGAAAGTGAAGGATAAACTTGGTTCCTTTTGATCCCAATCTGGTGCGCATGGACAGAAATCAAATAGAAAAACCAGCTGTCAGCAAATAGTAAAAATATCAGGATAAAAAAATAGACCATGAGACATCACAAGGAAATTCTGCGAGGCTGGATGAGCTGCAGTCAGCCGCCTGCCCAGGGCTTCCCTCTTCTGTTCTCCTGTAAGTATTGTCATCCTCAGTAGGGTTGAATCAGGACTAAGTGGGCCTTTGCAACTTCCTGAATCCCTGAGACTCGCTGAGTGGTCTCAAATAGCCCCACACACTCAGGTACTAACATACTCACCAACCCCAAGGCCATGTGAGTCTGTTAATTCTGACAACCATGTCAAAAAAGGGATTTCTTCATCTTGTTCATTAGCTTTACACTTTTCAGATGAACTTCAGAGGTGACATTTTCATAATACAGATAAAGTGAGGAAGTGGTCATTTAATAACATCTTCTCAGTGCCATCACTGTGCTAGGTGCTGGGATAAATCAGGGACAACTTAGACACAGGTTACACTGTCAGAGACTCCAGGCCAGGTACAAAGTGTGACATACTTCCAAGGAACTATAATGGGAGGTGGAGAGGGGTAAATGCAGTAAGAGGCTCGAACGACAAGCAGCGGGGGTGGGATGATTCCCAGGTGAGGGAAGAAAGGAGGTAATATTAGTGTATAAAAGTTATAAAAAATTATTTTAGGCAAATAAAAAGGGTAAAAGGAGTCCTTGGAAAGTTTTTGTTCCTTTTAAAGCAGCTCCAGAAACGTTTCTTGTCTAACAGAAAAGCCCGGCTCTTAAAGCCAGACCAGCAAGCTTTAATATGCAAATGCCAGCCAGGCACGGTGCCTGTAATCCCAGCATTTTGGGAGGCTGAGGCAGGCAGATCACGAGGTCAGGAGATGGAAACCATCCTGGCCAACATGGTGAATCCCTGTCTCTACTAAAAATACAAAAATTAGCTGGGTGTGGTGGTGCCTGGCTGTAATCCCAGCTACTCCAGAGGCTGAGGCACGAGAATCGCTTGAACCCAGGAGGCAGAGGTTACAGTGAGCTGAGATCGCGCCTCTGCACTCCAGCCTGGGTGACAGAGCAAGACTCCGTCCCCCTCCCCACCTCCAAAAAAAAAGCAAATACCGGCCTTTAGAAACTGGGTCCATCCAAACATGGCAATTCCCACATGTTTCCTCTCTTCGCTTGAAGCACCCCTTCCTCTGTCTCTGTACGGGGGAGCTTCTTCCTTCTTTCTTGCCTATTAAACTCTCCGCTCCTTAAAACCACTCCATGTGTGTCCGTGTCATAATATTAGTAGTCAATTTCAGAGGGCAGGATTGGGTCTGCGGACAAGAGAGGTGGGAGGACAAACAGCATCCCAGGTGTCATTGTACCACTAGCTCCAGTAGAGGAGACGTACATATGTTTGAGTGTGAGGTGAAGCGGGGCTAATACGGTAGCCTGGGAGACAGGAGGAAAGGCAGGTCTAGCCTTACAAGAGATTAGGCCTTAGGTGGGCACTGCAGAAATGGCGACAACAGGGTTCTACTGTACTTCCAAGAGGAAATTTGGTGAACAAGGGAAGGAGACAGGAAGAATGGCAAATAGGTAGTCTATGGTTGAATGAAGAATTTTTTTTTTCTTTTAAGTTAGAAGAGCTCTAGCCCTGTGTGTAGGCTGAAAGGAAGATAAAAGGGGGAAAGGGAGGGTTTGAAAACTAGAGTGGAGAATTGGTAGGGAAAGCCATTAAGAGCACATAAAGACTTGAACAAGAATGCTCATAGCAGCTTTATTTGTAATAGCCTCACACTAGAAACAACTGAAATATCTACCAGAAAGGGATGAGTACATAAATTATGACATATTCATTCATACAACAAATGTTACACAGCAAAGAAAAAACAAAATAATGATATTTTATGAATAACATGGATGAATCACAAAGACATGATGCTGAGTAAAAGAAGTACAAAACTAAAATAGTTTAAACACAAAAGAGTTGCTATTGCACGATTGCATTTATACGAAGTTTAAAAATAGCTACAAATAACCTATGATGATAGAGGCCAAAATAATGGTCGCCCCCAAAGAGGCAACTAGCTGGGAAAATCCACAGTGGAGCCTTCTAGGTGCCAGGGATGCCATGTCATGGCTGGGTGGTGGTAATGAGGATGCATGCCTATGTCAAAGCTCATCAAGTTCCCCATATAAGATCTGTAATTTATTCCTCAATAGAGAAAGAATGAGAGACAATAGAGTGAGGGAGAGAGAGAGTGGGGACAACTGGGGCAGAGCAAACAGGTAGATAAGATGAGGAGGAGAGGAGGAGAAGGAAGGTGTAGATACATAGGGACTTGGAGGTAGAGGGAGGTACAGTGAAGGCAAATTGCAGTGTTGCTTCTGACTCCTTCACCCTCCATGTGTGAGGAGATAAATGCCTTACCTGGAGTGGTGGTGATGACAGATAGGAAGGCAAAGTTTGCCTTTGCAAAAGAGTAATCTACAGGACTTGGTAACTGAGTGTGAGGCTCCAGGGAGGGGTTGGTGGGTATCCAAAGACAAGAAGGTGGACTAAGATGCTCCTGACTCCAGGACCTGAATAGGTGCCTGAGATGGCATCAGATCCATTAGACAGTCGCTGACTCACCTATCAGGGGCTTATCCCATTTATGGAACATAGGCACATGTCTAATAAATGCAGTCCAGTCCGTGACAGTTTAAGTCTTTATTCAGCTGCAGGCTCTAGGTGAATCACAAGGAGTGTTCAGGGTATTAAAGCAATATCTCTGGGAATATCTTAGTTTAACATCCTCTCCATCTTACTCCTATTAAGACTGAATGGGATGGGATTTGGGCTAGCCCACATCCAGTTAAATGCAGTCACTCACAATGGAGTGGATGAAGGAGGACTATTCAATGGATGAACAAAGGGTATTGTTAACAATGGATTAACAAAGGATGTTAACAATGGATAACAAAGAGCCTGTTCCTCCCAACACTAATCTGTGAAGCCAACTCAGAAGCCCAGGGCAGAAAGCAAAGGTAGGGAGAGGCAGCAAGCCCACCTGGGCATGAGCTTCATCTTTCCTGGGTATCATCAGAAGAGTCCAGGAAAACACAGTTTGCTTGGTCATGCTGTACTGTTGGCCTCATGTCCTTGCTAAGACTCTTTGAGTTCCACTCTGTTGGAGGCCTCACTTAGGTAGTAATGAGACACAGAAATGTCAGTCACTTGGTAAAGTTCAGGAAAAATGGGCTTTCAGGGATACTGGAGAACAAAGATGTTGTACAGGGTATACTGGGCACGGCTTCATCATTTCCCACCACAGATGAGGGTGTGGTCTCACTGCTTCTAAGTCCAGGTCAAATCCAGGAGAGCCTGATGCTTGTAAACAGTCCCACAAATGGAAGTAAGTGGATTGTTAGTAGTGTAAGTCTTTCCTGTAGGTTGGGGTGAGCTAAGGCTAAAAGGACAGTGGCCAAACAAGTCCTGTGCTATTTTCTCAACTCTGGCAGGGCCCCATATGCACGGAGGGCTGCCGGCAGCTGTGCATCAGAAGGGGGCCCAGGAGGGAAGGATAAACCACGTCAAGATGAGTTGCACCTGCTCCTGTTTGGCATGACCCCGTCTTTATCATTGGTATCCTGGCTAAGGGAGCTGGATTGTAGCATGTGCATGCTCATGGAACATGTGTGTATTTGTGTGTTAGAGCTCTTTAGGGGGGGTCCATAACTCACTGAGGTGGTGCTAAGAGGCACTGTGATTGCATTTCAGGTGGAGGAGGGAGGTGGGAATGAAGGTGATGAGGGTGTGGGGAGAATCCAGGGACATAAAGAAGCATGAGATGCACTACTGGCCTTCAAGATATGTACAGCCTAATGTAGGCCATAAGGACAAAAACATGAGGCAACCCAAGGCTGAGTGGTACAAAAAGAGGTGCTGAGAATTAAAGCAGTGAGGGAGATTGAAAGGGAGAGGGGAGGGAGAGAAGACAGGAGAGAGAACTGCCAGCAAGTGTGGTCTGAGAAAGAAGGCGTCCTAATGAAAGGACACTTGATTTGGGTCTTGGAGGAAGCAGCTTGAGTTTAGGATAAGCAGAGAAAAGGGAGAGGATTCCAGAAAAAAGAACTGGTAGGTAAAAAGGCATGCAGGTAGGAAGTAAGCAGAACGCCCAGGCACTGGGAAGGAGCAGAGGTTTCCCAAGCTGAGAGCTGCACCATGGCCAGTGGGCTGTGTCTGGGAGAATCCATATGCCACTCCATGTGTCAATCAGCCAGCAATCAGTAAAGCACAACCAAGGGGTTATATATATGTGGGAGGCTGTGAGCTAAGCAGGAGGTGGAAAGATTAAGAAAGGATTTTTAAAGGAGGAGTGAAACACAACACAGAGATTTGCCAAGTCAATACTGCATGTCTAATAAATGTAAAAAGGAAGACAGGGCACCCTTGCCGCCATGTAGTCACTGTGCTTACAGAAGGAGCTGAGTCCTCCCCTCAAGCCCCTTCAAGGCCCCAGCACAGCATAGCCATGTGGTCCCGCAATTATGAAGCTTGGATTCCCAATGGACAGATCTGGTTCAAATTCTGGTTCTGCAACTTTCCAGCCTGGTGACCCTTGGAAAATTGCTTGACCTCCCTTGAGCCTCAGGTTTGCATTTGGAAATGGGAATGCTGTCATAGAACCAGGGTCGAAGAGCTGTTGTGAGGTTTAATGAATCTGTAATGAACCAAGCCCAGAGCCTGGTATGTGCTGAGCACTAAGTAAATGTTAACTATTTTTGTTTTTATTATAAGATAAAGGAGTGTTCTCTGCCTTTGCCACATGGGTACAAAAACTTTTATGACTTATAGAGCCCCCGTGGTAGAGAGTGCTAGTTGCCTACCCACATCCTTACTAATTATCCCTTCATTTTATTCACTTTAGCAGCACATCTAACAACTATATCACACACACACACACACACACACACACACACACACACACACACACATCCCTATTTTTCCCAGTTGGCCTTACAGGTAGGGGTTATTGTGTTCTGGCCAGTGAGATGTAAGCACTGGGATGCCCTCTCCGAAGCTCTGTAAGTAGGCTAGTTCAGCAGGCACTTGCCATTTACCCTTCCCATCTTTTTTTCCTGCCTGAAATAGAGATAGGATGGCTGAAGCTCCAGCACCCTAGTTGAATCATGTGGCCATATTAAGAATGGAAGCCTTGGACTACGGCCAAATTGACAGATGAGGGGCAGAAGGATAGACAGTGCCTGAATCCCGGGTGATGATGAGACAGCATAATAGTCTTAGGCTGTCTATCTCTTAACTTTTCATTACATGGTAAATATAAGCACCTGCATTGTTGAGGTCACTGTATCTTTGATACTCACTACTAATGGCAAATGATGCATTTCCCCTTGACCAAAAAATATGATTAAAGGCTGGCCTGATTGATGGTAGAATCTCTGTGTAGGCAACTGGTTCCTTCTCTGACCTGTCCTCTCTTTTTCTCTCCTATGTTAATACACACCTACAGTGGACTGAATGGTGGCCCCAAAAAGATATGTCCTTGTCTTGATCCCTGGAACCTATGAATGTTACCTTACTTGGGAAAAGAGTCTTTGCAAATATAATTAGGTGCCAGGAGCAGTGGCTTATGCCTGTAATCCCAGCACTTTGGGAGGCCAAGGTGGGTGGATCACCTGAGGTCAAAAGTTTGAGACCCGCCTGGCCAACATGGTGAAACCCCGTCCCTACAAAAAATACAAAAATTGGCCTGGTGACAACGTGACATGCACCTGTAATCCCAGCTACTTGGGAGGCTGAGACAGGAGAATTGCTTGAACCCGGGAGGTGGAGGTTGCAGTGAGTCAAGATTGTGCCACTGCACTTCAGCCTGGGCGACAGAGCGAGACTCCATCTAAAAAATATATGTATTTAATTAGTTAAGAATCATAAGATACAGAGATCATCATGGATCATCTGAATGGATCTTAAGTTCAACTACAAGTATCCTTATAAAAGACACAAAGAAGAGAAGACAGACAGAAGATAAAGAGACAATGTGACCATAGTCACAGAGATTGGAGGGTGCAGCTGATCCAGAAGCTGGAAGAGACAAAGACTGGCTTCTTATCTAGAGCCCTCAGAGAGAGTGTGGCCCTGCCAACACCTTGATTTCAGGCTTCTGGCCTTCAGAACTATGAGAGAATACATTTCTGTTGTTGTAAGCCACCCAGTTTGTGATCATTTGTGATGGCAACCATAGGAGCCTAATGCATGCCCATTGGCACACTGCATTCCAGGCTTGTGTTGGGGCTTCAAACCCTCTGTGACCGCTCAATAAATTCTTCCTGATCCTGTTGGATGTGTTCTCACATCAGACACTCTCAGGCCAGACTGTTCTCCCTTCCTGAGGGAGAAAGAAGCAGGCCGATGACATTGACATTCCCTGCATATTCCCTTTTGCAGACTCTGTAAACAGCTGTATTCCTGTGGCAGCTGCAAGCCAACCAAACACAGGAGAGTAAAACCATTTGTAACCATCTGGAGGACACAGCCAGATCCTCTTTGCTCTGAAATGCCTCCGAGTTTAGAAATCTAAACACATATTCCAGTTTGTCAAACTTCCTGAAGGACTGGGATATATTATATGGTTGCACAACACAGCTCGATGATTGCACTGCCTGCGTCTCCCTCCACCCCCACACTGGGACCTATGTTAGGAGAGAAGGTGGGCTGCAGAGGGCTGGAGCCAGAGGATGGAAAACAGAGGAGCCTGGTAAGCAGGCTTAAGAATCAAGAACCTTCCACTGGGCTATAGAAAGAAAACCTGTCATGCTCCTTTCATCAGAGCTAAAAAGCAGTATAGGGTGGTGGTTACATGTTGGTGCCAGTGGTCCCAAATTGCTAACCAGTTGTGTGTCTTTGACCAATTCAATCTCTAAGATCTGTTTTACTTATTTGCAAAATGGGGATAGTAACTACACCTACCTCTTAGAGTGTTGTGGGGATTACGCAGGCTAAATGTATGAAAAGTACCTTGGGCACTACCTGGTTCAAGGTAGGTATATATTAACAGAAACAGCTACTGTGAAATAGTCAGGAGAATCCATGATAATAAAGGCAGCAGGCTCTTCCCCAGCCACAGAAATCTGTCAACAACGCATCCGTTTCCTGTGGACGAGTTATTAAAAAACTTCCACAACTTATCGGTGTATGTTTTTTTTTTAGTTTGTTTTTAAACAAACTAAACAGGGCTGGCCAAAGCCTCATACCACAAAATTCTTCCATGCCTTCACTCATGCCTACAATTCCACTGCTAAAAGCTTCACCCTCTAGAATCAAGGGCGCTAAGCAAACTATCTGCAAAGGGCCAGAGAATAAATATTCTCGGTTTTATAGGCTACATGTGGTCTTCCTTACATATTTTTCTCCTTCTTTTTAAAATTTATAATAACATTTAAAAAATATGAAACACATTTTTTTTTTAACTGGAGAGGGTAAGCAGGCCACATTGGGCTCAAGAACGACAATTTGCCAACCTGCGTTTAATGAGACTCAGTTTTCTGATTAAATTATCATCTGCATAAAGGAGGCTCTGGGAGGGGAAGGGTTCTGAGGGGGGAAGGGGTTTTCTCTCTTCTGTGCCTCTGCCTCTGTCTCTGTCAGGAGAGGAGAGATGGCAGTGATGGTCACAGAGGAGAGGACCCACTGAAGGGACTAAATGGCTGAAAGACATAAAATAGACCTGGATGCCTGAATCAAATCTCCACACTGTCTGATTCTGCCTGAAGCCAGCCTTTTTCACAGTATTCAACCATTAGGGAAGAACAAGTGAGAACTAGATTCACATCTGCACTTTGATATGCCTTTCATTCCACGACTCAGAGATGCTGTCATTTTTCAGCAATCCAATCCAGCAAGATGCTCAGAAGTTAAAATGCTAAAATCTGATTTCACAAATAATTTATTCCCATTGACAGACTCTTTTCATACCATAACCTTTCATTCCAAGCAGCAGAAGAAGAGGCTACAGTTCCACTCTGACAACAAGAAGAACCCCCCTGGATGATAGAATCAGATCAGTAAATGCAGACCCCATGGCCAGGAGACTCCCATCTGCATTTGGCAGAAAACTGGCTTGTGAAGATGCTTGCCACTGGGTCCTAACAGATGCGACTCCACAGAGGAGAGAAGGAAAGTGCTGAAGTTTAATAAAATTGAGCCTGGAAGGAATGTAGGCTACTTCTTCATCAAAAGAGATGAAGATGATAGATCAGGTTTTTCTTTGGCCAAAATATCGAAAAGAAAAAAATTATAAACATGCTTAATAAAATTTGGAATGATAATCCTTCATGGTTTCTATTATACTAAGGCATAAATCCCAAGGGCTCCTTGTTTCCTGCTCAAAGCTCATTCTTTCCCTAAGTTTCTTTATATACAATGTATTAGTCAGGTTTATCCAGCAAAACAGAACCAATTGATGGATATATAAGACAGTGTGGTTGCTCTTAAGAAAATCTATACTTTCTATTGGTGATGTGTGTGTGTGTCTGTGTGTGTGTTTGTGTGTGTGGAGGGAGAGAGAGAGAGAGAGAGAAAGGGATATATAAAGACAGACAGAGTTTTGTTTTACAAAGTAGTCTGGGTGTGGAGGCTCATACCTGTAATCCCAGCACTTTGGGAGGCGAAGGCAGAAGGATCACTTGAGCCCAGGAATTCAAGACCAGCCTGGGGAAGATGGTGAAACTTCATCTCTACAGAAAATAAAAATAAAAGTAGCCAGGCATGGTGGCCAATGTCTGTGATCCCAGCTACATGGAAGGCTGAGACAGGAGAACTGCTTGGGCCCAGGAGGTTGAGGCTGCAATGAGCTATGTTCATGCCACTGCACCCCAGCCTCTGTGACAGAGTGAGACCCTGTCTCAAAAAAAAAAAAAAAAAATGCTCACACAATTGTGGGCTGGCAAATCTAAAATCTACAGGTCAGGCCAGCAGGCTGGAAACCCAGGAAAGAGTTGCTATTGCAGCTTGAGTCCAGAGTCAGCCTGCAAGCAGAATTCTCTTTCTCGGGGATGCCAGTCTTTTTCTCATAAAGTCTTCAACTGATTGGATGAGGCTCACCCATATTATGGATCTGCCTTACCTGAAGCCTACTAATTTAAATGTCAATCTCATCTAAAATTATTTTTATAGCAACAACATCTAGACTGGTGTTTGATCAAATACCTGGGTACTACTACGGCTTAGCTAAGTTGACACGTAAAATTAACCATCATGCTCATCATCCTATTATTTTCTTTGGGCTCCTCAAATTAGTCACAGGTACTAGATAATAAAGTTGTGGCTCTGTCATCCTTTACTGGAATGACCAAAAAGAACAGCAATAGATTATCCCTAAATGGCATATCCTATCTGTTAGAAATGTACTTGGCTGTAAGTGACAAAAATCAAAAACAATGAATTGAAGGGAAGAGTTTATTTTTCTCTCATATCAAGAAACCCAGTGAACCCAGTACAGGTGCAGTGGCTCACACCTGTAATCCCAGCACTTTGGCAGGCCAAGAAGAGAGGACTGCTTGAGCCCAGGGGTTTGAGACCAGCCTGGGAAACATGGCAGAACCCCATCTTCAAATAATAAAAATTAGCTGGGCATGGCAAAATGAGCCTGTAGTACCAGCTGCTCAGGAAGCTGAGATGGATCACTGGAGCTCAGGAGATTGAGGCTGTAGTGAGCCAGGATTGCACCACTGCACTCTAGCTGGGGTGACAGAGCAATACCCTGTCAAAAAGAAAAAAAAAAGAGAGAGAGAGAGATAAAGAAACAATAAGAGACCGTAAGAAGAAGAAAAAAGAGATAAAGAGGCCATAAGAGAACCATACTCTTTCTATCTTTTGCTTTGCTATCTTAATGTGTCAGATTTCCCCCAACACTTATTGTCTCATAGTTTCATATTAGCTGCAATAGCTCCAGATATCACATGAACATTCAAGGCACAGAAAAACCAGGGTGGAAAGAGAGAGTGGCTTTTTCCCTCCTGGAATCCTCCCCTGCAGTCTTCCACTTGTTCCATCAACAGCACTGTCACATGGCCACCTTGAGCTGCAAGGGAGGCTGGGAAAACAAGTACTTCTCAGAGCTGGGCACATTGATGTTCCAAACAGAACTAGAGCTCTATTGGCCAAAAAAAAAAAAAAAAAAAAAAAAAAAGGCAGGGGTGGATATCATTATTGAATGAGTAACTCAATAATCATATTGAGTGAATCATTGTAAACTGTCCCTTGTCTGCCACAAGGACAGTTTGCATTGATTTTTATCTGGATTTGAAAAGTGTTTATTGAATTATGCATTTAGTCGTTCTTTCAGAAAACATCTTCCATAGGATGGTTTTGAGATACCATGTTGTGTAAGACAGTGCACTTGCTCTTAAGAAAATTAAATCTGTACTGGAGTTTTCCAAGAACAAACCACTTGTTAGGAGAGAGGCGTTTAGAAGAGGAATACCCAACTCACGCTTCAGGAAGTGGCAGGTGGAGAAACTGAGACAGCTTCCAAGAGGAGATGGTGGTAGAACAAAGATGGTAGAAGAAAGGATGGCTAGGAGTTGGTCTTAAGGATGAGGAGGCTGAAATAAGGCAAAAGCCAAAGGTCCAAGGTATGAGAGTGTGCTATGCAAACCAGTCAGGGTGTCTCCAGGAAAACAGGCACCTCTTTAAGGATGTACAGCACAGGGAATGGAAAGCAGGGGATTGGCTATATGGTAGAGAGAGCTGCTGAGAGTTAACACGAGTGATGAGGCAATGCAGAGATTAGCATCAAGAAGCAGGAAGCCACTACCGACTCTGCTAAAGGAAAAAAGAAGGAACCAGAAGCTGAACCACAGTGGACCTGTTTTGGCAAGAGCTGGAACTACAGAGAAGACAGTCACTGCTGCAGAAATCACCCAAGGAAACAAGGAGAGAAATACCCTGGCTTCTCCCTCCTTTCTACCCTCCATTTTTTGCCAGTGTGTCTTCCTGGCCTAACCCAACCAGCTGGAAGTCTGAGACACAAGAGCCTGTGAACTGCAGCCTGCAAGGATCAGCCATCGTGAACTAAAACACAGCAGGCAAAGAGGGAGGATGGATTCAGGGCAAACAGATCCAGGACCAGTACTGCACCTTTAGGGAACTGTGAGTATAACTAGTGTGCCATAATGACAGCCAACATGTATAATAAGCCTTTACTAAATGCCAGAAATTATGCCAGATGTTTAGCATTTTCTATGCATTAACCTCTTTACTTAGTTTAGGTAAGGCACATAAAGAGGAGTGGGAGGAGATGACACTGGGATGTGGAATTAGAGCCAGGCTCACATAACAGAGGGCTCATGTGCCACGCCAACGGGTTTGCACTTTGTCCCGAAGGCACTTGGGAATCAACGAAGGGTTGGAAGAATTATACAGTCCGAGTAGCATTTCCAAAATATCATTTTGTGATCGTGTCTGAAGTTGTGAGGATTGCTAATTCATCAAATAAATAACGGAGGTCTGATGAAGAAGAACTGGGAGTGGGACCAGCTTCCCTTCCTGTTTCCCTCCTCAGAACAAACAGCCTCACTGCTGAACACTTGTGTCATCTGTTGACATAACTCGGATCTTCGTTTACTTTAGCTCAGCAAAACTGGAGTGGCAGACCTTTTTAAAACAAAATATTTATGACTAATCTATACAATAGTTACCATAGTTAATGTATTAATATATTACTCACCTCATTAATACACTTCTGGAGAAATCTACATCCTAGCAATGTTTTACAGAGTTTTTGTTCTATCTTCTAGTTTCTAAAAGTATATTATGGACCTTTTAGTTTTCAACTTTTAAGATAAATCAGTGTTGTTTGTCACTGGGTTGTGGAGGTGGCAGTTGGAGCCAGAACCTCAGATTAACTTGAAGTGTTGATACAATGTTATCACAGAGACAAGACTTATGGCCTTCAAAGGGACATTTAGAATTCCTCTCTTCCAATAACCTCTTTCACAGATGAGAAAAGTGAGCCCACACAGATAAAGCGATTAGCCCAAGGATGTGAAAGTAGTGAGTGGAGGTAGGACTACAACCCAGACTCCCAAACCAGTACTCCTTCCACTCTTGACATTATTGCTAAGGTGTTCAGAGCTAATAAGAAGCTGTCATTTAAAACAATATTACTCAGGTGGTAAAAATTCATCTCACATGGAATTACGCAGAAAAGGGAGTTTATTGGCTCTGGAAATAGTTTTAGGGGATACCAATTTCAGGCATGAGTCAGTCTAGGGAGTCACTATTGTCATCAGGACTAAGCCATGTGCTGTTTCTTGGAAGACTTTCTAGGCTGCTTTCATTCAGTCATGCTCAGCCAGGATGGAGCAAGGTTGTAACCAAATGTCCCAGGCTCTCAACTCATCAGCTTGGTATCTTCAGTGGAAAGGATGTATTTCTTTTCCAAGAATGTGAAAGTCTAGGTATTGAGTTTTATTGGTTTAGTTTGGGCCGTGTGTCCGTTTTTGAACCAATCACTGGAGCCATAGTGAATGGATGGCTCTGATTGGCTAGGTCTGGCTCCTATGTCTGTGCTAGCTTCAGGGGATGGGCTCCACTCTCTGTTTTGGAATTATATATTTGGAAAGTGAGGATGGTAAGATTTCCTGAAGGAATATCAAAGTTCCATCAAAGCAAAAAGGTTAAATGGGTGCTGGGCAGGCACAAACAACTGAAATATACTCCAGACACTGAGACTTATGTCTAGTACAGTGGATTTCTAACATTGGCGAGGTTTTCCTATTGGCTATTATCTTGCTATAGGAAATAATCCCATTTGGGTAAAATGGACTTCTCTTGTGCAAAGTGCATGCTCCACTATGAAATTGAGAGAAGCCAATCGTTCCACGACTTTTAGCCTGTGAAAAGATGATGATCCTGAGTTGAGGTAATATACCTCCACCACCCGCTATGGATCCATGACTGTTGCATCCCAAACAATTCTCTGAGAAACACTCTGTTAACAAAGAAGTTCTTGCCTCAGCTCTGCTTTATAGCCACTCTAGTTAAATAAACTGCATTAAGCATCCAAGATGCCCAGGGAAGCTCAGAGAAAGGAGCTTGAAGTCAGGAGAGTTTGTCTGTTCAGAGCTCTCCCAAAGGAAACAGGGATCCAAATGAATCTGAGCATTGAAATGAAGAAGAATAAGCATGCATGTCAGCATCAGTGTATATTTGGCGGCTTCACTGGACTTGTCATAATCTGTGACAAATTAGCAAAAGCAAGTCAATCTTAGTAAGCAAAAACATATAGGATGTTGTTCCATTGTAATTTAAGCTTTACTGCTTCTATTTTCTGCCTCTGCTCTTTTAGTTCAAAAGTGTATCAAGAATAGTCATGGAAGTTTGACAAAGCATTGTTCATAGGCTTGTTTAAAAGCTACCATCTCTTCGTGGAGAGCAGAGATAAGTGGAGAACTTTGTAAGCATGTTTACAAGGTCAGAAACCATTTTTTTAATCTGAAAAAATAATTTGAATGCATATGGCAAAAGCACAATTCAAAAGTTAAAGGGAAAATGACAAAAATTGAAGAACTATATAACGTATTAAAATCTGATAAAGAATACCTTTTATCTCTTCGATATACTGATTTCTTCCTTTTGGTGTGTATTGCTGTGGGATTGCTGGATCATACAGTAGTTCTGTTTTTAGTTTTTGAGTAACCTCCATACTGTTCTCCCTAAATGCTTGAGGCAATGGATAGCCCAATTACCCTGATTTGATCATTATACACTGTATGCTTGTATCAAAAGATCACATGCACCCTATAAATATGTATAACTATGATGTACCCATAATAATTAAAAATAAAAATTTATTTTAAAAAGAATATATTTTATACATAAAAGGTTCTTACAAAGAAATAGATGAATACCACAACAGAAAAATGGGATAAAAGCATGAATAGCAAATTAATAAAAGAAAAAGAAATGGACAATACATATATGAAAAATTATTTGACCTCACTAGTAATTAAAGAAACAAAATTAAAACAACGAGACACAACTTTTGCTATACTGAATTAGCAAAAGACAGACAATACCCAGTGTTAGTCATGAGTATAAGAGAAGGGAGTATAGACTGATAAAACTTAGAGTGGGGGTTAAATGTTGAGAAAGTTGTAATTTGGCAACAATCATTCTAAGAAGCCACATAACATACATATCTTTGACTCAACCCCTCTAAAAATTTATCCTAGAGAAATAAGTTAGGAAATATTTAGCTACGGGGAGTTTTTGATAAGAAAATACTGGAAATAAGGCTTGGCATGGTGGCTCATGCCTGTAATTCTAGCACTTTGGGAGGCTGAGGCAGGCGGATCAATTGAGGTCAGGAGTTTAAGACCAGTGTGGCCAACATGGGGAAACCTCGTCTCTACTAAAAATACAAAAAATTAACCGAGTGTGATGGCACATGCCTGTAGTCCCAACTACTCGGGAAGCTGAGGCAGGGGAATCACTTGAATCTGGGAGGCGGAGGTTGCAGTAAGCCAAGATCGCACCACTGCACTCCAGCCTGGGTGACAGAATGAGACTCTGTCTCAAGAAAAAAAAAAAGAAAGAAAGAAAAGAAAATACTGGAAATAACCAAGCTGTCCAATTGAGAATTAGTTAAATATATTATGACACTTTCATTGCATGCATCATTAAGTGAGAAAATTTAAAATATAAATAAGAGGTTAGTGTAATCTCCCATTTGGTTTTATATATAAAGGCTTTGAGGAATATTCAAGAAATGTTAACAGTGATTTTCTTTTTTGCCCATTTGTAGTTTCTAGTTTATCACAAATGAACTTAAATGGGAAATATAACGATAAAAAAGAAAGAAAAGGAATGTTAAACTGCCTAGGTTAATGGAGGCTTTTCTCTAGCATCTCTCTCTCCCTCTTCTGGGAAAAGGAATAGTACTTCTGCTCCTTTCTGGGATGCTTCTACAAATCCCTCAGGAAGACAGAACTGAAACATCCATTTGCTCTGCACAGAGAGGATTCTGATTTAATGACGGGGATCTGTGCTTGGCTCCTCCTGAGTTTGAGAGAGTCTCTGAGCAGTGATAAGCAAGCTTGCTCAAAAAGGAGGCTTTTCATCTTTATGCCTAGACAAATAATTCTGAGGCTGAACTAAGGCTGGCTCACTATATCAATGTTAAGGAAAAAAGGCTTTTCACATGCAGTAGGCAAGATTTCTGTTTATTTTAGATAGAAAATGTTTCTTGAATTCCCCACTGTCTTTGCACACAGATATTTATCAGCTTTTATGAAAAAAGAGGAAAAATAAAAGAGAAGACAAAAAGAGTTCAATAAGCCCAGTTTGTCTACAGACCCTATCTTGTGTATGTTTTAAGACTGCCACTTCCAATCTCCTTCTGAATTTTAAAACTTCTTTATAAGATTCCCTTTTGGTATCTCTATGCTTTTCGGGGAAAGACACTTGGTGCTGATTCAAGTCCTTTCATGTCTGACTGACAAAGCTGCATTTTATTTCGATTCAGTCATATTGAACTTATTTTGAAAATTACATATTATGTCCTGCCCCCTGATCAATGGGTGCTCTCTTTCCCCATCCTCTTAAGCTCACTCTTAGACTTCCAAGGAATTTAAGAGATGTGAATCAGAGCTCTGGGATGGAATAATAGAAAACCAATATTTCTAAGGTCCAGGAGTAAATGGAATTGACATATTTTCAAATGCTTCTAGCTTCCTGAAACCCTCACTCCAACCTCAGTTCATCTCATTCAATTTCATTTTATTTCATCTTGTTTTGTTTCATTTTTCCACCTAGACCCCTCGTTTTTCTAATGGAGTCTGATGTGAATGGAATTGCAGTGTTATACTCTCCCACCTGATGGATAATTTCCTGCCTTGCACATTGCAAGACAATCTGGTGAACACTCCTTCCTCCTTCTGAGCCAAAACATTTCATAATTCTTCAGTCCTTCACAGGAGGCTCCAGCTCAGAAGCTGCAGTGACTCAGAAAAGGATGAACGCTTCCTTTGGTCTTATCATCTTTTTGTTCTTTTAGTTTCTAAGTACATGTCTTGACCTTTATCTGGGACTGTTAAATCTTGTTAAATTCTGCTTCAGAAGTCAGGGGACTTTGTCTTCACAGCCCTCCACCTCATTGGTGACTTTCTGTGACTCCAAAAAGGTCACCGAGAGTCAATGTACTTTGCTTCTTAAATATTTGTTTATAATATGACCCCCCATATTTGTTTATAATATGACCTCAAAAAGACCCATCAGGTGGGATGAGCCTAGTTTATGGAGTGTTCAGAAATGCTTCAAGGTCATTCATCCCCCCAAACGTCCTTTCTTCTTTCTTTTTCTTTCTTTTTTCTTTCTTCTTTTTTTTTTTTTTTTGAGATGGAGTCTCACTTGCTGCCCAGGCTGGAGTGCAACGGCACGATCTCGGCTCACTGCAATCTCCGCCTCCCAGGTTCAGGCAATTCTCCTGCCTTAGCCTCCCGAGTAGCTGGAATTACAGGCACTCACCACCACACCCAGCTAATTTTTGTATTTTTTAGTAGAGACAGAGTTTCATCATGTTGGCCAAGCTGGTCTTGAACTCCTGACCTCAGGTAATCTGCCTGCCTCGGCCTCCCAAAGTGTTGGGATTATAGGTGTGAGCCACCATGCCTGGCCCCAAACATCTTTTCATAGTTGGCAGAGCTTCAGCTAGGAAAGCAGACACTTGACAAAATGGGGTGAATAATCATTCCTCTCCCAGATCTAGAAGTCAGTTTTGTGAAAGAGTTATCACCCCACTCTAAGATTCTCGCTAGCTTTCCCAAATACGTATTAAAATCTTTGCTTCTCATTATAAAGAAATAGTGTTTGTTTGTTTTTTTTTTTTTTTAACTTGGAAAGAGTTGATAACATTTTAGGAGTAGAGAAAAGAGAAATCACAATGCCATAAAGAACCTCTAGAGGGTGATTTGTGTGTTCTTTTTGTTTATTGTGGTGGTGATTTCACAGGTATATGTAATCCATAAAAACTTAGCAAAGTTGACCCTTTCAATGTGTACAGTTGATTATATGCCAGGTACACCACAATAAAGCTGTTTAAACAAAACAAAACAAAACAAAACAAAAGCCTATATCCAACATTTCGCTTTCTAGTCCAAGAGTCCCGTCTACTGCCTAGCATTGTTACTAATATATAGGTGTTTAAGTTTTAAAAGCTCCATAAGGAAATAATGTTGGCTCAGGCAAAACTTTGCAAAGTGGCCCAGGGTCTTGCTTTATCCAATTATTTGGCCTACTTTCCGACTCTAAGAACTTAAAGCCAGATTCTGTTTCTGGGAAAAGAGATTTAAGAGTAATTTGACATCAGAAAGATGACAAAGTGATAAAATTCTACCAGAAATTATTTAAGACAAAGGTGTATGCAGGAGACAGCTGTGAATTCACTCTTAAAGAAACTTTAAAATGTTAAAGATTAGCTTGGGTACCATCTTAATTGTTATCATATGCTTAACTTGTCACCAGTTTTTGTGGCCTGTGATTTAGGCAGTATTTATTAGTCAATTTTAAGGCTAAAATTTCAAACAAGGTTCTATGGATTGGAATAGGAAATATGAAGCAAGAAAAGAGAAGAGTCAAATATCGTCGAAATGGTGAGAAATTGTCTTTTCTTTCCATCAGAAGTACATGAGTTTTGCTAATTTACTTAGATAAAATGTTGGAACTATTTGTAGACAGGAACAGACCAATTGGGCACTTGTAGAGACTGGACATTCAGGAGTAACACTGGATTACATTCGCTGGGAAGGGAATCATCTGCAAGGTTGTGGTCTACCACAAGATCTTTTTTCTCTCTCTCCATGGTAAGGGCCCAGGAATGGGGTCAGGAGTTGTAAAGCAATTACATTTTCCACTTTATAATGGCCAGTCTTATTCATTTGCAATATACTTCGTGCTCTATATGTGCAATTTTAACCTAAACT
The DNA here is from genome assembly GCF_000001405.40 of Homo sapiens. NCBI lineage: Eukaryota > Metazoa > Chordata > Mammalia > Primates > Hominidae > Homo > Homo sapiens. Next base: position 53,775,418 of record NC_000004.12, on the reverse strand, counting down.
TCACACTTTGAAATGGGTATATTGTTCCCATTTTATAGAGGTACAACCTGAAGATGTGATACAACCTGTCCAAGGTCACACAATACTAATATGAATGCTAATAACAATAAACACCTATTTAGTATTTGCTGTGTGCCAGGGACTATACTGACTACTTTACATATATGAACACATGTATCCTCTCAAAAATCTTATGAGGTACAGAATACCATTATTCCCATTAGAGATGAGGAAAGTGAAGTAAGAAGAGGAAGAGTAACTTGTTCAAGGTCACTGTCTTAGTCCATATTGTGCTGCTGTAACAGAACACCACAGATTTGGTAATTTATAAAGAAAAGAAACTTATTTCTCACAGTTCTGGAGGCCGGAAAGTCCAATACCAAGCTGCTGGCATCTGGCAAGGGCCTTCTTGCTGCATCATCCCACAGCAGAAGGTAGAAGGGCAAGAGAACCCACAAGAGCAAGAGAAGGCTGAACTTGCTTTTATAAAAACTGACCCTCAAAATAATAAACCCACTCCTGCAACATTGACATTAATCCATTAATAAGGGTAGAGCTCTCAAGGCCCAATCACCTCTTAACAGTCCCACCTTTTAAGAGGTGGGATTATTTAAGTCCCACCTCTTAAATAATCACAATGGCAATTAATTTCAACATGAAGAGGACATTCAAGCCATAGCAATCCCACACTTGGTAACTTGTAGAGTCTGTGCTTCATGAAACATAACATTGTGCATCTTTCTAATATATTGTAGGCACTCACTAAGTATATAGGAAGGGGTGTGTGTGTGTGTTTGTGCGTGCGTGTGTGTGTGTGTGAGTTTTTGGGGTGTATAATTGGGAGAGTAGAACATGAATTCGGATTCTAGCCAAAATCTCCTATTTTGCTCAGATGATTAAGGCTGCATTAGAGATGACCTGACATGATGCTTATGTTTCTGCAAAGGCCACAGAATGCCCCATATGACACTAGACAGTTTCTCCTTACAGCTTCCAACTCTCTTCGGGATACTGTGCCTATTCTCACTGCCCATCATTCTAGAAGGGCTGTTAATCACAGTGCTCACCCCTTGACTACAGGAGTGAGCCTGTGTTTTATGCCTGGCCAATTGAAATCCTCCCCAGTGACCATGATGATTGGCCAAGCATTAAACACTTAAACCATGGAAACCAAGTAGATCCTTCCTTGGGATAATTTATTTTTATGCTTAGTGAGAAAACCCCAGTGGTATGGTTTGGATGTTTGTTCCCTCCAAATTGCATGTTAAAATGTGATCCCTAATATTAGAGATAGGGCCTGGTGGAAGGTGTTTGATCATGGGGGCAGATCCCCCATGAATGGCTTAGCACCATTTCTTTGGTTATAAGTGAGTTCCTGCTCTATTAGTTCACACAAGAGCTGCTTGTTTAAAAGGAGCTTGGCACCTTCTCCTCTGTCTCTTGCTCCCTCTCTCATCATGTGACAAGCTGCCCCCTTTAGCTTCTGCCAGGACTGTAAGCTTCCTGAGGCCCTCACCAGATGCAGATGCTGGCTTTATGCTCCATATACAGCCCACAGAATGGTGAGCCAAATAAGCCTCTTTTCTTTATAAATTACCCAGTTTTATGTATTCCTTTATGACAACGCAAACAGACTAGGACACTTGGTTTCCTCTGGGAACTTTCATTAGCAGTGATTATGCTTGAAACTGTTTGAGGCCATGCTTCTCTTCCCTCTGCCCCTGCCCGTGGCAGAGATTCAAACTTAATGGAAGAAACTGAGGCTCAAATGCCAGAGAAGCAGAAACAGATGGTGGGGACAGAGAATGAAAGAGGGAGAGAGGGGGCAAATGACATCATTGAGTCTTAGGAGTTTCTCAGGCCCACTCAACTCCTGAGTTTCCTAGTCATATGAACTAATACATTTTCTTCATTACTGTGGTGGTTTTATTCGAGTTTCTTTCATTTGTTACCTTAAAAATACTGACATATAGGAAATATTTTTCCCTTTTTAAAAATTATTAAAACTATGTCCACTCTAAATGCACTTTTAACAATAAGAAGCATTACATGTATAATATTATGAGGGAAACTGATTATAATCCTTTAATTACTCATAGTGAGAATATTGCTCTTTTATTTGTAGGTGAGTCTTGGAAATGTATCAATAGAGAGGAAATATGAATTAAAAAATCAATATCATCCTCTCTATTGTAATCAAAACAGGGCCAAATGAGAGCAGACATGATTTGGAAACAACTATTGAAATCCACTGGACCTTTGAATAAAAATAGATTATTTATTACAGTTGACCCCCTTAGGCAAGAGATTAGACAGGATCGGTAAAAACCAGGGCAACAGGCCACAATTTTCAGTAAACTGGAATACATTTGAGTGTTCCTTACAAAATTTGTCCCAATCACATAGATTTCAAAGACTGAGGACTCTGGAGCAGAGAAGATTCCATAGAGTACTATTTACCCCCAGATGCCTCCCTTAGCCCTCAAATACCCAAGAGTTCTCCCTTAGGGGGCCATCCTTTTGGAGTAAACATTCCCTCTTTCTCTGATTTTCTTTTTAAAAAAATTTTTTTTTGGCCAGGTAATATTATATCACTTTTGTCTCAAGACGGTAATTTGATAGTGGTTAAGTGCATAGATTTGTGCCAGACATCCTGGGCCAAACCCTGGCTGCACCATTTCTGAGCTACATGTCTTTCCCTCTCTCCTTACTTTAACCCCCTCTCTCTGTACCTTATTTTCCTTCTCTGTAAAATGGGTATAATAATAGTCACATCAGAAGATGGTTGTGATATAGGAGATAACACATGTATAGCTCTTAGCATGGTGTCTGGCATATAGTACACGCTCAATAAATGTCAGCTCCTATCCTGAGAGTGAGGCATCATGGCTGTGTGGAAAGGGCATTGAGAAACAAGCCAGGAGCCCTGATGCTGAGCCTGCTTCTCCAAATACTTTCCACGTGACCCTGACCAAACACACCTCAATTTATCTCACCGATAAATGGTAATACTAATGCCCTTCATGTCTAGTTCCCAGTGGTGGCAAACATGAGACAGGTGTCTTGAGGATAATATGAGGTCATCAAGATCAAAAAGGTTTGGAAAGAATAAATGGGTTTTTACAAATCATCAGGATTCTCAGTAGAAAATTGTTTATTCACTCAACCAATATTTACCAAGTGCCTACCAGGTGCAAGGACCAAAAGACAGTTTGATTTTCAAGCAGCTGGTCAAACCTATGATGGAAGAAATTCAGAAGAGTGAGCAGGGAAGCTGGTCAAAAATAGGAAAAATGCCAAAAATGGGAGAGGAGGGAAAGACCAATCTCACCTTCTTCACATTTTTGCAACAGACTCACTCCACAACGTTTTCCTGAGTCTTTCTCAGTGTGGGCAGCCTGGAGCCTGCTATAATGTGATCTGTTTCTCAAGCTGGCCTCAGCTGAAGTTAAGTTGGTCACATATTTCTACACAGCTTAGAAAAGAAGCCATTCCTGCAGTTCATGCCCATGGCTCTGATTTAATGTGAGCTGCTTTCCAAGAAGCAGAACTTTTTTTGAAAAGGTCCAAGATAATTTTCCTGGGAAGTTTGGGGTTTGGGCCACATTCTACCTCCTCCCACCCCCCAGGCCCACCAGTTTGTTGCAAGTCCTCTCTAGCTTTTCAATGGCACCCAGGCTTCAGTTAAAGGGTGGGAGATACCATTCCACAGTTCTGTTGGCTTCTGCTCACAGCATCAGTGTCTGGTTTCTCAAATTTTGCCTTCTTTTTTGCTGCTCTCCCTTTTTCTCCAGTTTCCACATAAACAAAGCCTTTAGGGGAAATGGGGCTAAGTGACATGAGAGCCGTGGCCCCTTGAACACTTTTGTCCAGGGAGTTTAATGGAGGCTTTTGAAGTTTTGTAAAGCAAAGTGAGAAACAACAGCTGCTCGTCCTCTCTGAGCCTCAATTAATAATGAGATGTGCGTTTTGTCATAAGGATAAACATAGTCTAAAATAGAGTATTGGAAAGATGCTTGTGAGAGAGACTTATTAGCAGGGGCAGAGGCAATGATACAGATTGTTGGTTACACTGAGGCCAATAAGTGGGTGCAATGCTAGTGTTGCCTTAGGAATAGACCTCCTTGCCCAAAATCCCAAAAGAAGACGGGGTCTGCAAGTCCCTCATCTGCTAGGCATCTGGGCTTCCTAGGTGGGCTCTCCTCTCAGCAAAGTCCACCTCCTTTTCACAGCTAATTTTCTTTAAAAAAACATGTATTTCAGAATTTACACTTCAGCATCGAGGTTGCCTTCTTCAAAGTCACCACTCCAGCGGGGACATCATCTTGTCCACCAGAGCACCTGGAATGCTGCTTTGGGAACAGGCCTGCAAGCAAAAGTTAAGTCTTGTGAGCTTTCTGAATGGTGGCAAGCCAAACCTGGGCTTGAATTTTGAGAAAGATGCTTAGATTTGATAAATGAAGCATATGATCACTTAGTAATGGGGTTTAGAATGGAAAAAACAAGGCACGAGTTAGCATAACCAATAGCTAATATTGATTGAGGCAGGCCAGGTACTACTCTAAGTGTTCTGGATGGATTATCTTATTTAATTCTCACAGTAACCCTGTGAGTTGGCTAGTATCACCTCTGCTTTACAGATCAGGAAACTGAGGTAAGGTACATTAAATAAACACTCTCCAGTGACTAGAATGGGAAAAATAATCTGCTATTTTACAGTGTTTATCTTTATCATTCTAAAATGCGAAGAGAGCTGGGGACTGGGAATGAGGATCAGAGGCTTCTTCTTCTTAATTCATAAACCTCACAGCAGCCCACATTTAACTTTTTATATATCAAAATTGTCAAAACATTAAATGAAGGTACCTTAAACAATGTGCCCAATGTTGCACAGATACCTCTGATTCCAGAAGCCTTGCTCTTAAGTATTCAGTACAGTGTCTCCCTGATTTACTTGAGTGGTTTATACATTGCTGAATTGAGGAGTTATCAAAGGGACTTCCTGACTCAACCTATTATTTTTTCACAGGTCCGTAAGGCCTGGAGTCTTACCATTAGAGTTAAATCTCAGGCGTTTTGTTTGACAAGGTCTCCTATTGTTAATTGGGAGAGTATTTATTTAAATATGCTTAATAAATTAAAAAGACTCAGAAAGCAGGGAGAAGCATACATGGAAAATAAGACCAATGAATTTTGATGGTGGAAAAATAGCAAAAGACTCTAATGCTACAATTCCATGGGATGACAATAGTAGTGTATGTACCTCATCCATCCATTCATCTGTCCATCCACCCATCCATTCATTTATTCCACAAATGTTTATTGAAGGTCTGTGTTGTTCCAGACATCATGCCAAAAACTGGCATACAGTGTTGAGCAAAAGCAGAGCCAGCCCCTCTGAGAGATGGGAGTCTAGTAGGAGAGAAATAAAATTTGAACTATGACAGTGTCTGAGAAAGAGAAGAACAAGGTGCTATGAGAACAGGTAACAAGGTGCTGGAATGGGGTGATCTGAGGGCACTGGGTGATTGAGAGCGGGGAGAAAAAGATGTCAAAAGAGAGGCAGGGAGGGCGCTTAGTGTGGTAGATGGTACTGAATGCTGAACAAAATTTAACTGGATCCCCAAGTTTAACTCTTCCTCCATGTTTGGTGATGGACCAGTGCATACATGTGCAAACGGCTTTGGCCCATGAATGAAGTTTTTATGGTCACGTAGCTTGCTGTTATTTGGAAGTGAAAAAGTGAAAAAATATAGTCATGCGTCACCTAACGAAGGGGTATGTTCTGAGAAACATGTCTTCAGGTGATTTCATCACTGTGCGAGCAACATAGAGCATACTGACACAAACCTAGGTGGTATATAGCCTACTACATACCCAGGCTATATGGAACAGCCTCTTGCTCCCAGGCTGTCAACCTGTACAGCATGTTATGGTACTGAATACTGTAGGCAATTGTAACACAATGGTATTTATGCATCTAAACATAGAAAAGGCACAGTAAAAATTTGGTATAAAGATTTTTAAATGGTAGGCCGGTATAGGGCATTTACCATGAATGAAGCTTGCAGGACTGGAAGTTGCTCTGGGTGAGTCAGTGAGTAAGTGGTGAGTGAATGTGAAGGCCATTATCATACACTACTGTAGAAGTTATAAACACTGTACACTAAACTTATAGAAAGGATTTTCTTTCTTCAAGAATAAATTAACCTCAACTTACTGGAGAAACTTTGTCATATATGGGGTTTGTTTTTGACCAAGACCTCATTATGCAGCGCATGACCGTAATGACTTCAGCATTCATTCAGCTTTGACTGTTTTCCTCCTTAACTTCATTGCTACCTGTTGCTTCAATTGTCTTGACTTTTGCTGCCTCATGTATAAAATGATGGCCGGAAAACGACGTCTCTAAGCTCCCTCAAGAATCTGTGCGTAGCTATGGGAAGAACCCAGAGGGCTGTGGCCACTGCTTGTCTTCGGTTGTCCTGAGGATCTGCAGAACCTGAGCAACATCTGCAAAGCAGCAAGATGACAGCAAAGGCATTTGGTTTAGGGTCAAAGATGGGGTGGAGGGAGCAGAGAGGGATTTCTTCCTTCTGCTTCTGGAGAAGGGAAAATCAGGCACCAAAGTCTCAATACTTCACATTCTAAAAACTGGGCTCATTTAACAGGGCCAGATCAATTCATTTTGGAAACATTCCAGAAGACGGGGTTTGCCTGGTAAATTTATAATGTAAAGAAGAGGGCAATGCAAACAACTGCTAAGAGTGCAGGCAGCCATTAATTCATTAATAATGTTGATAATCGTTAACATTCACTGAGAATTTACTACGTGCTAATTGCTTCACATCTGCTTTCTCATTGGCTTCTCATACTAATTATAAGTAATAGATACAGTGCTGTTATTATTCCAATTTTACAGATGAGGAAAGAGAGAGCTAGAGATGTCACATGACTTGCCCAAGATCTCACCACTGTAAGCAGTTCAACCAAGGTTGGAATTGAGGGCTGGCTGATCACAAAGCCTATGAAACACCACTCTCCAAGCTCTTAAACACTACTGTCTACTGCCTCCATTGTAAAAGACATTGATATACACATAATTACCAACCTATTACTCTTTCACTAAAAAGGTAGGTCTCTAAGTAAGTGAGCCCAACATTGCTAAATTTTATAGATGAATGTAATTTTAAATATATGTAGGAGATTGACAATGTTGTCAAGCTTTTACTTTGGAAAGTAAACCATTTTTAAAAATGTATTTCACCCTCATTTTATTGAAGACTAACTTAAAAAACAAAAGAAATATGAATTCATACCAAAATATAAAAGCTAAATAAATTTAACCCCTTGAACAAATCACCACATTGCTCTTCTTTTTCTCATTTTGCTTCAAACCAGTGAAAACAGGGCCCCAAACCATTAATAGGCACCAATGCAAGAACTAATATTTGGAAGCACCTATCCTTTGACATCTTATTATCAACACTTTGACTTTAAATATAGCTGGAAAAAAAAACAGGATGGTATTTATTATACTCTTTCATAACTCAGACTTTCCACTAACTTCATCTGGTTTCTATCCTCCCCCACTACACAATTAGTCTGAATATTTGAGGTTGCCCTATTGTTTCCAGTAAGGTTCTTGGAGACAAGGTCAAATCACGGGCAAGGCTTGCAGGTCAGAAGTGTGTTTTGAGCCATATGAATGTGCCTCAAAATAAGTTTTAAAAAGTAAAATCACTCTGTGACTGAAGTTATTGAGTATTTAAAACCCATGGGTGAGTAGGTCTTGGGCCAAGAGGAAAGAGCATATTTTGAAGATGACCAATGACTTAAAAATGATAATTTATCACATTACAAATGGGCAGAGAGAATTAACTTCAGCCACGAGGCAAGGGCATGGCTCTGATCAATGTTTGGGTGGGTCTGATTTGTTTGGAGCCAGTGACCTTTCCCCACTCCAGTATTTTTTTCAGACTTTTTTTGATCATTCGACATTTCACAGCTCTTCTTAGTTTATGAGTTGCAGGTTATCTTGAGGGCAATGTCTCTTTTTCTGGGGCTATCTATGAAAATTCAACAAGTAAGCTGTGGACCACCACCCTACTTTATTATTTGTTTCTTTGGCATTCTGGGGGCAATCAGTCAAAAGTGAGTGAAATGTCCTAGCATCTTCCTTTTAAAATAAAGCAAAGCATGCTGTTTGAAAATACTACCTCAATGAACCTTTTAACATTAAAAGTAAAATGCTGCACATGATACACTTATAAAATCTGTGAGTCTTAAACTGGGTCTCTATATCTTTGAATCACCCAGAAAATTTTGACAGTGGAGACAATTATTTTAAACATTTCAGGATTTGGACTGCCTAACTCCCCCTCAGTTTTCAGAATAATTAAGATGGCAAATAAAAATAAAGATAAGAACTTTGAGGTTTTTAGTAAAACATGTCCCATCAAGCCTAGTGGCTATGGACTTCGGGAAATAGGTATGTCTGAATCTCCATATGAGCTCTAGCATTTATATTCCTATGACCTTGATCAATTTAACTTCTCTAAGCCTCAGTTTCTACCTGTGTAAAAATAGGACAAAGCGAGACACTATATGTGAAGTTCTTAGCACTATATCTAGCGCATAATGAGAGTTCAAGAATATGGCAGAGAGCCTCTGAGTTTGCCAATATTCTGTGTGCTCCCCTACACTTCCCCAAATCCCCTGATGTTAGTTGAAACCAATGGACTATAAGCCTATGTGTCACATCTGGACTGAGGTAGTTAAAAGCTGGTGCATGTCCTCTCTCTCTCCCTCTGCCACAGTGACCTTGAAAGCCCCATGTTGAGATGGCAGCATCACAAGATAGAGGGATCCTGGATCCCAGAGTTACTGCCTGGAGGAAACCTCCTGCTGAACCACATCATAGTTTGTACAAAGGCACTTCAAACTTTTCCATGTAAAGGCACTGAAGTTTTCCAGATTGTTGGTTGTGATAGCTCACATTAATTATCCTGGTACACCTAGTGATTGAGATACACATATATTTTCATGCAACTCAACAAACCACAGTTTTTCTACCAGAAGCCCATTTTCGTGATGCTGACTCACAGTTTCTCTGAGTAGGAAATTCAAAGAAGTCTTTATAGCTCAGGCATAACTTGTCTCCTCTTGACCTGTAAGAGGCAAAGCTTATTTTAAGGGTCTTACTTCAAGCCAGCTAGTTACCAAGTCATTGGGAAGAATCTGACTACCTGATGGTTATGAGCTTGCTCTGTGTCTGCCATGGTTTCCAAATTCTCTCCTCAGATTATTCCTTCATCCCAGAAGCATATATAAGTCTCCACAGTCAAATGTAATATTCTTTTGCTTAAAAGTAAATGTAAGACCTGAATGAAAGCTGGGTGTATTGATGTCTTAGGGTTTCCATAACAAAGTACCACACATGGGTGACTTAAACAACAGAAATAAATTTTCTTACAGTTCTGGAGGCGAGAAGTCTGAGTTCAAGGTGTCAGCAGCGTTGATTTCTTCTGAGGCCTCTATCCTTGGCTTATAGATGGCCATCATTTCCCTGTTCTCACATCATCTCCTCTCTGTACCTGCCTGTGTCTGAATTTCCTCTTCTTATAAGGACAACAGTTGAATTGGATTAAAGACCACACTAAATACCTTATTCAAACTTAATTACCTGTGTAAAGACCCTATCTTAGAATAAAGTCTCATTTTGAGGTACTGGGGGTTAGGGCTTCAACATATGAATTGTGGGGAGACACATTTCAGCCCATAACACTGGCAACCAAGATTTCTGTGAGAAGTGAAGCCAAAATATTGAAGTTCCTACCTTTGGGCTCACTGCATGAATCTGAGACAGGCACAGTGAGTGAACATAGTGTGGACTAACAGCCAGATTTTTGGAGCCAATTACAAGGCAGTAGCAGCTAAGTCAGTCTGCAGAGGGTTAAAATCAGCTAATTTAAATAATCTCAGGATTGATCATTGATGTATCTAGAGCCAGTTCGAAGGATATAGCATTTAAAATGTAACTTAAGAAATAGGAGTACAATCTGCACTTTCACTTTCATGCTTTTGTTTAGTTTGTTTTCATCACTCAGCTGGAACTGGAAAACAAAATCCACGTATTTACTGATTAAGCTTGAGTGGTTGGTGGACATGCCTTCCTCAGGGGCATGCTTCCAGACCTGCTGAGGAACAACTGCATCCACATAAATAAAGCTTAGGCCATAATCTTTTCAAATGAGAGGAAAATATTTCCATTTAAATTGGGTTTGCTGCACTTTATAAACTTGTAAAAGACCAATTTGGGGTTTCACATATCTTTTAGGGTCATTTCCCTATTTCAAACTCATGCATATGTGTAAAAACATGAAAGGAAGCTAAATCAAGACTCTTGGAGCAGGGAGATGTGATTAATTGCTGGCCTTTTTAAGACAAGTCACTACACAAAGCTAAGTAATAAATTAATAATGCCTCAGAGCTAACAAAGATGGCTTGCCTAAGAGGCAGACGATAATTTGTAAAGGGCTTTGCAGGCAAAATGTCTCAGACAGCCCTTGGGAGGTGAAAACAATTGGGAATAACATCCACAGACAGCCTTTGCTTATTACTGTAAGAAATTTAACAAATGAGTCTCAGATCCTGGAGCTAATTCCAGGTTCGATTAGAAAGAAGACTCTTTTCTTTTGACCAGCACAGAGTTTGGGCAGGGATGGAGGATGAGGGGGGCAGCGACTATTTTGTTTTGGTGTTGGGGAGATGGGGGGCAGGGGCTCCTACAAAAGCCTGAGTAGTCTGAGCTAACATTCTAAGTACTTGTGGATGGTTCAGAAGCCTGCAAGCAAGCACTAAGGAAAACAAAGCAAGGCCAGAGTCTGTGAGATGGAGGAAGGGGTTATGCTGCAGTTTGCAGCCGGGGAGTGAGTCTGCAGCCTCCTGGAGTCTACAGGGCAGCCCAGGCCCTGCTCATCCAACAGCTGGGAGCATCCCCTCTGCACCCATACTCCCCCAGCAGCCTCACCCTGGCCAAGCAGGCTCTGCTCCCAGGCTGGTGGCTGGGTCAGTAAGGCTGCAGAGAGCCTTCATCCCACCCGGAGGAGACCTGGAGGGACTCTCGTTTCACTGGTTGAGTTTGCCTGTTTTCCCCAAATGCACCAAAGAGAAACAAAATCACATTCTGATATCAGGTCCCAAGCATCAGTGGCTTTCTTACAGCTACTCATTGCTACTCATTCCCTGAGGTCGACTTGTGCTTATCACAGATGCATAACATTTTTGTGCCTTGGTTACTCATGGGTTTGTTATGGAGTTTTAATTGGGTAATATTTATAAAATACTTACTATATGCCTGGCACGTTGTAAGGGCCAGAGAGATGTTTCTCAAAGAAATAAGTCACAGAGACAGATAAGATCTGCCTGCTGCTGGGATCCACTGATGGCTTCCAGCAGGGCAGTGGGGGCCAGGCTGTGGGCCTGTGGTGCACAGTGACAGCAGCAGATCCCTAACCCAGCCTCACATTATGTCACTGAGCAAAAAAACCCAGAGCACTGTGGGAACAGCACTGCTCTCAGGATTGAGAGTGCTGAATTTGAGTCCTGACTTCATCAGGAATGCGTCCTGTGCATGTCAGCCAGCCACGCCACTTTTGTGGGCCTCCATTTACTCATTGGTAAAAGGAGAGCTGGAGAGTAGTTTTTCAAATGTTTTCAGCTGCCAAACCTTTTCTTCAACCCAAAATTGAAGTGGAAGCCCAAGGAGCTGAGTCTTGTGTTAGGAGCAGGAATGAGGGTGGCCCCACTCCCCACCCTCCACCCACCCAAGGGCCTTGCCCAGGGAGCATAGCTTAAAATCTGCAGCCTAAAACAGTGCTGCTCAAGTTTCAATGTGCTTCGACATCACCCACATCTTGTTAAAACACAGATTCTGATTCAGAAGTTGAGGAGAGAGCCAGGGCCTGAGGTATAAGATTCTGCATCTCTATTAAGCCTCCAGGGGATGCTGGCACTGCTGGTCCACAGGACACTCTTGGAGAAGCGAAATAAACTCTATTTAGCTCTTAATCTCTATACATTTTTCCAACCCTAACCAAGGGCACATCACTACATGGGTTCCCCTCCAGTGATGGTTCTCAATGGAGTGTAGAGATACTAAGCATTGGTGCTCACTCCCTTTCTCTCTGTTTAGAAATTTATAGGGGCAACTTGGGATGCTGTGGTGATTAGGTCAAAGCTGGCACTGCAGATTGAAGCCCAGGAAGGGATAGGTGTTCCACGAAACATGGAGCTATGCTACCCACATGGCAAAGAATTTTCCCCCATTCTTTTCTTTGACCTCAGTAGCTAAGAAAAATCTTTTCCCCCTCCCTTCTTTGACCTTTTATTTTGGAAAATATTCATAACTACAGAAAAGTTATAAGAGCTCAGGGAACAGACACAGTTTTTTCACCTCTATTCTCCAATTGGTGATATTTTGGCACATTTGCTTTATCATTTTCTCTGTGTGTATATATACAAAAGTTCTCTTTTTCTCTGTGGCTGAATCATTTGAGATTTAATTACAAACATCATAATACTTCACTCTTAAACATGTCAGCTTATCTTTCCTAGTAACACGGACATTTTCTTACATAACTACAGATACGAAGGAAATTTAATATTAATGCAATTCTATTTTACATTAATAAGTTACAGCCTATACTTATAAATTTTCCAAATTAACCAATAATGTCCTTTTTTTAAATTATACTTTAAGATTTAGGGTACATGTGCACAACGTGCAGGTTAGTTACATATGTATACATGTGCCATGTTGGTGTGCTGTACCCATTAACTCGTCATTTAACATTAGGTATATCTCCTAATGCTATCCCTCCCCCCTCCCCCCACCCCACAACAGGCCCCAGTGTGTGATGTTCCCCTTCCTGTGTCCATGTGTTCTCATTGTTCAATTCCCACCTATGAGTGAGAACATGCGGTGTTTGGTTTTTTGTCCTTGTGATAGTTTGCTGAGAATGATGGTTTCCAGCTTCATCCATGTCCCTACAAAGGACATGAACTCATCCTTTTTTATGGCTGCATAGTATTCCATGGTGTATATGTGCCACATTTTCTTAATATCCTTTCTAGATTCACTTTATTACATATTGACAGATTATAGTTGTATATATTTGTGGGATACAAAGTGATGTTATGATTTAAAAATAAAAGGTAGAATGATTAAATCAAGCTAACTAACATATCCATCACATCAAATATTTAACATTTTCTGTGATCAGAACATTTGAAATTTACTATCTTAGCAATATTGAAAATTATAGTAATAAATTGTTAGCTATATTCACCACACTGTGTAATAGATCTCCAAACACAACAAAACAAAACAAAACAAAACAAAACAAAACAAAACAAACTTACTCCTCCTATTTAACTGAGGCTTTGTAACCTTTGACCATCAACTCCCCATTTTCCCAACCCCCAGCCTCTGGTAACTACCATTCTGCTCACTGCTCTTATCAGTGAGATTGTTTTATTATTCCTCATGTAAGTGAGAATATGCAGTATTTATCTTCTTGTGCATGGCTTATTTCATTTAACATAATGTCCTTCAGTTTCATCAGTGTCACAAATGACAGGATTTCCTTCCTTTTAAAGGCTGAATAGTATTCCATTGTGTCAATATACCACATTTTCTTTACCCATTGATTTGTTGATGGTCATTTATGTTGATTCCATCTCTTGGCTATTATGAATAGTGCTGCATCAACACTGTAGTACAGATATCTCTTCAACACACAATTTATTTCAATTGACTTCAAGTATTTTCAATTGATTTCAGTTCCTTCCAGTAAATACCCAGAAGTGAGATTGCTGGATAATACGGTATTCTATTGTTAATTTTTGTGGAACCTCTCTACTGTTTTCCATAATGGCTGTCCTAATTTACGTTCCCACCAACAGTGTACAAGGGTTCTTGTTTTACTGCATCTTTGTCAGCACTTGTTATCTTTTGTCTTTTGAATAGTAGCCACTCTAACAGGTATGAGATGATATCTCAGTATGGATTTAATTTGCATCTTTCTAATAATTAGTGATATCAAGTATCTTTTTATATATCTGTTAGTGATTCATATCTTCTTTTGAGAAATGTCTATTCAAGTTCCTTGCCCGTTTCTTAATTGGATATTTATTTTCTTTTTTAGAGTTGTTTGAGTCGCTTATTTTGAATATTAATCTCTTATCAGATGTATGGCATGCCAGTATTTTTTCCCAATCTGCGGGTTCTGTTAATTGTTTCCTTTGTTGTGTAGATGCTTTTTATTTGATGTAATCCCAATTGCCTATTTTTGCTTTTGTTGCCTGAGTTTTTGGGGTCTAAAACATCTAAATAATCTAAAAACATATTGCCTAAATAAATGAAATATAGCTTTTCCCATGTTTTCTTCTAGTAGTTTTACAGTTTCAGGTCTTATGTTTAAGTCTTTAATCTACTTTGAATTGATTTTTGTATATGGTGTGAGGTAAAGGTCTAATTTCATTCTTTTGCATGTGGATAGCCAATTTCCCAACATCATTTCTTGAGGAGACTATTTTTTCCCATTGTATATTTCTAGCACCTTTGTCAAAAATCATTTGACTGTGGATGCATTTCTGAGTTCTCTATTTTGTTCCATTGGTCAACGTGTCTAGTTTTATGCCTGTACCACGCTGTTTTAATTACTATCATTTTCTAGTATAGTTTGAAATCAGGTAGTATGATGACTCCAGCTTTGTTCTTGTTGCTTATGATTGCTGTAGCTATTCAGAATTTTTTTGTGGTTCCATATAAATTTTATAATTTTTTTCACATGTATAAAAAATGGCATTGAACTTTTGATAGAAATTGCATTTAATATGTACAACACTTTGGGTAGTATCGACATTTTGATAATATTAATTATTTTAATCCAAGAACAAAAGATAGTTTTTCATCTATTTGTGTCTTTTTCAATTTCTTTTATCAATGTTTTATAGTTTTCAGTGTACATATCTTTCACTTCCTTGATTAAACTTATTCCTAAGTATTTTATTTCATTATTTTTTGTAGCTATTTTAAGTGGGATTGTTCTCTTAAGTTCCTTTCTGGAAAGTTTGTTGTAAGTAAAGAGAAATGCTACAGATTTTTGTATGTTGATCTAGTATCTTGCAACTTTACTTAGATTATCATCTCTAACAGGTTTTTTTTGGTGGAATTTGTAGGGTTTTCTATATATAAGACCATAACATCAGCAGACAGCAACAGTTTTACTTCCTTTCCTATTAGGATGCCTTTTATTTCTTTTTCTTGTTTTGTTGGAGTTCCAATACTACATCGAATAGAAGTGTAGATTAGATATCCTTATCTTTCTCTGAGTCTTAGAGGAAAGAGTTTTGATTTTTTTATCATTGAGTATAATCTTAGCTATGGACTTATTATATATGGTCTTCATTATGCTGAAGTACATTCCTTCTATACCTAATTTGTTGAATATTTTTATCATGAAAGTTGAATTTTGTCAAATACTTTCATGGATCTAATGAGATGATCATATGGTTTTTCTCTTTTTGTTCCGTCAACGTGGTATATCACATTTATTGATTTGCAAACCATAAATCATTCTGCATTCCAGGGATAAATCCTACATGATCATGGTGAATGATCCTCTTAATGTATTGTTGAATTCAGTTTGCCAGTATTTTGTTGAGAATTTTTGCATCTCTTCATCAATGGTATTAACCTGTAGTTTTCCTGTCTTGGGAGGTCCTTGTCTGGCTTTGAAATCAGGGTAATGCTGGCTTCATAAAAAGAGCTTCATAGTGTTCCCTCCTTTTCAGTTTTTTGAAAAGTTTATAGCGAATTAGTATTAGTTCTTCTTTAAATGTTTGGTGGAATTCAGCAGTAAAACTCCCAGGTCAAGGGCTTTTCTTTGATGGGAAAGTTATTACTGATTTGATCTCACTTGTTATTAGTCTGTACAGATTTCCTATTTCTTCATGATTCAGTCTTGGTAGATTGCATGTGTCTAGGGATTTATCCTTTTTTTAGGTTATCCAATTTTTGGCATGTAATTATTCACAGCAGTCATTTATGATCCTTTGTATTTCTGTGGTGTCAGTTGTAATGTCTCTGCTTTCACTTGAAATTTTGTTTACTTGGAACTTTTCTCTTTTTTCTTGATTAGTCTAGCTTTTGTTAAGGTTTGTCAGTTTTGCTAATCTTTAAAAAAAACAACTCTTAGTTTCATTGTTCTTTTATATTGTTTTATGAGTCCCTGTTTCATTTATTTCTGCTCTGATTTTTATTATTTATTTCTTTTTGCTAACATTAGGCTTACTTTGTACTTCCTTTTCTATTTCCTTGAGGCATAGCACTAAGTTGTTTATCTGCAATCTTTCTTCTCTTTTGACGTAGGCATTTATTGCTTTAAATTTTTTTCTTAGAACTGCTTTTGCTAAACCCATAAGTTTTGGTATGTTGTGTTTCTATTTTCATTTGTCTCAAGATAATTTTAAATTTCCATTTTAATTTCTTTATTGACCTATTGGTTATTCAGGAGCATGTTGTTTAATTTCCATGTATTTGTGAATTTTCTAAAATTTCTTCTGCTATTGATTTCTAGTTTCATACCATTGTGGTCAAAAAAGTACTTGATATGACTTCAGTCTTCTTAAGTTTACTAAGACTTGTCTTGTGGCCTAACATATGATCTATTCTGGAGAATGTTTTATGTACTTGAGAAGAATGTGTATTCTGTTGATGTTAGATGGAATGCTCTATATATGTCTGTTAGATCCATTTGTTCTTGAATGCTGTTTAAGTCCGATGTTTACTTGTTTATTTTCTCTCTGCATGATTTGTCCATTACCAAAAGTGGTATATTGAAGTCCCCTACACTATTATTCTATTGCAGTCTATATCTCCTTCAGATTTTTAAATATTTGCTTTATATATTTAGGTGTGCCATTATTGCATGCATATATATATATATATATATATATATATTTTTTTTTTTTTTTTTGAGATGGGGGCTCACTCTGTCACCGAGAATGGAGTGCAGTGGCTTGATCTTGGCTCACTGCAACCTCTGCCTCTTGGGCTCAAGTGAATCTCTGAGTATCTGGGACCACACATGCGCCACCATACACGTGTTTGTATTTTTGGTAGAGGTGGGGTTTTGCCATGTTGCCAGGCTGGTCTCAAACTCCTGACCTCAGCTTAAGCGATTTGCCTACCTCGGCCTCCCAAAGTGCTGGGATTACAGGCATGAGCCACTGCACCCAGCCATCATGCATATATATTTGCAATCATTTTATCCTGTTGATGAATTGACCCCTTTACCATTATAAAATGTCCTTCTTGGTCTCGTTTTTACAGTTTTTGACTTAAAATCTATTTTGTTTAATTTAACTATTGCTATCCCTGCTCTTTTTTGGTTTCATTTATATAAAACATTTTTCTATTCCTTTACTTTCAGACAATGTGTGTCCTTAAAATTGAAGTGAGTCTCCTATAGGCAGCATAGAGTTGGGTTTTGTTTTTAAATCCCATTCATTCACTCTATGTCTTTTTTTAAAAAAAAATTAAGACAACATTCATGGCACATTTAATCAGGAATTCCAAATTAGTGCTACAAACACTAAAAGTATAATGTTTTATTAATATAAATATCACCCCTCACTGACATAAGCAAAAAAAAGCTCAATTATGTGGAAAGAAATGTTTACCCAAAGAGGTGCCTTCCGCTTATAAACACAGACTATATCACATAGCATATCAGTTCTCAAAAGGAAGTAATTCTAGATCTAAAGCTTCTTCTGTAAGTAACATCAGGTTTATGGACCTGTATGGAAGAAAAGTGGCTACAAAAAAAGGACATGACTATTTTTCTAATATCGTTGTCGCGTGCAAACATTAGCATAAGTTTTACACATTCTTCAAAATACACATACATGCATAGAAAAGTCACATTTGCCTTAGGCTTTCTAAGATTGTGCTACACTAAGTTATGGATAAAAGACTATGTGTTGCTTCACCTTTAAAATAAAAAGATTTTCAGTACAAAGAAGAAAATGACACACTGACTCTGCATCTGGATTCAGTGTAATAAGTAGTAATTGTATCTCATTACAGGCAGATTTCCTCCAACCATTTAAAAAGTTACTTCCTATCATAATTCAATTTTTTAATTCCAAACTTTAGAACTACATATAACCTCAGGATTTAGCTGAAATTGTACTATCTGATTATTTTGTAAATTAGCAAAGCTAAAAATTCTAGCTTGAATAATTTCTTCATAGTATAAGGGATAGTATTTTATAGTAATAAAATTATTCTTAAAGTCAATAGTTATCATTTATTGAACACTTTTTATGTGTGCTCTACAAACTCATTTACACCCACCTCAATCCTCAGAAATAGATA
Organism: Homo sapiens; assembly: GCF_000001405.40. Taxonomy (NCBI): domain Eukaryota; kingdom Metazoa; phylum Chordata; class Mammalia; order Primates; family Hominidae; genus Homo; species Homo sapiens. The sequence goes on along the minus strand of NC_000004.12, from coordinate 53,756,970 downwards.
CTATTGTCATTTTAGGAAAAACAGATTCGAAATTTAAATAACTTGCTTAAGGTCAGAGACAGCAGACGTAGGATTCAAACCTTAGCCTTTCCCACTCCAAAGTCAAGGCTCCTAATTCTCCTTGAGGACACTAAGATTTGTAAAAGAAATCTTCAGGGTCAAAGTGGTAAAAGGGTGTCCTGTTGGTAAATGCAGTGCTGAGATCTGTTTTAGAGAAGTGACCAGTACCAAAAATAAAAAAATGGTTAGTAACATCAAAGAAATCCTGCCAGAGAGTTTATGTGCAGCACATATGTTGGGTTCTGTAAACTTGAATGAAATTTGAAGTATAATGTTACTAGAGGCCTTCCAAACTTCATTTCTTTTTATTGAATAACTTAACCCATTTACAATCAAGGTAATTATTGACAGGTAAGGACTTGCTACTGCCATTTTGTTAATTATTTTCTGATTGTTTTGTAGAGACTGTTTCTTTCTTCATCTTTTGCTGTCTTTTTTTGTGGTTTGATAGTTTTCTTTAGTGATGTCTTATGAATCTTTTTCATTTTGTATTGTGTTTCTTATAAATGTTGATTTTGGTTACCATGAGGCTTACATAGAATATCTTATACTTAACATTGTATTTCAAGCTGATAACAACTTAACTTTGATTGTATAAAATAACGCTACATTTTACTATCCCCTCCAACATTTTATGTTTTTGATGTCTGAATTTACATTATGTTATAATATGTATCCCTTGACCATTTATCTTAGGTAACATTGTTATTAATAATTTTGTCCTTATACTAGAGATAAAATTACACTAGAGATAAACACTTATACTAGAGATAAAATTACTTTACACACTACTATGATAATCCTAGAGTATTCTGACTATTTCTCTATACTACTTATACCATTAAGTTTTGTACTTTCATAAGTTTTATGTTATTAATTAGCAGATTTTCGTTTCCATTAATAAAAATTTTAGCAATACCTATAAAGAAGGCCTAGTGGTGATGAACTCTCTTAGCTTCTGTTTGTGTGGGAAAGTTTTTATTTCTCATTTCTGAAAGACAGTTTTGCTGGGGAAAGTACTCTTGGTTGGCAGTTTTTTTCTTTCAACATTTTGAATGTACCATCCCACTCTCTCCTGGCCTGTAGGGTTTCTGCTGAAAAGTATACTGATAATTATATTGGGACTCCTTTGTATGTGGTACATTTATTGTCTCTAACTTCTCTCAGAATTTTTTCTTTGTTTTTGATGCTTGATAGGTTGATTATTATGTGTCTTGGTGAACTCTTCTTTGGGATGAATTTGATGGGAGACTTCTGCACTCTCTGTACTTGGATTTTGGCTTCTTTCCTCAGATTAAGAAAATTTGCATCAATTATTCCTTTAAATATGCTTTCTGATCCCATTTGTTTTTCTTTTCCTTCTTGAATTCCTATTATGCATAGGTTACATCTCTTGATGGTGTCCCATGATTTTCATAGGCTTTCTTTGTATTATTTCCTTTGCTCCTTTGATGAAATAATTACAGATACTTTGTCTTCAAGCTCATTAATTCATTCTTCATTTGACTGAACCAGTCATTGAAGCTTTGTATTGCATTTTTTATTTCAGTTGTTGTATTCTTAATGTCTGGAATTTCTACTTTTTTATCATCTCTATTTCTTTGTTTAACTTCTCATTGTGTTCATGTATTGTTTTCCAAATTTTATTTAATTTTTAATTTGTATGTTGAGGTTCACCAAACTTTTTAAAGAGGATTATTCTGAATTATTTTTCTGTCATTTCCATAGATCTGCCTTTCTTTAGGGTCTATTGTTGGAGCTTTGTTAGTTTCTTTTTGAGATGTCATGATTTTCCTAGTCTTTGTCATCCCTGTGTACTTGCATTGGTGTTTGCACGTTTGCAGAGACAGCCACCTTTTCTAACTTTTATAGGTGTTTCTTGGCAAGGTTAGAACTTCATTATTTAGTCTAGCTTATAATTCTGGATGGGCCAGATGGTAATAACCCTGGATTACTTTCAGGTTATCTAGATGACTGGGTTGCTGCCTTTGCCCTGAATTCAGGTGGGGCACCTGGCTGGGCTCTGCTACCTGGCAAGATCACTGGTTGAGCTCTGCAATTAGGCTGAGCTTCTGGATGGGCACTGCAATCATCTCTAATCTGACAGGGCCACAGGATGAATTCCCTAGCCAGAGGTGCTGTTATTTGAGTTCAGCAATTGAGGATCCCCAAGTTTCAGTGGATCAGGATAAATAGATCAGCTGCTCTGTTCAGTAAAAAATGCATGGTTGAGATTTGCCTCCGTCCCTGGGCAAGGTATGAGGAGGGCTTTGAGGACACAAGGAGCACTGACTAAGCTCCCAGGTGTGGCAGAACTAGTGCCTGACTTTTTGTCAAAATTTGCTGAGGTAGGGGGATCTTCTCCCTCCCCGGGCAAAGCCCTAGCATAGGGTCTGAAGCTGGTCATCTGCGGATTAAACCAAGTAGCACTTCCTAATTCTTCTAGGAGCTACTAACTATGCTTGGTAGATGTGCTATGCTGTTAGCTGATGCCACTGATCAAGCACCTCTGCTGGCAGGTACATTGAGCTATCACAAAAATCTGTGCTCTCATCTCTGTGGGCTCTGCCTTCTTGCTTTGTTTCTACCTGATCTCAGGTGTCACTGAGAGGTGTGCAGTTTACCCCTACATTTCCCATTCTCTGTGAGGTGACAATAAATGGGTTTCCTGGGAAGGGTTTTGCAACGCTAGGGAAGCTGGATGTCTGCTTCCCCAGACTGGGGGGTGTCTTTTCCCACTGTAGAAATCATGGGCCCTAGGGAATCCTCTCTGTTGGTGCTGTGCCTACTTGGGGGAAGACGAGGGGCAATGCAGTCAAAGCAATAATGTTTCTGCTACCCTTTCAATATGGATTTTTATTCAGCTTTGTGGTACACATAGCTGACTCTGGCTTATTTCCATGTTTGGGTGGTTTTACCTAGATGTTTTTGTCTGTGGATAGTTGCCACTTGATCTTTCCATTGAGGGAGTGAAGCATAGGACCACCTATTTTACCATCTTGCTGATTTCACTTCCTTTCTAGATTTTTTCAAAAGTTCTGAATATAATCAAAAGACTTGCCCATATGGCTTCCTAATGTCCTACTAGATGTTAAAGTAGGTAAAAAAGAAACAAATAAACTTTTGGTTCAAGCCTAGAACTTAAATTTATTTAATAAGTAACCACAAAGAAACTTTTCCATAGTATTAACAATCATTAAATTTTACACAAATGCAATTATGGGTAAATCAAGAGAAAATTTAGTATGTTTTGTCTGGAAATTTAGGTAAAGTTGTTCACCATTTTGAAAAATCACATCTCTAATGGTAATGCTGCTTTTGGTGTTTGAGTTGCCAAATAGCACACCTGTATCAATCTGTCTCTCAAGCATTCACAGTGATCCTACATGCAGGGAGAAGTATTGACTATTTTATTATGTCATCCATTTTATGCCTACTTATTTACTTTATTAAAGATGCATGCTAAAACACACATTATTTATTGAAAGTTGTTTTATTTTTGTTTCTCTTTTACTTTACAGTTGGGACATTGTGTTGGGTTTTTAAAAGTAATATATGTAGGTATAAAAGCAATAAATTTCATTTCAGGATAATAGATACAGTGGTATGATGCCATTATTATAAAAAAGAATTGTTTACCCCTACTAGAAATCTAAAATTGAAAATACTGACTATACCAAATGTTGGTGAGCATGGGGAGCAACTGGAATGCTCATACACTGCTAGCGGGAATGCAAAATGGTACCATCTCCTTAGAAAACTGTATGACAATTTCTTTGAAAGTTACACGTACACCTACTATATGAGTGAGACATTCTTTTCCTAGAGACTTATTCAAGGGAACCGAAAGCATTTGTTTGATGACATCTACATGAATATTCATAGCAGTTTTATTTGTAATAGCCCAAACTGGAAGCAACCCAAATGTCCATCAACAGGTAAATAGATAAACAAAATTGTAGTATATCCACACAATGGAATTCTACTAAGCAATAAAAAGGAATCAACTATTGGTACACACAAAGCATAAGTAAATTTTAAATAATGTTGCTGAGTGAAAGCAGTCAAACAAAAAAAGTACATACACACAATTATTCCATTTATATAAATTCTGGAAAACACAAACTAACCTAAAGGGATTGAAAGTTAATTAGTGGTTGCCTTGGAATGAAGCAGTGGGGTGGGATGGGTGGGCAGGGGCATGAGGGAAAAATTATGAAAGGACAGGAGAAAACCTTTGAGGGTGATGGCTGTGTTTATTATAATATCTTGATTGTGATGACAGTTTCACAAATATATATATATATATAAAATGTCAAAACTTATCAGATTGTATACTTTAAATGTATGATTTTTTAATATGTCGATTATATCTGAATAAAACTATTAAAGTAAAAAAGGGGACTTTTGTAAATACCCACCCTATTAAATAGAGCTCATACAACATCCTCCACAATCTAGATCCTTACTGCCTTTGTTTAAATAACCATTCTTCTGGGTGGTGGATCTCAACAGTCTAAGTTAATTAGGGTGGTTTTATTCCTTGTTTCCCCAGGGAATGGATTGGGTGTGGCCATAAATAACCATTCTGGACAATGAGATATGAGGGAAAGTCATGAGGAGGCTTCTGAGAAATGTTTACTTCCTTAGAAGAAAGAAACAGAAAGGGAAGTACCCTTTTCTTTCTCTTGACATAGGTGTGTCCAGATGTGATGTGTGAAGTTTTTGCAGCCATCTTATGACCACGAGGGATAGCAATTTGCGAACATAGCTAATACATGGAGGAAGGCAAAACAGAGATGAAAGAAACCGGGTCCTTTATATCGGGAGTCCCCAACCCTGGGCTACGGACTGGGCCACACAGCAGGAAGTGAGCAGTGGGGGAGCAAGCATTACCACCTAAGCTCTACCTCCTTTCAGGTCAGTGGCAGTATTAGATTCTCAAAGGAGCACGAACCCTGTTGTGAACTGTGCACGTGAGGGATCTAGTTTGCATGCTCCTTATGAGAATCTAACTAATGCCTGATGATCTGAGGTGTAACAGTTTCATCCCGAAACCATCCTGCAACCTAGCCTGTGGAAAGATTGTTTTCCACAAAACCTGTCTCTGGTGCCAAAAAGATTGGGAGCTGCTGCTTTATAACATTGTCCAACTGTTGAATTAATGAGCCTGCAATATCTCTAGACTCTATATTATGTTATGTAATAAGTACCTTTATCATGTAAGGCTATTGAGTTTAGGTTTTTACTACATGCAGCCAAAAGCATTCTAACTGATATACGCCTGATCTTTTTAAGACTCAGCTCAAGCACTGCCTCTCCCAAGAAGGCTTCCCTGATAGCTGCTGTCTTCTGTACCTAGACTGGGTTACATACCCCTGCTCTGTATTCTCAGGACATCCTCTTATGGCCATTTTTTTTTGTGGTGTATGTAATTATCTATCTACAGTTCTCCCCCTGCATTGGACTGGCAACATCTCAGGACAGGACCATGTTTTCTTTATCTCTATTTTACCAAAACCTAAAGAGTAATTAACACATAGTAGGCATGTAATGTATACAGATGAACTGAATTGAAACTCTCCTGCTCACCTTATCCTACACTAACCAATAGGTCTCGCTGCCTTCCAGTCATTCCCAGCCTACATAATTCTCATACCTAAGAATTTCCTTCTTCTCTACTTCAATCTTTTGTAGTTTCTTTTCCCTGACATATTTAGAAAATGTAGTTATATTTGAGGTCTCCCTGAACTTACAAAAGGCCATACTCCAGGTGTGCCCCTGCAGGCTGGGAGGGAAGAAGGAAAAGGGGCTTGTCTCTTTCCCCACGTTTTGGGCATTGCCTCTCCAATTTCTACCCACGGTGACCTTGGCTCTTGGGGGGAGCAGCAGCTGTTCTGTCCACAGTGTGACAGCAGACTGAAAGAACTTTGAGTTTTCACCTGTTCTCCCCTGTCCCCTCCTTCAAGGCCCCTTGGCATTATGTTACTGCACATTTTGGCCCAAGTCTGCCAAGATTTCTAAGTTCTCAGTATTTGATTCTTTTCTATATCTTGCTATTTTGCAACAGCACCAACTCCAATGACACTGACAGGTAATGTTTTCCTGCCTCCCAGATCATTACCAGTGAAAAAGATGTAAGCCCAGAACAGGCCAACCCCCCAACCCCCACTACTCCCAGGGGCTTCGGCTGGATATTTTTCTCCCCCTCCCTGGAACCTCGGGCTGGAGGCAACACCATTCATCATTTTTTTGGCTGCAAATTCTGCAATATTATGGTTTCCATTTTTGGAAAAAAAGACTTCTTTTTAAAATTTATAGTATAAAATGGCATAGTCTCTTTCCCCTTCCCTTTTTTTATTCCCCTCTCTCTCTGTCTTCTGTATCTTTCCAGATTAGTGCCTAAAAACACAGACTCTGAAATGAAATGATCTGATTTGGGATCCTTGTTTTATCACTGAATAGCTAAGTAGTCTTTGGAAATAAACCTTCTGTACCTCGGTTCCTTCAGCTCAAAAGTGGTGATAATTGTTCTATACCTATCTCATAGAGTGGTTTTAAGTGTTAAAACATAACATAAAAAGGGCTTATAAGGATGCGTAGTACAAGGTAAGTACAATATAGGTGTTAAATGTTATATTACTACTACCACTACCACTGATACCATAGCTAGCATTATTGAGGGCATACTATTTATTATGTGCCTGATATTTACTATGCTAAACTCTTTAAAAACACTGGTCTCTTAAATTTGTATTAAGTCTTAAGAGGTGATTGAAAAAAAGTTTTTGAATGCTCTGTGGAAGGCACTTTTATATGCTCTTTACTCTGATTTTATTATGTAATTTTCACTACAACCCTATAAGGTAGTTATCATTAAGGTGCAGCCGTCACAGATGATGAAACTGAGGCACAGATTAAATGGTTTGCCAAAAACCAAGTCTTAAATTTATATCTCTCTAAACCGGTGGTTCTCAAATATTAATACACATCAGAATCACCTGGTGGGCTTATTAAAACACTGATTGCTGGACTCCAGCTCCAGAGTCTCTGATTCAGTAAGTGTGGGTGGGGTCTGAGAATTTGCATTTCTGGTAAGTTCCTGGGTGACGTTGACACTGCTAGTCTGGGAGACGGGGTTTCCTATTCTGAGATCCACTGTATTTTTTTTTTTTTTTTTGAGACGGAGTCTCGCTCTGTCACCCAGGCTGGAGTGCAGTGGTGTGGTCTCAACTCACTGAGCCTCCCAAGCTCAAGCGATTCTTGTGCCTCAGACTCCTAAGTAGCTGAATCTACAGGTGTGTGCCACCATGCCCGGTTAATTTTTGTATTTTTAGTAGAGACAGGATTTCACCATGTTGGCCAGTCTGGCCTCTAACTCCTGACCTCAGGTGATCCTCCCACCTCAGCCTCCCAAAGCGCTGGGATTTCAGGTGTGAGCCATTGTGCCTGGCCAACATCCGCTGTATTAATGGCAAGTGCTGCTTTACCGTTAAAACAGGCACAATCCATAGTTGATATCTTGAATTTTGCCAACTATCTTAACTAGGAGTCATATTTCTCATCACAGGAACTGAAGAAAATAATTTATGTTCATCACTCCACTCACAGTGTCCTGGGGACATTATGAGTTCAGTTCAGTCTTCCTTACATGCTGGCTTCCAGCTAGCACTCAAGGAAACGGACTCTCACTTAGCATCCCATTCTCTGGTTATGGTGATCTCTTTGTTTTGATTTATATTATTTCATTATTTTCTGTCTTTTTCCACAAAGATGTTATTTATTTCACCAGCTGTCCTTGCAAATGGACCATGAGTCTGAGCACTGAAGCTGCTGACATTGTAGATTTTAAAGGCCCTTACGTGGAGAGGCACAGGAAACCCGAGAAAATGAAGCACCACGTTGGTTAAAGGGTTTGGGTGTTTCCCTTATTAACAGTGGATGATCATCAAATATAAGAGATCTCCAGACCATCAGAATAGAGATCCTGAAACTGGCAAACATAATCCATACTAGTTGTGCCAGTTATCAACCCATTTCCTCTCAGCTCCAAATGCATCCATCTTTGCTCTATTGGTGGTAGCGGGACTGGACCCTGTAAACATTTCTCCTTTCCCAACTGCCGAAGTGTTAGCCTAATTGTCAATAGAGGGTACTGGGGTGTTGCTGTAAGGTCATAGCAGAGGAAGAGGCTTATCTTCAGTTATGGTGCTCTTACTCTCTTATGGTACAGCTGTCAGCAAACAGGCAGACAGGAGGCCCAAGTCGTTCACTCTCTAGTGAGTTTCTCCTGCACCCAGCAGACCACTTCCTGTAGACCAGCTGTGACCCCTCAGCTGCCTGCAGGTTGTTTCTTATAAGTCAGCTCCAGTCCCCTGGTACCCCAGCTGGCCATGTCCTGCTCTCCAGCTCAGCCCACCAGCTCGCTCCAGTGAACTTAGCCACCCAGTTTCAGTTCCTGCAAACCAGCTGCAGCTTGCCTGCACCTTCTAGAGTGTCTCAACCACCTAGCAAGCTGTTCCTACAGACCAGCTCTGGCCAAACTTTCTGACAAGTTTCTTTACCACTGAGAGGCTACATGTTTCTGTGTCAGCCACAAGATACCCACTGAGGGCTGAATTCAGCCTTGGAGGAGGGACCTTCTTTCATGTTCTTAATTCTTTATGTTATGTTCTCTCCATTCTAGAGGTAGGAGCTTCTTCTCTATATTCTCTAGTTCTCTTTTAGTAGTTAATTGCATTTTACTAGCTCATAATTCTGTATATTACATTTTTTCTGTTCAAATTACTGGTGTGTAGCTATCTCCTGACTAGACCTTACAGAATTGATACCAGTAGTGGTCCTAAAAGACAGACCCTCACACATGAGATTTGGTACTAGTTTGATCATGATTTTAGGCTTCAGTGCAGAGACAATTTCTTTGCCAGTGGGAAATTGATACTAATAATCCATGGCAGGTAATAGCTTTGCAATTAATCAAACTATGGTAATTGTGATGAAGTGCAAACTAAAGCAAGGACTATGATGTTGGATGGATCCTCTGGAGTGTACTGTAGCATTTACAGAAAGCAAATGACAGGCTAAAATTCCTTTAATTTTCAGTTCAAGTCATGAGTGGCAAACTAGACATTTCTAGGGCAGCCCAAAAATAATCTTTTATTTATTATGGCCACAGGCTGATATTGATAAAAATCAAACATAAAATTTAATTGGGAGGCTTGCAGAATTACAATTTCAGTTGGATTCACAGCCTTGCCAAATTTCTGATGTAAAAGATAGGAAATCAAATGGGAAAGCATGAGACACTGAAACTTGGAGTGAGGCATCAGGTTAGAACTGATTCTAAACACACCCACGTCACTCTGAGCCTCCCTTGCTTGTTCTTCTGTGTTTGGGGAGACCACGCTTTCTTTGGTTGAAAGCCCTGCAGTAACCTCCGCTGGGATAGCAATGTTCCGAGGGGATGCTCATTTTCCACAAGACTACAACAACTGCCCCCGTTGCCACTACACCAATAACTAGGTTCAAATCACAGTGTGCCCCAGATCAGGAACATATGATGACCCAGGAGGAAATGACTTATATACACTGCATGATTTTGCTCATATATATGAGCAGAAACCTAAAAAATATATGTGGAGTAGATTTTGTAAAATATAATGCTAGATCATTATCACTATGTCTTTTCTTTGAGGCATAACCAGGGTCCTTTTTAAAAATGAATAAACAAACAAACAAACTTTATTTTATGGAAGCTATGTGAGGATAGCCCTAATAGAAACTAGTAATGTATTATGATCCTGCAGTATTTGAGACAAAATTATATTAGTACATGAAGAGACAGAATGATTACTGGAACAAAATAGAGCCCAGAGAAATACTTAAGTATGAATGGGAATGTGATTTGTAAAAATGGTGACATTTCAGGTAAGGGTCAAATAATAAATAAATCAATAAATAGTGTGACAATAGACTAGTGATCTGAGGGGATAAAAGAAAGAGACAGGAGAGAGAGAGAGAAAAAAAGGAAGCTGAATCCTTACATCATTTCTTACCTAAAATAAATTTCATCTTGGTCTATTTTTGCAACATAAAAAAAATTATGAAAGCATTAGAATAAAGGCAGTATTTTATTTTCTTGGAATAATAAAGATCTCTTAAAGTGTGACATAAAACCCAGAAGCTATGAAGAATAGATTTATAAATTTGATCACATAAAATGTAACAGAGCAAAACAAAGCCCAAAGACAAAACAATAAACTGAGAAATGTTACTGTCACCCATATTGTAGACAAAGACTGATTTATTTAATTTTACTACTATAAGCTATGAAAGGAAAATAAATCTTGGGACCCCAAACTCACTAAGCCAAAGGGAAAAATCAAGCTGGGAACTGGGTCACACAAACCTGCCTCCCACTTTTTTTCCTAAATAAGATGGCTACACGATGAAAAGCTACACATCTCCCTCATAGTTTGCCCACAAGGAAATTCCTTGTGGGCCCCAAGATCTTTACCTTAAAGCATTTCTGTTAAAATTCACCATGGCAATATAAATTGATAGCTTATCTTCACAGGTGTGGGGACATAGGACAGAACTCAAAGTCATCCCTCTGCCCACCTGACGCAAACGCATATCTTATTGTTTCCTCTGCCCTATTGTCTATGCTATCATATGTAAAAATTCACATTCACTGAGCCAGACAAAGGCATAAGTGACTATTTTTTCCCCTACTGCCCCTCTTGCATGCAAATTGTGTATATCTCAATATCCCCCTCTTTTCCCCTTTAAATTTGAAGCCCTCAAAATCATATTCGAAGAAAGGCATAGACCTGTCTCCCAGGCACACATCCTTAGCTTCGGCAAATAAGCCCCCTAAAATGATTGAGACTTGTCGAGGTCATTTTTCTTGATTGACAAAGCCAAAAAGAAAAACAGGTGAAAACCAAGGAGAAAAACGGACCAAAGATAAAAGCAAGCAGCTCATAATAAAAGACAGCTCATTATAAAGGAAGTACAAGTGGCAATTCACAATACAAATGGATGCCCAACTCTACTTGGAATTCAGGAACATCCATGAAAACAACATAAGGAAAACTGTATGAAGATGGCTGGCACCAAGTGTTGATGAGGGTAGGGAAAGGATAACTTTGGGTGAAAGCACAAATTGATTCAGTCTTTGAAAGTATAGTGAGTCAAATCTATTAAAATTTAAAATGTGTATGCCTTTAGACCTAACTCTAAAACATTTAGGAAAGATATGCTCACACACTTGCACAAGGGTATTTGAACAAGATGCTTACTGCTGTTTGTACTAGTGAGAAAAATGCTGGAAACAAGCTGAATGCCCATCTCTAGAGAACCAGTTAAATAAATCATGTTACACCCACATGATGAAACACAGTAGATCCATTTTAACAATGAGTATAAACACCAAAAGGTAGCTGTAGCATATTAAGTAAAAAAGCAACCTTCTGAAGAGTATGTATTGTGTAATCTCATCTGTGTTTTTAAAAAAGTATATAAATATAAATCTCTAGGAAAAGTCTGGAAGACATACTAAAAATTGTTAACAGTTTTTACCTCTGGTGAATGGGATGGGGGAGGCTGTGTTTGATGAAGAGCATGAGATTCATACTTCTTATTTTTTATAGTACTGAACTGTTTAACTTTAGTAAGTATGATTCAATTTTATATTTAAAAAATAACTTGTCCCCCCATTTTTTAAAAAAGAGTTTTCCTTTCTCTTCCTTCCTTGGCAGTTTTCTTCTCCTTGCTCTGGAGAATTGCTCAGAATAAATACTCTCAAGCTCTGACCAGGTGGGATGACCCCAGGAGGTACAGGAGAAGTAACTGACTGGGCTAGAGGCAGGAGAACTGAGTTCCTTTTCTTAGTTTTGCCTCCATCTCACAGTAGATCTCCAGCAACTCACTGAATCTCTGCTAACCTCGGTTTCTTCCTGTGCAAATGAGGCTGTAGGGTAACGTTCCTCTCAAGGTCTCATCAGCTTGGTGGCTGAGCAGTGACCTTCTGTTCACCAGCTTTCCAGCCCCACTCCCTGGCTCCTGAGCTCCATCTCCTGCCTTATATGGGAGGCTCCAGCAGCGCCACCGTTCACACAGAGGTGCTGCTGACACTGATGGACAACAGAGGGCTTTTATTCCACCCCACACCTGCTCTATTTGGGGGCTGCTATCAGCCATTTCACATCTCAAATTTGCCTTTGTTATCTAAATGGCCTCTTTGGGGCTAGAAAGCAGATGCTCTGAGTCATTAAGGAGAGCTGTCTCTGTCTAGGTTTGAAGTGGGTTTCTCTGAATAATTCTGTCACTCAAACACCTGGGTGGCTCTTACATTGAGCCTACAGATGGTTAGGACACCTATCTGTGGAAGGACTGTAGTCACAGGCCCAATGTTCAACTATATAAAGATGACATGCAAAACTCCATAATCAGGACATTGTGTGGGTTTGTGTGAACACGTGTGTGTGTGTGTGTGTGTGTGCATGCACTACCTTTTACTAAGCACTCCCTATGTGCCTGCCAGAATACTTAATGCTTTATGTGGGATACATCATCTAGTCCTCTAACAATCTTAAGAACTATGTATTATTAACCCCATTTTACAGATAGGGAAAACTGAGACTCAGAGAGAGAAAGCAACTTGCAAACTCACTTACAATAGACCAGTTTGGTTTTGAGATGTTGAGTCAAAGGGTATACACAAACTTTCCCCATCTATATCAAGCCTGTGCCCTTGTTTTGCTTTTGGCAAGGAAATAACAGGTCACCCAAGACACCGCAGTGTTTACTGGACTAGGATGAAGTTCATTGCTGACTTCTCTTGATTCTTCCCCATCCTGCTCCCCACCACCTGCCCAACCACAAACAAAATTTGACTATTCCACTTTCTTTCTTCACCAGATATTTGTTTAAATAAATAAAAACCTTCTAGTTGTCAGTATTTGCCAAGTTGTGGCAGTTGGGTGGGGGAGACGAGGGCCAAGACCGAAGAGACGAGGTATAAAGTCAATGTTTATGTGTCATTTAAAATATGGTCTGTGTATGTGTCAGAAGTTTGCACAAATCTCTGAATCAATTTTGTTGATTTGGGCACTTTCTGGAGGATAACCAACATATCTTGAAATATGGGGCTACAAAAAAATTTCACTGGGGTTCATTTTTCAGCGACAGGTTCCAGCTTATCTCTAGTGCCTCCATTCCGAAAATCATAAGCATATGTCCTGCTGCTATTGAGAATAAATTTGTCAAGACAACAAGCTGGCATAGACAAGGGCAGTGTGCAAAACAGGAAACCATTGCAAATGCTTCTATACTCCTCCAGGAGACAAATTACTTTGCATCTTTCACTAGGAACAACTATAGAAGTTAGTATTTTATTTCCTAGACCTAGAAAAGCCTAATTGGTGCCCATATGTCATACTGTAAGATTTCTTCCAGCCCTTTCAAGTGTGCTGCAAGATTAGGATGGGGGAAAAAAGAATAATTGAGCTCTCCTGTGGGTGAGATGACGCCATATGAGAATATACAGACTCCATTTCTAAACTGTTTGGGTATCACGTTGACTTTTTCTTGATTCTTTGTTAGTCCTCTCTCATCCTCACAACCAAAACTCCACCAAGCCTTTGCACCTTCCCCCACAATATAAAAGCCCCAAATCACTTCTTTGTAAGCCTTAAGTTTATTCTAGAGCCCTTGGTTAGTTTTGTAATATCCCAGAAGAAGGTACACATAAGCTTTTTAAGAGGACAAAAGAAATAAGAAATTCATTATTAGTGAATATGAAGAACTTTTCTGGGAAGGTGCAATGAACGGAATATGTGTGTGTCTTCCCCTCAAATTCTTATGTTGAAATCTGCACCTCCACGGTGGTGGTATTAGGGGATGGGGCTTTTGTTAGATGAAGGTGGAAAGCCTTCCCCATGAAGGTGGAACCCTGATGAATGGAATTATTTCCCTTATAAAAGAGGCCTTAGAGAGCTAGCCAGCCCCTTCTGCCATGTTAAGGACACAGCTAGAAGGTGCCATCTATGAACCAGGAAGTGGGTCCTCACCAGACCCTGAAATTGCTGGCAACTTGATCTTGGACATCCAGTCTCCAGAGCCGTGAAAAATAAATTTCTATTGTTTAGTAGCCACCAGTCTATGGTATTTTGTTATAGCAGCTCAAATGGACTAAGATAGAGGGCAGGGATTTTTGTGAATTTTCTTCACTCTACATCTCCAACATCTAAGAAAAAGCCAGACACATTCTTGGTGTTCAATAAATATTTGTTGAATTAATAAATAAATTATAGTGGACATTTGTAGTTGTTGCCTTTCTGCATTCATTCCTATCTTTCTGCTAAGAGCACCCTAAACCTTCTTTGGGGAATCTCTCTTTTCTCACCCTTAGTGCACATGGTTTAGGTACAACTGATTCATCCCCAGCTGCAAGGCAGAGGCATGTCCCAGGTCTGAGCCACGGGCCACCGTGATTGGTTCAGAGATGGTACATGATTCAGTGAAAGTCCAACGAGGGCCAATCTCCAGTTCTGATGGGAACACTGGGGATATGGAGTTTTTTCCCACTGGAACTGCTATCTCTAAGGACAGTATAAGCCAAGAGATTTAGGGTTCACCTCACAGAGAGATCCTTTCTAGGAGTCAACACAATACAGAAAAAAACAAAGCCAGAGATGGAGATAAAGTGTGAGTTCTATGTATGTTATTTAACCCTTGCATTTAACTATATCTGGGACCCAAAATCCTTTGGAGTTTTTAAGTTATATGACCCAATAAACCCCCTTAAGCCAAATGAGTTTCTGAAAAATCTAATGTTTAAAAATAATAATAAAATTAAGAAATGAATTAGGGAAATGTCAATTATTTTACCATCCTGGTAACTATGGTTTCTCTTAAAGTGTGTCAGTACTTGACACACACTAGTCAAGAATAAGGCTCCTGTTTCAAAGAGACCCCAAAATACCACAACTTAAAGAAGATGGACATCTTTCCCCCATGCAGAAATCTGGGAGGCAATACAGGGCTTTAATTGTGGCTTAACAAGGATTCGATCTTGTTACTTTGTCATCCTCAAAGTGCAGCTTCTCTTTCATGGCCCAAGAGGGCAGTTCAAGTTCCTGCTATCAGGTGTCCTCCTGCCAGCTGAAAGGGAAAGGGGAGGAAGAGGAAGATGTGTACAGATAAAAGGCATCATCAACTTGGAGAAAGGTGCAGGTGGGTGGACCAGAAGAGAAATCAAAAATAATCCTTCCTTCCCCTCTCTCGTTTTCTTTCTCCAAGCATTTATTGAGCACTCACTGTATACCAGGTACTATGTTGAGTGCTGGGAATACAACATTAAATAAGGCTGATTCAGTCCATACCTTACTGGAGCTTATACTTCTGCGTAAGTGTATTAGTCTGTTTTCACACTGCTGATAAAGACATACCTGAGACTGGGTAACTTATACAGAAAAAGAGGTTTAATGGACTCAAAATTCCACCTGGCAGGGGAGACCTCACAATCATGGCAGAAGTTGATAGGCACGTCTTACATCACAGTAAGCAAGAGAAAGAATGAGAACCAAGCAAAAGGGGTTCCCCTTATAAAATGATCAGATCTTGTGAGACTTATGGATGACCATGAGAACAGTATGAGGGAAACCACCCCCATGATTCAATTATCTCCCACTGGGTCCCTCCCACAACACATGGGAATTATGGGAGCTACAATTCAAGATGAGATTTGGATGGGGACACAGCCAAGCTGCATCAGTAAGTTATCTTAAAATGCCAGAGGTCCAATTTCAGATGGTGGCAGCTTCTAGGGAAAGATCTGGGCTTTTCTCTTTATAAGATTTAGAAAACTCAGCCAGGCCAAACTACTAAGACCTAGTGGCTTTCAGTCTTCTGTCCCAGTGGCTACCAAAGTAGCAAAAGATCTGCTACCTCCATTTCCATTTTGTGTCATACACAGTCCCATGCATACACAGTTATGCACCATATAACAACATTCCAGTCAACGCTCAACCACATATATAACAATGGCTCCATAAGATTGTAATACTTTATTTTTACTGTACTTTTTTATTTTTTATTTTATTTTATCTTATTATTATTATACTTTAAGTTTTAGGGTACATGTGCACATCGTGCAGGTTAGTTACATATGTATACATGTGCCATGCTGGTGTGCTGCACCCATTAACTCGACATTTAGTATTAGGTATATCTCCTAACGCTATCCCTCCCCGCTTTCCCCCACCCCACAACAGTCCCCAGAGTGTGATGTTCCCCCTCCTGTGTCCATGTGTTCTCATTGTTCAATTCCCACCTATGAGTGAGAACATGCTGTGTTTGGTTTTTTGTTCTTGCGATAGTTTACTGAGAATGATGATTTCCAGTTTCATCCATGTCCCTACGAAGGACATGAACTCATCATTTTTTCTGGCTGCATAGTATTCCATGGTATATATGTGCCACATTTTCTTAATCCAGTCTATCATTGTTGGACATTTGGGTTGGTTCCAAGTCTTTGCTATTGTGAATAGTGCCAAAATAAACATACGTGTGCATGTGTTTTTATAGCAGCATGATTCATAATCCTTTGGGTATATACCCAGTAATGGGATGGCTGGGTCAAATGGTATTTCCAGTTCTAGATCCCTGAGGAATCGCCACACTGACTTCTACAGTGGTTGAACTAGTTTACAGTCCCACCAACAGTGTAAAAGTGTTCCTATTTCTCCACATCCTCTCCAGCACCTGTTGTTTCCTGACTTTTTAATGATCGCCATTCTAACTGGTGTGAGATGCTATCTCATTGTGGTTTTGATTTGCATTTCTCTGATAGCCAGTGATAGTGAGCATTTTTTCATGTGTTTTTTGGCTGCATAAATGTCTTCTTTTGAGAAGTGTCTGTTCATGTCCTTTGCCCACTTTTTGATGGAGTTGTTTGTTTCTTTCTTGTAAATTTGTTTCAGTTCATTTTAGATTCTGGATATTAGCCCTTTGTCAGATGAGTAGGTTGCAAAAATTTTCTCCCATTTTGTAGGTTGCCTGTTCACTCTGGTGGTAGTTTCTTTTGCTGTGCAGAAGCTCTTTAGTTTAATTAGATCCCATTTGTCAATTTTGGCTTTTGTTGCCATTGCTTTTGGTGTTTTAGACATGAAGTCCTTGCCCATGCCTATGTCCTGAATGGTAATGCCTAGGTTTTCTTCTAGGGTTTTTATAGTTTTAGGTCTAACATGTAAGTCTTTAATCCATCTTGAATGAATTTTTGTATAAGGTGTAAGGAAGGGATCCAGTTTCAGCTTTGTACATATGGCTAGCCAGTTTTCCCAGCACCATTTATTAAATAGGGAATCCTTTCCCCATTGCTTGTTTTCTCAGGTTTGTCAAAGATCAGATAGTTGTAGATATGCGGCATTATTTCTGAGGGCTCTGTTCTGTTCCATTGATCTATATCTCTGTTTTGGTACCAGTACCATGCTGTTTTGGTTACTGTAGCCTCTTAGTGTAGTTTGAAGTCAGGTAGCGTGATGCCTCCAGCTTTGTTCTTTTGGCTTAGGATTGACTTGGCAATGGGGGCTCTTTTTTGGTTCCATATGAACTTTAAAGTAGTTTTTTCAAATTCTGTGAAGGAAGTCATTGGTAGCTTGATGGGGATGGCATTGAATCTATAAAATACCTTGGGCAGAATGGCCATTTTCACAATATTGATTCTTCCTACCCATGAGCATGGAATGTTCTTCCACTTGTTTGTATCCTCTTTTATTTCATTGAGCAGTGGTTTGTAGTTCTCCTTGAAGAGGTCCTTCACGTCCCTTGTAAGTTGGATTCCTAGGTATTTTATTCTCTTTGAAGCAATTGTGAATGGGAGTTCACTGATGATTTGGCTCTCTGTTTGTCTGTTATTGGTGTATAAGAATGCTTGTGATTTTTGCACATTGATTTTGTATCCTGAGACTTTGCTGAAGTTGCTTATCAGCTTAAGGAGATTTTGGGCTGAGACGATGGGGTTTTCTAGATATACAATCATGTCATCTGCAAACAGGGACAATTTGACTTCCTCTTTTCCTAATTGAATACCCTTTATTTCCTTCTCCTGCCTAATTGCCCTGGCCAGAACTTCCAACACTATGTTGAATAGGAGTGGTGAGAGAGCGCATCCCTGTCTTGTGCCAGTTTTCAAAGGGAATGCTTCCAGTTTTTGCCCATTCAGTATGATATTGGCTGTGGGTTTGTCATAGATAGCTCTTATTATTTTGAGATACGTCCCATCAATACCTAATTTATTGAGAGTTTTTAGCATGAAGGTTGTTGAATTTTGTCAAAGGCATTTTCTGCATCTATTGAGATAATCATGTGGTTTTTGACTTTGGTTCTGTTTGTATGCTGGATTACATTTATTGATTTTCATATATTGAACCAGCCTTGCATCCCAGGGATGAAGCCCACTTCATCATGGTGGATAAGCTTTTTGATGTGCTGCTGCATTCAGTTTGCCAGTATTTTATTGAGGATTTTTGCATCAATGTTCATCAAGGATATTGGTCTAAAATTCTCCTTTTTCGTTGTGTCTCTGCCCGGCTTTGGTATCAGGATGCTGCTGGCCTCATAAAATGAGTTAGGGAGGATTCCCTCTTTTTCTATTGATTGGAATAGTTTCAGAAGGAATGGTACCAGTTCCTCCTTGTACCTCTGGTAGAATTCGGCTGTGAATCCAGCCGGTCCTGGACTCTTTTTGGTTGGTAAGCTATTGATTATTGCCACAATTTCAGAGCCTGTTATTGGTCTATTCAGAGATTCAACTTCTTCCTGGTTTAGTCTTGGGAAGGTGTATGTGTCGAGGAATTTATCCATTTCTTCTAGATTTTCTAGTTTATTTGCATAGTGGTGTTTGGAGTATTCTCTGATGGTAGTTTGTATTTCTGTGGGATCGGTGGTGATATCCCCTTTATCATTTTTTATTGCGTCTATTTGATTCTTCTCTCTTTTCTTCTTTATTAGTCTTGCTAGCGGTCTATCAATTTTGTTGATCCTTTCAAAAAACCAGCTCCTGAATTCATTAATTTTTTGAAGGGTTTTTTGTGTCTCTATTTCCTTCAGTTCTGCTCTGATTTTAGTAATTTCTTGTCTTCTGCTAGCTTTTGAATGCGTTTGCTCTTGCTTTTCTAGTTCTTTTAATTGTGATGTTAGGGTGTCAATTTTGGATCTTTCCTGCTTTCTGTTGTGGGCATTTAGTGCTATAAATTTCCCTCTACACACTGCTTTGAATGTGTCCCATAGATTCTGGTATGTTGTGTTTTTGTTCTCATTGGTTTCAAAGAACATCTTTATTTCTGCCTTCATTTCGTTATGTACCCAGTAGTCATTCAGGAGCAGGTTGTTCAGTTTCCATGTAGTTGAGCGGTTTTGAGTGAGTTTCTTAATCCTGAGTTCTAGTTTGATTGCACCGTGGTCTGAGAGACAGTTTGTTATAATGTCTGATCTTTTACATTTGCCGAGGAGAGCTTTACTTCCAACTATGTGGTCAATTTTGGAACAGGTGTGGTGTGGTGCTGAGAAAAATGTATATTCTGTTGATTTGGGGTGGAGAGTTCTGTAGATGTCTATTAGATCTGCTTGGTGCAGAGCTGAGTTCAATTCCTGGGTATCCTTGTTAACTTTCTGTTTCGTTGATCTGTCTAATGTTGACAGTGGGGTGTTAAAGTCTCCCATTATTATTGTGTGGGAGTCTAAGTCTCTTTGTAGTGTACCTTTTTAATGTTTAGATACACAGATACCAATTTGTTATAATGACCACAGTATTCAGTAGAGTTACATGCTGTACAGCTTTGTAACCTAAGAGCATTAGGCTATACCTTCGAGGATGTGTGGGTTCACTCTGTGATGTTTACACAGCAACAAAATCATATAACAACACATTTCTCAGAACATATTTCCATCATGAAGTAATGCATGACTATATTAATTTTCTCTATCATGTGTATGTTATAAATCTTTTATCTTTAACTATGCTATTAAAAACTGTCTCTTTTCAAAGTAATTTTAGACAATTGCAGAATGCAAGAGATTTTTTTTGTCTATAAAATGGAGCTAATGATGCTTCCTACTGCATAATATGTTGTGAAAATTAAATGAGATTATATGTGTAAACTTCTAAGCAGAGTAAATATGTTGACTCTTTCTAAAATCATTTTTATTATATTTTCTGATCAGAGATCATTATTTTTCTCTCTCCCTAATTCTATTTAGGTCACCTGGAAGAGAAGGTGTCTGGATTTTTTTCCAATGAGTACATATTACTTTTATGTTTAACAATTTAATATGCAAGAATAATAACTTTTTGTGTTTTAAAAAATGAAACAGCTCATTATAAAGTAAGCAATGAAGAAAAGTAAAAATAATTTTTATTAGTAACCCCAAATGATTATTATTAGGTGGATATTTCACATCTTTCTAAGTAGATATATAGATTACAATGTTTTCAGTTTCAAAAATATATGTAAAATCCAAGTCGAATTGCTTTAACACATGGAAATGTATTGATTTGTGTAACCGACATCCAGAGACAGAGTGATCTTCAGGGTTGGCCTGATCCAGCTTCCAGTCGCTGTCTATGGGGCAGAAGTCTTCACTTGCAGTGGTGAAAAATGTCTGTAGCAGCTCCAGGTTTTGCGTCTTTAAACCAACAAGTCCAGAGGGAGAGAGGGAGTTTCCTATGGTGAGCTTCTCTTAAAAGCTGAGAAGCTCCTTCTTCAGAATTCTCCGCCAAGCCTTCCTTCATGTTTCACTGGCCTGAGCTGGGTCACAAGCCCATTCCAGATTCTACTGCAGGAATATGCCACACCCTGGTTGGTTTTGACCTGAGTTCCCTGGGATAAGGAATTATCCTTAGCCCAATCATTCCACCCTGGCCCTGGAGCTGGGTTCACAGTCCCCTGAAGTACTTAGGTTGCCTGGCAGAGAGATGGAAATCTGAATGAAAATCCAGTTACTATTTGGAAAGGAGAGGAGAGGAAAGAGAAATGTATGCCGCATTAGTCCATTCTCACCCTGCTATGAAGAAATACCCAAGACTGGGTAATTTATAAAGAAAAGAGGTTTAATTAACTCACAGTTCCACATGGCTAGGGAGGCCTCAAGAAACTTACAATCATGGCAGAAGGCACCTCTTCACAGGGCGGCAGGAGAGAGAATGCGTGTCAAGTGAAGGGGGAAGCCCCTGATAAAACCATCAGATATTTTGAGAACTCACTCGCTATCATGAGAACAGCATGGGGGAAATTCTCCCCATGATTCAATTATCTCCACCTGGTACCTCCCTTGACATATGGAGATTTTAAAATTCAAGGTGAGATTTGAGTGGGGACACAGAGTCAAGCCATGTCATATGCTAAAGAGAGATTGAAAGAGAAACAGACATAGACAGGCAAAAATATTTTTACATAAAGATGATCATATTATACACATTCTTCAAAAAACTAATGGATTTAATGTTACTTGAATTGAACATTAGAAAAGTAAAACTAACATAAAACTGAAAATTTGTTGCCCTTTCATTAAATATTCTTTACCACAGGAGATACTATTTGCTCAATATTCCCTCTTGGGGAAATAAGGTTAAGAAAAGATACTATGAAAAATGTTAAAATGTTGGAGTCATTATTTTTTTAGCAACATGTTTCAGTTTTAGACAATATTGAATGACTCACACATCGGAAAGATGAGTAAATCTTTAGACTTGTACTTCCTCCCATCTCCCTACCCCTCACTTCCCAATTTTGGCTCTAATATTATTTTTACAATATCTTTGCTTATAATATTCACATTCTGTTGTGGAAACATTAATCCCGTAATTGTTTAATACCATGAGTTCCATACTCAAATGAATTATGTGTTCCTAAGAAGTCTTTTTTATCCCAGACTCTATATTTCCAAATATTTTATTTCTATTCATCTCTAAATTGACTGTTCATCACTGAATAATTCCTCTCAAGAAGGACTCATGAGTGTGTGTTCCCTGAGTTCTGTCGTGGGTCAGAATATTTATCTGTGACTTTTATACTGAAACTCATTCTGGATGGGTGAAATACTCTTGAGTCACACTTTCCCTTGGAAATCCTAGGTAGTGCTTTATTATAGCTTGGCATGCAAAATTGATTGTTAGTGTCAAAGGCAACCCTAACTGGCTTCCTTTACTTTTTATGTCCTATGCCAAAATACTTTTTAAAAAAGTCCTTGAAGTTTGATAAGTTAATGAGGATATGTCTCAGTGCTGATCATTTAGTATTTGTTTTTCTTGGGTCATGGTGTGCTCTTTCAATCTGCAGATTCGTTTCTGCATTTGTCAGAGCAATTTTTTTTGTTTTATAGCTTTGAATATTTTGTCTGTCCTATTTGCAGATTGTCTACAACCAGGCTTAAGAACTAGGCTGAAATTGCTTTGTGCTTTTCACATGCAATTTCTATCTTTATCTTAAGGATTTTTTTCTGTCTGTAAGCTTATTTTGAGTTGTGCCTATTCAGCTTTTTTTTTTTTGATGATTTTTATCTATTTATCAGTTCTATAATAATGTCGTTTTGAATGAAAACACTTGGACACAGGGCGGGGAACATCACACACCCGGGCCTGTCGTGGGGTTGGGCGACGGGGGAAGGGATAACATTAGGAGAAATACCTAATGTAAATGACGAGTTGATGAGTGCAGCAAACCAACGTGGCACATGTATACCTATGTATCAAACCTGCACATTGTGCACATGTACCCTAGAACTAAAGTATCATTAAAAAAAAATAATATTGTTTTGGTCTTTAATTTGTTTCTATAGGACAGTAGAAAATCACTTTTCCAGATCATTCTCTTGTTTCATCATTTCCTCTTTGGGACCCACTATGTTGAATTCATATTGTTATTAACCTGTTCTATAACCTAAAGCATTCAAGGAAAACAATATGCCCTGCTAATTTGTTTCTTTTCAGATTAATAGCTTTTGATTCAATTTTTCAATATTTTGGTAATCCAAGTCTTCCAAAGTGAGCACAGAGAAACTACTTTTCTAAAATCTCTCCTTCCTTCCTTTGTCCTCCCCTTTTTGAAGTCTATGACGTTAGGTTGCTCCCATTTCTTTGTGTTCTTGCTGTTGCTGTTTTTTTGTGGGTTTTTTTTTTTTTGCTGATTTTTATTATTTTTATTCATATTTTAGATGTTGGAGGAGGAGAGTCTTTATTTTGCCTTTATTCTGCCATCCTTCTTCAGAAGTCTATATTGTTTATATTTATTTTCATTTGTTTAAGCCAAGAAAAAGTGACCTCCATTTTTTAAAAAAGAATCAATGAGATCATGTATGTGAGGTTCATCAAAAACTTAAAAATACTATGCAAACACTATTTTTAAAAGATTAAAATCGTAGAATTTTAAGATTGGACTAAACCTAGCGTCTTGTGTTTTAACCGCATACTCAACTCAGAAATCCACACGCAGCATTCCTGATGATGGCTTCTGCTGCTCTCTGTGATGGGGAACTCGCTCCTTGGCAGAGCATATCATTTAGTAAATGCACAGCTCTTGCAGTTAGTAATTATCTATTATAAGGCCAAATGTGCTTTCTGGAACTTTCTGGAACTTCAGCCATAATTTCTAGTTCTGCCGGACTTAGTAGGTGATACAATGGTCACATTCAAAGTTGTCACGATGTAGAGACACTGGCATCCTGAAGAGAAAAAATGAAAACTAAAAGATTCAGTGTGTTTGTATAGGAACCATACAGATCACAATAATTTGTGTGAACTGTTTTCTATTTGTATCCAAAAACATGCGGCAGAAAAAAAATGTTTTTAACAGTGAAAATGTCTGATTAACTTTGTAGCAAGTTTTTCTCTGAATTTAACTGAGTCCCACAAAATCCTTACTCAACACTCACAGATAGCTGCTCCTAGAAATGTTGTCAACCATTTAAAAAACTAAATGGAGTGTTGCTGATATCTGGCCATTATCACCTTTCTTTGCCACTCAAGCTGCTGAATAAGCACTTGTTGAGGGAGAAACACATTTCCCAGTGTTCAAACCACTTAGGAGGAAGCAGCCCAAGGACCACTTCCTAGTCTGCACACTCTGGCTTGGTGGGGCCACACAATCCATTTAGAAATAGTGTTTGCACAAATAACTGTTCCCGTAGCCAAATGTTTTAAACATACTTTAAACAAATCTTTTCAAGAATTCTAATTCTAACCTGTATCAGAAATGTGTTAAAATTCTGCAGACCTTTTTGCATTTTGTGTCAGCTCAAGTTTCCCTTGAAAATGTTTAGGAACTTCTATTAATCTTTTATTCTCCTTTTGAGAGTGAATTTTCTGGCATCAGAAGTTTCTAAGGCAATTGCATGGCACTTCAATACTGACCACTTAGGAATTAGGTAAGAGGCAGATAATGGAAGCATAAGGGGAGCATGGAGACCCATGTTAAAGGACCCCTGACTCTCTCCTAGTCCCACCTTCACCTCCATTGAAGGCCAATGTGCTTTGCACATTCTTCTCACAGCCTCCACAATAAACAGTGACGTTTCTGTGCTTGTGGAAGCCGGTAATGCCATTCGGTGGGGTTTCATTTTTAGACCAACACACACAAACTTTAAGTCATCCTCATTGAATTCTATAATTCAAAAAGCCTTTCTTTCCTTCCTTCTTTCTGTCCTTCCTTCCTTCCTTCCTTTTTATATTTTATTTTATTTTATTTATTTATTTTTTTGACAGGGCCTGGCCTGTCATCCAGGCTGGAGTGCAGTGTCGCAATCACGGCTCACTGCAGCCTCAGCCCACCAGGCTCAAGTGATTCCCCCACCTCAGCCTCCCGAATAGCTGGGATTACAGACGCACGCAACAATGTCTGGCTCTTTTTTTAATTTTGTAGAGACAGAGTCTCTCTATGTTGCCAGGGCTGGTCTCGAACTCCTGGGCTTAAGCGATCCTCCCTCCTTGGCCTCCCAAAATACTAGGATTACAGGTGTGAGCCATTGTGCCCAGCCCGAAGAACCTTTCTTAGAATCTTAATTTTTGTTTTTCCTCCTGAGGACTGGGTCAGTATTCTCTTCAGTTACCTCAGCCTTTTCCTCATCCTCCTTCCCTTTCTCACTTCTGGAAAGGGGCAGGTTTATCTGGATGGGCTTTTGTGCCCCCACCCCAACCTCGTGCATGGGTCTATTCTCCAGCCCAGGTCCTTTCCCTGAAACAAACGAAGGCTAAGATTTACCAGACCACACCGCAGACTCGGCCCTTTGCAGACATTAACTCATCTACCCTTTTCCGTGACTCCCTGAGATAGGTTCCATCATCACCCCGATTTCACATACTGGGAAAAGAAGAGTTAAGTGGCTAGCCCAAGGATACCCAACTAGGAAGCAGAAGAAACCAAATTTAAATCTAGATAGTCTGATTCTGGAGCACGTACTCTTAAGCCCCATACAATGCTGTTGTCGCAGGAGCCATTACACCATATACATATGATTGTACTGGATACCTTAACATAAAACACATTATCAGCAGGCTTTGCTGTGCTTTCCTGGAAACTCACCCAAATGGTCATCTCCAACACACATCCTGTGAGCACCTCTTAAGGTGCGTGCTACTCTAGGTGATAAAAGTGGTAGAGGAAGCTCTCTATGGGTGGCACATGGTGCTGGCATAGTCTTACATGGAGTCTCACAGGCCTAATGGAATTTCCATTTGGGGCAATGTGGTGGATTGCATTACATGAAACCCTCCTGCTATGAAACACCTGGAAAAGCAGTATAAACTAGAACCAGCTTCTCTTTAAATGTCCCAACTGAGCTCAAAAGAAAGAAAATAAAATCCCAGGGGCCAAAATGAAATGGCAACTAAAACCAGAGAATAACCTGCGAACTGAAGTTGGGGCCATCTGGGGGTATTTGATGATCTCACAAACCAAGGAGTTTGGGATTTGATGGTTAGTCTGGGACAGAAGGAAAAATTGATATCCCACATGAAGTTGCTACCCTTAGTGAAAGGGGAAAAGCAGGGAAAGGCCTCCCTCCCTTAAAAGACCAAAGAAAATGACAGAGAAGCTTGCATTCCTTGGAGTGAGCTCTGAGTGGGGGAAAATTTTTGAAACTCCAGGCCTGCATTCACCAGCTTTGGGGTTCAAAGTTGTACTCTCTCTATGGCACTGGAGACCTCTGTGTGGTAAATTAGTGTAGAAACAGTTTTTAGACATTCCTAAAATTCCTGGCAAAAGTAGCACCAGAGAGATGCCCTCAAACTTGGAGATCCAGGATTCCCACGGTTTAAATGCCATGTTAAGATGAATTCACAATCCAAGAGTTTTTAAAACCCCAAACACATGAGCCAATGCCAGCAGGCCTATCAACAGAAGATATAAACCCTCCCAAAACTCAGCTTTGGCTAGGGACTATAAAATAAGAACGTTTAAAGTGATTAAGGTAGGAAAAAAATAATGAGAGACAAAGAAGCCATAGAAAACACTAAGCGTATTGTACTAAATAGAACTTTGAGAATAAACAATATAGTAATTAAGATTAAAAATTCAAGGGCAGCTGAAGAGAGAATCAGTAAAGCCATTAATCCCGTTCTGTCTGATGCCTGAGACATATAGAAATGAGAAAAATTCCAGAAGGCAGCACAGAGAAGCAATAAGAAGCTCCCAGGAAAGCAATCTTGGGTCTTCTGCCAGAAAAAAAAATGGACAAGAAGAGCTCTTTGTGCACTGGAGCTGCGATGTCAGTAAACATTTTCTAGAAAAGGCCAGATAATAATCATTTTCAGCTTGGTATCCATACATCTCTGTCTCTGTCACATAGTCTTCTTTGCATTTTTTATAACCCTTTAAAAATGTAAATATTTTCCTTAGCTAACAGGCTGTACACAAACAGGCTTTGGTGGGATTTGGCCTGAGTGTTACAGTTTGTGGATCCCTGTGCTAAGCCCTAAGTCTGTAGCTGCTCATGGGCATTTTCTACTGCATGAGGATAATCTACCTGAAAAGGAAACCATTCAAAGGAGGTCCTGCCGGGAGGAGGATGAAGAGAACACAGATTCCCAATGACATGGGTTGAGTGCCTGGACCCACCAAATACAAAAACCTAACCCAGGAATTTTTAGTTATGTGAACCAATAAATGTTCTTTTTTCTTTATTTTATTTTATTTTATTTTATTTTATTTTATTTTATTTTATTTTATTTTATTTTATTATTATTATACTTTAAGTTTTAGGGTACATGTGCACAATGTGCAGGTTAGTTACATATGTATACATGTGCCATGCTGGTGTGCTGCACCAATTAACTTGACATTTAGCATTAGGTTTATCTCCTAATGCTATCCCGCCCCACTCCCCCCACCCCACGACAGTCCCCAGAGTGTGATGATCCCCCTCCTGTGTCCATGTGTTCTCATTGTTCAATTCCTACCTATGAGTGAGAACATGCGGTGTTTGGTTTTTTGTCCTTGCAATAGTTTACTGAGAATGATGATTTCCAGTTTCATCCATGTTCCTACAAAGGACATGAACTCATCATTTTTTTCTGGCTGCATAGTATTCCATGGTATATATGTGCCACATTTTCTTAATCCAGTCTATTGTTGTTGGACATTTGGGTTGGTTCCAAGTCTTTGCTATTGTGAATAGTGCTGCAATAAACATACATGTGCATGTGTCTTTATAGCAGCATGATTTATAGTCCTTTGGGTATATACCCAGTAATGGGATGGCTGGGTCAAATGGTATTTCTAGTCCTAGATCCCTAAGGAATCGCCACACTGACTTCCACAATGGTTGAACTAGTTTACAGTCCCATCAACAGTGTAAAAGTGTTCCTATTTCTCCACATCCTCTCCAGCACCTGTTGTTTCCTGACTTTTTAATGATCACCATTGTAACTGGTGTGAGATGGTATCTCATTGTGGTTTTGATTTGCATTTCTCTGATGGCCAGTGATGATGAGCATTTTTTCATGTGTTTTTTGGCTGCATAAATGTCTTCTTTTGATATCCTTTGTCCACTTTTTGATGGAGTTGTTTGTTTTTTTCTTGTAAATTTGTTGGAGTTCATTGTAGATTCTGGATGTTAGCCCTTTGTCAGATGAGTAGGTTGTGAAAATTTTCTCCCATTTTGTAGGTTGCCTGTTCACTCTGATGGTAGTTTCTTCTGCTGTGCAGAAGCTCTTTAGTTTAATTAGATCCCATTTGTCAATTTTGGCTTTTGTTGCCATTGCTTTTGGTGTTTTAGACATGAAGTCCTTGCCCATGCCTATGTCCTGAATGGTAATGCCTAGGTTTTCTTCCAGGGTTTTTATGGTTTTAGGTCTAACATGTAAGTCTTTAATCCATCTTGAATGAATTTTTGTATAAGGTGTAAGGAAGGGATCCAGTTTCAGCTTTGTACATATGGCTAGCCAGTTTTCCCAGCACCATTTATTAAATAGGGAATCCTTTCCCCATTGCTTGTTTTTCTCAGGTTTGTCAAAGATCAGATTGTTGTAGATATGCGGCATTATTTCTGAGGGCTCTGTTCTGTTCCATTGATCTATATCTCTGTTTTGGTACCAGTACCATGCTGTTTTGGTTACTGTTGCCTTGTAGTATAGTTTGAAGTCAGGTAGCATGATGCCTCCAGCTTTGTTCTTTTGGCTTAGGATTGACTTGGCGATGGGGGCTCTTTTTTGGTTCCATATGAACTTTAAAGTAGTTTTTTCCAATTCTGTGTAGAAAGTCATTGGTAGCTTGATGGGGATGGCATTGAATCTATAAATTACCTTGGGCAGTATGGCCATTTTCATGATATTCATTCTTCCAACCCATGAGCATGGAATGTTCTTCCATTTGTTTGTATCTTCTTTTATTTCATTGAGCAGTGGTTTGTAGTTCTCCTTGAAGAGGTCCTTCACATCCCTTGTAAGATGGATTCCTAGGTATTTTATTCTCTTTGAAGCAATTGTGAATGGGAGTTCACTCATGATTTGGCTATTTGTCTGTTATTGGTTTATAGGAATGCTTATGATTTTTGCACATTGATTTTGTATCCTGAGACTTTGCTGAAGTCGCTTATCAGCTTAAGGAGATTTTGGGCTGAGACGATGGGGTTTTCTAGATATACAATCATGTCATCTGCAAACAGGGACAATTTGACTTCCTCTTTTCCTAATTGAATACCCTTTATTTCCTTCTCCTGCCTAATTGCCCTGGCCAGAACTTCCAACACTATGTTGAATAGGAGTGGTGAGAGAGCGCATCCCTGTCTTGTGCCAGTTTTCAAAGGGAATGCTTCCAGTTTTTGCCCATTCAGTATGATATTGGCTGTGGGTTTGTCATAGATAGCTCTTATTATTTTGAGATACGTCCCATCAATACCTAATTTATTGAGAGTTTTTAGCATGAAGGTTGTTGAATTTTGTCAAAGGCATTTTCTGCATCTATTGAGATAATCATGTGGTTTTTGTCTTTGGTTCTGTTTACATGCTGGATTACATTTATTGATTTGCGTATGTTGAACCAGCCTTTCATCCCAGGGATGAAGCCCACTTCATCATGGTGGATAAGCTTTTGGATGTGCTGCTGGATTCGGTTTGCCAGTATTTTATTGAGGATTTTTGCATCAATGTTCATCAAGGATATTGGTCTAAAATTCTGTTTTTTGGTTGTGTCTCTGCCAGGCTTTGGTATCAGGATGCTGCTGGCCTCATAAAATGAGTTAGGGAGGATTCCCTCTTTTTCTATTGATTGGAATAGTTTCAGAAGGAATGGTACCAGTTCCTCCTTGTACCTCTGGTAGAATTCGGCTGTGAATCCAGCCGGTCCTGGACTCTTTTTGGTTGGTAAGCTATTGATTATTGCCACAATTTCAGAGCCTGTTATTGGTCTATTCAGAGATTCAACTTCTTCCTGGTTTAGTCTTGGGAAGGTGTATGTGTCGAGGAATTTATCCATTTCTTCTAGATTTTCTAGTTTATTTGCATAGTGGTGTTTGGAGTATTCTCTGATGGTAGTTTGTATTTCTGTGGGATCGGTGGTGATATCCCCTTTATCATTTTTTATTGCGTCTATTTGATTCTTCTCTCTTTTCTTCTTTATTAGTCTTGCTAGCGGTCTATCAATTTTGTTGATCCTTTCAAAAAACCAGCTCCTGAATTCATTAATTTTTTGAAGGGTTTTTTGTGTCTCTATTTCCTTCAGTTCTGCTCTGATTTTAGTAATTTCTTGTCTTCTGCTAGCTTTTGAATGCGTTTGCTCTTGCTTTTCTAGTTCTTTTAATTGTGATGTTAGGGTGTCAATTTTGGATCTTTCCTGCTTTCTGTTGTGGGCATTTAGTGCTATAAATTTCCCTCTACACACTGCTTTGAATGTGTCCCATAGATTCTGGTATGTTGTGTTTTTGTTCTCATTGGTTTCAAAGAACATCTTTATTTCTGCCTTCATTTCGTTATGTACCCAGTAGTCATTCAGGAGCAGGTTGTTCAGTTTCCATGTAGTTGAGCGGTTTTGAGTGAGTTTCTTAATCCTGAGTTCTAGTTTGATTGCACCGTGGTCTGAGAGACAGTTTGTTATAATGTCTGATCTTTTACATTTGCCGAGGAGAGCTTTACTTCCAACTATGTGGTCAATTTTGGGACAGGTGTGGTGTGGTGCTGAGAAAAATGTATATTCTGTTGATTTGGGGTGGAGAGTTCTGTAGATGTCTATTAGATCTGCTTGGTGCAGAGCTGAGCTCAATTCCTGGGTATCCTTGTTAACTTTCTGTGTTGTTGATCTGTCTAATGTTGACAGTGGGGTGTTAAAGTCTCCCATTATTATTGTGTGGGAGTCTAAGTCTCTTTGTAGGTCACTCAGGACTTGCTTTATGAATCTGGGTGCTCCCGTATTGGGTGCATATATATTTAGGATAGTTAGCTCTTCTTGTTGAATTGATCCCTTTACCATTATGTAATGGCCTTCTTTGTCTCTTTTGATCTTTGTTGGTTTAAAGTCTGTTTTATCTGAGACTAGGATTGCAACCCCTGCCTTTTTTTGTTTTCCATTTGCTTGGTAGATCTTCCTCCATCCCTTTATTTTGAGCCTAAGTGTGTCTCTGCACGTGAGATGGGTTTCCTGAATACAGCACACTGATGGGTCTTGACTCTGTATCCAATTTGCCAATGTGTGTCTTTTAATTGGAGCATTTAGCCCATTTATATTTAAGGTTAATATTGTTATGTGTGAATTTGATCCTGTCATTATGATGTTAGCTGGTTATTTTGCTCGTTAGTTGATGCAGTTTCTTCCTAGCCTTGAT
The DNA here is from genome assembly GCF_000001405.40 of Homo sapiens. Lineage (NCBI taxonomy): Eukaryota > Metazoa > Chordata > Mammalia > Primates > Hominidae > Homo > Homo sapiens. The sequence goes on along the minus strand of NC_000004.12, from coordinate 53,725,599 downwards.
GGTCTTTACAATTTGGCATGTTTTGGCAGTGGCTGGTACTGGTTGTTCCTTTCCGTGTTTAGTGCTTCCTTCAGGAGCTCTTTTAGGGCAGGCCTGGTGGTGACAATATCTCTCGGCATTTGCTTGTCTGTAAAGTATTTTATTTCTCCTTCACTTATGAAGCTTAGTTTGGCTGGATATGAAATTGTGGGTTGAAAATTCTTTTCTTTAAGAATGTTGAATATTGGCCCCCAATCTCTTCTGGCTTGTAGAGTTTCTGCCGAGAGATCCACTGTTAGTCTGATGGGCTTCCCTTTGAGGGTAACCCAACCTTTCTCTCTGGCTGTCCTTAACTAAATGTTCTTTTTTCAAAAGTCAGTGTGCCCTGATTTTATGTTACTTATAAAGAAAAGAACAACTGGCAAATTTAGCAATGTGCTTGAATCTCTAAATCCTTTATGTGTGATAGTCTGCCTGCTTTAATATCATCTAAATTGCAATTGCTATTGTTCAGGAATTACTAAAACAGTTAAACCCAGATTAATGCAATATTTTTTACAATATGTTGCTCTGTGAAGTGGAAAAAAAGAAGAAAGAAAAACAGTATTTTTGTGTGTGTCAGGCATTGCACTGACTGTCTTAGATGTTGTCCCACTGAACAGACACAACTCCTTTGTGAAATATGCATTAACTCCATTTTATAGGTAAGAAAGGTTGATTGTGAGAAGTAAAGTAACTAGTCTAAGGCCACACTTAGAGTTGAGTCATTGTGGCAGAGATCTTATGGCTTAGAAAGCCAAAATTATCTGCTATCTCCCCCTTTACAGAAAAAGTTTGCTGACTCTGGTCTGAATAGAAGGAGATATTATTATTATCTTAACTGCTGGCTGAGATTTTTCTCAAGAGGGAAACTGCCTGGGAAAATACTTTGCTAAGTGTTTGGGCTGGAGATCCATGATGCCAGTATCTGAAGGAGCCCTAGCAGGAAGGAAAAGATGTACCATTTTACATGTGAAAATAAGAGGAATATTGGGTATCGGCTCCTGAAAAAAAAAGAAAAAAAGAAGTGGGGAGGAGGAAGGAGGGAGGGGGCAAGCAAAGAGGCTGGCAGAAAAAGAATTTGAGAGAAAGAGGCTGGAAACTTTTCAAGAAGTAGGAATGTAATATTAGGGCAACAGGGTTTCAGAAAAATCTAGTACCAGATTTTAAGCTATTTGCTTTGTGGTGTATCACCCTTCCTGGGATCCCCTGGTCTTTGGTAAAATGGCTTTTTTGTATGGTTGCTTTTGGGATGAAGGGAGAGTCAAAGAGAAGTTACTTGGGGGCCCAACATCAGAGCTGAGTGGAAAGAAGTAGCTCTAAGACACAGAGAACAAATTTTGACAAAGTTAGGACATGAGAATAGAATTAACCTTAAGACCATAAACCATAAGAACTTCCCCCAGAATTTGGAGACCCCTTGCGAAGTGCTTTAGGTTTCCCTAATCAATGTAATTAGGATCTGATCCAATCTTCTGTAGGGCTTAAGGGCCAGGAGACCTTAGCTAATAGCAGAGTCAGACACTTACTCCACAGGGATTGAATAAGGCATTCTCCCTGCCTCTGGGAGCTCACACCCTGTGGGAAAACAGACCTCAGAACAAATGTGTAATAATTGCTCTGATAGAAAGATGAACAATTAAAGCACAAAGGAAAAAATGGTCAACTCTGCCTAGGGTGTCAGGGAGGACTTCTAGCAGGAAGCGATGTTTGAGCCAGCCTTTGAAGGATGAGAAGGAGGTAATCACTCAGACAGGAGAAGGGAGAATCTTCCCGCCAGAGAGAAGAAGAGGTGCACAAATGTGAAGCCAGAAAGAAGGTGTCAGGAAACAGAAGGCTCCCTGCAAGATGAGAATGAGAAGGGCAGAGGAGGGAGTGCAGAGAAGTCGGTCAGACCCCTAAGGTTGCATACTTTCTTTTTTCCTCCATAAAGCGCATTTACACAAGGAAGGCAATCAATGAAATTTACTTTCAGATTGGTTATCACATCTATTATTTAATAAGAATTGGGGTTTGATGGGGTGGCCCTTTTTCTTTCTTGTTGCTCTTTGAAGCTTTTACTATTTTGTGGTCTTACAGCTGCTCTTCTTACCGTGAGCACGTCTTGACTGAACATCATGATATGCATTAAGGACTCAGGGAGGTTTAACTGATTGTACTGCCAAGGGAAGCAAAAGCATGTGTTAAGAAAAGCACGGCCTTGAGTTTAAATGCTGTTTCTGCCACTTCTTAGTGAAACACAATTTATTTAAACATTCCGAGCCTCAGTTTCTCTCTCAAAAAGAAAGATAGAGACCAGGTGCAGTGGCTCACATGTGTAATCCCAGCACTTTGGGAGGCTGAGATAGAAGGATCACTTCAGTCCAGCAGTTCAAGACCAGCCTGAGCAACATAAGAAAGCCCCAGCTCTATAAAAAATTTAAAAATTAGCCAGGAGTGGTTGTGCATGCCTGTGGTCCCAGCTACTTGGGAGGCTGAGGTGGGAGGATCACTTAAGCCTGGGAGGTTGAGGCTGCTGTGAGCTGTGATCATGCCACTGCACCCCATCCTGGACAACAGAGTGAGACCCTGTCTCAAAAAGAAAAAAGAAAAAAAAAGTAGATAATAGTATCTATGTGGCAGAATTGCGGTGAGGAGTAAATGACATGAGAGCTCAGTGGCTGTCACCTAATAGATGTTCAGTAAATATGAGTTCCCTATTTTCCAGTTAGATGAGATTCTTTTTGTACCTGATTTTTTTATGATTGTTTCGAGTTGTGATGTTCAGTATGATTGATAGCCACTAGCAACGTGCTGCTATTGAGCACTTGAAATGTGCCTAATCTGAATTAGGATGTGCCGTATGTGTAAAATATATACCAGGTTTCAAAGACATAGGATGAACTGAAGAATGTAAAATAGCCCATTAATAAACTTTTATATTAATTCCCTATTGACGTGGTACCATTTTGGATATATTGGGTTAAATAAAATATGTTCTTAAAGTAATCTTACTTGTTTCTTTTTCATTTTTTAACATGGCTACTAGAAAATTTAAAATTAATTTGTGGATTGCATTATATTGCTATTGGACAATTGCTGGTTATAGAGGAAAGACAGAATGAAATTTCAAGGCCTGTCTGAAGCCCAGGTGACAAAAAAAATTTCTATTTTTTCAACTTTTGCTATAAAGATCTAGTTGCCTAAAATTCAGTGGAATTTTGAAAGTAGGATGAGGCACTTAGTCAGTGGAAATTAGGTTAAACTGACTTTGATGGGAAAAAAATGCAGTTGTCAGCATTTACTTTCGTTGCATTTTCACCACTAACTGAATACCTTGTCCTCTAATGTTACACATAAATGTGAAGGTTAAGAGCTGTCTCTCTAACTCACCTCTGCTGGCCAGAATCCTGAAGCCACATGCTACACTGCTTTGTCTCTCCTGGATTGCACAGTGAAATTGTTTTCTCTTTATGTATGACAGAGCCTTCACTTCTTGAACTCCTCATCCTTCTCAGAAACCACACAGGGATGTCCCTGGACTGCAGAGGAGGAGTTTCTTTCAAATACTTTAAACCAGCAGGAGACCTCAGTTTTGACATTAAAACCATTTAAATACACATATGCACATGTGTGCATGCACACACACACACACACATGCACACATGCAGAAACCCAGCACAGAGTGAGGTGGTGCAGGGAGCAGTGGCGGGGTGGTCTCTCTTAAAAAATTCCAAGGCACTCACTAGCTTTGAGATACACAAAAAAGCTGAAGCATTTCTTCACACACCATAGTTTCTTTTCTTTGACATCGTATGTGAGCCCGTTTGCTGAGGAAGGAGGGGGTAGTGACTGGGGCTCCCACTAAGCACTTGTGCAGATGGAGGCAGAGAGGCAAAAGATAGTGTAGCCAGTGTTCATTACAGCACCATATCATTGGCACAGTTTCTACTTCCTTCTCTTCCAATCCCCAACTCTCTCACCTGGGTTCTAACCCTAGCTGTCCTCGCAAATGGGTGCCTCTCCCTAAGTACATCATGACCTCCAGGCTGCTAAATCCAATAAATATTTTTTAGCCACATCACAGGAATGACATTAACATCTGCCTCCCTTAATCCAGCATTGACCACAGCTATGGTGTACTATAGCCATGGGCACTGCCCCTTTCCTCTCCTCCTTATGCACAGCAGGCTTCCTCCTGCCTGGCCTAGCAGCCTTCAGAAATGGCTCATTCAGAGGCTTTCAAGGCATGCATAATGCCACATCTCAGATATTGCTCAGTTCTCATCTTTACTAACCTGTCAGCAATACACCACTCCTCCCATCTTGAAATACTCTCTTCTTTGGCTGTCCAATGCCATCTGATATAGTTTGGCTGTGTCCCCACCCAAATCTCATCTTGAATTACAACTCCCACAATTCCAACATGTCATGGGAGGAACTTGGTGGGAGGTGATTGAATCATGGGGGTGGGTCTTTCCTGGGTTGTTCTCATGATGGTGAATGAGACTCACGAGAAAAATGGGAGTTTTTCTGCATAAACTCTCTTCTCTTGTCTGCTGCCATGTGAGACACCTTCTGCCGTGATAGTGAGGTCTCCCCAACCACGTGGAACTGTAAGTCCAATAAACCTTTCTTTTGTAAATTGCCCAGTCTCGGGGAATGCCTTTATCAGCAGTGTGAGAACGGGCTAATACACCATCCTTATCTGGTTTCTCCTAGGGCTTTGCACCTTCCCTTTCTATCTCCTTTGCAGGCTCAATTTCAACCTCCTGACTATGAAATGTTAGATTCCCAAGACTTGGTCATAAGCCCCTTCTCTTCATCTATTCTAATACTTTCTCCCTTGACATTCAGGAATTATTATTACCAGGGTTATCAATATCCAGGGCTTTGACATCTGATAATTCTGGTAGCTTTCAGATTTATGTCCTCAGCGCAGAATGTTATTCTGAGTTCTAAACCTATAAATCTAATCTTTTACTTGACATCTCAACTTGCATTTCTCAAAGACCTTCAAAGTAAACCCGAACAAACCTTAACTTTGAAGCCTGGTTCTCCTTAAGTGTTTTGTCATTCAGGGGATGATAGTTCATCTCTAGCATAAACCAGCAATCAAAGAGTTCCTTTGAAATCTCCCTTTCCTTCACCTTTACCACCTCATCCATTATATCATCAAGTCCCAATGACTTCATATGCCAATAATCTCTCAGATCCAGGGAGTTCTTTTCATCCTCCCTGCCAACCCCCCAGGCCAAAAGTACCATCATTTCTTGCTTGGACTGCCTCAGTAGCCCCCTGTCTTCTTTTTCTCTCACTTCCCTCCAAACATAGCCACCAGAGTAAGGTGGGATTTTACTTCCCAGACCTGTTGAATCTTCCCTAACCTAGTTCTCTTCTAAAGTGTGAAAGACGTAGGCCATCAGGGATGTGGCTTGGAACGTCCATGATTGCTAAAAGCACTAAGATTTTGTAAGAGTTCACAGAAGGAGAAAGTTACTTCTAGCAAGTGGGTCAGGGCAGGTTTGACTGAGGAGGGTTGTTTGACTCTGGGTGGTTTGTACCTGCCATGTGAATGTTAAGAGGGTCATTTCAGGCCAGGTGCGGTCCTCATGCCTATAATTCCAGTGCTGTGGGAAGACAAGATGGGAGGATTGCTTGAGGCCAGGAGCTTAACACAAGACTGGGCAACAAAGCAAGACCCCTGTCCCTACGAAAAAAAATTTAAAAATAGCAGGCATGGTGGCACATGCCTATAGTCCCAGCAACTTGGGAGGGTTAGTATGGAGGGCCACTGCACTCCAGCCTGGGGTGATAGAGCAAAACCCTGTATCTTAAAAACAAAACAAAACAAAACACCCCATCATTTTAGGGACTGAGAACAACATGAACAAAGGCAGGGAGGTAATAGAAGAAAGGTATTGGTTCACGGATTCATTTAAAAATTAATTATTGAGCATTTGTTATGAATGAGACATCATTACAGGTGCTGGGAATATATTGATGAAAAACACAGACATGGGCCTCATAGAACTTACAGTTGAGAGGTGCTGTGTGGGGAGTTTGTTGGATCCCAGAGAACATGAAGGGAATCGTGGGGCATTTTGCTAGAGAAGTAAGTGAAGACCAGATCAAGGAAGGGACTTAAACAGATAATAGGAGTTTTCGATTTTATAAAGTCAAGACTTATAAAGTCAATGCCTTGAGGGGACAGGTGGCAAATGTAAATTAGGGGAGTGGGCTTGGTGTGAGGTAAGAGGAAGAGTGGGGATTTGGGCAAACTAGAAATCTCAAGCCCTATCCAAGGAGTGACTGATTATTCAGCCGCAGCTAATTATTGCCATTCAGAAATGTGGATCCAGAACCTCTGCTATTGAAAGAAAGAAATGCAAGCATGCAAGCTTTTAGAGCAACTTTTGGTTTGTTAAATTTCGATAAGTAATTTGATTCTATTTTTTTTTTCAAAATGCCATGAAAGTATCAAACTATGACTTTGGGTTGCTTCAGCTTGCAGGACAGCAGTTTATGCGCTCTGCTTGATACAAATGGGAGCAATTGAAGGCTCTTTGTCTTAGTCCATTTGGCTGCTATAACAAAATACCTTATACTGAGTGGCTTATAAATAACATAAACTTATTGCCCCAAGTTCTGGAGGCTAAGTCCAAGATCAAGATGCTAGCAGATTTAGTGTCTGGTCAGGGCCTATTCCTTATAGATAACGCCTTCTATGTGTCCTCACGTAGCAGAAGGGGCAAATAAGCTCCCTCAGTTTTCTTTTTATAAGGCAATAATCCCATTCATGAGGGCTCTAACCTCATGACTTAATCATTTCCCCAAAAGCCCCACTTCATAACAGTATCTCATTGGAGATTAGGTTTAAATGTATAAATTTTTCAGGGGCACACATATTCAAACCACAGCACATTATGTGTAAAATGTGTTGAAGATGAAAATTCTTTAGGCAGAAAGCTCATTGGAAGTGGCTGAGGAGACAAAGAATGAGAGTCTGGTTTAGAATTTAGGCAACAAGAAAGGAGATGGGCCTCTTCCAACAAACATTTTCCTCTTCTTTCTTTCTTTCTTTCTTTCTTTTTTTTTTTTTTTTTTTTTTGAGACGGTATCTCGCTCTGTCATCCAGGCTGGAGTGCAGTGGCAGGATCTCAGCTCACTGCAACCTCTGCCTTCTAGGTTCAAGCCATTCTCCTGCCTGCCTCAGCCTCCCAAGTAGCTGAGATTACAGGTGCTCGCCACCATGCCTGGCTAATTTTTGTATTTTTAGTAGAGGCAGGGTTTCACCATGTTGGCCAGCCTGGTCCTGAACTCCTGACCTCAGGTAATCCACAGTGGCCTCTCACAGTGCTGGGATTACAGGTGTGAGCCATTGCACCCAGCCTCCTCTTTTTTCTTAGTAACTGAACTGCAATGTGTTAGGCTGGAAAAGAAAACTACATTTGCCAGCCTTTCTTATAGCTAAGTTTGGTCATGTAAATAAATAATTCTGTCCAATGTGATGGCGAAAGATTGTAGGATGGGGCTTCAGGAAAAGTTTTTAAAACAGATATGCCTTTTTGTTCTTCCATCCTTCTGTTTTTATCATTCTGAGATGTGGACAAAATGGCTGAAACTTCAGCAATTATCTTAAGCCAAAAGTTGAAGATGATTTTTTAAAAAGTAAGATGGAGGGACTAGGGGTCTCTAAGGTGCACAGGGCACCATTTCAGCCCTGAGTGGCCTGCTTGCCTCAGGATTTCTACTTGAAAGAAAAAATTGGTTTTATGTGTTTACACATAAAACCTGATACATTCTGACTTTTCTGTTACATGCAGTCAAACCCAACCCTCACTGAGAAAGCAACTAATTAAATGCAGAGAGCAGGAAGATAATAGGAGCCCAGGTTTGGGTGTACAATATTGGAAAGACAGGCATAGCAAGAATCTAGACGCACATCAGCAGGGTCAAGAATGTAGGTGCCAAGGATCTATTGAGTGTTCACCACATCCCAGGTGCTGTTCTAAGGGCTTTGTATGTGTTAACTCATTGAAATCTAACAACCAGTCTATGATCTTCATACTAGTCTATAACCATTTTACAGATGGGAAAACTAAGGCACAGGGAGACTAAGTGCCTTACTCAGATCTCCAGCTAGCAAGTGGTAGAACCATGAGTCATCCAACTGCTCTGTCCCAGAGCTGGTACTTGTAACTTCCACCCTGTGCTGCCTTTATGCGCTGTCTGTCCCCACCATCTCTACCACACTTCCACTCTCTCTCTCACTTGCAGCCTCTAGCCACAGTGCTTCCTTCTGCCCTGAAAATGCAAAGGCTTTTCCTGCCTCAAGGCCTTTGTCCTAATGAATTCTCTATCAAGAAGGCTCTTCCTCCAGATTGTTATGTGGCTTGCTCCTTTTCCTAATGCTGACCTTAACTCAACTATCGCCTCCTCAAACAGACCTCTGACTCAGCAGTTGGGGGACTCTTGCAATGCATGTTTCTTGCGCAGAATTATAACCTGTGTTCACATTCTCAGACGTCTATGGTTATGTTTCCACATTTAAGCTAAACAGAAGGCTCTATTTAAAGAAACAAAAATAAAAACCTGGAACTGTCGCTGCCAGACAGTCATCCATGTCCTCAAGAAATTCTCTGACAAGTCGGGAGGCATAGGAGAAGAACCACATGTATAGTGCAGGATCAGCGCTCTTCAGGAGGTCCTGGAGTGAGACGCACAGCAAGGGCAGAAAGAGCCACTTCACTACAGGCCACTGCAAACAGCTGAGAGTGGAAGTATCAGAGACTGTTAGTTGTCCTCAGTTTATTTTATCCACTGTTTCCTTGAGAATAGGATCCCCAATTTGTTTTTGGACAAATGGTTGACAAAAACAATAACTACATTTCCCAATCTCTTTTGCAACAGATGTGTCCATGTGACCAAGTTACATGGAAACGAAATGGGAGTTCCTAAGTGGAACTTCTTGGACACCATCAAAAAGGGAAGGGCATGACTTTCTTTGGTCCTCCCTTTGTTCCACGGGTTAACATGGGGATCTGAGAGCTCAATTTCCAGCAGCCACCCCAGCCAATGACACAGAAGCTACATGGCTAAGGAAGTGGAAAAATAATCTAGAAAGAACTTGGATTCTGGATGACTGAATGATACCACCCATATGTAAAGGAAAAGAATCAGCTTTCTAGTAGTTTATGCCACTGTTATTTTCATTTTTCTGTCACTTGTAACCAAGTCTACTCCTGATCCAGAGAGTGTTATATAATAAATGAGGCTGGAAGGATAAAACCAAATCAGTGAAGTCATTATAAGGAATCTTAGGAAACTTGAACTTCATCCTGAAGTAATGAAAAGAGAGTGAACATTTTTTAGTAGTGAATGAACAGGATTGCTTACACTTTTTTTTTTTTTTTTTGAAAAATCACTGTTGGGAATGAAAGCATTCTTGGGAAGTGAACTGGAGGGGGCAAGACTGGAGGCAGAGATGCCAATTAAGAGGCTGCTATAAGTAGCACTGCAAAATGGCACACTCTGAACTGCAATCATGGATGCAGAGCTAGAGAAGGTGGATTGCAGGGAAATAGAAGGAGTGGAATCTCTAGAACTTGATTTATCCATGTGCTGGCTGAGAAAACGGGAGCATTGGAATAACTTTCAAGTTTCTGATTTGGGCAGCTGCATCACTCATGAGTGAAAGGCATTAGGAGGAGCAGTTTACTAGGCTTCCAAAAAAAGACCTCCTCTAAGAATAGGGAAACTAAGCAGTAGAAGATTTTAGAAGTAGGATATTAACCCAGTTTCCAATTGCAAGACCATCTGTCAGGTTTTTGATGTAGTCAAAAGCAAGAACCAAACAGATCTGATTCAAAGTTTAGATAAACCATGCCCTTACTTGACCTTGGGCCCAGTTATTTAACCTTCTAGACCATCAGTTTCTTCATCTCTAAAATGGATACAATCACACTAATATCATTGGGCTTTATGGAAAATAATGAAATTCCCAGCTGAGTGCAAGAACATAGTAAATGGACAATACGTGTAGCTGTTGTTATTTACTGCTTGTTAAGTGTTCAGGTCATCTATATGGGAGCATTTTCTCTTCTCCTGCTTAGTCTCTCAAAGATTCTTAGTACAGAGCACAACATGTACTACCTTCACTCTCAACTAAGTCCCATTGGAGAGTACATTCTCCATAAAAACAAAGGTAATTAAAGAGTCCAGTGTGTGCACGCTAGCCCAAGGAAAACTTACTCAAATTGACTTTCACTTTGATTCTCTGCCTGCCCTGAGATCTCCCTCAGCTTCTCCTTCTGGGTATCTACTCCGCCTAGCAGCTCCAGCAAAGAATTTTAAAAATAAAATGTTCTTGATCAATATCTTGATAAATTTCTTAAAGTCTTAATGTGGTGGACAAACAATTCCTTTTTTAATAAGCCTTTTTTTCTTTGAAAGAATCTCAATTGACATGATTGAACCAAAAGAAAATCGGCATGACATATATAATATTAAGCAGCTATAAATCTGGAAGAGATTCAAAACCCAGACAGAAGGCTTTGATTTTTTTAAAGCACATTTAATCATGTTTTAAAGCAAAATGAAAAACCACAAATCTGTTTAGACATTCCAAACATGAAGAAATAATATTTTTATCAAAATCTTGTAACCTTACTCACACCAAAAGAAATTGTTCCTAAGCAGCGCTGACAACTCTGTCTGAGATGTGAATCTGAAAACACGTTTTTAAAATTATACTTTGGAAGCTTTGAATATGCTCAATGAAATTCCAGAATTAATCCACTCCAGTTTTGCAGTAGGCACTGACTCATCTACATCTCCTTCCCTCTTCCCTTTTAGCAAAGCTACCCTACTCATTCCCCCAACACATACACACACACACACGTGCACACACACACACACACACCTTCAGTTAGAACCAATGGCTATGATACATCAAAAGAGTCACAGTTAATCCAATAGACTCTTTTTTTCTGTTCCTTGCCTCGGTTTTTTCACTTTAAATGGAGGAAAACATCTCACTTATCACCTGGAACATCTGCCAAATGAACCAAGATGCAGAGAAGCTCTGATTTAGGCATGGTAGGCTGGCTCTTCATGCTCATAAATCCAGGCTGTTTAGCAGTCCCTCGTAGAATGCCAAGAGAACTGCATGTTACTGATCCCCACAAATGCCAAAATTGCAATGGGTTGACATTTACTGTGCAGTCATCATATAACAAATGATTTACCTAGAAAGAGACACAGTCTTCCAGTGAGATGACAGTTAATCCTTCTTCCAGGCTTGGAGAGGTAGAGAGATTCCAGGAAACAAATTAGCTTTAAAAAGTCTCTGGTTTTAGCTGCATCGTACATAGTTCTTTTTTAAATATAACTTTTTAAAAGATATAATTCACATATATAAAACACATTCTTTAAAAGTGTACAATTCAGTGGTTTTTAGTGTATTCACAAATTTGTACAACCATCACTGTTATCTATTTCCAGAACATTGCAATCACTCCTAAAAGAAACACCATAACCACTAGCAGTCACTCCCCATTCCCCTCCAACTCTCCAGCCTTAGGCAATTGCTAATCTATTTTCTGTCCCTAGAGATTTGCCTACTCTTGACATTCATATATAAGGGATTATACAACATGTGGCCTTTTGTGTCTGGCTTCTTTCACTTAACAATGTTTTTAAGATTGTAGATGGGAGTTTTTGCTGATATGTTGAATTTCTCTTCTGATAACACTAACAGTTATCATATTTGGAGTGCTTCTCAATGCTGAAGTGCTTTCCATGCATAATCTCACTCCATCCTCACAACAGTAGAACGAGACATATACAATTATATCCATTTTACAGACGGGGAATTGACGTTTATAGAGAAGTCAAGTAACTCATCCAAGGCCAAACAGCTAGTAAGTGATTGAGGAAGGATTTCAATCCAGGCCTGCTTGACTCCAAAGCTTGTGATGTTAACCTCCAGGATCCACTGCCAGCATTCTTAGAGATGAGTTCTGTTTTTGTTGCCCTTTCCAGGGTCTTCTTTAAAACAGGAAAAAGTGTATTCCTAAGATGCTTGAGAGTTAAGGCAATTCCCCAGGGGCTGGACTCGTATGCAATGGGTCAGTGAAATGCAGCATGGCCATGTCTGCAAGCTGAGGAGAAGTGAGTGGCAGCTAGAAATGTAAGGCCTCAAGAATTCCAAGATCTCTAAGGAGAATGACCCCAGAGCTGTAGCACCCAGCATACCGGATGGGCAAATAGAAAGCGTGGGGTGTCTGGCTGACACTTGGAATGCCACCGACATCCCTGTCTAGGTCACTCATTGATGGGCTAATACATCAGATTATTAATATAATAATTAATAAATCATTTTTTCACAAAAACTGGTCTTGACAAACATTGGAGAAATATAAGAGCCATGTTGCTCATCACTATACCCTCACAGCAAGGTTCAATCCTAATAATCTGGGCATGGGATTCAATGTGTTTCTAAAGACTCTTTGAGGAGTGACAAAACATCCAAGCAGAGATTCATTAAAAGCTGTTGATTTTTATGTTTCTCCCAGATGAAATGACATAAATTACAGCTAAGATGCACAGTTCAGTCTTTAATCTCGACCAACCACTTCTTTTAATGCCTACCCTGAAATTTCAAGAAGCCACATGGTCAAGGAGAAATCAGCTTCACTTCTCCTGATTTTCATCCTCCCAATCCCTCGAGGCCATTATCTCCACAAATTCGACGTGATTAGAAGTGGAATGCATGGATTGTGAAGAAGCAAAACAGAGCATCTGAGTAATTCTTCCTTAAAACACTGGACCCTGGATGCATTTTGGATGCAGGTGCAGAGGAAATGGTCTTTAAATGATGACAAATTTTTAGGCACATGGTTAAAATGAAGCCAACCAACCTCAAATGCTCAGATTTTCATCCCACTGTGATTTTGAACTTGAGTTAAAGGGAGGCCTGTTCATCAGCCTGGCTCTCACCGTCTTTCCTGCTGTTTCTGGCAGCAGTAGCCTTTGTCTCAGGCTGAGCCCGGCTTTTCTGTGACCTTCACTATCACAGAAGTAAGCACAGTGCTTACTCAGTGCCGGAGTCAGACGAAAGCACACCTGAAACCCCACTCTGCTGAATTCAAGGTGTGAGGCAAATTACTTAACCTCTCTAAGCCTGTGTTTCCTCACTTGTTAAATGGGAATGTGAGTACCAACCTCTTATGGATCCTATGAGGATTCAGTAAAATTTCCATGTAAAATTTTCTTAAATTTGATTTAACAACAACTTTTTATAGGCTTCTCTTAAATGCTATAGAAACAAAAAATATTTATAGCTGAAAAAAAAAACAAAGCACTTGGCAGAGTGTTTGGCATGTAGTAAGTCCCAGTAAACATTAGCTATTGTTTTTACAAATTTCTCTCAGATCTTTGGAGGCACATTCCGGCAAGAGGTTGCACAGTCTTTATTTTAGTGTCCAGAAGACACACATGATTCAGAGAGGTTGGGAGGGAGTGAAAATGTGAGCTCTCTCTAGTGGGTGCTTTCTGGTACGAGCACTCTATCTGAAGGGAAAACCTTTCCAAAGGCTTAGAAATTGAAATGTTTTTGTGCTTAGCTCAGATCACCTCCTCTTGGGGGCAGAAAAGATGAGAAGGCCCAAATGAAGAGTCCAAACAATGGAAGGTGCAGTGGCAAGAGGCAACAACGACAAAGGCCAACACTGCTCAGGAGAGCAGGGGTCCAGAGGGTAGGAGCGGGAAGTGGGGATCCACGCCACAGGGGGATGGCAGAGCAGAGACAGCCATGGCCACAGCTAGCCACACAGCTGCTGGGAGCCAGTTAGGACCAGCAGGCTTTCTCTCAGGCAGCACATCCCTCACCAGGACCCATGAATTAATGAGTGGAGCACAGGCTGGATTTCAGTTCAGCTCCTCAAATGGGTCCTTGAGCAGGACTCAGACTTCACAGCCTTCAGCAGTGACCCTGGGCTGGGGGTGGGTGTCTGAATTTGGATATAACCCAAGAGTCCAGAACCAAGAAGTTGAGAGCAAGGAAGCTGATATCTGTGGAGGGCAGGAGAGGAATGAGGGAGGATCTTAGCAAAATGTTTCTCTATATTTTGCCACATCTGTGAACCACTATAATGGGTTAGCTTCTTCAGAAATGGAAGCTGAAATGAAGGTTGGGATATAGGATGTTCATTAGGGACTAGCACTGCAGAGGAAACAGGAAGGAAGTAGGATTGAGCAGAAGGAGAAATCAAACTGCTGTGCAGGCCTGACAAAGCCTCAGCCAATATAATGAGATGGAATGGGGGTCTGGAGCAAGAGGAAGGATTGGGACCCCATTAGAGGTTCCACCATCAGAGAAGGACATGGCCTCGGGCAGGGTGGCTCTCTGCAGTTGAGGTGGACCCTGAAGGAGCTTCCAGCCGGAGGCAGTCTGCTGACCACATTCCCCATGGCTTCAGCAAGGCCCTCCTTGAAAGGAGATCCGGGTGGCACATCTCCATGTGCCACCAAAAGCACCTCGACATCTATTCATGGTCAGTTCTCATTATTCACACTAGTTATATTCTATAACATCTCTGCAAATACTGAATTAGCAAATACTGAACCATTGCTCCCAGGTGAAATACAGGGTTAGATACCTGTGAGCCTCTGGTCATAACATTTTCATCAGTCAGTCAATACATGACCTTCTTTATATGTGTTTCCATTTAAAGACACCTTATTTAATACATATTGTTGACTCAGTGGCATTGAACTCATGACCAATATCACACTGTAACTATGCCTGAAGGAAGAGTGTCTAATACATGTAGGTTCTCCCTAAGGCACATCACAGCTTTCCTGCACTTAGGAAAGCTAGAGAGTACTGTGGCTCTACATGTGGGGGTCATTTTAACAGTGAAATTACCCAAAAAAAGGCAGAAATGCAAAAAACATGGCACTAAATCAATCACTTGATTATAGACACTTGTTTACAGTATGAGAGCTGAACAAAATAGAGCATTACCTTGCTGGGCCTCAGCTGAAAACTTGTATAGATGGCAACTCAAATGTTTTGCTGCTCCACACATGTCTGCAAACAATAGCAAAACCACTGCACATACTGACTTTGGAGTTACAGATACATTTTAGCAAGTTGGCAAATTCACAAATACTGAATCTATGAATAGTGAAGATCAACTGTACCTAACTTTTTTTTTTTTTTTTTTTTGAGACAGAATCTTACTCGGACATCCAGACTGGAGTGTAGTGGTGCGATCTTGGCTCACTGCAACCTCTATCTCCTGGGGTCAAGTGATTCTCAAGCCTCAGCCTCCCGAGTAGCTGCGATTACATGCATCACCAGGCTCGGCTAAGTTTTTGTATTTTTAGTAGAAACGGGGTTTCACTATGTTGGCCAGGCTGGTCTCGAACTCCTGGCCTCAAGTGATCCACCCACCTCGGCATCCCAAAGTGCTGGGATTACAGATGTGAGCCACCTCACCCATCCCAATCATATTTAATATTTTTATTTACCTCCTTTTTTGTAACATATATATTTATTCTCATTTTAGATACTATTATTGATGAAATCATGGTTTCACTGTGTTGGGTATATTTTTATTAACATACATTAATTTAAGAACATTCCTGTTAATAATAAGCTGTTCTTCTTTATGCCATTTAAAATTGTCTCATGCACCCCTAGTGGTACATAGATTTAAGGAGCTAGTGAACCTGGTAGGCTGGATTTTGTGGGTGACAAGGGATTCGATACATGAATGGTTTGTTTCCACCCAATCTCAGGAAAATCTTCTCTCCTTAGGTTTCTGTCAGAATCATTCATTTGTTCAAGGATCACTGGGCTAGAGGAAACCAATTTCTCTTCCATATCCACTCAGTGTAAGCTATGTTTATCTTTCACTTGCTAATAAAACAATAGCTTGTGTTTAATGTGGATTGATTCAAATAAGAGAATTCAGCAACTTTCCAAGTCCACCAACTTCTTCCTGTGTGGTTAAGCATTCCCACAGTTGATGAAAATGGAGAAAGGAAATTACAAAGGATTTGAATATTATCCTGAAAGTTATTTGTTTGCTTTTAAAATCTTAATAAAAGATTTCTCCAATTTATTTTTCATAACTTCATGGAAAGCAAGAATAATTTCTGTGAAAGAGGTGATTAGCAAGGCAAAAACACCATTTTATCTCAAAATACACTGCTAATCAATTTTAAGTGTTATCTCCATTTGTAATTTAGGATGTCCAGGGTTAATAACATTGCAAAGATTCTCTGATGGTGCAATAATCACGGGATGTAAATTGATTTCTTTCGGTGGGGTGTTTGTTAAAAGCATATGAGCTTTCTAATTGGCCTTCAGCCACTCTGCCACATTGTGATCTAACTATATTGCCCTATAATTTGTAAGCACTCACTGAGTTATTTATAGATAACATGAAATATTTGTTAGTTCACAGTGGATATGATTTAAACCAAACCAAAGACAGTATATAAATGTTAAAATCTTGAACCTATGTTAAAATGTTCAAGAGCCTATGTTCTATTTTCTTTCCTCTGTTGTGTCCTCTGATGAATATTACTACCCATGTCTGGGTTTCCTTTGTAATTCTCTTCCAATTAATTACTCCAGAGAGAGAAGAAAGAGTTGCTACAAATATAACATAATTAAAACTCACTAGTTTTAAGAGCGCGGACTGCAGATGAAGGGAAAATCTGTGGTCCCTATGCTTTATTATCTTGCAGAATCCTTCAGGACAATTCTGCTGTCCTTGGCTTTTAGAGCACCTGGTTTCCCTTTTTGTTTTATCCCATGATGGTGGCAGTAGGTTTGGTCTTCACAGAATGCACATCTAATCCACATGTTACTTGCTTTGTTCTCTAGACCTCAACATTCCCACCTGTAAGCTGCAGCACACCAGTATGTTGCAAACAGGTTACCAGCCATTAACCCTGGACATCTTAAATGGCAAATGCCATAAGATCCTCAGCCTTCACAGTGGCCAGGTGGCCACCTGGAGTGCATGGGGCCTCCTAATTCATGTATCACCTCTGGCCTTGAATAACTTCATCCAGAGAGTCTAATATACAGCACAAGAATGATCCTTTCCTATGTGTGCCATGACATGAAAGAGGTTGGGGAACACCACCCAAGACCAAGGTCCGTCATGACTTTGGGAACCTCGAAGGGTTCTTTAATGAATGTTTACTTGACTTTCTAGTACCTGCTGACTAGTTCCCCAGAACACCCGGCCCATCTTTAGAACTCAGCTGGCCAAGCTTACTTCATCCCTGCAAAGATTGACTAGATGTTTACCTAACCCACTTTCCCTTCCTGGGCTTAGATGCAAATTACATTGCCCAGACCCCTTTCCTCTAGATGCATGCATAAGACCAGCTCCTGCTGATGCAGTGTAAGTGGAAGTAATGTGTCACTTCTGGGTGAAGGCCATTGAGAGTCTTTTGCCTTGTCCATACTTTCCTTCTGACTTCTCCTTTCAAAATATCCATGGACACAACATGTGTTGAAGATGGCAGGTAGGTCTGGGAATGACTGCATTTTCTACAGCCATAGACTGGCCGATTGAAATGGACTTTCATGGGAGTGAAAAATAGATTTTGTTTGTATTATGCTCTAAGACTTCAGAATTTATCAGTTATAACAACTAACATAATTTACCTTAATCAGTACAATTCTTTGTCCCCATAGACATACACAGTGTTATGGGCTGAATCTGTTTCCCCCAAAATTCATGTGTTGAAGTTCCAACCCACCCCACCCCTCCCCAGCCGGCATATTCCAGAATGTAACCATACTTGGAGAAAAGGTCTAAGGAAGTGATTACGCTGAGGTCATTAGGGTGGGGCATTAATCCAATATGACTGTGTCCTTATAAGAAGAGAAAGATGCCAGGGCTGGTGTGCACAGAGGGATGACCTCAAAGAGGCAGCAAGAGGTCAGCCATCTACAAGCCAACTGAGAGGCCTCAGAAGAAACCAACAGGCACTTTGGTCTTGGACTTCCAGCCTTCAGAACTGTGAGAAAGTAAATATCTGTTGTTTCAGCCTCCCAATCTGTGGTATTTTGTGACGACAGGCCCCAGCAAACAAATGCACATAGTAAAGTCACCTCACGTACCATCTCATTTCTCTCTTATTTCCCAACAGGTCTGCATGAATTTTTAACCTGTAGGCATCTGCTGAGTCCTTAAGGATGCTAGTTTGCTAGCTCTCTTATCTCTGCCATAGATATCTTTCATGATCCAAGATTAATTGTGGAAACTCCTGTTCTCAGGCAAACTCAAACACACACCAAAGCATGCACACACACACACACACGCACACAGTACATGTTGCTTTCCTTGATATTTTCCACATTTCATAATTCTCTTGATCACAGAGGTTTATTCAATGAAATTGTACCAAGGGCTGCCCTAGATTTGAACTTAGCCCAGTCTGAGACCCCACGGGCAGCTAGATGAGTTAGGTGAACAGAAGCTCCAAATATTTGTGAAAGATTCTCCTTTCACTGCATCTCCTTCCTAGCCAGAGCCCTCAAAGCTTGTCACTAATAACTCCCCTAAGTTATAGGTTTCTGTGACACAGAATCTATCTCCTGAGACCGTGAGCATGAGCGCTGCCTGGTATGTGCAAGGTCAGAGGACCCTGCCCACTTCCCTCCCGCTCCCAGAGCCAAGGCTACCTGTGGAAGCTACAAACCTGTCTAACCATGGAATTGCCATGTGGAGCCAAGATCATGCTCTGCTGATGGAAGCAAGATGCATGATCCTGAGCAACCCACAAAACGCAAGGCACCACCTTGCAAAAGCTGTGTTCTGGCTCAGAGCTTTCGAATAGGCAACCATCCATTAACATACAAGTTTCCGAATTATACACAGGGCTACCTGCTTGGCTGATTGTATTTTACCCTTTAGCTTGGAAATCTTGTTTAACACAGCTCCCTCTACTGGGCTATTGCTTACTCTGAAGCTTTTGGTGTCCAATTTGGGAGAAAAGAACCAGCCCAGTTAGCTGTTGAGGAACCAGCTGATAGAATGAAGGCGAAAATGGCATTGTCTGATGCGAGAATACTAAGGGATGTATACATGGGGCCCTCTGGGTTTTTGCCAATCCTGTTTGGGTGTTTCCCTACCTTAGGTCCCTTTTGGCATCTTAGTAATCTGTCTTCTGAGAAAAAAGGGGCAGTAATCCTGACCTGCCTTCTAAGGGTTACAGGATAATACGGTTACAGCATATTCTTCTAGGGAAAAATACGATCCCAAGTTCAGTCCACGGGAAGTCAAGCATCAGAAACAACAGGGCAAAGGTGTTCCTGAAAGCCAAGCCAGAACACATTGACAGAAGGGCCCCTTCCAAAATAAAGACAGCCCTAGAGGACAGCAGGCAGCCAGGCAGAGTCTTATCTGGGACATCAGTGGGCATTCCAGGCTCAGACCAAAGACTATTCATGGACCTTTGTAGAACTGCCACAGACTCTGAAAAAGGGACGATCCAGATTTTCTGTTTTCATCCTGGAAGTTCTTTTTCCTTTCTTGCTGCAGAGTGGGGTCAGAAGGAAGCTTTCAAGCAAGGAATGAGGCAGGGAAGTCCCTGAAAATGTGCCTCCTCTCTCTGCAGAGCTTAGCACAAGGGATGTAGATGACTCCCAGTCAGGCAGAGAGCTGAGTCCATCCCTGTCAC
The DNA here is from genome assembly GCF_000001405.40 of Homo sapiens. Taxonomy (NCBI): domain Eukaryota; kingdom Metazoa; phylum Chordata; class Mammalia; order Primates; family Hominidae; genus Homo; species Homo sapiens. The sequence goes on along the minus strand of NC_000004.12, from coordinate 53,705,880 downwards.
ACACATAAGTGTCATGTATGACGGAGTTTGAGGGAGTCCAATAAACAGTACATTTTGTCTCTGTTACAGGAATCAGGCAAATGAAGATCCAAATCGACAATATTGATAAAAGTCAGGCTGGAGAATGTGGCTTTCAATATCTTAGCTAGGTGGACGTTTCAATATCTTCTCTTGAACTAAACTCATTCACTGGGCTACAAGCAGCACCTTCCTGGCCACAGCCAACCTCTGTAAAGTTTATGACACAGAGCAGTAGAAGGAAATGATCTCCACCAGGGAAAAACCAGAGCCACTCTGTCCTAGCTCCCTCTCTGGAACTAACTCTCCAATCAGATAAGCCATTCCTCATCTCCTGGGGAGATGAGTAAAAGAGGTAAACAGTGGCCAGTTTCCTCTAGTGGAGATCTTTTCACAGAGAAGGAAGCTCAAGAGAAGGAAGTAAGCATCCACCAGCAATCTCTTCTGGAGGTCTCTGTGGACATTCACCCTCCTTCCCTCTGCACAGGAACAGGTGGGCACTCACACTTCCTCAGCACCTGGCAGGCCAACCAGCTCAGGGGCTTTCCAAGCCTGCAGTTACATTCATAGCTGGCCTTATCATCCTGCAGCATAACTACTTCTCTCTCTCCTATGTTACAGTACGAACTCCTGGAAGGCCGGGACCATATTCCATTACATTTAAAATTCATTTCTGTAACCCTGGTACCTAGTATTAGCACATAGTGGATGCTCACGAAATGTTTCTAGAATGAATGGACACGGGTGGATGAATAAAACAAGTGAATAGACAATAAAACCAGGGGAACCCCACAGGAGTAAGACTTTTTTCTAAAGATAAAGGAAGGCTTTGACTTGGTCCAAAGGGAAAGCCGACTCAGCCCCGGGGGCTTCATTTGAGAGCCAGTCTCACAGGAGCCCCCAGAGTGAAGAGAATGTGGATCTGAACTAAACTCCTCAGCATGCCAGGGTTTCCCAGGCTCCATTAGCCCCTTGCTGGGTCACCACAGCCTGGCTCCAGCCCCTTGCCTGAGTGTGGGTCTTTCTGAAGTATCCTCTTGTTCCACGGATCCTCAAAGCTCTCCATATTGCTTCCGTTCCTTCCCATCTTCCCTCCTGTAAGTTGGTAGGACTTCTAGTTCCATTCAACCCTGCAATCCCATTACTGGGCTTGCTCAAAGGAAAATATGCCCAAAGAAAACAAAATTATTCTTCCAAAAAGACACATGCACTTGTATGTTCACCGCTGTGCTATTCACAATAACAAAGACTTGGAACCAACCCACGTGCCCAACAGTGGTAAGACTGCATAAAGAAAATGTGGTATATACACACATTTGGAATACTATGCAGCCATAAAAAAGAATGAAATCATGTCCTTTGCAGCAACATGTATGCAGCTGGATGCCATAATCTTAAGCAAATTAATGTAGAAACAGAAAACCAAATTTATAAGTGGGAGCTAAACACTGAGCACACATGGACATAAATATGGGAACAATGGATACTGTGGACTACTAGACAGTGGGGGATGGGGGGCAGCAATTAACTATTTATCGGGTACTATGCTCACTACATAAGTGACAGGATCCATACTCCAAACCTCAGCCTCATGCAATATTCCCACATAACGAACCTGCACATATACCTCTGGTATCTCAAATAAAAGTTGAAATTAAAAAAAAATTAAATTAAAGAAGAACTTCTAGTTCCAGGATGGCCATCTGGTTTGAGGATCTTCAGCCCAGAGAAACACAAAGCCCTCTCACAACCGAAGTACAACTGTTGATACAGTAGGAGCTAGATATTCACATAGTATACATCATACGTTTTTGTTTTTTTGGTCTGGTATAGACTCAAATAGCAACTTGCCCAGAAAACATAGTCCTTAAATACTGATTGGATAATTAATTGATCAGTGATATGTTTAATGACATTGACCATGGATACAATAGCATGGCCTTTGAATAGAAGAAAGACCATGGAAAGGAGGAGTTGTGAGTCCTGCCCTCTTTTTCCCCGGACATGCAATGCAGTGGTTGAGACACTGAATACAAGTCTGACTGTTCCACCTCTGTCACATCTTGTACAAGTTCTATAATTTTTCCAAACTGCAGTTTGTCCTTCTGTCAGCTGGAGATAATTATTGTACCAATCTCATAAGACTGTTCAATATGAAATAAAATAAAACACATAAAATGCTTAGCCTTGTATCAGGCACATAGTAAGTATTTGACATAAATATGTTTTTATTGCTGGTGTTGTTTTTGGTTTTATTTTATGAGTTAAGATCCTGGAGAAGTGCAGGAGGTCAAAGGGAAAAGATGATAATAGCTTCCAGGGACCCATGTTGAGTGGCAAGGCCCAGAGTGACCCCGTGCTGTGGCACGGATCTGTGATTCTCCAGATGTTCACGAAGGAATGGTTTTCTGCAGAATGAAGGAGCTGAAGTGCAAATGGGGTCAGGGAATTTTATAGGAGCTTGGAGGAAGAGTCAAGAGTAGAGTGTTCAGTCGTTACATCAAGTGAAAATAGAGACGCTGACGAAGAACTCGTGCCCTTACCTGGAGAGCTTGCCCTTAGGAAAGAGAGAGAAAGAGACAGAGAGAGAGAGAGACGCAGACACACACAGAAAGAGACACAGACACAGAGAGAAAGCACAGTCCCTCTTGTGCTGGCTGCTGACCAAACCCCACTGTGCCTCAGCCCAGCTTCCTGCCTCCCTGGGGAGGGGAAACGTGTCCCTTGGCCAGTAGCCATCAAAGGTCTTACAGGGATGCTTTGTGTCTGACCTGCCAGGGAAGGCAAACGAGCCCCACTTTTTGTTCCCCAGGGAACTGGCCTCTTAGGGACACTGGCGAGAGTTGTCTGCACATGTGGTCAATGGAGGGAAGCAGCTAGCACACAAGGGGACCAAAAGGGATGGCGGCGAAACTGCACAGTGGTAGGGGGAAGCCCGCGGGCTATTTTAGGCCAGGCTCAGAACTGGAGTCAATGGAGGTTTTGTTTATGTAACATCTGCAGAGGGCCCTTCAAAGCAAATAACCCTGGGTCTCCAGGCCAGGGCTGCAGCGAGCAGGGGTGGGGCCGCGAGCTTCCTGTTGTTCTTGGCACGGCTGCCCAGCTGTCTGCGTGGCTCCTCTCAGAGCCATTTGCCGCCTCACTGCTTGCTCCCTACGATCATCTTCACAGCTCTTTTCCTAGGGGCGGGTAAACAAAGTACAAGAAGCAGTGCAGGCAGAGCCGTTCCTCGGAGAGGTGACTCGAGCACTGTGCCCCAGAAAGTTGCCCTCCTGACCCCAGGGCTCCCCGGCCGCCCTGCAGCCTCAGGAGACCCCAGGGCGTCCTTTCTGCACATCCCCTTAGCTGAGCGGCTTTGCTGTCAGTTTCAGTATGGTAGGGAAAGGGGCCTGGCTCTCAGGTCTGCCCCATACAGGTCTGAACCCAGAGCTGCATTTGGCAGTTGCTTACTCTTGTGCTAAGTGCTCAATCCCCATTATTTATTACAGGCAGAAACATACATATATACGAGATAAATAATGTATGTTAATTTCCTTTCTACCAGGCCTGTTTGAAGGCATGAACACTATATTGTTATCTTTTTGAAACACAGATTCCATTGGGAAAGATGGGGATAAGACGGCCTTTTTCAAGTTTAGGAAAATTTATATGCACAAGAATGTAGAAATCTGAAACTGACAGTTTGATAAACTTGTTCACCTATGTATCCACCCACGTAACTACTACCCTGATCAAGATACAGAATATATCCATCGCCCTTATGTGAAAAGCTCCTTTGTGTCTCTTTCTGGTTAATAACCTGCTTACCCCTACTTATATTAGTCTGCCAGGGTGCCAGAACAAAATACCAAAGGCTAAGCGATTTCAATAACAAAAATCGGTTTCTCACAGTTTTGGAAGCTGGATGTCCAAGATCAGGGGACTAGAATGGCTGGTAAGGGCCCTCTTCCTGGCTTGCAGATGGCTGCTTTCTCAGTGTATGCTCACATGGCCACTACTTTGTGCACCTGGAGCAAGCGCTCTGGTGTCTATTCTTAAAAGGACATAAATTCTATCAGATCAGGGCCCTAACCTTATGACCTCATTTAACCTTAATTACTTCCAGAAAGGACTCATCTCCAAATATATTCACATTGGGGCTCAAGGCCTCAGCATACGAATATGGAGGGGACATGATTCGGTCCATAGCACTACCACGGTGCCTTCCTCCCCCAGTGATATGGTTTGGCTGTGTCCCCATCCAAATCTCAACTTGAATTGTATCTCCCAGAATTCCCATGTGTCACGGGAGGGACCCAGGGGGAGGTAATTGAATCATGGGGGCTGGTCTTTCCCATGCTAGTCTCGTAATAGTGAGTAAGTCACATGAGATCTGATGGGTTTTTCAGGGGTTTCCGCCTTTGCTTCTTCCTCATTTTTCTCTTGCCACTGCCATGTGAGAAGTGCCTTTTGCCTCCCGCCATGTTTCTGAGGCCTCCCCAGCCATGTGGAACTGTAAGTCCAATTAAACCTCTTTTCCTTCCCAGTGTCAGGTATGTCTTTATCAGCAGCGTGAAAACAGACTAATACAGTCAGTTGGTATCAGTACAGTGGGGCGTTGCTGAAAAGATAGCTGAAAATGTGGAAGCGACTTTGGAACTGGGTAACAGGCAGAGTTTGGAACAGTTTGGAGGCCTCAGAAGAAGACAGGAAAACGTGGGAAAGTTTGGAACTTCCTAGAGACCTGTTGAATGGCTTTGACAAAAATGCTAATAGTGATATGAACAATAAGGTCCAGGCTGAGGTGGTCTCAGATGGAGATGGGGAACTTGTTGGGAACTGGAGCAAAGGCGACTTTTGCTATGTTTTAGCAAAAAGACTGGCGGCATTTTGCCCCTGCCCTAGAGATGTGTGGAACTTTGAGCTTGGGAGAGATGATTTAGGGTGTCTGGTAGAAGAAACTTCTAAGCAGCAAAGCATTCAAGAGGTGACTTGGGTGCTGTTAAAAGCATTCCATTTTAAAAGGAAAACAGAGCGTAAAAGTTCAGAACGTTTGCAGCCTGATGATGCAGTAGAATAGAAAAACCCATTTTTTGAGGAGAAATTCAAGCCAGCTGCAGAAATTTGCATAAGTAGCAAGGAGTCTAATATTAATCCCCAAGACTGTGGGGAAAATGTCTCCAGGCCAAGTCAGAGACCTTCACAGCAGCCCCTCTCATCGCAGGCCTGGAGTCCCAGGAGGAAAAAGTGGTCTCATGGGCCAGTCCCAGGGTCCCTGTGCTGTGTGCAGCCTAGAAACTTGGTGCCCTGTGTCCCAGCTGCTCCAGATGTGGCTGAAAGGGGCCAACATAGAGCTTGGGCTGTGGCTTCAGAGTGTGCAAACCCCAAGCCTTGGCAGCTTCCACATGGTGTTGAGCCTGCAGTCCACAGAAGTCAAGAATTGAGGTTCGGGAATCTCCACTTAGATTTCAGAAGATGTATAGAAATGCCTGGATGCCCAGACAAAAGTTTGCTGCAGGAGCAGGGCCTCATGAAGAACCTCTCCTAGGGAAGTGCAGAAGGGAAATGTGGGGTCGGAGCCCCCACACAGAGTCCCTACTGGGGCACCGCCTAGTGGAGCTGTGAGAAGACGGCCACCGTCATCCAGACCCCAGAATGGTAGATCCACAGGCAGCTTGCACTGTGCACCTGGAAAAGCCACGGACACACAATGCCTGCCCGTGAAAGCAGTGGGAGAGAGGCTGTATCCTGCAAAGCCACAGGGGTGGAGCTGCCCAAGACCATGGGAACCCACCTTTTGAATTAGCATGACCTGGATGTGAGACCTGGAGTCAAAGGAGATCATTTTGGAGCTTTAAAATTTGACGACCTCACTGGATTTCGGACTTGCATGGGCCCTGTAACCCCTTTGTTTTGGCCAATTTCTCCCATTTGGAATGAATGTATTTACCCAATACCTGTTTTTCCATTGTATCTAGGAAGTAACTAGCTTGCTTTTGATTTTGCCAGCTCATATGTGGAGGAACTTCCCTTGTCTCAGAGGAGACTTTGGACTATGGACTTTTGGGTTAAAGCTGAAATGAGTTAAGACTTTGGGGGACTGTTGGGAAGGCATAATTGGTTTTGAAATGTGAGAACATGAGATTTGGAGGGGCCAGGGGTGGAATGATATAGTCTGGCTGTGTCCCCATCCAAATCCCAACTTGAATTCTATCTCCCAGAATTCCCATGTGTTGTGGGAGGGACCCAGGGGGAAGAAATTGAATCATGGGAGCCAGTCTTTCCCGTGCTATTCTCATGATAGTGAATAAGTCTCACAAGATCTGACAGGTTTATCAGGGGTTTCTGCTTTTGCTTCTTCCTCATTTTTCTCCTACTGACACCATGTAAGAAGTGCCTTTTGCCTCCCATCATGATTCTGAGGCCTCCTCAGCCATGTGGAACTGTAAGTCCAATTAAACCTCTTTTTCTTCCCTGTCTTGGGTATGTCTTTACCAGCAGCGTGAAAACAGACTCATGAAAACAGACTAATAGGCCCAGCCCCTAGCTGGTAACTACTGCTTCACTTAATGTCTCAAAACTAGAAGAAACCCAAATGTCCACCAACAGAGAAATGTACAAGTAAACTTTGATCTACTCATACAATGGAACATTTTGCCTCAATGAGAAATAATGAAGCCAGGTGCGGTGGCTCACATCTGTAATCCTAGCACTTTGGGAGGCCAAGACGAGCAGATCACCTGAGGTCAGGAGTTCAAGACCAGCCTGGCCAACATGGTGAAACCCTGTCTCTACTAAAAATACAAAAATTAGCCGGGTGTTGTGGCACACATACCTGTAGTCCCAGCTCTTCAGGAAGCTGAGGTACAAGAATTGCTTGAGCCTGGGAGGCGGAGCTTGCAGTGAGCCAAGATCACACCGCTGCACTGCAGCCTGGGTGACAGAGAGAAACTCTGTCTCAAAAAAAAAAAAAAAAAAAAAAAAGGAATGAGCTCATGGTATATAGGATCCATTTTCGGCTTTCCTCTGAGCAGGTTATGAATAAAACACAACAAAGGCCTTTGGATTTTGAGAATTCTGATCTCTGCCTGGACTGCCCCAAAAGTTTGTTTATTCCAACCAAGTTTAATTATTCCCTCGTGTTTGTAGCAAAAATTTCAAGTTTTTAGGGACCTTGCCTAACCACTGATAATCTTCCCACTCTACCAGGATAGACAATGGAGACCCCAGCTCATATCACAAGTGTCACCAGTAGAGCCTTTTAATATGAAACGTATCTTTCTTCGGGGAGAACTTGACTTCAAATTTGGATTTTCTGTTATTTTTATTAAAGAACAATAGGGTAGCCAGTTGGCTGAGGAAAAAGCAGTTGTTTCAAATTAGGTGTAATTTTGAATTCAGCCAATATTGGCTTAACAGATTTTACCCAAGATGTTTTTCTATATATAGGATGTTTGACTTAGTCTTAGAAAGACTGTGGTGGGTTTCCATGTCCATTGTTATTTGGCCTTATGCTTTGCAAAGTATCAAAGTAAGTTTGTTTTTAACAGTTATGCTGCCAGTTTGAGTTAAACTGTTTAACAAGGGAGAGTTTTTACTAAAAAAAATCGTCTCTTTGGAGGCAGGGAGTCTTAATTCACTCAAATAATAGATTTTAAAGTGAAAGTAGCTAGAACTTGAGATCTGAGATAACAAGCCAACTGCTTGCACCTCCACAAAATGTGACATTTCCCAGGCAGTGAATTGGGCTTTCTATTCCCAAAGGTTTCATTCTGGTTTCTATGAGTCTGATTTTTATCCAAAGCCCCTGCTTGCCTGGTGTTCCAATTTTTTTTTATTTTTATTTTTGTACCAGAGGGATATTAAAATGGCCAGAAGCAGAGAAGCCAGTGAGATGTAGAGGAAGAGTTTACATGTTAACATCAGAGAGACCTGGGTTCAAGTACTATATTCTCCTCACCTGGGTTTGTGACCAGGAACAAGTTACTTTTCTGAGCCTCAGTTTCACCGTTCATAAAATAGGCATGACCATGCTTACCTCCAAACATTTGATAAGAATTCACTGTGAAGTACCTGGCATATATGAATAGTAGCTCATTCATTCAACAAATGTTTATTGAGTACCTACCATGTGCCAGATGCTTTAGCAGTGGGGACACAGTGGTAAACAAATGATATCTGCCCTCTTGGATATCATAGTTGTTCAATAAATAGCTGCCATTCCAATAGGTATATGAAAAGGTACTCAACATCACTAGTCATCAGGAAAATACAATCAAAACTACAATGAGATATCATCTCACAGCTGTTAGGATGTCTATTATCCAAAAAAAAAAACCAAAAAAAAAAAAAAACAAAGATAAGTGTTGGCTAAGCTGTTGAGAAACTGAAATCCTGGCACACTGTGGTAGGAATGTAAAATGGTGCAATTGCTATAGAAAACAGTATGGAGGTTCATGAAAAAATCAAAATAGAAGTACTATATGATCTAACAATCCCATTTGGGGGATTTATCCAAAAGATTTGAAATCAGGACCTCAAAGAGATATCTGCACTCCCATGTTAATTTCAGCATTATTCACAGTAGCCAAGAGGTGGAAACCACCCAAATGTTCATTGCTGGATGAATGGATAAAGAGAATGTGGCATACTGCACATGCAGTAGAATATTATTCAGCTTTAAAAAAATTCTACCATATGCTACAACATGGAAGAGCCTGGAGGACATTATGCTAAGTGAAATAAGCCAGTCACAAAAGGACAAACACTGCATAATTCCACTTACATAAGTATCTAAATGTATCTAAAGTCAAACACATAGAAACAGAGTAGAATGGTGGTTGCTAGGGGATGGGGCAGTATAAATGGAAAGGTATTATTCAAGGGTTATAAAGTTTTAGTTATTCAAGATGATTAAGTTCTGGAGATCTGCTGTACAAAATTGTGACTCTGGTTAACAACACTGTATTGTACACTTAAAAATTTGTTAAGAGATAGATCTCCTGTTACGTGTTCTTTTTTTTAAAAAAAAGAAAGAAATATTATAAATCTAGATCATGGTAATCTAGATCATGTTTGTGTAACTCTGTAACCTTACTAAAATGGATTATACACTTAAAAGGGTGAGTTTTATTATATATAAATTACATCTCAATAAAGCAGTTTTGCAAAAATAGTTGCCATTAATTTAACAGTCCCATTTCTTTCAAGCCTTTGTTCAATATCACCACTCCCCTCCCAGCTTCACTTTTTTCATAGCCACATTTTGATATATTATAGTTTATTTATCTTATGTAATCAATTCTAAGTTTCACATCTTAACATACATAAAATCAAGATGCATTCTATAATGGCAGCAATTTATTAGCAGCATTCTTTCTTTCTTTAGTGGCACATAGACTAGCAGTGCATCTTGTATCACTGCCATCTTAGAGACAATAAACTGTGCTGTTGTGTTATTGTTTCTTGCCTTTTTTCCCCTCTAGAATGTTTGCTTCACACTGGTAGGGATCTTTATTTTGTTCACTGCTGTATTCTAAATGTCTAGAATAGTGCCTAGAATGTCTAGAATAGTGCCTAGAATGTCACATATCATTGATAAACATTTGTTTAATGAATAAATGAATGAATGAATGGGTGTCATGCCTAGCATCAAGAAACATACTAAAACAAACGAACTGAAATTAAAAGATGAGTTAATAATAGAGCAACCTACTTTCATCATTTCCTCTTCTGTTTTATCAGCAGGACACTGGGGAAATAGCCGAGTTTTGAAGAATGTCAGCAGGGAGCCACCAGGGATCATCCTCCCCGGTAAGAAGAGACCTCCAGAGACCTTCAGGAAGCTGGAAAGAAGCTTCCAATGGTGAGCTCAGCCCCAGAAGCTTCTGTCCATGCCATCTCACTTCTGAAGTGCTAATTCACCACTTTCACTAGAGATGCTGAAGGTAGCCCTGTCTTGCCTGGAAAGTGACTGGAGTGGTCCCACCAGTGGCCAATTAATCTCTTTTAAACACTCCCTAATGGTCCAGGAATCAATCCCCTACCCCCAAAAGAAGGCTGAGTCAGTTCGTTTTGTCCTCGTGAGTGGTGAATGACCTGCTCTCCTGATCTGCCTGGAGGCCCCTGAGGTTAGGTTTTGGGTGCAAGTGGCTCCCTTGACAGTCTGGAGAGGCTGTGCAGGCATTCATTACCCATGGCCCCAGGCAGAACCTACACCAGGCTACGTGGATGAGAATATGCAAATTCCTTGTTAGACAAGTCCTGTGCTCTGTTTCACATTAGCTAATGTTCACCAACCCAGTCACCAACCGTTTATGGTTTTCCTTCAGTTTCAAAGAACAAATCTTATTATTGTCCTCTGGAAGGGATTGAAGAGTCAAAGAGCCAGGAAAACCCATTTGAGGGACGAGTAAAACTTCCCACAGAAGCAATATCCCTTCCTTGAGCAACTTTGAGTTGCTGGACTTTGTTCTTCACATTTTTGTTTCTCTTTCCATTATTTCTCATTAGACGCAGTGCCCAGGGTCCATGGTACTCTTAGGGACCCACAAAAATGTGTGAGTTTATTTTAAAATCAAGAAGGAAAACAACAAAACTTTAGGGTTAAAAAATTTTGCATTATTGCTCACATCTAAAAAAATGAAATTTTCAAGGTCTAAGAAAATTTAGACTTTGTCTAAAATAAAAATTAAATACAATGTTGAAGAATTTAAAGTTATATCAAAAATCATGTAAAAATTGATATCACATTATGAAGGAAAGGGCCCGTAAAACTCATCTTGTAGCCTTGAGGTTACCAGATGAGAAAAGTGATCTTGTCAGACTGAGAAGCCTGGTGGACCCAGGACATTCAGATCCCTGGCAAACAGCTGAGAGAATTGTTAGGGGAAGAGGCAATTGTTAAGGGAAAATGCTGGGACTAACATTTCTTGAGTGTCACTCTATGGTAGGCTTGGTCCAAGGCATTTTAGTGATATTATCTCATCAAAGCCCTGCAGCAACTCTGAGAAATCATATAACCATCCAGCTTTACAGAGAGTTTAAAGAACTGCTACCAGACTGCTCTCCCGCCATCTCTCTGTACATTTCTCTTTCTTAAAAATAAATAAATAAATACATAAATTCACATGCTAATAAATCCTTCTCAAATTACCTTATCCAAATGTTGATTTGGATTTTTTTTAATGAAGATTTATTTTTTTATTTTTTTGAGACGGAGTCTTGAGATCTTGGCTCACTGCAGCCCCACCTCTTGGGTTCAAGCGATTCTCCTGCCTCAGCCTCCCAAGTAGCTGAAACTACAGTCGTGCACCACCATGCCTGGCTAGATTTTCTGTATTTTTAGTAGAGACAGGGTTTCTTCATGTTAGCTAGGCTGGTCTCGAACTCTTGGCCTCAAGTGATCTGCCCACCTCAGCCTCCCAAAGTGCTGGGATTACAGGTATTTTTTTATCTTTAAATTAGAACTAGAAAGACAGACATTGACCATCAAAGACTTGATTTGGGTTTCAGACAGGTTTGGACAGCGTTCTAGGATGCACCTGGGGTCTTGAGGCACTCAATTAGCTAAGGCAGCCCGCCTTGGAGAATGGGTGGTTTTTACTTATTTTTTGAAACACATTTTTCAAATGTCCAAAGGTAATTTAAAGAAAAACAATTTCACAATCATCAAGTTTTGATTGTGTTGGCCCTCATGCAAACACCCACGCTGTCCTCAGAATGTGGCCTAAGGGCCATTCAATTAGGAAACACAGAAGATGAAGCTTGCCTACTGGAAACAAAATGTCACAAAATCTCTCCTGCAATGGTTTGGATATGGTTCGTTTGTTGCCACCAAAGCTCATGTTGAGATTTGATCCCTACTGTGGCAGCGTCGGGGGTTGGGAGCTAGTGGAAGGTATTTGTGCCATGGGGGTGGATCCCTTATGAATGGCTTGGTGCTGTTCTCATGTTTGTGAGTGAGTTCTCACTCTCTCAAGACTGGATTAGTTCTCCCAGAAATAGATTAGTTCCTCAAGAGGGTGTTGTTACAAAGCCAGGACATCCCTCAGGTTTCTCCCTCTTCCTCATGTCTGCTTCTCCTTACTGTTGTTCGCCAGGTTGTAAAGTAGCATGACACCCCTTGTGGAAAGCCAGGGCCATGGCCTAGCACTTCTCAGCCTGCAGAACCAAGGGCTAGGTAAACTTCTTCTCTTTATAAATTACCCAGTCTCAGACATTCTTTTATAGCAACACAAAGCAGACTAAGACATGGCCCTAGAAAAACAAACAGTGCTGACTTCAGAAGCTGTAGCTGCTTGCTGAGACAACGTGCCTTATTTGTTTATTCAGTGCCTTTGAGCACCTATTGTGTTGTGTGTGGTGCACTGTGCTGGATGCTGGAGGTTAAAACATAAATGGGATCTAGTCCCAGATTTCAAGTCACTCAAGTCTAATAAGGACAACCATCCTGGCCCGAGCCGCTATAGTACTTTGCCTGGCCTATGGCAGGAGCCTCCTCCCTGGTCTCCCTGCATTCACCCTTCTCTTCAGGACACAGGATGCTGTTTAAACATGCGTGAGCCCACACCCCTTTCTGCTCAGTATCCTCCAACACGCCCCACCTCACTCATGCCACAAACTCAAGGTTTCCATTGCTACTCTCTGACCCCATCTTATGCTTCTCTTTCCCTTGTTCTCTCTGCTCCAAGCACAGTGGCCTTTGTGCTTTTGCTAAATCAGGCCAAGCCCACTCCCACATCAATGGTTCTTCATTTGCTATATTTTTGGCCGAGAATACTCATCCCCAGATGCTCCTCACCTGCTCGGGATTTAACTCAAATGTCATTCCAGTGAAGCCTTCCCCAGTGCCCTAGTCAGTATGACAGCTTCCACCCATGTGGGAGCCTCCATGTGCTCCGTCTCTGAATTATTGTATTTCATTGCACTTAGCATCATCTAATCATTGTGTATTTTAATTATTTTTCACTGTCTGACTCCGCTTTGCTTCTTTGCTTCTTTTGCTTCTTTTTTTTTTTTTTTTTTTTTTGAGATAGAGTCTCGCTCTGTCTCCCAGGCTGCAGTACAGTGGCGCAATCTCTGCTCACTGTAACCTCCACCTCCCAGGTTCAAGCGATTCTCTGCCTCAGCCTCCCAAGTAGCTGGGATTACAAGCGCATGCCACCATGCCCAGCTAATTTTTGTATCTTTAGTAGAGACAGAATTTCACCATGTTGGCCAGGCTGGTCTCGAACTCCTATCCTCAGATGATCTGCCCACCTCAGCTGCCCAAAGTGCTGGGACTACAGACATAAGCCACCATGCCAGACCATCCCTTTGCTTCTTGAAAGCAAATGTTTTACCTGTTTTGTATCCAACTGTATCCCTAGTGCCTAGGATAGTGCCTAGCATATAGTAGTTGCTCAATAAGAATATACTTATTTTTTGAATAAATAAGTGACTGAATAAGACATTCAGGTAAAACAACAACAACCATAAAAATACTAACCAGGTATGGTTTTTTGAGAACACAGAGGGTGAATCCTCTTTGCTTTCAGAAATTGGGAAGAGGTGATTTTGTGCTTAAAGAATAAGTAGTACTTGGTCAGGCTTTAAAAAGAGAGAAAAGCACTCAAGTAGAGGGAACAGTGTAAGCAAAAGAATGTTTTCATGTGGGAACTTCAAGTAGCCTGGGTTCAATGGATGCAAATTGTCTGGGTACATAGGACATATGTGGAAAAAGGAGTGACATGAAACCAGGTTGGAAATACAGACAGACTCCAGATCACATCATAGTATGGAGTTTGGGCTTCCTTCTTCAGGTGATGGAGAGCTACTGAAGCCTCTTAAGCAGAAGAGAGATCCAATTGGACTTATGTTTTAAGACCTCTCTGGAAATGGTATAGAGAAAAAAATTGTGGGAAGGATGGGAATTGGAGGACAAGAGAGGATGGATTTAAGAGATGTTGGGAGAGTAGGCCAAAGGACTTGCTGACCCATGTTGTGGGAGAAGAAAATGTCTTGAGCAGAAAAAAACTAGAATGACTGCCTATGTTTCTTCTTGGGTAATTGAGGTAAACATATAAATTCACCCAAGAAATGTGTATTGAGAGCCTATTATGTACTAGATACTAATCGAGGCACTGGGAATACAGCTTTGAACAAAATTTTAAAAGCCCTAATTTCAGGACCTTACGTTCAACTGGAGGACTGTCAGTAAATATATCAAGAGATAATGTAATTTCAGCTTGTGAGAAGCTTTCTGAAGAAGAGTAAAGCATGATATAAGGATGGGGCACAATGTTTATTTTATGCAGGAGACAGACTTTTCTGAGGAGGTGATGTTAGAGCAGAGACTAATGGAGAAAGCCATGAGAAGTCCTGGGGAGAAGATATCCAGGCAAAGGGGATAGTGAGCATATAGAACCTCTACTAAAACAAGAGAGTCTTGTTCAACAAACAACGAAAAGGAGAAAAGTAGGCAGGGGCTGGATTCTTATAGCCTTGACCACCATAATAGTAAGTGTGGATTTTATTTTTTATATTTATTTATTTATTGAGACGGAGTTTCACTCTGTCACCCAGGCTGGAGTGCAGTGGTAAGATCTCAGTTCACTTCAACCTCCACCTCCCAGGTTCAAGCAATTCTTCTGCCTCAGCTTCCCAAGTAACTGGGATTACAGGTGCCCACCACCACGTCCGGCTAATTTTTGTATTTTTAGTAGAGATGGGATTTTACCATGTTGGCCAGGATGATCTCTAACTTCTGACCTCAAGTGATCCGCCTGCCTCAGCCTCCCGAAGTGCTGGGATTAGAGGCGTGAGGCACCACACCTGGCCGTGAGTGTGGATTTTAATCTAAGTGATGGGAAGCCATTGAATGGGTTTGAGCAGGAAAGAGACATAATTTGACTTATGTTTTTGTTGTCCTTTTAAATCACTCTGGTTCTGGGGAATAGAACAAATTTCAGAGACACAGAGGCAAAAGAAGATGGTGGCTGAGACTTGGGTTGTCACAGTGAAAGTCCTGAGAAGGCAGTTGTCTTTTCATCTTTTTAAGGATAGAAAAATTAGGATTTGCTGATGGATTGGATGTGGGGAAAAACAGGAATTGAGAATTACTCTTGGGTTCTTCACCTGAGAACAGGTGGGTGTTGGTTCCATTTACTGAGCTTGAGAAGTGTTTGAGAGGAATAGGACTTAAGGAGGTGGAGGAGGAAATCAAAGGTTTTGTTTCAGACATATTACATGTGGAAAGTCTTCTGAACACCCAAGAGGAGAGGTGGCTGGATACCCAAGTCTGAAGTTCATGGGTAGGGTTTGGGATGAAATATAACTTTGAACATACTTGACATCACAAGCTTGGATGATATTACCCAGGTTGCTGTATATGGATAGGAAAGTGAACGTAGACCCGGACGGATCCTTGGCCACTCAAGATACAGTAGTTAAATGGAGGAGGAGCAGCCAGTGAAGGAGACTGAGACGGAGCTGCTGGTGGGAAAAATTCAAGAGCATGGTGTCTCAAATGCCAAGAAATTGTTTCAAGTAGGAAGAAGTGATCTTATGTGCAAAATGCTGCTGAAAGATCCAGTAAAATATGTCCAGAAAATTGACCACTGGACATGGTAAAATGGAGATCATTGGTAACCTAGACAATAGCCATGTTGGCAAAGTGGTAATGACAAACAGAAGAAAGAATGGGAGGTAGGCAAGTGAAGATAACGACTACAAACGACTTTTAAAAATCTTGGCACTACTTTCAAAAATCTTGGCATTAAAAGTGTACGAGAAGCAAATGAGACCTGGGTGGGGGCTGAGAGGAGTCAAAAGGATTTTACTTCATTTTTTTTTAGAGCATGTTTATGTGCAGATGGAAAATATTCAGTAGAAAGGGGGAAATTAATGATGCAGGACAAAGAGGAATGAATCGTAGGCATCAAAGCTTTGAGTGAGCAGGAGAGACAGTGCACAAGTAGAGAGAGGTTAGTCTTAGGAATAGGTACAATCTCACTCACTGGAAGAGGAGGAAAAGGAGAACATAGGGACTCAGGTGCTTGAAGTGTGGTGGATTTGGTCCTACCAACAGAAGTCCTCTTCAGTTGTTCTTATTTTCTCAGAAAAATATTCAGCTGATAGTAAGGAAGTAGAAGGGTGCTGAAGTTTTGAGAAGTGGGAAGGAGATATGGCGAATTAGCCACGAGATCAGGAGAGGAAGTGGGATAGAAGATGTATTTGAATTGAGGAGCAATGGAGGCTGTCCACCTGAGATGTATGGTCTTTAATTTAAAGTGAGATCAGTCAGTTGTGTGTTTAATGTCAACCAGTTTAGCGACATGGGGGACAGGTGTGAAGTAGGCAGTGAGAATCAAATGATGACACTTTGGTGGGGGAAGACACTAGAGATGAAGAGTTCAGCTGGGTGTGTGTTGGGTTTGAAATACCTGAGGAGATCCAGGTGAAGCTGTCTTGTAGACAGTTGGAAATGAAGAATCTGTGCTATAAATAAAGATCTGGGAATCACTGATTGATTAAAAAAAAGTTACAGAATGTGTCCTGTGCACCAGATACTGTTCTAAGCCAGACATTGTTCTAAGCACCGGGCACAACAGAGAACATAAGACAGAATCTCTGTCCTCATATAGGGCTTGTATGCTGGTGAGGAGGGGCATCATGAATAGCTCAGTCATTTCCAAAGAGAGAGATCTGCAGCCCAGGGGATGTGCAAGATGATCCCTTGAAATGCGAGCAGGAACTATTTGAACTCACATTTACATTTTTCTTATCATCTTTAATATCTATTTTTATATGTGTCTCATTCATTTTCTAAAATGCTAACACAGTAATACATATATTATTATATAAATAAGTATGGATATGTTTGGAGAGACATGCTCAAAAAGTATTTACTGATAGAGATGCTTGATTAGAAACATTTGAAAACCACTAGCCATGTGTGAGATAGTAGAAGATGAAGAAGATGATGAAGATAAGTCTCCCAAAATTGACATCAATAAAGATGTATACAAGAAATTAGATTAGCTCTGTAGAGCACAGTCTCTGAATTATTCCATCCTGGGTTAACATTTTTAAGTAATGAGCCTTCCAGAAATGGGACTAAATAAAGGTATCAGGAAGAAACTTATAATGATTTTGCTGTCAAAAAATAGAACAGGCTGCCATGTGACAAGTAGGCACATTCAGCAGAGGCAAGATGCCTGTTGGTGAGACAGGCTGTGGAGGAAGTCCTCACCAGGGCCGCACTGATTTCAGAGGGAAGATTGGACCACAAGACCCTCAAGTGCCTTGTAACTCTAAGCATCTATGAGTGTATGAAGAATAAGCTGGGAATTTGGAATTATAATAATCTCTTTATGTAAGGAATTGGATTGAGGAAGGGTGAATCATAGCCTTGCATCTACAAACAGAGGGGTGATGGTCTGCCCAGATTACAGCCAAGGGAGAGCTGCAGAATGTGTCAGCATTTCCAGCTTGCTTCGTGGGAGAGGGTGCCTGAGTAGCAGATGTGAACATTTTGGTTTCTGTGGTTGGTATTTTCCTATAGTGGAGAAGAGTGACTCATGAGGTCCACACAGCCAGATGAAAATCACCCTAGAGAGGCAGCTCAGAATAGTGGAAAGTTACTCCATGGACTGTTGTCTTCAGTGCTTGCAGGTAAAGAAACTGAAGCTCAGAGAGACTAAGCAAGTAGGCTGGAGCCACCCAGCTGAGAAGTGGTGGAGCTGGGATTCAAAGCCAGGGCTATCTAGCTTCAAATTCCATGTTTACTCTGCTACATGGTAAATTTAAGAAATCCTTTAGGAAAAACTCAGAGGGGTGTAGATGATCAAAGAAGTGAGACTATATTTCTTTTCTTTTCTTTTTTTACTTTAAGTTCTTCAAGTTCTGGGATACATGTGCAGAATGTGCATGTTTGCTACATAGGTATACATGTGCCATGGTGGTTTGCTGCACCTATCAACTCATGATCTAGGTCTTCAGCCCCGCATGCATTAGGTACTTGTACTAATGTTCTCCCTCCCTTGCCCCCCAACCCCTGACAGGCCCTGGTGTGTGATGTTCCCCTCCCTGTGTCCAAGTGTTCTCATTGTTCAACTCCCACTTATGAGTGAGAACATGCGGTGTTTGGTTTTCTGTTCCTGTGTTAGTTTGCTGAGAATGATGGCTTCTAGCTTCATCCATGCTCCTGCAAAGGACATGAACTCATCATAAGAATGTATTTCTAAGGATACAGATTGGCTACTGTAACAAAGACAGCCAAGAAATACCAAAACCAGAGAATTAAACAAGATAGAAATATTTTTTCCTCATACTTAATGGTCTGAGCACAGGGAGTCCAGGGCTTATATGACAGGTCCATTTTGTTGGGGCCCAGGTTCCATCTAACTCTCGGCTCTGCTGTCTCATGTTGTTGCCTTTATCTGCATGGCTAAAGACTGTATAGCTCCCCAACACACCACCTTGGTCTGTATTTCATCTAGTGGAAAGAGGGAGAAGGAGAGGGAAGACGTACTTCCTTCTCTTAGGTGTGACGCAGTTGTTGTACACCTTGCTTCTGGTCACAGCTCCTTGGACACTGAGTTATGATGGAAGCTGGGAAACGCCTTCATTCCAAGGAGCTATATGACTAGCAAAACTCAAAGATTCTATTTCTAAAAGGTGAAAGGGAAAATAGATATTGACAGGCAATCAGCAGCCTCTGGCACATTAAATTATATCTATTAGAAGAACAAGAAAAAAGAAAAATAAAGGGACTTTTAGACTATTCTAAAGGAAAGGGAAGGAGGGCTCTCCAGGTCTAGGAAACAGCTTGGGAAAAGGCAGAAGAAACAGGCTCCTTTTAGAGAAGTGTTTGCAGCCAAGTTTGGTTTAAGAGTTTAGGAGTGCAAGGAAACTCTAAGAAACAAGACTAGAAATTTTTGTCACAGACATTCAATACAAAGTGAGGAATTTGTACTAACCTCAGTCAGCAAGAGAAAGTGATTGCAGGTTTGTAAGCAGAAAATATTATGATGAGGGTTGTACTTTACAGAGATTGTCCTAGCAGTTGTATGCACAGTGGGCTGGAGTAAGGCAAGATAGAAAGCTGGGTGGGATTGTGGAAAAACACTGGAGCGGGGTCAGGAGGTCTGGCTGCAAAAACCCAGTGCTTCCCTAATGACTACTGCATAGTGGTTAAGAGTCAGGCTCCAGAGCTGCAGTCCCTGCATTCACATCTCATCTCACCACTTAGCAGCCATTCCTGAAAACAGGAAGATCTTCAGAGAGTGCTCAGCATCTTGGGCACATAGCAAGTTCTGCCTTGACTGTTACCTTGAATAAGCCTTCTCTCCAGGCTAACTGCTTTCTGAGTTCAGTGTAAAAACTCGATGAGTTGATTTCTAAAGACACCTTCAGCTCTAAAATTTTCTGATCCCCTGAATCTGAGTATGATACAAATGTTTAACACTGCCTAAAGAGACCTGAAAATCACATTTTAGAATATTTTTCTTTCCAGTAGACAACATATTAATTTTGTTAAACTCACCTTGGCTCTCCCAGAGCAAATTATAATGATTTGTTGGTTAGAGAAAAGAATTATATGCAAATCACATTTTACTTAATGCCAAAAAAAAAGCTAGTAGCCCAGGGCATTTGAAGCCACACTGCTGCTTAGGGTACCTGCTTCTCTCTCCTGTCTTAGAAGAGGAATGGGGACTCCAGGCAACTTGCTAATCTTCTTAATCAAATTGGGAGTAGGTTTTTTACCGTGGTCTTTTGGCGAAGCCACTAAAGAGATCCCGAGGTCCAAGTATGCCTCCTAGATATAACTTCTACTTCTTGGGGGCATTTCTGGGGACTCTTGGCTCCCAAGTTCCAGAGAAGATGGTTGTGCAGAGAGGCTATTCTCTTATAGCTCAAAGGGTTGGATACACAGGACAAGATCAGCCAGTCTGATATTGCTTAGTCCATATCATGGATTATGTGCCTCCTGAATTCATATGTTGAAATCCTACCCCCAATACCCCAGAATGTGACCTCAGTTAGAGAAAGAACCTTTATAGGGTTAATCAGGTTACAATGAAACCATTAAGGTAGACCTTAATTACAATGTGACTGATGTCTTTATAAAAAAAGAAAATTTGGAAACAAACACACACACACAGGAAGAACATCATGTGAAGATGAAGGCAGAGATCAAAGTAATGTTTCTGTAAGCCAACGAATGCCAAAAATTGCCAGCAAAGCACCAGAGGCTAGAGGAGAGTCATGGAACAGATTCTCTCTTTGACATCCCTCAGAAGGAAGTGACCCTGCCAACACCTTGATCTTGGGCTTGTAGCCTCAAGAACTGTGAGACAATACACTTCTGTTATGTAAGCCACCAGCTTGTTACAGTAGTCCTAGCAATCGAATGCAGCCCAGCTCAACAGAAGACGAAATGACCAGCACCTTAAGTGCCTGGCACATATTAAGTGTTTGAGAAATATTTGCTGGATGAAGGAATGAATGAATGAACGTATGGTTTTGCATGAATGAATGACTTCTCCCGTCACCTCCTCTCTTGAGGCACACTCCCTCTGTGGCAAGCTGTGCTGATGGCACCCTTGCTGGAGAAGAGGGAGGGAAGAAAGGTCACGAGAGCAGATAGAAGCAGCTGCCAGCAATAACCCACAATTCCTAGAAACTCTCCCCAGACCATGGGTACCTGGGGCCTTGGCCCGGCCTGCTACAATAAGGGAAATTCACATAAAGGGTTAAAAACCTACCAGTGACTGTTATTTATTCTTTGTGCGAAGGACATATTCAAGTCTATAAATTTGCTTAGTTTTTAAAAATCAGCAAAATATTTTAAAATGTGTTTGGATGAATTGGGGCCCAAAGGTAACCTCTGGTGTGTATTTTCAGAGCAGTTTTCCACTTCAGCTTGAAAGACATTTGAGTTTCTGGGAAAATATATTCCATATGTTTCTGGGCCATTTATCCTGGAAACCTTGGGAAGACTTGCTTTGTCAGCACCTAGGGAGGGAGAAGAAATGCAGGAGACTCACAACCCATTCCCTTTCTGAGTAAGTACATTTCCTTTTGCTAGCTTCACCCTCAAAATCCTTCCATTCAATCCTAACCTCAGTTTCCCCATCTGCTGGAAGAACTCATCATGGATCTTTGTGATCGTTTCTGTTTAAGGGCACAGCCCCATCTCTTAACTCTCAGACGTGCTTTGAATGAGCTCACACTGAGGCTAGAGGGACCCAGTCCCCGGCCGGGCTCTCATTTCCTAAACAGCAGAGCTTCCTTCTCACACCCCACTTCCCTGATGTATCTCTTTATGAAAGGCAGTAAAATAATTTCTTTTAGTGTTTGGGGTATAAATAAAATAAAGTAAAACACAAGCATGTAAAGAATTGGTTGAGATAAGGACCAGCTTCATGTTATTAGGAACAAAATGTCCCATGCAGATCAGAATAAGAGAGTTTCATAATAAATACTTGCATGTCTCCTGTTCAGAGAAATGTGAAGCTCTATTCCAGGAAAGCTTCAGAATATATGAACCACATGGGACTGAGCCCCTTCCATTCAGTGTCTCTTAATGACCAGCCTCTTTACTTGGGATTTGTTTGATTCAGCTTGTTTATTGCTTTATGTATGTAGGTAACTTCATAAACTCCCAAAAAGCCCATAATTGATTTCAAACAGCAAAAAGAAAGTTACATGATAATTTTGCCCTTGGCTTGAAAACATTTTATTGGTAGACGATATAAGAGGGAGGGAAAGAAACAGCTTAGGTTAGAGACGGAAAACCTATCAATCTTGGGACAAGTTAAAGAGCTTCAAGAAATAAATTGTAGAGCTGGCTGACTCAGCCATAGTAGCAATGCTATAAATCACTTGCAGACAAGGGGCATCACAGTGCCCCTTCATGAGGTGCAGTCTTAGGTCTTCTGAGTCTTAGCTCCTACATCACTCAACCTGAACCACAAATTCCCCACCTGAGAAGTTAAATCACAGTAAACTTCTGTTCTGATTCACAGAGGGGAAGAGTAATTTGAGTTAATAAAAGTTCTGAAATGCATTTTTTTAACCTCACATGCCTTGTATTGAATTAATTCCCATTCCTCGTTTCACGATGCATTATTTTAATTTGTCTTTGGGAAGTCTATTCCATTCTTTCCCTTCCTTCCACTTTTCTTTCTTCCTTATGTGTTTCCTCCTATCTCCCTTCCACACTCACATTGTCCTTCCCTACCACCATCCATCCTAACATGTTTAATATATATTTTTGCATGTATGTGTGTTTGCAAAATGAATAATTTTTGTGCATATGCATTTTAACTTTTACATATTGTATTATGTTATATATTTCATGATATACAACCTCAACACTTACCCACCACTGTCCCAATTATGGAGACAGATTGCCTTCAGCAACCCAGTCCACAAATAATACCACCATGAACATTTATTCATTGATTCCACAAATATTTAGGAGAGCACCTGCTATGTTCCAGGTGTGGTTCTAGATACTTAAAATGCATCATAAAACAAAACAGATAATAATTCCTCTACTTTTGGAGTTGACAGTTTAGCAGAGGGAGATAGAAAATAAGCAAAAATGACTAAAATAAGTAAATTACATAATATGTTAGAAGATGATAAATGTGATGCAGAAAAAGAACAAGTAGATCAGAATAAGCAAGACTGGAGGTGTGGGGAGTGGGTGGGCAGCAATTTAAATAGCATTGCCAGGGGAGTCTTTTCAGAATAGATGTGAAGGGGGTGAGAGGAGAGCAATGGTGCAGGTACCTGGGGAGAGGGAGTTCCAGGGAGGGGAACTGCCATTGCAAACACTTAAGGCTAGAATGTGCCTGATGTGTGCAAGGCACAGCAAGCAGCCACGTGACTGGGACACAGGGAGTGAGGGAGAGGGCTGTGCCTTACACCCTCTATCCTCCTTAAAGGACTTCGGTTTTTATTTTAGGTGGGGTATCCTTGGAAGGTTTTGGAGAAAAAAAAAACATGTCATGATCTGATTTATGTTTTAAAAGCATCACTCTGGCCACTGTGTTGAGAAAAGACTGCATTCAAAGCATGAAGAAAAGCAGGGACTCTGGTTGGAAAGATTTTGTAATAAAGCAAGTGAGAGATGATGCTGGGTGAGATCAGGATGCGGGTGGTAAAAATGGTGAGAAGTGGGCAGATTTTGGACAAATTTTATATTTAAAACAGCTAAGGTTTCTCAAAGTTCTGGCTCTACCTAGAGTATAGAAAACCGCAAGAGTACATTGCTCTCCTACTAACAGTGAGAAAAATCTGGATAATCTATAAAATCATAACTTTTCTTAAGCCCCTCAGAGAGCTGAGGTCTCAAGACAACCAAAGAAATTGAATGCCAAAAATCGACAAGACTCTCCTAGGAGAAATGAGATACACAGACTGTTTCATTTTTTTGGCAATGCATAGGGAGAAAAGGTGGCTGCCATAGAAGTGAGTAAGAAGAAAGCCAAAATGTTAACAAATTCCTAAAGACTTAGTGTGGGCTTGTATATGAGGAGCTGTAGACACAAGGGAAGCTCTCTCTCTCTCAAGCTCTTCATGGGCCTCTAACAGGGGCTCATGGAGACTGAAGGCAGGGTAGGAGACCAGAGACAGTACCTCTCAGTGGCCCAGGTTTGTAGGAAGGGATCAAGTGCCATTGGAGAAGAGGTAGCAAGCACTATATATTTCCCCTAACCTTTCTGTCATGCAAAGCTAAAGTCTTATACCACTGGGGAAAATGCAGCAAAAACTTCTCCGAAGAGCTCCTGGGGAGGGGTATAAGGAAAACCCATCTGCCTCTGGGTAAGGGGTATATAAATGCCTCCTTCCTGGCCCTGGCAACCAGGCAAAGATCTACTGCTTCTAGGGGAGGAATAGAAACAAAAACAATCTGCCCCTAGAGAAGGAGCAAGAAAACCTCTTGGCCCCAGGATCTTGTACCAAAACAAGGCAGAGTTCTGCTGCTTCTGGGGAGGGTATAGGAAAAATCTCTCCTACCTAAGGGTACACACCAATAGGAGACAGAGTTTGGGGCCATGGGCAGTAAAGGGAGAGGAAGAAGCCAAGGTGCACTGTTTCTACCTAAGACTGAGGCTGGACTAGAAAAATTGAGAAGGTCCCATCCCCACCCAATCAAGAACCTAGCACCAGGTGAAAAGTGACAGTAGTCTACTGCAAGAAGAGGATCAAGAACAGGGAAAGCAAATCCCTCCATGGAACCACCATGCAAGAACAGTTGAAATCTGAGAGTGGAGCAAAAGCAGAAAAACTTACTCTAGTACCCAAGGCCTCCCACTGAGCAAGAACTAAAGACAGCATCCCACCAGAGGAATCCGAAGTCTGTGGTACACTACAAGTAATGATAGCAGTAACAAAACCCAGACCTATCTCAACTCCCCCACACTAACAGCTTGACAGAAGAAGAGGCATGGCCATTTCTGGGCATGAATACCATTCACTTCAGCCCCTACCATTCTTCAAACACAATGCTTGGCATTCAGTAGAAATTATGAGACATAAACAAGCAAGGGGGGGAAAAGTCCCATCGTTAAGAGATAAAGCAATCAACACAGACAGCTTAGAGATGCTGGGATTATCACAAAGGGACTTAAAAATAACTAGGATTCCTATGTTGAAGGTGCTAATAGAAAAGGTTGACTGCATGAATGAATAGATGGAAATGGACTATTTCAGTCAAGGGAAATGGGATTAGCATTATTCTTTGAATAGTTATAGATCATTTCTTGTGGCTGGAGGCGGGGCCTTCATTCTATCAGCACAAACTGCCTCAATTATCAGAGAAAAATATGAGGGTTCGGCTAGGAAGGAAGGACGAGGGAATGACTATTAGGTAGGCAACCAGCAGCAGTATTGTGAGGGTACACATAGAGCATGGAAATCATTGCTCTTTACAGGATACTTTTCGAAGACCTAAGGAAAACTCTGTTCTTATCTTACCTTAACCAGCTAGGAGTATGTATGTGTCATGGTTAGGGTAACCTAAGAAAGGCTGGCCACAAGGACATCAAAGCCACATCACTGATTTCCCTGGACCAAGTCAGATTTCATCATACAATAGATGGACAGGACAGGCCTCTATAGACTCCAGGAAGAAACAGAGCAAGGAAGAAAAACTCAAAAAGAAAATTAAATCAAGTAGAAACACTGGATGGAAAGGGATCAGGATAAACAGAGCTGAGAGGAGAAACAAATGGACTGAGAATACAGTAAAGGAGAGGAAAAGAAGAAAAAAGATAGACTGAGCAGAATTAAAACCAACTTCAGTGTCATTGTGAGTTGTATCAATTAGGATAACTGCAAATAACAAAATCTGACTATAGAGACTTAAACAAGGAGTTGCTAGTTTTATTTATTCATAATATGAAGTTTGGAACTTGGCAGCTGCTGACACAGGTTCAGAAGTTCAAGGATGTCAATCTTGACAGTTAGTTCAGACAGCTGCTTACATAGGTTCAACAGCTCAGTGATATTATGGCTGACATCTTCACCACTGCAAGATGGTTGCAACAGCTCCAGCCATCACGTCTGGGTTTTAGGCAGAAAGAAGATGCAGTAATGCCAGCTATCTCTGTTCCCTTTATCAAGAAAGCAAATGCCGCTTCAGAACCACCTCTCTACAGCAGTATCCTTCTACTCACTGGCCAGCTGGTGGCACAGTCATGTCTGACACAGTTATGCCTACCAGCAAAAGAGGGTAGGAAAAGCAAGTATATATCTTTTTCTGCAAAATTCTGTATATATCATTTCTTCTGCAAAATTCAAGTTTTGTTAGTAAGAAATAAGAGAGCATGTGATATTGGATAGACAATACCAACAGAGTCTACTCTTGTGTTTTAAGTAAGACAATGTATGCAAAGCAGTCTAACACCACATCTGCCACAAGTCACTCAATAACTGTATGTTTATTAAAAAAAACTGAAGAAAGAAAACTTTGAGATGGAAGGATAAGAGATAGACTTTATATCAGAGGTCAGGTTCCCACACTCCAAGAGTGACAAATTGAAAGTTTAGACTTGATTTTATGACTCCTTAACATACTCAGCAGAGACCTTGCCATCCATTTTAAGAGCAATATTAACAATTGGAGGGGGTGGCTGTCCATATATCTTTAACGGGTGGGATGGTTATTATAAACTGTGAGAGAAGAAACAGGGCCAGATGCAGTGAAATAGCAAATGTCACAGGAAATAAGCAAATGCAGAGATCCCTGGTTCTGAAGAGGACTTTGGAGAGGTGGAAGACAAATCATGCACAAAGTCTGTAAGTGTGTTTTATATACACACATGTGCACTGTATAAATAGCTCATGGTCTGCCAGGCCATTCTTCAGAATTGCAATACAGGAGAGGTTTCCATGCACCACATCATAAATTGTCTCAACATATCCCTTCTATCAACTTCAGAAATTATTTCAATAATATTAACTTTGTTGCTTTTATGAAATTTTAAGGATACGTTTTACTGTCTGTGTCTGCATAGTCTGAGAACTGACTTAAACCTTTAGTTCCTTATCAAAGACAACCAACCAGTATAATAAATTTAAGCTACTTCAAAAATTCTGTCCATCATCATAAATTCTTTTTTTGATGTTTCTGAGGACAACAGTTGTGGATCATGATTTTCACATCTCTGCTTAGTTTCTTGAGGGTGTGTGAGACTACAGATTGGAAGCATCACAGACACAATGGATACCCATCCTTTTCCAGGTAGACATTCTTAATCTCCAGTACCATCTCTTTTTCTACAAAATGGAAGATGAAGGAGCAGGTAGCTACAAGAAAGCACTAAAACATCACTGTGTGGATACTAGTTTAGAGAACATATATTTAGTGGCCATCACTTTATTTCAAATAATTGTTTATGTATTTGATATTCTGTTAGGGATCTTAACTGGGTTGTAAGCCAAAAAGTATGTCTTAAAATGATTTATTTCACTATGGATGCACTATTAACTAACATTACCATACAGTTAAGTTAAACGCTATAGCTAATTATAAACATACAACATAGGAATGTTTCACTTTGAACCAATCCTTCTTTATCCAGGAGAGTTGCTGTGTAAATTTGGATACATGCTTCGAGGCTTTAATAAAGACCCCCAAATAACAGAAGCTTGTGCACTCTCATGTAGAACCTCAGGAAGGTAATCCAAGGTTGGCATGGCAACTTCACAGCCACCATGAACCCAGGTTCCTTCTAATTTTGTTGTCCTGTCATCCTCAATGTGTGACTTCTATCTCATGCCTGTATTAGGCTGCCATAACAGAATGCCACAGACTTGGTGGCTTAAACAACAGAAACTCATTTTCTCACAGTTCAGAAGGCTAGAAGTCCAAGACCAAGGTGTCAACAGAGTTGGTTTCTGGTGAGGTCTCTCTTTCTGGCTTGCAAATGGCTACCTTCTCACTGTGTCCTCACCTGATCTTTCCTCTGGGTGCCTCTTCTTAAAGGACACTAGTCCTATTGGATTAGGGTCCCACCTTTGTAACTTTATTTAACCTTAATCATCTCCCTATAGGCCATATCTTCAAATACAGTCATGTTGGGACTTACGGCTTCAACATATACATTTGGCAGGGACACAATTCAGTCGATAAGATAGCCCAAGAGAGCTGCTCTAACTGCCCCCACCATCCACATTCCAGTCAGAAAGCAAGGGAAGGACACAATTCTTCCCTTTAACATGCCCTTACAACGAGAGAATGTGTGAGAAATTTACACATATCTCTTTCACTCAAATCCCATTGGCCAGATCCTAGTCACATGGCCATCTTTAATTGCAAAGCAGGCTGGGAAGTAGGTTTTGTAGCTGAACTTCCACATCCTGGCTTAAACTTCTATTTCCATCTATACACAATGTTTATAAGGAGACATATAAGAATATTTACAATGTAATTATTCATAATAGCAGAGACTAGAAACAGCCTAAATGCACAAAAAAAGGAGAAAGTTAAGTTGCAGTTATTTATACAATGGAATATTACACATCAATAAAAATGAATAAACTAAAAAATACATATATTAATAGTTGCAAATTGATGGATCTAGTATGGTTCAATTTATTCAAACTTGTAAAACACAAAATTGTACCACATATGTTTATGGATGCACACATATGTAGTGAAAGTATAAACAGGTATGGAAGTAATGAATATGAAACACATGATGCTTAATATATGCCAGGCACTGTTTTAAGCACTTTACATACATTAACCGATTTATTCCTCATAACAACCCTACAAGGTAGATACTTTATCCTCATTTCACAGAGGAGAGAAAAGATGTTAGGAGATATATTAGTCCATTTTCACACAGCTATAAAGAAATTCCTGAGACTGGCTAGTTTACCAAAAAAAGAGGTTTAATTGGCTCACAGTTCTGCAGGTTGTGTAGGAATCATGTTGCTGGCATCTGCTCAGCTCCTGGGGAGGCCTCAGGAAACTTTCAATCATGGCTGAAGGCGAAGGAGGAGCAAGACATCTCACATGGCCAGAGAAGGAGGAAGAGAGGAGGAGGTGCTATACACTTTCAAACAACCAGATCTTATGAAAATTCGATCACAAGAACAGCACCAAAGGGGAAAATTTGCCCATAATCCAATCACTTCCCACCAGGCCCCCACCTCCAACATTGGAGATTACAATTTGACATGAGATTTGGGTGGGGACACAGATCCAAACCATATCATGAAATAACCAGCAGTACCAGCTACAGCCGGAAATGTTCTATTTTCTGGTGTAATATGTCAGCATCTCAATTTTGCTCTTTCTCGCCTCTGTGCACTTTCCTTTTGTCCCACTTTGTTTCACCTCCAGATTATTGGTTCCACTCAGTGCAACCTGGGAGGAGCATGGTGCATTCTTATAATGAAAGAAGACTTGGATGCATTATTATACCAAAAAGTCTCTCTCCTTCTCCCTTCAGGGATGAGGAGATACGATAGGGTGAAGGGCAATGCCATTAGCCATATGATGGTAATTAGAGGAGGAAGCAGGGTCAAAGAAGAGAACTTTTGGTTGGAGACATTAGGACATTGTGTCTGCTGGTGGGAGTGATAACCTTTTGTTCTATTTTTAAAAATCTCCAACAAGAGCAGAACTTTTGTGGGGGAGAGGATATTTAGAGGCTGTTGACTTTCTACATTATTTCACTCTGAGCAACAACTGGCTCTTGCCTCTTGCTTCATGTCTCTTAAAAGTAGAATGTCTCCTTCCCTTAGCATTTTTAATCTGGTTCTTACAAAGTTGTGCAATTTCCTGATATTTCTCCTGTGGTTATCTAGCCAATTTCTGCTTTGGGGGACTTTCCCCTGTTGCTTTAAGGTTTCCCAAAAGCTTTATATTAGTCCTGTGCTCTTCCGCTCCTTTATGGGAACATGTTGTTCTGGCACTCATGGAACAGCTTTTTCAAAATGCATCTTGTCACCTTGGCCCCATTTCAATCAACAAGCATTTATGGAGTGCTTTTTTTGCTCCAGTGGTGTTCTAGATCATGTAGAATACAGACTTTAAAAACTCGGAGGTGTGAAAGGACCTAAGAGATAACCACTCATTTTCCAGGTGAAGAAACTGAGGTCCAAAGAACAAACAATCTGCCCCAGGGTCACGAGGCTATTTTGAAGAATAATCTGCTGCATTCTCCCATTTCCTGTTCTCCTTAGAGTACATGCTTTGATTGGGAAGATGAAATCATATGGAATAATAGGGCATCCTCTCTGAGCCAGGCATCAGCTTTTCAATATGTTATGTAATTGGTATCATTCCCCCTAAGGACTTAATGATAAGATTACTTTGTGAGAATGTGACAAAAAAAAAAAAAAACAAAATTTATCTAGGCAGTTATACACAACGTTTATAAGGAGACATATAAGAATATTTACAATGTAATCATTCATAATAGCAGAGACTAGGAACAGCCTAAATGCCAAAAAAAGGAGATAGTTAAGTTGCAGTTATTTATACAATGGAATATTACACAACAATAAAAATGAATAAACTAAAAAATACATATATTAATAGTTGCAAATTGATGGATCTAGTATGGTTCAATTTATTCAAACTTGTAAAGCACAAAATTGTACCACATATGTTCATGGATGCACACATATGTAGTGAAAGTATAAACAGGTATGGAAGTAATGAATATGAAACACATGATGCTTAATATATGCCAGGCACTGTTTTAAGCACTTTACATACATTAACCAATTTATTCCTCATAACAACCCTATAAGGTAGATCCTTTATCCTCATTTCACAGATAAGAAACTGGACATAAAGAGGTGAAGTAACTTGCCCAGTCACATAGAAAGATCACCAAGGACTTTCATTCACTCAACAGAGATTTAGTAAGTGCTCTTTTTTAAGGAGGTAGATGGAATGGTGAACAATGTCGACATAGTTCACATTCAGCCTCTGAGAAATCTGACGGTTTTTGTGGTTTTTTTTAAGTATTTAGCTTGTTTAATTCAGTGTTTTCTAAACTTTCTTGACGATGGCACCTGTTTTATAGTAATGCCTATTAACTTCCAGTAGTACTATGTGCTCTTCCTAAGATAATTTAAGTAGAAGCATGATTGCATCCTAATGAGAAACGTTAATGTATCCAAGTCTGGGCACTGCGGTGGCAGGAAGAAGGTGGTGGCGGTGACAGGGGGTGTGGTGGAAGCTAAAAAGACAAGGTTTATTCATCCAGGCACTATGCAGAAAAAAGGCTGCCTTAATCTACACATTCCAGCATTCAGTCCATGCAGCAGCACTATCCCAGTTAGGATGGTGGTTGCCCCCAGGCTATCATGGTTAGAAGACATTAATCACTATTGTTACCCAAAAAAATCCGGCTCTGTTTCCCGTTCACTGAGGAATATTCTGCTTATAAGTTACTTTCCCTGTAGATTTACTGACCAGCAAGATAAGTTATAATTTTTATTGTTTATTAAATTGCATTCTAGTTTATAGTTCAGTCTCTAGCGAGTTTTGGTAATGTGAGTATATTCTGCAATACCAATACTTACCATAAGGCACTATCTAAATGAACTAATAATTTAAATTCTGAACTTACAAAGCTAAAGATCTTATCCTGGAATATCAGGGCACTGATGCTTTTAGAGACCTCTTGGAGAGCAGCTGCCTAGGGGGTCTATCTCATTCTTGGCCTTCTTTAAACTGCTACATGTATCTCATTTTATTTTCCCAACAACCTTGTGAAGAAGATATCACTCTTCTCACTTTACAGATAAAACATCAAGGCTTAAAGGGAATGTCTTGGGAGGGAGTCTGGCCTTATTGCCAAAACATTGTGATGGAATTCAGGTTTTATTGATGCCTCTTCCTATCCTCAAAGTGTTAGAATAACTCACATTCTCCTCTTTTTGTACAGATTCCCAGTGGTAGAAGTGTGTGGTGCAAAGGCACTTAGGTGGACAGGTTTGGCCCTCAACATGAACTTGATGGTGAGTGCTGGTCCTCAAAGACAATTTCTCTATGCAACACGTAGCCTCTTCTACCCTGCTTAGTAAGGAGAGAAGCCCTTTGGGGATGGCACAGGATAGGGCCCTGAACATCTAGAATGGAGCTAGATCCTCCAGGAGTGGGCAGGGAGTAGAAGAAACTGTAAGAATTATCAGCCGGGCACAATGGCTCATACCTGTAATCCCAGCACTTTGGGAGGCCGAAGCTGGTGGATCACCTGAGGTCAGGAGCTCAAGACCAGACTGGCCAACATGGTGAAACCTTGTCGCTACAAAAAATAAAAAATTTAGTTGGGCTTAATGGCGCATGCTTATAGTCCCAGCTACTTGGGAGGCTGAGGCAAGAGAACTGCTTTAACCCAGGAGATGGAGGTTGCAGTGAGCCGAGATCTCACCACTGCATATAAGAATTATAGGAGGAAGAGGGGAAGAGAATGATAGACCAGAGAAGAGGCTCAGAGCCAGATGCCCACCTGAGGTGACTGCTTTTGCCCTGAAATGTAATTCCAAGGGAAAGGCAATGTTCTGTACCATCTTATTGACCCAAGTAAGTGAGCTATCATCCATACTTTCTTTCTGAAAATGGGTTTTGCCTTCACATCCTTCCAGATGTTGCAGGCCTAAGAGTGGAGGTACATATTTGTATGTACATGCAGAGAAAAAATGTTTGTAATAATGTTCACGAAAAAAACAACTAGCTATCATCTTTGGGTGGAAGACTTTAGTGATTATTACTCCCTTCTTTCTACTTTTTTGTGTTTGTGTTTTAAAATAGTGAACTGAAATTATTTTTTAATCATAAAAGATGGGATTTGTGTTTTATTTTTTATTTTCATTTGGGAAAAAAGAAACCACTACATGTATCCACTAGCTTCAAACAGGATTTCTGCCTCCAGGATGCTTGGAAGTCTTAACATGGCCCTGTATACAAAATGGTATCCTCTGGCCACACAAGCATGTTGAGTAGAAATGGAAGAAAATAAGCTCTGTGCTCAGTTTTGGATCTCAAGATGTATCTGTGTTGTACAAGTTATAGATCATACCCTTTCATGTGCCAAGAACAGGCCATCTGATAGCTCGTGTCTCCATGCAGTATCATCTTCAACTTTTCCAGCTATTTGCTCACTGCCCCTTAGGGCAAAGGGAGCTATTTATGACTGATTATGATTACCCGGGATCTAGGATGAGAAGCTCATAGAACAAATATGGAAGCTGAATGAGGCTTTTAAAAATCATAATCCAAGAAGAGAGATGATGACCAGCTGCTCCATAGTGAGTACCAGGAAGTAGACAAGAACCAAAATGCCTTCTGAGTAATGTAGAGTGAGGCCAATTAAATGTTGACCTGGGGTATGGAGAAAAACTGGGGATTTCCTTCTCTGGAGGCCTCTTAACAATAAATACGTGACTATCTAGCAAGATTTGTTTATGTGATTGTCCTCATAAACCCAAAGAAATAGACTCAATTGATTTCCAATCTGTGATTACAGAGAGTTTATATTTTGCTTTATTCTAAGAGGAAATAGCAACTGGTGACCAACCCAATTCTTCCTCTCTACCTTTATTTCCAATGAGTGTGGTATGTTTTATATTTCGGCTGTGTCTAAAGGCTGTAGTCTGCAGAGTCCAAGTTATCCAATGGTTCAGGGACTGAAAAGGAAACCCAGTTATGCAATGGTTCAGGGACTGAAAAGGAGTATGGGGATGTGGCTCTCCTCCTCCAAATCCTTCCATGGGGTCTTCTCTGGAGAAAGATTACTTTTCCTAGACTTACACTGTCCAATACAGTACCCACTAGCCACGTGTAGTTATGTACATTTAAATTAATTAAAATTAGGTACAGAAGTTTTAGAGAAACAGAAACGCGAACAGGGAGTCATGAGCATAGACCACCTCCTTCATCGCATCTTTCAGCCATGTTGGAGAGTGGTAACAAAAAATATCGATTGCCTCGAAAACACATGGTGAGAGATTTTTCTTTTAAAATAGTCTATTCTCTTTTCGTGTGCATAGAAAAATGTTTAGATACACACAAAATTACTAACAGTGCTTACTTCTGTGAGGGGGACAGGAGAGTCACAGAAGGGAGGGGAACAAGCAGGGGAGATGGAGGGGCTAGGAAACATTTGCTTTTCCCAATATCCACTTCAGGATTGCTGAAATTCTGTCTTTGATGAGAATGCTTTCATTTTTTAATGTGAGAAAACAAATATAAAGATATTTAAAAATAAACAAGCAGATAAACATACTACTCCAAAATTCTGGCCAATCTCATTTTTTTTCCCACTGAGAAGTAAGATTATAAAGAATAATAAGTGAACCTTTCAGAGGAAATCTTGTTTACCTTCACCTGCCATATGTCTGGTCTGTCCCAAGCAGCTGGCATGGCATTGTTTACCCACGGTGTTTGCATGACTTCGGTTGGCTTTTTGTATTGGGCTTTGCAATTCTAAAATTAGCACACAGCTAGCTGGGAACTTTTCCCTCTTTCACCTTCAACACTAGAGGAGCAGAGATTTGCTTTGGCCTGGCAATTTTTGTGGCTTTCAAGGACTAACTCTTGGTCTTATTTAGGAGTCAAATTCACTGAGATACTGAGTTTGCTCTTTATAAATATAGTCAAGTAGAAATTGAAATGTTCTAGACTAAGTTTAGCTGGTCCATTCTGCAGCCTACAAGAACTTAACCCTAACTTCTAGCAATGTTTTAGCCAATAGATTTTACCATTCCCTTCGTCGTCTATTTTTTTCTTATTTAAATGGAATCCATGGAATTGTGTAGCTCAGAAAATGATATTCTGAAATATTTTTTCTCAACTATGCATCAACTTTCATTTGCATTTGTCTTTTGATGAATTATAATGTTCCATACTATTAATATACTATTAATGTTCTATAATTGTATGAGCCAATTCCTAGTATACACTGGCTGGAAAACCTATACACCAGTTTTAAAAATTTTTGATGGTGGATGTGTGTCTCTAACTACATTCGTATATATTTCCTGTGAAAGATAAAGGAGGAAGGAGCTGGAAAAGGTGAAAGGAGACTTCAATTTCAATTAAAGGGTAAAACTTGTGAAAAAAGAGCAAGATACAAGGAGAACTAGATAAGAGGAGCTTCCACCTGCAGTCCAGCTTAGAGAGTCTCTGCCAGGCTGATGGGGAATCCTGAGCAAAGGCTGTCTATTGGGGGAGCCCATGTAGGGCAGGAATGGCTTGACTCTAGTACTCGCCCTGCACTTAGCCATTGGCAGGGAACAGACCCCAGGAAGCATGGCCCTGGTATGAATGTTCCAGTGGATCCGAACGTGGGGCAGCTGCAAACTGTCAGTCAACTGTGCCCTTGTGATGGTTAATTTTGTGTGTCAACTTGGTGAGGCAACTGGACGAGTCAAGGCTCTCCAGAGAAACAGAAAAAGGGAAAAAAAAAGGAAAAAAGAAGAAGAGGAAGAAAGAGAGAGAGAGAAAGAAAGAGAAGAACAAAAAGAAAAAGAAATGAAAGGGAGGGAAGGAAGGAAGGAAGGAAAAAAGGGAAAGGGAGGAAGGAAGGAAAAAAGATATATTATAGGAATTGGCTCTCACATGGGTATGCAGGCCTAGAACTCTCACAATATGCCATCTATAAGCTGGAGAACAGGGATTGGGGAAATCTACCCTCACCAGTGTGGCAGGGCTGAGGGGGCACGACCTGCTGGAGTAAGTCCTAGGGTCCAAAGGCCCAAAAACCAGGAGCTTCATTGTCTGGAGGCAGGAGAAGTTGGATGTCCCACCTTAAGAAGAGAAAGAGAATTTGCCATTCTCCCACCTTTTTGTTCTACTGCAGTTCTTAATAGATCAGATAATGCCTACCCACACTGATGAAGGTGGATCTTCCTTACTCTGTCCACAGATTCAAATGCTAATCTCTTCCAGGAACACCCTCTCAGACACAGCCAGAAGTAATGTTTTACCAGCTCTCTAAGCATCCTTTAGCCTAGTCAAGTTGATACATGAAATTAACCATCACACCCATGATACCCCGATATTTGGTAAAACATTATTCTATTAGGTTGGTGAAAAAGCAATTGTGGCTTTTGCCAATAAAAATAATGGCAAAAGCCAGTGGCTGGCAAGATGGCTGAAAAAGAACAGTTCCAGTCTGCAACTCCCAGTGAGATCAACTCAGAAGGTGGGTGATTTATGCATTTCCAACTGAGGTACCCAGATCATCTCACTGGGACTAATTAGACAGTGGGTGTAGCCCACGGAGGGCAAACTGAAGCAGCGTGGGGTGTCACCTCATCCAGGAAGTTCAAGGGGTAGGGTAAACCCCTCCCCTAGCCAAGGGAAGCTGTGAGGGACTGTGCTGTGAGGGACGGTGCACTCTGGCCCAGATACTATGCTTTTCCCATGGTCTTCACAACCCA
Organism: Homo sapiens; assembly: GCF_000001405.40. Taxonomy (NCBI): domain Eukaryota; kingdom Metazoa; phylum Chordata; class Mammalia; order Primates; family Hominidae; genus Homo; species Homo sapiens. The sequence continues at coordinate 53,669,970 of NC_000004.12, read as the reverse complement.
CAGACCAGGAGATTCCCTCTGGTGCCTACGCCACCAGGGCCCTGGGTTTCAAGCACAAAACTGAGCACAAAATTGAGCAGACACTGAGCTAGCTACAGTTTTTTTCATACCCCAGTGGCACCTGGAAAGCCAGCAAGACAGAACCATTCACTCCCCTGGAAAGAGGACTGAAGCCAGGGAACCAAGTAGTCTAGCTCAGGGGATCCCACCCCCATGGAGCCCAGCAAGATAAGATCCACTGGCTTGAAAGTCTGACTGCCAGCACAGCAGTCTGATGTCGACCTGGGATGCTCGAGCTTGGTGGGGGAGGGGCGTCCACAATTACTGAGACTTGAGTAGGTGGTTTTCCCCTCAAAGTGTAAACAAAGCCACCAGGAAGTTTGAACTGGGCAGAGCCCACCACAGCTCTGCAAAGCCACTGTAGCTAGACTGCCTCTCTAGATTCCTCCTCTCTAGGAAGGATGTCTCTGAAAGAAAGACAGCAGCCCCAGTCAGAAGCTTATGGATCAAACTCCTATCTCCCTGGGACAGAGCACCTGGGAGAAGGGGTGGCTGTGGGTGCAGCTTCAACAGACTTAAACGTTCCTGCCTGCCAGCACTGAAGAGAGCAGCGGATCTCCCAGCACAGTGCTTGAGCTCTGCTAAGGGGCAGACTACCTCCTCAAGTGGGTTCCTGACCCCCGTGCCTCCTGACTGGGAGACACCTCCCAGCAGGGGTCAACAGACACCTCATAAAGGAGAGCTCCAGCTGGTATTTGGCGGGTGCCCCTCTGGGACAAAGCTTCCAGAGGAAGGAAGAGGCAGCAATCTTTGCTGTTCTGCAGCTTCCACTGATGATACCCAGGCAAACAGGGTCTGCAGTAGACCTCCAGCAAACTCCAGCAGACCTGCAGCAGAGGGGCCTGGCTGTTAGAAGGAAAACTAACAAACGGAAAGGAATAACATCAACATCAACAAAAAGGATGTCCACACAGAAACCCCAACCTAAGGTCACCAACATCAAAGACCAAAGATAGATAAATCAATGAAGATGAGAAAAAAACAGCACAAAAAGGCTGAAAATTCCAAAAACCAGGATGCCTCTTCTCCTCCAAAGGATCACAACTCATTGCCACCAAGGGAACAAAATTGGAGAGAGAATGAGTTTGAAGAATTGACAGAAGTAGGCTTCAGAAGGTGGGTAATAAGAAACTCCTCTGAGCTAAAGGAGCAAGTTCTAACCCAATGCAAGGAAGCTAAGAACCTTGAAAAAAGGTTAGATGAATTGCTAACTAGAATAACCAGTTTAGAGAAGAATATAAACAACCTGATGGAGCTGAAAAATAGCACAAGAACTTCATGAAGCATACACAAGCATCAATAGTCAAATTGATCAAGTGGAAGAAAGGATACCAGAGATTGAAGATGAACTTAATGAAATAAACAGTGAAGACAAGATTAGAGAAAAAAGAATGAAAAGGAATGAAGAAAGCCTCTAAGAAATATGGGACTATGTGAAAAGGCCAAACCTACGTTTCATTGGTGTAACTGAAATTGATGGGGAGAATGGAACCATAAGTTGGAAAATGCTATTCAGGATATTATCCCAGAGAACTTCCCCAAGCTAGCAAGACAGGCCAACATTCGAATTCAGGAAATACAGAGAACACCACAAAAATACTCCACGAGAAGAGCAACCCCAACCCCAAGACATAAAATCGTCAGATTCACCAAGGTTGAAATGAAGGAAAAAATGTTAAGGGGAGCCAGAGAGAAAGTTTGAGTTAACCACAAAGGGAAGCCAAACAGACACTAACAGTGGATCTCTCTGCAGAAACTCTACAAGCCAGAAGAGAGTAAGGGCAAATATTCAACATTCTTAAAGAAAAGAATTTTCAACCCAGAATTTCATATCCAGCCAAACTAAGCTTCATAAGTGAAGGAGAAATAAAAGCCTTTACAGACAAGCAAATGCTGAGAGATTTTGTCACTACCAGGCCTGCCTTATGAGAGCTCCTGAAGGAAGCACTAAATATGGAAAGGAAAAACAGGTACCAGCCACTGCAAAAACATACCAAATTATAAAGACCATTGACACTATGAAGAAACTGCAGCAAACTAATGGGCAAAATAACCAGCTAGCATCATAATGACAGGATCAAATTAACATATAACAATGTTAACCTTAAATGTAAATGGGCTAAATGCCACAATTAAAAGACACAGACTGGCAAATTGGATGAAGAGTCAGGACCCATTGGTGTGCTGTATTCAGGAGACCCATCTCATGTGCAAAGACATACATAGACTCAAAATAAAGGGATGGAGGAATATTGACCAAGCAAATGGAAAGAAAAAACAAAAAAGACAAAAAAAAACAGGGGTTGCAATCTTAGTCTCTGATAGAACACACTTAAAATCAACAAAGATCAAAAAAAGACTAAGAAGGGCATTACATAATGGTAGAGGGATCAATACAACAAGAAGGGTTAACTATCCTAAATTTATATGCACCCAATACAGAAGCACCCAGATTCATAAAGCAAGACCTACAAAGAGACCTAAACTCCCACACTATAATAATGGGAGACTTTAACACCCACTGTCAATATTAGACAGATCAATAAAACAGAAAATTAACAAGGATATTTAGGACTTGAGCTCAGGTCTGGACCAAGTGGACCTAATAGACATCTACAGAACTCTCCAGCCAAAATCAACAGAATATACATTCTTCTCAGCACCACATTGCACTTATTCTAAAATTGACCACATAATTGGAATAAAACACTCCTCAGCAAATGCAAAAGAATGGAAATCATAACAGTCTCTCAGACCACAGTGCACTCAAACTAGAACTCAGGATTAAGAAACTCACTCAAAATCACACAACTCCGTGAAAACTGAACAACCTGCTCCTGAATGACTGGGTAAATAACGAAATTAAGGCAGAAATAAATAAGTTATTTGAAACCAATGAGAACAAAGACAGAATGTACCAGAATCTCTGGGACACAGCTAAAGCAGTGTTCAGAAGGAAGTTTAAAGCACTAAATACCCACAGGAGAAAGCGGGAAAGATCTAAAATCAACACCCTAACATCAAAATTAAAAGAACTAGAGAAGCAAGAGCAAACAAGTTCAAAACCTAGCAGAAGACAAGAAATAACTAAGAGCAGAATTGAAAGAGATAGAGACATGAAAAACCCTTCAAAAAATCAATGAATCCAGGAGTTGGTTTTTGAAAAGATCAACAAAATAGATAGACTGCTAGCCAGACTAATAAAGAAGAAAAGAGAGAAGAATCAAATAGACATAATAAAAAATGATAAAGGGATATCACCACTGACTCCACAGAAATACAAACTACCGTCAGAGAGTACTATAAACACCTCTACGCAAATAAACTAGAAAATCTAGAAGAAATGGATAAATTCCTGGACACATACACCCTCCTAAGACTAAACCAAAAAGAAGTCGCATCTCTGAATAGACCAATAACAAGTTCTGAAATTGAGGCACAAATTAATAGTCTACCAACCAAAAAAGGCCCAGGATCAGACGGATTCACAGCCAAATTCTACCAGAGGTACAAAGAGGAGCTGGTACCATTCCTTCTGAAACTATTGTGAACAATAGAAAAAGAGGGACTCCTTCCTAACTCATTTTATGAGGCCAGCATCATCCTGATACTAAAACCAGGCAGAGACACAACAAAAAAAGAAAATTTCAGGCCAATATCCCTGATGAACATCGATGTGAAAATCCTCAATAAAATACTGGGAAACTGAATCCAGCAGCATATCAAAAAGCTTATCCACCATGATCAAGTTGGCTTCATCCCTGGGATGCAAGGCTGGTTCAACATATGCAAAGCAATAAATGTAATCCATCACATAAACAGAACCAATGACAAAAACCACATGATTATCTCAATAGATGCAGAAAAGGCCTTCGATAAAATTCAACACCCCTTCATGCTAAAAACTCTCAATAGACTAGGTACTGATGGAACATATCTCAAAATAATAAGAGCTATTTATGACAAACCCACAGCCAATATCATACTGAATGGGCAAAAACTGGAAGCATTCCCTTTGAAAACGGGCACAAGACAAGGATGCCCTCTCTCACCACTCCCATTCAACATAGTATTGGAAGTTCTGGCCAGGGCAATCATGTAAAAGAAAGAAATAAAGGGTATTAAAATAGGAAGAGAGGAAGTCAAATTGTCTCTGTTTGCAGATGACATGATCACATATTTAGAAAACCCCATCGTCTCAGCCCAAAATCTCCTAAAGCTGATAAGCAATTTCAGCAAAGTCTCAGGATACAAAATCAATTTGCAAAAATCACAAGCATTCCTATACACCAATAATAGACAAACACAAAGCCAAATCATGAGTGAATTCCCATTCACAATTTCAACAAAGAGAATAAAATTCCTAGGAATACAACTTACAAGGGATGTGAAGGACCTCTTCAAGGAGAACTACAAACCACTGCTCAAGGAAATAAGAGAGGACATAAACAAATGGGAAAACATTCCATGCTCATGGATAGGAAGAATCAATATAGTGAAAATGGCCATTCTGCCCAAAGTAATTTATGGATTCAATGCTATCCCTATCAAGCTACCATTGACTTTCTTCACAGAATTAGAAAAAAACTACTTCAAATTTCATATCCAACCAAAAAAGAGCCTGTATAGCCAAGACAATCCTAAGCAAAAAGAACAAAGCTGGAGGCATCACACTACCTGACTTCAAACTATACTACAAGGCTACAGTAACAAAAACAGCATGGTACTGGTACCAAAACAGATATCTCAAAATATCTAACTCATTTTATATAGATCAGTGGATCAGAACAGAAGCCTCAGAATTAACACCACACACACGCAACCATCTGCTCTTTAACAAACCTGACAAAAACAAGCAATGTGGAAAGGATTCCCTATTTAATAAATGGTGTTGGAAAAACTGGCTAGCCATATGCAGAAAACTGAGACTGGACCCCTTCTTTACACCTTGTACAAAAGTGAACTCAAAATGGATTAAAGACTTAAATGTAAGACCTAAAACTATAAAAACCCTAGAAGAAAACCTAGGCAATGCCATTCAGGACATAGGCATGGGCAAACACTTCATGACTAAAACACCAAAAGCAATGGCAACAGAAGCCAGAATTGACAAATGGGACCTAATTAAACCAAAGAGCTTCTGCACAGCAAAGGAAACTATTATCAGAGTGAACAGGCAACCTACAGAATGGGAGAAAATTTTTGCAATCTTTCCATCTGACAAAGGGCTAATATCCAGAATCTACAAAGAACTTAAACAAATTTACAAGAAAAAAACAACCTCATCAAAAAGTGGGTGAAGGATATGAACAGACATTTCTCAGAAGAGGACATTTATGCGGCCAACAAACACATGAAAAAAAGCTCATCATCACTGATCATTAGAGAAATGCAAATCAAAACCACAGTGAGATACCATCTCACGCCAGTTAGAATGGCAATCACTAAAAAGTCAGGAAACAACAGATGGCTGGAGAGGATGTGGAGAAATAGGAATGCTTTTACACTGTTGGTGGGAGTGTAAATTAGTTTAACCATTGTGGAAGACAGTGTGGTGATTCCTCAAGGATCTAGAACCAGAAATACCATTGGACCCAGCAATCCCATTACTGGGTATATACCCAAAGGATTATAAATCATTCTACTATAAAGACACATGCACACGTATGTTTATTGTGGCACTGTTCACAATAGCAAAGACTTGGAACCAACCCAAATGCCATCAGTGATAGACTGGATAAAGAAAATGTGGCACATATATACCATGGAATACTATGCAGCCATAAAAAGGGATGAGTTCGTGTCCTTTTCAGGAACATGAATGAAGCTGGAAACCATTGTTCTTAGCAAACTAACACAGGAACAGAAAACCAAACACCGCATGTTCTCATTCATAAATGAGAGTTAAACAATGAGAACACATAGACACAGGGAGGGGAACATCACACACTGGGGACTGTCAGGAGGTGGGGAGCTAGGGGAGGGATAGCATAAGGAGAAATAACCTAATGTAGATGATGGGTTGATGGGCACAGCAAACCACTATGGCATGTGTATACCTATGTAACAAACCTGCACATTCTTCACATGTATCCCAGAACTTAAAGTATGATAATAAAAACATAATGGCAAAAACCACAATTATTTTGCACCAACCTAATAGAATAATGTTTTACCAAATAGATCTTTCTCTGAAGGTATTTTTAAATGAGATTAACATTTAATCAGTAGACTTTGAGTAAAGCAGATTACTCTTCTGTAATGTGGATGGGCTTCATCCAATCTGGTGAAGGCATTAATAGACAAAGACTGACTTCCACAGAAGAATAGGGAATTCTGCCAGCAGATGGCCTTTGTACTTGAACTCCAACATCAGCTCTTCCCTGGGTCTCCAGCCTACCAGCCTCCATAATTGCATGAGCCAATTCCTTCAAATCCATCTCTCTCTCTTTGTCTAAATATATACAGAACTCCCCCACCCTCAACTATCACCTCAGCAGGTGCGGACAGCTTGCCTGACAGTGTGGAATCAGTTCACACTAATTTATTCTCAGTCAGGTTGCCATTTAGGGCAGTGTAATCTGAAGCAAAAATTTTGATTTCTACCAAAACTGCTTTCAAGATTTTATTCCCTTTCATTATATTCTATCCAAACAGAATATGGATCCTGTTTTCCAATAGAAATATGCAGAAGTGAGGACCATTCTGAATTTTTAAACTTCCAAAATATAAATGACCATCTCTTGATGAATAGTTACATAAAATTTTGAAAACTATTTATGGTAAAAGTACAGAGCAAAGTATACACATCCTGGTCCATGGCAGGGGGGTACTTCCAATTCATATTTCTGATTTCCCCTTATTTCAACAATTACTACTAGGCCTTTGCACAGCAAAGTAAATTAGCACTTTTTAAAACTAGGTTTCCTCCAGCTTAAAAAAAGTGAATTAGTTTTTTTTTCATTTGTACTTTTAGTAAGATTCATTTAAAAATGACTCAATTTGTCATTAATAATGTTTTATGTGTTTGTAGCTCAAAGAACAGAATGAAGCAGGAGTCTGATTGTTGTATATGAAATGTGTGCTCTGTATTCTTATAGGGTTTCCCAGCTCCATTTAAAATACAGTTTCAAAATACTGAGATTACAATTAATTAAGTATTCTTGGAGGCATAAAGTAATAATGTTTCAGTTGCTTTCAGCTACAAGTAACAGAACAGATCCACTAAAAGTGGTTTTAAACAAAAACGAAACTTAATAATCTTACAATAGAAGAAGTTGAGAGATAGGCAGGCAAGGCTGAGATTGGATTAGCAGATCAATAGCATCATGAAGAATAGAGCCTCTTCCCATCTCTCCACTCTGCAATCTGCAAGCTTGGCAGCATAGGGGCTGCCACATTCTAAGCGACACATTTACACTCCCACAATATTTGGAAGAGAGAAAGAGGTTTCTTTGCAGGCATCTTCTTCTATTAGGAAAAAAAGTCTTCCCTGAAGTCCCCCAGCTGACTTCCCTAAGTTCCCATTGGCCAATATTGGGTTGCATGTGTGCATGTTCTAGCTGCAAGCAAGGCTGGGAAGTGAATGCATCCCAAGCCTCTTCCAGAAAGGAAGAATGGTGGAAGCAAGCAGCCAACTGGTCAACCACACAGAAGTTGATACGATCAGAGCTTCTCGGAACAAAGAGATTAACATTCTGCTCCTCTACTTATTACCACCCTAAACTTCAGAAAATTACCTAGCTACTCCACTATGCCTTAGTTTCTTCATCTGCTGTGTGAATTAAATGCATGTAGGAATATATGTAGATTCGTTTCGATCATATCTGCCACATGGTGTTAGGCATCATTATTTGAACCTCTAGAGTCGCACAGGGCCTCCAGGGGGCCTGGGGTCCATGCAAATGCTCTGGCTAAAATAAGTGACTGACAAGTTAGATTTAAGGCCTTAATGTTGAATTTGTATAAGACTCTAACCACTACTGTTATCTTTAATACTTCAGATTTACTACTGATTATTGTAATACTTTTTTAAAAAAGGCTTTTAGTTAGCAGTCTTGTCTATTAAATTTATTTCTGAAAAAGCTCTTGGAGATAGAAAAAGTGTCAGGATTCTATGAGAAAAGCCAACCTCCTCCACATTTCCATTTACTCCTCTGTCATGTACCTACCTTTTGTATTTCTACCCTGAGTTCCTTGGTCTGTTCTCACTACATCTTCAGAGGAATCAGTGGTCCCACACAGTCCTATACTGCTCCCAGCTCTGTTTCACCACCTCCTGGCTTTGAACAAAGGCCTGGCTTTGAATTTTCAGGAAGAGGGCATCAACGAGCTTTTAGGATTTTCCTTTAAAATTTGATACATTGTTAGTGTGATGGAAATTGGCACAGCTATTTTTGACACTTCAAATATTTGATGACATCTCTAATCCCTTTTCCCTAGCAACTTCACTTCTACAAATGTAACCAACAAGTAACAGAACAGGTAATGTTCCTAAAGCATTCCTTGCAGTAGCAAAAATTTTATGGACAACCTGAATGCCCACTAATGGCAAATATGTTAAAAATTAGGACACTTCCATATTATAAAATTTTCATATTGGAATTTTTTAAATATGACAGACAGCTATACATACTAACATGAAAGGATACCCACAGTATATTGTTGGATATGAAATCAACAAAATGTAGACCATTGTTTATCGTATTGTATCAATTTTCTATTGCTGTGTAACAAACCATCCCCCAAAATTTAGTGATTTAAAACAACAATCACTTATTTGTTTATGATTTTGTGGGCTGGCAATTTGGGTTGGGCTTAGCTAGGACAAGTCATCTCTGCTAGATACGGTGTTGGCTAGGCTTACTAATATATGTCCCCAAAGCAGGGACAGCTGGGACAACTCTTTCTACCTGGCCTTTCTCTCATCCTCAAGGAGAAAAGCAGAAAAGGCAAATCTTGAGCCGTGGCTTGGGATTGCCACAATTTTATTTCTACCAATTTCTTTTTTATGTATTTGTTCTGGTACCTTTCCATTCTTTTTTAAAAAAATAACTTTTATTTTATTTTATTTTATTTTACTTTAGATTTATTTTAGATTCAGGTGGTACATGAACAAGTTTGTTACATGGGTATATTACATGAGGCTGAGGTTTGGGGTACAAATAATCCTATCTCCCGTGTAGTGAGCATAGTACCCAGTAGCTTTTCAGCTCTTGCCCCTCTGTCCCTTCTAGTACCCCTCTAATATTCCCAATTGTCTATTGTTCCCATCTTTATGCCCGCAGGTACCCAAAGTTTAACTCCCACTTAGAAGTGAAAACATGCAGTATTTGGTTTTCTGTTCCTGCGTTAATTCCCTTAGGATAATGGCCTCCAGCTGCATCTATGTTGCTGCAAAGGACATAATTTCATTCCTTTTTATGACGACATAGTATTCCATATCATTTCTACCAACTTCTATGAACAAAGCACATTGTCAGGCTTGCCTAGATTCAAGGAGTGGAGAAGTAGACCCCACCACTTAATGGGAGCTCTGTGGTAGCTGTCATCTAAAATGGACCCAAATTATGTTTATTTTCTGGAATGTGTACTTCTCTGTAGTCACCTCCCACACTGAACCAGGGCTAGCCTGACTGACCAAAGAATATAGTAGACGTGATGATGTGTGACTTCCAAGGGTAGAATGTAACAGGCATTGCACCTTCCACCTTGTTCTCTTGGATCACTCTTTATGGGGAGTCAGGCACCATTCCATGAGGACATTCAAGCAGGCTATGTAAACCCACATGAAGATAAACTGAAGCTTCTACTAGAAGCCAGCACCAACATGCCAGCCATAGGAGTGAGCCATCTTGCAAGAGGGTCCTCCAGCCCCAGTCATGTCTTCAAATGACTGCATCCTCAGCCAGCATCTGGCTACAACCTCATGAGAGTCCCCAAGCCAGAACCACTTAGTAAAGCCACTCCCTAACTCCTGATCCACAGAACACTGTGAGAGATAGTAAACGATTAGTGTTATTTTAAGCCACTGAGTTTTAGAGTGATTTGTTATGCAACCTTAGATAATAAATACAAGCTGCAAATAATCTGTGGCATAGACAGATAAAGATTAGCCCTAGAGACTGGGGATAAGGTTATGTATGTGGGCACATTTGAGCGTATATGTGTGTGTTATTGTTATTGGGTACTAAAGGAGCAGGTAAATTTACACTATTCACTTGAAGTATTTTTTTCTTCTTACTTTTAGCTTTTTCACTGAGAGTGTTTGACTTCTATAATTTTTTAAATTAAAAAATAATTTCTCTTGATATTTCAAACGTGTGTGTACACATGTATATGAGGAAGTAGTGTGAGGAAAGAGGTGCAAACACATTTGAGAGCCTTTAGAGGCCATCTGGCATAATTGTCTGCCTATAACAGTACGACATGCACAGAACACCAGCACAGCCTCGGTTTACCAGATGAATGCTCTCAGACAAAGTATAACATTGGGACAAAAGCAATAATGCACCACAGTGAGGCGGAAGCATCTGTTTTCCTTTTAAATGAAATTTTCTCAAAAAGACAACATCCAACCTGGTCACTGAAATGCAATTAGTACATACAGCTGGATTTGGTTTAGAGCACGAAGAATCTGTTTGAAAAAACAAACACAAAATGGGGTCCAGCTGTCTGAACCAGTTTAGAGAACTCCACATGTAAAAAGAATATGTTTTCCAGTTGCTTTTTCATGGCGATGAGGTTTGGAAAATCAGCCAACCCAATTAATTAATCAGTGCAATCAACCAGGCCTTCTCAAAATAGGAAGTCTAAAGGATTTTGTCCCCTGAAAATAGAGGTAAGTGCCATTATATTAATAGTATCTTGGGATTTTTTCCAAAGTCTAAGACAACTTCAGAAATTTCTTCCTGGAGAAAAGAAGTCTGGAGTGCCTTTCACATTGTTCTTTCCATTCATGATATTTATTATTGCTGTTTTTCTTCATTTATTAAGTGTTGACAGTGTCCTCAGGGCTGGAAACAAAATCCTAGAGGAGGCTACACAGCCTTTGCCTAATAAATGACAGCTTGGTTCTCTTTGCCATGACTGTCCCAGAATGTACAATACTCAGCATTGCACAGAGCCTTGGAGGAGGTAGTTTTACTTCAAAGAGAAATGTCCTTAATTCTTTTAAAAAGGCATGAAATAAAGGAATGTGTCATAAAGGTGACATCTTCCTGACCCCTACGAACCAGATTGCTCAAAATGGCTAAAATTTGTAACAGTGAAGAGTTCAAATCTGTATGTTCTTCCTACCCTGATGAAAAACTTAGAGGCATTGCAAAGAAAATCTGATTTTCTCCATGCAACAACTCATTTCATTTATCCTCATGGCTTTTAGCCCCATCTCTGCCCAAAAATCCCCTTCAAGACAAGATCAAGTGAGATACCTTAGGCATAAAGATAGGAAAAAGATGGCACTTCCTCCAAAACAGCAAGCTGAATTTTCCTGAGAACTGTTTTTAGAAGGAAACTGCAGCCTCTGCAAGCAATTTGGAATTTGTAGAGGGCAGATTTGAGAGCTGGATGTTGGATTTGTGTGCCCAGCTCCAAGACTCACTGTGATTTTGGGCAAGCCACCACATCTTTCTAGGCCTGGTTCTCTTCAATGACATGATGGAATAATTCTATGTCAGCAAAGCACTGCAAAACTATTTAAATGATGACAAAAGTATAGAGCAGAAATGCTAGCTACAGAGATAAGATACATGGGCGTGCATTTGACTGGATTGACTTCATGGCAAAGCCCCTTAATATAAAATTCCTCAGGGAGTTTGCCTGTTTCCTTGAAAAATCTAGAATGCAGGAAGATTTTGTTTTAACACTGGTTTTGCAAACTAGGCAAACACTTGATCTATACACTTTCTAACACGAGCACTAGATTTATTTTCACAAGCATTTTATACATAGGTATAGCAAAGTTGTTTATGGAAAAAACAATTTAAAATACAATTCAAATGATTGAAAATTGGAGGTTGAGGATGGAGAGTTCCATTCTGGCTGAGGACAGAAATAAAGAGCCAATAGGGGATATTAAAGATTGTATCAGCTTTCTGAGGAGCTGGATTAAAAATGACTCAAAGGTGTATCCCGTCCTCTCTGAACTATGGTATGCAAGAGTCCGACTACACCAATCAAAAGAGTGACGGGGAAGAAGACGTAAGCAAGAGAGCAGAGACCTGTCTCAGCTGGGCTGGCATCCCTGTGCATGCGCAGCCTGTTTAAAACAGGGTGATGGCCTGGAGCAGTGGCTCACGCCTGTAATCCCAACACTTTGGGAGGCCGAGGTGGGTGGATCACCTGAGGTCAGGAGTTTGAGACCAGCCTGGCCAACATGGTGAAACCCCGTCTCTATTAAAAATACGAAAAAATTAGTGAGCGTGGTAGCAGGCGCTGGTAATCCCAGCTACTCGGGAGGCTGAGGCAGGAGAATCACTTGAACCCTGGAGGCAGAGGTTGCAGTGAGCCGAGATCCCGCCATTGCACTCCAGCCTGGGCAACAAGGGCAAAACTCCATCAAATAAATAAATAAACAAACGAACAAACAGGGTGACTGGAGGCTGAACAGCCACCCTCTCCATGTCCTCCAAGTCTCATCACACAGAATCCAGCATGCGAGAGAAGGAGGCCCTTGCTTTTTCAATGCAATCCCCTAGTGCTCAGGCGAGAGGTCTGGGAAAGGATGTCCTCCATCCTGTCTCACCAATCTGATTGGTCAGGGACTCCTGATCTCAGCAATCAGATTAGTCAGGAGCTCCCAATCTCACCAATGGGATTGGTTTTTACTCCTAATAGGAGGATTAACTCTGGAGCTTGAGGGAGGCCAGGAGAATGGTTCAATATTGCACTTTCTTGGTGCATCGGAAGCTACTTCCTAATATGGACAAGAAAATAAGTGTTTCCTGGCTCTGCCTCAATGCAAATAAAAAAATTCCAGTGTGAATAAATTATCTCCGAGGCATTCCCAATGTTGTCCAATGCATGCTAACCAGAACCCAAATTAAGATGAGAGCCGGGGAGGGTGTGGCTGGTGATGAGTCACAGTATTTTTACAAATTCATCTAAAACACAAAACAGGCAAACTCCCCACTTAGAGTTTTTGTTCCGAGTCATTTTTGGAGGATATGTTGGTTGTTAGAATTTGGAACACATTTCTTCCCATAAACTGATGTTCTAAATCTAAATGATGTTTGGTTTCCCAGAGCTGGCCCCCAGAAACTTTTAAAACAGTACAATTTCCACTTGGCCCTATCGTTTTCACGGAAAATGAATTACGAAATCTAAAGTGGAAAGCCAGAAGCCTTTATTTTCTGGTTCTTCCCCATCTCTTCCCTGCGCTGTGGAACAGCACTCCCAGAGGCAACAGAAAGTGGTTCCTCTGAAAGGAGGACTCTGGTAGATTCTCTAGGCCACAATTATTTGCTAATTCTCTACATCTGCACAGGGAAAACTAGATCTGTATGTGAATAAAAACATGTGAGTACCTCTCAACAACTATTTAAGAAACTCAGGTTCCTTAACTAACCTGAATTGAGAGAAAAAAGATGATCTCATTCAATTATTCATGTCTTCGTTCAGCATTTTGTTTTATTTAGAATGTATTGTGTAGCAGGCAGGTCTTGGACATATAGTTGGGGACAAAATAGACCTAGCTCCTGACTTCATGGAAGGAAACCTTGTTTTGGAGGGAGGGGTCTCTGTAAGTGGGTAAATTATAAGTTACATAAATATTAGGCAAAATAGGCAAATAAATAATAGACTTACATGTAGTATCAAGTGCTCAAAGGAAATGAGGACAAGGGGCGAGGTCGTGGGGTGTCCCTAGGAAATGACTTTTGAGCTGTGACCTGAAAGATGAGAAAGAGTGAGTTAGGCAGAAAGAGACAGAGAGTCTGTGTGTGAGAGAGGAAGGGTAAAGACCAGTCCAGGAACAAGAAAGCCTGTGAGATGGAGAAAAGCTGGGTGTGTTCAAGACACTGCCATTAGTGGTGCATTCTGTGGTCCAAGTACACTGAGAAGGGAGCGTGCTGAGATAATGCTGGAGAAGTGAGCAGGGAGCACGTTAAGCCAAACCTAGTGGCCACACCAGGGGTTTTGTGTTTCCTCCTGAGTGCAGTGGAGAACCTTGACGCCTCTAGATAGTCTAATGGCATGAGCTGACCTACTTTTTTAAAAGTCTAATTCAGCTGGAATGTGGAGTGCAGATTTGATAGAGGGACAAGGGGCAAGAAGGGAAGCAAGAAGATTCATGAAGAGACTACTGCAGAAATTCAGGTAAGAGCGACAGAGGCTCAGACCATTGTGGGAGTGGAAACAGAGGGCAATGATTGAAATGGATATAAATTTTGAAGGTGAAACTGATGGAACGTACTTCGTGGATTGGATGTGGGACTTGAGGGATGGACCCTGTAGAGGTAACTCCCAGGCTGCAACATTTAGATGGATGAGATGGGGAAACATGAGGCGAGGCAGGAAGAGAAGATGATGAGTTGGCTTTGGCTGTGTGGAGTTTGAGATGGCTATGAGACACTGAGAATGCAGTTGGAAGCCCAGAAGAGAGTCTGAGCCAGAGACACAAATATGGGGATCGTTGGCAGAAAAACAGTATCTGAAGCCTTGGGGTGGGGCTTTGGGCTCCTCACTTCCTGCCCCACTTGTAGGTACATGTGAGTACACTAAGGTTTACCATTAGAGGAGAGAAAGGAAAGCAACCAGGTCATAATGGTTCAAAGAAACCATTTTCTCCCTCCTGTTAACATAAATTCATTTTCACCCTGAGCATCTCATAAGAGTGAAAATGGACCTGAAAGAAAGCTAGCTCAGGTTCTGATTTCTTTATCACAGTTAGAAGATGGAAATGTCTCCACTGTCATTTCACATTTCTGAGATTTAATGTCCCTTTAATGCATTCCCAAAATGCACCAATAATGAGGAAGTTTTCTCTGCATGTAACTGGGTATGATATTTGTGACTTTTCTGGGACACTAAAAATGAGCCATTCTCCCCTTTACGGTGAAGCTATGTTTGCTTCATAATGACAAGGATTTTAATTACAGTTGGACATTTCTGCTGAGTTGGAGCCTCTCTCCTTAAAATCCCACACCAAATGGAAGTGACACTCTAAAGCCATGGCGTTTGAGCAGACTCAGGTCTCCATGCTGTAGGCTGCCAGGGAATGAGTAATCCTGGCTTTGGAAAGGGCACACTTGTAAAGCTAAATTAATATGCCTGCTTTTCATTCATGACTTCTCTTTGTTTCCAGTTTTAAACTGTTAGCTGCCTTGGTTACATGACCATGCAAAAAAGCAGGTTTGGGAGGTATGTGTGTGTGTTGGCAATCTCGGAATGGACTCAATTCTTGGAACCAAATCAATCAGTGCTAATCCGGTTGCTCGCAGATGAGAAAGGAGAAATAAAATCCCCACCTACCTTACCTTTCTGAATGGAAAACCCCATGCTTATGACAGTCCCCAAATCTGCCATCATTGTTTCCTGTTGGTGAAAAGCCACGAAGCAGATGAGGAGCTTGAAAGTCTCTATTACATCAGCTCCTTTCCAACATTTTGGTTTTTTATTTCATGTGATAAGGTTGAAAAGGCCAATTTGACTGTTATAAATTACCTTTCCTCATCAAAGAACTCCAAGACCAGAGTCCATAAACATATCTAAAAACTGCACTTAGTTATAAACCTCTGGGAGAAAAAATGAAATGATAAGTAAAAGCCTAGACTTTTTTCTCTTTGTTACCATAACTCCAGTAAATAAGTCTTCAGTCTCTGTTAAGAACAAAAAGCTGACCAACCTCAAGTGTAAAGGCTCATGCAGCCTTAGGGCAAAATACCCCCAAAGCGTCGCCAAACAAATCCAAGGGTGACAAGAATGTGCAACTGCCCTGATGTCACAACTCTTATGTTTATGAGAACAGACAACTTGGGCCCACTGGAGGGCATCCTTTTGTCTCCTAATTAACTGTTTTACTTTTGTTTGACCAGATGCCAGCTGCCCTGGGTAACCGCCATGACACAAGAGAGCTAACTGCTAGCAATTAAAAATAAAGATTAGGGGTAGAACCAAAAAGAGTCAGAAGTGTGACCTTAGGACTGAAAATACATGTGCTGACTTCATCTCACCAGGCAGAAGTTTCCAGGCTGCTAATTTTGCCTCATTCACTCGGTGGATTATTGATTAAAAGAAACTTGTAGCAGCTGGCTCTGAAAGTCAAAAGGACAAAGTGGCAATCAGGCCATGACCAAAATGCACACAGAGGCCAAGGGATTTGCAGTGTACTTCCTTGTTTGTAAATCAGAGTCACAGTGGAGAGCTGAAGGCACCGCAGCCAGCGGCACCACCTGTGATTAGGCAGCCACAAGTACCTGGACTCTATGTGTCTTTCTTGCATGTTGCATATACATAAGATAACATCCAGCACCCGACTCACATCTCTGGAAAGAGACTACTTAATTCACTAATTATTCATGTTTCCACTTAGAATCTGATTCCCAGAGCTAATCGCTTATTTAAGTAAAATCTTTGGCCATTGCTGGAGCTGTCAGCCCACAGAAGTGCTTAAGCAAACCAGTGGGAAAAGCAAAACTCAGAAAAGCACACTTCCAGAAGTGCAACGTTTACATTTTTAACTAGCTGGGTCACTTTGCAGGAATGACTTAGTCTCTGTAATGCTCAGTTTCTTTATCTATATAATGGGAGTGATAATTATAGGATTCTGTGGAGAATTAAATAAAATAATGCAGGTCAGGTAATTACTACAGAACCTGGTAGACGGTAAGCACTTAATAAATGTTAGCAAAGATGCTGCAGCCACTGACGATGATGATGATGGTGATGCTGAAGAATGAGCAGAAGAAATCCTTATTTAAACAATAATTCTATATCTTTAGAGTTAAGAGTCTTAAATAGTATCAGCCACAAACTTGCTCATTCTTTTTCTTCGTCTACAAACATTAGCCAGTGTTCAGTTATGAGCAATACTGCCAATAGAAAATCTTTGAAAGTTTTGGCAAGGTATTGGAACAAGTCAGAAGTACTTATTTGCCTGATATAGATTTTGGTGCATGCCCCTTTACATATTCAAAAATAAAAGATGCCAAGGATTATAGGACCTGTCCAGTCAGTAGCCCCTGCCTATTTAGGAGCTGGTCCCAGCATGATAATGTTCCAGACCTAATGATGGCCTGAAGGTGTGGTGACCCTGTGTTTATTTCCTTGTTGATTTCCCTTCTCTGGCTCCAAGATCATTTTCCCATTGCCTGCAGGAAACAACATCTAGGGGCGAGGTAGGCCTGACTTGGCAACCCTAAAGGTGAACAAAAGGACCTTGGCTTTTGGCAAGAGCAGAAGGAAGTTCAGGGGCGTCTCAGCCCCATCCAAACCAGAAGAGATTTGTCACTGATGCTAATGCATGCTGCTCTGCAGGGGACCACTCTCCCTCGAAGCTCCCCATAGCTGCTCTCAGTTTTATGGATCTGCTCTACTCAAAGCCTTGCAGAAGGGGCAGGGGATGCCCAGGTTAACCCCCGCACGTACAAAGGTGGAGCAGTTTTCATGCATAGCTGGGACGAAGAACACTGGAAAGAGAAAGAAAAATTTTCCGAGCTACTGCTAAGCCAGAAAAGCTCAGCTCTCAAACGGACTATCTCCTGAGACGTCACACAGCTGGGAACTGATCCGCAATACAGCAAAGGTAAGATGGCCCGGTTCCTCCACCAGGTAGAATCTCATACAATTTAAAAAAAAACTTCACCTCTGCCCACTCAGCCTCCAGCTCTCACCCCTATCTCTTTCTCTGTCTCTCTCTCTCTCTCTCTCTCTCTCTCTCTCTCTCTCTCTCACACACACACATCAAATTGAGGAGAGTCTAAAAGATGGAAATATCTAGGTATCTTTTTCAAAACACTAGAAAGGCCTCAGGGCATTTGCGCTCTTTATACCCTATTTTTTTCTGCAGTGGCCTTCATTAAAAGCTTCTTTACTTTCACAAATGAAAATGACTTGCCAGACAGGTCAGTAAAAATGTAAGTATTCCCACTAACAGTAACTGGGTTTATGTGACATTATTCTTTATCGTCATTTAAAACACATTCACACACAGACTTTGTTTCATTCCACAGTAGGAGTAGGTGTTGCATTGCAGTTTTACCCATGGATAAAGAGGTTGAGAGAAGCTGTGACCTGCTCACGGGTGTGTAGGGTTGTGGGTGACCAGCAGCACATCCTGTCTCCATTCCCATCTCTTTTCAGTAGAATGGTGACCCTACTCTTTAAACAAAATTCCAGAGTACATTCTTGGCCACGTATTCTGACAAATGTTCTGATGAGAGGATGGAATTTTAGAAATTGGAACTCTCCTGGAAAATCCAGAAATAGATAGCCACAGTATCCTGTACAATATACCACCTTGTCATGTATTCCTGTTTACTTCCATTCCTGGGCATTGAATTCACTTCAACAAATGTCGATAAACTATGTTCCCTGCTCCAACACTGACTGGTCATGTGTCAGGGCGTGGTGCAAGTCCGGTGCCCAAGGAATGCTGACGCAGTGCAGAGCAGGATGGGGGTGGGGCTCCCCTAAAGAGGTGAGCTTCAAACGAGCTCAACATAAAGTGTGGACTTGGATTGAGGGAGAGCATTCAGATACACAAGTCCCCCAGGAGGAATTTGTTGAGTGAACATTTGCTTACACCAAGTCCATGTGGCAGAGCCGAGGGGAGAGGAGCATAGCCTGAGGAATTAGACTGTCTGTTCTTGATTCTTGGTTCTACTTCCTACTAGCTCTGCATTTTGGGGTACCTCAGTTAACACCTCTAACTTCACCTTGCCAATATGTAAAATGAGAATGATGGTAATACATCCCTCATAGCGTTGTCTTCAGCTGTAAATGAGATTATGCATGTGAAGTCTTTCCTGGTGCATAACAACTGCACAATAAATATTAATACTAACTATTGTGATGACCATGTGCCTGGCTCCAAGGGAGATGCAGGGAATACAGATAAGAGGAGGCCTACCCTCAGTGTAATGAAAACCTCATGAGTTAGTTGTGTGCAACTAATGACATGAGGTGTGATGCATGCTCTGGAACCATGAGGGTGGAATCCTTTAAGTCTGTGTGAGTTAGGGTTGAGGTTCTTGGGGGGACACGGAAGGGGACAGAGGTTTCACAGCAGAGGCCCTATATGTAGGGCGGTAGTATAGAACGGTGAAAAGAGCTAGACAGATCTAATTTTGAATCCCAGCTTCCTCCTCTATTTACGTATCTATTTATTTCTATGTTAATCTATATGTATAGAAAACCATAAATTCATACTTCCAATTCCAATCCAACACCACAGAGTTTTCTCCCTTTCCACATTTGTAACTCCCTTCTCTGACATTCATCAGAAGCCGGCTCCCATTATCCTTAATATATTATTTGCTTATTTGCTCAGTCCCCCAAATGTCATCAACTGCCATCATGACCACTGTCCCCTGCCCATGCAGATGCCCTCCGCACCCTGCTTAGGCCCTGACACTTTGTTCTGGGCTGCCCTGAGCTGGCTCCTGGAATTCTGGAGCTACCGTATGTCCTCCACACCCCGCACAGGTGCCTACTTTGCTCAGCCCTATGTAATGTATTTAAGGACTGTGACACGCGCTATGCATTTGTGTATGTACCTGTGTTGTCACTGTCTTTGATGGGGGACAAAGCTGTCTCCTCCATACAGGCAGGGCACGTGTCCTCAGCATCAGGCCTGAAGAAGCCAGGCTCATTCCATTCATTCTATTCCACTCGGTCTGCTCATCTATATGGATGTGGGCTGCTCACTCTCTGCTCAGGGTAGTAAAAACATTTCCAGGGTGAAAACTACTATTTGGGCAGTCCCTGCTCCTTTTTCTTCTCTGTCAAGTCCTTGTCTAGGTTCTCCATTATTCATTTACTCAACAACAGATACAAAGCGCTTACGAGGTTCCAGGTGCTTGGCTAGGGTGGAACATAGAGATTTAAAACCTTAGTCACCACCCTCAAGGAACTCCCAGTCCACTGTGGGAAGCAGACAAGCAATAAATTTCAATTCCATGTGGCCAAGTACAATGAGACCCTACACAGCCTGCCATCGGAGGGCACCTAGCCCAGACTGGGTGGGCACAGAGGAGATGCCCAAGGGGAATCCTAAATGGGCAGAGATTAACAAGGTAAAGACTGACTAGAAGGGGAGTAAAGGGAGTGGTGTGCAGGAAGGATGAAATACTGTAACTGATAGAGAATATCAGGAGCTACCTCAGGGTGGCTAGTGCAGGGCCAGAGGCAAGAGGAGGAGCTGTCCAGACAGGTGCAGGCTGTGGAGATGAGCCAGTGGTGCTGGATTGTAGACTTCAGGACAAGAGCTCTGGAGCCAGACTTCCGGAGTTCAAATCCTGGTTCTGTGACCTAAGATTTGTTGATCTATAGCTGTTGAATCTTCTGCAAGTTACTATTCTCTGTCTTGGTTTCCTTCACTGTAAAACTAGAGATTGTAATAGTAGTCGCCTTGTGGGATTGACATGTAAATTAAATTCTTTTACATAGTGTACACAAAAATGCATAGCATATGGAAAACAATAATAACAAAGCTGTTATTTTCCAGTAGGTGGATCAAAAAGGGGTTAGGGCACTGGTGAAGCAGAAGCACCCCAAAATATAATGAATTAATTAAAAGACAGAAATTTAAACAAATAGATTTTGGCATTGTAAAAGAAACTCTGAAGTTGTTATCTTGAGTAAAATCAGAACCTTTTGGATTCATTTTATGCCTTACTGTTGCTTATCTTTTGATATATTTTGGGTTACAGGCACCATAATTTTTTTATCGTTTCAGCCTCCAAAGGTCCCAGCATTGCCCTGCATGCTAAGGAGACCTCCTCTCTTCTATTGGTTTTTCATTCACCATGATCTGTTAGGAGTGGCCATTATACACACTCAGTGGGTTTCAGGGCAATAGTGATTGTCATGATTGTCCTGACAACCCCAAAGCTGGAGGGAAATTCAATTATCACTAAAGCAATTCTGCACCATGAATGTGTTCAGGGGGATGGAAGGGCAGGACTGAGGGAGTTTTTGAAACTGTTCTGAAAGTCTATTTGCCATAGGACTTAGTGGCCTTTCTCCAGTGGCCTTTCAGCCCCCATTGTTGGAGCTGTGAGGCAGTTCTCCTTCCCCCACAGTCCACCTCCCTTAGAGCCAGAGGAGACAAAAGTGGAAGCACAGAAATGCCAATGATATATCAAAATAAAAAATGTCTGGGCACCAAAGGACACAAACAACAGAGTAAAAAGACAGGCCACAGAATGAGAGAAAACATTGGCAAATCATCTATCTGAGAAGGGGTTAATATCCAGAATATGTAAAGAACCCCTACAGTTCAACAACAACAAAAAACAACCCAATTCAAATGGACAAATGACTTGCATGGACATTTCTCCAAAGAAGATATATAAATGGCTAATAAGCACAGGAAAAGATCCTCATCACTAATGGTTAGGAAAAAGCAAATCAAAAACCACAATGAGATACCACCTCCCACCCATTAGCATGGCTACTATCAAGTTAAAAAAAATTCCAAAATAACCAATGTTGTGAAGGCCATGGAGAAATTGGAATGCTTGTGCACTGTTGATGGAAATGTAGACTGATACAGCTATTGTGTAACATGGTATGGTGGTTCACCAAAAAATGAAAAATAGAATTGTCAATGACCCAGCAATTCAATTTCTTGGTATATACCCAAAAGAATTGAAAGTAGGGACTCAAACATATATTTGTACTCCCATATTTATGGCAGCATTATTCACAATAGCCCAAAGGTACATGCAACCCAAGTGTCCAGTGAATGGATAACAAAATGTAGTATACACATACAATGGGATAAATTCAGCCTTAAAAAGGAAGGAAATTCCGGCACATGCCACATCATGGTTGAAACTTGAGGATGTTATATTGAATGAAATAAAGCCAGTTTCAGAAGGACAAATACGATATAATTCCACTTACATGCGGTACTTACAGTAGTCAAATTCATAGAGACAGAAAGTTGAATGGCAGTTGCCGGGGGCTGAGGGAAAGGGAGAATGGAGAGTTACTGTTTAATGGGTGACGAGTTTCAGTTTTGCAAGATCTAGAGATGGATGGTGGTGATGGTTATGCAACAATGTGAATGCACTTAACACTACTGAACTGTACTCTTAAAAATTGTTAAGATGGCAAGTTTCATGTTATGTGTATTTTACCATAAGTAAAAAATGCCAATGAATCCTGGCTTTTTTTTCTTAGCAAAGTGGACCAGTGATTCTTGGGAAAATAGCAGACTTCTTCTCTGAGAAAATAAATATATACAGAAAAATATCTCTTGGTTAGAAATTGGTCATATTCTCCATCATTGGCTGAGACATTGTTAAATCACAAAGAACTGACAACTCTAGCAATTATAGAAAAAGAGAGGGAGAAAAAGAGAGAGAGAGATTGCTTCCTAAAACAAATAAGATTAATATTATACTATGCAGAAATAAAAGAGACACTCTGCATTATGCTTAATTATTCATTGTGTGTGTGTTTGTGTATGCACATTACTAAAACATTTAGGACTGCAGTTCTTGACAGGTGGCAGGTGAGCCAAAGGTTGTATGTGAAAGGATTGTCAGAAACATGCACACAGATAGTCTAGTTCTGCACACAAAATTTAGAGAAACAGACCCAGTGTGAGGCTGCATGTGAATTAGAGGTCACAGCCTCTGTCAGATGAAGCATCCACCTAACCTCTGGTGCTGGGACAGGAAAAAGAGAAAAAATGGAGCATGGAGAACCTTTCCATCCTCTTTCCTGAATGCCTGGCCAGGAGGCCAGCTCTGGCTGCCGGGACACTTCCTGCCTTTTACAGCTTCCTCCACTTCTAAACACACAGGTTCATTTCAACTCCCGGGCAAAGGGGTGGGAGTGGTTTATTTACTCATGTTAAATTGGAACAATAATGAAATAATAGTGAAAAATTAACAGTGGGTGGCAATGCTTTGTAAAACGTGAAACAGATGTCTGTTTTCATTTATTTATATACCACTTTATTCTACAAAGAAACTGTGGTTGCTCCAACTGGAGAATAGAAAGTAGAACAATGGCCCCACATTAGCATGGCTCATTTCTGGCCAGCATAGTGTTTTTAATTTTTTATATTAGCTACTAAACATCTAACAATCAGGAGATTTCATATAAAAATTCAAATTTCAAGTTCTTTTAAAACATAGGAAACTCTGGCCATGTTGGTCCTATATTTGTTCATTCACTCAGCAAAAAATGTAGATTGGGTGACAATTCTGTGCCAGGCACTGTTCTGGATGCTGGGAATATAGCAGAGGTGAGACTGATAATAACCAAGTAGACAGATAAGTAAGATAATTACAGGAAATTGTAAGTGCTATGAATACAGCAGGGTTAGAGGATATGAATAAAGCAGAGTTAGAGGATAGAGACTGAGAATGGGGTGGGGGAGCCATGTTAGTTTAGCAGAGTGGCCAGGGAAGAGCTCTCTCCATTTGCCACAGTCCCCACCATGCCCTATTACTCCACTCCGGTCATTTACCAATACCTGCCTGGCAATTGGAGGCATCTCAGAGTTGGAGCTCTGCCATAAAATCATGGGAAATATAAACAAGAATTTAAATCAAGAACAAGGGAAATATGAGAATAGGATGATAAGACCAATAGAAATACAAACCAGGTATGGATGTCATAAGAGCCTTCATGACTGGTATAGTTGGGCATCAGATTCAACTGAGCTTCCTGGCAACCAAAGCAAAAGGGAAATATCCCCAATTACATCATTCTCATTTTTCAGAAAGGAATAAATAAAGCAATTCCTTTATAAGTACCAAGCTTTCCTCATCTGACTTGGAGTAGAAATTGAGTATATCAGCTTTATAAGAAAACTCTGAGTGAAATAGTAATCAGTATGAAATAGTAATCAATATCCTCACCAATGCATGCCCAGGAGTCTGGTATTTCATACGGTTTCAGATATTCATTCAAAACATCTTTATTGAGACACAGGTTCTACAGATGCCAACATGCCTGATATTTTTTTCTAGTGGCATACTTCACCTAAACTAAACTCAGGGAAGGTGGTCATGTGAGAGGCCAAGATAATGCAGTGTAGACCCCTTGTTCCTGCTGATCTCAATCCACAGAGTATTTGGGAGAATGAACAGAATGCCTCTCATTCAAACTATATTCC
Organism: Homo sapiens; assembly: GCF_000001405.40. Taxonomy (NCBI): domain Eukaryota; kingdom Metazoa; phylum Chordata; class Mammalia; order Primates; family Hominidae; genus Homo; species Homo sapiens. The sequence goes on along the minus strand of NC_000004.12, from coordinate 53,645,612 downwards.
TCCCATAAAGCTCTTTTCTGAGCTGGTTAGAGAGAAAGTAAAGATTATAATTAACAGTTCTTTGCAACGTGCCTCAATGTCTGCCAATCCTATTACTCAGAAGGCAATTTCAGTGGCCCTTGCTCTTTGGGCTTGAGTAGGCAAATCCACCTTCCCTTTTCTGGAATAGACCCCATTGGGTAACCCCAATGGTAGTGCACACTGACAACTTAATGCTGAGAACAGCCCACAGCAGGGAAGGCAATGACCAAATATCTTCATTCACCCTCTGCACAAGAGGGCTCTGCCAAACTCCAGGCTGGTGACCAAAGGCCAGGAAATCTAGCCTGTCTTCTAGAATGTTCCTGGGGAGCTCTGTCATGGCTCCAGCCTCCCGAGAGTTCCCTTGCCAAAGGAGCCCTTCCTCTGGATTCTTAATTTGTGTAAGGGCCACCGTGTATCCCGGAGTGTTTTTAGGTTACACTCCTGCCCCAGGAGAAAAACACAGGCAAAAATAGAGTTAAGCCAAACTTTCTGTTCTTTTTTGGCGTGGACACTGCCTGGCTGTGCCCTTATCACCTGGATCATCTTTTGGCTGTCTGGAGATTTCCTGGGCTCACTCTCCTGCTGTTGGCAAGAATTGAGGAGTTAGGTCTCAGGGCTGGGGCTAAGGTACTACTTCTCCCTCACTCTGTTGAAAACTGAGAAGCGCATTTTGACTGTGCTACTTGTAATCCTTACCCAGACTTCCTCCTCCCTGTTACCACATCTCTCCCTTACTCTGACTAAATATGCCCTTTGAGCCAACCTCACCAAACTGGTTCTCTGGGTTGGTAATAACGACCTTCCAGATATACTCTGAGCTCCCTCCAGCAGGAACCTCCCAGTCTCTGCCTGGCCATCTGGCAAGGAGGCCCTGCTGGTGCTGGGGTAACCTACCCAACCTGGGACACTATCCAAGTCACCTGACATGGAATCCCGCTCCCTCCTGGAATAGGACAGCCTATGAGTTCCCAGGTATTTGCTATGAGAGTCCCAGCTAGTGGTGTGTTTTCTGATAAACTTCATTGTGTAAATTTCTTATCATGGACTGCAAACTAACATATAGCATATGTCAACACAGGTACATAAATACTTCAATATATAATACATCAGTCTAGCTTAAGTCACTTTACATTTATTTCTTGTTTTGGGGTTTTGTTTGTTTTGTTTTTGTTTGTTCGTTTTGTTTTGAGATAGACTCTCACTCTGTTGCCCAGGCTGGAGTGCAGTGGCGTGATCTCGGCTCACTGCAACCCTCCACCTCCTGGGTTCAAGCGATTTTCGTGCCTCAGCCTCCCAAGTAGCTAGGGCTACAGGAGCATGCCACCATAACCATCTAATTTTTGTATTTTTAGTAGAGACAGAGTTTCATCATGCTGGCCAGGCTGGTCTCAAACTCCTGGCCTCAAGTGATTCACTCACCTCCCCATCCCAAAGTGCTAGGATGGATTACAGACATGAGCCACCGTTCCTGACCTCCATTTACTTTTTTTTATCACTAGAATGAAGTACAAAACATAGTAAGTGCAGTCTACCCACGGGGTTTTGCTTTTGAGGAGCAGGGATTATTATTAATAAGACTTTTAGAGTAAATAATTTTGTAGACTAATAAAAATGTACACCAACTGTGGCTGAGTGGCTAGAGAACACAGCTGGCAAGGTGCTTTGTGTCAGGTCATGCTCCATTCATGAAATAATAATAATCACTGTCACTTACTGAATTCTTCCCATGTGCTAGGCCCCAACAAACTTTTTACATGGTTTGACTTCTCTTGTTTAATTTTCATAATTCTGAAAAGTCCTATTGTTATTTCCATGTTTCAGGTGAAGAAACTGAGGTTCAAAGAGCTTTAGCAAGCTGCCCAAGGTTACCAGGCAGCAGGACCTGGGTTTGAAAACAGGTCTGTTACACTCCAAAGCTCTCAACAGGAGGGAGAAGGAAAATGAGGAGAAAGGGAAGAGAGAGGGCGAGAGGTCTTGGGCAGCTAGTTCTTCAGTCCCCTGAATTTTGTTACCCTATCTCTGTGTCTATATCACAGCCTTCTTGGATTAATGAACAAAGAACCCCTTTCTCAGACTACATCAGCCACCCTCTGTCCACTCTGCTTGACACCTGATTAGATCATAAAGACCAAGGTTTCTTGACCGGGATGGTGTCTCAGCCCTGTAATCCCAGCACTTTGGAAGGCCAAGGTGGGAGGATCACTTGAGCCCGGGAGTTTGAGATCAGCCTGGGCAACAGAGGGAGACCCTGTCTCTACAAAAAACTTAAAAATTAGCTGGCATGGTGGCATGCGTCTGTGGTCCCAGCTGCCCAGGAGACTGAGGTGGGAAGATTGCTTGAGCCTGGGAATTTGAGGCTGCAGTGAGCCATGATCGTGCCATTGCACTCCAGCTTGGGCAACAGAGCAAGATCCTGTCTTAAAAAAGAAAAAAAAAAGACCAAGATTTCTTGACTCAACAATACTAGCATTTGGGACTGAATAATTCTTTATTGTGGGCAGCTGCCTTGTGCATTGTAGAATGTTCAGCAACACCCTAGGCTCAACCTATTAAATGCCCATAGCACTCCCCAAGTTGTAACAACCAAAAATGTCTCCAGTCAATGTTAAGTGGCCTCTGGAGGGCAAAATCACCCCACACAGAGAACCATTACACTAGACACACCCAAAGGCAAAAGGAGACTAAAGTTACACCCAGGCGACCATAACGGTCCTCAGAGGGTGGGAGCTTCCATGCCATGGCTGGGAGGGATCTGGGGATTCTTCAAGTGGAGCGACCCCTCTCATGGTCATGGCACCATTCTGATCTCAAAGTAAGCAGAGACATCCAAGACTATAGTCAACCCAAAGGAAACCTCAGACCCCGCAGGCTTGCTGATTTTGGTGAGTAGAGCAAGGGATCTCTCCAAAAGGCCAGTGTTTGTGATTGGCCTTCCCAGTTCTGGCAGAAAATCTGTGTACACCCAGAAAATGCTCTTTCTTTCCAGAGCTATCTCTGTAGCATTGATTTGACCCCAAGCATATAAAGAATAACCGTGCCACATATGACTTTAGAGTGTACAGGGTATGTGGGAAGGGCCCCTAGCTGGTGCTGGCCCCTCAGGACCCATCACAAAGTGGTCAATGGCCAGGAGACCCTTTGTCCTAGGCCCCACATTGAGCTTCAAATTCAAAATCCTGATATCATTTCCAGTGTTACCTACATGTTGAATTTTTAATATGTTCAAAAGCATGTATACATTTTAAATATAGCATATTTTATAGGTCTATTTTGGGATTCCTTCTTTCATTTTTAATATCCCAAGAACTTCAAAAAGTGGAAATGGTCTGGGCCTGCTTTGACCTTTTTTTTTTTTTTTTTTTTTTAAGATAGGATTTTGCTCTGCATTGCCCAGGCTGGAGTGCAGTAATGTGATCATGGCTCACTGCAGCCTCAACCTTTTGAGCTCAAGCAATCCTCCCATCTTAGCCTCCCAAGTAGCTGGGATCACAGGCGTGTACCACCAAACCTGGCTGATGTTTTTATTTTTTGTAGAGATGAGTTCTCCACTATGTTGCCCAGACTGGTCTCTAACTCCTGGCCTCAAGCAATCCTCCTGTCTTGGTTTCATGGCAGGTTTCTTGGTAATAGCCTCAGACTGGAAACAACCCAAATGCCCATCAACAGGTGAATGAATAAACAGACTGTGCTGTGTCCACACAATGCAATACTAAGCAGAAAAAAAGGAATGAACTGTTGATACCTACAATATGAATAAATCCTGAAATTATCATACCAAGTGAAGTAAGCCAGACACCAAAAAGAATACACAATGTTTGATTTCATTTATATGGAGTTCTGGAATGTGCAAGCAGTCTAGTTATAGAAAGCAGATCAATACTTGCCTGGGGACCTGGTGAATGGGGAGTGAGAGGGAGAGATTACAAAGAGAAAGAAAATGAATTTGTTCCTTGATTGCAGTGATGATTTCATGGGCATATATGTATGCCAAAATTGATCAGATGCACAAAATTAAATATGTGCATTAGGTTGAACCCCTGGGTATTGTGGGGTGGGGAGAAACAGAGGCATGGTCGTTAGGTCCACCTGGGTATTTTGTCCATTTCTCTCGTCTTTGGCTGAGCACAGAGGTTGTAGCCATTCCTCTTCAGCACTGCCTGGATAATGTTACTAGAGTGAAGTGTGAGAAACTCATTAAAAATTCATCAGCTTATTGGTGGGTGAAAGCCCTGCTGTGGCACCCTCTCACTTTCTCTGAAGAGCGCCTCTTATCTGGGTAAGTCCCCTCTTGGGGCCAGAAGAGATTAGATCAGAATGCACTGGATATATTTGCATAGCTAGAAATCCCTCCTTCTTAGAGAGTAAAGGAGGTGCCCCCCCACCCCGCCCTTCCCCAGAACAGAGAAAGTGGCCAAGCAGCTTGGATCTCCTCCAGCATACCCAGGCCAAAAAACCATGCCACATTCCAGTGTTCATTGAGGAAATAAAATGCACACACACAAGCATACACACATAGAGCAGTAGCCTGTGCCGAGTCGCCTCCAAGGCTGGGGTCTGCAGGTGCAAGCTCCAATTAGCAGCCAGCCTTCCAATACCTTTTCATCCCAAACAACGGCCAGGCCTCAGCCCCGGCCAGGGATTGAGGAAGGCCCCGGAAGGACTGCCGACGAGACTGAGAAAAACAAAGACTGTCCAAATAAAAGTAGCTCATGTGAGTCGAACCTGAAACCCAGCTTCATTTTCAAAACCTCTTGTGAGAAATAGTCAATGCACAATTTTGTGAAAAATCAGTTACTGGTCACAGGAAAGAAACTGCCTTCAAAGGCCCTCCAGACCTAAGTCATCAGAGGCAGTTTTCTTTTGCAAACCAGCTAGGCACAGTATTTCTATAACAACACAGTCTTAATTGTTCCTACTGTTGACAACAATTCCCCTAAACTAATATATTTTGGGGGTTATGGATGTATTGTGGTTCTCCTGCAACTGGTGGCTCTTTATTGCTAATATCACATCAAGGCTTAAACAAAAGCACTTTTGATTCTTTATTTTTAGCAATGAAATGTATGTGTTTTCATATGCTTGCCAGTGCTCTATCCTAAGCAGAGAAGCACTAAGGCCATAGACTCACTTTCTTCATTCCTTCTCTCCCCCCATTTTTTTCTGTTTACTTTTTACTGAGAAGGCTACAGAGCTTATACAGAGGTCCATCCTTCCTCTGTAAGCATCTCGGCCTGTTCCACAGCTAAGGATGCTCTCCCAAAGAAAGACTTCTCTATCATTGTCTCCTTGTGGGCTCCCTGGTCTGCTTTTCCACCACTGCCATGCTCTGTTAGGCAGTGCTTCCTCGCCTTCCTGACAGTCGTTCTTGTTTTTAATACGTAAATCTACAAAGAAATGCCAACAATTGGAAATGGGAACAAAAGAATGTTAAAAACCTATACTCCCACCACCACTGTCATTCTATTTTTCTGTTTCCTTCCAGATCATCAGGCATACTTTTGTCTACTTGGTATATGTATATAAATAATTCTTTTTTATTTTTATTTTTTTTTGAGACAGAGTCTCACTCTGTTGCCCAGGCTGGAGTGCTGTTCAGTGGTGCAGTCTCAGCTCACTGCAACCTCTGCCTCTGGGTTCAAGCAATTTTTGTGCCTCAGCCTCCCAAGTAGCTGGGATTATAGGCATGCGCCAACATGCCTGGCTAATTTTTTTTATTTTTAGTAGAGACAGGGTTTCACCATGTTGCTCAGGCAGGTCTCAAATCCCTGACGTCAAGTGATCCACCCGCCTCGGCCTCCCAAAGTGCTGGGATTACAGGCATGAGCCACTACACCTGACCTAAATAACTCTTGATTATGCCTCTGACTTGGCTTCTCCACTGTGTTTGCAGTCATGAGATATGAACAGCTGGTAAGTGGGCGACAGAAGAAACAGCCCTTTTGATACTTTAGGACCCCAAAACAGTCCATTCTACTTAGCAAGAATGAAGTTGGGTTCCTGTGAGCCTTTGTTTGCACCATTTTCATCAGCCAATCAATAAATAACCTTGTTTAATGTACGTTTCTGTTTCAAGATGCCTTATTTTTTCTGGGATATTAACATTTTTAATTAAAGAAAATTTATTAGGAAGCAGATTTTAAATAAATATAAGGAAGAATTTTTTTTTAGGTTTGGGGTACAAATGATCCTGTCACCCAGGTACTGAGCATAGCACCCAATAGTTTTTCAATCCTTACCCCCACTCACTCCTCCCTGCTGTAGTAGTACCCAGTGCCTATTGTTGCCATCTTTATGTCCATGAGCACCCAATGTTTAGCTCCCACTTACAAGTGAGAACATGCAGTATTTGGTTTTCTGTTCCTGTGATAATTCAATGAGAAGAATGGCCTCCAGCTGCATGCATGTTGCTGCAAAGGACATGATTTTGTTCTTTTTCATGGATGCATAGTACTTCATGGTGTATATGTACCATATTTTCTTTATCCAATCACCATTGATTGGCACCTAGGTTGGTTCCATGTCTTTGTTATTGTGAATAGTGCAGCAGTGAACATGCAAGTATGTGTCTTTTTGGTAGAACAGTTTGTTTTCTTTTGGATATATATCTGTAATGGAATTGCTGGGTCAAATGTTAGTTCTGTTTCAAGTTCTCTGAGAAATCTCCAAACTGCTTTCCACAGTGGCTGAACTAATTTGCCTTCCCACCAATAGTGTATAAGTGTCCCCTTTTCTCTGCAACTTTGCTAACATCTGTTGTTTTTGGCTTTTTAGTAATAGCCATTCTGACTGGGGCACCTTATTTAATACACCAATTTTGAGCTCATGGCCAACAGCGCTATAACTCATGCCTGAATGATGCTTCTCTAACATAGATACTTCCTCTGTAAGGTACATCACAGTTTTCTGGAGCTTAGGAACATTTGGCAGCACTTCAGCATTATGCTTCGGGGCCATTTTTACAGCAAAATCACCAATGAAGAGCACAAAAATGAGGAAAAACGGGGCACTAAGTAGTCTGCAAAGAGAACACTTGCTGATAGTATGAAAGCTGACACAAGAAGCCAGAGCGTCACTGTTGGACCTCAGCTGGGAACACGTGCATCCCATGACTTAAAGTTTCGCTGCTTTGAGCATGCCCACAAATAACCACAAAAGCACCATGAGCATTGAGTTTGGGGTTACAATTCAATTTTATCAAGGAGGCAAATTCACAACTATGGAATCTGCAAATAATAAGGGTTGACCAATTGACTATACCTATATTGTACAGTCTTGCTAACTAGAATTGACTGTTCTGCATTATTAAAGTATCGAAAGGTCTATTTCTTCTGCTGTCAACTTACCAGCCATTCATCTCTCATGACTGCAAACCCAGCAGAGAAGCCAAGTCAGAGAAATAATCAAAAGTTATATATATGTAAACATATTAATTAGACACAAAATATGCCCAATGACAAGATCTGTACCTATATTGTATTAATGCAGTATATCATGATGACAGGAAGCAAGTGGTCATTCATATTTCCCTCTGAAACTAGTTTGTTGTTTCTTGTTAAAATGCCACCATCGTGGCTGCCATCTATCAGTGATAAATCATTTCTTCTAAAGTGGTAGTTTCAAGAATACACAGTGGGAGCCTTCTCTCTTGCTTCCAAGATCAACTTCAAAATCACTAGGTCTGGTTGGGTGGAGTCCATTGGGTTGAAGTTAGAAGGTGCGACTTTGAGTGGTGGTCTAATCTCCGTCAGCAGCCTAGTCTTTAACACAGCAGAAATTTCCTCATCTGCAAAAGGGAAAGTCCATATTTCATTAATTCTAAGACACTCCTTCTTTTACATTTTAATATCTCAGAAACTGGCTGTGTTTTGGTTTATGTAATTGATGGTGTGTTGTGGATTAATTGGCAGTATTCTGTTTTCTTTCTGGGTGGGCACAAAAAATAAGGTTGCACATTCTACCCTTTGGCATCTTAGAAGTGATGAAATTCTGTAGTAATGAAACAAGCCTACCTTACAGTGTCGTGGGGATTGAGCAATGCTACAACTTCACAGAGTTGTGAAAAAGTAAATAACATGTGAAATGACAGGTGTAGTGCAAAGCATTTGGAATTAAGGAATTATTATCATGACTGTATTTTCTTACTCCTAGAATCAGTGAATCTTTTACTTTTGACATTACTAAGGAACATCATAAGAGCTGCACCATGGACCCCTATGATTCTAATTAGATTTTTTTCAAGCAGTGGTTGGTACAAAGAGATTCATTTAGTGGGTCATAAAATCTTGTGTCATTGGAAAGAGATCCCCAAGAGTTTGAGAACTACAGCTGTGAAGAAAGTAAAACACAAGTTTCTTAGGGGCCAAGGCAGTCCTTTCTTGACCATGATGCTGCAATCATGATGTTGTGTTTTGGTCCAATTATTGGGATCCTCTTATACTTATGAGATTTTTTTTGCCAGTGCAAATTGGGTTTCCTCTCATCAAACTGCTTCTGTCTATGCTGTATGCTCTTAGCAGTAACAGGAGAGTGAAACAATTGAGGCGGTAATTCAGTCCTAAACTATTAATATAACCCAAGATTCTTCCATCTGTGTCATCCAAATCATCATCTCAGTTGCCATTTTTGCTTTCTTGGGGAGGGAGGGAGGGAACCTGCGGTCTGCATACAAGATAAGTGTATAACACCTTCACTCCAAACAGATGTTTTAAACTACAGAACATGACCCTGTATCCTTGTTCACATTTGTTTGCTTTTTGATGTAAAGGGAGAATATGAATCCAAGAAATTTCACTGGAGTCTAAATATGGACATAGGATGGAATCAGCTAATTGGGTGTGTAAGATGAAAAGGGAGCTGAGGGTTTGCTCCCTGATAGGAAAATGTGGAGGCTGCTTTATCTGCTGTCCTATTGCCAAATTACTATCAAAGTAAGTGAATAAATGGAAGTGGGTAGAAACCCAGGGTCTATCAGGCTGCTTCTATGTGCTGGTCATTTTGTATAACTGTTTTGACACACCACAATATGGGCATTATCATCTCCATTTTATGGTTCAAGGACCTGATACTTGAAGGTGAAATGATTTGCTTAAGGTCACTCAAGCCCTTCTGCCTCAGAGCCCTCCTTTTTCTACTCTGAGGGACAAGAATGTCTCACCAGAGTCCCAAAGATGCCTCACAGTTCCTCTGCCAGCATTTCTCCTGTGATCTTCTCTGAAGGGCTTTTCAACCCTGGCCACTTTATCCTCATTGTGTTCTTCTTACCACAGTGATGTGTGGAAGGAGGTGCATGCTAATTTTTTCAAGACAATGAAGTTTTGTTTTTGCTCGACCGAGGCAAGCATGCATCCATCCCTCTTTCACCACCACTCCTTCTCCCCTGAAAAGGAAAAAAAAAAAAAAAAAAAAAAAAGGAGTAATAGATGTGCAGTCTCTGAGATCCCTCTTTGATTTCCACTCTGAATTGCAGGCATTGTCCTCAGTAGTTATTATTTTTGGAGTGCCGACCAATAAAGTTCAGCATCTCCTTCATGTAAATGTAGCACTGCAACACAGAGATTTTAACTGACCTGCCCAAGGTCACACAGGAATTAGCAAAGGGGCCAGAAGTGGAGCCTAATGCTTCTAATTCCCCATCACTGGCCGTATCAGCCCACACTGCTATTTTATGCACACTTAGTAAATATTTACAGCTTGAAATACCTTCCCAGCTGCAGTTAGGACAAGAAGTACTCTCATATATTTGTATTCATTTGTAAAACAGATGTGAGAAAACATAAACTTGAATTACTGGGCACAGTCTCTCTGATATTAAAAGCACTAGGTTAAAACCTGGGAGTGCCGAGATTATAGGCTAATATTTTGTCCTTTTCAATCTCTTGGTTGTTTCTTCCTGTTTTGTATATAAAATGGCTTGTTTTTCATGAGTTGCATAGAATCATTAAACTGATTTAATTGATCAAATCATACCCTTACTTCCCAATAGACATTTTTTACATTAAAGCATAAAACAGAGCTAATAACAGATTAGTCCTATTTTTCTTTATAATAATATTAAAATAATTGCAATATATTAATACCAAATGGACTCATTCTATTCTAATTATAAATATTCATTAGTATAAAATACTTGAGGAAAAAGAACATCAATCTAAATGAAAATTTATATTTTCAAAATGTGATTCTTTTAAACTTTGTAGTGAGTTACGTGAGACAACCCTAATTCAAATTAATTAAAGGAAGAGGAATTTTGTTGGCTCACAAAACAGGCACATCCGGAAGGGGGGATCTAGTTCAAACAACGTCAGTGCTTTCCTTCTCTCTCCACATCTGGCCTCTGCACTATTCAGCTTTGGAGTCTAATGGTATCATTCTGCCCATCCTCACCCCATGTGACAAGAAAGATAAGAGGTGTGGGAGCGGGGGCTTATCTGAACTGCTTGTTTTCAAAAAGGCAGAGAGGGGCTGGGCACCATGGCTCATGCGTGCTATTCCAGCACTTTGGAAGACTGAGGCAGGAGGATTGCTTGAGCCCAGAAGTTTGAGACCAGCCTGGGCAACATAGTGAGACTTCTTGCGTACAAAAAATAAATCTAAAAATTAGCTGTATATGGTAGTGTGCACCTGTAGTCCCAGCAACATGGGAAGCTGAGGCAGGAGGATCAATTAAGCCCATGCAGTGAGCTACGATCCCATGATTGCACTCCAGCCTGGGTGACAGAGTGAGACCCTGTCTCTCTTAAAAAAATAATAATAATAAAAAATTAAAAAAGAAAAAAAAACAGAGAGGGCTACTTCCCAGGACAAACATGCCAGGGAAGACTCCTGATTGACTTAGTAAACCGCCACCCCTCGGAGCAGTCCCTGTGATCAGAGAGAAATGGACTACATTCAACTGTGAGGCTGGGTCATGTGCCCACCCTTCCTGCATGAGAGGTAGTAAGTAGGTTGGCCAATTCCCCACTGTGATTGTAGCTCCACCAGTAGAGATGGTACTCCCAGAGGAAAGGGAGTACTCATGCAAGAAGAAGAATAGAAAACCGAGCTGAGCCTGGGGGCGGTGGCTCACACCTGTAATCCCAGCACTTTGGGAGGCTGAGGTGGGCAGATTGCCTGAGCTCAGGAGTTCGAGACCAGCCTGGCCAACATGGTGAAACCCCGTCTCTACTAAAATACAAAAAGTTAGCCAGGTCTGGCAGCGTGCACCTGTAGTCCCAGCTACTCGGGAGACTGAGGCAGGAGAATTGCTTGAACCTAGGAGGTGGAGGGTGCAATGAGCTGAGATCCTGCCACTGTACTCCAGCCTGGGTGACAGAGACTCCATCTCAAAAAAAAAAAAAGCCAAGCTGGACAGATAAAAACATGTTAATTATCTCAGCCCATTCCACTGGGCTTGTGAAAATCATAATTACAATAAAAATCCAATTGAGCAGGTGGTATTGGGTGCACAAGGCTAATGTGTGACTTTGAGATTTCCTGTCTTCTTCATTGTAGAGCATTATTATGGAGTACATGATTTATCGCATACTTCCTGCCCTATTGAGCTGATTTGCAATGGTTTCAGAGTGTTATTAACAAGAATATTAGTAACAAAATGCATTGTTTTCCATCAGCTTCTGCACTGGGTGTGGGTGCTTTCCAGATCATATTTTAGGAACTCTAGGAGACCCTTTGTGAAGTAGCTGGCACACATTTCACTGTCGGGCTTTTCTGGTGATGCAGAAACACGGCCCTAAGAAGGTTATGCAATCTCCCCAAAGTCCCACAGCTGGTTTGTGGCTGAGGCTGTAAACTCTCATCTTAGTGCCTGACTGTGGCAATCAGCTCTCTTCTGGGCCACCACTTGGCCCAGAGGAGGAAGATGGATGAGGGCGCTCATGTCAAACACTAGCCTAATCCATTTTTAATGGCCTTTATTTTCATCTCGTGAGGAAAATAGCATAGCCTTCCCTGGCTAAACACTAGTTCAGGAAAAGCCACAAACCAGCCCCCTGAGTCTTGTTTACAAAAATGAACCCAACCTAACTCTGCCTAGCTGGCAAAAACTGATAAACTCATGGCAGCTTCCCTGGCCATAGCCCACGGAACAAGGATCAGTATTTCTGAGTATTGTCATGCATTTTTCTTAGTTTATCATGGCCAGAAGAAGTGAAAAACACTGTAAAAAATGAGATGAAGAAATCCTGGGAAGAAGCAATAATATGAGGAAGATATAAAAAGGAGAAGAGAAAGAGAATAGAGACTAAGAAAGTTATTGTGCATGGGGGACCAAAGAGGATAGTGCAGAACCATGCGTGGATGGGGGTGGTAGCCAAGTTCCAGCAGGCAAGGGAAGCTGCCATTACTGAATCCCTGTTATGTGCCATAGGTTTTCACATCCATTTTCTCATCAAATTTAATGTGATCATCACAATATCCTTGCAAGGGATGTGTGGCCATCCTGCATTATATAGAGAGGGCAATAGAGGATCATAGAGTCCATATAACTTGATGGATTTAAGCAGCTAAAAAGTGATGATGTTGGGGCTGAACCCAGACATTTCCGATCCCAAAGTTTATGTTCTTTCCACCCCGAACTCCCCACCACTCACACACTAATGATGTCTTGTCTTAGGACAGGTTGTCTAGAAGTAGAACCTACAAAAGGATTCTTGTACATAGGATATATCTTGAGGAAGTGTAATCAGGAGGAGGGGAGTAAGAAAGAAACCTACTAAAGAAGACCTGGAGAAACAAATGATTCCTGAAAATCTAGTTCCACTTTACATTTGATAGGAAATGTGACCAAGTTGCTGTTCCTTGTCTGTTGTCCATAGAGGCCTCTTTTCCTCTTCCTAGGATACAGATCCCAATATAATTCCAAATCTCCCTAACCTGATATGGTTCCCCATGGCATAGTTTAAAAATCCTCAAGCCAGTGTTTTTTCAAACCAGGGAAGTGTTCTTAGCAGGAGGGCAGCAAGATAGAGCAGGGAAAATTCCAAGCAAAGATACAGCCTCAACTACCTAGCTTTAGCCTGATCCGACAGGGAACATGAATTGCACCCCAGAATTCATCCTGCCATGAGGCAAAGGAGCTGGACTTTTGTACCCTAGTCAGTCGATCATTGTCTGACTGACCCTCTTGGCTGAAGCAAGAGTGTAGGGGGTAACATCTCAAGGGAGCAGCTATTTAGCAGAAGGCAGGTGTCTGAGAAGGGAGGCAGCCATAAGCCATCAGCAGCCACACTCTCAGAAGCTAGGAGATGGGAGTCTGGGCAAGGCAACAGCAGCCACTGCACATTCTGCTGTCAGCTTCCCACTGTGAGAGAAAAGGGAGGATGGGAGCCCAGAAGAGAAAGTACCACTGTCCTGGTGGTCCCTGAAAACCCCACTCTAAGTGCTGATGTCAGTTCCAAAGACCTGGCCACCGCAGCGGCCAGCCTCAGGCAGTGGACCTCATGCTGGGGGAGGTCTCCTCATAATGCAGCCCTAGGTCTGCCCTTGGTACCATTCTGCTCCCTTCAATGACCCACCTCCCTCCACTCCAGGTCAAGATTCAATGGATTAGAAGAACCAGCGGACCCAGGAGCTTTGGCCGCTCCTTCTCCACATTCATACATTAATCCCCAACTCTTTCTCCACTCTCCTTTCTTTGCTTTTCTTCAGCAGATTTTACTTAAAATTTTCAAACATCTAACAACTATAGAATTACACCGAGTCAAGGATTCTCAAGGACTTAAAAAAAAAAAGGCTCAGGCTCCACCTCCAAAGAGACTCTGAATTGATTAGCTTGGGATTTCTTTCATGTCCCTGGGGTGACTGTTTGCAGCCAGGTTTGAGAATCACTGAAACAAGCCTTCCTCAGTCACTTTGGGCCTACATATTAGAATCACCTAGGGCATTAAAAAAATATATCCATGCTTGGGTCTCATACCCTGGAAATTCTGATCGATGGTCTTAAGTTGTGGTCTGACATCAGGGACTTCTTAAGTCTCTCGGATACTTGTAATGTGTAGCCAACATGAAAAACCACTGGCTTGAGGATTTTTTAAACTATGCCATGGGGAGGCATATCAAGTTAGGGAGATTTGGAATTATATTGGGATCAGTGTCCTAGGAAGAGGAAAAGAGGCCTCTATGGATAATAGGCAAGGAACAGCCAACTTGGTCACATTTCCTATCAAATGTAAAGTGGAACTAGATTTTCAGGAATCATTTGTTTCTTCAGGTCTTCTTTAGCAGGTCTCTTTCTGCTGAAGGCCCACAGGGAAGTTCCCTTCTTCTGCCAGAAATAGTGGGTGGAAAAGGGTGTTTCGTTGTACCTGAAATTAAGCCCAGAATTAATTTACTCAGTCCAAAGAGTCCAGGCTCCTGCATTATCCCACCCCACTCCCGATCCTTCACTCTCACCAGGTAGTGGGGAAGACAAACTGTCTCCCCCTGGGTACTAAAACTGTCTCCAAGTAGCTGCATCCCTTAACTCCATGGGCGACTTCCTCCTCCTCTATCCCTCACACACACTTCTCTATATTGACCCAGCGGTCCATAGAACTGTACTTTTGGCCCAGGAGCACTTACTGCAAGGTTCTGGCTCATTTCCCCTGTTGGTTTACCTGACCGGCTTGCCCAGGTTGACCTCTGCAACCAGGTAAGCCCTGATCCACCCTGGTGGATGGTTCCCATGCCCTATCCTAGTTCCCCTTCCCAAATTCTAAAAGCTGATGCAATTGTTTCTTGATATTTGAGGTAACTTAGTTCTTTAAAATCACTGCAAACACTGAATTAGCAAATTCTGAATCATTGCTCCTAGAGGAACTACCACGTTAGCTTCCTATGATCCTCTGGTGACAACATTTTTATCAGCCAATCAATACATAAGCTGTTTTATATGTGTTCCTATTTAAATACACCGCATCTAATATATGTTGTTGGTTCACTAACATCAAACTCATAGCCAATAGCACTGTGATGCGTGCCTGAAGGAAGTTTCTGTAATGCATGTATTTTCTCTGGAAGCTACATCACAGCCTTCTTGCACTTAGGAACACCAGGCGGCACTTCAGCACCATGCTTGGGGCCATTTTAAACAGCAAAATCACCAAGAAAAAGCACAAAAATAAGAAAAAAGTGGCACTAGTAGACAGCAAAAAGGACACTTACATCCAGTATGAGGGCTGAAACAAGAAGGTCACCTTGTCTGAACTCTGCTGGTAATGTGTGTGTCCTTTCACTCCAATTTTTGCTGCTCTGAGTATGTCCACAAATGACTGTGAAAACACCGTGAATCCTGATCTGGGGGTTACAAAAAAATTTTAGCAAGTAGCTAAATTCATAACTATGAAATCCACAAATAATAGGCTCGACTGTATAAATACCCAATTCTGAGTAACAAAACATTTTAATGACTTGCTGTTAATTTGAAAGTCCCTGTTTTAAGCAGGAGCTCCTGGAATACTCTCTAGCACAGGGTAAAGGGAAAACTTACATGGTTGTTATTCCCACCCGCATGCCCCCCCCACCTTTTTTTAATGAAGAAACTATTTTCATGGGAAAATACTCATGTTTTCAACATGATTAAGTGTCTTCTTTTTTGCTGGACCAGTAAAACTTAGTAGAAAATATTAGTATAGGTACAAGGTGGAGATTTTGGCTTTTCAATGGAACAGTGTTTTGGAGGAATGAGAAGAATTGATGTATTGTTGTCTTTATTGTGCATACATATAGAGGATAAAGCAGCATCACTCATTTTAAAAATCAAACCAAGGCGTACCTGCAATATTTTTTAAAAATAAAACCAAACAGAAGGGCTCTATCCAAGTCAGGGGTGTTGGCCTCCACATTTTCCAGGTGACATCAGCTGGGAAGAGCTGCAGTCCATCCACCCTACCACCTCTGATTACCCTAAAAATTGAACAAACACAGAGCAGGAGTGTCTTTTTTCCCATCCTCCAGGTCTGAGCCTGTCCCTTACCTCCCATTCAACTCTGTTGCTTCATCCATGGCCAAATGGCTTTGCCACTGGTTTCGAGCAGCTTTGGGCAGGGCTGCAGTTTGTGGTGCAGACAAGCCATTTGGAAGGCAGACTGCATCTTTTACAACATACTTTCTCTCCAGGTCCTGGGATGAACCCAAGCTTTGGCAGGGCCTGGGACATTTTGAAAAGAATGGGCCAAAGCAAGGACAGAAAGATCCAGGGTGAGCTCTTAGCACTGCAAGTCTGCCTCTTTGCCAGAGTCAGCCTAAACCTGGTCTGTTTCTTGGTGGTTGGGGCCTTGCAGCCATTATTCTGGTTTCTGCTGGGGACAGTTTCCAGTTCCTGGATGCACCCAGGGGTGGCTGGAGACAGGGAGGAGGGACCTTTAGCCACCCCTCTATTTCGGTAGCCCCCTAATCAATCCAGACAAACATTCTAAACCTGTATATTTGCCGTGGACAGTGTCTCAAGAAGAGACTTTTTGTTTGTGGTCTGTTTTTCACATTTATTTCAATAGCTTTGGGGGTACAAGTGGTTTATGGTTACATGGATTAATTATGTAGTGATAAATTCTGATATTTTAGTGCACCCATCACCCAGGTAGTGTATATTGTACCTAATGTGTAGTTTTGAATCTCATATCCACCTCTCACCCTTTCCCTTCTGAGCCTCCATAGTCCATTATCTCGCTCTGTATGCCCTTGTGTATCCATAGCTTAGCTCCAACTTATAAGTGAGAACATGCAGTATCTGGTTTTCCATTCCTGAGTTACTTTACTTAGAAAAATGGCCTCCTGCTTCGTCCAAGTCATTGTAAAAGACATTATTTCATTTCTTTTTATGGCTGAGTAGTATTTCAGGGTATACTTGTACCACGGTTTTTAAATCCACTCATTGGTCAATGGGCACTTAGGTTGGTTCCATATCTCTGCAATTGTGAATTGTGCTGCTGTAAACATACAAGTGCATGTGTCTTTTTCACATAATGACTTCTTTTCCTTTGGGTAGGTACCCAACAGTGGGACTGCTGCGTCAAATGGTAGATCTACTTTTTGTTATTTAAGGAATCACCATACTGTTTTCTATAGAGGTTGTGCTTTACATTCCAGCCAGCATTCCCCTTTTGTCACATCCACAATGCTTCTACTGTTTTTTTGACCTCTTAATAATGGTCATTCTTGCAGGAGTAATATGGTGTCTCATCATGGTTTTAATTTGCATTTCTCTGATGATTAGTGATGTTGAACATTTTTCCATGTTTCTTGGCTATTTGTATAACTTTTTTTGAGAAATGTCTATTCATGCCATTTGCCTACTTTTTGATGGGATTGTTTTGTATTGCTAATATGTTTAAGTTCCTTGTAGATTCTGAATACTAATACTTTGTTGGATGCATAGTTTGCATATATTTTCTCCTATTCTGTGGGTTGTCTGTTTCTCCTGATGATTATTTTCAAGAAGAGTCTTACCTGCCTCTACCCTTCCAACCAAATGTCTGCTGCAAAACTCTGCCCAGTAGAAATTCTCCAGATGATTTGGTGTTTAGTGGATTTAATTTTCACTCCCACTTGAAAATTTGAAGAGGCACTAAAGAAAAATGCCTTCAAGTTGGAGTGTTGTAAACCGATATCCATGATTTCCTCCTTTGGTTCTTTCCTAAATGCACTTTTTTCCTCAGAGACTTGTGAAGTCAGAATGATGTAAATCCAGGGCCCACTTGACCCAGAGCTTAACATTCATCCCATTGAAACCCTCATCTTCAAATCTCCCAAAGGGGCATGCAGAAGGAGAACTGGCTAATGAGGAGGGTTTCTGCTCTAACTCAAGCACTTCTAGACCGTCTTTTAGGAGCAGTAAAGTCAATAGAGGGTTAGCAGGTGCTGATTCAATGTGCTGTGTTAGTTAAATCTGAACAGATATGGCATCCATCCTCAGAGGTGTGCTGACTCAAGACTGGCCTATCTCTAAGCACATGCAAAGGAGAAAAATTACTCACCTCTGTGCATTTATTTAAAAATTATTTTTCTAATTTGAATTTTCTTTTCTTTCATTTGACAGGATTCACTTTATTAGAGTTAGGGGGCATCAATTCAGAGCAGAAAATCTTGTTTTGTTGATCTGTGGTTGAGTTACTTTCAACATAAGAGCTCACCATTAGTAGGAATTCTCATTGAAATAATGTGAGAGTCAACCCAAGTTATTTGGAAGGGAATTAAACTTTCAAGATTGCTCAACCCTGTTAGAATCAGTTTACCAACACTTGACTGCGCTTTTCTTACAAATGTTAATGAGTAGTTTACATTGGGAAGGAAGATAAACACATACTGAGGACCACCCTGTACCTTCAAAGGCCGTGAAAAGAGATTAAGTGAACAGGGAACCTCCAAGGTCATCAAAAACTCTAAACTCTGTTCCCATCATACAATCTAGGGAAGACTCATTAAGCCAGCTACGCTTTCCTTCTCCCTGAAACCACCATTATCCTGTGAGACCAAGGCTGGCTACAAAGCTTGAAATGTTCTGTGAAAACCCAGTAAGTGTACCTGGGGCAAAGGAAGCTGCAGAGGACAAGAGGAACTCCTGCAGAAGCGTGCAGTGCTCCCACACCCCACTCCTGTCCAACCAAACCAAACTGGGATCCCCGGCCAATCTTTATAATACATTTTGTCAAAGGTGTATGATGAGTAAAGGTTCAGTCTTCCCAGGCTTCCCAGGCTAAACAGCAATGCTTCTAGCTTCAATTTCCATTTCAGACTGTTGGCACAGATGGGTGCATGGTGTGGTTTTTATTAGATTTCAAAAGTAAACTTAATACTCAAGAATTTGGTTTTTATGATTATAAGCTCTTTTCTGAAACCCTTAAGAAACCCTGGAGCTTTCCTTGGATCACAAAAGAGCTGAAGAAGAGCTCATTTCCTTCTTTTTTTTGGTTTGCCTATTTATGGCAAAAAGAGCAACGTAAAGAAATAACTTTTGAATGAGAAGAGATGTAACTTTCTGTATTGGCTAGCTCCCAATTTTGTCAGCATTCATAAGGCTTCTGATGCCCTGCTAAGCTGTTCTCTACACTGAAGCCAGGTGATCTTTTCAAAATGCTGTTATGCCTAACACTAGCATAGTCCCTTGCTCAATGCATGCTCAACAAAGACTTGGTAAATGAACAAATGAGGAAATGAACACTAGGTTGCAGAGAGCTAATTTCTACTTTTTAAAAGAGCTTTATTGAGTTATAATTCACATACCTAAAATTTACCCTTTTAAAGTGTACAATTCATTGTTTTGTAGTATATTTATTATATGAGGGTTATGCAACCATCACCACCATTAAATTTCAGAACATTTTTATGACCCCAAAAAGAAACTCTGGACCAATTTGTGATCTTTTTCTATTCCCACCCCACCTCTGCTCAGTCCTTGAAAACGAACATATTTTCTATCTGCATAGATTTTCCTATTCTGGACATTTCTTTTAAATGGAATCATGTGACATGTGGCCTTTTGTGTCAGACTTCTTTCACTTAGCATAATAGTCTCCAGGTTCATCCATGTCGCAACATATGTCAATATTCATTCCTTTTTATTGGTGAATAACATTCTGTTACATGAATATTCAACATTTTATTTATTCATTCACCAGTTGGTGGAAATTTGGGCTATTTCCATTTCTTGCCTATTGTGAAGAATGTTGCTATGAATGTTTGTGTACACATCTTGTGTACACATGTGTAGACATGTATTTTCAGTTTTCTTGGATACACACACACACACACACACACACACACACACACACACGGGGTGGAATTGCTGGGTCATATGGTAACTAACATTTTGAGACAGGACCTTGCTCTGTTACCTAGGCTGGAGTGCAGTGATGCAGTCGTGGCTTACTACAGCCTCAACCTCTCATGCTCAAGCAATCCTCCAGCCTCAGCCTCCCAAGTTTCTGGGACCACAAGTGCATGCCATCACACCCAGCTATTTTTATTTTTTATTTTTTTATTTTGTAGAGACAGGGTGTCACTATGTTGCCCAGTTTGGTGTCAAATTCCTGGGCCCAAGCAATCCTTCTGCTTTGGCCTCCCAAAGTGCTGGGATTACAGGTGTGAGCCACCACACCTAGCCTCATTTAGGTTTTAATCTACATTTCCCAAATTATTAATGATGTTGAACATCTTTTCATGTGCTTATTGACCCTTTGTGCACTTTCTTTGGATTAATATCTATTCAAATCCTTTGCTTATTTTTTAACTGGCTTGTCTTTTTATTGTTGAGTTACAAGAGTTCTGTATATATTGTGAACATAAGTCCCTCATCTGATATTGATTTGCAAATATGTTCTCACATTCCATGGTTTGTCTTTTTATTTTATTGATAGTGTCCTTGGAGGCTCAAAAATATTTAATTGTGATGAAAACCAATTTATTTTTTCTTCTGTTTGTGCTTTTCGTGTCATAGCTGAGAAACCGTTGCCTAATCCAAGGTCACAAAGATTTACTCTTATGTTTTTTCCCAAGAGTTTCACAGCTTTTGCTCTTACATTTAGGTCAATGATCCCTTTCAAGTTAATCTGTATGTACAATGTGCCTACAAGTTTTAAAAATATCTATCACAAATATATAAATCTTTTTAAAACAATTGAATTTATTCTTTACTCTGTAAAAGAGGATTATTGTTGCAATGTTGAGCATTTCCTTAACTGAAATCATTTTCTAATGAATTCTTTTAAAATGTATGAGGATGCTTACATGTAAAAAAATTCTGGAATCTTAAATAAATACATTCTATTGAAGAATCCAGAAAATGTTTGGATATTTTAGTTAATTAATCATTGAATAAATTTTTGTGTGCCTACTGTGCACGTGCAGTGCTCCAGGAGGTAGATGGCCTGCAGGACCAAATGCTGCAGAAAGGTCAAGGTGAAAGACCCCCAGGGAAAGGCCTTGGGTTTGGTGGTTGTAGATTCTGAGAACCCTAGGAGAGCATAATTTCAGCATGGTGGGAGGGTAGGCAGTGAGGGCCATGAAGTTGCACCAAAGAGACTATTTTTTGTGAAAAGGAGATGTATTAGTCCATTTTCATGCTGCTGATAAAGACACACCTGAGACTGGGTAATTTATAAAGAAAAAGAGGTTTAATGGACTCACAGTTGCATGTGGCTGGGGAGGACTCACAATCATGGCAGATGGCGAAAGACATGTCTTACATGGTGGCAGGCAAGAGAGAGGATAAGAACCAAGTGAAAGGGGTTTCCCCTTATAAAACCATCAGATCTCATGAGACTTTTTCACAACCACTAGAACAGTATGGGGGAAATTGCCCCCATGATCCAATTATCTCCCACCAGATCCCTTCCACTACATGTGGGAATTATGGGAGCTGCAATTCAAGGTGAGATTTGGGTGGGGACACAGCCAAATCACATAAGAGAGAAATAGGCTAATGATTGGAAAGGTATAAAAGAGTCATGTAAAGAGTTACTCTAAATAAAGAAAGCCTATGCATGTAGGTGATGAGTAGAGGAAACAAGTAAGGAGGACAGACGGAAAGAGCTCAAGAAAAGGAGTCATGGAGGGCCCAGCTCTGAGAGGCAAGCAAAAGGATGGAGTTAAGAGCTTGGGTTACATGAAAACCCAGCATCACAAAAACCTATATTCTTTTGAGGAATAACTACCCTTATACAGATCTTTTGATGCAAGTTTGTATTCAAGCTAAAAGAGGTTCGAAACCTAGAACTTGAGCTCAGGTGCAGACAGACCTGGGTTTAACTTCCAGCTTTGCTACTCATTTACTGTGCAACCTTGGGCAAGCTATTTAATTGTTCTAGGCTTCAATTTCCTCTTCTATAAAATAGCAGCAATAATAGACCTACCTAATCAAGTTGCTAGTGTGAGGGTTATATGAGGACTACATATAAATCTCTTGATAGTTATAAATTCTCGGTGGTTTTAACAAAAATAAAACATAGCCATATAACTTCAAATTGAGAATTTGATTGGCTAAAATTACATTTTATACCATCATAACACTCTTGCTACCACTAAATCACAATACTCTTAACAAAAATCTGTGAAGAACTTATGGTTTGCATCAGAATTGTTCTTGAGTCCAGGCATGGTGGCTCACACCTGTAATCCCAACACTTTGAGAGGCCAAGGCAGGTGGATCACCTGAGCTCATGTGTTCAAGACCAGCCTGGCAACATGGTGAAATCCTGTCTCTACCAAAAAATACAAAAAAATTAGCCAGGCATGGTAGCATCCACCTGTGGTCCCAGCTACTTGGGAAGCTGAGGTGGGTCCCAGCTACTTGGTAAACTGAGGTGGGAGGATCACTTGAGCCTGGGAGGAGGAGGTTGCAGTGAGCCAAGATCATGCCACTGTACTCCAGCCTGGGCGACAGAGTGAGACTCCATCCTAAAAAAAAAAAAAAAGAATTGCTCTCAACGCAAACGCTCTCATCCTCAGGTACAACTAAGAAGATGTTAGCCCACATATAGTCCAGCCGTGCAATGTATTCAAGTGATCAGTCCAGGATCATGAATCCTGAGTGATGACATCAGCCCACCATTTTGAAATCTCTTCCAGCCCCAAGCTAAGTTAAGTTATTAAAGCTCTTTATGACTCATTTTCCCTAATCTCTGGCTAATGTAAAAGACAAACTGTTTCCACCTTTCTTGTGCAACTGTATTCACTCATTAAAACTCTCCTCCAGAAGAATAATATTTTACTTCTAAGAGAAATAATATTGTGAAAGAAAATGCTATTGGCTTCCAGTTACATAGGTCAGATTTCCAAGTCCTGTGGCAGACAATGATGTGCAATCTTTCTGGTAACACATGGGTCAGCCTCCCTCTCTTATTCTCATCTTTCCAGCAGTGAGTGTTTTCCCAATAAACACAAGCAACTGCACTGTGTTAGGGCTATCTTGTTTTTCTCAGAAGTATTTTTCATTTACACTTTTAAACCTTTTCAATCTCATGAACTTCCTCCTTTGTTATATTTACTGTATCCTGTTGTAATAAGAGGATTTGGCGTTTTTTATACCAATTTGGAAAAACTTCCTTCCTGGCATCCAGATTTTCTCTTCAGATGTCAAAATTGGAGATAATGGTCCATTGCTAGCCCTGGGGTGAGAGAGTGAGGGAGGGAACAAGGGGAGCTGTGGTCTCGCCACGCCAATCAGGTTGACACACTTCATGTGTGCTGAGTGGCCCAGTGTGTGGCAACAGAGGTTTACTGTTCACTCCTGCGACACCGGGACATTAAAATGCAAGGCTAGTGGTTTGAAAATTGTCAGTATTTCTAATCCACGCACTTTGAAAAGTCAATAGGTTTTCTAAAGAACTTAATCACTCAGAACAAAGTTGGATTTATTGCAAATGCCAAATTTCTTAATCAAAATCCACTTTTCCTGGCATATGACATACGTACATCTTTCCAAAGCAGATTCCATTCAACAGTTTCCTTCTTAGGAAACACTAAATATATGATAAATCATGTTTTTAAAAATATCTAGGGAAATAAGAGAAGCATATAACTTAGTGTAACTTGCCTATAAAAAATGTCAAGAAAATTGCTTATTAACCTTCAAAGTCCTTTTTAAATAAAACCTTAATTTCCAAAGGGGCCTCTGCACCAATGTATATGAGAATTGTTTGTGCTTAAAAAAACCTATTGGCAGGTGGTGGGGTGGGTAGTGGGGGAGACCTACAGGATTGCCTATTACAACTTCTTCACTTATTAATGAGGCAACAAATCCGGTGGGGGTGAAATGAAAGGTCCAAAGCAATTTACCACTGGCTGGCACCAGACTTAGAATCCAACTCTCAAATCGGTGCCCATTTCATGTCCCTGCCTCTATCATTTGAGGTGGGGTCTGAGAAGCCAAAACATAATGAGAAACCATAATATAAACGTTTCAAAAGTAGAAACTAGATTTTGACCCATAGCCACTTCCCAGTCTCTTCATACCTTAAATTTCTGTCTGATTGTCTGATTCTGTCTAACTCTAGCAAACCAGACAACTGACTGGAGTTATATGAGTGCGACAGAGTGGACTGTAAATCCTTAGGTACAATTCACTGCAGAGGCAGTGTCCACACTGGGTATTTGGCACATCTCATTCATCCATCCATTGTTTCATTAAATGAACATTGACCGAGCACCCATTATATGCAAGGCAGCAAGTAGGTTTTGAATCCTGCAAATTACAGAGAAAAATAAAACAGTCTCCCTGTCCTGGAGATGCTCACTTTCTAGTACTGAAGATGCACAGGCAACTAGAACCCCACAGTGAGCGTGATGCCGAAAAGGGACATCCAACTTCTCTGGGGTCCCAGAGGGCATCCCAGGCAGAGGGCACTGCACAGGGAATATAATTTGACTTAGAGAACTGCAATTCCTTCACTGCAGCTAGGGGAGGTCTTCTGAAACTTGAATATGCATACAAGTCACCTGGGGATCTTGGTGAAATGTGGATGCCATAGGTCAGGAGTGACCTCTGAAATTCTGCTGCACTAACAAGCTCCCAGGTGATGTCACCGTGCCCTGTGCACCACACTCTGAGTAATGCTCCCTGGGAGGTGAAGGTGGGAACCTCAGCAAAAGCCAGTTAATAAAATGTTTGAAAGCCATGCTATCATATTGGGATTCTCTTTGAAACTAACAGGAGTAACAACTATAATTGAATTTCTTTAAACCGATATTGGCTTTCTAAGTTTATTGGAAGCTCAAAAGTCATTTTTGCAGGGAAGCTTTCTCATCCTTCCCTGAGTGGCGAACACATGCATACCTTGATTTAGAGCGTGCTGCACTGTGAGCTAACACTGATTCACCCACTCATCAAATGCACTGGACTCTAAGCACTGGGAGGAAAGAAATGTCTTTTTTTTCCTTCATACATTTAATATAATTTTTCTTTTCTTATTATTTTTATTTTTATATATTCATGGGGTACAAGTGCAATTCTGCTACACTGATGTATTGCATTATGGTGAAATCCGGGACTTCAGTGCATCCATCAGTGGAGCAATGCACGTTGTACCCATCAAGCAACTGCTTCTGGTCCACAGTCTTCAGTCATGTCTTTTAGTTTTGAATCCTCAACCCGAATGCACCCAACACCTAACACTGTGTCTGACCCATAGTTTTTTCCATAAACTTTGGTCACATTATATGTTTGCTCTAGATTAGTGGTTCTCAAATGTTAGCCTGCATTAGAATCCCCTGCAGGGCTTGCTAAAACACAGATTGGTGGATCCCACTCCCAGCATTTGTAATTCACTACATCTGGGTCAGGGCTTGAGAGTTTGCATTTATAATATGTTCACAGGTTATAATGCAAAATTATATAATGCAAAATTGTAACCTGTGAACATATCAGAAATGCAAACTCTGCAGGTGTGGTGACCACATTTTGAGAGTAGATAGATAGATAGGTAGATAGATAAATAGACAGATGACAGATAGATAAAACACCCAGTAACTGCAAATTAATATTAATTATTTGTAGTAAAGGAACTCACCTCACTTGCTGCTGGCACAGACAGGATAAAACAGTTGTTTAACAAAAGCCACAATGTGTTTCGTTACAAACAGACCAGGCAAATGTGAGTTTAACCCTTAATCTTTTAAATCTATAAGAATATTAAAACTGCTGTTGCATTTTTGTAATCACAGTTTTTATTTGTTCTTAATTAGTAAGAACACCAGCTGACTTGCCACACCCACTGGGATGGTTATAATTAAAAAGAGACATAATAACAAGCACTGGCAAGGATGTGGAGAAAACAGAAACTTCATGCATTGCTGCTGGGTGTGTAAAACGGTGCAACCACTTTGGAAAAACAGTTTGACAGTTCATCGAAAAATTAAACATAGAATTACCATGTAACCCAGCACATTCACTCCTAAGTTTATGTCCAGTAGAATTGAAAACATTGGTTCTTGTGAAAACTTTCACATGAATATCAGAAGCATTGTTCATAGTAGCCAAAAATTGGAGAGAACCCAAAGGCTCATCAAGTGATGAACAGCTAAACAACATGTGCTGTATACCCTTACAATGGACTGTCACTCAACCATAAAAAGGAAGGCAGTACTTTTTTCTCTAACATGGATAAGCATGACCCAACACGCATGAAACTTGAAAATATGATGCTAAGAAAGAAGTCTGACACAAAGGCCACATATTGCATGATTCCATTTATATGAAATGTCCAAAATAGGCAAATTCACAAAACAGAAATCAGGTTAGTGATTGCCAGGGCTGGGAAAAGAAGGGAATGAGGGAATGGGGTATGACTGATAAAGGTATGGGATTTCTTTGGGGGATAATGAAAGTGTTCTGAAATGAAATAGTGTTTGTATATATTTTAGTATAGTCTTGTGAATAAACTAAAAACCACTAAAGTGTACGTTTTAAAGCATGAATTTTACAGTACATAAATTATATCTCAATGTAAAAAAAATTAAGGCCATCTAATGTTATTTGGTGGTGCTAACATTTTCATTTTAGAGTTACACTATCTGATAAGGTAGCCACTAGCCACATGTGGCTCTTGAGCTCTTGAAATGTGACTAAAGTGAGGTCGAGTGCAGTGGCTCACACCTGTAATCCCAGCACTTTGGGAGCTGAGGCAGGAGGATCACTTGAGCCCAGGAGTTAGAGACCACCCTGCGTAACATAGCAAGACCCTGTATCTACAAAAATAAAAAATATGTATACATATAAAAAAAACAAAAGGAGCTGTGCTGTGCAGGTAAAACACACCCTGGAAATCAGACCAAATTTTTTTTAAAAGGGACATAAATATGTGAATACATGTTTAATATTGAAATGACAGTATTTTAGATATATTTAGTTAGCTAAAATACAGTATTAAAATGAACTGATTTGTTGATTTTTGCTTTTCAAATGTGGCTACTGGAAAATTTAAACCTCTGTATGTGGCTTGCATTGTCATCCTATTGGCCAGCACTGCCTTCAAGGCCCTCCCCAACAGGGTGAGTGTCTTTGTAAAGAACATGAAAAGTGTGCACATCCGAGGGTTAGTGAGATGGGTGTTTTCCTTTACATACAGGGCTCTGTACCCAGGGCTTGATTAGCTCTGTTCTATTAGCAAGACTCAGCACAAGTAAACAGGCCAATTCAATGGATATTT
Organism: Homo sapiens; assembly: GCF_000001405.40. NCBI lineage: Eukaryota > Metazoa > Chordata > Mammalia > Primates > Hominidae > Homo > Homo sapiens. Next base: position 53,618,475 of record NC_000004.12, on the reverse strand, counting down.
CCAGTTTTTGTTCTTTGAGTAGAAAGCCACCTGCAAAAACAGAGCTTTGTTATCTCAAAGAGCAAGGTTCTGGGCCATTATTATTTTAGAAAGTACTTTTTGTGTCTCTGCCTAATGGACTACACAGCAAGTCATCTGAAAAAGGAATTTTTAAGGCATAATTTTTGTCCTCTTTAGAATACTCTTTTCCCAAGGCTCAAGTCCTGCATCATAACATTCTTAACCTTGACATGTATTTCTAGATATCAGTGAAAGCTGATCATAAAACTCTGCTGAAAGGAAAAATTCCTTTAAAATAAACCAAAGATAAGGATTTATTTGGTAGGCAAAGTAGTTAAGGGCAATTTGTTTAAATGGTGTAAGACTGTCTATCAGTAAGAAGCTAAGTTGTTCACTTTTAAAAATCACAGTATCTTTTGATTATAAAAACTATAGATGTTATTTTGAAAAATTTCAAAAACACCAATAAGAAAAATAAATAATCAAACACCTAACCACACTACTAGAGAAAATAATTGTTAATATATAGATATCTATCTTTCCAGGGAAAAAAGAGGTCTTGATAAGTCAAAAATTTTCTATATGGAGAAAACTGGCTCAATTTCTGTCATTGACTATTGGTTAACAAATAATAGAGCATTTACTTATCATCCAATCAGAAATAATTCTATTGGTTCTCTAAATCTTGAGAAGACAAACCCAGTTGTTACAGGTTTAGTCAATAACATCTCTGTATTACAATTTAGTGGCTGGACTGAATGTAATCCTTTTGCCTTAACTTCAACAAAACAAGAGAGACATTTACAGTGCACACATAGATGATGTGGGTGGGCATGTTTCTACACATTTTTCTTTCCTCTTCACCAACAAGGTTGTATAAAAATATTTACTGCTTTCCTATAGATTCATGTATGTGGTGTAGTATCCATGTCATGAAGCAGAAGGATGGATTATTCACTGGAGTTTTTATGGCTGCACATTCAAGTGTTTCCCCAGCTGTGTTTACAGCTTTGGGTTTCTAAGCCTCTTGAGAAGTAATCAGTTTTGATCATCTTAAATCCCAAAGTAAATTTTCTTTTCTGGATATTATCCTAGTTGCTAACACAGGTTAGTCTGGCCTATTGAACCATCTTTTACTGCTGTGACCTTCAAAAATGAAAGCTGTGGTTTTGCCCTGAGAAGAAGAAAAGGAGATTTGAAATATGACTCAGATTCTTCCCTGCAAAAGGTGAGGTCTCAAAACTCCTTTGCTCTCTTTTTTTAATTATTATTATTAGACTAGGTACTAGGTCTTATTTTTTGGTCATTTTACTGTGTAAGTCTGGTCTCTTCAAAATAGTGTAAGTCCCTTTAGAGCCAAGATTCTTATATGCTGCTTTTGTATTATAGTTTATATGTTTTATAACTTTCTATAGTAACTGGCACAAGCACAGACTTATATGACACACTCAGTAATACTTGTTTCTTGGCTAATGAGAAGTACAAATGATATTTAAAAGCTTTGACGATTGTAGCTTATGGGTGATTTATAGTCAGGGAACTTTTATAAATGACTATGCTTAATACTTCTTAGTTTAAACATCAGTAACCACACAGCTAGCTACATTTCAAGCCAGGGTGTTTGCTAAAAGATGAGACTCTGCCATTTACCTATGTTATCTTGGGAGAATCAAGTAACCCATCGTTGCCTCCATTTCCTTTATGGAAATCAAAATAACTAATTAACTAAATTAACCAATTAATTAAAGTGAATGGCATATTGATAAGGTTTCAATAAATATTAGCTGCTGCTACTGCTGCTGCTGTTACTACTATTATTACTACAACTACAACACTCTTGACCAATAAGCTCAGTCCACCAACAACTGGAAAGATATTCTCTTCCTCCAGGCTGGGACCCTTGAAAACTATCTACGTGGAAAAGTGAGAGAACAAGGGGACACAAGCAAAGCTGCCCAGGTAGGCCAAATGAATCAGACCATTCATTCTGTGACAAATCCAAGTACTAAGAAAATGAGATAAAAGCAGCAGCAGGTGTCACATGAGATAATCTGGTCAACATATGCTGACTTCCCACCAATCATGTGCTGCTGACCCAGGCGCAGGACACTGAAGAGTAGAAATTAGATGCAGTGCCTGCCTTTGCACTTTTGTCTCCTATGAGCTTTTAAGTGTATGGTATATAGGAGTTATTTGTGTCTATGTAGGGAAGGTGTCTATCTAGGTTTCTAAGAAAAAAAGTAAAAAAGATGTCTCAATATATATAGAAAACTAGAAAAAAGATAGATACTGAATTAAAATATCCAAGCCCACAGAAACGCAAACATCACATGTTCTCACTTATTTGTGGGATCTAAAAATCAAAACAATTGAACTCATGAACACAGAGAGCAGAAGGATGGTTACAAGAGTCTTGGAAGGACGGGGGTGGTGAGGAGCAGGGAGGGCAAATGAATACAAAAAATAGTTAGAAAGAATTAGTAAGACCTGCTATTTGATAGCACAACAGGGTGACTGTAGTCAATAATAATTGTACATTTTAAAATAACTAGAATAGTATGATTGGATTGTTTATAATAAAAAGGATAAATGCTTGAGGGGATGGATACCCCATTCTCCATGATAAGATTATTACGCATTGCATGCCTGTATCAAAACATCTCATGTACCCCATAAATATATGCACCTACTATATGCCCACTAAAAATTTTTTAAATCTAAAAATAAATGAATAAATAATTTTATGTTAAGGTAGTAAAAAAAAATCCAAGGCTCTGTATTAATAAGGCATGGTTGTATTACCAACCACTTCAAAACTCAATACCTTAAAACAACAACCTTTATTATTGTTCACAATTCTGTGGGTTGGCTAAGCTCTTCCTCTATGGGTTTTCATTCAGCTGCCTTTAGCTAGAATGTACAGAATTGCCTCACTCATGTCTGGGAGTTGGCTCTGGCGATTGGCTAGAGCCTCAGTCTTCTTCCTTAAGCCTCTCATACACGAGGGAGCTAGGCTAAGCTTCTCTACAGCATGGCAGTTTCAAGCTTCCAAGAGGGCAAGGGTGGAAGCTGCGAAGCCTCTTGAATACCTAGGCTCTGGAACCCCCACAGTGCCCCAAAGCCAGCCCAGGTAGATTCACGGGAGTAAGAAATACTCCCTGCCTCCTGTTGGGAGAAGCAGCCTCACCTTGCTGAAGGAGTTACACACAGCATTCGCCAACTACTGCTGCATAAGAAACCACCCTAAAAGCGAATGGCTTACAACAACGACTTCTTGCTTCTCCATGATTTATCAGAGGCCATTATTACACTAAATCTCCCACAGCCTGTTTTCTACTGTTTCAATCGTGGCATTTTTCTCCTGTGGGGCATGTGTAATTATCTCTACTGTTTCTTTCAGCAATTAATTCATTTGAAGCATCATGACAAAACTAGGGTCAATGTTTTGAAGGAAAAGGAAAAATATATTTTATTCTCATTCTCGGTGTTCAAAGATGAACAAATTTCGGAATAGCTCCAAAAGTCAACTTGGGATAAGATGAAGAGAATACATGTTTTAGTAAAATAAAAGGGAGCCAGATTCTGAGGTCAGGCCACACCTCTGGAGTCCTCCCTGCACCTGGAGCCTCCTTTGAAGTGAAGGAAATTGCTCCATGACCAGGAGGCTGAAGGAAGCAGACAGATGTGAGCATGGAATGTAAAACTAGCAAGCATTCAGTTGACATCAAGGAGGAGATGAACTCGTGAGCCATAAACAGCGTAGGCTGACCAAAGGTATCTCAAATTAGCATTCTTGGCTGCTTATTACTTTTATTAGACCCTAAAGAATTTCACAACTTAGGCAAGTCTAAAATTCTAAGACCTATGACCTTAAGAGCAATTGGTCATTTTCCTGGGTACCTGTGATGGAACTCTTCACCTTCTGGCTTTTCTAGTGTGGGTGCAGAGGAACCTGACACCCCTAGAAAATCTGCCTAACAGGCCAATTTGCTTTGCCTAGAAAGGTTAGTGTGGGGGTCACTTCACTAAAGGAAGTATGGATGAGAAGGGATAGAGGTAGAGATCCCAAAGGGATATCCATTTCCAGAAGAATCTTGGAGGCTTTCTGAGTGCTGTTTGTGAGATGAAATGGTGTGTCATGGGAGGGGAAGTCTTAGAATAAGCCCCAGAGTCAGTAGTTCTGGAAGTAAATCTGGAAGCCCCAGAGTCAGTAATTCTTTCCTGGAGAATATGTAGGGACAGGGTGGCAAATGGAACAGCAAACTTTCCTGAAAAAGCATCTACAATGGACTTAAATCAACAAACATAAAACAACCCCATTAAAAAGTGAGCAAAGGACATGAACAGACACTTCTCAAAAGAAGACATGCATGCAGCCAACAATCGTATGAAAAGAAGCTCATCATCACTGATCATTAGAGAAATGCAAATCAAAACCACAATAAGATACCATCTCACACCAGTCAGAACGGCTATTATCAAAAAAGGGCCGTCAAAAAATAACAGATGCTGGTGAGGTTGTGGAGAAAAAGGAATGCTTTTACACCCCATTGGTGGGAATGTAAATTAGTTCAACCATTGTGGAAGACAGTGTGGCGATTGCTCAAAGACCTAGAGACAGAAATACCATTAAACCCAGCAATCCCATTACTGGGTATATACCCAAAGGAATATAAATCATTCTATTATAAAGACACATACACCCATATATTCAGTGCAGTGCTATTCACAATAGCAAAGACATGGAATCAACCTAAATACCCATCAATCATAGACTGGATAAAGAAAATGTGGCATATATATGCCATGGAATACTATGCAGCCATGAAAAAGAATTAGATCATGTCTTTTGTGGGAATATGGGTGGAGCTGGAGGCCATTATCCTTAGCAAGGTAACACAGGAACAGAAAACCAAATACCGCATTGGAACAATGCACACTGGGGCTTACTGGACGGTGGGGGGTGGAGGACGGAGAGGATCAGGAAAAATAACAAATATGGATACTAGGCTTAATACCTGGGTGTTGAAATAATCTGTACAACTAAACCCCATGACACATGTTTACTATGTAATGAAACTGCACATCCTGCACAGGTACCCCTGAACTTCAAAGTTAAAAAAAAAAAATTCCTGGAAAGCAGGAGGTTATCTGTGAAACAGAAACCCTCAAACTGGCAAGGTGATTTCTTCATGTATGGAAACACACATTCATATATTTTCATAAATGCATGCATGGGATCAATTTAAACATATGTTCATGTGTACAGTTATGTGTAGGGGGTCTTTTTATTCCTTTTCCTTTTTTGGCTTGGTGCTTCCTCTTCTCTTCCACACATATAAATTCTCCACCCACCCACTTACCCAGAAAGCCCATATTAATAATCTAGTATGTGTCTTTCCTATTTTTACTCATGGCTATATAATCGTAGGTAGACATACACATGCACATACACACACAGGGGCTTTTGTTTTACAAAAATAAAACCATAGCATATACTTTTCACTGCATTGTGCTTTACTCATTCAACGATATCCTTTAAAATTCTTCCTGTCAACTAGCACAACTAATTTCTTCTTTTTTATTTTTTTGAAATGGGGTCTCACTCTGTCAACCAGGCTGGAGTGCAGTGATACGACCACAGATCACTGCAGCCTCAAACTCCTGGACTCAGGCAATCCTCCCAGCTCAGCCTCCTGAGTAGCTAGGAGTACAGACTAGCACTGCCATACCCAATATAGCGAGACCCCATCTCTACAAAAAAAAAAAATACAAAAATTAGCTGGCATACCATACCCAGCTGATTTTTGTATTTTTTTGTAGAGACAGGGTCTCGCTATATTGCCCAGGCCAGTTTTGAACTCCTAGGCTCAAGCAATTCTCCTGCCTCAGCCTCCCAAAGTGCTGGGATTACAAGCGTTAATTTATTCTTAATGACTGTATTTTTCCATCATATGGATATGCCATAATTTATTCAGCTATCCTCCATTACAGAAAACACTTAGCTTTTCTAATTTGCAAAAACAAAACAAAGTAAAGGAAGCAAGCTAAAACACCTTGTGTATGAATCTTTATATTCTGGTGGCTTTGCTTCTATTAGAGTCTGAGGAAGGAATTGCTGGCCTAAAGACTGTCTGTATTTTAAATTGTAATAGATAGTGCCATGCTGCTCCTGCAAGAGGTATTTCCATTCTACCTAAGCTGTATGAAAGTTCTCCCTTACCTACTAACCTGCCAGCAATAAGTGTTACAAATCTTTACAATTTTAGACAATCTGGTGGGTATAAAGTCATATCTTATTGTTTGTTCAATTTGTACTCCCCTCACTTTTGGTAAATTTGAGGATATTTCCGAGTTTCTCAACCCTTCGTATGTGCTTTTCTGTATATTGCCCATTCATATCTTTTGTCCATTTTCCTATTGGTTTGTTCTTGTTTTTCTTGCCAAATCATAACAAATCTTTGCATATTATAAAAATGATAACTAGTGTTCACACTATATAGATTTCTTCAAATCTACCATGGTCTACTGCATTTTTATATTATCTCTGCCTGAAAAGTTATACTGTTTTCAGTCAAATACAGCTATCTTTACTCTCAGAGCTTTTGGCTTCTCAGTTTTTATTGGGAGGGTTTGTCCTACCCCCATTATATAACAGTACATATAATCCACTAGATTTCTTGGTAAGAGCTTTGGTTTACTTTACCTTTTATATTTTTCATTCATATATTTGTAGCGTATCCTTGAGTGTGCAATAAAATTGAGATCCAGTAGGACACTGATTTGAAGATTAGGTTGGTGCAAAAGTAATTGCAGTTTTGCAATTTTAGTGGTAAAAACCACAATTACTTTTGCCCCAACCTAATACGATGGGTTTATAGACAGTTCTAGTAACTAGCGAGGATGTCCCTTACTCCATCTCTACTTATTTTTTCTAAATTACTTGTATTTTCTTTGATATTTATTTTTCTCTAGAAACTTTAAGATCACTTTATCCAATTACCAAAAACAACAAACAAACCCGAAATACCCACTTTGTTGTGATTTTTAGTAAAACACACCACACACATAATCAATTTGTAGAATTTAATATCTTTATGGCATTGAATTTTCCTATCCAAGAAAATGGCACATCTTTCCATTTCTTCATTTCTCCTTTTGCATATTTTAGTATAACTTTGTTGTGCATTTTCTTTTTTGGTTATCCTAAGTATTTCATAGAGGTTGGTTTTTCACTATTTTAGACTTTTTTTTTCATTCCTTTTCTTATTCCTAGAGTACAAAAAAGCTAATGGTATTTTTGCCTGTTTGTAGATCCACCTATTTTATCAAATTCTATTCTTAATTCTAGAAGACTTTTATTAGATTCCTTTGGGTTTTCTAGGTTTACAATCATATCATTTGCAAAAATAGACAGTTTTACCTCTTTTTTCCCCAATGTTTATTCCAGTTTTAAAATTTGCTACCATCAAGTTTCATATCGTATTCTCTTGTAATACTTTCAGTCACTATAGTCTTCTTTCTGCTTTCTGATCTTTTATAATTTTGCATTTCCTCATTTTTAAAAATCAAACTTGTTATAGACATGTATAGAGTTTAGATGTTTTTATATAACAAGTTTAAATTTATTTATATATCCTATTACTTATTTTGCCTTCTATTTCAGTAATTTAAGCTTTTGCCTTTATTTATCTCTCTTTATTCTTCTTCTAATTTCTTAGAATGAAGATTTGGTTTATTTCTTTTTTTTTTTTTTTTTTCCTCTTTGAGACGGGAGTCTTGCTCTGTCGCCCAGGCTGGAGTACAGTGGTGCGATCTCGGCTCACTGCAGGCTCTGCCTCCCGGGTTCACGCCATTCTCCTGCCTCAGCCTCGCGAGCAGCTGGGACTACAGGTGCCCACCACCACGCCCGGCTAATTTTTTTGTATTTTTAGTAGAGACAGGGTTTCACCGTGTTAGCCAGGATGGTCTCGATCTCCTGACCTCGTGATCCGCCCACCTCGGCCTCCCAAAGTGCTGGGATTACAGGCTTGAGCCACCGCAGCATTTTAACTACAAAATTTTTCATATATAGTTTTCACAGAATCCTAGAGTATGTTATAAAGTTCGACCTTTCATGGCTTTTAAGATGGTCAATAATTTCCCTTTCAACTTTTGGAACCAATTATTTTCTAAGTATTTTTAAATTTTCAAGTAGTCAACTTTTTGTTACCTTTTGATAATTTTTTCTTATTTATTGAATTATGATCAGATAATGTTAACTATAAAATCATTACTCTGAATTTGCTCAAGTTTTCTTTGTAGTCAGGTACCTGATCAGTCTCTATAAATGTTCTGCGGACATATGAAAAACAATAAAAATACTTTAGATCAGGAATATGGAGGTTTATTTATTTACTGTGTTGGGAAGCAGCGTGACACAGAGGTTAAAAGTAAAGACTTTAGAGAAAATGTCCATTTTCAAATCTTGACTTTACCATTTCACCTTGAGCACACTTATAAAATGTGAACAATAACAGTGTCTAACTCACATGGTTGTGAGCATTAAATGATTTACTATTCATAAAGTATTTATAATAAAAATTATATGCTATATAGTTATATATAATGCTATCTAAATTACATGATTTATTTATATAGCATTATGTAGAAATTTTATATTGATGTTATTTATATTTTATATTTAAATAATATATTATATATAATATATAATAGTATATTATATATAATATATAATAGTATATTATATATTGTACTATATATTATAATAGTACTATAATAGTATTATAATAGTACTATAATAGTATAATAGTACTATAATAGTATTATAAATAGTATAATTATATATACTATTTATAACATATAGTATAACATATAATATATAATTATATATACTATATATTATTTTATATATTATTTATACATAAATTATAAATTTATGAATTTTAAATGCTATAAAATTTCCGTATAAATAAAAATATGTCAATTCCTTTTTTCTTTCTACAGAACTTTCCAATACAGTTCAAAGAGATATATTTAGCTAATACTAGTTTTTTGGTGTTTTTGGCAATGGTTTATGGGTTAAAACATATTGTTCTGGTACTATTTTCTTTTTAATTAAATTTTAAATTTTTAAAGTGATATATTTTAAAACATAGTTCTTAAACACTTTTTTCTCTTTAGATTTCCTTTTTTTTTTACTTTTAGTTTAGGTTCAGGGGTACATGTGCATATTTGTTACATAGGTAAATTGCATGTCACAGGGGTTTTGTATACAGATGATTTTTCCAGCCAGGTAATAAACATCGGGAGTCCTTTCCCCATTGCTTGTTTTTGTCAACTTTGTTGAGCATCAGATAGTTGTAGGAGTGAAGCATTATTTCTGGTTCTCTATTCTGTTCTGTTGGTCTATGTGTCTGTTTTTGTACCAGTACCACGCTGTTTTGGTTATTGTAGCCTTGTAGTATGGTTTGAAGTTGGGTATTCTGATTCTCACCCTCCTCCCTTTCTCCACCCTCACATAGGCCTTGATGTCTGTTGTTCCCTTCTTTGTGTACACACGTACTCAATATTTAGCTTCCACTTATAAGTGAGAACGTGTGGTATTTGGTTTTCTGTTCTTGTATTAGTCACTTAGGATAATGGCCTCCAGCTCTCTCCATGTTGTTGCAAAGAACATGATCTCATTCTTTTTATGGCTGCATAGTATTCTGTGGTGAATATGCACCACATTTTTTTTATCCATTCTACCGTTGATGGGCATTTAGGTTGTTTCCTTGTCTTTGCTACTGTGAACAGTGCTGCAATTAACATACATGTGCATGTCTTTGTGGTAGAAAAATTTATATTCCTTCTGGTATATACCCAAAAATGGGATTGTTGGGTCGAATGGTAATCCTGCTTTGAATTCTGTGAGAAATCTCCACACTGCTTTCCACGGTGGCTGAACTAATTTACCTTCCCACCAGCAGTGTATAAGCGTTTACTTTTCTCCACAACCTTACCAGCTTCTGCTATTTTTGACTTTTTACTAATAGCCATTCTGACTGGTGTGAGATGGTATCACATTGTGGCTTTGATTTGCATTTCTCTGTAATCAGTGATGTTGAACAATTTTTCATGTGATTGTTGACTGCTTGTATGTCTTCTTTTAAAAAGTGCATGTTCATTTATTTTGCCTACTTTTTAATGTGGTTGTTTTTTACTTGTTGTTTTGTCAAAGTTCCTCATAGATTCTGGATATTAGACATTTGTAGGATGCACAGTTTACAAATATTTTCTCCCATACTGTAGGCTGTCTGTTTACTCTGTTGATCACTTCTTTTGCTGTGTAGATGCTCATTAGTTTAACTAGGTCCCATGTGTCAATTTTTGTTTTTGTTGCAATTGCTTATGGCATCTTCTTAATGAAATCTTTGCCATACCCTGTGTCCAGAATGGCATTTCCTAGGTTTTCTCCCAGGGTTTTTAAAGTTTTAGGTTTTATATTTAAGTTCTTAATTCATCTTGAGCTGATTTTTGTATATGGTGTAAGAAATGGGTACTGTTTCAATCTTCCGCATCTGGCTAGCCAGTTATCCCAGCACCATTTTTTGAATAGGGAGTCCTTTCCCCATTGCTTGTTTTTGTTGACTTTGTTGAAGATCAGATGGTTTTAAATGTGCAACATTACTTCTGGGCTGTCTGTTCTGTTGGTCTATGTGTCTGTTTTTGTACCAGTACCATGCTGTTTGGCTATTATGGCCTTGTACTATAGTTTGAAGTTGGGTAATATGATGCCTCCAGCTTTGTTCTTTTTGCTTAGGATTGCCTTGGCTATTTGGGCTCTTTTTTAGTTCCCTGTGAATTTTAAAATAAATCACCATTAGCTTTTTCTAATGCTGTGAAGAATGTCATTAGTAGTTTGATAGGAATAACATTGAATCTGTAAACTGCTTTGGGCAGTATGGCCATTTTAACAATATTGATTCTTCCTATCTATGAACATGGAATGCTTTTCCATTTGTTTGCGTCATCTCTGATTTCTTTGAGCAATGTTTTGTAATTCTCATTGTAGAGATTGTTCCCCTCCCTGGTTAGCTATATTCCTAGGTATTTTATCTTTTCGTGACCATCGTGAATGAGATTGCATTCTCAATTTGGCTCTCAGCTTGGATGTCATTGGTGTATACAAAATGCTAGTGATTTTTGTACATTGATTTTGTACCCTGAAACTTTGCTAAGTTGTTTATCAGATCAGTGAGCTTTTAGGCAAAGACTATGGAATTTTCTAGGTGTAGAATCATATCATCTGCAAACAGGGATAGTTCGACTTCCTCTCTTTCTATTTGGATGCCTTTCCTTACTTTCTTTCTCTTGCCTGACTGCTCTAGCCAGGACTTCCAGTACTGTGTTGAATAGGAGTGGTGAGAGAAGGCATCCTTGTCTTGTGCAGGTTTTCAAACGGAATGCTTCCAGTTTATGCCCATTCAGTATGATGTTGACTGTGGGTTTGTAATAGGTGGCTATTATTATTTTGAAGTATGTTCCTTCAATGCCCAGTTTGTTGAGGGTTTTTAACATGAAGGGATGTTGAATTTTATCAGAAGCCTTTTCTGCACCTATTGAGATAATCATGTGGGTTTTTGTCTTTAGTTATGTTTATGTGATGAATTACATTTATTGATTTGTGTATGTTGAAGCAACCTTGCATCCCAGGGATGAAGCCTACTTGATCATGGTAGATAAGCTTTTTGATCTGCTGCTAGATTCAGTTTGCCAGTATTTTATTGAGGATTTTTGCATTGATGTTCATCAAAGATATTGGCCTGAAGTTTTCTTTTTTTATTGTATGTCTGCCAGGTTTTGATATCAGGATGATACCAAATAGAATGAGTTAGGGAGTCCCTCCTTTAATTTTTTGGAATAGTTTCAGTAGGAGTGGTACCAGCTCTTCTTTATACATCCAGTAGAATTTGGCTGTGAATCTGTCTTGTTCTGTTTTTTTTTTGTTTGTTTTTTGTTTGTTTGTTTGTTTTTTCTGGTTGGTAGGCTTTTTGTTACTGATTCAGTTTCAGAACTCATTACTGGTCTGCTCAGGGATTCAATTTCTTCTTGGTTCAATCTTGGGAGGTTGTATGTTTCCAGGGATCTAGCCATTTCCTCTAGGTTTCCTAGCTTGTGTGCATAGAGGTGTTCATAATAATTTCTGAGGGTTTTTTATATTTCTGTGGGGTCAGTGATAATATCCCCTTTGTCATTTCTGATTGTGTTTATTTGGAACTTCTCCCTTTTTTTCTTTATTAGTCTACCTAGTGGTCTATCTATCTTTCAAAAAAGAAACTTCTGGATGTGTTGGGTTTGTGTATGGTTTTTCCCAGTTTCCTTCGGTTCAGCTCTGATTTTGATTATTTCCTGTCTTCTGCTAACTGTGTGTCGGTTTGCTCTTGTTTATCTAGTTCCTCCACTTGTGATAAAGACAAGGAATGATAAGAATTGGCAAGGGTATAATGGTTCCTTAAAAAAATAAAAATAGAACTACCACATGACCCAGCAATCCCTCTTCTGGGAAACGGAATCACCAGCTGATATCTGGTGATTGCTGCATTCCCATGTTGTTGATTGCAGCATGATTCATAATAGCCAAGCTATGAAAACAACCAAAGTGTCCATTGATAGATGATGGATAAAGAGATTATAGTTCATATGTACAATGGAATATTATTCAGCTGTTAAAAAGGAGATCCTCTCATTTGTGACAACATGGAGGAACCTAGAGGACATTATGCTAGGTAAAATAAGTCAGACAAGAAAAATACTGCGTGATTTCACTTATATATGGAATTTTAAAAAAAACATGAATACAGAGAAACAGAGTATAATGATGGTTACCAGGTGTGGGGGTGAGAGGACAGGGTTATGTAGGCCAAGGATACAAAGTTGTAGTTATATAGAGTGGATAAGTCTAGAGATCTAAAGTACAGCATGCAGATTATAGTTACAAATATTGTATTGTATACTGGAAATTTACTGGGAACATATTTAGGTACTTTACCCCCCACCCCCATACACGCATACACAAGGTAGTTACCATGTAAGATGATGCATACGTTAATTTGCTTGACTAGTAATCACTTTAATAAAATATACATCAAAACATCACATTATACACCTTAAATTTGTACAATGTTTAAAGACGATAACACACTAAAATTTCTTTTTAAGTATTTTAATCATCTGTTGCAGTAGATTGTATTTTCCAAAATGGCTACCATACAACACAATTCCCATTCCACATGCTCTTCAATGTGACTTTGCCAGTCCCCATCCAGAGGTAGAATCTATTTCTCCATCCCTTTTCATCTGGGTGGGCCTTGTAACTCCTTTGACCACGAGAACATGGGAGAAGTGGTGCTATGCCAGTTCTAGGCATAGCCCTTAACTGAGCTGGCAGCTTCCACTTCACTATGCTAATGCGGACTCCAAGTCTTGCTATGGTTTTGTAATCCAGGTGTCCTGAAATTCCCTGGTGACTTTGCAAATCACCCGGGTTGTGAGGAGTGATGTTGTTTCATCACTCATTTACATTTTACTTGCCCTGGAATTCTATACATATACAGCTTCATGTTTCCAGTTTTCTGCCCCTGCAGCCTCTTTTCTTGAGAAAGGTGGCCTGTGACCTGTCTTCCCCACCCAAGAGGCTCAGCTCCAATCCAAACACAAGCACAAATCCTTAGTCTTAGAAATATACCTTCTAGTTCATTATATGAGAAACAAATTAGTCTGTCTCTGACTTTGGACTGATATTCATAATTCATTTTTGGTTGCAAGAAACAAATGAAGAAACAAACGAATTGAGCCTAAGAATATTCCAGATATCAGATATCCCCCTGCACAGCCTTTGGACATCTAGTTAAACCTGGCCTGAATGCCAGTACCACAACCCATAAGAATTCGGAGCCCTCATTATAATTTCTGTAAGTTCCTGGGCTACTTCCTCTTGCTTCTTCCTGCATCCATAATCCCACATTGGCATAGGCTCTGCCAGTTCTGCTTTTTATCCAACTGGCTTTTAAGTCTAGAGAATTCATCACTTTTCTCCAAACATTCCCTTTGCCCCAAGCATTTGTGAGTATAAGGACTTGAATAACAGGTCACTTCTCTTTGGTCTCAGTTCATTTTTAACTCAAACATTCTCTATCCAGCTTAAGGAGAACATATTATGCTTGTGATAAATGAATATACAAGCTTTAGGTGCTAATATATTTCTAGTGGGGCAGCAGGGAAAGAGTAATACAAATTGTCTTCTACGAAGGGTAGAACAAAAATCAGCAGTTTGGCAACTTCAAATTGTCATCAATTTGATTAAATCACCCTCCATCCCACTACCATCTACAGGAATTATTAATAGATATGGTGACCTTAGGTTGCGGTGGAATGACTATCAGAAATCAATTGCTTTCCATTTATGAAACCATCACCAAATATTCTAGGCAATATGATAGCCCATGTAACAGTAGGTGGTTTTCAAAATATTTAATAATTGGTATAGCATAAAATATTTAATAATCAGTAGAGGCACCAACCTATCAGAACAGACTCTGACCAGTCAGAACAGATGTCAGGAGTCAATTGCTGGTACAGCCCCGATATAGTCTGGATATTTGTCCCCACCCAAATCTCATGTTGAAATGTAATCTCCAGTGTCGGAGTTGGGGCCTGGTGGGAGGTGATTAGATCATGGGGGCAGATTTCTCATGAATGATTTAGCACCATCCCCAAGGTACTGTCCTCGCAATAGTGAGTTCTTGCAAGACGTGGTTTAAAACCTCTCCCCGCGCCTCTCTTGCTCCTGCTCTTGCTATGTGATACATGGGTTCCCCTTTGCCTTCTGCCATGATTGGAAGCTTCCTGAGGCCTCATCAGAAGCTGAGCAGATGCCGGGCATCATCCTTTACAGCCTGCAGAATCATGAAGCAATTAAACCTCTTTTATTAATTAAGCAGTCACAGATATTTCCTTATACCAATGCAAGAACGGCCTAACACAAGCTCCATGGTGGACACCAGCTGCATATCCACCCTGCCTATAACCCAGCTCTGCTAATTCACATCACTTTTTACCCCAATCCTTTTCTCTTTCTCTTCCCAAATTGATTTTGTCCATTTGTGTGTTTATTTAATGAAGATGTTATTGAGTTTCCCCATGAGCTAGGAACCATGAATATGAAAATGAGTAGGTCCTCACATGCAGTGAGGAGTCGGCTCCCAAGGAAGCCCTGCAACCACCCTGGAGTCCTCCATGGCCCCACGGCCAGCACAACCAGGGCTGATTTATTTGCTGCCTTAATACAGTGACACTGTGGTGCTCTGGATCCTGGAAAACTGCTTTCCCTGATTATTAGAAACTTTGCCAATCTGAGCATTGATTTTAGAATTTTAGACTTGAAAGGGATCTTTTTAGGGATGAAGGAACTGAGGCCCAGAAAGGTCATAAGATGTCCATGAAACTCACTGTCTCTGTACTTTTGTCCTTGCCTTTTCTAGCTTCAAAAGTGGTCTCAGAGCTTCACATCTACTGTCAGTGCTAAGGCAAACTTGAAAACAGAAGAATTTTTTCAAGGCTTTGAAATTTCTATGCTTTCAGGTATATTTGGCTTGTTTTAAAATAGAGTAAAATGATATGTCATGGATGTACAGACTTTCTGTTTCCTTCACACTGAGCCCAATCCAGGTGATCAGACTGAAGCCTTGTGAACTATCACCCAACACGTGTTTTTCATTCCTTGAAACAATATCCTGATTGCCTTCCCTTGACTTGGGTCCTGTGGACTCCACTCCCCATCTCCTCAGCTACTTCATTAGTTTAGTCACCACGTGTAAAGGCCATTCAAGTGCCCTCACAGACCGCCCATTATAGGAGGTGTCACTGACAAAGGACTCAAGTGGCTGCACTCTAAAAGCCACCCCTGCATTTGCAGCAAGCCACCCTTCAAGGTGCAGCTCCTGGTCAGTGTCAGAGTGACTGAGTGCTGCAGGACCCTAAGACAGGCTTGTTCCTGAAAGTTGGGATTACTCTGACAGCTGATGTTGGCCCAGGTACAGTTCCACCTAACCTTCCCTCCTCTCCTTCACTGGTGTCAGATCGGATGGTGGTCTGACAGCTCTCCCAGCCTTTCTCAGCCTCCATCCCCTGTTGCTCACACAGGTATTTTCCCTAATCAAGTCCCTGCATATTTAATTTCGTCTTGGCATCTGTTGCTTGCAGGACCTAGAATAGATGGTGATGTCAAGGTCACAGATTTGGATCCATCCCCTTATCACTTCGGAGAGTAACTTCATTTTCACTACCTTGGGTTTCTGCACAGACAGATCCTAGTTTCTATTTCTCACTCTGTCCCTATTTCTATCACACCAGTAGAACCATAAGGCTAACTGACAAGAAGCCATTTTTGATGTTTTATGAAATTTCATGGGATCATTTCCAGGGGAGGACAATGGTGCTGACTGGAGAAGTCAGTCACGTGAGCAGGGGTGAGGAGGGTTGGTGGTATAGATTCTACAGAATGGGGTGGTATGCAGAAGAGGGGATGCAGGGCAGGGAGAAACAGCAGTAACCAGTTTGGAGAGTTTGACTTTGAGATGACTGGCAGCTTCAGAGTGACCTGCAGTGACCCCTGGCATGTGGTTCCTTATTCCTTTATCCTGGAGAAGATGCCATCTTGAGATGAGTTGAAAGTAGAGCTGGAGCCTCATAGATCTCCTAGCTTCGAATTCAGATGAGTTGGTGTGTGCAGCTGCCTCTAGGGGGCACAGATGAGGAGGGGACATACCTAGCACAGCTGCTGTCTCTTCTGCCAAACCCCCGCAGCCACATGGCATTGAGGAGTTAGCATCCCAGGGGACAATGGGCTTGCTACCAGGCTCACGCAGTTGTCACAGCTGCTGCGAGTTTATGGGCAGGTGGCCAGAACGCGAACAGTGTTGGTCCAGGTGCAGCCTAATCACTTAGAAGGACTGGCCATCGTGGCAAGACACTTAGTGAGAGTCACCCAATGTGGGGGTGCGAGCATACCCATGGCAGAACTTGTCAAAGCTGCATTTCCTGTCCACCCCCTGGGCAGACTCAGCGAAAGTGGGAGAGGGGTGGACCATGCCACTTCAGGGGGACAGCCACAACTGGAAGGACCAGTCTGGCCACCCTGGGCTGATGGCTGGCACTGATATGGACAAAGACTCAAATTAAGACATCACAAACAAGGAACTTAGGGATCCCCGGTCTAGTTAATAACACTTCTCCTAACTCCTAAACCTCCATATTCATAAAACTGAGTGGAATATATTTAAATACAAAATGCAAGCCTCTTCTCAGATATTTTCCTTCCCTCCCCCCCTCCCTCCCTCCCTTTCTTTCTTTCTTTCTTGCAGAATCTTCCTCTGTCCCCCAGGCTGGAGTGCAGTGGTGCCATCTTGGCTCACTGCAACCTCGGCCTCCCGGGTTCAAGTGATTCTCCTGCTTCAGCCTCCTGAGTAGCTGGGATTACAGGCGCCCACTGCCACGCCTGGCTAAATTTTGTATTTTTAGTAGAGATGGGGTTTCATTAGCCAGGTGTGGTGGTGGGCACCTGTAATCCCAGCTACTCAGGAGGCTGAGGCAGGAAAATCGCTTGAACCCAGGAGCTGGAGGTTGCAGTGAGCCAAGATTGCACCACTGCACTCCAGCCTTGGCAACAGAGCGAGACTCTGTCTCAAAAATTGAAAAAATAAAAATAAAAATAAAAATAAAAAAACAGAGGCCGTCCATCCAGGTTCATGTCCAAGTTAAAAAGGGGTGTCTTCACATGCTCGTGATTTGAGAAAAGTCAAATGAACTTCCCCTATTATTATATTGAGACCCTGTTAGTCGGAATCTGACTGAGAGTCCTTCTCTCTGGTAATAGTGAGTGGTTTTCATGATATTCTCTTTCTTGTATTCTTTAATTTAAGATAAATAAAGGGATGAGCTCCTTGGCCATAATCTGTGTTTTTGAGGGCCTGCCCTTTCTTGGAAGCAAAAGTTCCTGGGAAGGAAAACACTTTCCCACCTAGAAAGTTGGCTTCTCCTGTGCTTCTCGTACCTGAGTAGGCCAGCAAAACAATTCTCCTCTGGCTTTTGCCTTTCCCACTCCATTCCCTACTAGGACTTTTTTTTGTGTGCATGTGTCCTCGAGTCACTTTATGTTACTAGTTATTATGAATTTTCAACCCCTTTGGGAAAAAGTTTGAAGAATTTGGGCTCTTAGAGGACAGAGTACTCTATTGGACAGCATAAAAAACAGCAAGTGCGTGGAGGATTGATGTGAGGAAAATAGTAATTTGCTCCTATCCACTGAGCACTGACTATATAAAAATAGAATTAACAGGGATTTAAATAATACAACACTTAAAAAGCATATGGTATTGGGGAGAGGGGCCTTTTTAAAAAGGTTACTGAGCTGCCAACTCTACCTTAAAGGAATTTTAAATTCATCTAAACAGCTACAGATGTTACTGTCACCTGCTGAGCACAGATCTTTTTCAAGTTCTTCCCAAGGTGCAATGCCAGCCAGCCCTGACTGTGGGCACGAAACTGAGACCATATCTGAAATATACATAGTCTTTCTACCCACTCAGAGCAGCTGCCTCTACATTTGTGCAAATTCTAAAGCTATAAGAGGTATAGGTTTTCTCGGGTGACATACATAGAATCTGAAAGTGTGCTTCAGTCTTGGTTCCCATGAGCCTCCTCTGCCTGGCCCTTCATGGATAAGAGCCAAGATAAGGCTGTGGGGGACCTGGGAAAATCATGGGCTCTATAGTCAACTGGCACTGTTACAGGAAAGGGGTCCCGATCCAGACCCCAAGAGAGGGTTCTTGGATCTTGTGCAAGAAAGAATTCAGGATGAGTCCACAGAGTAAAGTGAAAGCAAGTTTATTAAGAAAGTAGAGGAATAAAAGAACGGCTACTCCATAGACAGAGCAGGCCCAAGGGCTGCTGGTTGCCCATTTTTATGGTTATTTCTTGATATATGCTAAATAAGGGGTGGATTATTCAGGCCTCCCCTTTTTAGACCATATAGGGTAACTTCCTGATGTTGCCGTGGCATTTATAAACCATCATGGCGCTAATGGGAGTGTAGCAGTGAGGACGACCAGAGGTTACTCACATAGCCATCTTGGTTTTGGTGGGTTTTAGCTGGCTTCTTTACTGCAACCTGTTTTATCAGCAAAGTCTTTCTGACCTGTGTCTTGTGCCAATCTTTTATCTCATCCTGTGACTTAGAATGCCATAACTGTCTGGGAATGCAGCCCAATAGGTCTCAGCCTTATTTTACACACCCCCTATTCAAGATGAATTGCCCTGGTTCACATGCCACTCAAATGTTAGCTCTGCAAACTCAGGAAAGTACTTTATAATAACTTGGAGCCTTAAAGTTAGAAGAAACAATCTGGCCTGCTGTCTCATGTAACTGCATCTGTAACACTCCTCTGTTAAGCAATTTCTACCTTACACTTTAATTGTTTGTCCTTAGCTCTGCTTCCTTATTGACTCTAAGTTCCTCAAATGCAGAGATTCTTTCCATCTTTGTCATATTGAAGGTGCTTAATAAATTTGGTGTATAAATAAGTGAATGAATTAATGTCTTCATTATTGTGAATTATTGTGAAAATTAAATGTGATAAAGTTAGCTCCCTTCCCAAAGTGTTCAGGCTTTGACTCTCAAGAAAACGAAGAGATGACTCAAGATGTAACTTAACAACGAGTAAGCCCTCCCTTCCTCCATTCCTTCCCTTGACTTACATTCATCTTTAGTTCTTTAAACTAATATTTATCAAAGGCCTCCTATGTTTCTTCCAGATACCAGGCTAAGTCCTGAGAGTACGTGGAAAGTCACATTCCTTTCCTCGCTGTCTAGAGAGGAAACAGTCTTTAAAAATTACAGTCAGGGCCAGGTGCAGTGGCTCACACCTCTAGTCCTACCATTTTGGGAGGCCAAGGCAGGAGGATCGCTTGGGCCCAGGAGTTCGAGACCAGCCTGGGCAACTAGGCAAGACCCCATCTCTACAAAAAATACAAAAATTTGCTGGGCATGGTGGTGCATGCCTGTAGTCCCAGGTACTTGGGAGGCTGAGGTGGAGAATCCCTTAATCATAAGGAGGTCAAGGCTACAGTAAACCGTGATTGTGCCACTGCACTCCAGCCTGGGCAACAAAGCAAGACCCTGTCTCAAAAAAAAAAAAAAATCACAGTCAGTAAAATAATTGCTGAAGTAGAGTATGTCACGAGTGCAGAACAGGCATCAATATCTGCTTAGGGAAGTCAGGAAGGTCCTATAAAGGAGATGGTATCTGAGCTGAGCCCTGCAGATGGAGGAATAATACTGCCTGGGACTGAATCTCAAGTCTGCCCATAACCAACCAGGCATGTTGGACAAGTTACTTTACCTCGCAGAGACTCAGTCTCTTCACCTGTTTGTAGTTAGTTCATGGGATTTTTTTGCCAGGATTCAGAACATGGGCAAAGAGCATAACATTGATCTAGGCAATGGTTCAACAAATGTGAGAAATAACCATAAAAATGTCCAGTCTGGTTGTTATGAGAACCACAGACAGTCAGGTTTGGGGAGTATTCAAGGAGGACCCCTTTTCCTCACCTAGGTTCAGGATAGTTTGAGAAAATTTTAAAAGAATAATTTTGGAGGCCAAAATATCACCTTTGAAATGACAATGGCTAAATTGGAGAACAAGGTTAGAACAAGGGAAACAAAGCTAGAAGGCACTCAGACTGGGCAGATGTAGGCATGGCAGCCTCCTAGACAGAAATCTGCCCTGGAGAGACTCAGAGTGTGGAGCCACAGACGAAAGCTCTGGCTCACTTTCAAGACAGGAAAGAGAGGTGCAAACCCAAGTTTGCCCTGCTGTCCATTTCCATTTTACCAGTCAAGGACTCCCAGGGACAGAGAGAATGAAGGGTGGAACATGGCCAGAATGTGCTTAGAAAACCAGTTCTCTATGGAAATGGGGGTGAGGGGAGTGCACCCCTCTAACACAGTGTTACTATGGCATGGGGGCTGGCAGGTGGTGGCATTCTGTGCTTGCAAAGGATCAGAGATATGGATAAAGTTTGAAGGCAGACAGGGGCCAGATCATAAAAAGCCTCACAGGCCAGGCAAGGCAAAGGAGCTGAGGGTGAATGACTACTGAAAAGATCAGGAATATCAATTGATGGATTGCCAGGAAGAGGGACTGATCAGGAATATCAATTGATAGTTTGCCAAGGAGAGTGACAAGTGCAGCTAGCATTGCAAAGCATACATAGGTAGAGGCACTCATCTCCAGGCTCGTAGAAAAAGAGGCTGGCAACATGGTTTTGCCAGGTCCTTAGGAAGCTGAAGATGCTGGCAAGGAAGTAGGATCTGGGCTAGATGGACCTAAAGTGAAACTAGTAAGGAACAGATATTCTTGGGCAGCCTCCCGGAGTCCAGGAACCAGACAGTACAGTCCATCCAGAAAGAATGTAAAATTTGAGGAAGGGAATGAAAAATCCGAATGAATAAGAAAATACAGTAGAGAGTTGCATTCTCAGATTTCTTTTGAAATGGGAGATTTTGGGGTGATAACAAGATCTAAGGGGTGATCCTGAGAATGGGTGACTCAATAGAAGTAGAGGGGAATGTCATTGTCATTATAATAGGGGGAAGTCAGGGATGCTGGAGGGGTCATCTACAAGAATGTGGAAGCCTTCAGGATGAAGTCAAAGTTAACAAGGAGAAGAGACATTTTAAATCTGGTATGTGGAACTGGGTCAATTAAAGTAGCCATGTATGAAGGATCCAAGAAAGAACAAAGACATGGCAACCTTCGAAATAGCAACAGCCACCACCAAAAAATTCCCTGGGAATAATCCACCCTGTTTATGCAAGAATGGAGATCATAGAAACATAAAAATATGTGTAATTGTCATAAGATATAGGTCTCGTGACCATTATAAACACAGTAACAATGAAGTTCTTTTTTTCTCCCTACTAAAGAAGAACATGCTGACCACAAATCAGTGTGGTAAACTTTCACAAAATGTGCGCCAACTTCAATAATTGATTTAATGCTAATTTCCCTGAGATACTCTCTCTCTCCCCAAAAGCACACAAACCAGAGAAGTGTTTCCTCCTAAACTGTAGGTCCACAGGTTACCCTAGAAACTCATCTGCAAACCAGGCAACACACAGGTTGTAAGTTTGTGAGAGAAATGGAATATCTTCCATATACACAGAACCAGATGGCATTCTATCACATCAGCTGATGTTTGTGATTATTACTCTTATTTCCCATAATTGCCCTTCTGAGATCTGCTCATCTGCGTTATGCTAAGCACATATAATTAGCCAATAAAAGATATGGAGCTGAGCCCATTTAAAAAAGTAATTACGGCCAATATGATGGTATGTAATGTAATAAGCAAGTCCAAATCATAATGTTAAATACCTTTAGAAGATAGCCAAAGAGGTTTTTGTAGAGATGACTTTTATTAAAGTCAAATGGAATATGTCCATTTTAATTGTGGCATTCAATCATCATAGACAACTCTAGAAATATGTCATGGGAAAAAAAAATAGGAAGCAAAATGGGCAAAGTAATTCTGCTGAATCACAAGGCATGGTCTTCGCTGTAGGTTCATTGCCAGGAGGAGTCCTTGAGAACGCCAAGCTTCATGGGGGGATCTACAAGAAAAGAGCTTTGAAGACAGACCTCCTTCCCCCCTTAGATTTCCCTGTCAAGATATATAAAGGAATTCAAACTAATCAAAAAGCCCAAGTGAGCCGGCTGGTTAACTAGGACAGGCCCAACTTTGAGTTCAGAAAGCTTTCTAATGTTTTCCACCTGCCTATCCAAAGAACAAAGTTTCCAGGATATGTTGACTGCAAAAGAGGCTTGCTCCTAAAGAGAAAGATCATGTGGTTGCCGAAATGGCATATCCTGGAAGTTTAGCTCAATGCTGAAAACCATTGTCATGCATAAGAAATTACCCCATGCCCAAGATACTGAGTTTCTTTTTCTTAAGCTGTTTAATCATCATGAGAAAAGTAGTCAACAGGCATGTGAGGACATGAAGCAGTTAGCCCTTGAGGTTCCCGAGGCTCTTTACAGTCTCAGCCCATCTAAATTTAGCAATCAGTGGATCCTCTTCACCCTAGCAAGGTGGGTATTTCATTGTCTCGTATTCCTCTTCTCCCCCACCACACACATGTTCCTCCCCAACAGATATCTGCTATGATCATTCCTGTTCCACCCATGCCACTGCCCTGTCTGGAATGATCTGTGCCCTCTCACCACCTCTCCAAATCGTTCAAGGCCCAATTCATGTTCCTTTCTTCATGAAATATTCCCCAATGGCACCAGCCAACACCAATATTTTTGCTTCCTGATCAGCCCTCTTCTCTGTCTCACTTACTGTCCAACTAGAGATAGAAAAGGGGACCAAGTGGCTCGCACCTGTAATCCCAGCACTTTGGGAGGCCGAGGTGGGAGGATCACTTGAGGTCAGGAGTTTGAGAACAGCCTGGGCACCATAGTGAGACCTCATCTCTAGAAAAAATTTAAAAACTAGCAGGGCATGGTGGCACGTGCCTGTGGTCCCAGCTACTTGGGAGGCTGAGGTGGGAGGATCACTTGAGCCCAGGAGGTTGGGGCTGCAGTGAGCCATGATGGCACCACTGCACTATAGCTTGGATGACAAAGGGAGAGTTGTCTCTAAAAAAAAAAATTAAAAAAGAAAGAAAGAAAAGAAAGTAAGAAAGTAAAAGAAAAGGGTTTGATCTTGGGGGGTAAAACCAACTGCTAGTGTGCCTGGAGTAATATCTTCAAGATTCCAAAGTTCCTTCTGAGTTGAAAAGTGTCATGGTCTTTAGCAATGACAGTGAGAATGGTATGGGAGGGGGGAATGGAGCACTATATGTCCAGGATTTGCCAAGCCTAGTCTAAACCATTCTTCCTGGTAGTGGTTTATAATGAAACTTAATTTTTCATTGTCTCATATTTTCCAAATGTATGCAGTTCCATGTTCTTATGGCCACTCGGATTAAATTTTCAGATTTTAAAGTGATAGGCCGCAGAAGTTACAGAGAAAAATGACCATAAAAGATGTCATAGAGAGTTACAACTGGTCATTCTTGAGGGGTCCCTCAAGCTGGCCTTCCATCTTGGGGTTGATTTGATAAGCTCTCAAAAGATGATTTCAAGTGTGCACCCAGGGGCGATGGATTTCCTGGTATGATTTCTCATAAATATATGCATGAATTTATGAATATATACATATTTATATATACATATATATATATATATTATACACACACTTTCAGCATATAGACCAGATTACTAATTAATTTCCAAATGGAGACATCCTTTATCAGAAACTACCCTCCCCAGGGCTACTTCTACAGGTTTCTACTTCTCCTTCTGAATAATGGGTAAGAAGCTGAATGTGTCCAGGAAGTGTCCCAGTGAGCATGAAATCAGAACCTTCCCTCTTTTCTTTCCAGTGGTTAAAAAGTGGGCCTTGATTAAAAACTGCTCTGCCGCTTGCCGATGAGCTTGTCCTTAGGCAGTTTCTCAGATTCACTATGTCTTGGTTTTCCCAGCTGTAGAATGCAAATAGCAATGATACCTGACACAGGGTTCTTGTATAAAGTGCTCAGAACAATAAGTAGCACCTGTTAAACACAATGTTCATTTTTATGATTACATTTTTTTCTAGTAGTTTAGAAATATAATTTCCATGATAATGTAACAGCCCTAATGGCCCAAAAAAAAAGCCCATATTATTTTTTTTAACCCCTGCATATTATTCGAAATCCAGGAGTACCAAGAAAGATCTCACCTGAGAAGGCTAATTGTGTAGTTTTTTCTCTTCCTTTATACACTATACCTGGGAGTTAGCTCCACTCCTGGATTAACTCTTATTTCTCTATTTTCTTTCTGTTTTACAACAATTCATCACACCACATATGTAGATGACTGTGTGTATGTGAACATGGCAAGTGAAACCTCACGATCTCCAGGCTGTTCGGTGAAGCTTTATGCGAATTCATTTCACCTACACCCTTCCCCTGCCCACCCAAGGCCTTGAACCGAAGCCTGTGATCCCCTCCCAAGTTGGATCCTGCCCTTCGCCAAAGGCAAGACCGCTGAAGGCGTGGCCTTCTAGATGATTCATCAGGTTGGCGGGCTCTCCCTCCCCTCCCCCTTGCCCAGGGGACACCCTGTCCGCGTGAAGAGGGGGGCCTTTGTGTGAGTGATGTTTCTCAATTATCAAACTAGTGGCGTGAAACCTTTTCCTGAAACACCTGAGTGTAAAAGGTTTTGTTACCTCCCTTTTTTTCTTTTAAATAATAAAGGAATAGCCACACCTACCTTAGTTTCTATTGGATAAAAAGGTGAATAGTTTTGTTGTGGTGGTTGTTGTTGTTTTAAGCCTTCAACTCTCAAAAGGCACAGAGTTCCCAGGTGCAAAGAGGTAGCTTAGACCTGTCTGGGGCGGATCGGGGACAGGAGCCAGCTCCCCTGAGGTCGAGCACCAGAGCCGGCCCCCAGACCCCGCCCTCGACTACAATTTCTCTTCCTTCTCCTCCCCCTTGCTTTGCGAGCTATTGACTGACTGCAGCCAGCTGAGGCCCAGGCTGTGGGAATCCGGACTTCCTTTTCTTCCCTCTCCCATTTTTCCTTCTTCCTCCACCCTCCCCCAAACCAAACCCCAAAACCTCTAGGTAGTCCAATATTAAAACCGGTGGAACAAAAGCATTCCCAAAATCAGGAGGAGGGAAAGAAGAAGACGAGGGAGGCAAAAGTAGGAGGAAAATAGGAATGTCAACATTTATTTTCCTGAAGGGGAAAAAAAATTCTCTCTGGGCAGGCAGGCCATCTTCCGGGACGGGGAATCCACAGTTTCCTCAGGTAATGAGTTCCAGGGATGCTGGATGCAGGTGGTAAAAATACGCAGCGTTTCAATGGGATGATGGGAGATGTTTACAGCCCTCCTGGGAAGATGCCAGAGAGTTTAACAGTCCTGGGATACCTCCCAGCTGCCTGCTCTGGTGCTGGATGAGTTTACGCCTCCTTTCCTGCTGGAAAAGGTGAAGCAACCAGTGACTTGTCCAGGGTCACACACCACGCTTGGGACAGAAATAACTCTGACGTCTCTTTCCTGGCTATATCAGCAGACAACATCGCCTAATGACAGTACTACCATTCCAATCTGAATCATTTAAATTGCTCCTAATTGCAGGCCTGCAGTGCACTGTAACTGCCGTATGACTCTAACTGCCAAGCCAGCCGAGATAGGAATGACTGAAGTTTTGCAAATTCCTGAATATGGAATTAAAAATGCTGGGCGGGGGAGGGGGTAGCGCAAAAGTGTTTGAAAACCACTTTGAAACTGCTGACAGGTATCCTATTTCAAATTGTTTAAAAGATGAATTGGAAATGTCAACTTAAATTTGTCATTTTATTGGAATTAGAGAAACACTTGGTGTTCAAATGGATGCGGTTCGAAAAGGCACCTCAGATATTTCTAAGAAGTTCGGCTTCACACTCTTCCTTTTTGTGTCTGCTAAATTACTGTCTCATTTTGGTGTTTAAACTTCCCTTTTAACTCCTTTGTGGGCAGATATGGGGAAAGGGGAGGGCCTGGGAAACAACCAGGCATTTGACTTCAGATCTGAACACGGGGCTGGACACGTGCTGTGCTCAGGAAAGAAAGTAAATTCCACCTGGCAAATTGCTCTAACTGATTTATTTGTCCACAAAGAGACGCCACCTACCTGCTTGCAGGTATTCAGGTAAATGACAGGTGGGCGGGGCCTCCTGACTCTTTCAATCCCTAAGGTCTCAGCAATGCTTTATCTGTCGGGGCTTCCGTGATGTCACCCATTTCCTGGTCTGGAGCGACCAATGCCGTCCTCCTTCCTCCAGGCACCTGTTCACCGAAGTTGAGGCTGGTCACAACTCCGGCGGCCCAAGGAGCTGCTCGGTTCACCCACAAGGAATGAGAGCTGCCTGCCTGCTGCTGCTTGGAGAGCCCCAGACAGTCGCTTGAAGAGGTGAGTTGAAACCCTCCATTTTTCTCTCTTGGCATTTAGACCACTGGCCCCTGAGGGATCTGAACACGGAATTTGAATGAAAAAATACAAGCTGAACGGCTTGTCGCTAGTGTTTGCCCCAGAGGGAGAAGCTTTTTTGAGACAGAAGAGTAGAGAGATGACTTTGACATTCTAGTTGCACAATAAACTTCTCCCAGGCCAGATATTTAATCCTTTTTGTTTCTCTGATCATTAATCCAGCCTGTGCTTGTCCTCGTACTTGATCTGATTAAAACAACAACAACAACCTAAAGAGAAGTAGAGTGAAGGCTTTTGTTTTGAAACTTAGCGCGAAGGTGCAGATCTGTTCAGCCCGTTTAACGGGGGCTAGGAGGCCAGTGCAGACTGGATTCAGAGTTCTTATTTTTCCTTTTCTTCCTCCCTGTATTTTGATCTAAACCTGTGAAGTGTCCCTAGTTTTTTTTTCTTTCCCCCTGAAAACCTGTTCCTCAGGGCAAATTCTGTTGCCCTATTCAGAAGCTGTGCGTTCCAGTTTTCCTCTCTTCTCTGAAAAAGTCTACCATTTTCTTTGCTCTTTGTTGAACACTCTTTTAAATACGACTTTGCAGTGTGCATTTAGAATTTGTTTACATTTAGACCTGGACTGGCTGCCTGCTGACCTTTGGTTACAGTAAGAATTAATTCCCTCATTGCTGCAAGAATGTGACTTCAGGTCTGATTTTTAATTTTTTGGACCTCTTTGGCTTTTTCTGTCTCTTTTTCTTTTAATAGCAAATATACCGAGGAAGTTGTTCTGCCAGGACCTGGCTTTTAAAGTAATTTTACCTCTAGGATCCATTTTTGTTTTCTTAATCCTGATCACACAGCCTGTATCTTGACAGCCCAATAGTCAAACTCTTTAGCCAATATTGTTGTCAGAGAAAGGAAACCATTTTTAAGCCCAGCTGCCTGCTGGGATGAGCTGGAAAAACTGGAAAAAGAAATAAATCTGCGAGACACTTCATTCTAGATTCCAACATCAGCTGTTTTTCTGAGATTTAAGTTAGCAGATGTTTGCAAGGGAATAATCTGTTAGGAATTATGCTCCTGTTCATCCACCCAGAAATACAAAATGCATGTAAATTCTCCCAAGGTATGAATTGAAACAAGCTGAGATCATTTTTGCCTTAGACAGACAGTCGTTCCTCACCACTAAGAATCTGCCCAGTTCTTGTTGCTAATTTCTGTCTTACTGTTTGGAGGTCCCTATTGTTCTTCCTTAACTGACCTTTGTTTATTATTTTCCCCAAGCTTGTGAGTTTAAGGGGGGGGGTTTGGCCACCACTTGTCTCTTACTAAGGTTCTCACTTGATTCAAAGCTTGGATCTTCTGATAAAAGTGCATCTAAACCTCTCCTCAAGATTACATTGCCTCTGGTTTACCATGGTTGATTAGTGCTTTTCACAGTAGTTAATTTATGATTAAATAAATAATTTCATCACTGTATGTCAGCATGTCTGAGTACTAAAGGAACAAAGCTGTAGACACTGTACCCCCAGGTAGAAGAAAGAAAAGAAGTGACAAAGACTGGAATTCAGAGTCAGATTGACTAGAATGCAGTTGGTCTGTTGGGTAATTTACACACAAGTCCTGTCCAGAGTTCCTGTGGTAACTCCACCCATTGGTTCAAGTGGACATAGGCCTGATGGAAAAATGTGCAATCTCCTTCATTTATATCCTTGAGCAAGTTACTTCTCTGACTTTCAGTTTCTTCATCGGTAAGATGGGAGATAATAATCCCCATGATCTAATGTGGTTGTGAGAAGTAAATGAGGTAGCTAATATATGTTAGCATCCAGCGACCAATGCCTGGTGTTAACTGGTGCTAAACTGAGGCTAGGTTCTTCCTTTGGAAGGAATTTTCCTAGGTTGCTTGGAGGAGAGAGTCTGACTCTATCAAGATAAAGATCATATGTGGTTGCAGTTGTAGGAACCTTGATAGTTCTTGTTATTGTAATTAATTGTAGGTAATTAACTGCAATGTTAACAGTTTGGAAAAAGAAAACAGGCAGGAGAATTCTTAAACAATGTCATCAAACAAGGTGGGCAGATTTGTCTCCGCTAGCCTCACAGGCAAAGCTTTTAGGAGTTGCTGGCTGGCTGTGATTTCTTCCTTTTCCCACTCTAAGGCTCTCATCCTGCAACAGACCCACAAAATGTGATTCTCCATGGGCCTTTCGGGGGAAATGTCCAGTTGTCATTGCTGTAATCTGACTTGGCAGAGAGTTCTTTTTGCTGTCAGTCGTGCTATCTCCAGGGCAGACTGGGTGTTTGGTCTCCTCCAGTCTCACAGATAAACACCCTTCTCCCTAACCAGAGTGAGGGTTCATGCCGAGCCTCTGGCAGGAGGAAGCCCCTGGTTTGGAGCCTCATTGTACCATAGAAGGAGGTTCATGACCCATTGGATGTGATTGGCCTTGTCATGCAATACCCTGTGCCCTTGGGTGACCTTGAGTCATTGCATATGAGCAGTTGTGTGCCCAGGGCCCTGGTCACTTCTCTGGGTCTCGCCCTTCAGGGATACCACAAATTTTCATCATTCAAGAGTAAGGGATTAGTGGATTGAGGTCAGTGGGTTCTACTGTTCTACTAGCTTGCCTACGGAGCCCTAAGGGAGAACCTCAACCCCCCTGCATGTCAGTTTCCTTAGCTACATTTTTCCCCAAAGGACGCTAAAATGGTGTACTTCACAGGCCCCCTCCATCCTTACAACTGAAGCAAGGTGGGCTGCATGTCCAGGTGGGTAGGTCAGACTGACTGGGGGGACTGGGTAGTGCCTCACTAGAAAATATCAATCTTATTCATTCCATTCTAGGTGGGGCAATGCTACTGCTTTAGAATAGTGGTCTGGTCTCTGGCATCAGGCTGCCTACCTGGGTTTTTGAAACCCAGATCTACCATGTGCTACCTGTGTGACCTGGGACAGATTCTTTAAGCTGCTCTCATCAGCTGTGTAATAGGGTTATCATGAAGATGAAATGGGTTGAAATGTGTAAAGTGCTTGGAATGGTACCTGCCACAGTGTTACTTGTAAATATTGAAAGGAAGGCATAGTTGATAGTATCAGACAGGTCTGTGTATCAGACCCAGTTCTACCATGTAGTTGCTAGCCTAAATAAGTTCCTTAATATTTCTTTGCTTTGGTTTCATCAGCTGGGAAATGAAATACTTCCCAGACTCAGAGCTGTTGGGAGGAATAATTGAAATAATTACATGGAAAGTGCCTGGCATATTTTAAATGTTCAGTGAGTGTTAACTATTGTTATATTATTTTAAACATTTTTATATTGCTTACAGTTAGACATCTTAGGTCATGCTACTATCTGGATGTAATAATGATGGAAACGGTAGTACGTTGAGGGCCAAAGACTGAGCAAAAAAAGATTTCCCAAAAGGCTCCCAAAGGCAGAGGAGGAAAACCTGTTAACAAAGATTGTGTTGTTTCTCTTGGAGTTCCAGGGTAGAGTGGCTGCCAGTGGAAATGCCTGGTCTTTCATAAACCTGTGGGGAGTGGGCTTCTGTGATGTGAGTAAACAGCGGGTCTTCCTGGAGCGGTGATTTCCTGGCTTCACCTGTCACTGTCTCCTTGTCTCCAAGACCTTGGCTAAGACTTCCTTTCTATATTTGAATTCCTCACTTAAAGTGGAGAAAATAGGGTCTGGTGGGATCTTGACTACTTTTTTTTTCCTTTCACTCTCTTGACCAGGATACGATCTTGACTACTCGAAATGCCGTCTGTAAGATGCTGGCAAGGCGAGGACACATAAGAGATGCTCTAAAGTGTGTCCTCCTCATTGCCTCAGTATTCATGGACTTCCCAGTAGCATACAACTATTCCTAATATTTATGTACTGACATTACATAGACTCTCTTTTATGTGGTTGGCAAATTTATTGTCCTCTGACAATGCCTCCAAAGTATCAAAGGCTTTTCAAAACTGTTTGGAAGGAAGACTGTGTCACTGTTCCTGGGTTAATATGATTTAATCATTAACTATCCCCAAAGAATAGGGTTGACATGAAAACCATAAAAAAACCATAAAATGTGGAAAACTACACTGAGCTGAAATCAGGAACAGAAAACGTTTGTTGTCTCCCGTAAACTTTCTGTGTTTACCCTTTCCTCCATTTTGTTCTGTGTGACATGAGGACACCACAGTGACCTATTTGGTTAGTTACACAGATACACACTTCAGATCAGTAAGAGGAAGAACTTTCTATGAATTAGAGTTGTCCGAAAATGTAGTAGGTTGCCTTTTGGGATACTGAGTTTCTTGTCACTGAAGGTGATCATTTTTTTTGGCATATTTAGTGCATGGTGTATGTTTGCTGGATGAGTGAATGAATTAATAAATGAATGACAAAGAGGATTTGTGTTTTTCAGCTGCACATACACTCATCTGTAAAGTGAAGATTACCTTAATGATCTCATAGGATTATTTTAGATTAAATGAAAAAACATGTTGAATACCCAGCACAGTATCTTGCATATTGCAAACTGCTCATTAAATAGTAATAATCATTATTTTTTATTTTATATTCTAAAAAGAATTTCTGCCTCAGGTAGAAGGTAGACAAGATGATCCACCAATTTGAGATTTGCAGTTTTTACAATCATCTGTTTACTCTTGTTCTCTTTGCCTTTGCCCTTCTTCACCTATCCATCTGAAAGAACTTCTCTCTGCTCTAGAAAGCCAAGTTCCTTGGCATGGTAGGCTGACTAGTACACTTCTAACAGTGGGAGCAAGTTCTATCCCAATTAACCGGGGACATTTTTGGTAACATCACTAATTTGTGACTTAGAATATGTGGACTTAGACTCCATGATTTTTTTCAAGTGACTCTTATTTGCTTCTTGTGTTTGACGCATTTGTCACAGGCACACAAAAGACTTCACCAGCAGCAGAGTCGAAACTCTCCAAGAATTTTCTTTAATAGCTTCTTGGCACAATAGCACATGCATGATGGGGAGGTCTAAATATGTCATTGCTATCTGCTGAGATGATTTGCATAACTTGCTTATGACTGCTTTTGACAGTCACGTGGCCTTTTCTGAATAGAGCGCAGCATGTTTAGGCTCCTGCATACTCGCATGAATACATGAGTCACCATGTGTTTTCAGACTCCTCATTAAATATGATTGTCTGACTTATATTACATCTTCCACAACATACACACACTCAGCCATTCTATCTGTGGCCTTTTTTTTTTCCCTTGAGGCCCTTTGCAAATTTAGTCTAACAGTCATCTCTGAAAGCATCTGTATTCTAACTTATTAATGAATTAAAGGGAAATTAATACATTTTCTAATAGGGTAGAGTTGCTAAATATGTAGCAATCTATGTGGCTGCTGTCTCCAAATATTTTTCCCTATTTCTAAGCCCTATAGAGAAGTGTTGGAAAGGATCGTTGGGAGCATTCACCCCATTCCTGCAGGAATACCCCTGGAAATATGTAACCCCTGTATTTCTAGGGCTGCCATAACAAATACCCATAAACTTGGTGGCTTAAAACAACTCCCATTTATTGTCTCACAGTTCTGGAGGCTGGAAGTTTGAAATAAAGGTAACAGCAGGGCCACACTCCTCTGAAGGCTCCAGGAGAGGGTCTTCTCTGGTCTCTTTCAGTTTCTAGTAGCTCTAGACATTCCTTAGCTTGTGGGTGCATAATTCCAATCTCTGCCTCTCTCCTCACATCACCTTCTCCTCTGCGTTTGTGTCTTCTCCTCCTGTCTTATAAGTGTCTAAGGACATCTGTCATTGAATTTAGGACCCACTCAGATAATCCAGAATGATCTCATCTCAAGATCCTAAACCTCATGACACCTTCTTAGATCGTTTTCCTGTAAGGTCATAGTCACAGGTTCTGGGGTTAAGACATGGATATATCTTTTGCAGGGACCCTCATTCTACCCACTGTATCCCCAGCTGACAACCATATACACAAGCTCTTCCAACTACTTATGGAGAGATTTCTTGTCCACTTGGAGGCTGAAATACTGAGCAAAGTACAGGCAAGGAGAGTCAGAATTGGCAGCCATCATCACTACCTTCATTTATTTCTATGTTCATGCCACAGTAGTAAGTGTTTTGTACTCTAAAGGCCTACTGAGTTCTTCCAGTCAACAGTGTGAGATATCTAATAAGACAAAACAGTAAAAACCATCATAGATTGCATTAGTAAACACATAGTATCCTGGTTAAGGAAGTGATCACTCCACTGAATCCTGAGTCCTCCAAACCAAAACAGGATAACTTCACTTCCAGGTACGGGTTTTCAAAGGGACCTTAACAAACTAGAAGGCATCCTGGGTAGATCTTTTACCACCATCTGGACTACCCAGGAAGACAATTGGAAGAACCAAAGACAAAGATAAAAACAAGGGAGGAACCACCCAATGCTGTCTTTAATTTGGGGATGTGTGTGTCATGTTTTGAGTAAGCAAATGTGATATACGTTACACTGAAAGGCAGAACAAGGCCAAAGGTCAAAGTAACGTGGGAAGCACTAGCTATTTGAAAAACTGACCAGTTCTCCATCAGTGGAAGTGTTTCAGATAGAAGCTGGTAGGTGCTGTAGGGATCTTGAAAAGAGGATTTTTCTACTTGGTGAAAATCTAAGTTCCTTAACCGATCAAAATCCTATGACTTCTAAATAAATCATTTTAAAACCTCACATAGAGGTCGTCATATGGGTCACATCAAGAGATCACTACTCTTCCTTGATTGACACATTTGCTCAGGTTCTTCTCACCTGGATTACTTCCCACTTGTCCAGATCGCATTTATCATTCGTGATCCTTCCCAAGGACCGTCTATCCCATTAACTTTCCTTGATTGTTCTGGGCCACATGCACTCTCTATTGTCTCTCCTCCAAAGCTTGTCCATGGCTCCTGTCTTGGGGCATTATACACATTGCCATGTATTATGTATTCTCTTGCAGTGTTTTTACATTTTTTTTCCTGTGGATAAACTCTGTTTTCATAATTAGACTTAAATGTATTGGAGATGAAATGGAATTCCCTACAGGAACTCCCACAGAGTTTAAGGCCAATCCCAGGCATGGATTAGGCAAAGCCATGACCCCTGTAGAATTGAAACACAGCCGGAAAATGTTGAGAATTCAAATATCTTTCCTCATCTTGTCCTTCCCTCTGTAAAACTTGGTTATCTGTTTTAAAAAAAACAACAACAACAGAAAAAAAACCATACACACATAAACACTTTTTGAAATTGTTTTTCAGCTTTGGATGAAAGAATGTCAGTTTGCTTCTTTTCCATACCCCTCTGATATCAGCTCTTCCCGGGATCCTTGGTGACTCCTAGCATGAACAGAGCTCCGAATCAATGCAAAAATACTCTGCCTTCATTTGTCGTTGTTGTTGTTGTTGTTGTTGTTGTTGTTGTTGTTGTTGTTTGCAGGGGGTCAGTTCTATTTCATCATGTTTATGGACTAGGAAATGGAAGGACATCTTTTCTGTTACAGAGTTTTTACAAACAAACCCAAGTATGGCACCCCAGGGGAAAGGTGGTAAAATCTCGTCAAGAGAAGGAACACTCTTCTCTAACCTGCTTATGAAAGGCATTCCCTGACTTCTAAAACTTGCGTCTAATTGTCTAGCCACTTGGGACTCTTTTCGCTTAACCACTTCCCTTGTTTTTCCCACATTCTGAACATCTATGTCCTCCTTTATTGACTCCAGATGTATTACATGGTCTCCCTTTAGTTCAATTCTCCTGTAATTTCTTGACATGTTTCTGACCTCTTTAAAGACCATTTAAAAGGGTTTTTTTTTTCTGTATTTTTGGGTGTTTGCAATACTATACAGGCTAATGTCATTCACAGATTCATTAATGAGTGGCTTAGTCCCTCTTCGAGATCATTGATTTAGAAATTAAGCAGAAGCAGAGCTAACCACGACCTTGGCGGCAGCCTGTAAGCACCTGCCTCCCCACTCTTTCCTCTGCAGTGTATTTGCCCCCCATCATGCACACACAGACACATCACCCCAAACTTCCAACCCAGGTTCTTAGTTTGAAGATAATTTTATTCCATGTGTGACTATTTTTATCCAGGTCATTAATGCTCCTAATTCTTCCCTATTACATGAGAGTCTGTAAGCTAAGGAATAGCCCACAGAACACTGCCCATCCTCTGTGTATGTTCATTTACAATTGGCCTTTATAAAATTGCCATAAGAGTTTGATGGCACATTATCGATCCTGTCAAGTCTTACTAAATTTATCTAAAATTTAAAATGTAATTGTACATTTACTTTGTTTAATACAGAAAGATAGACTTTGCCCTAACTTTGGCAATTATTTTCCCCCCAGTAACCTGATTTAGGAGTTACAGCTAGGGCCAGGGCAGTAGTTAGGCAGACATGCCTGCTGGGTGAATTATTTTAGAAAGAGAGATGAGGCCACCATTTGAAGAAGTGGCAGGCGCTGGTCTGTTTGGTTCCTCTGTGGGTATATTTCTGCTGTTCGTGGTCCAGGATGGTGTTTCTGACTGTGATGGTGATTTTTGCACTGAGCTGTCACCCCAGTGACCAGTTTGAAACTAAGCAACCATTCTGCCACATGGAGCTTAATCCAAATTTTAAAGCATCATCAACAATTAAAAAAAAAACAAAAAAACAAAAAATCTTAAGCTCATTTTCTTGAAGCTAAAAGTAACCTCAGAAATAATCTGATATAGAGTTAGCCCTTGTGTGTTTGAAACATGCTGTAAAACAAGAGGTTGGCTGAAGGGAGTAAAATATTTTGAATAACTTTTAAATGTGCAAAAATTCAAAGCAAACATGAATACAGTAGGGCAGAGCCTCACACTGTTTGTAAAATGTCACATTCCATGTGGTGTCCTTGCTGGAGAGAACTCTTTATTACTTGACTGGGCTCGCTTATGTACTCATGAAACAAAGCTCTTACAGGATCCGGTCGTTTTGTGATCTTTTGTGAGACCTGGCCCTAGGTTACATTCTTTGCTTCTTTGAAGCGAGTCATTCCTCTTGCCTTGTGAACCCTTCAGCAAACTGTTCACCTGTGTGTCTCTGTCAAGTGTAACAATCAGCTGAAGCAACAATCAATTCTGACCTTGGGTGAAGTTTAGTGGCACACCTGGGAAGAGTTTGTAATTCTACTGTTTTGTCATTGTAGCTGGCTGGCCACCAGGTCAGGTAAAAGGAAAATATCAAGATCCAAAAAAGTAGTTGGTAGCAGAGCTGCATCCAAACCACAGTTTTGATATTCTTAGGTTTCTAAAATTAACAGTGACAAGGTCATAATTAAGGTGAGGCAAGTGAGACACTCACCTTCAGGTGCAAAATTTAAGGTGCAGAAAAATTCAGTAATCCTAATGTGAATGCAATATTTAAAAAAATGCAAAATGAATGCAAACAATCCATGATGAACAAAAGATCAAAATGTATTCAAATAAAGACAAGATCAGTAAGCTAAAGTTATTTAGAAATTGTTTAAGATCATCACTTAGTTAAGAGAAATGATCAAACATGGCAATTTCCTCAATCAAAAACAAGATGCGTGATATGGTTTGGCTGCGTCCCCACCCAAATCTCATCTTGTATTGTAGCTTCCATAATCCCCACATGTTGTGGGAGGGACGCAAGGGGAGGTAATTGAATCATGGGGGCGGGTTTTTCCCATGCTATTCTTGCGATAGTGAGTAAGTCTCATGAGATATGTTGGTTTTATAAAGGGCGGTTCCCCTGCACATGTTCTCTCGCCTGCCACCATGTTAGACATGTTTTTGCTCCTCCTTCACCTTCCGCCATGATTGTGAGGCTTCCTCAGTCATATGGAACTGTGAGTCCATTAAACCTCTTTTTCTTTATAAATCACCCAGTCTTGGGTAATTTCTTCATAGCAGTATGAAAATGGACTAATACAGTGAGCAAAGAGGAAGGTTTTTGGAAAAAATGATGAGTGTGTTTCCTTTAAAGCCAGGAAAACAAAACTATTTCTAAAATTGTTTGGAGAATAAATAAAATATTTAAACTTAAATTGATGTTTTAAGTTTTGATATACCTACTCTTCATGTTTTCCACATTTTTCAACTTCCTTAATGATCTGAAAAAAATTAGCCATTAAAAAATAAAAATGTACATATCAGGACATACATTTTTCCTTTGACCTCAGGCTGCAACTGATAAGGGTACAACTGTCATGGTCCCGGGTGACCAGTATACCTCCTTGGATACTTTCCTTTTTCAAGTATTTGTGCATCTTTTGGGGGTGGGGTGGGGACACGGAGCACCTGGAGCTGCAGGCTTCATTTCCTCCCATTGCCTCTCCATCAGTTGCTTGTGGCCTGTCACTGTTTAAACTTTTTCATTTATAGTGAATGTCAGTGGAAGTTCTTCAGTATTTTTGTACTTCTGGGTTGGAAAAATTATGTCTGATTTATCATTTGTTTAAATGGTTTTCATTTCCCTTTTCTTGTGTTATTTACTATGTTGGTACATTTTGGAATGAGATTTATCAAAGTAAAGGAACGTTTACAAACAAATAAGAGAGCCCCACATTCCTCAGATAGCAATGGTTCTAAGGATTGGATATACATTATGAGTTCCAGTACTGAACTATTTAGCCACTGAAGACTATCTTCTGTTTATATAAATCCACCTAATGCCACTACATATTTTTGCATTTTCTAAGCTTCATTCATAGCCATTGCTTTTGTTTTTAAAAACTTCTTCATTTCTACCTTTTTACTCGTAAGATATATACCTCCTCCACCACCTCCAGGAATTGTTTTCTCCAGGCCTCAGGGCAGTGTCTCCTCCTCTACCCACTCCAGTAACAGCAGTAGTGTGTGCTATTGCTGCAAGAAAGTGGATGCAGTTTCAGGCTGTCTGGCAGTCACATCAAGGGAACAGATTCCCTCACTTCACTCTGGCATGGAGTTTTGGAGTTCATTCTACCCATACATTATAGGAGAGACACTGATAAATTGGGGAGCTTGCAGAAGAGATTTGGATGTGAAAGAAATACTGACTGAACCCGAGGCTACTCGCCCTGGGGGAGAACATGGGATCTGTCTTCAAATAATTAAAGGACTTAAAAAGTTAGGCATATTCTAAAGAGCTCCTAGGGTAACGGTGGCACTTGTGGAAAGGGCAGGTGAGGTATAGGAAAGGAAAATTTTGCTCATTATGTGGACTTTTTCCTCTATTAATCAAAGCTATCCAAAGGTAGAATCATCTATTTTATAAAGTAATAAAGGCCTTTCTCATCTGTCAGGCTTCCTTTTGACTCAGAGTCTGTGGCTATAGTGTTTCATCTTTGACAAGGTTAAAGTGCCAATGCAGGACACACCGCCATGTGACTATAAAGAAGGATTCTTTTTCATAATATGGAATCCTCCTCCTATTACTAGAAAACTGTGACTCAGGCAACAATTTCAGAGATGCTTTAGGGTCAAATCTTGTCCTTTCAATGGGAAGAACACGTAAAATTATCGTTGCCACATGCCAAATGTTATATTTATCCAATTGTCCTTCTAGTGGAGTATGTGGTTTATTCTGGCAACTACATCTGATAACCATTTTCTATAAAGCCAGGGTGCATTGAAAGGAGAATTAGCAGGACAACAGCACACCAAGGATCCCATTGTTCTGATGAGTTACCTGATGCAGAAATGTTTCCACTTCCAAACAGGCTGTATTCCAAAGGCTGTTCTTAAATCTGTCTAGTGCGTTGACAGTAGACACACGATCTCGAATGACCCTCTTGGTTGCAGGCGGCACCAACTGGCTTTTGCTCTGGTATGTGTCTTTATTGTCATCCAGGAAGTTCAAAATTTGAGAATTAGGCAGAGAAGCTTCTATACAGGTTTTAGGCTAGACAATAAAATCATAGGAAAGGAAGCAGGGATTAGGACCAAAAAGAGATGGGGGTTTTTATTTTTCTGGGTGCTTTTCAGCACTAGATTGGGGGTTTTGGCTCCATATATCTCTAAAAATCACCTCTGGTTTCTGTCCTATTCCAGATCAGAAAGAAGGAAAGGGTGATTCCTAAGGCACCACAGGGTTATACTGAAAAAGTGTAAGATTTCCACCGTACCCATCATACACGTACGTAAGGAGGGAATCAATCCACTCCACTACTCTTTCTTACTCTAAACTGCCAAAACACTGTATCACAGCTCTGTCTACTTACTTCAGTTAGGGCCAGAGATGCTGATGGCTGATACATTCAGTAAATTTATATGGACACAAAGCTGACAGGCCCTCTCTCTTACTTTTGGTGGGAGAAACTAGCTTACCTTTTCAGGCTTAATGATTTTTGATAATTTCTTCTCCATTCAGCAGCAAGGCTCTGATATGTCTGAAAACGTGATACATCATACATGTTTATAAGCTATACACTGCAAATAAGAACCACCAGG
The DNA here is from genome assembly GCF_000001405.40 of Homo sapiens. Taxonomy (NCBI): domain Eukaryota; kingdom Metazoa; phylum Chordata; class Mammalia; order Primates; family Hominidae; genus Homo; species Homo sapiens. The sequence continues at coordinate 53,578,940 of NC_000004.12, read as the reverse complement.
GAGATATTAATCATATTTTTTAAGTCTACCTGGTTCTTTCCCTTAGAGCCAAAACTGCTTGTTCAGTCAATTATCTCATAATCTGTTTCTATTCATGTAGGCTTTATTTAGTCTAAAATAAAGTCAGAAAATATATACAGCAGTGTTTACATTAACATAATATTAAGAATTTGGTTTATCCACATGGGTAAGTGCCAGGGAATTCAAATTGCTCTCAGAAAGAAAAAGAAAGGAAGGGAAAAGATAAAAGAAAATTGGAGGTGGAGCTAAATCTGCCATTTTTGCTTACTCCATTCCATTCATTCTGCCTCAGCACTCAGTGAAATCAAGGAATCTTTTTCTTCAGAGATCTTTGACATATCTACAGTCATGGACCCCATAACGACATGTTGGTCAATGACAGACTCCACATATGATGGTGATCCCATAAGATTAAAATACTGTTTTTACTGTACCTTTTCTATGTTTAGATATATAAATACTTACCATTGTGTTACAGTTGCCTACAGTATTTGGTACAGTTACATGCTGTACAGGTTTGCAGCGTAAGAGCCATAGACTACACATCTATATGGTGTATAGTCAGCTATACCGTGAAGGTGTGTGTAAGTGCACTCTATGATGTTCACCCAAGGACCAAATCGCCTAACAATGCACCTCTCAGAACATATCCCCATCATTAAGCAACACATGATTCTACTTGCAATAGAGCCTGAAGAGATTTAAAGCTTTCTAATTTCCTGGGTCTCTTGTATTTAATGAGTTACATTATTGGGATTCTGACTAGCCATAATCAAGAAAGATTCTGGGAGACAAAGTAGGGAAGTAGGAGCAGAAACTTGGAGTCAGACAGCCCCTGCCTGTTTTGTTTCTTTTTTTGGTGTGATTGACAAGTTATTTACCCTCTGCATTTCAGTTTCCTATGCCATTTGTGAGGATTGAATAACATAATATACTATAATATAAGGCCCCTAGCACAGTGCCTGGCGCATGGTAAATATTCAAAGAACTGTTAGATGAAAAAAGGATTTTTCCCAAACATCAAATCATCAAAAACAAAACAAAACATAAAAACCTCACTTGATTAGCACAGAATCATAGAACTCTATTTCTGGAAGGGACTGTTGTACACGATCTAGTCTGGTGGTTTGCAAGTTTTTTTTAAAAGCTAGGATTCTTTGACCAGAATATTAAGAGGAACATGATGCATTAAGGAAATAATGGCAGGCGGGGTGTGGTGGCTCACATCTGTAACCCTAGAACTTTGGGAGGCTAAGATGGGAGGATTGCTTGAGGCCAGGAGTTCAAGACCAGCCTGGTCAACATAGCATGACCCCATCTTTAAAAAATAATAATAATAGTAATGGCAGAGCTGGAGGAGTGGGCAAAGCTCCCCCTTGGTTTCCTCCTATCTCCACTCCCTTGGAAGATCTGGAAGTATCTGATGCCTTCCACAGCACAGTTTGAAAAACGAAAATCTGGTCCAATGCCACCATTTCACCAACAAGGGAATGGCCCAGAAACATGCAGTTGTATTTTCAGTGGTATGGCCGCACTGCAGCCTGAATTTATATTCCCCTACAGCATCATGAGAAAGAATAACCAAGACTGTAGCATGTGGGACTATATGGCAGAACACTACAGAGAAGCTTTAAAAGACCTAGAGCTTTAGTTCATCCTGTGTGAACCATTTTTCCCCTATAGATTGTAGATGATAATCTTTTGCATGGCCCATTTCCATTTTCATGTTTGTTTTTCAACTGTTTCTGATGTCACTTAAAGTATTTCCTGTGAGATTCCAGTACTTTCTAACAGCCTTGAGGACAATCAGCAGCTGCATAGATACAGATTTCCTTGAAACAACTTTACCCCCTCCTGCACCCTCTATCTTTGCCTTCTGTGGTCCTATCTGATGCTAAATAAAATGCTACAATTTCTAAATGTTTTTATATTAAGGGCATTTGCCAGCAACCTCTTCACTAGAGTGTCCTCTCAGGCATATTACTGCAGTACAGAAATGTAAACAACAAAGCTGACTCAATGAAAGCCTGAAGTCAATGTATTTTCTTTTTGAGATAAGGCTATGTTTGCACAAACAACCTCCGACTTTATTTGGAAAAGAAAAGAGATATAATACAGTTTATGACTGCTGGGCTGTTTCCAAATGTGGCTAATTTCCTGTTAGGTTATTCGTGTGTCTTTATGTTCTTGTGGAAAGCATAAGGTCTTTTAATTTACTTTTGGAAAAGAGGAAAGTTGAGTTGGGGCTGAGGGAAGAGGCAGGATTCTTTTTTTTTTAATTTATTTTTATTATTTATTTTATAATGTTTCCCCTCCCCTTAGCCCCACTAGAATGTCAGCTCTGTGAAGTCAGGGATTTAAGGCAGAAGAATGAAAATGCCCAACCTAAAATACAAGATCTACAAAAGCACCTGGATGAAGAGCCTGCCTCATGGGAAGGGCAGGGCTGTCCTGGGAAGAGTCAGCTGCACTTTGGCACCATCTGAGGTGCCTGTCCAAGCCTGACCTGAATAGGACTGGTCATGTGAGGGGTCAGTCCTGCAGGCTGCCCTCACACCTCTTCTCCAGATCTGCCATCTCCTTTAGGACCAGGGCCACGCTGTACCGCAGCTCCTGGAACTTGGCTATGGGGACCTCGAAGCGGTATGCTAACCCATCTGAAAGCTTCAGCTGCATCAGGACCCTCGGCTGCAGGAAGCGAGCCAGGGCACTGGTGGAGATTGTCACATCCACCCACCACTGAAAGTCAGCAACATGGGGCAGCCAGGCCCCCTGCTGCTGGGCCACAGAATCAAGGAGGGGCCGCTGGCTCCCAAATACCACGCTGGCCAAGTCCCCGACCAGGTCTTGGGGGATGCAGAGTTCCTGGAGCTGGTCCCTGAAGGTGTTGGGCTTCAGGCTGGTGGGGGGAAGATGGAGGGCCTGCTGGAGCAGCGTGTGCATGCCTGCCAGTAGGGCACCCAGCCACTCCTGCGGCAGGTTGGTGCTGACCCCAAGACACTGCACAGCCTCTCGGCAGTCCTCCCCTTGCAGGCTGCTGACCACAAACTTCAGCAACTTTCTAAACATGCTCCTGTTTAGGTCCCCTAGTAGCTGGTCCATTGCTGCCACCTCTGGAGGAAGCTGGGCCCCCAAGAAACTCACTCGGCCACTGTGACTACCACCAGGATGATGCAATACAGAGCTGTGGCCCCCACAGCAGACACTGCTGCTGCTTCCTCCTTGATTAGCCAGCCCAGGGGGTGGGTCCCAGATGCAGATACCTGGTGCCAGTGATCCCCAGCCAATGCAGCCAAAAGCGGGCCTGGTCCCAAGGTGGGATTCTTAATCACCATGAAAGTTGACCCAGAGCCCTAGTTTGCACTGGGCTCCTACTTGTGTGTGTGTCCATGTCACCTCTGGAATGGGGACTCCCTGAGGGCAGAAGCATATCCTTTAAGTCTCTCTCAAAGGTCTGCATATCAAACTCATGACCTAGCTCAGAGTTGGCGCTTGAAAACTATTTATTGACTTTCTACGCAAGAGACTTCCTAGATGCAAAGCAAGCATGTTGAAAAACTTGATTATTGTTGACTCCTATCTATGTTAAAGGAAAATATGTATTGTGGTAGTATTCTACTGTTTAAAAGAAATATCTAGGCTGGGCATGGGGGCTCACACCTGTAATCCCAGCACTTTGGGAGGCCAAAGCAGGTGGATCTCTTGAGGCCAGGAGTTCAAGACCAGCCTGGCCAACATGGCGAAACCCTGTCTCTACTAAAAATACAAAAATTAGCCAGGCATGGTGGCGCGCGCCTGTAATCCCAGCTACTCAGGAAGCTGAGGCAGGAGAATCACTTGCATCTGGGAGGTGGCAGTTGTAGTGAGCAGAGATCATGCCACTGCACTCCAGCCTGGGCAACAGAGCAAGACTCCGTCTAAAAAGAAAAAAAAAAAACGAAATATCTAATGGAATAAAAGAGTCCTATTAGAACAAAGCTTAAAGGCCCCTTATAGGAGCTCTAGCTTTCAGTTTCTGGGCCAACAGAGCTAGACTAGAGACAATGAATTCAGTAACAAATACATGTAAGAATTATTGAGCACTTAGTATGTGGTAGATGCAAATCTAAGAGCTTTATATATCATATCTCATTTCATCCTCACAAGAGTTCTATGAAGTAGCCTGTGATTATCCCCATTTTACAGATGTGAAAACAGAGTCTGAAATCATTGGCCCATAGTGGTGGGATTTGAACCCAGGCAAAGTGTCCAGAGCCCACTTAGCCACTAACGACCAACTGAGTGAAATGCATACAGGAGACAACAGTGCATTTATCATAGTGAAAATATGAAAGGCTCAACAGCACTATTTTCTCTCAGATGACTTAGTTGAAAGCTCTGATCTCCTACTTTTTCTGAGTTTGGGAGAAAGATGGGGAAGAAAGATAAGAGAAAGCCATCACAGTGTTAACTGTTTTTTGTTTTTTTTTTCTTGTCCTGATCTGACAAGAATTTTACAAATCACTGGTCTATTTAATTTTCTTAACAAATTACATTTTTTAGAGTTACTTTAGGCATTTCCCAGATATTACCCAAATGATTCTTACCACACCAATGTGAGGATGTGAAAGGTGAACATTATTCCCACTGGCATGCGTGGAAAAACAGAGGCACGAGGAGGCCATGGGGCTTGCCCAAGGTCCTGTCAGTCACTCCAGAGTGGACCCTCAACCCTGGCTTTCTGAATCGTAGCTCAATTCCCCATGCATTGGCAGCCCTGTCTCATGTCTACCATAAGCATAAGCCTTTCATGTGCTGGGAAGCAAAGGTGAGCCTTCTTGTTCTTTTTTAGGTGTGTGGATGTCTCCTAGATCTTGACTTGCTCCTGAGGAAATATTGTGTGACTGAGTTTCCTGTTATACTGCTCTCCAATCCATCATGAACCAGCCAGAGTCTGCCAACGATCCTGAACCCCTGTGTGCAGTGTGTGGCCAAGCCCACTCCTTGGAGGAAAACCACTTCTACAGCTATCCAGAGGAAGTGGATGATGACCTCATCTGCCACATCTGCCTGCAGGCTTTGCTGGACCCCCTGGACACTCCGTGTGGACACACCTACTGCACCCTCTGCCTCACCAACTTCCTGGTGGAGAAGGACTTCTGTCCCATGGACCGCAAGCCTCTGGTTCTGCAGCACTGCAAGAAGTCCAGCATCCTGGTCAACAAACTCCTCAACAAGCTACTGGTGACCTGCCCATTCAGGGAGCACTGCACCCAGGTGTTGCAGCGCTGTGACCTCGAGCATCACTTTCAAACCAGGTAGGTCCCCCATCAGCGAGCCGGTAAGTCCCACCCCCAAGCGGGACAGCTGGACCCCTCCACCCCCCAGTCTCCTGAGGGCTTCCAACCAATGAAATGATCCATTCAAAATAAAAAAACAGCTAGGTGTTTATGGTCATGATTCAGTGTGAGGAAATAGCATTTGGTGGAGTTGTGTTGTATGTATGTGTTTATGGGATTTTTTAAAATTCTAATAAAATGTAACATAAAGTTTACCATTTTTAACCACTATGAGTATACAGTTCAGTGGTATTAAGTACTTTCATGTATTGTGCAACTATCACCACCATCCATCTCTAGAAATTTTTCATCTTCCATAATGGAAACTCTATATCCATTAAACACGAATTCCCCATTCCACCTTCCCCCAGCCCCTGGCAGCCACCATTCCACTTTTTGTCTCCATGGATATGACTGCTCTAAGTGCTTCATATCAACGACATCATACAGTATTTGTCCTTTTGCGACCAGCTCATCTCATGTGTGTATGTTTTGAAATGTGAAATATACCAGAGAGGGTGTATGAGCAGATTTCTCTGAGGCTTATGGGCCTCAAAAGGATTTCCTGTTGGGCACTGCTTGCTTTTTCACTTAAGGAAAAAAAGGTGCCCCAGTTTGACCCTTGATTATTAGAATTTCCTCTGTATTGGAATTGACAAGGCACAACTGTCCTTCAAGAAGGTGTGAGGTGTTCTCAATTAAGTTTTAAAAGGAGAAATTTAGGAAACTTTTGTCTTCCAAGCAATTTGTTCTGCTAACTTTGTGGCCAAGTTACTAAGTTGCACGTGCACACACACACCCACACACACACACACCCACACTGGTGGCAGAATTCTGGTGTGATTGCCGCTGCTGATGGCTGACATCACCTGTTCCATCTGGCTGCCTCTCATTTTGTCCACTTACATTGTCATGTTCTTGGACATTGAGAACATTTAAGGTGCTTAATAAAGGGTGAACAATCATACCACAATTATTTTGTAAGAGGAAATTTGGAAGATGTTGTTTATCCTGGTTCCTGTCATGACAAGGGCAAGAGGCAGGTGCAGGTATTTTTTTTAAAGGTCACATACCTTAGGTCATGAATCTGAGCCTTTGTCTTTTGGGACATGCATGGATTCTCTAACATGGAAGTTTGCATCAAAAGCAATGGCCTGGGTGTAATGCTTAGCACATGTTTTCCACGCTCATTATGTCAGTGAATTCATTTTTCTCCCCAAGACGTTCAGCCAGATGCTTCCACCTCAGGTTTTTGGGTTGCAGCTGTTATTGCTGGTGTTTAAACTAGGATGCCCTACCTCCCTCATTCCCCAGAAATAGATGTGGTTAAAGGAGGAGTGGGTAGGGTAGTCTATTTGTGACTTTTGCTGAAAGTTTTGCCCAGGTATGGGAGACGTTGGTGGGAAAGAAGTAGGTCTGGAGTCAAAGGTGAGGTAGATGCCAACAGGAGTTGGCACAGAGCCAGGTTTGAGAGTGGGAGCCACACTGGGCAAGGGGATGAGGGGCATGAGGAGGAGAAAGAGCTCCTCTACCCTCACCACAGTCCCGTGTTGCAATTATACATTTGTGCTGGGGAGCTGTGTTCATTTCTTGTTGCTGCTGTAACAAATCACAAACTTAGTGACTTAAAACAACCCAAATTGCTGGGCGCAGTGGCTCACACCTGTAATCCCAGCATTTTGGGAGGCTGAGGCAGGAGGATCACTTGAGCCCAGGAGCTTGAGACCAGCCTGGACAACATAGCAAGACCCCATCTCTATAAAAAATTTAAAAATTAGCCAGACCTGGTGATGTCTGCCTGCAGTCTTAGTGATTCAGGGGGCTAAGGTGGGAGGATTGCTTGAGCCTGGGAGTTGAGGGTGAAGTGAGCTGTGATGCGCTACTGCACTCCAGCCTAAGTGACAAAGTGAGACTGTCTCAAAAAAAGAAAAAAACAAATTTGTTACCATACAGTTTTGAGGGTCAGAGGTCTAACGTACATCTCGGTGGACTAACATTGAGGTGTCAGCAGGGTAGCATTCCTGTTGGCTTCAGGGGAGAATCCCTTTCCTTGCCTCTTCCAGCTTCTAGTGCTGCCTGTCTTCCTTGGCTCGTGGCCTCCTCTTCCATCTTCAGAGCCAGCCGCATAGCATCTTCCAGGCTCTCTCTGGCCTCTGCTTCCATCCTCACATCTCCTTCTGTGACTCTGAGACTCCTGCCTCCCTCCTATAAGAACTCATGTGATTACCTTGGGCCCACCTGGATAATCCAAGATGGCTCCTTCATCTCAAGATTCTTAATTTACGCGGGGCATGGAGGCTCACACCTGTAATCCCAGCACTTGGGAGGCGGAGGCAGGCAGATCACTTGAGATCAGGAGTTTGAGACCAATTTGGCTAACATAGTGAAACCCTGTCTCTACTAAAAATATAAAAATTAGCTGGGCATGGTGGCCCAAGCCTGTAATCCCAGCTACTTGGGAGGCTGAGGCATGAGAATCACTTGAACCCAGGAGGCAGAGGCTGCCAGTAAGCCAAGATTAGGTGACAGAGCGAGACTCCATCTCAAAAAAAAAAAGATTCTTTTTTTTTTTTTTTAGACGGAGTCTGGCTCTGTCGCCCAGGTTGGAGTGCAGTGGCGCGATCTCTGCTCACCACAAGCTCGGCCTCCCGGGTTCATGCCTTTCTCCTGTCTCAGCCTCCAGAGTAGTTGGGACTACAGGTGCCCACCACCACGCACAGCTAATTTTTTGTGCTTTTAGTAGAGACGGGTTTTCACTGTGTTAGCCAGGATGGTCTCGATCTCCTGACCTCGTGATCCGCCCGCCTCAGCCTCCCAAAGTGCTGGGATTACAGGCGTGAGCCACCACGCCCAGCCAAAAGATTCTTTTTTTTTGAAAATATGCAAGATGTAAATATTTTTCTTTTATTTATTTATTTATTTATTTATTTATTTATTATTATACTTTAAGTTTTAGGGTACATGTGCACATTACGCAGGTTAGTTACATACGTATACATGTGCCATGCTGGTGTGCTGCACCCACTAACTCGTCATTTAGCATTAGGTATATCGCCCAATGCTATCCCTCCCCCCTCCCCCCACCCCACAACAGTCCCCAGAGTGTGATGTTCCCCTTCCTGTGTCCATGTGATCTCATTGTTCAATTCCCACCTATGAGTCAGAATATGCGGTATTTGGTTTTTTGTTCTTGTGATAGTTTACTGAGAATGATGGTTTCCAATTTCATCCATGTCCCTACAAAGGACATGAACTCATCATTTTTTATGGCTACATAGTATTCCATGGTGTATATGTGCCACATTTTCTTAATCCAGTCTATCATTGTTGGACATTTGGGTTGGTTCCAAGTCTTTGCTATTGTGAATAATGCCGCAATAAACATACGTGTGCATGTGTCTTTATAGCAGCATGATTTATAGTCCTTTGGGTATATACCCAGTAATGGGATGGCTGGGTCAAATGGTATTTCTAGTTCTAGATCCCTGAGGAATCGCCACACTGACTTCCACAATGGTTGAACTAGTTTACAGTCCCACCAACAGTGTAAAAGTGTTCGTATTTCTCCACATCCTCTCCACCACCTGTTCTTTCCTGACTTTTCAATGATCGCCATTCTAACTGGTGTGAGATAGTATCTCATTGTGGTTTTGATTTGCATTTCTCTGATGGCCAGTGATGGTGAGCATTTTTTCATGTGTTTTTTGGCTGCATAAATGTCTTCTTTTGAGAAGTGTCTGTTCATGTCCTTCGCCCACTTTTTGATGGGGTTGTTTGTTTTTTTCTTGTAAATTTGTTTGAGTTCATTGTAGATTCTGGATATTAGCCCTTTGTCAGATGAGTAGGTTGCAAAAATTTTCTCCCATTTTGTAGGTTGCCTGTTCACTCTGATGGTAGTTTCTTTTGCTGTGCAGAAGCTCTTTAGTTTAATTAGATCCCATTTCTCAATTTTGTCTTTTGTTGCCATTGCTTTTGGTGTTTTAAACATGAAGTCCTTGCCCATGCCTATGTCCTGAATGGTAATGCCTAGGTTTTCTTCTAGGGTTTTTATGGTTTTAGGTCTAACGTTTAAGTCTTTAATCCATCTTGAATTGATTTTTGTATAAGGTGTAAGGAAGGGATCCAGTTTCAGCTTTCTACATATGGCTAGCCAGTTTTCCCAGCACCATTTATTAAATAGGGAATCCTTTCCCCATTGCTTGTTTTTCTCAGGTTTGTCAAAGATCAGATAGTTGTAGATATGCGGCGTTATTTCTGAGGGCTCTGTTCTGTTCCATTGATCTATATCTCTGTTTTGGTACCAGTACCATGCTGTTTTGGTTACTGTAGCCTTGTAGTATAGTTTGAAGTCAGGTAGTGTGATGCCTCCAGCTTTGTTCCTTTGGCTTAGGATTGACTTGGCAATGGGGGCTCTTTTTTGGTTCCATATGAACTTTAAAGTAGTTTTTTCCAATTCTGTGAAGAAAGGCATTGGTAGCTTGATGGGGATGGCACTGAATCTGTAAATTACCTTGGGCAGTATGGCCATTTTCACGATATTGATTCTTCCTACCCATGAGCATGGAATGTTCTTCCATTTGTTTGTATCCTCTTTTATTTCCTTGAGCAGTGGTTTGTAGTTCTCCTTGAAGAGGTCCTTCACATCCCTTGTAAGATGGATTCCTAGGTATTTTATTCTCTTTGAAGCAATTGTGAATGGGAGTTCACTCATGATTTGGCTCTCTGTTTGTCTGTTATTGGTGTATAAGAATGCTTGTGATTTTTGCACATTGATTTTGTGTCCTGAGACTTTGCTGAAGTCGCTTATCAGCTTAAGGAGATTTTGGGCTGAGACAATGGGGTTTTCTAGATATACAATCATGTCATCTGCAAACAGGGACAATTTGACTTCCTTTTTTCCTAATTGAATACCCTTTATTTCCTTCTCCTGCCTAATTGCCCTGGCCAGAACTTCCAACACTATGTTGAATAGGAGTGGTGAGAGAGGGCATCCCTGTCTTGTGCCCCCCTGTCTTGTGCCCGTTTTCAAAGGGAATGCTTCCAGTTTTTGCCCATTCAGTATGATATTGGCTGTAGGTTTGTCATAGATAGCTCTTATTATTTTGAAATATGTCCCATCAATACCTAATTTATTGAGAGTTTTTAGCATGAAAGGTTGTTGAATTTTATCAAAGGCCTTTTCTGCATCTATTGAGATAATCATGTGGTTTTTGTCTTTGGCTCTGTTTATATGCTGGATTACATTTATTGATTTGCGTATATTGAACCAGCCTTGCATCCCAGGGATGAAGCCCACTTGATCATGGTGGATAAGCTTTTTGATGTGCTGCTGGATTTGGTTTGCCAGTATTTTATTGAGGATTTTTGCATCAATGTTCATCAAGGATATTGGTCTAAAATTCTCTTTTTTGGTTGTGTCTCTGCCCGGCTTTGGTATCAGAATGAAGCTGGCCTCATAAAATGAGTTAGGGAGGATTCCCTCTTTTTCTATCAATTGGAATAGTTTCAGAAGGAATGGTACCAGTTCCTCCTTGTACCTCTGGTAGAATTCGGCTGTGAATCCATCTGGTCCTGGACTCCTTTTGGTTGGTAAGCTACTGATTATTGCCACAATTTCAGATCCTGTTATTGGTCTATTCAGAGATTCAACTTCTTCCTGGTTTAGTCTTGGGAGAGTGTATGTGTCAAGGAATTTATCCATTTCTTCTAGATTTTCTAGTTTATTTGCATAGAGGTGTTTGTAGTATTCTCTGATGGTAGTTTGTATTTCTGTGGGATCGGTGGTGATATCCCCTTTATCATTTTTTATTGCATCTATTTGATTCTTCTCTCTTTTTTTCTTTATTAGTCTTGTTAGCAGTCTATCAATTTTGTTGATCCTTTCAATAAACCAGCTCCTGGATTCATCAATTTTTTGAAGGGTTTTTTGTGTCTCTATTTCCTTCAGTTCTGCTCTGATTTTAGTTATTTCTTGCCTTCTGCTAGCTTTGGAATGTGTTTGCTCTTGCTTTTCTAGTTCTTTTAATTGTGATGTTAGGGTGTCAATTTTAGATCTTTCCTGCTTTCTCTTGTGGGCACTTAGTGCTATAAATTTCCCTCTACACACTGCTTTGCATGCGTCCCAGAGATTCTGGTATGTTGTGTCTTTGTTCTCATTGGTTTCAAAGAACATCTTTATTTCTGCCTTCATTTCGTTATGTACCCAGTAGTCATTCAGGAGCAGGTTGTTCAGTTTCCATGTAGTTGAGTGGTTTTGAGTGAGATTCTTAATCCTGAGTTCTAGTTTGATTGCACTGTGGTCTGAGAGATAGTTTGTTATAATTTCTGTTCTTTTACATTTGCTGAGGAGAGCTTTACTTCCAACTATGTGGTCAATTTTGGAATAGGTGTGGTGTGGTGCTGAAAAAAATGTATATTCTGTTGATTTGGGGTGGAGAGTTCTGTAGATGTCTATTAGGTCCGCTTGGTGCAGAGCTGAGTTCAATTCCTGGGTATCCTTGTTGACTTTCTGTCTCGTTGATCTGTCTAATGTTGACAGTGGGGTGTTAAAGTCTCCCATTATTAATGTGTGGGAGTCTAAGTCTCTTTGCAGGTCACTCAGGACTTGCTTTATGAATCTGGGTGCTCCTGTATTGGATGCATATATATTTAGGATAGTTAGCTCTTCTTGTTGAAATGATCCCTTTACCATTATGTAATGGCCTTGTCTCTTTTGATCTTTGTTGGTTTAAAGTCTGTTTTATCAGAGACTAGGATTGCAACCCCTGCCTTTTTTTGTTTTCCATTTGCTTGGTAGATCTTCCTCCATCCTTTTATTTTGAGCCTATGTGTGTCTCTGCACATGAGATGGGTTTCCTGAATACAGCACACTGATGGGTCTTGACTCTTTATCCAATTTGCCAGTCTGTGTCTTTTAGTTGGAGCATTTAGTCCATTTACATGTAAAGTTAATAGTGTTATGTGTGAATTTGATCCTGTCATTATGATGTTAGCTGGTTATTTTGCTCGTTAGTTGATGCAGTTTCTTCCTAGTCTCGATGGTCTTTACATTTTGGCATGATTTTGCAGCGGCTGGTACCGGTTGTTCCTTTCCATGTTTAGCGCTTCCTTCAGGAGCTCTTTTAGGGCAGGCCTGGTGGTGACAAAATCTCTCAGCATTTGCTTGTCTGTAAAGTATTTTCTTTCTCCTTCACTTCTGAAGCTTAGTTTGGCTGGATATGAAATTCTGGATTGAAAATTCTTTTCTTTAAGAATGTTGAATATTGGCCCCCACTCTCTTCTGGCTTGTAGGGTTTCTGCAGAGAGATCCGCTGTTAGTCTGATGGGCTTCCCTTTGAGGGTAACCCGACCTTTCTCTCTGGCTGCCCTTAACATTTTTTCCTTCATTTCAACTTTGGTGAATCTGACAATTATGTGTCTTGGAGTTGCTCTTCTCCAGGAGTATCTTTGTGCCGTTCTCTGTATTTCCTGAATCTGAACGTTGGCCTGCCTTGCTAGATTGGGGAAGTTCTCCTGGATAATATCCTGCAGAGTGTTTTCCAACTTGGTTCCATTCTCCCCATCACTTTCAGGTACACCAATCAGACGTAGATTTGGTCTCTTCACATAGTCCCATATTTCTTGGAGGCTTTGCTCGTTTCTTTTTATTCTTTTTTCTCTAAACTTTCCTTCTCGCTTCATTTCATTCATTTCATCTTCCATTGCTGATACCCTTTCTTCCAGTTGATCACGTCGGCTCCTGAGGCTTCTGCATTCTTCACGTAGTTCTCGAGCCTTGGTTTTCAGCTCCATCAGCTCCTTTAAGCACTTCTCTGTATTGGTTATTCTAGTTATACATTCTTCTAAATTTTTTTCAAAGTTTTCAACTTCTTTGCCTTTGGTTTGAATGTCCTCCCGTAGCTCAGAGTAATTTGATCGTCTGAAGCCTTCTTCTCTCAGCTCGTCAAAGTCATTCTCTGTCCAGCTTTGTTCTGTTGCTGGTGAGGAGCTGCGTTCCTTTGGAGGAGGAGAGGCGCTCTGATTTTTAGAGTTTCCAGTTTTTCTGTTCTGTTTTTTCCCCATCTTTGTGGTTTTATCTACTTTTGGTCTTTGATGATGGTGATGTACAGATGGGTTTTTGGTGTGGATGTCCTTTCTGTTTGTTAGTTTTCCTTCTAACAGACAGGACCCTCAGCTGCAGGTCTGTTGGAGTACCCTGCAGTGTGAGGTGTCAGTGTGCCCCTGCTGGAGGGTGCCTCCCAGTTAGGCTGCTCGGGGGTCAGGGGTCAGGGACCCACTTGAGGAGGGAGTCTGCCCATTCTCAGATCTCCAGCTGCGTACTGGGAGAACCACTGCTCTCTTCAAAGCTGTCAGACAGGGACACTTAAGTCTGCAGAGGTTACTGCTGTCTTTTTGTTTGTCTGTGCCCTGCCCCCAGAGGTGGAGCCTACAGAGGCAGGCAGGCCTCCCTGAGCTGTGGTGGGCTCCACCCAGTTCGAGCTTCCAGGATGCTTTGTTTACCTAATCAAGCCTGGGCAATGGTAGGCGCCCCTCCCCCAGCCTCGCTGCCACCTTGCAGTTTGATCTCAGACTGCTGTGCTAGCAATCAGCGAGACTCCGTGGGGTAGGACCCTCCGAGCCAGGTGGGGGATATAATCTCGTGGTGCGCCATTTTTTAAGCCCGTCGGAAAAGCGCAGTATTCGGGTGGGAGTGACCTGATTTTCCCGGTGCTGTCTGTCACCCCTTTCTTTGATTAGGAAAGGGAACTAACTCCCTGACTCCTTGCGCTTCCCAAGTGAGGCAATGCCTCGCCCTGCTTCGGCTGGCGCAGGGTGCGCGCACCCACTGACCTGCGCCCACTGTCTGGCACTCCCTAGTGAGATGAACCCGGTACCTCAGATGGAAATGCAGAAATCACCCGTCTTCTGTGTCGCTCAGGCTGGGAGCTGTAGACCAGAGCTGTTCCTATTCGGCCATCTTGGCTCCTCCCCAAAAGATTCTTAATTACATCTGCAAAGTCCCTTTTGCCATATGAAGTGACATACTCAGAGGTTCTGAGGATTAGGAGCTGGACATCTCTGGGGAATAATTATTCTGCCCACCCCAGGAGTAAGAGTGGGGAGACAGAAGACAGCACTGGAGTCATCCTCTGGGGAGAAAGTGAAAACCCAGCCACTCCTCCTCATCCCCTCATCCAGGACTGTTTGGGGTCTGAGAGTTTTTCTAAAAATAGGGAGAAGATGGTGTGTGGATCTGAGGGTGAAGCCAGAAGGGATGTGGGGAAGGGGAAGGGCTAGCAGGTGGCTGTTGGAACTCTGTGAGGTCTTCAGGAGAAAGATGACACAGGTGCCCCTCAGCTGCCTGAAGCAGACTGGGAATTTCATTCACCCTTAGCCCATGCAGCCCGTGTGACCCCCACACACCTCAAGGAAGCCTGAGATAGAGGCTTGATGAACACTCAGCTCATAATGAGATGCACTTTTGGAAAACAGCAGTGAGGAGAGAAACCAAAACTGACTGAAAGTGAGTCACCTTTTTAAGCTGCACCCTGTGAGTGAGTCCTTCACAGGCGCCCACAGCAGCTCTCTGGAGAGGATGCCCCCACATCAGGGAGGCGTGGGCCTCAACACATGCTCTCAAGCCTCCACACTTCTGCTTCCTAAGTAGGTTGAAACCAACATTTCCACAAATATGTTGTATGTATTAGTCACCATATGCCTGATATACATTCCTTCGCCTCCCACCCCCTTGACATTTTATTGGCAAGGATTAAGAATTTGAAGTTAACCTGGCCAGGTGCAGTGGCCCATGCCTGTAATCCCAGCACTTTGGGAGGCCGAGGCGGGTGGATCACGAGGTCAGGAGTTCAAGACCAGCCTGACCAAAATGGTGAAACCCCGTCTCTACCAAAAATTCAAAAATTAACCAGGCGTGGTGACAGATGCCTGTAATCCCAGCTACTCGGGAGGCTGAGGCAGGAGAATCGCTTGAACCTGGGAGGCAGAGGTTGCAGTGAGCTGAGATCACACCACTGTA
Organism: Homo sapiens; assembly: GCF_000001405.40. Taxonomy (NCBI): domain Eukaryota; kingdom Metazoa; phylum Chordata; class Mammalia; order Primates; family Hominidae; genus Homo; species Homo sapiens. Next base: position 53,563,586 of record NC_000004.12, on the reverse strand, counting down.
CTCCAGCCTGGGTGACAGAGCGAGACTCTGTCTCAAAAAAAAAAAAAAAGAATTTGAAGCTAACCTAGAACCAGACTGTGGATCTCTCTTGGCCTTTGGGTCTGTGATGGGCCAGTAGGCCCCCCTCTTACTCCCCTTAGGAGGGATATTAAGAAGAATACTTAAGAAGTAGTTAATACCTCTGGAGACCCTTGAATTTAGAAAACTAACAGGCAAGTGTTTACTTTTCTCTGTGAGGCCTCCAGGCTGGTGGCTGCTTGTATGGGAGTCTTGTCATAGCTTTTGTTTATAAATTTTGCATTGGTTTGCTTGATCTTTAACATCACTTTACTCAATAAATATGCATCTAAATAAAATTGTTTTAAATTTTATTTACTTATTTATTTATTTTGAGTTGGAATCTCACTCTGTCGCCCAGGCTGGCACGATCTCAGCTCACTGCAAGCTCTGCCTCCGGGATTCATGCCATTCTCCTGCCTCAGCCTCCCGAGTAGCTGGGAATACAGGTGCCCACCACCATGCCCGGCTAATTTTTTGTATTTTAAGTAGAGACAGGTTTTTACCATGTTAGCCAGAATGGTCTCGATCTCCTGACCTCGTGATCCGTCTCGGCCTCCCAAAGTTCTGGGATTACGGGCTTGAGCCATTGTGCCAGGCCCAAATTTTATTTTTTTAATTGACAAATACATATTGTATATGTGTATGGTGTACAATATGATGTTTTAAAATATGTATATATTGTGAAATGGCTAAAGCAAGCCAATCAACATGCATTACCTCATATATGTACCATTTTTGTGATGAAAACACTTAAAATGTACTCACTTAGTAATTTTCTACTGCACAATACATTGTTATTAACTATAATCACCTCGTTGTACAAATAATCTCCTGAATTTATGCCTCCTGTCTAACTGAAATTTCTGCACCTGTTGCCCAACAGGAGACTTAAGTCAGGGTACAGGCAGACAGAATCACATCTTTAAACAGCTGGTGCCTGTTTTCTCCAGAATGCGTTTCATTTGTAAACAATACTTGTCTACTAAATATAAATACTTGAGCAAAACATTTAGGACTGGCTGTAGGTATGCATGACTGGCTAGATCATTGATTGTCTTCAGACTAGAGAGCTCTTTTATGGGAATAAGTCTGAGTTTGGAGCTAGCAGTTGGAAACTTCTGGCTAATTCTGTTGATTTCTGCCCTCTTAGATGCTTACAGACTCCCATCACATGGGTCTACTGTAGAGAATTCCCAGGGTGGTGATGGACTTATTGAGTTGAATGGCAGCCTTCCTAACTGGAGGCCATTACCAGTGTGTAGTGGGGCCCCTGGAGAGGGCCCATCTGCTCATCTCTCTTGACCCAGACTTTCAATGAGAAGGTGTGTGGAAGCCAAGCTTTTACTTCTTGATCCTGAGCGAGACTTATTTTAGGCTCAAGACCACATTTCCATTTTGTAATCTCATCATCTGCATACACAGTATTTAGCAAGGATTCACAATAGGTCAGGCCCTGAATGAAAGAAAAATAAGTTGTGATTTCTGCCTCTAAGGAAATGACCTTTTAAAGGTAAAAGAGAGAAGTTGAAAACATACGTGAATTGTTTCATAGGACAACTCACTTTGCCCTTTACTTTCTCTCCTTTTTCCTTTTTTTTAATTCTGGGATACACGTACAGAACGTTCAGGTTTGTTACATAGGTGTATGTGTGTCATGATGGTTTGCTGCACCTACTCTCTTATTTTCTAAAAATGGAAGATAATAAAACTGACCCTCCTCAAGTATTTACTAGTATGAATACAGAGTTCATTGTTCAATAATTTGAAATGAGCTGTGAATGAAAACGTGATGTAATTGGCCCAAGACATACGTGGCTGAAGGCTGGCTGGGAATATTTTCCGGATTAACTTTGCATCCAGTGTCCTGGGAGTTTCTTCTCCAAAGGTCTAACCTGGATCGTCTGTTGACCTTTACTTCCATCCAGGGTAGTGTGTTCAGGACAACACAGCTAGCTGTCTACAAAGTGGGGAAGACTTTATTGAAAGAAAAAATACACGGAGGGCCAGGCACAGTGGCTCAAGCTTGTAATCCCAGCACTTTGGGAGGATGACGTGGGCGGATCATGAGATCAGGAGATCAAGACCATCATGGCCAACACAGTGAAACCCCATCTCTACTAAAAATAGAAAAATTAGCTGGGTGTGGTGGTGCATGCCTGTAGTCCCAGCTACTCGGGAGGCTGAGGCAGGAGAATCGTTTGAACCTGGGAGGCGGAGGTTGCAATGAGTCAAGATCGCCCCATTGCACTCCAGTCTGGTGACAGAATGAGACTCCATCTCAAAAAAAGAAAAGAAAAGAAATACAGGGGACTATTACCTATGAAAAGTAAGCATGTATTAGTCTTGCTGGTCATTTTAGCCAGACTAAGCATCTCATAATAATTGTGCTTTGACATACATCCTTACTGTGACCTTCTAACTCTGAACCCAACATTTTCCTGGCCCCTAAATAAACCTTGTTTAGTGAAAAGAAAAGAAGCAAGAAAATAGGAGATAATCAGTGATATCTGAGATAACATTTAAGGATAAACAGGACAGCCAGGCAAAGAATAGGGCAAAGATTAGAGTTAGGGCTGTTTACCGGCAAGGAAGCCATGGAGCAATCTCTGTTCATTTGAGGTTGGGTTTTAGCCCCAAGGGATTGTATTAATTAGGATTACATCAGATGGCAGGTAATGGAAAATTGTGTTATATTGGTTTAACCAGGTAGAAGTTTTGTTTTTCTCATGTAATACAAAGTCTAAGGGTAGGAAGCCCAGGATTACTATGATTTTGCCATGACATGATGCCAGCAGGAATCGGTTCAGTTTTCATCCTCAAGTTTGTCACCTCATGGTCTCAAATGGCTGCATGCTTCAGTGTTATGTACAAGTTCCAGGCAGAAAGAATTAGGCAGGCAGGGAAAAATACAATGTGCCAATGGAGACACCTTCCTTTAAAGAGCCTTCTGAGATGCCTTACCCAGTAATTTCTACTCATACCTCATTAGTCACTATTGTGTTATACAGATGCCCATCTGTGAGAGGGTCTACATGTAGTAACAGCATAAATAAAACCTGGGTTCTGTTATAAGGAAGAAGGGGAGGTTAAATATTTGATAGGCAACCAGCAGTGGTTGCAATAGCAACATAAAAAACAACAGAAAACCTTACATTCATGTTTATATTGCAGTCACATTAATTAATTAATTTCATCCCCTTTAAATGCAAGGTGGTGAATGGGCAGTCATCCTTTTTTAATAAAAGATGTATCAAATGTCAGAAGCAATCTGACATGTCCAAGATCGTCAGAAATACAATCCAATACCAATATGAAGTCCACAACCTTTATAATACATCATGCTACTTAAGAGTTCTGATCTATATAGGAGGTCGTGGACATCCAAGAAGAGCATGTTTCAGGACTTTGTGAAACTCCATATTTAGGATAAGACTATAACATGTCACTTCTCTAATAGTATAGGAGGAAAGAAGGGATAAGAAAAGAATAACAAAACCTCTTGGAGATAGCTGTTAAGCTTCCAAGTAGGCTCATTCACTATCGCTAATAGTTATTAGTAACAGTAGACCCAGGTGCAGTGGCTTGCACCTGTAATCCTAGCTACTTGAAGGTTGAGGCAGGAATATTGCTTGAGGCCAAAAGTTCAAGACCAGCCTGGGCAACATAGAGGGACCCTCATCTCTGAAAAAGATTTTAATTTTTTTTTTTTTTTTTAGCCAGGCATGGCGGCACGCACCTGTAGTCCCAGCTACTTGGGAGGCTGAGGCAGGAGGATTGCTTGAGCCCAGGAGTTCACCACTGCAGTGAGGTATAATTGTGACACAGCACTACAGCCTGGGTGACAGAGCAAGACCCCCATCTCTGAAAAAAATAAAATACAATAACATTAAGCTAATACTCGTTAAGCCCTTTGTTGTTTATGGGCATTGCCTCATTTCACCTTCTTACTAGCACTCTGAGTTAAGCACTATTACTATTGTCTTTCTTTTACAGGGGAGGACATGAAAGTTCAGAGAGGTTAACCAAACATGCCTACTGTCATACAGCTAGTATGCAGCAGAGCTAGAACTCTAACCTCAAGCTTCTCTAACCCCAGCACCTACATATCAAACCTAACTTCTTTCTACTGCTTTCCATGAGCTCTGACTCACTCTTGCAGAGCAGCCTTACAGAGAATAGAATTCCAATTTGGACCTCAACAAAATCATGAATTATTATATCCCATGTTTTATCAAGGTTGTTCATCTGCACTTTAAACTGTAGAAATTAAATCTGCACATTCTAAGAGTCTTCTGTATTTAAACTCTTTAGCCCTGCCTCTGATGCCAAATTCCTAATGACTACGCAGTTCATTGCAACTCGTCTCATCCTGTAGACTTTTCTCTGGTCTACTTCCTGTGGAGTGGAGTTTGCTATCATGGCTTGGCTGTCATTAATGTGATGAATGTAATTATCCCTTCGAGCCATTTCTATTAAGATTCTGGTCTTGAGTTGGCAAAATGGAATTTAATCTTCTTGAATATGGGGTAAGCGAGAGTCCTGGGGGCTTCTGTGGCATTCCAGAGCTTAGGCCTGCAAAGAAGTCTTAGTGTTGAGGCCGGTGATGCAGTCTCAAATCCCAGATCTTAAAGCTGGAAGAGGGGATGTGGCCCAGTCCCTGACAGACCAGGTAGGTAAGGCATAATTAGCTCCATTTCAAAGGTAAGGTGACTGAGGCTTGAGAGCTTAAATGAAACAAGTGTCATACAGCTGATTTCAGAGCTCAATTCATTCCCCCCAGGGAGAAGGAAGAATGGAGTGACTCATTTCCTCACCAAACAGGAACCTGTACATTGTTTGGACAGAACTTTATGTCTATCCAGGCTCTTTGTTATTCTGACAGAGAATGGCACAGCCTATTCTTCTCGAGAGCCAGATTTCAAAATTAGCGAGGAAGCTGTCACTGTCACATCTCTTTCATATGTCAGTGCAGTCAAGACAGTGATGGGTGCTGGAGGAAGGTGGGGTTGGTTCATATTTCAGCCACTGAATATGTGAATGCTTGCTTTAAGCTCAGCTCTCCAGGCTGCTCCAAAGATGGGAATTTCTTACAGTGTCGCTATAGCAAACTGGAGGGCAGCTTTTCATTATTTAATTATTCACACCGTGGGGTCTGAATGTGTCATGCTCATGTCCTCTTCCAACACATTTTAACTCCCAGCCTGTCTGCTCCCAGCCGGTGATGTAAATGTACCAGCTGCTTCCCAAGAACCAGTCCGCATCCTGCAGGAGGGGCTGGTTCCTTTCCTGGGCATCAGCTTGCCTGCTCTCAGCCTAAGCTCTCTCGCCAACCGTGGTGGCTCCTTGCGTTCCTACATCCTCTCATCTGAGAATCAGAGAGCATAATCTTCTTACGGGCCCGTGATTTATTAACGTGGCTTAATCTGAAGGTTCTCAGTCAAATTCTTTGTGATCTACTGATTGTGGGGGCATGGCAAGGTTTGCTTAAAGGAGCTTGGCTGGTTTGGGCCCTTGTAGCTGACAGAAGGTGGCCAGGGAGAAGGCAGCACACTGCTCGGAGAATGAAGGCGCTTCTGTTGCTGGTCTTGCCTTGGCTCAGTCCTGCTAACTACATTGACAATGTGGGCAACCTGCACTTCCTGTATTCAGAACTGTGAGTCCCCTCTCTGTCCGTGCCTGTGTGTTTATGTGCCTAGTATGTTGGGGGTGGGACCCGAGTCCATTCCCTAGCTGATATATCCATTTTAAATTCCACACATACTAGATGCACTTGGACAAAGCACCCTGCCAGCAGTTTAAAACGGCATGCTTAGCTGTCTGTGACTTAACAAAAAAGCCCCATATTAACAGATGCAGTACTTTCTCAATAAGGCATTTTTTTTTCCTGCTTCAGTGTCAGTGCTGCTTTTTTGGGGTACTCTTTTTCCTCAATAGATGTAACTTCTCTTCCTTCCGTAAATAGAACTGAAGAGCAGTTAAGAATAGAATTTGTATGCATAGATCTGCTGCCTCTATTGGGTATTTATAATTGCAAGCAGGCATCGTCCCTTTATTGAGACAGTCTCTATACCTGAAAACAGGTATAGTATCAGTAAAAAAAGAACCCTATGTATAAAATGTATATATCCATGTTATTTTTATTTTTGATGCTTTTGAAACCTATGGGATACGAAGAAACATGCCTTGAGCACCCATATTTCCATTGCCTTGATTTAATGGGTTAACATTTTGCCACATTTGCTTCATATATTTCTTGCTGCAATGGTCTGGAGCAAATTGTAGCCATCATGACATATCACCCCTAAATACATCATTGTGCATCTCTGAAAAATAAAGACAATTTCCTACATGACACATGTCCATTTTATGCAAGGAAATGCCTCATGTCACCAACCTCTAGTGATATTTTTCCAGCTCCTTTTGTTAGTAAGCTTTCAATAAGGATTATAGACTAATGTGAATGACTTCTAGCAATCATATGAAAAGTGTTGCTGTGTGTGCCTTGTGTTTGGAACATTTGCAAAAATGTATTCCTCCTTATGAACCTAACCAGACGGGAAAAATAGCAAGAGTTGGCTTATGTGTAAATTACAGTCAGTGGGCAAATGAAAACAGAGACTTTAAATAGAGTTCATAGAGTTCAGATCAGAAAAGCTTGTCTGGTCACATTAGATAGTGCTACCACCCATGACTATGTAGTGGTAGCCCGTGCCTCCTTTGTAATTAGCTGGACCAGCCAATTTGTCTAACACAGCAGATGCTCTTTGGTAAATACAGCTAGGTTCTTGGAAGTGATCATTTGTTCTGCATTTCAGGATTATCTGGTCCCATCTTATTGGAATATAACTCCAGGATCCAAGAGAAAGTGTCTAGCTTAAATCTGAATCATGAGCATCTCTGAGGAAATAATGACCTTGCAGAAGCTTTTCTAGACAAACAGACAATGGCAGAGATTATGAAAAGGCTCATTCCTCTCTCAATGGATGCTGAGGTTGGGATCTTTGAAATCCAGTGCCATGATATTCTTCCCTGCCCACCCATTCCCATGCGCTATCCTTCTTCGTTGCTATGTTGGTTTCCTAGGGCTGCTGTCACGAATTAACCCAAGTTGGATGTCTTAAAACAACAGAAATGTATTCTCCCACAGTTCTGGCATCCAGAAGCTTGGAATCAAGGTGTCAGCAAGGTCATGCTCCCTATGAAGGCTATAGGGGAGAATGCTTTCTTGCATTCTTCTAGTTTTGTGGAGGGGGGTGCTGCAGGTGTTCCTTGGCTTGTGGCTGCATAACTCTACCTCTGCCTCCACCTGTCTGTACATGTCCTTCTCCTCAGTGTCCTCTTCAATTCTCTTTGCCTTCTCCTCTTCTTATAAGGAAACTTATCACTGGATTTAGGGCCTACTTGGATACTCCATGGTAATCTTATCTTGAGATCCTTAATTGCATCTACAAGACCCTTGTTCCAAATATGGTCACATTCACAGGTTCTGGGTAGACATCTTTTGGGGGCCACCACTCCACTGACTACAGATTCCTGCTATTCCTACACAAAGATTCCTGCTATTGAGGAATCTTTCCATTTGTTTACTTTCAGTTTTATAGCCTAATTGAAGGAAGGTCCTTATACCACTTAAAAATTTTCTCTTCTACAAGTACATAAATCAAAGGCAACATTTTTGCTGAATAACTGAACGGACACAAGCAATCTATAAAAGTATGATGCTAGGGAATCATACTTTGCCAGGAATCACCATTACCAGGATGGTGTTTCCACATTTATCTGACTTTCTTAGAAGCTTCCAATTGCTGTGTATGCTTTGTGAGAGAATTCTGTGCAGCTGTTCCCCGATGCTACTGGGGATAATTAATCAGTGAATTAGTGACACATTTCAGGTACTGTCATGTTCTCTAAGGAATCCAGGCAATAAGAATTGAGGCATGGTACCTCCTTTCTAGGAGTTGACAGTCTAATTGAGAAGCTGAAATTTATACACATAAGAGATATAAGCAATGATTCAAGGCAGATGGAAATAAGTCATTTATAAGTAGAGTAGGTAGTAAGTTGAGAGGAGGTAGAGATTGTCCATGTTGGTGAAATTGATCAGGGAAGGCTTCCAGAGGAGTTGGGGGTTTAAGCTGGATCTTGAAGTGCTTAGAGGAATGAGGCAGAAACGGGTAGAAAGAGGAAGTATTTCAGGGATGGTAAGTGGCACCAGCGGAAAGGTTAGGGGCTGGCTGTGGTTGTCACCAAAGCTTGAAAAACTATCATTTGGAACAGTAAATAGGGCTGCTGGGCCAGTTTAGCACGCTTGGGAGCAGGAATGATGGGTGATGCCTGCATGTCCGAGATGGAGGCCTTCTCTTCCCTACTCTGGGCCATAGGATCCCAAAAGCAGGCAGAGCTTGGGGGATCTGCTGGGCTTCCTCCACCCTTTATCCGAGCTTTGGATTCCTGACACTGGGGGAAGCTTGCCCTGTATTCCTTGTTTTTCCAGATGCACAGACCCTCCTGGATTTTCCTTTCTCTCTAACAGCAATGCACTCTTGTGTTCCTGAGTTCATGCCCAGCTCAGACGCTGGAACTAATCCAGTACATGGATTCAAATTTGGCATGTGGCCCAGGTTTCTCAAAGTCAAATGCCTGCAGGGGCAAGGCAGGATTTTTTTTTTTTTTTTGAGACAGAGTCTCGCTCTGTTGCCTAGGCTGGAGTGCAATGGTACAATCTCAGCTAGCTGCAACCTCCGCCTCCCGGGTTTAAGTGATTCTCCTGCCTCAGCCTCCCAAGTAGCTGGGATTACAGACACCCACCACCACACCCAGCTAATTTTTGTATTTTTAGTAGAGAAGGGGTTTCACCATATTGGCCAGGCTGGTCTTGAACTCCTGACCTTGTGATCCACCCACCTTGGCCTCCCAAAGTGCTGGGATTACAGGCGTGAGCCACTGTGCCCAGCCAGGAATTATTTTAAAACATGTATCATTCGGGCATAACACAAAGGGAGATGGTGAGGCCTCTGGCCAACTGCAGAATGAATATATAATGCCTGAAAGCATTCAAATTCAATTTAAAACAAAACAACAACCCTGTGTCCAATTTAGCAGATCACTTAGGCATGCCTGGTTTGGCCTTGAGGGCCAATAGTTTATAACGACTTGGCCAAACCAATTCGTAATGTTGGGCCAAACACCTATTGACTCCAGTGGGAAAGACACCAGGTTCAAAAGGATGAAGAGCAGACCCAGAACTGGCAAATGAGACACTGGGTTTTACTGGGGACTTACATATAGGGGAGAGAGTCCAGTGGCAGCGGGCTGGACAGGAGAAACCCCTTGCATATAGTCCAATGGCGAGAGCTGGACAGAACTGCAAATGCTTGCAAAAGGCATGCATTTTATATTTGCTTAGGACCCTCTCCCTAACAGTCTCCACCTAGCAACATTCACCCAAAAGAAAGGACGTCATCCGTCTCCTATACAGCCCACGTTTCCTGGGACAGGCTAGGGGCTAAGCTGTTTCTCATAGATAAGGAATGACCCTCCGGGTTGGCTACTCCCGGATTCCTTAGCTTGGAACTCCGAACCACATGCAGGTGTGTCTGCTATACAGGGTCAGTCTCAGGGTATGCTTAAGTTATTGCTATCAGGTGTGTTTATACCAGGGCCTTTCCTTCTTTAAATATGTTTATTGTCACCTGATGCCTTGACCTAGAGGACAGTGAATCCGACAGAATAACCCTAAAACCAGAGTATTTGGTGTGGAGTCCCAATCCATAGATCAGGGCATGGGGAATCTAGGACAGCCCTGAGGTCTACAAAGAGCATGCCCTAAGAATGAGTGACAGTGCTTTCTTTCCCCACATGCCCTCATCCGCAGACCTCCATGAACATTCTTTTTGAATTTCCTAGACCCCAAAGGGAATCTGGGAAAATAACTTTCAGCATCATGGGCATGAGCATGGAAACAGCCTTCTCATCTTTCTGGCCCTATATTTACAGCCCTGCATGTGGAGAGACTTGTAGATGAAAACCTTAGAACAGTGTAGGTTCTGAGGACCACCCATATCAGAAGTAGGGGTGGAGTTTGTTTTCAAAATGCAGATTTGGAGGGCTCTAAATCAAACCTACTAAAATGAAAATCTTTGGGAGAGGGGGCCCATCCATTTTCATGCTTAAGTCTTCCAGGTGATTCTCATGAGGCCACCCCATTTTCATTCTTGACAAACTCCCCAGGGGATCCGTATGGGCACTACAGTTTAAGAACTCTTCACTCCAGCTGGAAAGCCAACTTACCCTGACTTTCCCTGTTGAAAATTATCACTCCTCTCTGTGTCCCCACTCAGTGCTATATGCATCAGGAACTTCTACCCTGTGAGTTCTGAGATCTCGGGTTGTAGTAATGTTCATATGGCCAGCTTCTGCACAGGTCAGGGCAGAATTAAGTTAAACCAAATTGAATGAATTTGCCTCATATCTTGGCCAACTCCTAAATGTTGCAAGCTGTGATAAAGAAGACCCTGGTTGGTTTCTACGGAAGGGAATATTGACCTTGCTCATAATGATACAAGCTAGGCTCATCTCAGATGTTTCAGGATGCAGCACTGTACTTGAATAACTGGGATTGTCATTGTGCTGGTCAGTCATCTCCTGTGGCTTTTGTAACATTCCTTTAAATATTTAAGTCTTTTTTTTTTTTTTTTTGAGATGGAGTCTTGCTCTGTTGCCCAGGCTGGAATACAGTGGCATCATCTTGGCTCACTGCAACCTCCATCTCCCGGGTTCAAGCAATTCTCCTGTCTCAGCCTCCCGAGTAGCTGGGACTACAGGCACCTGCCACTACGTCTGGCTAATTTTTGTATTTTTAGTAGAGATGGGGTTTCACCATATTGGTCAGGCTGGTCTCGAACTCCTGATCTCAGGTGATCCACCCACCTCAGCCTCCCAAAGTGCTGGAATTACAGGCGTGAGCCACTGCGCCTAGCCTAAATATTTAAGTTTAACAAAAATCCAAGAAAAAAACTTAGAATTTGGTGGAGTGGTGCTAGTACTGGTGGTGCATTTCGTTCTCCACACACCAAACCCTCATGAGCTAGTTACAGAAAAGTGGAGTTTTTTCATCTCCTTCCCACTTTAAAAACTTTTAGTTCCTATCATCCTTGAAAATTATTCTCACGTTTGTGCCATATTCTGATGGTGTGACCTGCTCTTGCCTGTGGTACAAAGTCTGAGTGAGCTTTGAGTGGATGCACAGTTAGTTTGGGACTCGCTTTTCAAAGTACCTGCCCTTCATTTTAGGAAGACAGTTATCAACAAGACAGCTAGGCGGGGTCACTGGAGGACGACAAGTCCTGGAAACTGGTGCCACTAGCTGCGTGACTGACTTCCCAGGAAGCCAGGAAATGATGCGCTCTTTCCAGCTTAGAGTCAAATATTTTTGGTTTGTAAGTGGAATCACTAGGAACAATATTCATTATAGAATCTGGAGAGAAAATTATACTTTATTTTCTTATCCCTATAGAGATAGTAGTACTAAGTGGGGATAGCTTATTCCCACTGGAGTTTTGTACTCCAGAGATTAAAATGAGCAATTCCAATTTTGAAACCTAAATCATCTAAGGCTATGGAAGTGTTACTGGTGGCAAATCTGTAGCAACCTCAATTCTTAACACCTCAAAAGAAAGAATTTTTAACCAAGGGTCATAAGGCAGGGTGAGAGGCCAAGGCAAGTTTTTGAGCAGGAGTGAAAAGTGTATTAAAAAGCTTTAGAGCAGGAACAAAAGGAAGTACACTTAGAAGAGGGCCAAGCGGGTGACTTGAGATCAGCCGGGTGGTTTGACCTTTGACTTGGTGTTTCATATGTTGGCATGCTTCCAGGGGGGTTGCATCTCTTCTCCCCTGATTCTTCCCTTGGAGTGGGCTGTCCGCATCCACAGTGGCATTCAGGCACTTGGGGGGTGAGCGTGCGCAGTGTGTTTACTGAAGTTGTGTACGTGCTCACTTGAGGGCTTTTTCTCCTTATCAGTTGAGGATTCATATACCAGTTAAACTCTGCCATTTTGCCTCTTAGTGCGCATGCTTGAGTCCACTCACCCAACTCCTGAGATCTTACTAGGAAGCTGATCACCAGTTTCAGGTGTTTTCTATTTATTGGGAAACTGCCTGGCCCTGGCTTCAACCAATGATTATTTTAGAGAGACAATTAACAACTGCCTGACCATCACCTGATGGTTGCCTGACATTCCTCATTGTGGGGAGGGTGGCCTTCCCTGCCTCATGTCTGTCTAACTACCTACTGTAACAGAAGGATGAGGCCTCGGGGAGAAACTGCCAAAAGCGGTAAGAGTTATGGGCAGCCTTATGTATGCCCTTCCTGCAAAATGTGGTAGGCCCCAGGAGTCAGAGCCACAGAACACACCAAGCTCTTAGAACCAAGGATTCCAACCACCAACCGCCTCCTAGGTTAACTGACTCTAACCTAACCTGCGACATACACCTCTGACAAACTGCACAGACTTCATGCAACAAGAACATTCATTTTGGGGCTCACAGGCCCAAAGAGAGCTTTAAATCAAACCCAGCTGGGCGTTCCAGGCTTTCAAGTGGGGAGGTTGCTTGCCTCCATTTTCTGTATCTATTTCCATCTATCCATTACGCCCTGGTCTGGCTTTTCAGTATCCCCTTCTCTAGGTGAAGGCTGTGTGGCAAGACCACCCTTAGTAGCTCCTTTTCCTGCCTACTAACTTCAGTCAGACCTGGGCCAGGTATTGGGCCATGAACTCCAGGACCTGGGGAAGTGCCTTTTTAAAAAAGCTTTATACTAATGGAGATCCACACAGGAAGGTCCAGATGATTATGGTTGGATTTTTTCTGGGGTGAATGAGTCGGGAGTGAGTGGAATACAGTGGATTGCCTTAGCATCCATTTCCTCCCCACTTCATTTTCACTGTGTTAGCCATTCCCAACACTTTCAAAGTTCAAACCAACAGGGTGAGCTTTATGGATTTGCCAGCAAATGTTTTCCAAATTGAGTCTCCAAGAATTTGTTTCTTTCTTATCAAAATTGAAAAGGGGAAAAAAAAGTGTTGCTGATCCCTGGATTTGTCTTGTCCTGTGTTTTGAGCATCTGAAGTAGAATTTGGACGAGGACCTGGAAGGAAGGAGGTAGAGTTTACAGAGGAAATGGGGTATGTTGGAGAAATCATATTCCAACAGGAACAAGATCCAGTCTTGGGGCAAAGCCAGGGCCCATTTGGGCTCAATGACTCTCGAAGCATTTCAGTTCAGCACATGTTTAACAGGGCATTTTTCCTTGAATTTTTAAACTTGTGTATTTTGAAGGAAATTGAAGCCGCATGGCCCTCATTCATTTACATTGAACTCACCAAAATCTTGTTTTGTAATGATTCTTTGATGTCCAAAGAGCATTGTGATCCTGTTTCATGATTTTATTTTTTCCCCCCTTTGAGAATTAGCAAATTCTTTTTTGCCAGCAGTAAAGCCACTCCAGTTCCAAGCTGTTCACTCCCTGGTCCAAAGTGTTCTCCTCCTAGGGAGGCCACCCTAAACAAAACCCAGCAGTTTCAAGATGCCACTCTGATGCTTGGCAAATTGTGCTTGTCTTTCTAGTTCCATGACTATGTCAGGCGGATAAGAGGCAAAGCTGGGATGTCCGTAAGAATCTCACTGACCGCTTCATGTTGGTTGACTTATTTTCTTCATTTTAACTTATAATGGAAAACTACAAACAATATAAAAGGAGAGAAAAGATTATAATAAAACTCCATGTGGCCTATACCCATCTTCAGCAATTGTGAATTCAAGGCCATCTTATCGATATCTCCTTTAACTGTTTTTGAAGCACATCTCAGATGATAATGTCATTTCATCTGCAAGAATTTCAGCACCTATCTCTAAAGATAGATTCTTAAGAAATGTGAGCACAATACTAATATCACACCAAAAACAACCATAATTCTTTAATAACAAATATCTAGTTTGTGTGAATCATGAGCTAAATACAATCTACACGTTGCAATTAGTTGCCACATCTCTTAAGTTTCTTTCAACCTCCTCCTCCTCTTCTCCGTTCTTCATTCTCCGCCGATACAAAGGAGCTCTTGAAGTAAATTCTGAGGAATATAGCTTTGGCAAATTCCAAATACTGGGCTAGTAACTGAAAAAGAGAAAAATAGAACAATGGTTTTAATTTACTGTCCAAGTTGAAAGAAATGTAAGAAAGCAAAGGTCCAAAACATTGAGCATTGAAGTCTATGAATGTAACTACAATTTTACCCAAGATGAGTGTCTTTTATGACCTTGTTGCCCAGAAGCTTTAAGGGGAGAACTTATTTTTTTTACTTTTATTTTAGATTTGGGGGGTACATGTCAAGGTTTGTTACATAGGTAAATACATGTCATGGGGGTTTGCACATATTATTTCATCACATAGGTATTAAACCCAGTACCCAATAGTTATCCTTTCTGTTCCTCTCCCTCCTCCTACCCTCCACCTTCAAGTAGACCCCAGTGTCGGTCATTTCCTTCTGTGTGTTCAGAAGTTCTTACCATTCAGCTCCCACTTAGATATGCAGCATTTGGTTTTCTGTTCCTGCATTAGTTTGCTAAGGATAGTAGCCTCCAGCTCCGTCCATGTTCCTGTGAAAGACATGATCTTGTTCTTTTTTATGGCTGCATAGTATTCCATGGTATATCTATACCACATTTTCATTACCCAGACTGTCATTGATGGGCATTTAGTTTGATTCCATATCTTTGCTATTGTGAATACTGCTGCAAAGAACATTTGCGTGCATATGTCTTTATAGTAGAATGAATTATATTCCTCTGGGTTTATACCCAGTAATGGGATTGCTGGGTGGGATGGTAGTTCTTCTTTTAGCTCTTTGAGGAATTGCCATACTGCTTTCCAGAATGGTTGATTTAATTTACACTCCTGCCAACAGTGTATAAGTATTCTAATGGGAGAACTTTAAGAGACTGGAGAAATATCTCCACAGGGCAATAATCTTGCAACTTCTTGATCACAGACCTATATCAATCAATAAATTTCTCCATTGCTTGTCTTATGTATAGTTATCTATATAAAATTATATACATATACTACTACATTAATACATCCATGATAAAACAGGCACAAAAACATTGTTAAAGAATAGAAAAAATATACCTAAGAGTTCTATGACAATCTGCCCACTTTCAGGGCTCATTGGTAAAACAACTTCTTCAAAGTAAATGGAGGAAAATTGCTCACTGCCAGTCTGTGGAGTTGGTCTTGGAAGGAATGGGGCAGGAAATGGTCTACTTCTGCAGGCCAAATAAAACTTGGCAGGCCAAGGAAGCAGACATCCTTTTCTCATAGTCATATTTCCCCCGACTTTTTTTTTTTTTCAACCATCACTCCTTCTGTGTGCTCATGTGGCCCCACGCCCTTCCAGCTTTCTCTGAGGCCCACCACCCCCAACCACACCTGCTTTCATTACCACCAAGATTGGAACTGGAGGATCCAGGTTTATGAAACTTGAAATGTTCAGAATTTGAGTCCTCTTTTTAAAAAGGAAGGTAAAATTGTGAATTCACAACTGGTAGGTCCCTGTCAGGTTCTTGGAAAGGCACATGCATGCCAGGACCCCCGAACCATATTCATCAGCCTTACAGTCATCATCCCCCTCCATGGGAGCTCTGAGGTACCAAATTCACCTTCCTTTCTTTCTGACTCCTTCTTCTTATTCTCTCATATTTTCCTGTAAAGCCATCTCTGGGAATTCTGGTGCCCTTCTAAGCCCACTTCTCCCATGTTTAACTCTTGCATACCCAGAGCTGGAGCTGTCTTCCTGGTTGCCCCATGAGCCAAGAATGTACCTGTGAGCCCTTCCCGACTTTCTTCCTTTGTTAGCAGCTCTATCCAGAACAGTAGGGGAGGGAGAGGTCAGGGACCCCAGAAACAAGTCCACTTGTCATCCCAAGGACTGTAATCCAGTAGCTCTCTGCTGAAGGTGAGATGACCTAGTGATTCAAGGCACATGCTCTGCAGTCAGACTGACCCCAGTTCCTATATAGTCTCCTCTAGCTGGGCAAACTTGGGCAGGTTACTTACCTTCTCTGAGCTTTTCTCACCTATAAATGGGAATAACACTTACCTCACAGGCTGTTGTGAGATTATGTAAAGCATTTAATATAGTGCCTGGTACATAGGAAACCCTTAACTTGTGGATTTTATCATGAGTAATGGAGGGAGTTAGAATATATTTCATCAATTCTAAGACATACTTCTTAATGTCTCCTGTAAATAGATTCCATCTTAGAATTGATAACGCCATGCAAAGATAATTTGCAGTGTCTATCTTTCTTGGTTATCTGTAAAAATAATGGTGCGCCTCACAATAGACATAGTCTTCGATTTGATATAATTTGGTAACAACTAACTTTATCCACAGTAAGCACAGGTGGACTGAGATCAAGAAACTGGAGTTGCTGTAACCATACAGTCTCTTCCTCCCTCTCACTGAAGAGGCAGGGAAATGGCTGACTTGAGCTGAGAAAGGGGTAACTAGCTTAGGGGAAATTCCATGGAGAGAGGCCTGAGCTACTTGTCAGTGGCTGAGGCCTCGCCTTCCACACAGCTCTGCCTCCACAAGTGGCTCGGTCTTTACCACATCTGCCAGTCTCTTGACTCTGCCCCCGACTCCCTCCCCAGCCTTCATTCCTCAGCTATTTAGCTCCTTGCTGCCCTCACACTGCAGCTCCTCTTTCCTATTTTCCTCCTTCCCCAGTTTGAAGAGGAAGACTGAATCCAGCTTGTTGCTTGGCTGGTGGTGTCTGTGGCCCAGAACCATAAATTTTTGAGAGCCGAAGGAGAGCTTGGAGATGATTTAGTCTAATCCCCCTATTTTATAGATGAAGAAACTAAGGCCTAATAATTTACCCAAATGACTCAGCCCTGCCAGTAACAAGCTATGTGACCTTGAACAAGTTATGACATTTTTTTGGAAATAAGAGTAAAGCATTCATCGTTTTATGATATGTGTCCTGAGGAAGCAATAAAATTGGAGCTAGTGGTTAAAATTTTAAACTACCAGCTCTAGGCAAAGCAATGACATAGAGGTGACACAGTGTGGCAAGTGACCCTGCACAGCACCCATCATGAATGCAGCATCCTCTGATGGAGTCTGACCACCTGGGCCTGCTCAGAATGGTAACATGGGATTTCCTCGACCAATTTTGAACACGTGCAGCCTGGGTCCATTTGACAGCAATAAGGCTTTATGTCTGAATATGCTCTTCCAGGGATTTTTATCTAATTCTAAGAGTTTCATATACAAAGGATGGCAGCAGAGAGGCAGGGCAGAGTTCAGTCATGAAACATTAACAAGCTTTAGCTTGTATTGATTAAAAATGTGGCCTCTGGCCCAGTGCAGTGGCTCATGCCTGTAATCTCAGTACTTTGGGAGGCTGAGGTGGGTGGATCACTTGAGGTCAGGAGTTTGAGACCAGCCTGGCCAACATGGTGAAACCCTGTCTTTACTAAAAATACAAAAATTATCTGGGCATGGTGAGGTGCACTGTACTACCAGCTACTCAGGAGGTTGAGGCGGGAGAATTGCTTGAACCTGCGAGGCAGAGGTTGTAGTGAGCTGAGATAGCACCATTGTACTCCAGCCTGGGCGACAGAGTAAGACCCTGTCTCAAAAAAAAAAAAAAAAAAAAAAATGTGGCCTCTGAAGTCATTCAAATCTGAGTACAAATCCTGGCTCATCACTGACTAGCTGTGTAACTTCAGCTAAGCTTCAAGCCTCTCATCCTTAAATCAGGTTTTAATGATGGCACCTACCTCATGGGGGTAAGAATTAAATGCAATACACAGGAAGCATTAGATGCCTGGAACATTTTAAGTGCACTATAAACATCAGAGATGAGAAATTAATGGTGATGAGAAATAAATGATCTCCTAGGAACCTTGCAGCAAATGCAATGGCTCCCCATCTCACTGATGAGAAAACTCTGATTTATTGAGGCTGAGGAAACTTCCCTAGGTAATCCAGCCAGCCTGGAATGCAGGCATCCTGATTCCAGGACTGCATCGCTACTGTGTTGTCATGGAGATGGATTTGCTTGGATGTGTTAGGTTGTTTCACACCTTTATAATTCAGTAGGGCCAGGTTGGGGGGCTGAGATGGATTCTGAAACAGAAAAGTAATTGCTTTATAGATTCAACTTTTCTGGGTAATGATTGGGTAGTTTCTCTGGCCAGTTAAAATTATGCTGAAGATGGCAGTTCCTAGTTTGTATAACTATTTTCCCATTGAAGTAGGCATAAGAGAGCAGACTACAGGAGTTCTCAAAGTCATTCTTTAAAGTGATTAGTCAGAAATATTTTTGGCTGCATGAGCTAATTGATGAAAGATTACAAAGGATCAAAGGGATCTTATTGCAAACTCATCTGGAATAATCCTTCCCTCTTAGATGCTGGTGCAGTTTTTAATAGAAAAAAGCATCTGGGTACCACTCCCTCCACCTTCGTGCAATGCAAACTCTACATAGGTCTGAGGTGTCACTGGGGACGTGCTGGTCGAGTGCATTATGATCACAAGCGGGACTCCAGAGTTAGAGCCTGGCCCTGCCAATTGCTGGCTGTGTGTCTTTGGGCAATTGCCTTAACTTCTCTGTTATGATGTCATTGCATCAACCTCATGGAGCTACTGTGAGGACTGACAGACTATATCATGCACATGCAGCCCCAGTACAGTGCCTGGCGCATGGGCATTATTGATCAGTGTCAGCTACTTACGTGTCCATCTCTGCTACTGTACAAGCCAGCTTCCTTTCTTCGCCCCCTGCACACTTTTTTCTTTAGAAAAGATTCTCGCATGGTACTGGGCAGCAGTGCTGGTGTCTTACCACTCCAGGGTCTTCCCTGAAGTACCCACCTTTTGGCCTCCTTGGGTTCTACTCAGATAGCAGCTCAACCTCATCAGGAAACTAATTCCTTTAACATCACAAAAGAAATCAGCACCTCTCAGGCCGGACATGGTGGCTCACATCTGTAATCCCAGCACTTTGGGAGGCCGAAGGGGTGGATCACCTGAGTTCAGTAGTTTGAGACTAGCCTGGCCAACACAGTGAAACCCTGTCTTTACTAAAAATGCAGAAAATTAGCCAGGCATGGTGGCATGCGCCTGTAGTCCCAGCTACTCAGGAGGCTGAGGCACGAATATTGCCTGACCTGGAAGGCAGAGGCTGCAGTGAGCTGAGATGGCACCACTGCACTCCAGCCTGGGCAACAGAGTGAGACTGTCTCAAAAAAAAAAGAGAGAGAGAGAGAGAAATCAGCACCTCTCAGGTGCTTACTAATTTCTATGTACTGCTCTCAAACACCTAGATAGTCTATTTCAGAGAATTTAAAAGCCCAATGACAGCTAGGCAGGTGTGGTGTCTAGGGTTCAAAAATAGGACAGTGAAGGTGAAGAAGACTAAGATAAAGTGTTTGTTCCATGTAACTCAGGTGTTGTTTCTTCAGTTACAAAAGACCCAGAGATGAGGTCAATGTGTGTTTGGTTTTTTCTGTTTGTTTACTGTGGTGGTGTTTTTATTGTTTTGTTTTTTTGTTTGTTTTTGTTTTTTAATCCCCCATTCAGTTGCTTAGTGTCATCTAAAGAAAGCATCATGGAGATTTGTTTTTTCTTTCCCAGTTTCTTTGGACATAAGCTGCTCTCTTCTTTCTTGGCATGGTTGACAGGGTTGAATTGAGGCATATGGATCTCAAAGGAGCCCAGTGATGTGATCCTCCTTCAAATTCTTAACATTTGTTTACCATTTAGCAAAGGCAGGGAATTTCTATTAATAAAAATAGTGGTTTACAGAAACAGATTTTCCTTGTCCAGTGAAAGTAAATTAATGTTCTGAAAAAAAAAATTGAGCAAGATATTTCCTACTTCTTGGAAGTTCTCTGTTCAGCGTTTTCTTTGTATAGTGTGATTTTTTTTTCTTCTTTTCCAAGCTAGGTAGCCTCCTGGTAGATGAATTAAGAGTTTACACTTAGGTAGCATAAAGAAAACATTCATTCCTGGGAAGAGTATAATTTAATAACAAATACTTATCAAATGTGTATGACATATCAGGCATGTTCTAGGCTGTGGGGATTCTGCAGTAAACTTATATTCCAGTGAGAGGGCAGTAAATAAGCACACATGTAGTACATCAGATGGAAATAAGTGGCATGAAATAAATAAAGCAGGTAAGGAGATGCTGTTCTACATAAGCAGGCCTTGCCAAGAAAGCAGCAGAACCCAGAAAGAAGTGAGGAAGGGAGCCAGCCATGAGGGCAACTGACCTTCGGATAACAGTAGCACACAGGACAGACGTGGTGGCTCGTTTCTGTAATTATAACACTTCGGGAGGCTGAGGCAGGAGAATTGTTTGAGCTCAGGAGTTTGAGACAAGCCTGAGCAACATAGTGAGACCCTCATCTCTATTTAAAAACAAAAGTAGCAGACAGGACAATCTGACTCCAAATCCACACCTATGAAGTGCTAATGATTCCTACAGCACAGGATTCCTGAGTAGCAAGTGAGAACCACGTTAGAGGAGCTGGCACCTGGGTGGGCTCATGACCATCAGTTCCCTCTACTTCCACTTGCTTTCCCCCTGATTTATTCCTGATGGGAGAGGGGGGTTCTTACCGGGTTAAACATCACTCTGGGTCACGTGTTCCGAATACAGATTTAAATGCAATTGCAAATGCCAATGGCCTTCTCCACCTTGACCCCTATTCTTACTCAGTGTAAATTAATGTTGAATTTTCTCATTCCGAAATTGTGTTGCCTTCTAAATTACTCCAGTCTGTTCATGTCTTTGTCATGGATTTTCTCTAATTGCAGATGTACCCATGTCTAACCTATTTTTTCCCTCCTCTTGCCTCTGTCCTCTATGGCATTCCCCACCTCAGTGTCATCCATAAATTTTGTGACACTTGCTCCTAGGTCATCAGTCAGAGTATTGATTCAGATCAATGTGATGGTGATTGTTAGGACACTCTTTGAAACACCTTCCCATGGCTGGGCTTAATGCCCCCTTAGTTTGTGATTTCTGATCATTTTCAGCTTTCTTTGGACTAACAGTGAATATAAAATCCCAAGACACTGCGCATTCAGCTCAATCCACCCCCTACCCCATCCCTTTGTATTCTTAATTACAACAACAGTATTACAATCTTTAAGATAATCTCATGAATTTGTCTGTGATCATTTAAATGCAAACTGTCCTTTGTTTATTTATCCCTGGTTTTCTGGAAACTCAATTTTACTTTCCTAATAGTTATTCCCAATTTTTCAAGCTGACAATTGCATATCTCATACACTAATTTTTCACTACCCTTTCCTTCTGTTTTCTCTCTGCATCACTATCACATGTTGTTGGCCTTGTTCCAGTCTTCTGACATCCCCCTGAGTGCAAGGTAATTTTTCAGAAATAATTATTCATTTTTACTGCACCATTGTTCAGTAAGCATATTAGTCAAATTCTATTCCCCAGGGCCATGTGTCATCTGGAGCAGCTGATTTATGCATGCTCATGTTTGCCAAATATTCCTTCACCTATTTTTTGTCCAAGCTTATCTGTGAGGGGTTTATATAATTCTCCAAATTTCACTTATTACAAAGCTATCTGAAAGTAGTTTAGCACTGCAGGGTTTAAACATTTTTATTTTAGTGTTTGCCTCTTTTACTTGTAAATCTGTGTTCCTTCAAGCTTCTTGGCCTACTTTTTTTTAATGACTCAGACTGAGCTTACAAATTTTTAAGTGATTGCTAAGTATTAAGTCGTTCTGTTTTGGCTCATGTGTATTTTTTTCTGCTGAGCTTAATTGAAACAGTCCGTTTTCTTGGCCTTATATTGTTCTTGTCTCAAGTCAGAACTATTCAGTGATCCTAAGAATTTGACACACAACTGAATAGATCCCTGCTTTTTCCATTTGATATAAATGGTTAGAATCTACACTAAAAGAATCATGAACTCTAAGTCTCTTTTAGAAAAAAAATATATATGAAATGTGCTGATTAGATCAGTCTTAGAAACTACCAAGTGTGTCATCTTCCAAAAGCATGGAACTTTCCACTATGTGAATAGTTTGGCACTAATTGTTCACACTTTTCCTTAGAGAAATAATTTTTTTCAGCCCAACCTCTTTTTTTTGACATGATCTTGCCAAGTCAGTGTAGTTTTAGAGAGCCATTTGCTGAAGTTGATTCAGTTGCTAATGGTATCCTAACTTGGTTGTTACCTCCACCCACTCACTAGAGAATCCTGAAATCACAGAACGCATTCCTGCCATTTCTTTCTTTCTTTTCTTTTCTTTCTTTTTTTTTTTTCTTTTTTTTTTGAGTTAGAGTCTCGCTCTGTCACCCAGGCTGGAGTGCAGTGGCGTGGTCTCGGCTCACTGCAAGCTCTGCCGCCCAGGTTCAAGGGATTCTCCTGCCTCAGCCTCCCAGGTAGCTGGGATTACAGGCAAGCACCAACATACCCAACTAATTTTTGTATTTTTAGAAGAGACAGGGTTTCACCATGTTGGCCAGGCTAGTCTTGAGCTCCTGACCTCAAGTGATCCGCCCGTCTCAGCCTCCCAAAGTGCTGGGATTACAGGCGTCAGCCACCATTCCCAGCTCTCCTGCCATTTATTTTTAGAATCAAATACAGTGCCCTTATTTTACTAAAGACAAATGTTTGACCCCAATAAGTGAGGATACTTAAATCAGCACTGTGTCGATGTCTACACAGTCTGTAGCTCTGTTTATAATAATAACAGGGGGGTTTTTTTGTTTTTTGTTTTTTGTTTTTTGAGACAGAGCTTTGCTTGTTGCCCAGGCTGGAGTGCAGTGGCGCAATCTCGGCTCGCTGCAACCTCCCCCTCCTGGGTTCAAGCAATTCTTCTGTCTCAGCCTCCCGAGTAGCTGGGATTACAGGCACCCACCACCATGCCCAGCTAATTTTTTGTATTTTCAGTAGAGACGGGGTTTCACCATGTCAGCCAGGCTAATAACACTTATTTTTAACAAGCTTTCTTACAAGGTGGCATGGCACCTTGAGGTTGAGTTGGAGCACACTCAAGTAAAGCCTCACTATCTTTTCTGGGGAGGCGGGGACAGGGTCTCACTCTCACTCAGGCTGGAGTGCAGTGGCGGAGTCATGACTTACTGCAGCCTCAACCACTCGGGCTCAAGCCATCCTCTCTCCTAAGCCCCCCGAGTGGCTGGGACTACAGGTGCACGCCCCCATGCCTGGCTAATTTTTGTATTTTTTTTTAGAGACAGGGTTTTGCCATGTTGTCTAGACTGGTCTCAAACTCCTGAGCTCAAGCAATCTGCCAGCCTCAGACTCTCAAAGTGCTGGGATTACAGATGTGAGCCACCATGTTGTCATTTGGAGTTGTTAGCAAGAATGGGGTAGTTGCTATGCCATCTTATTTTATTCAGATAGCACTAGATTTGGTATTGATTAGTAGCCCGAGCAAAAACAACTGGAGCAACTGAAAATACTGAAAATACTGAATTTCCAGTTCTAACCACATGGCCAAGTCAACCTTTGCCATGGATGCCCCATGCAAGGACAGTAGAAATCCTAATTGCAGCTGGTTACAGAGAAGGAACAGCCTCACTGGGGTTGACTCCCTCAGCAGATTACAAGAAACCATTGTCCCTGTCCTCCAAAAGCTGACTTTGAAAATATGAAGCGAGCAATATCTTTGATAGTGTGGGTTTTGGGTAACAGCAGTCCTGGTATTTAGAGACTTGTGTATACATACATGTTAAGGAGATCATTTTAAGATCAGAGCAGGCATTAAACAAGTTAGAACAAAAACATTTTCTGCAACTGAATATTCATATGAATCATGTGCTCACATTATACTAGAGAAATTTCAAAGCTCAAATCTTTTCAAAGTCCTACAATTCTTACACAAACAGTCATTTAAAGGAGAAACTAAAAAAATTAGCTGGGCATGGTGGCACATGCCTGTAGTCCCAGCTACTGGGAAGGCTGAGGTGGGAGGATTGCTTGAGCCCCAGGAGGTTGAGGCTGCAGTGAGCAGAGATTGCACCACTGCACTCCAAGGCGGGCGACAGAGTGAGACAGGTCTCAAAAATTAAACTAATACAATAAAGAGAAACTAAAGGACATCTGAGCATTTTTATCAGCCCAAACATAACTCAGTAGGTAAATATCTGTATACTTCACTATTCTTTTTATAGTGAGAAGGTCCAGACCCTGGCCTCGAGCATCCCTCAGCTCCACTTGGCAGGGGGCCCTTATGGCTCCCTTGGTGCCAGAGAGAGCCCTTGACTGGTGTGGTTGCCATAAAGCACACTGAGCTCCTTTTATTGTAGCAGGGTGATTACACGGCTGATCTGATTTTATCCAGGAAATTTAACCTAAAGGAAAAAACAAAAACCTTTAAAACACATTCAGCCCTTGGAACTGACTTCACTTTCAGGGGGACCAAGTTGATTTAGTCTTCCTTCTGGATCCCCTTCAACCCGTCAGATCTCCTGGACTTGGCCATGGAAGACTGTCTGTGCATGACTGTTAATCGGCCATTTGGCTTGTTCCCTGTGATTACTTCCAGAAGTTACAGAACATGTTGTCGCTATTGAGGGTCTTCAGTTACCTTTTATTTTTTTTCTCCCCAAAAGGGCTCTTGTTCCAGCATGTTAATGTTTAGCCTTTCCTGGCTTGAAAATAATGAGACTGGACACTAATGGCTGCTGCATTTCGAATCTTTGTGCAGCATCCCCAGTGACCTGAACACCTGTGAGTTTGAAGGCTCTTTCAATCACAGCTTTTGAATAATAGATGAATCAAGTGAGACTCAGGCTACATGGGGAAGAGCTTTTAACCAAATGCATGCCATGATACTAGGTTTAAGCAATCTAACAGAGCAAGTGGATTGACTCTGACTTTTCCTATTGTAGGGCTTATTCAGATTAATTGTACCTGAAGAGTAATGGAGTGGTTTTTCAACGATGAACCCTCATGCATTCAAAAAAGCAGGGGTCCTAGTCTCATGCCACCCCTCATGCCTGCCTCCTCCACTAATTTTCCTTGGAGTTAGTGGGAGCCCCAAATACAGCAGAACTTCACAGGGAAAGCTGTTCTAGGTAGCAGAAGACTCTGCTGCCAGAAGGTATTTTTCTATGGCTGCTGATTCTGGCTCTTAGCCTGAAAGAAGAGGGTCTTGCCCAACTGTTCTGTAGGCAGTCCAGTGGAAAGGGGTGCAGATAAAACCTGGATGCCATGGTGTCCCAACCACAGGAGCAATCCACATGCCCATCCTTCAAGCCATGTGTGTTTCCTTTCCTCTGGATTCTGTGCTTGGGAGTGAGTTTGTGATTGTTTTGTTTTGTTTTGTTCTGTTTTGTTTTAATGAAACATATCTAGCCAATGGTTGGTTGAAACCAATTGCTATGTAAATTTCATCACATACTTTATGTTCCCTAATCTTTGGTATTCAGAATGAGACAGAATAATTAGAGAAGCAATTATTGACAGTAGCCAAGGCTCTCTCCCCCAGCCTTAGGATATTCTGTCCTCAGAGAGGTACAGATGCAACTCACTCAGGTCACTGACCTCCCCACACCGTTTCCTGAAAGGAAGCAAACTGGCTGGACCAGAGTGTGTTTCATGAGGAAGGAGTGCTGCTCACTGAAAGCTGTTCCTTTGTTGTCAGTGACAAAGACATTCTCTTCCTTGACTGTATTACAGGGTGTGGTTTGGGTAGGCTCCTGTGGAACTCGGGGCACAGCCTAATGACAGATGGGGAAATGGTACAAAGAAGGTGCCCGGGGCCATCCACCTGTGTGGGGCTCCTGGCAGTGCTGAGTCTCACAAGCCTGGCAGGAGAGCCCTGTGTTTGATGCAAAGTCACACTAATGTAAATGGAGAGATGGAAAGAGTGAGAAAATACTAAAGGAACATAAAAAATGTCCATTTTCTGATCCTTTGAAACTACTCACTGTGTATTGCTATAAAAGGAATAAAGCTAATCAATGTTTTCCAAGGAACTTGCATCTGGCCACCTGTTGGTAGAAGAAACCCACAGCCTTCCTCCCTTCTCCATCCATGAACTAGATTAGACAGAGGGAAGACTAGAACTTGACCCTCAGACAAAACATTGTCAATTAAGAAAGGGTGGACCCAAGGCTATTGCACACATAGGACTTCAAGGGTGTTGTTTACCATTTGAAAGCATTTACAGGAATGCTTTTACTTCCTTTATAATTTGTTTGGTGTTTGACTCCATGAGAAGCGTCAGATGTTCGTGCAAGTTAGCTGCCTTTTTTATTTATTAATACATGCACTTTTATTATATGTCTTACGGCAAATTAACTTTGACAGGAAAATCAGTACTCATACCGTCCCCACTACCACTCTAAAATGCAAAGTAAACAAACCTAGAGGTGAGTCTTTTCACCTAATGGCATGCCTAGTGGCTCACGTTATAAAAAAGCAGTAAACAAAAAGGTAGATTTTCCTAAGTAATTAGAAATCATCACTGTTAACACCAAGTCAGAGATATTTGGATTTTGCTAAAAACAGAAAATAAAGATCCTGGGGTTGGAGCAGAAATTCTACATCTATACTAAAATATTTGTATCATAGTGTAATAAATGCAATCTACCATGTCTTTTGTGTTATTTAAATAACAACACAAGATGCATCATTAGGTGTAGAATTGAGAAGAGGAAGAGAACCCAACTAATTATAGAAAAACAAAGGAGTGGTTTGTCAAGAACATTTTCTGCTTCTTAGTGTAATCAAAGTCTCTTTAGAGGCATTTAAAGCATTCATTTGAGGAAGCTGTGTCACATCAGTATTTGCAAAACTTTTTATGAAGAAGCAATATGGAAATGGAAGCACCAAACCAGGGACACAGAGGCCCTGAGATCTGGTCCAGAGCTGGTAAATCAGGACTGCCAAAATCATTTTTTTGTAATGTGCTTTTGTAGAACACAGTGTGTTCTAGGACAAAGGTTGGGGAGGAAGAGGAAACTTTTTTAGGTCAGGAGTTGCTGGTGATCTAGGCACCATTCCTAGATACATTTCTAGATATTTTACTGGGACCATTTTTGTAAGAGTTCCTTAGGGAACGACTTTGACTGTGTGTGGCGTTTGTGTAAAAGTCCCCTCTTGAAGATGTGGAGTGAGAATCTGTTCATTCGCACTGCGAGGTAGGTGGCTTTGGGCACTGGAAGAAATTGTTAGGTATTTCCCATGGGATTTCCACTAAGAGACTGACCTGAGAATATGGGAAGTGTATTCACAGATGGAGAGCATTGTGTTTATGTAGAAATGGTTTTAGTGTCTACCCAGTTCTTCCTGCTTATGTAAGGAAAACCAGGCAACCTTGTTACATGGAATAATGAACAAAACAATGGCAAAGCAGCTACAGGGTACTGTAAAATGCTTATTAAAAACAGGTAGGAGGACTTGGGGGCAGGGTCAAGTAATTAACCCACAAGGCTTCTATCAGTGTGGTCCCTGAATACCTCTCGGAAGTACTGACCTTGACTAAGTCCAATCCTTTGGTATTTGAGCTTCCCCATCGGTAAAATGGGTGTGATGGTGCTTTTGTCAACAGTTATCAGGGGTCATATCAAATGTAGACATACAGTTAGTCCCAGCCCGACATGCTCATGAACTGTGCCAACAGATGAATGAGAAGTAATTCATCTATTGAATTACTATGAATGAGGAAGTGAAAGAGAGATGGCATAAAGGCAGGGAATAGACTAGGAAGTACATGGCATATGTAAGGCGCTGGCTATAGAGCCAAGAAACTCAACTCATTTCCCTGGCTCTCATCCTTCCACATCTTATTCACATCTGTATCAATGAATTGCAATGATTTTTATAATTGATAGTAACATTTACCTCTGAGGACATTAATGCAGAGTTTTAAAGTATTCACTAACAAAATAGAATGATAAAATCTAGCCATAAAAAATAATTTATGTTCAACTTCATTACAACATAATGAGCCAATTTGTTTTGTTAGATTGATTTGTCATGTACCCTTGCAGGTAAGCAGAGTGAAATAAAGTTTGCTATTCTTGATGGACGGGAGAGATTTCATTTGTGACAACATCAAAATGTATGTTTTGTGTCATGGAAATAATAACATTTCAAGGAGAAAGATAATGACTACGGTAAAATTTGCAAAAAGGACTAAAAGAGTCATGGCTTAAGCATCCAAAACAACAAAGCCTGGTCTCCATGGTTTATGGGGTCTACATAACCTAATTAAACAGACTTAGTTTGTAATGGAAACAGCAATATTGGTGAGTCTCATACGACTTTGATTACATCCTTTGTGTTCCTTAAAAAAGTCTAAACCTTTATGATGCAGAGAGAAAACATTGGTGCTATTTCTCCTCTCTTTCCTTATAGCAAGGAGGATTCATAATTATTCCCTGCAAAATGACAAACATCTCCCATCAGCTTCATGACTTAATAGAAAAACATTTTCATCTCAACAGGTTAACACTACTGGTTTCTTTGTACCCATGAGCAATCATTTCTTTCTGTTGTAATTGTTTTACAGGTCCTCACTCAACGATTTTTACAACAAGGCTGTTAAGACAGGTCAACCATTACTATGGGCAAGGATGCCAAGGTCCCCAGACATAGCAGTCTGGACAATGTATATGGCTGAATAGAAATGAGAAAGAGCACAAATCATTGACTCTTGATTTGGTACTCTCTTGAGTACAGAAGACAGTTGAGATATTTCTTGTGAAAATATTTACATCCTCCCCCAAAGACAAATAGGTTGTTTTACGCCAAGTGACCAAAATACAGGGCCTAGAATTATTATGTTTTTTTAGAGACAGGGTGTTGCTCTGTTACCCAGACTAGAGTACAGTGGTGTGACCATAGCTCTTTGCAACCCCAAACTCCTGGGTTTAAGTGATCCTCCCACCTCAGCCTTCTGAATAGCTGGGCCTACAAGCATGTCCTCAATGCTTGGCTAATTTTTTCTTATTTTTTCTTTTTAGAGACAAGGTCTTGCTATGTTGCCCAGGCTGCTCTGGATCTCCTAGGCTCGAGACCCTCCTGCCTCAGCCTTCCAAAGTGTTGGGATTATAGGTGTGAGCCACTGCACCCCACCACTAATTCCTGCTCTCCTTATATCAATTTATGACATTCAGGGTTGAAGATGGGCCCCTACCCAGAAACATATGCCCTTGAGAAGAGGATTCACAGAGACCCTTTAAGAGCCAAACCAACAAAGCCGTGAAGGCAATGGTGGAATAATTAACAATGAGGTTGATATTTCTGAGGTGCACTTGTTCAGCCTGCCCTGCCCCCTTCTCCATGGGGTAACTGGGCCCTAGGCTTCTCCTGAGAACCATCCCTTTCTGATAGGTCCTATTATGAAAGTCTTCCACAAGTCTTACTTGGATACACTCGTAAAGTAGGCTGTGACTGTCAGTGCTCATGCTTTTGGTGTGTCCACTCTCATCTACCTCTGCCCACCCTCACTGCCCTGGCACCTTGATGTGTCAGTTGGCTGCCAGTGCATGGGCAGAAGTTCTCAAACCTTAGCGTGCACTGGAATAGCCTGGAGAGTTTGTCAACAACACAGATGCTTGGCACCCCTCTCACATCAAGTAGTCATCCCTAGCACTACTGACATTTTGGACCAGATAATTCTTGGTTGTGGGGGCTGTCCTGGGCATTGTAGGATGTTTAGCAGTATCCCTGTCCTCTACCCCCTACATGCCAGGAGCACCCTCCCAAATCGTGGCAATCAAAAATGTCTCCAGGCTGGGTACAGTGTTTCATGCCTGTAATCCCAGCACTTTGGGAGGCCGAGGCGGGCGGATCACTCGAGGACAGGAGTTTGAGACCAGTCTGATCAACACAGTGAAACCTCATCCCTACCAAAAAATACAAAAATTAGCCAGGTGTGATGGCATGTGCCTGTAGTCCCAGCTACTCAGGAGGCTGAGGAAGGAGAATTGCTTGAACCTGGGAGGCAAAAGTTGCGGTGAGCTGAGAACGCACCGCTGCACTCCAGCCTGGGCGACAGAGGGAGACGCCACCTCAAATAAAAAAGTCTCCAGATATTGTCAGATGTCTCTTTGGGATAAAATTGCCCCTGATTAAGAATGACTGTCTTAGGGATTCTAATTGCTAAAGGGAGAATGGGGCCCAGGATTCTATTTTTACCAAGCTCCTCGGGCAAATCTGGTTCCTTTGTATGTTCTATTGGACCTCTCTTCATTTGCAAGTCTCCGTGTGCCTCAGCCCCTGCTTCCATGGCTGTCTGGAGGATTTACTGCAGTCTTAAAAGGTAAAGCTCAGTTAGTCTCAGGCCAGGCCCACTGTGCTGTCCAGAAGGCAATTAATTAACCAAATAAACACAATTATGCCATGTGTTGATATGTGGCCCTTTCTCTGCACCTAGGGAGCATATGTGCTTAATAACAGGGTCCTTTTGGAGGTAATGTCTGTGCTGTTGTGTAACCCCAGGAAAACAATATATGGGCTCCCCTGACGGGATCTTTGGACCCAAATGAGGACAGAGCATCAGCCTAGCAGGCTCCCAGAGGAGGAAATATTTGGAACAGATGATGCTGGCAGCAACTTCCTGGGCAGCCTGCAGTGTTCCTTGAGGGAAGGGTGAACCTGAATTCACCCTCAGGTGAGGCAGCCTTTAGCAGAAACCCATCGCCCTGCTGCCCCACAGGAGCTGAGCACTAGCAAAGTATGGTCTGATATCTTTGTTTCTAGCAGAATGATTTGAATGCTCTCAGGAATTCTGTTTAGTCTGTCTCCTGTGGTTGGAACTTCCTCTCCAAATGGTCACATAGGGAATGTTATTTTCCAACTGGCATGAGGAGAATTTCCTATGGGGACTATCAAAATGCAGTGCTGTGGATGAGCTGCTCCATTCAAGAGGGAATGGCCTTTTGCAGGGTCTTTATGGAAAGCAAACATTTTGCAGCTGACGGTTTTGTGTCACCAGGTACTTTCTTTTTTTTATTTTATTTATTCATATATTTATTTATTTATTTATTTGAGATGGAGTCTATCTCGGCTCACTACAACCTCTGCCTCCCAGATTCAAGTGATTCTCCTGCCTCAGCCTCCCGAGTAGCCGGGGCTACAGTGCGTGCCAACACGCCCGGCTAATTTTTGTATTTTTAGTAGAGATGGGGTTTCACCATGTTGACCAAGCTTGTCTTGAACTCCTGACCTCAGGTGATCTGCCTGCCTCAGCACCCCCAAGTGCTGGGATTATAGGCATGAGCCACCGTGCCTAGCCACCTGCTGCTTTCTTGAAGGGAACACTCAATATATTGTGATAGTATTTGTGTCCTTGGTCCATCCCTTTCTTAAGAACTTAAGCCATTGCATAGTTGTATTTAGAAATAACGTCATCCTTGTTTCTCATTGCAAGACTGAATAGATGCTTGGGGTGTCAGCTTTTGTCTTGTATATTTCTTACAGCTGCACCAGAGCCTGTTAACTCATTTCTAGCAAAAAGAACAACTGAAGTAGCAAGTGGTTTCCAGTCCTCAAAGAGGACTCACTGTGTCTGTTCCCTAAACATTCCTCTAGAGAGAGAAATAAATATATTGCCAGGATGTTGTTGTGATAGAACAAAGAGCAACAACACCCGAGCCTGGAAGAACTTGTCCTAAGATCTCTCTTAGAACTCTGAGCAGCAATTATGATCTGATGTCAAGAAAAATGAAGTGCAGAAATTGTGGCTTACCAGCAGCTTGGTTCAAACATATTACAAATGTGGGGCATTTCAGTCTCACGTTTAATCCTGTTCACAGTTTACACGATTATGAGTTCATCCACCTCCCTTTACATTCACCCCAGGCTTATATGTTTACATGGTGGAGAAGCATCAGAGCAGGAAGAACTTAAAACTAGTTTCAAGCTAAAATCATTTATACCAAAAACATTTTGAAAACTAAATATTGTCCCAACTACTGTCTATTTCCGTGTGTCTCATCCAGGGAGCTGTGTGTATAGAATGAGATGGATAATGGCTGAGCCATCGAATTTCAAGATTATTAGGGGTCTTAGAGATTGTCCAATCCAAGCATTTCACTTTATAGATGAGAGGACTGTGGCTCTGGAAAATAAAGTGATTTACTTAAGAGAATGAAGTGAGCTGGTGCAGGAAAAGAACAGGTGGCCTTTTCTTTTCTGACCCAGTTTTCTGCTAATCACAGAATTCTGTTGACCATAAAGTGTTCTTTCCCCACCTCATGTCCACAGCACTTCCTGCTAGACAAAGTAGTGGGGTGGGGGAAACCTCTCAGCTGAGTTTAACTTACTGGAAGCAAGAAAGTATGAGACTAAAGCAGTGTGTCTGTGTGTGTATTTGGCTCACTGAAACCTCTGCCTCCCCAGGCTCAAGCCATCCTCCCACCTCAGCCTCCTGAGTAGCTGAGACCATAGGCACACACCACCACACCGGCTAATTTTTTGTATTTTTTGTGGAGTCGGGGTTTTACCATGTTGGCCAGGCTGGTCTCAAACCCCTGAGCTCAAGCAATACCTCCTGCCTAAGCCTCCCAGGGTGCTGGGATTACAGGTGTGAGTCACTATGCCTGGCCTCATTTTACAATTTTAATTCCCTGTACCCCCTCCTTTTTTCTGGAGCATTTTAAAGCAAATTCTAGACACTATGTAATTTGACCCTGAAATACTTAAACAAAAATTATAGTTTTAACTGGCTGCATAGTCTTGTCTTTGGCATGCCATAGTCAATGAAACTATCCCCTAGACATAGGGACATTTACTTAGATACATACTTAAGTTTTCACTATCCTAAATAATACTACTTTTTTTACTCTGAATTCTTAGATGTAAAATTACTGATTCAAAGTAAGAGATTTTAAAAATACTTGATACATATGCTAAATTGCTTTCTAAAAAGTTTATACTCCTACTATCAGCTTTTATGAAGTGTTTCACTGAAGATCTTTATATGCAATGGATGTTATCATCGCTGATTTGATACATGAAAATATAATCTCAGTATTCTTTAAGTATAATGTTGCACTTCTTTAATTATAAATGAGGATAAACAATTTTCTTATGTTTAATTTCCCATATACATTTCTTCAATATTAGTCATTTTTGGTGGCTTTTTTGGGTGACTTTTGTATACCTTTTATATGTTAAATACAATCTTTGATTACATATCTTGCAATATTTTTTCTATTATCATTAGGCTTTTTTACTTACGATTCTTTCTGTATATTTTAAAACGTTACTTAAAAATAATCTTAACGAATGTTTGGGAAAGTAGAGAGCACAACTCTATAACCAAATTGCTCTAACACAACTATTATTTGCTAGGCCTGTGGGTGAAGGCAAACATTTTTACATAATTGTAATAGCTTTAGAACACTTTTTGATGGAGAAAGTATTTAATTTTTACTTGATAAAACATATCAAACTTCTATTTCTTTAAATGGTAGAAAGTGTGAAAGTTTTTTTTCCATATTGAGGTCTGAAAAGTATTCGCCTACATTTTTTCTAGTCTCTGTAGCATTTTTGTCCGCAGGCCCCATGTTAATGTGTTCTCTGTACATGTCTTGGAATAGAGAAGCTTTTTGAGAAC
This sequence comes from Homo sapiens, assembly GCF_000001405.40. NCBI lineage: Eukaryota > Metazoa > Chordata > Mammalia > Primates > Hominidae > Homo > Homo sapiens. The sequence continues at coordinate 53,529,868 of NC_000004.12, read as the reverse complement.
TGTGTTTGCCCTTGGATGGTGTATGTTCATTTCCTGTGGCTCTGATTGTCATGCATTTAGGAACCAGGCAAATGCTGTCTCTGGCCCACAGATGCTGAGTAAGTTCAGCCCAGCCTTACCTGCACTGTGTAATAAGTTCTTTCCAATGTGGCTCTGTCCTACTATGGTGGTAGCTTGTACACCTCCTCCTGACTCTCTCACACTCTGGGAGCTCACAATGTACATGGAGCTGTCAGATGCCGTGCTTGCTCTGTTCCCAGGGTCTCCCTGCATCTGTCCCTGCCAACAGAGCTTCATGTTTTACTGGGTGGACTGTTTCTTCCAGGATGAAATGTGCCACCAATGTCCCTTCTCTTCTAGACTTTTGTTCTCATTTCCAAGGCATCGCAGTCTTATGTGAATGTAGAAATATGTGAATGTAAAGCAGTAGCTTGGTTGCCTTAAAAATCAGCACCCACGTTACCCAGTTTTTCTGTTGCAATGGCCTCTAGTTCTCTGGACTAGGGAAAATTAGAAGTACCTTGTCTCCTCAACTATGCTGCCGTCCCCACTGCCTGCTCCCAGGCAGATTCTGTCCTCCTGTCTCTGAAGTTAATGCCTGGGGGAAGGTAGCTATTGTGTTTCTCAGTCCAGCTCCAGCTCCAGTGCCCTTATCTCCTAGATTGTGTCAGTTCAGTGCCTAAGTTTTGGTTTTCTAAGTTTTCTCGTGTTGTTTTCTGTGTGTGCATGTGTTTGTGTGTGTGTGTGTGTGTGTGTGTGTGTGTGTTGGTCAGGACTCTTAAGCTGTAATTGCCAATAAGCCAGCAAGACCAGAATGGTTCATGAACTGAAAACTCCAGACACCCCTGTATCTTGGAACTACATCAATATGCATTCTCTCTGTATTGGGCTATTCTGCTTTCCTCTGTGATGGCTTTTTTTTATGGGTAGCCTCTTCCCACCAACCAGACATGTGTGGTCTCAACTCTGATTGAGCTGATGTTTGAGTCACATGTCCATCCCAGAGCCAATACCTTTGGCTATGGATGTCCTGATTGGCTAGGTTTGATCACATGCTTCTCCCAGCTAGTCCCCACCTTCCAGGGAGATGGTGCCAGGGTAGGTAAACTTACCCAGTTTGTTTAGGCCAGCTTTGGTCAATTATCTGTTCTCACTAGTTGCTGTCTAGGCTATACAGTAGTCCCCCCCTTATCCACAGGGAATGTGTTCTAAGACCCTCAGTGGATACCTGAAACCACCATAGTATTGAACCCTGTATACACTGTTTTCTCCTACATGTACGTAACTGTGATAAAGCTAAATTAATAAATTAGGCACAGGAAGAGATTAACAATGCTATACAATAATTATAGCAATATATTGTAATAATTGTGCATACGTGGTCTATCTCAAAATGTCTTATTGTACAGTACTCATCCTTCTACATGTGATAATATGAGGTGATAAAATGCCCACATGAGATGAAGTGAAGTGAATGACATAGCTATGACATAGCATTGTGACATAGCATATGGCTACTATTGAACTGTAACTTATGAATTGTTTCTGGAATTTTCTACTTAATAGTTTGAAGCTGCAGTTGACCACAGGTAACTGAAACTGCGGAAAGCAAAACTATGGATAAGGGAGGACTATGTATTTCTTAAATATTTTGGCTGTCATCTCTGGATGACCCCCAATGATTGATTGACAGTTCTTCCAACTGGCAAAAGAGCAGTTTTCAAAGGGAAAATACGCTGAGCGGACACAAAGGATTAGGCAACAACCTGCACGTGTTATTACAAAGAATTTTAGGAGACAGACTGGAAAACACTTAAACATGGGCAATCCTGAATTCTGAGTATTAAATAAACTTAGAAGATATTAACCTGGCACATAGTAAGCTCAAAAATATTAGTTTGTGGGTGAATGAAGAAAAAGTAAACTTTATTAGACCATAAACATCACCTAATTGCTGGTGGCATTTTGCCTTTGTAATGGAACTAGAATCCCTGTAATTCTTCCCTTATTTGTTGGAGAAGATACTGAATCTGTCAGGGAGGAGGCAACTTTCATAAAGTCATTGTCCTCACGAAGTCCAGTAGCTGACAGCCCTGGTAGCCCCTTTTCCCCTGCTGAGGCTCACTGTTGCACTCTCCACCCTGTAATTTGGATGTGTGAGTATGAGCTTTACCACCAATCCAGTGAGGGTGCAAAGTTCAGGCTTTTGCTGAGCAAAGGTGACAATGCTGAAGAATGTAAAGAGAGACACTGGAAATGTACAGAAGAGTCAAAGCATTTCCTATGCATGAATGCAGTGTTTGAAAGGAGGCTGGAGCCTGCCCTCCAGAACCAGTGGAGCCAAGGAGTGCCCTGGGGCTAAGAACTTTTGTTAATAACAGAGTCAGCACCAGGAGTCAGCACCAGGCTCGTAGAGACTAATTATGGGTGTGGGGGAATTCATGCAAACTCACTCTCAGAAGGATTTTGAAGCCATCATATAGGGAGCATCACACCACATTATGAAAGTGCTCTACATCTAAGTATATAAATTCCTAAAATAGAAGAAAGTCAGTTATACTGAATAAATAATCCTTGTCTTAGAAAAATAGCTTACACCTTGAATCTGCTAGTTCACTGAACATGTAGAAATAAAACAATATCTGTTCATTGAAATTCATATGTTTATAAATGTGAATTGAAGAAACTGATGTTGGTGCTGAGAACAGAAAACTGAATATTTTAGTTCCCAATAGTATATTTCAGTTGTAACTAATGTTTATACACACAAGCTTGGGTCAGGTTTTGTTCTTCTAGTTTTTTTTTTTTTTTTTTTTTAGGGGCAGGGAAGAGTCTAAAACCTTATTAGATCCAGCATATATTTAGCCTCTTATGTATTCCTCACCCTTCATTTAGGTGTTTCATTTCTATTGCTTTAGCATAATGATTGTGTCTCTTACAAAGAAGAATTAGCTCTATAATTTTATAAACATCGTGAGCCTTCTGTGGAGCCAGCTGCTGGAGATTCAAAGATTTTAAGACAGAGTTTCAACCATTAAGGTCCTCACAATATAACAGAAGAGGTCGAAGGAATTCACAACTGATAAGTTCCAGAGGTTACAAAAGTTCAAGAGAAAAGAGAGTAATTTTACCATGAGCCTGAAGGAAAGGCTCTTAAAAGATGCCTTTAAGCTGGGTTGTGAAGGCAGAAAGATGGAATAGGGTATTGTTGAGCAGAAAAAAGAGAATTTCAAGCAGATACTAGATTACATGGAAAGGCATTGAGATAGGGGCTATTTACTTCCAGAGTAGCACAGGGGTCTGGAAGGAAAAGCCTCTCATCACTGTTATTGTGAAAAGCTGTGCCTTAGTTCTTACTTTATCTTTACCAGCTGCTTGGCCAAGGGTTTTCATTGGGCTTTAAAATTTCTTCCAAAAAGTAGGCATTCTGATACTAAGTTGCATTTGTTGGTTTCCCCATTTTGTGCCAGGGTTTGGTGGTTTGATCAGTTGGTAATTCAGACATGAGAATTCAAGATTATGAAAACGATTCAGAAGTAGCTGTTGTGTCTCACTAATAACCAGTACTCATCATTTTACATCAACATTCATAAGCTCCTCAAATTGAATTTCTGATATCAACATGAGGATGGACACAGGAATGTGTTCAGGGAGCAGTGTGCCGTGTCCAGTGATGGGGTTTTGTTTGTTCATATCACTGTTGATTGGAAGAGGTTTCCTGCTGAACGTGGCGTATGTTATCTTTTTTTAATATTTTTTCTTTTCTAGAAAGTGCCCAAAACATACTGTAATGCTTTTCCTTTAAGCAAAGTCTTTCACACAATGGCTTGCATTTTAAAAAATTGAATGTCAATAAACAAGTTATTGATTAAATAGTAATTAGATACTAGAAATTTGCAGAGTCCAATTTGCAAATTACCTCTTTGCCCATTTTATTAAATTATAGGATGGTATTTCCTAAAGATGTGACTGACCTCACAAAGAATTTCATTATCTTAACCAGCCCAGCCTAGCTTGCCAGTGCCTCCCCACACCAACCCCAACACAGCCCTTTCCTGGCCTTCAGAGTGCCCTCCCTGAAAGGGAGATACTGTTTTGGCCACAGATTAACAGGATTGCCTACCATAGCATTGATCCAAGAAGAACCTCCCCTAACTGAGGCTGCCTGTAAGCAGTTTTGAACCCTCAAGTTACTAGGTTGGTGCAAAAGTAATTGTGGTTTTTGCAATTAATGTTTTCATCCACTGGCCTGACAGTTCTCTCTTTATGGGGGATGATGGCCAGTGAACTTCGACTGAGGCACAGAAATATTTCTAAGCTCTGCTGAGGTCAAAATAGAGCTGGAATTCCAGGCAGGAAACCAAGCATCTTTGAGCTGTTTGGTTAGCTAGATACACACAGAATGCTGTCACCCACTCTGCAGTGAAGTAGTGTGATCTTGTCACTGTAACCTTCATTTCCCAGGTTCAAGCGATTCTCCTGCCTCAACCTCCCAAGTAGCTGGGATTACAGGCATGCACCACCACACTCAGCTAACTTCTGTATTTTCAGTAGAGTCCAGGTTTCACCTTGTTGGCCAGGCTGGTCTCAAACTCCTGACCTCAAATGATCCGCCCTCCTCACCCTCCCAAGGTGCTGGGATGTGTGTGAGCCACTGCTCCCAGCCTGGCCAGAGCTTTTAGTTAATTTTTTTTAATGTGTAACGAAAGGGGATTATAGCCCACCATGAGTAGTTTGGGGAGTTGTAAATGAGAGTGAAAGAGGAGCATGATACACGTGAGGCCCTGTGGTTGTAAAAGGCTATCCAATGTAGACCACTACTGTTTGTCCAATACACAGAGCTTTCTGAAAGCTTCCAAATCAACCACAAATCCCCATCTTTACGCTCTAAGACTCCCTCCACAAGGGGAAGTCTAAGATCTTGTGTACATTAGAAGAAAGCACCCCCAGATCATGTGAAATCAGAAGAAAACACCCCTTTGGGCAAGCAGACAGAGCTTTTTTTGCAAAGAAAGGGTTCCTTCCTCTTGACAGATGCATCTCCTGCTAGCATGCCTCTTGGAAAGCAGAGCAGTAGCTGGATGTTAAATTCCTCAGTTCCTTCAATTCCTCAGCTGGGCATCTTTGTGCAGGACCCAAATGGCTCAACTATGTTTATTTCCCCTAAACCTTACTTGTAGTCTCTTCAGAAGCCCAATTCACTTTCTAGGAATTGAGTCAGCCCTGGAGACAATATTGAGTGGTTCTAGAAAGAGCGTAGGCTTAAAGCATTACAGACCTGTTTTTCATTTCTTGATCTGTCATTTTACTGGTTGTGTTAGAATTGAATAAAGTTTAAGAAAAATCATCTGGGCCTTCTTGCTGCGTGAACTTGGGTGTGTGACTTAGCTTCTTTCAATCTATTTTCTTATCTGTCAAATGGAGAGAGTACCACCTTGGTCCTCAGATTTGGAGGCGAGTATTAAAAGTGATAGATGCTATGTGTGAAATGGTAGTACAGGTCTCAACAAACATTTGTTACCTTAAGTGCCACTTTTTCTGCCACCTCCAAGCCTGGGCCTTTGGTTATTTCTAGGACAGGAAACCTCCATTCTTCATCACTAGCTCTTCAAATCCACCACAGTTTTGACAAGATAATGACCATAGTGCCATCAAGGTCTAGTGAAAGCTTTCACTATAATTTTAGAAGAGAAAAAATATATATATAATTTAAACCGTAGGACTATTTCTTATCAAACCATATCTCCTCGAAACATATTAATACTATTAACAGTAAGAGAACAATGAACCAAATCTCCTGGTTTTCCAGAAGAACAAAGACCCTTATCTAAAATGTAAGTTTTATGTCATCAAATTGATGGTCAATTTAAGACTAGGCTGACCAGCCAGACTATAATTAAGTGAACAGAAAAGAAAGATGTCTTCTGAATGTAAGTTCTCAGTATCCTAATCAACTTATTCCATGACTATAAATAACCAAATCCTCTATCACTGCCAGGGGAAGCAGGAGGATGGTGGGACAGTGTGAATGGAGGCTTCATTGAGTATTTTAGGATAATTAGCAAAGTAAAGAGGGCCACTAATTGTTTCAAGTCTAAAACTACCTAAAAGCAGAGTGATTTCTACAATGCATCTGGGTCTGTCTTCATTTGGAGATGCAAAAACTGTATTTCCAAATGTACCTAAGAAGCAGAAAAATCCCTAGTCTCCTAGTCTCCTACTAATAGGCTACTATCTGATTTCACATGAGATGTGCATATCATATAAAATCATACAGCTTGAGGCCAGGTGCTGTGGCTTACGCATGTAATCCTAGCACTTTGGGAAGCCAAGGCAGGGAGATCACTTGAGGTCAGGAGTTCAAGACCAGCCTAGCCAACATGGCAAAACTTCATCTCTACTAAAAATACAAAAATAAGCCAGGCGTGGTGGTGCACGCCTGTAGTCCCAACTACTCAGGAGGCTGAGGCAGGAGAATCACCTGAACCTGGGAGGCAGAGGTTGCAGTGAGCTGAGACCATGCCATATTACTTCAGCCTGGGTGACCTTGTCTTCAGAGTGATACCTTGTCTCAGAACAAACAAACAAAAAAAATTGTACAGCTTTAAATAATTATTTTCACAATTCAAAATAGAACATTCTTCATAACAATCCTTATTCTTTGTCAGGAACATAAACCCATGCCTAGGTTGGTGTCTTCTTGGAAGCTCTCTGGAGGGTCCTGTTCTTCAATCTAGTTGGAGATCTATGCAGTTGTTTGTCTGTATCTGATGTTTAGCAGACCCACTGCCAGGGATTGATTGATCTGAGGTATCTCATAAGCTAGATTTTTAAAAATCTTCCCAAATGGGTCTGTTGCTCAGCCAAGGTTAAGAACCACTGGATAGGAGGACAAGCATGTTAATAATTGATAGCAGAATCAATACAAAAATCATAAACATACAGAAGTATATGTGTCTATGCATAGAAAAAAGATTGAAAGAATAAATAAAACACATTAGCAGCAGTTTTCTCTGGGGGTGGAATTACAGGGTTTTGGTTTGGTTTGGTTTGGTTTTGGTTTTGTGTTTTTGAGACAGGGCCCTGCTCTGTTGCCCAGGCTGGATAATATTTTCTTTATTTTCCATATTCTAAAAAGTTTCTTCTCTGAGCCTCAATTACTTTTGAAATCAGAAAAAGAGCAATTCCTATTTGATCCTAATAAAAGTAAAGAAGTATTTCATGAATGTCTGTTGTGTCTTCAACCCTGTATGTACAGTGGAGGATACAAAAGACAGGAGACATGGCCTTAGGAAGTTTGCAGTCTAGTAAAACAGGCTCAACCAACATCCATGCAACTCTCTGTGTCAATATGTAATAAAACCCTAAGGTCCCAGCACTAAGCAAGTATAGACATATTGGACTTGTTTGCCTGTCTGCTTTATTTCTGTGTTGGATTGCTAACTGGTATAGAGTCATAGGAGCACCAAGCCTGGTGCCTTACATTTAGTAGACTTTAGTAATCACTTCAGTATTTGTGGAATAAATAAATGCATTGAGAGGGGAGAGATCACTATGAAGCATCAGTGGAGAAAGTGAGATGAGAGGCAGGCCTTAGGAAAAAAGAGTAGGATTTGTTTGAGTGGTGGCCACTCCAGGTGGGAAGCCAGATTGGACAAAGACCTGTGGTAGAGATGGGTTTGATGTGAAGAGGGACAGTTTGTCAATGTGTCTGACTGCAAGAAGCCTTGTCTAGCCCAAGAAGCCTCGTCTGCCAAACAAAAAGAACTGAGCAGAGTTGGGTGTGGTGGCTCTCGCTGGTAGTCTAGCTAGTTGGGAGATCGAGATGGAAGGATTGCTTGTGCCTAGAAATTCAAGACCAGCCTGGGCAACATAGTCTCTACAAAAAAATTAATGAAAAAGTTAGCCAGGTGTGGTGGTATACACCTGTAGTCCTAGCTACTCAGGAGGCTGAGGAGGGAGGATCCCTTGAGCCCAGGAGTTTGAGGCTGTGGTAAGCTATGATGATGCCACTGCACTCCAGCCTGGGGTCAGAGGAATCCAGCAGAGCAGTAACCAAAGAGTAAGCCTGGCCCAAGGGTGATAGAAGAAGAAGAGCTTTCAGTTATCCAATAAATATTTTAATATAATAGCATTTCCTGCAAACAGGAAAAGCATCCCCTCCTTTCCCCCTTCGTTTGCATAACACAATTTTTGGGAATATGTTTTATAGAAGGAGTAAGGTTGTTTCTTTTAAATATATTGGGAGGGAAGAGGAAGCTCATTTAGCAAATACAGAAACTGGCTGGAAAAATAGGATTTTTGTTTCATGTAAAAATATTTGGTATGAGGAACCAGCTATCTTTGCATGACACGTTTCCAAACCCCGAGCAAGGAAGAACACAATTTTCCACTGAGTGTCATGCAGCATATCCAGGAGGGCCTGTGACACCCAGCCCAGAAGGGGCTTGGGCAAACTCGGAGATATCTTGGTTATTCTGAGAATGCGATGGAATGCACTTTGAGGAACGGAGGAAATGTTTTCAAATGTCTGGGAATGATTTTCACCTTCCCCCACACCTCCATCTCGATATCAAGCTCTGACAACCTCTGCAGAGCCCCTGGGGTTGCATAGACTTCACAAAAACACGAGGACTCAAAAAGAGCTCATCACAGGCAGCTGAAAACCCAGGCTGCTTTCAAAACTGATCAGAAAACCTCACTAGGCAGTCAGTTCTGACTTCTAGAAACCCTCACCACCATGAAACCCACCCTTTCCAGTTATTCTAAAAACACTTCCTAGTCAGTCCTGAAATAGAAAGCACCGTTGATCCATAGCCCAGTTTCCCAAAAACCAAAAGCTAGACTTTGGTTGTCTCCAAGTGTTTTAAAAGTAAATAGAATAATTTGGGGTTTTTTTGTTTGTTTTTGAGACAATCTCGAACCATTGCCCAGGCTGGAGTGCAGTGGTACGATCTTGGCTCACTGCAGCCTCCACCTCCCGGGTTCAAGTGATTCTCCTGCCTCAGCCTCCCAAGTAGCTGGGATTACAGGCACTCACCACCACACCCAACTAATTTTTGTATTTTTAGTAGAGATGGGGTTTTGCCATGTTGGCCAGGCTGGTCTCCCACTCCTGACTTCAAGTGATCCACCCACCTTAGCCTCCCAAAGTGTTGGGATTACAGGCATGAGCCTCCATGCCCAGCCAAAAGTAAACAGAATAATTTTGAACCAAGAATTGCAGGGACCAAAAGTTAACCAAAAAGAACCTGACCCCCACCCCATCACATCACATACACACTTGAATGCATGGACAGATAACAGAAAACTCAAATCATCTGTCGCATGGAAATTGCCTGCTCCCCCTCCCCAAAGTATGGAGGAAATGAACTCGGTGACCCCAAAGATGCCAGAGACTCACAGAATGAACAAACGATTCTGGCGTCTCTGAAGAATTGACCTGGCATGTGGACTGTGCCCAAGCCCTCGACCATCCCTCATTAACTACTGTCAACTCCACATCTGGTTGTGGCTTTGGAATTCTGAGTTGTCACTCCAGGGAGCAGCACTGGTATTTATCAGGCACTCCAGGCTATCAGCTCAGGTCTTCTTAAACTAAACAATGGAATCAGTTCTTTCAGTCCCTGGGAAGCCCTGCAACTGCATAAGGTTTGGACCCGCAGGGGTTGCTGTGAGAGGCTGTGCCTTCAGCAGCAGTTTGGGGGTGACATTCTGGACACCCATCTTAGTACCAGATGAGCGCACACTGGGAGGTACCTGAAACCACAAAGCTCCTCCAAAACTAGCTTCTGTTTCTACTAAACGTGGGGACAGAACATCCACAAAGGAAAAAGATGCAGTGTATGTCATGGTTATGAGCATTCACAACTCTTGACTTAAATTCTGTCTCTGTCACTTATAGGGTGAGCACCAGCACATCGGTTTGCCTTGGACTGACCAGTTTTTAAACCAAAAATCCCACGTCTCAAGAATCCAGTCAGTCCTGGGCAATCTGAGATGGTTGGTCACCCTATATGCAAACTGCGCAAACCTGCGCAAGTGAATCTTTGTATTAAGTTCCCGCATTTGCAAACTGGGGATAATAATCCTGCCCATCTCATGAGGTTGTTGTGAAGATTAAATGAATAAAGGGTAGAGTGCTCAGAATAGCCTGACGCCTGTTAAGGAGTGTGTGTGTGTGCATGTGCGCGCATGTGTGTGTGTGTCAGATACCTTGACAGACACAGGGCTTAAATCAACAAGATCTCAGACAGAGCTACTCTTTCAGCTCTTTTGCTTTAATGTTTTGTCAGCTTGGATAAATTACTTAACCTCTTTGAGCCTCATTTTCCCCATCTATAAGATGGGCCTAATACAACCAGTGGGGGGAAGTTTTCATAAAATAAGTCCTGGTACCATGCCTTGTGATTAAAAAAAAAAAAAAAAAACACTGAACAAAACTGAACAAATGATAGCTCAGGTGGTTACTGTTATGACTGCTGTTATTAACAGGAGAGAAAGGGTACCTCCCCACCCAGTGGGAGATGGGTAAGTTGGCCTCCTGTTTCCCACCTCAAATGCTATGTGTTTAGACCATGAATATGAATATATGAGTGCCTGGACTAAGGTGCTTTCTCTAGAAAAGGATGAAATAAATCACCTGGAGGTGCCCGCACACTTAGACAAGATCCTTTTAGGCCTCTGCTTCTACGATGCTTGCTGCCTGTGTTTGGAGCTAATTATTTTTGGAGAGGAAGAGGGGCAGTGAGACAGCCAGCCTGGGCATGTGGGGACCACCACAACCACCTCCCCCATGCACTGACCTATGAGGCATGCAGCAATGATAAATGGCCCTGATGACAAAGCAGGACAGAGGCCTGGCAGTGTGATGCTCACCACTCCTGCCTGTCAACTCCAGGCTGAAGATGCCAACCCCGTTATGACAGACTCACTTGCCAGCCTGTGCCATTTGTATTCCTCATGGCAGTTACTCAGTAGCTGGCATTTATAGGTCTATAAAGAATATAAGGTTATGAAAAACCTGCTTCTAATTTTCCATGCTTTTCCCTACGTCCCATGTTACAGTTGCCCCCCAAATAATCAGCCACCAGGGTGCATGGCCTATTAACAGTCCTGAGGTGCACACTTCAATTAAAGTTCTCTCTGCCTTCAGTTTAAATCCTAGCCCTTCCACTTACCAGCTGTGTGACTTTTGGAAAGTTCTTAATCTTTCTGTGCCTTAATTTCTAATTAGTAAAGTGGGAGTATAATAGGACCCTCCTCATAGGGATGATATGAGGATTGAATGGGTTAATAGGAAGCATGTAAAACAGTATGTGGTCTCTGGTGAGGGCACTGTAAGTGTTGGCTGTAATTATGTTACTATTAATTTGTGAGTTGAGATTTGAAGGATAAAAAGATGCAGCCACAGATTCTTACAGACACTAACTCTGTAAACCGATAGGAAAAACATCGGCATTAAAGGAGAGTCATTAACATTAAGTGGAAGAATGTCCACTTCTTCCCTGCCTCCCTCTCACCCTGAAATTGGAACTGTGCAGAGACTAGCCAGTGTGTCTCATGCCTGTTCAGCACTAGGTGATCCATGCCATAGGAACATGTCAGCATCTTTGGTAAACCAAGTCAGTGTGCTTGCTTAGGTTGGGATTGGACCATTTGTCACCTGAGCAGACTCTACCTTGAAGGCACATCACGCCTCTCCTGGCCGCACCCTGACAAGCCAAGACAGATTCCAGGTGCCCATGATGGTGGCCTGCATTTTCACATGACTTTCCAGCTTGTTTTGAATTTTTCCTGTCTGGTGTTCATTAACAAGTGAAACAGTGGTGGTTGGAAGGACTAGGGACATTTTCCCAGCAGTTTGGAGGCAGAAGAAAGGGGCTAATGAGGGGAAGCCGTGTGTGGTTGGTGGTAAATGATGTCAGAAATCCACCTGTCCTCTGGGGCGAGGGCCATTCAGCCTCAAGTTCATACTCGGATCTACACTGAATACCAGATGGTGGACTTGCCCAGCTGATGACCTCTTTTACTTCTCAACTGATATTCAGTTCACCTCTGACTACGCAAAAATGCTCATAACTTTTTTCCATGTGCAGTTTCTGGTAGCTATGTGAGCAGCCATGTAATTCAGTGCCAGGCAACATGGGTTTTAACTTAGAAGGGGAGAAAAAGTAATCCAAACAAGGAAGAATGTCTTTACCTAATGTCTTTAGGCCAAAGAGCTATTATTTAAGAAGATGCAGGTATGGTGAGTTGAGGTGACACGTAGAACGTAATTATCCAAACTGAACTCGGAAAGTTCTTTACAGGAGGTCTGTGCTGAGGACCAGGATGCCTGAGGACTAGAGGAATTCTATGAATAGAAGTTGTATTATTGTTACTTGAGTGTCCTCCAAGTAGCATGATCAGGACTCAATTAGCAGGGATAGGACCTATTTGAGGGTGGGCTCAGGGAGTGCAAGTGGAACTGTTTTGGAAGGCGCTGACTGATGCATTTATTTTTATCTCACACAATAAAGATTTCTAGTGCTTTTCACTAAAGGAGTCATGAAATAATTAGTTATCATATATTTAAACTATATATCTGCTTTCTTTCAAAAAAAAAGATCAAGGTGGCCCATAACTATTAAAACATATCTAGGCTAACACAATCAAAAGCATAAACAGACTCTAATGAAAGGAGCAAGAAAACAATTAGCTGCTTTTAGAATCTCTCAGGCTCCTTTAACACCCCCAACCACCCCCACCCTGCCAGACCCTGTCCGCCAGTGCTCTTTGCAGAGTGCTGAGGATTCAGTGGCGAGCAAGAAAAGCAGGACGTTTACTCCCATGGAAGCTATCTATATTCTGCTGGGAGAAAACAAACCAGCAATATAATTTCCAAAGAGTGTGACTGGCAGGCAGGGGCAGCAGTTCACTTTGGATTGATGGTCAGGGAGTCTCTGCAAGGAGCTGACTGCGAGCCCTCTGTTGTCAACTTCATTCCTTCTGAAACCTCCTCCCCTCTCCTGTCTTGGCATCAGACTTGGCAATGCCCACTTGTCTCTTACCCCCACGGGCATGGTTTAGGATTACTGAACCCCAGAAGTAGGTAGATGGACTGGCCATCAGGTATCCTGGGTTTATCCCCAGCACTGCCACCAACATGTTGCTCCTCTTGGATCTCACTTCAGGTCTGTTCTTTCCTCATTGGTGTCACATAGGACAAAACCTGCCCAGAATCTACCATTCCTGGCACCTGCCATGCACCTGCATCCTTGGAGCTTTTGAATATACCACTCATACTTAGTCTGCTAGACCAATGTCACTCATTTTTCTAGACTCAGCTCAGATTTCATCTCTTCTAAGAAGCCTTCTCCAATTACCCCAAGCAGAATCAGTAGCCCCTTCCTCTGAGCTCTCCTGACACTTAGCTCTTACCTCCCTCTCTGTCTCTCTGATAATGTGGCATGGAGGTTTTTCTGTTTTCATGAACCAAGTGCATACATTGTCGTTTTCTTTGCATCCACAGTGTCTAACATTATGCCTTGATGTTAGACAATAATTATGCTAGTTACTGATTACTGAGTTACTATATATTCCAGGTACTGTTTGGCATTTTGCGTGATTCTTTTTTTAAAAGAGATAGATAGGGTGTTGCTCTGTTGCCCAGGCTGGAGTGCAGTAGCCCAGTCATGGCCTACTGCAGGCTTGAACTTCTGGGCTCAAGCAGTCCTCCTGCCTCCGCCTCCTGAGTAGCTGACACTACAAGCATGCACCATCATGCCCAGCTAATTTTTTAAATTTTTTTGTAGAATATGGGTCCTGCTACGGGTCTCTAACTCCTGGCTTCAAGTGATCTTTCCACCCCAGCCTATCAAAGCTCTAGGATTATAAGCATGAGCCACCACACTCGGCCTTTTGTGCGAATCTTTAAACCTCATGGTAAATAAACACTGTGCCCATTTTATGTATGAGAAACAAGGCTCAGAGGAATTAAGACACTTGTCCAAAGTTGCAGAGCCAGTAGAGTTGCCTTCTTAGGAGACCCTTCCATAAGGCAGATCTGGGATTCACATCCAGATTCTTTAGAAGTGAAAGCATGTGCTTTTTCCTCCGTGCTGTGCCATCTTTCTTAGAAGACCCTCCCATGAGTGTTTATTGAAAAATGTATTTCAATATTATGATTAAAAACCCACTGTAGCAGCATAACCCATCAAAGAAAGGTTATGGTCATTACCCTTCAGTTTTATTACATGCATAATGCTTCTTAAACTCAAAGCAAATAAAATCATATCAAAATTACCAGGGAAATACATGAAAAAAAGATCAGTTTCTTAAGTCGGTCTTCTTGTCATTTTTTTTTTGGTGGGGTGGGGGCCTTAAATTGAAGTGCAGGGAAATGGAAAGGGAACTCATGAGCTTGCTAGGAGAAAGGAGAGACTAGCATTGGTATCACAATCGACCACAAGTAATTATGCATTATCAGGGTGGTGTGAGTGAATCCCACAATTCCCAATGCTGTAATTTCAATCAACGGAATACCAAAAGGGTGACAGTTGCTCAGATCAATTCAAGAAATGTTTACTGTATAGCTCTGTGGCCACAACTTGCCCGCAGCTAACCAGCTAGCCAAGGCAGAGCTGATGTGTCTTGACTGGCGGCCTTAAGTGATGTGGGACTCCATGAGCCAACACTTCTCTGGCACTAATGTGAGGAAGCCATCTCAGTCCTGGAGAGAGAGCTCCTACATATTCAAAGTTTGGTTCTACTGGTGTAATTGTGGAACTAGACTTTTCTCCCCCAACCAGTTAATTCCCATCTCTCTGTGAAATATCCTTGAGTCACAGTTTTCTGGTATAGAAAATATTGCTGCATTTGGATTTAGATTCATTAAATATGTTGTTTGGATGGGGTATTTAGGTTTTAAAATATTGTCCCTCAATTAAATATTTTTTAAAATTAAAATGTTTAGCCTAATTTGTCAGTTAAATGTTCTCTTGAGGTCAATAACCCAAAACTCATTAAACATATAGTTCCATGCCTTGTTCATGGTTCAGGTCCCTTAGCTTGAAAAGTCTGAGTACAGAGATGGTATGGTGTTTACACTGAGATGCTATAGTCCAAGGGGGGTACTTTCCCTGGGCAGAAACACAGATGGCCTGAGTCATCTGATTAGTGTAGATAGCCAATTTAGATAATTCACCCCTGATATGGTTTGACTGTCCTCACCCAAATCTTGTGTTGAATTGTAGCTCCCCTAATTCCCACATGTTGTGGGAGGGACCCGGTTGGAGATCCATGAATCATGGGGGCAGTTCCCCCATACTGTTCTCATGGTAGTGAATAAGTCTCACAAGATCTGATGGTTTTATAAAGGAGAGTTCCCCACACAAGCCCTCTTGCCTGCCGCCATATGAGACGTCACTTTGCTCCTCCTCATCTTCTGCCATGATTGTGAGGCCTCCCCAGCCAGGTGGGACTGTGTGTCCATGAAACCTCTTTTTCTTTATAAATTACCCAGTCTTGGGTATGTCTTTATTGGCAGTGTAAAAATGGACTAATACAACCCCATGCTCTTTCATTAGCAAAAGTCGTTCTTTCATTTAAAAGTCATACACTGAGCACCTTCTATATGCCAGTCATTGTCTTTGGCACTGGAGATAAAACAATTAACAAAGCAGAACCTTAATCCCTGCCCTTTGGAACTTGCATTCCATAGACAGAAAATAAGCAGGGGTAGGATGTGCCAGAAAAGAAGCCGCTGTTTAAATCAGGTGGTCAGAGAAGAGGGATTTTAATCAGAGGCCTGAAGGAGATGCAGGAACAAACTGGATGGGAATCTGGGGAAGGCATATCTGAGGCAGCAGGGGCAGCAGCAAAGTGCAGAGGCCCTGAAGAAGTAGGAACATGGTGGGCAAGTTTGAGGACTAGCAGGAGGGCTGTATGAGCAAGGGATGGAGAGGAAGTCAGAAGTCACAACAGACAGAAAATATAGGGCCGTATAGATCGTTGTAAGGACCTTATGCTTTAGTAAAGTGGAGAGCCATTATGAAAAGATCACTGTGGCTGCTCTGTTGAGAATAGATGGGCAGACAACACAAGTATGGAAGCAAGACTCCTCTTGGGAGACTGTTGGGATAATCCAGGCACTGATGATGGTGGCTTGGACCAGTATGGTGGCAGTAGCCATGATGAAAAGTAGTTGGATTCTGAATATTTCATGTTGGATTGTATTTGGGGTATCCAGAGAAAGAAAGAAATCAAGGATGAATCTGAGATTTTTGGCCTGAATGACAGATAAGGAGCTATTTAGTAACACAGGAACATGTGGGAAGAGCTGGTTTGGCAGGGAGGATGAAAGTGTTAAGTTTGAGCTGCCCATTAGACTTCTAAGTGATGACATGGAATGGGCAGTTTGATATGAGTCTAGGGATCAGGGAAGCCATATAAGGGGAGAAAGCATGGAACCCACAGCCTGGCTTCAGAGTCTAGCTCCACCTCTGAACTCGGACAAGGCATTTCTCCCTTCTACTGTCCATATCTTCATCTGTGAAGTGAGGTGGTATAACTAATAGGACAAGTGGGAGGCTTAAATGAGACCACATCCATAAAGCATAATACATTAAAAAAGATCAATAGATATGAGCTGTCTTCTGCCAGACTGCCTTCTGGGCTGCCATAGATTTGTAGGCAAGAGACCGTGATCGATAATATGGATCAGGGAAGGCCTGGAAGCGATGGGAACATTTCCCTGGGCGGTTTTTGAGTTAAAAAAAAAAATTGTTGGTATGGTTAAGATGCAGTGGGGTAGAGGATGGAGGGCTAGACCAGGGGCAGAGGGATAGGCCAGGGTTGGTTGCAAAGCCATGGAGATGTGGTGTCAGGAGGACCAGCTCCAGGGTTTGGCCGTGGAGATGGAGTTGGGGGCTGAGCACACATTACTGAGGCCCAAACTCACCCGAGTGCTCAGGGAGAGCCCATTTCAGTCTCCCAGTGACCATCTCCTTCCTGACAGCACAGTCTCCCAGCCTGGCCCCAGGAACCCCACCTCAAGCAAAGTTTCAGAATCACTCATCCCATTCAGTAGAGCAGCTAATACCTAAAACCCAGCTGCTGGCAAGGAGACTTACTTCCCTACAGAGTCCCCTAATCTTGATTCTCGCTGCCTGAAAGAAAGAATACATAAATTAGGACTGAGTGTCTCCCTTTCTCATTAAATAATAGCTATGGGCCAGCCATTAGTGCTCTCATGGGTGAAAGAAATACAGTTGAAAAATTAGTCTCATTTTTGGACTTGGATCAGAAATGGGGCCAGGGCAAATAATCATAGGAAAGCCCTCTTTAGGGGTCATCTCCCCTCTGCATGCACACACACACACACACACACACACACACACAAACACTGGGTAGGGAGGAAGACTGGAGAAAGAGGAAAGGGTAGTGTTGCATTCTAGAGGACTGAGAAAGAAAAATGGGTCTGATCTACTTGTGTTGGCAGTTTTTTTTAATTACCAGAGATTAGAATGTGCCATCTCTGGAGCTAGAGCTGGCTTGCAGATGTGTTTTGTTTGGACCACACAGTGTTTTTAAGATTTTCGAATCTTAAAATCTTGCTACCATCTAAAAAATCAAGAGATTTTACATTGAAAAACTTCCAAATTTCTCCAGGGACACTGGGCCAGCCTTTTTAACAGGGAAGGGTGGAGCAGCCACTGTGTCCTTAAGTCAAGCAGCACTGCTCACCATGGTCCCCAATGGCCTTCCTTCCCTCATTCTCTCACCTGACGAGCATATGAATTTGCAAGCTCTTGTTTGAAGTCAGATCAGACTGGACAATTAATGAACCCAAAGTGAGAGTTGACTCAATGTTTGCTAATGCAACAGTGAACCAAGAGAAAGAATTTACAGAAAGTTGGAGAGATCAAAGGGAGGTCGTATGGCTGGATGATGTTGGTGAGTATTGAGGTTCACTTTGTGAACAACTCTTATTCTATTATAAGTGGGTAAGTTCAGCATCAGAAAGGAGCTCTTCATGGGAACCCAGATCACGCTGCCCTGTTGGGTGACCTTTGCAGAGGATACCCTATCAGAACGTCTGTGAATCACATCTGAGTTCCCTCCTGTGTCTCGTCTCCAACTCTCATTAGCAGTGAACTCAGAAGTTTTGCAGGAAGGAGATTCATTTTCTTTCCTTATCCCCCCTCCAACCCCAAAAGAGACAAAAATTCTGGCATTGAGTATTAACATTCTTATATTAAGACAGATTTACCTCTACTCACTTTGATAAAAGAGCTCAGGATCTCCCAAGAAAACTGATTTTTCAGAGTTGCTCATTTGAATGGACAGCACCTCCAAAGCTTGTGCTTTGGTTGAAAAGGGGTTTTCTGTGTTCCTTGTATTCATCCTTCAAGTTCATGGCCATCACCCATCACCATCTGAGAGTACTTAGTGCTCAGAGTAACTGAAAGGAAGCATAAATCCTCCTTGCTTTGAACACAACCCAGGGTTTACCGTATGTTCTTGTCCTGGCCAATGCTAATCAGCTCTTCCCCGCTTCTTCCATCTTTAATGCTTGTAAATCAAGCTGCCCCAGTATTAGTCACCACAAAAGAGATAATTAGTAAGTACAAGCTGCTACCTTCATAGATCACTCTGTCTCTGGCTCAAGCTAAGCCAAGAGACTGGAGAAAGCTAACATTACACAGTATGAGTTGCATTAGCAGAACCTTTATTACACAAAGCACGTGAGTCTGAATACTTAAATCAAGAATCTGCACCCTCCCCAGCTGTTGTAAGAACAGCTGTGATATGAGACCAAAGGAAAGGCTACTTACCTACCTTATGAGGTTTTCCTTTCCTGGACTCAAAAACTTATCTTTAGAACCCCAAGAATTTGAAAGTGCAATGGTTTCTTAATGGCATAATCTTGGGATTCAGATATTTTTAAAATACTGTAACCCCCATTGATGGGGCAGCAGAGAAAGGTGCCAGTTTCTTTTACTAGGACATGCTGTGTCCTCCCAACAAAGCCATGGCTTGTACCTTTGCCAGCCATTTGTCCAGCTGGAAAATAACGTTACTATTCTGGCAGGGCACATGGTCAAGAGCATTGCTGCCTCCTCAGAAAAGACCATTTCCAGACCAGCTAGGAACTTCCTTTCCATGCACTGCTAATCAGATACTACCAGCCTGCCTGGAAGTGTTTCATTCAAGTATTTGTTACGTTGGAGCCGCTCAAATGCAAGTTGGCTTTTATTTTTTCCATCACACAGTGTTTCACCAATTTTTGAGTTTCCCAGATCAACCTCTTCACTATGTTTAAACAGAATGATTCCAAGCCAACGCAGCTAATCGGTACAGTAAAACCTCACGAATTCAAGCCAGGAATTTGAACTCTTCCAGCTGAGGACAAGCACTAGCAGTGTAAGTTGGAGGCCTGTTTTCTCATCTAGAAGATGAGGACATAAGGTTGTATAACCAAACTCCTTTTCTACTAATATTAAAACCACATTTCATCTAATCTAAGATGCCACTGACTATGAGAGGTATGTTCATATAACAGCAAAGAAGATGACATTTTAAAATGTGCCATCAGTTAAATAATCCCCAAACACCAAAGATATCCCCATGATGCATAGATTGGTGAACTAGACTCTTGTGGCTTTGAAATCCATTCAGATGAATTTGGCAGCTTCTCCTGCCCTTGGTTGTGTTGCTTGGCATGAAATAGGCAATCCTTTTTGAATGTTCTCAATAACAAAATGTAACACCACTTTTAATTCCCTTGGGTGCATCTTTCTAAGCAGATAAAACATTTGCTTGTCCCTTTGCAAGAAAACACAGAATTGTGATTCTGCTTCTAACAATGAATATGTACTTCATCAATATCCAATTGTTCTGTTTTTGAGGCTTTCTATAACTTTTCATTTTAGTACTGAATCATTACATTCAAATGGCAATTAAACTCAATGGTGTAATACCAAGTATGTAGGCAACTCAATGGAAGTGATAAGGGGTACTCGTGCGACTGGGTTTGCAGTGCTGGGATGGTGACGTCTGCATCATGACTGCCACCTGGCAACAGAAACTTCACAACCCCATCAATCACACATGCATCCTGATTTTAGACATGTTAAAGCATGAAAAGAGCATCTTAGGATGTACAAAATATGGAAATAGCGACAATCTCATGAGAACTGCTTGTAGTCATGTAGATACCATGACGACTTTAATGAATTTGCATTCTAGTACTTTTGGCAAAAAGTACTAAACCCCTGATAAGACTTAATGTCGATCAAACCTCACAGCAATCCAGAAAGTATATGCAAATTTGGAAGTTTAGCCAGGTAAATAAAATTTCCCTAGATCACCCAGCTATGTAAATTTCAGAGCAAGGATTTAGATCTAGACAATAGGACCTTCCATCTTGCCATTTCTATGATTCTATGGGCAGTAAAAATCATGTGTGCATATCACGGTAGACTGACCTTTGATTTCATCTACTTTCAAAAACATGAAGCATCCCTGAAGTAGGATCTCAAAGGGCTATTTAAAATAGCTCAATCATATAGGGTTTTGAGTAATGAATTGATAAGAATTTATAATTAACACATCCATTATATGCAAATGGACACTTCCTAAAGGGGCTCGTGATATGATTTCTGCCTTCACAACTGTGGAAACTGGAGTGGTTACCTGTAGCTACCCTCCCCACAGTAGAGTGAGATAGTTAAATCACCATTTCCTGACCAAAACCTAGCCTGTGCGCTGCAATGACTTGCCGAGTGGCAGTGTTCATGTTCATGGCAAAATATGGACCTAGATCAGCTCCAACCTTGGTCTTCTGAGCCTCGAGAATGTTCTTTTTCAACTTCTTTCTATTGCACCAATAACTTGCTTTTCTCACAAAGTTTGGTTTTTGTGGAGTTTTCTGGATTTTTTTTTATAGCATGGATAGTGAATGGGTAGAGACAAATATGTTTTTGCTAAAAACCACAAAAGCTGTTTTACTCTCTTAATGGTAGACAACATGGCAATGAATGACACTTCTCAGATCATGGGAGCCCCCAACACCAGGGAGGCCCTCCCAGACCAGCCCAGAGAAAGAGAATGGAAGCCACCAAGCTGCCACTAGAGGATAGCAATGCTGAACTCACTCCTGTGGCTTTGTGGTGAGGGTGATTCTGTTTGCATGAACAGTTAAATATGGAATCTGGGAGGAGCTTTATATTTACGTTCAGTGCTCTGGGAACAAAATCCAAAAGAAGAGTGAGGGTGTGACTAAGGGCTTTCATGGTCAAAATAAACACCAGCAAGCAGGAATTACCAAATAGTTGAACATTGCCAGCCTCAAACCCTACTCATGTAGACACCATGGTGACCTGAATAAATTTGCATTCCAGCAGCCAATGTAGAGATTGCTTTAAGAGAATGCAGTGGGCGTCTTTAAAAAATCTCAAATTATGAATTCACTTGGTTGGCAAATGTATATTGAGTACCGATGTGTGAAAAGGGAAGAGAGGATATAGCGGCAGGCAAATCAAATTCCAAGTTCAACAAGCCTATTATACATTCTTCAATTGTATTTGAAGAGGGCTGACTGAGGAATGGCAGCAGAGCCAAAGCTCTTCTTCACCTCCCCGCTGGTTCTGTTACAGCTGTAAAGGTGCCTCCCACTACGGCCTGACCAAAGATAGGAAGAGGCGCTCACAAGATGGCTGTCCAGACGGCTGTGCGAGCCTCACAGCCACGGCTCCCTCCCCAGAGGTTTCTGCAGCTGCCACCATCTCCTTAATGACAGACGAGCCTGGCCTAGACAACCCTGCCTACGTGTCCTCGGCAGAGGACGGGCAGCCAGCAATCAGCCCAGTGGACTCTGGCCGGAGCAACCGAACTAGGGGTGAGTCAAATGGGTGGTTGTCCGGGAATGGGCTCCTTGGCTTGCGATTGCCCTCTGTGGAATACTTACTGTGGAAAGTTCTGTAAATGTTTTTTAAGGGGAAATCGTTCTGGTAGTTTTGGCAGGAACCCAATGTCCAATTCGCCAAAGTGAAATGAAACCGCAAGTACCTCCAATCATTAAAACTGTGTGTAATCTGACTTGGTGAAAGGGGCTGAAACTAGACCTAATGATTCATCACTCCTGCAGTGTCAGTAATTTTTCAGCCATGCTGCTCAAGAAAAGTGGTATTGTATTCAGTTCAGCCCAGAAACAAAAAAGAAAAGCAGGATTTTAAGCACGTCGTACATATTTCACTGTAGAAAACTTAAAAAATACAGGTAAGCAAATTCTACAATCCTACCACCCAGAGGTAGTCACTGTTAATGTCTTATTGTGTATATCTTATCAGATATGTACATAAATGATTATTTCTATTAAATCATAACTACTGTTCCTCCTGTCGCTATTCCTCAGCACGGCCCTTTGAGAGATCCACTATTAGAAGCAGATCATTTAAAAAAATAAATCGAGCTTTGAGTGTTCTTCGAAGGACAAAGAGCGGGAGTGCAGTTGCCAACCATGCCGACCAGGGCAGGGAAAATTCTGAAAACACCACTGCCCCTGAAGGTAAATGAACTCCCCATAAGGCTGGATGGACATGGGCTGGGCTTCCAGGGGGACTTCAGGGATGACGCAATCTGATCACCTTCCACCTTCTGTGACCCCTCTCTTCCCAAGGGTATACAATATTTTTTACTTTGATTAGCCTACTTCTCACGTATGTAGCTAAAGGCAGAAAGTATTATCATCTTTTTACATAGATTGAAGAAAAAAGTGTTGAAACCCTCACCTTCAGGCGCTAGTACCATTATGCATATGAGGAAGAATAATTATAATTAATGAGTGAAAAACATTTAAAACAATGACTGGCACATATAATAAATGCAATATATATATTCGCTCTCCTTACTCTTTCAACTACATTTGAGGTGTGGTGCTGAGTGTTTTACATGCATTTCCTCATTTAAGCCTCACAACAACCCTATGAGGTAGCTACTATTATTCCTCTTTTTTTTTTTTTTTTTTTAGACAGAGTTTTGCTTGTCGCCCAGGCTGGAGTGCAACGGCGGCATGATCTCGGCTCACTGCAACCTCTGCCTCCTGGGTTCAAGCAATTCTCCTGTCTCAGCCTCCCAAGTAGGTGGGATTACAGGCACCCACAACCACAACCAGCTATTTTTTGTATTTTTTAGTAGAGACGGGGTTTCTCCATGTTGGTCATGCTAGTCTCGAACTCCTGAACTCAGGTGATCCACCCACCTCGGCCTCTCAAAGTGCTGGGATTACAGGCATGAGCCACCGCACCTGGCGCCACTCCTATTCCTGTTTTACAGATGAGGAAACTGTGGCACAGAGAGGTTACTTAGGTTGCTCAAATTACCTTGCTAAACTTTGAATCCAGGTAACATGGCTGTAGAATTCATGCAAAGGAAGCTATTGAGTCTTAGATCCCATATGTTTTCCCCAATATAAGTGGAGCTGAGGAAATACTGTCCTACTGTCTTTGCATTTTATGTTAGAACTTTAGAGTAGTAGTAACAGCTTTTTTAAAAAATTGAGCTCTTTCTGCATGCACATAGTGTTTTAAGTCATTTAGATGTGACAATAATGTTAAGGGGATAGGACTATCATTCCCATTTTACAGATGAGAAAACGGAGACCCAGAGGGATTAGGTAACTAGCCCAGTCACCCAGCTAAAAAATGGCAGAACCAAGATTTTAAATCAGGTCCTCTGGTTCCAGAGCCTACTCTCTTAGCTCCTGGGTTATACTGCCCTCTACTCTTGGGAGTTGGGAGGCAGAACCCAAACCACTGTATGTATTATGCCCTCAAAATTCATGAGCAGCCTTATCAGACCTTTTCTTGTATACTTATTCATGATTGCCTCTCACCCTGCACGTACATGCTGCATGCTCTAACAGCTCTCAGCTTATTACAGTCCTATAAATGCTGTATATCTTTCTTTCACCTCCCTTCCATTATCCAGCCTGCGCTCCCACTCTCCTTTCAGCTGGCATTCACGTTCCTTCTTCCAGATTTAGTGTAAGACTTTGCCTCCTCCTGGAAACCTCACTCCCTCAGCCCCCTTTTTAGGTGTTTTTGAAGCACCTGTATCAGCGATGATCATGTTTCATGTAACTGTACCTCAAAGTGCAGGGATTATTTTTCTGAATCTTTGTTCTTAAGGCCTAGCACAGTGTCTGGCACATAAGTGTCCACTAAATGTCTGTGCAATGGCTAAATGAAAAGATTAGAACTTCCTTTCCACCAGTCTCTTCCTCTTATTAAAGACTCTTCAATTCCACTCCATGTAAAGTTCTCTACTACTTGGGCCAGACGTGGTGGCTTACTCCTGTAATCCCAGCACTTTGGGAGGCTGAGGCAGCCATATCACCTGAGGGTGGGAGTTTGAGACCAGCCTGGCCAACACAGTGAAACCCCATCTCTACTAAAAATACAAAAATTAGCCAGGGCATGGTGGCGGGCACCTGTAATCCCAGCTACTTGGGAGGCTGAGGCGGGAGAATTGCTTGAACCTGGGAGGCAGAGGCTGCAGTGAGCTGAGATTGTGTCACTGCACTCCAGCCTGGGTGACTCCATCTCAAAAAAAAAAAAAGTTATCTTGAAAAAGATTTATTTGCATATTTATTACAAAAACATTTATAAAACAGATTATTATATGTAAGGCACCGGCCTAGGTGCTGTCATTTTATATAAAGAATATAAAATGTAGTTCTTGGCATCAAGGGGTTTATTCAAGACTAAAATATAATAAAATAAAAGCATACCTCATTTTTATTTTTACAAATTGAAAGCTTGTGGTCACCCTGTAGCCAACAAGTCTGTTTGCTCCATTTTTCCAAAAGCGTGTGCTCACTTCATGTCTCTGTGTCACATTTTGGTAATTCTTGCAGCATCTCAAACTTTTTCATTATTATATCTGTTATGGTGACATGTGATCAGTTATCTTTGGCGTTACTATTGTAATTGTTTTAGCGTGCCACGAGCCATGCCCTTATAGGTCAGTAAATTTAATAATTGTGTGTTCTGACTACTTCACTGGCCATTTCCCCATGTCTCTCTTCTTGGGCCTCCGTATTCCCTGATACATAACAGTATTGAAATTAAGCCAATTAGTAACCCTACAATAGCCTTTGAGTATTCAAGTGAAAGGAAGAGCCACATGTCTCTCACTTTAAATCAAAAACTAGAAATGAACCTTGGTAAGGAAGGCATATTGAAAGCTAAGGTAGGCTGAAAGCTAGGCCTCTCGTGCCAAACAGCCAAGTTATTAATGCAAAGGAAAAGTTCTTGAAGGGAATTAAAAGTGCTACTTCCAGTGAACACATGATTTACAAAGCGAAACAGCCTTATTGCTGATATGGAGAAAGTTTGAGTAACCTGGATAGAAAAACAAAACAGCCACAACATTCCCTTAAACCAAAGCCTAATCCAGAGGAAGGTCCTAACTTTCTTTGATTCTGTGAAGGCTGAGAGAGGTGAAGAAGCTAAAGGAGAAAAGTTGGAAGCTAGCAGAGATTGGTTCATGAGGTTTAAGGAAAGAAGCCATCTCCATAACATAAAAGTGCAAGGCAAAGCAGCAAATGCAGATTGTAGCGAAGCAGCAGATGCTGATTGTAACGAAGCAGCAAATGCTGATTGTAGAAGCTGCAGCAGGTTTTCCAGAAGATCTTGCTAAAATCATTGAAGGTGGCTCCACTAAGCAGATTTTCTTTTTTTTTTGAGACGGAGTCTCGCTCGCTCTGTAGCCCAGGTTGGAGTGCAGTGGCATGATCTCAGCTCACTGCAACCTCTGCCTCCTGGGTTCAAGTGATTCTCTTGTCTCAGCCTCCCAAGTAGCTGGGATTACAGGCGTGCACCACTATGCCTGGCTAATTTTTTGTATTTTTAGTAGAGACAGGGTTTCGCCATGTTGGCCAGGCTGATCTTGAACTCCTGACCGCAGGTCATCCGCCTGCCTCGGCCTCCCAAAGTGCTAGGATTACAGGTGTGAGCCACCGCACTCAGCCAACAGATTTTCAATGTAGATGATACAGCCTTATATTGGGAGAAGATGCCATCTAGGACTTTCTTAACTAGAGAGAAGTCAATGCCTGGCTTCAAAACTTCAAAGGACAGGCTGGCTCTCTTGTTCGGGGCTAATACAGCTGGTGATTTTAAGGTGGGGTCCAGTGCTCATTTATCATTTCAAAAATCCTAGGACCCTTAAGAATTATGCTAAATCTACTCTGCCTGTGCTTTCTCCATGGAACAACAAAGACTGGATGGCAGCACATCTTTTTACAGCATAGTTTACTCAATATTTTAAGCCCACTGTTGAGGCCTATTACTCAGAAAGAAAAGTTCCTTTCAAAATATTGCTACTCATTGATAATGCATCCTAGTTACCCAAGTACTTCGATGGAGACGCAAGAGTAATGATGTTTTCATGCCTGATAACACAATATCCATTCTGCAGCCCGTGGATCAAAGAGTAATTTCTACTTTTAAGTCTCATTATTTAAGAAATAAATTTCGAAAGGCTATAGCTGCCATACATAGTGATTCCTCTGATGGATCTGGGCAAGGAAAATTGAAAACCTTCTGGAAAGGATTCACCCTTCTACATGCCATTAAGAACATTAGTGATTCATGGGAGGAGGTCAAAATATCAACATTAACAGGAGTTTGGAGGAAGTTGATTTTAATTCTCAAGGATGACTTTGAGGGGTTCAAGACTTCAGTGGAGAAAAGTAACTATAGATGTGGTGGAAATAGCAAGAGAACTAGAATTAGAAGTGGAGCTTAAAGATATGACCAAATTCCGGGAGGCTGAGGCAGGAGAATGATGTGAACCTGGGAGGCGGAGCTTGCAGTGAGCCGAGATCGCACCACTGCACTCCAGCCTGGGCAACAGAGCAAGATTCCATCTAAAAAAAAAAAAAAAGATATGACCAAATTGTTGCAATCTCATAATAAAACTTGAATGAGTGTAGAGGCATTTCTTACGGATGAGCAAATAAAGTGGTTTCTTGAGATGGAAACTACTTCTGCTGAAGATGCTGTGAACATTGTTGAAACGACAACAAAGGATTGAGAATATTACATAAACATAGTTGATAAAACAGCAAGGTTAGTAGAGGATTGACTCTAATTTTGAAAGAAGTTCTACTGAAGTTTAAATGCTATCAAACAGCATTGCATTCTACAGAGAATCTGCATAAAAATCTTTCACGAGAGTCAGTTCATGTGGCAAACTTCATTGTTGTCTTATTTTAAGAAATTGCCAAGCCACTCCCAACCTTCAGCAACCACCACTGTGATCAGTCAGCAGCCATCAACATCAAGGCAAGACTCTCTACCAGCAAAAAGATTACAACAAGCTGAAGCCTCAGATGATCGTTAAACAGCATGTTTTAGCAATAAAGTATTTTTAAATTGAGATATGTACATTTTAAAAAACATGCTATTGTACACTTGATAGACTAGAGTACAGTGTAAACATAACTCTTATAACCACAGAGAAACCAAAAGACTCACTTTCTTATAGCAGTCTGGAACCAAACCCACAATATCTCAGAGGTATGCCTGTACTATGAAGAATGAAGTATAAATTAATGACCATAGCAGCCATAGGGGACAGTGTAATCCATGTGACTTGGATGGATGTTGGGATGCTGACTGTGTGTTGGAAAATGCATTCAAGTAGCTTAGCTCAATGCCAGCATATAGTAAACTCTCAGTTAATAATTATTATTATATCCTTTAGTCCTTGAGTGAGGACATAATATTGAACAAATCATTTTCTTTCCAGACCAATACAGAAGATGAGGTGAAGGTCAGATCATAGTGTGTCCTGATTATTATTTAGGAGTCTGTACTTGATTTGGGGGTAGTGAACACACCTGGGAGCTCTTGTATAGAGTTGTTGCAGGATTGGAGCCGTGTTTCCAGAAGACAGAGATAGCAGCCATGTTCAATGAGTAGGCGGGCTGGAGTGGGAGAGATTGGATTTCCTCAGACACACTAGGAAGCTGTAATTCCAGAATGGAGTGAGGTGTTAAGACTCAGCTAGCCTGGTATCAATGTCGTCACAGCATTTGTGAGGCAACAATGCTTTCAAAATGGCCAGAGGGCCTCATTGCTTCAGCAACCTACAGTTAGCTTCCTGGCATGGTTTATCCATCCTTTTAATGTCAGTAAAGGGACTGGCGCCACTGTTTATCAACTGTGTGACCCTGGCTGGGTTGCTTAATGCTCTAAGCTTCAGCATTTCTTCATCTGAAAAGACAGAGATGGGTCTGGGCATGGTGGCTTACACCGGTAATCCTAGCACTTGGAGGCCAAAGTGAGAGGATCTCTTGAGCCCAGGAGTTTGAGACCAGCCTGGGGAACATGGTGAGACTTTGTCTCTACAAAAAATGAAATTAGTGGGACATGGTGGCACACACCTGTACTCCCAGCTTCTTGGTCTGAGATGGGAGGATTGCCTGAGCCCATGAGGTCAAGGCTGCTTTGAGCCAAGATTGTACCACTATACTCCAGCCTGGGTGACAGAGTGAGATCCTGTCCCCCCACCCCCAAAAAAAAAAAAAAAAAAGATTATTATCATCTATTTCATAGGGTTATTGTGAAGACTAAACAAAAAAATGCATTCAAATACCTTAACTCAATGTCAGCATATAACAAACTCTCAGCTAATAAGATTATATCCTTTAGTCCTTGAGTAAGGACATAATATTGAGCAAATTTTTTACTTTCCAGACCAACACAAGTTTGGCAGTTTAAAAATTCCTTTATCTCTTTAAGGTCACTAGGATCTCATTGGTGTTGCTCTAACATCATTTACAAGTGTGAATGGTATGTCCTTTCAAGCTATCAAATCAAACATTCTCTAGCGGTTTAGGTTTGGCAGTGTGGTTTTTGTAAATCTGTTGGAAAAGATGGTAACAAGGGAAGGGGAATGAGGGAGGGAAAATTGGCTTTTGTGATTATTTCCAAATCTTTCTTTGCTCAGAATGAATTTTTTTCCATTCCCTTGTTATACCAGACATGTTCTAGCAATTGCCTGTGGTATAGCCTACTTAATATAACCAAAGTAGTTTAAACATTAATTGAACTCAATCACCCGAGTACTGTTAGTACCAGGAGCTGACTGCTGAAGCCAGCTTACCCCTGCCTTATGCAGTCACTTCAGTTCAATCAGTATAGAGATTAAGGACCCACATTTACAACATCTCGGGTTTCCTCTGCCCACTAAGTTACTTTGCCCTAACATACTTAGAAATAATTTTAATTCTTTATTGTTCTTAGAGAGTTGAGTACTTATTAATTCATTAGGGAAAATGGACTAAGGTCACGGGTTTTGAAAATGCTCACAAGGAACTAGAAGCAGGCCTGCCATGTGAGATCTTTCCAGATGCCATAACGAAAGGAGACTCTTAAGGTGAGGCAGCTGTCAGCACCTACGGAAGACAGAAGCATCTCAGCCCTTTACATTCAAACTTGAGCCTCTAGCTGCTTGGAGGAGCCCCTTTTTCCACCAAGCTAGGTGTGGCTTGTTCCCATCACTTGTTGGTGTCCCCTCTGAACACTTCTATTCAAACTGAAGTGAAAAAAAAAACAATGCCAGTCGGTGCTGCTGGCTCATAGGTCCATAGAGCAAGTCCCTCATGGGCTCTGGCCTGGCTGTGAACCCCTGGCTCCAGGGATACCTGACAGAGAGTACCGGTCACAAGAACTCTGGGTTCTGACCTGGCTCTCAGGACCACCTAACTTTGGGATGTCCAGTCAGTTACTTCACTCCCCTTCTCTCAGCCTTAAACCTCCTCACTTGTAGTGTTTGACTATCACTGTCAAGCAGCAGGACAATTAGAGCAGCTGTTTTCTGTGTGGTCACAATGGGATGAAAGATGAGAAGAGAGCTAGGAGAGATTTCTTGGGGAAAGCAGATTCATCAGTTTAAAAATACAGTTTGAAAACACCAGCCTAGATGATCTTTGAATCTCCTTGCTCTGAACTCAGTGATTTCAGGCAAACCAGGGATGAACTGCTCAAGGCCACCAACTAGGCCTTGGCCTCTTCTTGATCATGAATCAGGCCTCTTCCATTTGTTAACAACAATGTCTGGTAGAAAGAACTGATGTTCCCCCAAGCCTGAAAAGCAGAGTCTTTAAGGAAGAAATTTTCAAAATTATCTGAGAGGGCAAAGTGGCAAATTGGTTCTGTTTTTTACCTCTCAATAAGCAAGCGATAAAACTGCAATTCATTCCATTAAAAATGATTCATTCACTTCTATTAATTCAGTAAACTTCAGCTGAAGGCCTCTGCATGCAGAGATATATGCAGAGAACCATGGAACAGCGAGAGTTTATGCCCTCAGGTTTTATGGGCATGATATGAGGTATATAAGAAATGAGTATAAGCTGGGAGAGGTGACTCACACCTGTAATCCCAGCACTTTGGGAGGCCGAGGTGGGTGGATCACCTGGGCTCAGGATTTCAAGACCAGCCTGGACAACATGACAAAACTCCGTCTCCACAAAAAATGTAAAAATTTGCCAGGAATGGTGGCATGTGCCTGTAGTCTTAGCTACTTGGGAGGCTGAGGTGGGAAGATCACTTGAGCTCAGGAGGCGGAGGTTGTAGTGAGACACTGCATTCCAGCCTGGGCAACAGAGTAAGACCCTGTCTCAAAAAACAGAAACAAAAACAAAAAGGTAAAAATAACAATAATGGGTTGAGTGCCATGAGAAATAGCTAGAAAGCTTTATAGGAAGTGGGCTGTTTAGAGCAAGGGAAGGAGGAATCAGGGTAGAGTTTAATTGGAAGGGCCTTGAAGGAAAAATTGGGTTTAAGCTCAGGATGAAAAACATTCCAAGCAGAGAAACTTACATTGACACAGAGGCAGGAAAATGGAAAACATGTATGAGGAAAAATGAATAGTTTAGTTTGGCTGACACTGAAGTTTGGCAAGAAGAGTAGTTGGAAAGGTCCATTGGGTGGGTGTCTTAAATAAACACTCTTTGTCCATTTCAGTCTTTCCAAGGTTGTACCACCTGATTCCAGATGGTGAAATTACCAGCATCAAGATCAATCGAGTAGATCCCAGTGAAAGCCTCTCTATTAGGCTGGTGGGAGGTAGCGAAACCCCACTGGTCCATATCATTATCCAACACATTTATCGTGATGGGGTGATCGCCAGAGACGGCCGGCTACTGCCAGGAGACATCATTCTAAAGGTAGAGACTGTGGCTGTGGGGCTGCAGCAAGGGGCTTGATATAAAAAAATGCTTCTGAGCAAACAATTGGATAGATGGATGGATGAATGAGGGAAATGGTAAAATAAATGTGGATAGTGACTTTCTATCATTTTATGACTCTCTGAGATTTGTCATTTAATTGAGATCTTTGTTTCTCTCTGTCTTGCTCTTTCACTCTCTCCCCCCTTTCTCTCTGTATATAAATATTTATCTGTCTCTATATCATTTTGTCTGTCCACTCTTCTGCCTTCTCCCTTCTAGCTTTTTCAATCTTCCTCTTCATTCCCTTTCTCCACCTCCTCTTTCTCCTTTTATCTCTTTTTTTAAAGAGCATTAATATAAAATAAAACTGGGACATATATTTTCTTAAATTGTTTTTAGAGTAGATTAATAGAACATTTTGTATTTTATTTAATCACAATCATCTACTTTTTGAAAGTCAATTTCCTATAGTCTTACGGCCCTCCCTGAAAATAAAAGTAATCTCTATGCTAATTCCACCAACCCAGAGACATACCAGGGGAGACAGGTGTTGGAATAGAATGCTTTGGGTGTTACTGTCCTCAGAGGCTTGGTTAAGGAGAAGGAGGAATTTTCAGAACAGAAAGGATAAAAAGATCTGTTTACCAGGCAGAAGTCCAATGTTTGCCAAAAGTGCCAAGAAACCCCTCCCTGCTCGTATATTTTCTATCTGACACTCAGATAACAGTTCTATCCCATCCCTTCTAGGTTGCTGAGGGACCGGCTCCTGTCACATTATGAGCTGTTTCTTTGGCAAACTGATTGGAATAAGAGGAGAAATAACCTAAAGCAGTTTTCACAGAAATACTGAAATTCCTGCTGGCCTCCGAGGTGGAGCATAAGACAGGGCCCTCGGGGCAGGCCGCAGTACAATCAGCTACACTGTGCACTGCTGCCTCCCAGTTCTAGTGGAAACTATGCTGCCTGGCAGGGTTGCATAACAAAACATTTTGATTCTTGTGGCCTTCAACTGGAGCTTACAAACAAAAGGGCTGCCAGGACTATTTAGCAGGCAACCCTGACTCCCCTGACCTTCTCTGGGCCCAGAGGTGATGGGGGAACCCGGCCCTGCCACCTCAGGTGCTCTCCTCACCTGTGCTTGGACAAAGGTGGTGAGCTTTGCCTTTGCATGAGGGAGCCTCTGGAGCTGCACCAGAGAACAGGTGATTATATCCTCAAGAAAGGCCTTTGTAAAGCCCATTCCAAGCCTTCTCTAACAATTGGCTGCAAATACAAGAAATCTTATCAAACTACAGAAATTCAAGAAAGTTATTTCTCCTCCATGGGGCCTCTTTCCTCAAACACAGAGTGCAGCAATTGCTGCGAAATTGTTTTCTTCCAACATAGGGGGCTCTGGCTGGGCCTGTGTAGCCAGAGAAATTAAAACCAGAAAGCCCCATGCAGTATCAGCCCTACACATCATTAGTGAGGCACAAATGAGAGGGCCGAGCTTAAGCTTGTTTAAGTAGCTTTATAAAGAGATCTAGCCTTTCAATAAAAGAGCCTGGAAACTTCCTTTCATATCAGTTTGTCTGAAACTGTGCAAGGATTTCTTCCTTTTGCTGAGAACATGGGCAAAAAAACCTTGCAGGGGACCACCCTGAGACCTGACACATTCCCATCCGCACACACACAGTATCACACGCACATACACTCCATCGTGCTCACACACTCAGACCCTCACTCACACAC
This sequence comes from Homo sapiens, assembly GCF_000001405.40. NCBI lineage: Eukaryota > Metazoa > Chordata > Mammalia > Primates > Hominidae > Homo > Homo sapiens. Next base: position 53,496,906 of record NC_000004.12, on the reverse strand, counting down.
TATCACATCTACATACACACACAGTGGTGAGGACTGGAAGTTCTGGTATGAGTTGACCCAGGGAGAAAAATTCAATTGGAGATTTTTGGGAAGAAAATGTCAACTCGGCTTGAAGAGCTGTTTAATGCAATCATTTGACTGAGGCAAATGGGAAAAATGCTTTTCTTTTGCCTTTTCCTACCTTATCTTCCTTCCCTCTCTTCCTGCCAGCTAAAAAATAATGACAACAGAAATGAAGGCTAGGATTCTGGGAATAAATATGTGGGCTTGGGTAAGAACAAGGTGGAGAAAGATGGTGTCTACTCACAGAGGCCTGGAGAGGTGCTGCAGGCCACGCTTGGAGAGAACAGGGTTAGAAACGCTGTTGGAAGGTGCGGTTATTGGACACAGGATGAGGTGGGAGAGCAGAGCAGTCTTTAAAGACAGGATCCTGGCTTTTCTGTGGGCCTGGATCTTTCAGGAAGGGTTGTGGCAGGTGGAGCTGACCGCACGATTGTTCCACCTGCCCCCAGGTCAACGGGATGGACATCAGCAATGTCCCTCACAACTACGCTGTGCGTCTCCTGCGGCAGCCCTGCCAGGTGCTGTGGCTGACTGTGATGCGTGAACAGAAGTTCCGCAGCAGGAACAATGGACAGGCCCCGGATGCCTACAGACCCCGAGATGACAGCTTTCATGTGATTCTCAACAAAAGTAGCCCCGAGGAGCAGCTTGGAATAAAACTGGTGCGCAAGGTGGATGAGCCTGGGGTTTTCATCTTCAATGTGCTGGATGGCGGTGTGGCATATCGACATGGTCAGCTTGAGGAGAATGACCGTGTGTTAGCCATCAATGGACATGATCTTCGATATGGCAGCCCAGAAAGTGCGGCTCATCTGATTCAGGTGAGTCAGAGGTCATTCCAGGATCCCAGTCAGAAACCCCGGACATGAGCAAGAATGCACATCCCCCTGAACCAGGCACCCTGTCACTACCACATGTGTCATGCAGTGCCTCCCTTTCAAGGAGTCAGGATGGAAAGACCAACATTTTCAAAGCTTCTGCCCAGGTAAGAACATTACTCGGCTGGGCGTGGTGGCCCATGCCTGTAATCCCAGCACTTTGGGAGGCCGAGGCAGGTGTATCACATGAGGTCAGGAGTTCAAGGCCAGCCTGGCCAACAGGGTGAAACCCCATCTCTACTAAAAATACAAAAAATTAGCCAGGTGTGGTGGCAGGTGCCTGTAATCCTAGCTACTCAAGAGGCTGAGGCAGGAGAATCACTTGAAACTGGGAGGCGGAGGTTGCAGTGAGCTGAGATCGTGCCACTGCACTCTAGCCTGAGCAATAGAGCAAGACCCATCTTAAAAAAAAAAAAAGCTATGCCATGCATTCTCCAGGGATCCTATGGACAGAGTAAGTCTTAGTCTCCATGGCTAAGTCCAGGTGACTTCGAAAGCACTTGGAAACCCAAGTATGAACCTGAGAGGAAGCCCCCTAAGAAGAGAGGGACGCAAATTCTTGATCACTCAGGCAAGTAGAGTTCATGACTGTTCAAACTAATCCACTTTTCTGACCAGTATAATGTCATCAAGCACCTGTATGTATTTTGTTGACTTCGTCAGGGTCACTGTTGAAATTTTTTTTTCTTTAGCTTTTTTATTTTAAGATAATTATCAATTAGTATGCAATTGTAACTCACCTTCGTATTTTGAGATAATTATCAATTAATATGTAATTGTAAGAAATAATACAGAGAGATCCCATGTCTCGTTACTGTTTTTCCTAGTGTTAACATCTTGCAAAACCATAGTATGGCATCACAAGCATGCTATTGACATTAACAGTCATAACAGAAGATTTCCATCACCACAAAGATCCCTATAAAAGTTGCCTTCTATTGCCACATCCATTTCCCTCCCCGCCCCACGTCCTCCTTAACCCTTGGAAATAACTAATCTGTTTTCTATTTCTATAATTTTGAATTTCAAGAATGTTATATAAATGAAATCATATACGGACTTGGGGGACTGGCTTTTTTCACCCGGTATAATGTTCTGATAGTTTTGTGTCTCAGCGACGTTTCATAAGCTGTGAGCTTTATTCTTGGAAGAATAGACTTTGTTCTGGGCTCTTATGTTCTAACCCATTCATTCACTTCATCCAGCAAATATCTGTTAAGTTCTGCTGCTTATGTACCCCTGGGTTAGATGCAGAAATTGGAGGGAGGACCACTTAGATTATTCTTCCAAAGGATCCTCCAGTGTGGCAGGAAAGCTGGACTTTATCTAAATGACTGCCCATGCAGTCTAACACTGCTGCAATGGAAAAAATTAAGTATGATGCTGATGCAGGCGCAGGGGAGATTTTTGCTTGACTAGGCCTGTGAATTCCTCAGAGGAGGAAGATCTTGAACTTGGGGCTTGAGGAATGAGCTGGAGTTCTCCAGTGTACAAGTCAGCAAGGGTCATCCTAAGGAGACACAAGACAAAAGAACATTTCCTTAATAGCCCATGTGTTAGTCCATTCTCTTGCTGCTGATAAAGACATACCCAAGGCTGGGTAATTTAAAAAGAAGAGGTTTAATGGATCCACAGTTCCACATGGCTCGGGAGGCCTCACAATCATGGCAGAAGGTGAAAGGCCAGTCTTACATGGCAGCAGGCAAGAGAGAATGAGGGTCAAGCAAAAGGGGAAACCTTTATAAAACCATTGGATCTTGTGAGACTTACTACCACAAGAATGGTATGGGGGAAACCACTCCCGTGATTCAATTATCTCCCACTGGGTCCCTCCCACAACACATGGGAATGATGGGAGCTACAATTCAAGATGAGATTTGGGTGGGGACACAGCCAAACCATATCAGCCTATTAGGGAAATGATAAATAGTACCTGGAGCCTGGGGTGTGTATTTTAAAAAGCAGCCATAGACGAGGCAAGAGACAGATCATGTGAAATATTGCGAGCCATGCTAAGGACCTCAGACTTTATCCGCAAAGCCACGGGGGCATTCTTGGAAGGGTTTAGGAAAGGAAATGGCATGATCTTCTAGAATGATCTCTCTCAAGTCAGTGGAGAGCTGAAAAGAGAAGGGCAAGATCCAGCGGCCTTAAGAAGCATTCTCAATTATCCAGCAAGTCTATGTCAACTTCCACTTAGTGACTGAAGTCTTCATACTTTGAGAATAGGCAGTAAGTCAGCAGCAGTAACTGACTAGCCCTGCACCAAGTTCCACAGAGGGTGATCATCAAAAGACTGTTTGCTTTCAAGGACTTGGTTATCTAAACACAAATAAATTTGCCTGCACCTGAGATCTGGTTATGTGATTCTTTCAGGTAGGTGCTGGCAACTCTCTGCACTGTCCTGTACAGTAGCTTATCCCTCTTCGTGGAAGAGGACCAAGTGTTGGATGGTATTACTGTCATTGTAGACCTGGGCAGCCTGAGGCAGAGGGTACAAGGGGACTTAGCCTTCTCCCTCTGCCCACCAGGGCAGAAAACACACGTGGTACCTTAGCTTTTGAGCTGTGCCACTTGGTGGTGTCCCAGTTCCAAGGTGGTTCTCGGCCCCCATGGATGCTCATCTGCCCTAGAGGGCCCGAGCTCATGCCAAGTAGAGCAGGTGGGGAACAAAACCAGAGTTAGAAGAGGCATTTTCTGGCTGGGTGTGGTGGCTCACATCTTTAATTCCAGCACTTTGGGAGGCCGAGGCAGGCAGATCATGAGGTCAGTAGTTCGAGACCAGCCTGGCCAACATGGTAAAACCCCATCTCTACTAAAAATACAAAATTAGCTGGGTGTGGTGGCAGGCACCTGTAATTCCAGCTACTTGGGAGGCTGAGGTAGGAGAACTGCTTGAACTCGGGAGGCGGAGGTTTCAGTGAGCCAAGATCGCACCACTGCACTCCAGCCTGGAGACAGAGCAAGACTCTGTCTCAAAAAATAAACAAAGAGACATTTTCCTTCTGAGGTGTATGCCATCTATTCCCAAATTCATGTGCCCACCTCACCTTCTCCTCTGACCACACTTGCACCTCCAGATGCCTGCTTCATATCTTCCTGTGGATAAGGCAAAGGCATCTCAAACTTAATGTCCAAAACTGAACCCTTGGCTCCTCCCATTCCACCCCTTGCCCAACGTGCTCTCCCCTAGGCCATTCCTAGTCTATAAAAATGGCACCTCTATTTACCCAGTGACTTGAACCAAAAAGAACTTTGACTCACCTCAGCGTCTTGCTCCCCCAACCCATTTTGACCTGGTCTGAGTGACGGCTGGAGCCTCTTTGCTGGCCTTCTGCCTTCCACACTTAATCATCTCTCTCCTACTCTATGCACAGCAGAGAGAATGAGCTCTTTACCAAACCACTCCAGTCAGGATGCCACTCTCTCTCTCTCTCTCTCTCTCTCTCTCTCTCTCTCAGAGCCCTCTGAGGCCTCCTGAGACACTTAGGTTAAAGTTGCAGATCGTTACTATGGCCTGCAATGCCATACGTCTTGTGGCCTGTTCTCTCTCCAACCTCATTTCTTACAGAAGAGGATATTTAGTATTCTCCCCATGTTTAACCATGTGCCCCATTGCCTTCTTGGTGCTCTTCAAGCATTTCTGCCTCAGGCCTGGCATTCTTGCTGTTCCTCTGCCTGGAAGAATCTTCTAAATATCCATTTGCTGCATTCCCACAGTTCATTCAGGTCTCCTCTCAACTGTCAGAGAGCTCTTCACTGTCAATTCTACTAAGAATTGTGTCCATTTCTGCTCATATACACTTTATCCTACAATACTCTTCAATTACTACCAACTAATATTACCTGCCAGACAGTAAAGTAAAGTATTATATCCTCAGCCAAGCGCAGTGGCTCATGCCTGTAATCCCAGCATTTTGGGAGGCCGAGGCGGGTGGGTCACCTGAGGTCAGGAGTTCGAGACCAGCCTGGTCAACAGGGTGAAATCCTATCTCTACTAAAAATACAAAATTAGCCAGGGGTGGGGGCGCACGCCTGTGATCCCAGCTACTTGGCAGAAGAATCACTTGAACCCGGGAGGTGAAGGTTGCAGTGAGCCAAGATCGCGCCATTGTACTCCAGCCTGGGCAAAAAGAGTGAAACTTTTCTCAAAAAACAAACAAACAAAAAAAAGTATCGTATCCTCAGCACTTAAAGCAATGGCTGGCAATAGTAGGCACTTGATAAATATTTGCCAAATAAGTAAATGGAGTCAAATTATGAACATCTATGTGTATATAAAATATATTTTATACATTAACTTTATCTCCTAGGGATTGGTTATCAAACCATTTACCAAAGAAGCACCAAATCTGCTTTCATGTGCCATTTGTCCCCAAGATACCATATCTACTCTTTGTCTCCTTGAATTTGTTCAGTGATTATTGACTGAGCAACTTCTTTGTGCCAAGAGGTGTGTGGTACCATGCTGAACTAGGTTGGTACAGTTCCTGGCCTGGTAGAGCTTGGAATGTATTCCTGCCTTTTATCTCAAAAGAACCAAGTCAGCATTAGGCAGGTGGCATTAGCCGGCCAATCAATGAGAAGAGAAAATATGCTATGTTTATGAAAACCTTCACACATGGAAAAGGGAGAGTCCATTGTATTTCTTTATGAAGAAACTGCATTCTTAGCAAGATTTTTTTTTTTTTTCTCACTTTGAAAACTAGCCTTTTAGGTGACCACCAGTACTTTTTCATGTTACACTTGTTAACTCCCTCTGCAGGTCAATCGGTGCAACTCACATCCTGGAGATAATGTTTGCCAACTATACTTCGCAATAAGCAAAAGAAAAACTCTTACTCATCATGTCATTTGGAAAAATCTTGACTACATATGGCATTTTGCTTTTGTAGATTAATAACAGAAGAGCAAAAACAGTTTCTTCCCTGAGAAAGTTAATTTATGGAATAAAACCTTGCCTAACACTGGGACTTCCTAAAAGATTCTTTTGCTTACTAAACAAAGCCAACGTGCTTTATAAGCAGGAAAAACCTTTTAAAAAAAAATGGGAGCAAAGCTAGTTGAAAAAGAAATGGAAAACACGGAATGTTGGAAAAACCTAGCTAAGCAATCGCATGCCGTTTCTGAAGAGTGGATTTTATTTATGTGATATTTGTAACACACACCAGGCTGAGGGGATTAAACTAAATACCCTTCAAATGTTGAGACTCAAATTTCTAACCAATCCTTGGCTATGTTGCCTTTGTATGTCTACTCCGTGAATCACATTTGCCTTACAAAGAAATTCCCAGACAACATGTTTTTTGGTCATGTTCTCTCCCACAGTACCCCACATTCAGCTTTTTTTCTGCATTACTTCAGGGAAGAGTTATTACAGAGAGGCCACAACCATTTTATATTTGACCAGCTTTACATATGTTGAGCTCTAACCTCAGCTTACTCAGCAGCAGCCTGGGTTTGCCAGGCCCTTTTAAGAAGAAAGTCCTTATGGAGATAGAAGCCTCAAATATGGTGCTGATGATTTATGTAGCTACTAAGTACAATTTTATTTTTCTCCATTGTCAATTTCTCAAGTCAATTTCCCAATCATGACTGGAATAACTGTATGAAAGAGGCAGCTTTTTGGAACTGTCTGATGTCATAGCTAAGATAACAGAACAAAGAAATAATGGACCAAAGATTCAAATTTGAATGTCCCTCTTAAGCCTTTTTTCCATAGGCAATTCCAGACTTGATGCAGAAACTGAAAATACTCAAAGCCATTTCTAGAGCCAATGATAATAGGGGCTTTCATCAATACCGGCATATGTGTAATTGTTTTTTCCTTATATGAATCAATATTTAAATGAGAATTCATTTCATCAAAGAACATTTGACAACAGGCTCTTCAAACTTTTTTTTTAATGAGATAGACCTTCAGACAGAGCCACAAAGCCAATAATGGACTATTTGCATTGCCATACCTGCAAAAAAGGGTAGAACTTTTGTGGTACTGTAAACATTCAAGTCCCCCGGAGCCAGTAAGAATTGCCAGTGAAATAAAAGCTGATAGATCTGTATTTTTTTTTTAACAGATCAGTACACTTAATCTGGAATTAAATCCCTACTTAAATAAATTGTCTTACCATGGTTTGTGGTAAATTTAATGCACATAGACTTGATTATAGAATATTTTTTAATCTCCTTGAGCTGAATTCTCAAAGTCCAAGTGATTTTTATCTAGGGCTCCAAATTTTATGCATTCTTGATAAAGTGTGTGACTTGGTAAACTGTACAGCTTTTCAACTTAGAATTTCATGAGTGAATATTATGTGCAGCTACACACTGCAAATATTAGGGGATCTTGAAACTTCACTACCCTTCCTCTAACCCACATATCCCCCCAAATATATATATTTTTATAGAACATAATCATGAGAGTAACTTCTAGATATCCTAAAAGAAATGGTGTCTGAGGCAAGGATGCTGAGTCATTTTACTGACTCAGCCACCAGCAGATTCAGGGACTCAAGAACTAAATCCTTGTGTCTTGCCCTTGTCACTGACATCTGTATGACCCCATATAAGTCACCATCTGTATTATCATTAATGTCTTTGCATCTAAAGATACATGCTTCTGGGAACATAAGGATGAACATGGAGCTATAGTCTACTGGGAAAAATAAACCATATTGCTGCCCTAATTCTCCTTTTCCACCCTGATCAAATCTTAAGATCCTATTTACTATGTTTCTTCAAAGCCTCCTTAATTTTCTCTCTCCTTGGCCAGACTGATTGCTTTTAGCTCATTGAAGGAGCTACCACCTCTTCAGCATGAGATACTCATAAACTTTTTAATAATATATCAGGCACTTTTCTGGGGGTCCAAAGTTTCAATGGCAAACAAATTAATACAGACCAGATTTGCTCTGACCAAACTCATTTTATAGGGAATATCAACTTATAGTACACCATTAATTCATTCTAGAGTTATATTTCTGGAGCCTCCAACTCGTTGCTCAGTGGGAGGATTTTTTTTCCCTGGAAGTTCTTTTGTTCACTGGAAGGAAGGGAAGGGGAAGGGTTCTGTTTCCAAACCTTGTTGTGAAATACACTGACATATCAACCGGAATGACTGATGACTTTGATTTTTTTCTAGCATATCATTCGGTTCTGATGCTTCCAGTTGTCTGTATTGTCATGTAAGGTCTGTATGGCATCATGTGGTCTCAGGGGTGGGCTGCTCTGCTATAATTTGTCCTATAGTGCAGTCCTGAATACCTCCTTGTCACCTTTCAATTAATCCATAGGTAAAGACAGGAATCGATTGAGTTTTTGGATTCATAGAGCATAGAGACAATCCCCTATGCTTGTATGAATGACAAAATTGAAACGCCATTAATGAGGTCCTCAGTGCAGCTGGTTCATCAACAAAACTACTGCACTCTATACTGGTCAGTCCAGAACTCATCTTCTGGGTTCTATTCTGCATGTGCACACACACAACTTTATTACAGCGAGTCCAGAACTTATTACATTTTTTAGATGACTTGAAAAGATATTTAATGTGGAAAAAACTAGGAATAGTTGACCTGGAAAGGGAAAGAGCTAAGAGAGAGCAATGAGAGTGATCCTCAAATAGGATTGTCACAGGGAAATTGATGTGGGGTTGCCCTACTGGGCATAACTAGACCAATAGGCAGGCAATAGGATGGCAAATTTAAGTTCAACCTAAGGACAAACATTCAAATTAGTGCTATCTAAAAATGGCCAATGTTGCCTTGGGACACAGTGAGCTCCCTGTCATTGGGGGTACTGAAGCATGAACTGGGTGACAACATGGCAAGGAATTTGTAGGGAAATTGAATTATAGGCTATAGAGAAAATGTTGGATGAGATGATGTCTGACATTTCTTGTGTGTCTGTGACTTTCTAATTTTATGGAACCAGTGCCTTCACAATTTCCCAGGGCTTTGTGAGCACAAGATGGATTCACTGAGAATGATATTTGAACAGTTGCTGGAAGGGATTCTAAAATGGGGCAACCACAGACAGTGTAGAAAGAGCCATCCCCACAAGCATATGTTGAAAAATCATTTAAAGCCAAACTGTCTCATTTTGAGATACTTGGAAAAGAAACCAATGAGGAATGCAGAATACATTTTTTAAAGAAGTGATTATTAAAATATCAGGTTAATGTAAAATATGTTGATGATGAAACCCTAGAGGACGAGCTCTATAAGCAGCTTATATAGTTATCAGTCGCATTACAGCTCTCACCTGTTTCTGTAACAAGGGGCCCACGCAATCAAGCATGAGTCTCCTGTGGACCAAGGCTATGCTATAAAGGAAGCTATGTACATGGTCTGCCTACTTTGAACAACACGGTCCTGATGCCCAGCAGTGGGTTTGGAGTCTCCTTTCAAGTGTGTGTATAGAATAATACCCTGGGGCATTGTGGGGAGAGGGTGGCAACTCTTAACTTTCTTAACTTGAAACTTTATAAAACTGATACAAGAAACACAATAACAAATGAACCCAGTGCATTTTATATAGTTTATCATACATTTTACTTAAGCATATACCTATATCTCAAAAAGGCAGCAAATGTTATCATGCATTTGGCTTAACTCCAATCTGTCTCTGCCAATGAGCAGGTGAAGCCTTTGGCTGGATGAGAACAGGTACTTGACCAGTTCTTACTCCCCCTGTACGTTTTCACTGGCCCTCATAGTCACTGTATGGACTCATGCAATGCCAAGGCAGTAGAAAGATGCCCTGTGCTCCAGTGTACAGCTCTGCAAAATGCTGCTCCTTGTGTGGTGGCATGTTTGACTTCCATCTCTCTGCTCTGGGAAGTTGCAAATCTATGTTACGCCCTGACAGTATGAGCAGTTTTCATCAGCCATAGTGGATTTTGGAAGAGAAAGAGTCAGTTGCAGGCTGAACACAAAGGAAGATGCTTGCTTGGCAAGAGGTCACAGTGCAACGCTCCCAGACTCCTTCCAGCTATAAGAGATAGGCTTTGTTATTTAAAGATGGGTACATATAAATGAGGCTTCTGGACTATGTTTTTCTTCTCTTAGTCACTGTATGGATTCATGCAATGCCAAAACAGTAGAAAGATGCCATGTGCTCCAGTGTATAGCTCTGCAAAATGCTAAGTTCCATCATATAAATATGATTGGCAATTTTGAGTCAAATCTCAACAGAGAAAAGCAGTCATTAAACAAAACGACAGAAAGCCAGTCCTTCCATACAGACGCTACTTAGTTTTAACCCTCTTTTTTTTCTCTGAATATTAGATGGTTCCTATTTCCTCAGCCAGAAGTAATTGGTCCCACCTCTGGAGACCCTTAAGTATATTCCCCATTTCTCTTTCATGGCACTCCCATCTGACTGTCCCTGCAGTAGGAAACATTCCGGGAGGGCAGGAACCATGTCCTCAAGGTTCCCAGTGTGTTGTCTGCCCAGGGCAGGCAGATCAGCCTTGGGGACAGAGTGCTTGTCAGGAGGCTGCCAATAAGCTAAAGTCCACAGGGGAGAATATGGATGGCATCAGAACCGCTTCCTCTTGGCCTGTAGAAAAAAGAGAGGGATGCTGGGTGAAGTGGCATGCCTGTAGCCCCAGCTACTCTGGATGCTGAGGCGGGAGAGTCGTTTGAGCTCAGGAGCTCTGGGGCTGTAGTGCGCTCTGCCGATTGGGTGGCTTCACTAAGTTTGGCATCAATATGGTGCTCTGCCAGGAGCGGAGGACCACCAAGTTTCCTAAGGAGGGGTGAACTGGCGCAGGGCGGAAAAGAGAGAGGGAGTCTAATGCTTCAGCTCTTGGGAGGGAAAGAATATGGTACAGCAGTCAAGCTATGCAGGTTGTAACCAGTGTGTCCAGAATTTGCCTAGATCACAATCTAGGATTCTTAAGGGAGAGAGGAGAGGAAACTTTAAGTCATGTCTTCTAATTAAGGTAGCCACCATTGTTAAACCATCCTTTTGCCCAAATTGCAACATCCCAAGAGATGCAAGAGAGAAGCTGTCTTACCTCTTTCTTGCAGTAAGCTATTCCTTGCTTGCTGGAATGACAGCTCTGCTGTATCCACTTTCTTGGTACATATCACATAGGTGTGAAATAAACAAGTTTCTGCCATTTTCTCATTCAGTCTTTCTGTGTCTCCCCTATACTCCCCCTCCTCACACTCACACCACATTGATACTAGTGGAAAGAAAGATTCTCTGGTGCTAGGGGATGTTTCTCTGCATTGAATCCAGCTCCTGATAGGAGTTAAAGCCAGGACAAGCATATTAGCCCGTTTTCCACCTTATATCTTCAAACACCACAAAAGTACATCAAAGTCTTCCTGTGAGCAATTTACAAGGTGGCTGGTAAGAGCCACAGATCCAGTCTTGCAGAGAATTTCTTTCCAAGTAAATTGATACCAGAATTATTTATTGTAGTGTTATTCCTGTCAACAACTTAATACCAAAGCCAGCATTTGAAAATCCAGTGAGAAATTTGTCCTTGAAAATGTGAATTAAATAGTTCTTGCAGGCTTCTCCTTGGCAATTTGGATTTTGCCTGGCAAGTTGATTCGATGTGCAAGTCTAAAATTTTCTCAGTTCTTATGAGGTGCTTAGATCATGTGGCTACTCCTCATCCAAAATGAACATGATACAATTTGCAAGCCTATGGACACTCTGCTGGGATCCTTCAAAACATCGGAGTTTCCCCAAAGAGAGCAAATTCGAGCTCAGTAATTGGGGTTTTGACCTGAATGTTCACCACTTCTTATCTTTTAGTAAGTTTTGCTTTAGAGAGTTCCCAAAGATAATCTTATTTAGAAGAAGGGAGGCTTATAGTACAAAGAAAGACACAGCTATTACAAAATACTCTTCCAAGAATTGGATTTAGTCAGCTAATTCCATCGTTCTTCATGTCAGCTTTCTTCACGATTGTTTCCTGGGCTTTTTATTTTTGTTCTGTTCAGACACAAGCTTTATATGTGATGAGAAACACCAGGGAATTCAAGATAGGTAAACAAAGGAAGGGCACATTAGCCTTGTCTGGGGAGATCAGAAGTGATGGCCAGACTTTGTGTGAAGGACATGGGCAGAGGACTCCAACTTCTTTTTTGGGCCCTTTTCAGAAGGATTTTCTAGTTTTTGTGAAATGAGTCAACTCACCTGGCCGATCATCCATTTTGATGTTACAATAGACACTCTTACTGTACGCTAGCAGTTGTCTCTAAAAGTTCCTTTAATTTACAGCCACCCAAATCATGACCCCTAAGTTTCAAGAGAGCCCTGAGAAGAAGTGTTATAAGAGTGCAAAGTCATGAAGATTTGGACTGGTTAGTGTCAGACAACCATAGGGATATTGTTTCATTGGTGGATGGTTTTTACTAAAGATTTTTTTTTTCTTTTTTTGAGATGGAGTCTTGCTTTCTCACCCAGGCTTGAGTGCAGTGCCACAATCTCGGTTCGCTGCAACCTCCACCCTCTGGGTTCAAGCAATTCTCCTCCTGCAGCCTCCCGAGTAGCTGGGATTATAGGTGCCTGCCACCACGACTGGCTGATTTTTGTATTTTTAGTAGAGAAAGGGTTTCACCATGTTGGCCAGGCTGGTCTTGGACTCCTGACCTCAAGTGATCTGCCTGCCTCAGCCTCCCAAAGTGTTTACTTGAGATTTTTAAAACAAGGTCCTAGTTCCTGAGAGTGAGTGAGTTGTGTGCTCTGGGAATGAAGATGCAGAAAAGGCATTGTCTTAGTCCATTCATGCTGCTATAACAAAATACACTATCCTAGGTGGCTTGTAAACAACATAAATTTATTTCTCACAGTTCTGGAGGTCAAGAAGTCAAAGATCAAGACACTAGCCGGTTTGGTGTCTGGGGATGGCTACTTCCTCACAGATGGCACCATCTCACTTTGTCCTTACATGGTAGAGGGGCAAACAAGATTCCTCCAGCCCCTTTCATAAGGGCTGTAATCCCCTTAGGAGGGACCTGCCTTCATGACCTAATCACCTCCCAAAGGCCCTACCTCCAAATGCTGCCGTGTTGTGGGTTAGGATTTTAACATCTGAATTTTGGGGAAACATGTTCAGACCATAGCAGGCAGGAAGAAAATATCTCCACCACCATTGTCTGAGTCAATGCAAAAGAGCATGGAATTTCAATGCCCTCATTTCATGACCTTTCTCCCCTAGCCCAATAACCATCCCTGTATAGGAAGAAAGCTGGCAGGTCACTGCCCCTTCTCTGTTGTGGTGGTGAGTGGGCAAGGGATGGGATGAAGAGAGGAACCACCAAACCTTACTCCTCTCTCTTCCATCTCCCTTGTCCCTAAACCAGGTCTGTCTTGGGAATCTTTCTAATCAAATCTTCCATATCTCATTCATTTTCAACTTTTACTAAAGTGATAAATGAGGTCAGCTGGCTACTTCAGCCTAGGCCACCAGAGAGCTCTATTTATGTGAGTTTCATAGGTCTAAGATTTAGTCTGAATGACCTGCAGCTCTGAAATCTCAATGGTCAGCAATTCTGGAATAATGGCCCATACTACCTGACACATGTGAAACTAATCTGTGGCAGAAAGACAATTTGTAAATGTATCATTGTATTTGTCTGCTCTCATGCTGCTATTAAAGACATACCCGAGAATGGGTCATTTATAAAGGTTTAATGAACTCACAGTTTTACATGGCTGGGGAGGCCTCTCAGTCATGGTGGAAGATGAAGGAAGAGCAAAGGGATGTCTTACATGGTGGCAGACAAGAGAGCCTGTGCAGGGGAACTCCCATTTATAAAATCATCAGATCTCGTGAGACTTACTATCTCGAGAACAGCATGGGAAAGACCCACCCCCATGAATCAGTTACCTCCTGCCAGGTCCCTCCGATGACATATGGGAATTATGGGAGCTACAATTCAAGGTGAAGTTTGACTGGGGACACAGTCAAACCATATCGATGATGTGGAGTGGACCTTTCCAATAAGTACTATATTTGCTATTCTGAATGCCTGTCCAAATATCAATGTACATAGCAGAGAGAATTAGCAGAGTAACTGGTAGTTCCATAAAAAATAAAGAAATCAAGGCAAATTACTCTTTTGCAGTTTTTTAAACATTTTGTATTTCAATAGCTTTAGGAATACACGTGGTTTTTGGTTACATGGATGCATTGTATGGTGGTGAAGTCTGAGATTTTAGTGCACCTGTCACCTGAATAGTGTACACTGTACCAAATAGGCAGTTTTTCATCCCTCACCCCACTCACCCTCCCCTTTTCTGAGTCTCCAAAGTCCATTATATTACTCTGCCTCTGCATCTCCAGAGCTAAGCTCCCACTTACAAGTGAGAACATGCAGTATTTGATTTTCCATTCCTCTGTTACTTCACTTAAAATAATGGCCTCCAGTTCCATCCAAGTTGCTGCAAAAGACATTTTTTCATTCTTTTTTGTGGCTGAGTAGTATTCCATGGTATATACATACCACATTTTCTTTATCTACCTATCAGTTGATGGGCACTTAAGTTGATTCCATGTCTTTGTGATTGTGAATTGAAGGTAAAGGATTTTGATTAGGTTGTACATATTAATGTATGAAGTCATCCCCATATTTCTAAAGTGCTAAACCTTTCCTATGCCCAAATATTTGCAAGTGTCAGGCTCAGGATTTCTCTTCCTGCAGTGGCAAGTTACTGCCATTAACTCCATCTCTTTTTCTTTACTGTGTACCATTGATCTTAGATCTTTGCTTTGGGCTGCTACTTTACACAGTGCACCTAATTCTATCTGGGAAGAACTTAGGGCATGGCTTGTGTGTGGTACAACCATTAATTAAAAATGAATTAGCAATATCTGATGATGCCTTTTCAAAGATTGGAAGGAACCAAACCTTCCCTAGTTTTCCCTTGGAGCAACATTTACTACCTGGTTTAAGGATAAAGGAAAGAGCTCTCATGCTCTTGGCAAATTACAAGATGGATAGTAACAAAAAAACCCAACAAACTAGAAATCATGTTTTGCCATAAAAAAATGGTATAATCAAAGTGATGTTTTTGTAAGCTCCTGGTGCTGAATGCAGTGGATGGAAACTGACAGTGGCTAATGCCTGTGTCTTCTTGCCCAGGCCAGTGAAAGACGTGTTCACCTCGTCGTGTCCCGCCAGGTTCGGCAGCGGAGCCCTGACATCTTTCAGGAAGCCGGCTGGAACAGCAATGGCAGCTGGTCCCCAGGGCCAGGGGAGAGGAGCAACACTCCCAAGGTGAGGCCTCTAGGGCAGGTCGCCTGCTCCTGCAAGGGGCTATTTCTTGGGAAGGCTGCTTGTTTTAACATGTCTAAGTGTCATCTCTGGACTTTTTTACTTAAAGAAACACTTTGACTTGTAAAACTAAAAGCCCAAAGTCCCATATTTAAGACTTGGAGAGATAACAGGTGTCTCCCATCCAAGCAGGAGAGAAGAAGGTGCAGGAAAGTTTTGAAACCTGATCATGCAGACCTCATACAGGGACCTGATTTCTAGCCTAAGCCAAATAAATGGCATGTTTTTACCAAGAGTCATCTTGTTTGAGGACTTATTTTATTCACTTTGAAATGAAGCAAGCAGTTTGCCTGGTTTCTGGCTTTTGAATTTTTCAGTCTGCCTAGAAATGAGTGATTTCCCCGCTACTTTTAGTTTTTGTTTGTGTTTGCCGAAGGGCCCAGGAAGATAATTTAAACACTTGAAGCTCATGTAACATTAGGGAGTGGTGGGGATTGGGGCAAACCAGAGAGCACATGTTATATGGCATTCAAATCCAGAAAACTCTAAAACACTGTGGATCTGTGGGTGGAATTCATTCTTCAGGCCACCAGTTTGCAGCCTCACTTTAAATGAAGTGACTCAGCCCAATTTGTACTTCTCTCTGTGGCTTCTATTAGAGGCAATGCCTTAACCTCTTCATTTGGATGCGTGTTTAAGCAACACAAACCTTGTTTAGTCCAAATTAAGAGTCCTATAGCTTTGGCTTGGCATCCTGTTGTGATGCTGATGAGCTTCTTTCAGTCATCTCTCCTGAGTTCTGGTTTCATGGCATCACTTGTAACTAAAAAAAATTCTTAAAGGTAGCTCATTCTTCTTGCAACAGAAAGTAGGGAATGCCCTTTTCTTTCTACGTCAATCTATATGTTGGTTGGAATAGCTTACAAATTGAGTTTTTGAGTAATATATAGAGAAACAATATTCAAATTTTTTATTTTGGAACATCTCTGCTTTATACTATGTTAATTACATAGCCTACAAGGTTATACACCCCTCCAGGTTCTCCAGCCAGCCAAGCCTCATAAATCCATAAATTACCTGTTTCTCTACAATAAGGAGTCTAGACAGACCAGATATATCCTGCTAAAACATTTTATGGATAAGGACTCCGTGATGTCTTTTTGCTAGTAAATGCTTAATGTTTAAATTTAACTGATCATCTTTATTAATGAAAAACTAGTTTATTAGCTTAATTAATTAATTGAAGTTTTTATCCAATTAACTAATTTTAGTTGAATTAACTAGAATACGTCATATTCTAAGTCATCAAATTATGGAGAAGGTAGCCTCCATCTGCACTGTGGTTTTAGAATTCCTTCCACCTCCTCATCATGAAAGAGCTGGGAGGATCTGGTCACATTTCTGCTGCAACCCTCTGTCATATGTCTTAATTCCTGGAAACGTGCAAACTGACTTAGTCGGAATTGTAATTATTTCCGTTTTAACTTATATTCTATCTGACTTCTGAAATATCCTCACAAAAAAGTAACATATTTAAAAAAACTGAGACATATATGGCTCTTTGATTATTTCAGTTTTTATATTCTTACTAAAATCTTGTTTGGTTTAGGAAACCAGGTAGCTTTTTAAAAATAAGAGCTTAAACAATTCAAAGAAATACCAAAGAAGACAAAGCAGGATTTGTGGGACAGAAAACTTTTAGCCAATTAAAAAAGTTAAGGAATGCTAGGCATCAAATTTTGCATGGTTTACCTCTGTGGGGAGGCAAGGCCTATGAGCAGAAAGAGTCATAGAGCGACTAAGTGCACATGGAATGTTTATTTCTGATGTAGGGTTTTGAGGTACATGGGTAGGTCATTCTGTTATTCTTTATGCTTTTTTACTTGTCTAAAATGTTTTATTCTAAATATCCAAAGCAAATATTCTAAAATGGAAATACATCTTATAGTTTGAGAAATATTCAGGTACCCATTGTGTTTTTAATTAGCTTAAACTATTTTACCATAAATTATGTTTTTAAACATCAAGGAACATTGTAAGGTGTCCAAAGTAGGGTGAGGAGAATGGCGAAAAAAGATAGATAGAAAAGTCATCTCTTTCATACGTAACTCTCCTCCTCTCCAGCCAAAGTCAGGTAACCCTGGGTGTGAAGCTTTCACAGATGATTTTCTTTTTCCATTGCTGACATTGGTCGCTTTTCTGGTTAAGAAAGGAAATGGTCATGGACACTGGTTCATGAGACAGGACACATGCACACATGCCATATTTGTGGTATTTCAGCCATTGCATCCAGCCCCTCAGTGCACAACTAAACATCTCTTGCTCACCGCAGGCAAGGCTGCCTGGTAAGCACTGAGCAGGTGTGAAAGAAGACTCTATAAAATATGGTTACTTTTTTTTAACATAGAAAAGTTTCTGATATTTATAAATGACAGAGTGTTTTTGAAATGCTGACTCACTACTATCAGGAATAAATGACTCACTTGAGAAATTTTGGGTGCAGTTCACTCTGTGTGCTTAAGATTCCTCCATGGCCAGGAGCAGTGGCTCATGCTTGTAATCCCAGCACTTTGGGAGGCCAAGGCACTTGGAGCCAGGAGTTCCAGACCAGCCTGAGCAACAAAGCAATACTTTTTCTCTATGAAAATATTTTAGAAATATATTTTTCTAATGGTCTGTAATCGGTTCCTTCCTCCATTTTTACTCTTTCCTTTTGAAGTGTAAACTTTATCTGAGTTAACCTGTAGAATTTGGGACAATGTAACCCTATTATGGTTGGGAGTGGATAAGGTGAGGGTTCTTTCCAGGTGTCTTTCTCTGTGATTTCAAGAACCACCATTGTATTTATGCACTTTGCATAATTTATGCAGCTTTGGTAATTTTTGCATTTAGAAAATGGAAACCCACTTTGCATTTTCTACATTCAAAAACTACCAGAGTTGTGAATTCATGTGCCATGTTTTTCCATCTGTGCCTTCAGCCCCTCCATCCTACAATTACTTGTCATGAGAAGGTGGTAAATATCCAAAAAGACCCCGGTGAATCTCTCGGCATGACCGTCGCAGGGGGAGCATCACATAGAGAATGGGATTTGCCTATCTATGTCATCAGTGTTGAGCCCGGAGGAGTCATAAGC
Organism: Homo sapiens; assembly: GCF_000001405.40. Classification (NCBI taxonomy): domain Eukaryota; kingdom Metazoa; phylum Chordata; class Mammalia; order Primates; family Hominidae; genus Homo; species Homo sapiens. The sequence goes on along the minus strand of NC_000004.12, from coordinate 53,478,586 downwards.
AGAGATGGAAGAATAAAAACAGGTAAAAAGTAAAGGGATTTTAAAGGCACTGGGGTGGCAGAGAATCAAGAGAAATTAGTAGCTTGTTAGGTGACTATTTTCAAAATTAATGAGAGAATGTGGGAGTGATCGGCCAGGACTTTTGTTACCCATTGACCATGATTGGTTTGAGTATAGATACTAGACCAGGTTCCACTTTTCTTAGTTGCAGGCCAACTTGCCTGCAAGTAAAGCTAGAATCTCCAAACTGTTCCAGGAATTAATAGAGAACTGCTACAGTTATGAGCAAGTTACCTCTATTAAATGGCATAATGTAGTTCCATTCATTCTAAGTGGTTCTTTAGTGGGTTGATCCGGTGGTGGAATTCATGAAATAATTCATGAATTATTCAATTATATGGGTTAGATAGAAAAAGTCATTTGATAGATTTGATTCAATGAATACTCATTAAGTGAAAGTATCATGCTGGATACTTTCCCAGAGTGAAAATTATTTCACTACTTTAAGCTCATGTATTCTGGGCTACTTTGAGTAAATAAAGGAAGATGATATCAAATTTGCCTCTACAAATATGTATCCTTAATAATATTGTCAATTCATTCAAGAGGGTAGGTAGCTCAGATGGGTGAGGAATTATGCCATTTAAAAGTCCAGGTTCAAGAGATAAACTGTGAAGTTTCCCAAGTACAGCTGCTGAGCCTGAGGAGCCACAGGGGGATGGTATCTTAAGAGATTTAGTCAGCTGTCTGAAAGATGCTTCTTTCGGGTCAGAAAGGACTCAAGGCCTTTCTCTTTTTTCTCCTCCTGTCTTTTTGCTCTTGCTGTGGTTATTCTGTATAAGAAAGTTAAGCAAAAGGGGACAGAAAAAAACAGGATGAAGATAAAAAAATAGAAAATGGAAATAGGGGAGATGTATATTTTAATTTCTCTTTTCTGCAAAACATCTGGGTGGAAAATGATGAGGCCAAACAAAGTGGCTTGTTAACAAATGACTTGTTAACAGAACATAAGCTAGAGGATTATATGATCTATATGGAAATGATCCTGCACATAGTAGGCGCTTAACCAATAGTAGCTATTTTCACCTTAGCAATGAAAATGTTTTTCTTTCTGCTTCTTTAAGAGTGCAGCTCCAAGACTCCTCTGCCAGACACTCTCATGGGTAGTTTCTTTTCATTCAATCCATATTTACTGGAGGCCTACTACATGCCTGGCTCCGTGCAAATGCTGGAGCTTTTGCCAAATCCTCCTACTTTATGCTAAAAACAAGAAACAAAAGAGTGAAAAAGTAGGTTTTCTTTGATTAAATAGTGAACAAGACTAATTTTCCTCTCTCACTCCCTTCCTTCCTTCCTTCAGCGGTATTCTTGTGTAAAACACCGATAGCTGTGCTTTAGAAAACCCCAAACAAGTCTTAACAGCACCTTGGAATGCACACACTGTTTACCATTTGCTATGTGAGCACCCAGCCTCCCGTCAACAAAGAAAACCTTTGCCCTCTCTGCATCCCTGCAATCCCAGTCAGCCCCTATCCCCTTGCACTTTAAGCAGAAGTCCCTGTTTGTGCTCTCACTAAAGATAGCTTCTGCTTCTCTGGCCATCAGGTGACATTTTGTTGAATGTGGATGGGGTCGAACTGACAGAGGTCAGCCGGAGTGAGGCAGTGGCATTATTGAAAAGAACATCATCCTCGATAGTACTCAAAGCTTTGGAAGTCAAAGAGTATGAGCCCCAGGAAGACTGCAGCAGCCCAGCAGCCCTGGACTCCAACCACAACATGGCCCCACCCAGTGACTGGTCCCCATCCTGGGTCATGTGGCTGGAATTACCACGGTAAGTCCAAACACAACATCCCTGTAGGGGCGTGGGAGAAAACGATTACATTTCTTAAACCACTCTTTCACTCTCTAGGGCTGATTCATGGCACTAGCATCTTAATTAGACCCAGTCTTGGTTGTGGGACTGTGAAATAATTCTCTCTTCCCATTTGTAACTGAAAATGCATGCGGACATTCTAGGGCAAAGACAAAAGCCTGGATGTGGAAATACTGTTTGGCGTTCAGGTTGAGGAGCTCACAGGACTGCCATGTACAGCTGTGTAGGTTGTTCATGCAGCAGAGAGCTCCACAGACAGGCAGAGGGGGCAGAGACCCAGCCTGTGTTTACACCCCTTGGAGCTGAGTTGCACTGCCTAGGAGAAGGTTCACCTTCGCCTAATCTGCTAGTGGCAGCCCTGGGATCTTGCAGGGAGGCTGACTGCCTTCTGTGGCTTTATTTTATTTTATTTTTATATAGAGTCTTGCTCTGTCACCCAGGCTAGAGTGCAGTGGTGCAATCTCGGCTCACTGCAACCTTGGCCTCCTGGGTTCAAATGATTCTCCTACCTCAGCCTCCCCAAGTAGCTGGGATTACAGGCACACACCACCACGCCCAGCTCATTTTTGTATTTCTAGTAGAGACGGGGATTCACCATGTTGCCCAGGCTGGTCTCAAACTCCTGACTTCAATCAATCTGCCTGCCTCGGCCTGGCAAAGTGCTGGGATTACAGGTGTGAGCCACCATGTCCAGCCAGTTTTATCTTTTGAGTGGCCTTGGCTGCACATAAAACAATGCCCCAGAGCACTTCGCCTTTGCTAAGATGTTTAAGCACCTTTTGTTTGGAGACATTTCTTAGATCATCTCTCCTTAGGGCCTGCTCCTGAGGAGTTCTTGTGTAAAACTTCAGGAAGTAGCTGGGTTGTCATTTTAGTGACATTTTAGAGCCTTACAGTGACGTAATTACTTGTCTCACTTAATTACTTCAGGGAAGAATTTGGGGTCAGCCCTACAAAATGGCCAGTACAGAACTATTCAAAGAACAGACAAGTTGGTGTTTGCTCACCTGCATGAGAGCATAAACTGTTGGCCTTCAGATGATTATCTTGCTGTTCCAATGTGTGAATAATGCTAAATATTAGCATCACTGAAGATATACTAGCATAGGACTAAATATGGAAAAATGAAAGTGAGACGTTTAGTTTTAGTACGTTTTTCTTGAGGGTGGAGATAAGTCTCTCTCTCTTTTTACATTTCAAATGAGTTTTTTAAGAAAAACAAAACCCTGCCTCAAATACAAAATTAACTAGATTCCTTTTTGAGCCTTCACTAGTTGATAAATTATTTTCTAAATCAGTACATTTTCAAAAGTCCTTAAACAGTTAAAATCTGAGCGTTGAGTCAGTTTAAAACCCTTTAGACATTTTAGAACTGAGCCTGAGTGAAAGTAGAGAGTATGACTTTAAAGTTTTATTTTTAAAAATCTTTCTGAAACTAGGATCTATTAAAATTATTTTGTTTTTTGTGTTTGAAAGCTATTCTGTCATGTAATCAAAGTCCTTCATTATTCATTTGTGTAAGAGAGGACAATGTGAGGTGCTTTTTGCTCCAAATACAACCAAGCGAATGTCTTTCTTCCCCTCTACCTTTTGTCATTTGCCCTTGGGCATGGCACTTCTCTACTTTTGCTGGAAGTAGTCTGGGCTGGGTGTGGTGGCTCATGCCTGTAATCCCAGCAGTTTGGGAGGCTAAGGTGAGTGGATCACTTGAGACCAGGAGTTCAAGACCAGCCTGGCCAACATGGCAAAACCGCATCTCTACTAAAAATACAAAAAATTAGCCAAGCGTGGTGGCACACGCCTGTAGTCCCAGCTACTCGGGAGGCTGAGGCATGAGAATTGCTTGAACCCAGGAGGCGGAGGTTGCAGTGAGCTGAGATCGCGCCACTGCACTCCAGCCTGGGTGACAGAGAGAGACTCTGTCTCAAAAAAAAAAGAAGAAGTAGAGTCTGCACTTTGCTCATTTCCTCTAAATGGACAGTGGTAAGGAAGCATGATATCCCGGCATAGACAACACTGATTTTCAGAACCCTGGAGATTCCTGGTTTCTTTCATTCCATCCTCTCCCTGTAGTAACAGAATAAACATGGTAGAAAATTCAGAATGCACCAAAGAATGTAAAGAGAACAAAAAGTAAGTCTCCCTCCCTTCAGATTCATTCAATAAAGGTGATCACCATTATCAATTTCTTGTGTATTCTATGTCAGAGGTTGGCAAATCTTTTCTAAAAAGGGCCTGATAGTTTAGGCTTTGAGGGCCACGCAGTCTCTGTGGCAATTACTCATTTCTGCTGTTGTGGTGTGAGAGCAGCCACAGGCAATACATGAATGAATGAGGAAGGCTGTGTTCCAATAAAATTTTACTTATAAAACCAGGTGTTGGGTTGGGCTGTAAATTGCTCACCCCTGGCCTGTGTTTATATGTATACACACACATACACACAAACACAATGGTAGCATATACACTCCTATGTACCATGCATTTTATTTAAAAACAAATCTGATGTTCTTGGGTATCATGATAGGCACTGCACCATCGTTGTATCCACTGCCAATTAGGAACTGGTTAAATAAGTTATGGTACATCTAAACAGCCATGCGCCAGGTTGCCTGGATATCAAATTATTGTATCACTTCATTCCTATAGGACTACATAGGCATTGCATCACTGCTAAGTAGCATTGAATGGTGTGGAGAAGTGGGAGGCTCATGTCATTTCTTTCCCTCCATATGTGGCTTGGTCTTTTTACTTAACGTTCAAAATAACTGTTCTATTATTTTGTAGCTGCTTTTCAGGGACTCTAGAAATTTGTTTCTTTGATATATTTTATATTTCATATATTTAGTGTTCTCGGATCCTTTTCAACTCTTTTTTCTCCATTTTGCTTTCTTGGCTTTTAACTTTTATTTTAGGTTCAGGGGTACATGTGCAGGTTTGTTATATAGGTAAACTCATGTCACAGGGGTTTGTTGTACAGATGAGTTCAGTACCCAGGTACTAAGCCTAGTACTCATTAGTTATATTTGCTGATCCTCTTCCTCCTTCCATCCTCCACCCTCAAGTAGGCCCTGGTGTCTGTTGTCACCCTCATTGTGTCCATGAGTTCTCATCATTTTAGTTCCCACTTATAAGTGAGAACATGAAGTATTTGGTTTTCTGTTCCTGAGTCAGTTTGCTAAGGATAATGTCCTCCAGATCCATCCGTATTCCCACAAAAGACATGATCTTGTTCTTCTTTATGACTGCATCGTATTCCATGATGTATATGTACCACATTTTCTTTATCTAGTCTACCATTGATGGGCATTTAGGTTGATTCTGTATCTTTGCTATTGTAAATAGTGCTGCATGTTTTCCTGGCTTATTTGCATCTTTCCTTCAATGCTCACTGTGTTTTCAATATTATTTCTGTTCCTTTGCAGCCACTTTCATTGCTGTGGTGTTTTTATTTTTCTCTTCCACTTTTGTGTTCTGTTCCATTGGCTCATTTCTTCTGTTGTCTCATCTTCCTTGAAGTCTTATCTCTGCATTGAGCTCTTGTTCATAGAGCAGTTGCTTCAGAAATATTTTACATTCATAGTAATATGGTTGGTTATCAATTTTCTTTTCTTTTCTTTTCTTTTTTTACCTCACTAACCAACTTTATTTAGTTTTAAGAAATCACCTTCCGTATTTCATAGTCAAGGCCTGAGAGTCACAAAAAAATTTGAAAATCACTCCAGAAGGTGCATTAAAAACTTCTTTCTACTTGGCCAGCATTTAACTCAGAAACTAGCAAACTCAGTTATTCTCTTCTTACTGGTAGGGTTATTTCACCTTAGCCTTTTCCAGCTTTACAACACAGCACAATATAACAACTCTCTGGAACACTCATTTCTCTCATTGCCATTAGCATCTCTTTTATCAGCCTTCCCCCTGCTTGGCCTCTATATCTGCTTTCATACACCTTTGGCGGCTTTCACGTTCATCAATTATATTGCAAAGAGTCCTTTACTTCCCCATTGTTTTTTGTTTTTTTTTTTTTTGTTGTTGTTGTTGTTGTTGTTGAATAAATCATTGTTCAAATAAATGATTTAATACAGAAAATCAAAATTTGTACCTTTTTCAAATAAAAATAAAATAAAAATTTCCAGTATTTTCAGGCATGTTGTAAGATTTCACTTCCCACTTTTTTGTTTTTTATTATTAGGATCCCTTGTGTCTTTCTTCTTCTTCTTTTTTTTATTATACTTTAAGTTTTAGGGTACATATGCACAACGTGCAGGTTAGTTACATATGTATACATGTGCCATGCTGGTGTGCTGCACCCATTAACTCGTCATTTAGCATTAGGTATATCTCCTAATGCTATCCCTCCCCCATCCCCCAACCCCACAACAGTCCCCGGTGTGTGATGTTCCCCTTGCTGTGTCCATGTTTTCTCATTGTTCAATTCCCACCTATGAGTGAGAATATGCAGTATTTGGTTTTTTGTCCTTGCAATAGTTTGCTGAGAATGATGGTTTCCAGCTTCATCCATGTCCCTACAAAGGACATGAACTCATCCTTTTTTATGGCTACATAGTATTCCATGGTGTATATGTACCACGTTTTCTTAATCCAGTCTATCATTGTTGGAAATTTGGGTTGGTTCCAAGTCTTTGTTATTGTGAATAGTGCCGCAATAAACATAAGTGTGCATGTGTCTTTATAGTAGCATGATTTATAATCCTTTGGGTATACACCCAGTAATGGGATGGCTGGGTCAAATGGTATTTCCAGTTCTAGATCCCTGAGGAATCGCCACACTGACTTCCACAATGGTTGAACTAGTTTACAGTCCCACCAACAGTGTAAAAGTGTTTCTATTTCTCCACATCCTCTCCAGCACCTGTTGTTTCCTGACTTTTTAATGATCGCCATTCTAATTGGTGTGAGATGGTATCTCATTGTGGTTTTGATTTGCATTTCTCTGATGGCCAGTGATGATGAGCATTTTTTCATGTGTCTGTTGGCTGCATAAATGTCTTCTTTTGAGAAGTGTCTGTTCATATCCTTTCCCCACTTTTTGATGGGGTTTTTTTTTCTTGTAAACTTGTTTGAGTTCATTGTAGATTCTGGATATTAGCCCTTTGTCAGATGAGTGGATTGCAAAAATGTTCTCCCATTCTGTAGGTTGCCTGTTCACTCTGATGGTAGTTTCTTTCGCTGTGCAGAAGCTCTTTCATTTAATTAGATCCCATTTGTCAATTTTGGCTTTTGTTGCCATTGCTTTTGATGTTTTAGACATGAAGTCCTTGTCCATGCCTATGTCCTGAATGGTAATGCCTAGGTTTTCTTCTAGGGTTTTTATGGTTTTAGGTCTCACATATAAGTCTTTAATCCATCTTGAATTAATTTTTGTATAAGGTGTAAGGAAGGGATCCAGTTTCAGCTCTCTACGTATGGCTAGCCAGTTTTCCCAGCACCATTTATTAAATAGGGAATCGTTTCCCCATTGCTTGTTTTTGTCAGGTTTGTCAAAGATCAGATGGTTGTAGATATGCGGCATTATTTCTGAGGGCTCCGTTCTGTTCCATTGGTCTATATCTCTGTTTTGGTACCAGTACCATGCTGTTTTGGTTACTGTAGCCTTGTAGTATAGTTTGAAGTCAGGTAGTGCGATGCCTCCAGCTTTGTTCCTTTGGCTTAGGATTGACTTGGCAATGCGGGCTCTTTTTTGGTTCCATATGAACTTTAAAGTAGTTTTTTCCAATTCTGTGAAGAAAGTCATTGGTAGCTCGATGGGGATGGCACTGAATCTATAAATTACCTTGGGCAGTATGCCCATTTTCATGATAATTGATTCTTCCTACCCATGAGCATGGAATGTTCTTCCATTTGTTTGTATCCTATTTTATTTCATTGAGCAGTGGTTTGTAGTTCTCCTTGAAGAGGTCCTTCACGTCCCTTGTAAGTTGGATTCCTAGGTATTTTATTATCTTTGAAGCAATTGTGAATGGGAGTTCACTCATGATTTGGATCTCTGTTTGTCTGTTATTGGTGTATAAGAATGCTTGTGATTTTTGCACGTTGATTTGTATCCTGAGACTTTGCTGAAGTTGCTTATCAGCTTAAGGAGATTTTGGGCTGAGATGATGGGGTTTTCTAGATATTCAGTCATGTCATCTGCAAACAGGGACAATTTGACTTCCTCTTTTCCTAATTGAATGCCCTTTATTTCCTTCTCCTTCCTGATTGCCCTGGCCAGAACTTCCAACACTATGTTGAATAGAAGTGGTGAGAGAGGGCATCCCTGTCTTGTGCCAGTTTTCAAAGTGAATGCTTCCAGTTTTTGCCCATTCAGTATGATATTGGCTGTGGGTTTGTCACAGATAGCTCTTATTATTTTGAGATACGTCCCATCAATACCTAATTTATTGAGAGTTTTTAGCATGAAGGTTGTTGAATTTTGTCAAAGGCTTTTCTGCATCTATTGAGAAAATCATGTGGTTTTTGTCTTTGGTTTTGTTTATATGCTGGATTACGTTTATTGATTTGCATATGTTGAACCAGCCTTCCATCCCAGGGATGAAGCCCACTTGATCATGGTGGATAAGCTTTTTGATGTGCTGCTGGATTTGGTTTGCCAGTATTTTACTGAGGATTTTTGCATTGGTGTTCATCCAGGATATTGGTCTCAAATTCTCTTTTTTTGTTGTGTCTCTGCCCGGCTTTGTTATCAGGATAATGCTGGCCTCATAAAATGAGTTAGGGAGGATTCCCTCTTTTTCTATTGATTGGAATAGTTTCAGAAGGAATGGTACCAGCTCCTCCTTGTACTTCTGGTAGAATTCGGCTGTGAATCCATCTGGTCCTGGACTTTTTTTGGTTAGTAAGCTATTAATTATTGCCTCAATTTCAGAGCCTGTTATTGGTGTATTCAGAGATTCAGCTTCTTCCTGGTTTAGTCTTGGGAGGGTGTATGTGTCGAGGAATTTATCCATTTCTTCTAGATTTTCTAGTTTATTTGCATAGAGGTGTTTATAGTATTCTCTGATGGTAATTTGTATTTCTGTGGGATTGGTGGTGATATCCCCTTTGTCATTTTTTATTGCATCTATTTGATTCTTCTCTCTTTTCTTCTTTATTAGTCTTGCTAGCAGTCTATCAATTTTGTTGATCTTTTCAAAAAACCAGCTCCTGGATTCATTGATTTTTTGAAGGGTTTTTTGTGTCTCTATTTTCTTCAGTTCTGCTCTGATCTTAGTTATTTCTTGCCTTCTGCTAGCTTTTGAATGTGTTTGCTCTTGCTTCTCTAGTTCTTTTAATTGTGATGTTAGGGTGTCAATTTTAGATCTTTCCTGCTTTCTCTTGTGAGCATTCAGTGCTATAAATTTCCCTTTACACACTGCTTTGAATGTGTCCCAGAGATTCTGGTACGCTGTGTCTTTGTTCTCGTTGGTTTCAAAGAACATCTTTATTTCTGCCTTCATTTCGTTATGTACCTAGTAGTCATTCAGGAGCAGGTTGTTCAGTTTCCATGTAGTTGAGCAGTTTTGAGTGAGTTTCTTAATCCTGAGTTCTAGTTTGATTGCACTGTGGTCTGAGAGACAGTTTGTTATAATTTCTGTTCTTTTACATTTGCTGAGGAGTGCTTTACTTCCAACTATGTGGTCAGTTATGGAATAGGTGTGGTGTGGTGCTGGAAAGAATGTATATTCTGTTGATTTAGGGTGGAGAGTTCCGTAGATGTCTATTAGGTCTGCTTGGTGCAGAGCTGAGTTCAATTCCTGGATATCCTTGTTAACTTTCTGTGTCGTTGATCTGTCTAATGTTGACAATGGGGTGTTAAAGTCTCCCATTATTATTGTGTGGGAGTCTAAGTCTCTTTGTAGGTCACTAAGGACTTGCTTTATGAATCTGAGTGCTCCTGTATTGGGTGCATATATATTTAGGATAGTTAGCTCTTCTTGTTGAATTGATCCCTTTACCATTATGTAGTGGCCTTCTTTGTCTCTTTTGATCTTTGTTGGTTTAAAGTCTGTTTTATCAGAGACTAGGATTGCAACCCCTGTCTTTTTTTGTTTTCCATTTGCTTGGTAGATCTTCTTCCATCCCTTTATTTGAGCCTATGTGTGTCTCTGCACTTGAGATGGGTTTCCTGAATACAGCACACTGATGGGTCTTGACTTTATCCAGTTTGCCAGTCTGTGTCTTTTAATTGGAGCATTTAGCCCATTTACATTTAAGGTGAATATTGTTATGTGTGAATTTGATCCTGTCATTATGATGTTTGCTGGTTAGCTTGCTCATTAGTTGATGCAGTTTCTTCTTAGCCTCGATGGTCTTTACAATTTGGCATGTTTTTGCAGTAGCTGGTAACGGTTGTTCCTTTCCATATTTAGTGCTTCCTCCAGGAGCTCTTTTAGGGCAGGCCTGGTGGTGACAAAATCTCTCAGCATTTGCTTGTCTGTAAAGTATTTTATTTCTCCTTCACTTATAGAGCTTATTTTGGCTGGATATGAAATTCTGGGTTGAAAATTCTTTTCTTTTAAGGATGTTGAATATTGGCCCCCACTCTCTTCTGGCTTGTAGAGTTTCTGCCGAGAGATCAGCTGTTAGTCTGATGGGCTTCCCTTTGTGGGTAACCCGACCTTTCTCTCTGGCTGCCCTGAACATTTTTTCCTTCATTTCAACTTTGGTGAATCTGACAATTATGTGTCTTGGAGTTGCTCTTCTTGAGGACTATCTTTGTGGCATTCTCTGTATTTCCTGAATTTGAATGTTGGCCTGCCTTGCTAGATTGGGGAAGTTCTCCTGGATATTATCTTGCAGAGTGTTTTCCAACTTGGTTCCATTCTCCTCGTCACTTTCAGGTACACCAATCAGACATAGATTTGGTCTTTTCACATAGTCCCATATTTCTTGGAGACTTTGTTCATTTCTTTTTATTCTTTTTTCTCTAAACTTCTCTTCTCGCTTCATTTCATTCATTTTGTCTTCCATCGCTGATACCCTTTCTTCCAGTTGATCGCATCGGCTACTGAGGCTTGTGCATTCGTCACATAGTTCTCGTGCCGTGGTTTTCAGCTCCATCAGGTCCTTTAAGGACTTCTCTGCATTGGCTATTGTAGTTAGCCATTTGTCTAATTTTTTTTCAAGGTTTTTAACTTCTTTGCCATTGGTTCAAACTTCCTCCTTTAGCTCGTAGTAGTGTGATCTTCTGAAGCCTTCCTCTCTCAACTTGTTGAAGTCATTCTCTGTTCAGCTTTGTTCCATTGCTGGTGAGGAGCTGCATTCCTTTGGAGGAGGAGAGGCGCTCTGATTTTTATAGTTTCTGGTTTTTCTGCTCTGTTTTTTCTCCATCTTTGTGGTTTTATCTACCTTTGGTCTTTGATGATGGTGACGTACTGATGGGTTTTTGGTGTCGATGCCCTTTCTGTTTGTTAGTTTTCCTTCCAGCAGTCAGGACCCTCAGCTGCAGGTCTGTTGGAGTTGGCTGTAGGTCCACTCCAGACCCTGTTGCCTGAGTATCAGCAGCGGTGTCTACAGAACAGTGGATATTGGTGAAACGCAAATGCTGCTGCCTGATCATTCCTCTGAAGTTTTGTCTCAGAGGAGTACCCAGCCATGTGAGGTGTCAGTCCGCCCCTACTGGGGGGTGCCTCCCAGTTAGGCTACTCGGGGGTCAGGGACACACTTGAGGAGGCAGTCTGCCCGTTCTCAGATCTCAAGCTGCTTGCTGGGAGAACCACTAGTCTCTTCAAAGCTGTCAGACAGGGACATTTAAGTCTGCAGAGGTTACTGCTGCCTTTTGTTTGTCTGTGCCCTGCCCCCAGAGATGGAGCCTACAGAGAAGCAGGCCTGCTTGAGCTGTGGTGGGCTTCACCACAGTGGAGCTCCACCCAGTTTGAGCTTCCAGGCCACTTTCTTTACCTACTCAAGCCTGGGCAATGGCGGGCGCCCCTCCCCCAGCCTTGCTGCCACCTTGCACTTTACTGCTGTGCTAGCAATGAGCAAGGCTCCTTGGGCATAGGACCCTCCGAGCCAGGTGCGGGATATAATCTCCTGGTGTGCTGTTTGTTAAGCCCATTGGAACAGCACAGTATTAGGGTGGAAGTGACCCGATTTTCCAGGTGCCGTCTGTCACCCCTTTCTTTGACTAGGAAAGGGAATTCCCTGATCCCTTGTGCTTCCCGGGTGAGGCGACGCCTTGCCCTGCTTTGGCTCGTGCTCGGTGTGCTGCACCCACTGTCCTGCACCGTCTGGCACTCCCTAGTGAGATGAACCCAGTATCTCAGTTGGAAATGCAGAAATCACCCATCTTCTGCATCACTCACGCTGGGAGCTGTAGACTGGAGCTGTTCCTATTCGGCTGTCTTCAGGTTTCTTTTTAAACATATTTTTTACGATCATTTAAATTTTAATCAAAGCTGCTTTAAGTATGTAGTTCAACATTATTGGCCAAATTAGAGAAGTAGCCTATTTATAGATGGTGAATATAACTTCATTGGATTTTTATCAAGACAAGACATACCTTTTCTGAAAACAGTACAATATTAGTGATTCCAAATAATATGTGATTTTTTTTTTCTTAAAACAAAAAGTTTATGCTGCTTTTACTCCTCTGTGGAGCTTGGGTTTGCAGCTGTCATTGTTGGTGAAGTAGTAAAACCACTTGTGGAGAGGTGTTGGCTAATAAAACAATGGAATCATAAATGCCTCTTACAAACAAAAAGCCAAAATAATTTTTTGAAAGAGTATTTAATTAAAGTCACTGGAAGTAGATGCCAATATACTATGCACAAACTCTATACTTTGTGGACTTCCTATAATAAAGTAGCATTTTAAGTTAGTAAGATTAAAAATGTGTATACACATTGCCAAGGTATTTGTGAAAACTAAAATTTGCTTAGAAACATTGGGTGAATCTGTGGTAAAAAGGGTACTATGTTTCATAACTAGTGATATGAAAACCAACTTCAAAAAAAGCTAGCAACATATTTTTCATTTTAACTTGAATACACAGGCAAATCTTTTTAGTGTATGTACAATTTAAACATGTATCAGAATTTTTAAAAAGTTCTTTGGCAATAAACACAACTAGCTCTGGACCATACAAAACTAAGGAAGTTTACATTGTTGGTGAATTGGAAGTTTTAGGTAGGGGTATGTTATGCTGGTGCAGTTGCATTGATTGTAAAACTTTCTGGAGTACTGGCTCCCCAGATTAAAGCAGCTGCTGGAGAAGAATGTAACTTAATACAGTGCCTCCTTCAGAAAATTTTGCCGTGATGTCAGCCAAACTAAATAATGTGTTTAGTGATATGGCAAAAATTGTGACTACATAAAGGCTAGTGCATTAGATACTAGTTTACTAGTTTATTCTCTTTATTATGTGATAATAAGGAAGCTAATCATAACGAACTATTCATGCTAACAAGTAAAGAGAAGTTCTGTCAAAAATGTTTGAACCATAGATCCAAACCCTTATTTTCTCTGCAAGATAGGAAGCCAGTTTGGTCCCAACTTTTTAAAGATGTAAACTGGGCAGCCAAACTTGTTTATTTGCCAAATTATATTCAATATTTTTACTGAGCTTAATATTTCCTGCAAGGAAAAAAATGCAAGATGTTTTTCAATGGCCAATAACATCAAAGGGCAAAATGCAAGACGCTTGGAAGAATAGCTTCCATAAATTGTTAGGATGTAACTTGATAACAATTATCAAGTAGGTGATAAATTTGATATTGCACAGCTGCAAAAGTTATCATCAAACATCTTACAGATTTTATAGAATGTTCTGATTTTCAGAAAAAACACAGAAGAAATTCATGAATTCAGAATTCATGTCACTGAGAGATAATTTAAATTTGACTCTATAGTACAAATTGTTGTAATTGGCTATCATTGAGGAATAAAGACAAATTTTGAGGTTAAATTATCACTTGCCTGAGCTTACTAAAATTGCTTTAAAATCTTCTGTTCTCCTGAACATTTCTACGTGAGATTGTCTTTTCTGCTAATAGTGTAGTAGAAAATGGTTTAGTTATCCCTTATCCTCTGCAAGTAGCAGTGTCAACTTATTGTAGTAAGCAACCTCACTTATATTAAACATTGCTATACCTGTTTGTTCAAAGTATGCATATAGACATTTAATATGGGGACTCGGCATTTCTCTCATAACTTTAAAAAAAAGTTGAACACAGAATTATGAGTTTATAACACTGATTGTCCATATTAATCTCCCATAAACATCTTTTTCATGTTGATTATATTAAAACATTTTATATTTGTTAGGTACAATAAAAATTGGAGCTAAATATTTCATTTTTCTAGAAATTCATTTTTTATTTAACGATAAAGTATTAGTCTACAATAAACTAGGAAAACAAAATGAAAGGTGGTCCCTTCACCACAGACTGAGAGGTACCTGATCCAGAAGAGGGAATAAATGCTAGGTTAATCAAAGTAGGAGGCTGTACATTACTCACTGGAATCTATTAAGTTAATGGTCATAGTTCATATAAATTGGGGCCAGGAAGTTAAACTTTTCTGAACACAGGGCTAGCAAAATAATAAAGCAACATTTTGTGAAAGGACGGTTTTCTATAGATTCAATTTCCAATTTTCTGCTCTCACAGAGCTCAAAACATCCTACATCCACTGTCGTCTTTCCAACCTCTGCTATTCTAATACCACTTAGCAATGAAAAATTTAAAATAATTTAAATCATCAGGAAGAAATAAGATCTCACAACTGGCTTTGGCTGATGCACTTGGTTTATTATTTTCTAAACAGTGTTTTTCTTAGGAAAGAGGCTCTGCCTTAGTGTTTTTTGTAGTCTGCAGACTTAGTTCAAAGTCAGTGTTCTCAAATATGTATTGACTAAATTAGTAATATAAGGGGAAATATAAAAATTTAGAAAAAAACTTAGCTTCTTGAGCAGCTCAAGACTTCAGCATACTTATTAACTCATTTCAGTGGAAATCAAATGAGCCACCATACTCATTAACTCATTTCATTAAATTTGTTCTTGAGGTAACCATAATTTTCTCATTGGGAAAAACTACCAAACTCCTTGCTATTCCTTATACTATGCCAAATCTTCGATAGGCCTAAATTTAGAGAATGAGTGCAGAATAGGAAAAAAGCCAACATTCACATTCAAAGTTTAAAGCCACCTAGTATCTGAGGTCACTGATCAAAAACAGCTGCCACATTTCCCAGTGGGGAGTGAAATAACCCAACTTAAGAAAAAAATGCCCACAAAGTCAGACCCAACTAACCAAGGTATGACTTTGAAACAGATTAACATACGGAGTTCTCGCTGCGGCAATAAAGTTAAATACTCAAAACACCACTAAAAGAAGGCGTTTACTTTTTAATTAAATAAAACTAGGAACACTGATATCAACTTGAATGGATGCTTCAGGAGGGCAGGGGATTTTGTGTTTTGTTTAAACATCTGCAGAAAGATGATCAAAGCAGTTATGTTCTCTCCAGTATCAAGAGGTTAGAAAATAGGCACACTATGACTTACTGGGTTCAAAGCTTTGAACTAGAACACGTAATATTTTTGATGGTTATGTTTACAGCTTCTCCATATGAAATAAAATATTCAGTAAAAGTATACTCATTTATCTATTTTAAAGAATCAAACTGGGCAATTAAAACTGATATTTGATCATGACCTTAGATAACAATCATCTAATTCTTACCTTTCTCCAAAAAATTGGGCACACATCCTCCCAGGTGGGAATGTAATGCTTTGGTATTTACAGAATAGCCAGTTACCTGCTTTGTACATGAGGAGTCAGTGAACCGTTATGTAAAGTGTGTTATGTGACACACCACAGCTCCCAAAGAATGAATTTACCACTGACATCAAGGTTTACTGTGAAATGCAGCAGATAAATATTTTACAATAGGAAATTTAATGAAATTCATACTTTTAAGCAATCATTTCAGTAAAAGAAATTGTTATAGATGATGTGTATGTATGACGATAGATTCAGAACTGGTTAGAGTTGAATTTCAGCATTACATTTTAAAGGTATTTGCCAAACCCTAAAGCTCATTTTATTTCAAGTGAAAACATCATCATGAAAAAAGTCACGTCACATTGACTAACAAGGTTGGTAACAAATGTAATGATCAACTTTATCATTTAACATTTCACAAGACTTTTTATTGGTTTCTAAAAAGCAGTTAATATTTTAAGGTACGGTATATAAACAAAATAGCCATATCTGATTTTTGGCAACATGAAAATGCCAATTTCCTTTCAAACCAATTCCCGGACTACAGCTACAAATGTGGTCAACAACGTCATCCTGGAGTAAAATTCAGCTCCTGACACACACTTCTATGGCAATTATAACATAGTTAACACTTGGCCTGTACCTATATGAACACTGATCCATTGGGGGCCACTGAATAAAAATTTCTTCAATCTCATTTGCTATTTTAGTTGAGGATTCTAATTTACAGAAGAGCTGGGCCTTTCCTTCTCCCATTCCTTTTATAACTTCCTATCCAGTTTCCTGCAGTTTGTTTTTCCTCCTATTTGAATTGTTCTTATAATCTTTAAACGTTTCTGTTTCCATTCACTTTATGCGTGCATGCTTCTCTATGACTTATCAAACGTAGCACTGGGTGTAAAGTGGTATTTTTCCAAGGTCAAAAAAAGTATACGAATTCATTTATTAGGATTAGGCTTAAACTGCTTTCATTGAGATTATTCAAAGGATTTTTGCCCTCATTAAAATTATATCAAGTAAATAAAAATATGACATCCATAAGTGTGTTTGTTCACCAATAAGGATTTAGGTTTATCCAACTTTTTGCTAATACATATTCAAGCATTGTCTTAAGTTAAAAATATGATTATCATTCCCAGTAGATGTGTAACAGAACACAATAGGGCTGTCAGTTTTTTAAGGATATTCAAAATTATGGAAAACAGGTTCAATTACAAAAAGCCAGCTAACAGCACAAAGGTCACCAAGGTATGATACAATTTTGAGTGGGACCTATGCAGTGGTACTTAGCCATTAAAAATGCCAACAAAAGGAATGGAGGATGAGTCACAGTAAGTATTCCCTTAACTGTGAAACTTAAATATGCATGTACACTGATTACATTCTATTTCAGGTGCTTGTATAACTGTAAAGATATTGTATTACGAAGAAACACAGCTGGAAGTCTGGGCTTCTGCATTGTAGGAGGTTATGAAGAATACAATGGAAACAAACCTTTTTTCATCAAATCCATTGTTGAAGGAACACCAGCATACAATGATGGAAGAATTAGGTAATAATAATGACTAATCAAAAATACTTGTATTAAATGTTGTTTCATAAATGCCAAAGCTTGGCCCCATTTGAGATAAGGCATGTATTTATTATACTTTGTGGGGATTAAAAGTATGTACGTAGCATTCAACTTCTGAGAAATCCAAAATAATTACACATATTCTTGGTCCCATACTACAACTCCCCATACTTTTAGCATTCCTTCTAACACAAGCTGAATGGATAGTGAGTTTGGAGAATGTAAATAAGAGGCAAGAAATATCTCAATTAGAAGTTAACATAATTAAAATGGTCAGATGTAGCAAAATCTAGCACCACTAAGATAAACTTGCATTAACTTCAGCAACGAATTAAAATACTAATCATATCTTGTTTTGTTTTTTTTTTTAGATGTGGTGATATTCTTCTTGCTGTCAATGGTAGAAGTACATCAGGAATGATACATGCTTGCTTGGCAAGACTGCTGAAAGAACTTAAAGGAAGAATTACTCTAACTATTGTTTCTTGGCCTGGCACTTTTTTATAGAATCAATGATGGGTCAGAGGAAAACAGAAAAATCACAAATAGGCTAAGAAGTTGAAACACTATATTTATCTTGTCAGTTTTTATATTTAAAGAAAGAATACATTGTAAAAATGTCAGGAAAAGTATGATCATCTAATGAAAGCCAGTTACACCTCAGAAAATATGATTCCAAAAAAATTAAAACTACTAGTTTTTTTTCAGTGTGGAGGATTTCTCATTACTCTACAACATTGTTTATATTTTTTCTATT
The DNA here is from genome assembly GCF_000001405.40 of Homo sapiens. Classification (NCBI taxonomy): domain Eukaryota; kingdom Metazoa; phylum Chordata; class Mammalia; order Primates; family Hominidae; genus Homo; species Homo sapiens. The sequence continues at coordinate 53,460,656 of NC_000004.12, read as the reverse complement.
CAATAAAAAGCCCTAAAACAACTAAAATGATTTGTATACCCCACTGAATTCAAGCTGATTTAAATTTAAAATTTGGTATATGCTGAAGTCTGCCAAGGGTACATTATGGCCATTTTTAATTTACAGCTAAAATATTTTTTAAAATGCATTGCTGAGAAACGTTGCTTTCATCAAACAAGAATAAATATTTTTCAGAAGTTATAGTTGTCTTTTAGTATGTGATACTAATTAAGATTACTTTTGTATTATCACTATTTAAAAGATCCTAGTAATTTATTCTTTCAAATACCATGTTATTTGTTACCATCACCGATGAATACCTCCTAGGCTTATCCCTAAAAATGCTCGCTCAGAGAATTAATTATAAACTTGTTTTGTTTTTAGTAAGAAATGGCTAAAGCTCTTTTTTTCCACAATCGTTAGTAACTGTATAAAAACTCATGCTGCTCCACCAGTGGGCCTTGGAAAATGCATCAAGAAGGCCAAACCAGCTTGACCCTGGCTCACAGACATGGTCATGAGGCGATTTAAATTTGTGCCACAATGAAGAGTGTGTGTACACATGCCTCCTAGAAACTACACTATGGGTAATTAATTAATTTATTTCATAGAGGCCACCCAGATGCCTTATAGGTTTTATTAATTTGGATATGAAAGTGTACCCCATTTGGTTTCACCAGGAACCCAAATTTAGAATATTGAAAAGCCATCAAAAAGTTGTGATATCAAAAATGTATGAGTCTCTTAATATACTAAGCAAGAGTGTCACAGCAGTAATGATAAAGACTAGTTTTAATCTCAAGCCTTAGAGGGGCCCTTTGTTGCCTTTTGTGATGCAGCCTCTTAAGAGAGTGGTGTTTGATTAACAAAAAAACTGTGGCCCAAGTGGAACCCTTGACCTTTTCTCAGATAATCTGTGTATGTACACAGCTAACACAGCTCTTTAGATTCCCTGTTAAGTGACTCATTCACATTCCTTTCTTGGATATAAAGTCATTGCTGTCTTTTTATTTTTGAAATAGTACAAGACAAAGATTTTTAACTTAACATGAAAAATTCACTCTTTTATTTTGGAAAAAAAGTTAACTTTTCATACTAACAAACAGAACAAGATTTAAGGTAAATTTCTTAAACATTATCCAGAAAAATAACAAGATTTATAGTATCTACTTCTGGTACTAATATACACAAAAGGCCAAAACCATGCCTATTCTGCAGGTGTAGCTTCGGTGCTCTCCTGTTCAGGGGCAGGCTCACTGCCCGCTTCTTTTCCTTCTTTGCTTCTTTTAGATTTTTTGTGTTTGTGTCTCCTGTGACTATCTCCTTCTTCACTTTCATGGCGACGTCTACTATTACTGGAAAAAAAAAAAAAAAAAAAAGGTGTGTTCTGTTTAAATACACAATCAGTGACAAAAATCCAATCACTCTAAGGAAATTCTCAATATAACACTGGGTTTAAAATAATCTAATGCATTTTCTCATAAATATAATGTGAGGAATAATCAGTTTTATGTGACTTTTATGCAGGGATTGTATTTATTTTATAGGGCCATCTTCACTGATATTATCTCAGATTCCCAGTGCCTATACACAGCTTCTGAAATGCATATTATAATATACAGTAACAAATTAGAAACAGGCATTAACTCAAAACCGGAAATACTGTATAGGGTTGATTTTTGGCAAACAATAGGTATTTTGTTTAATGCTTTTTTAAAAAAATTTGAGACAAGGCCCTGAATTTTTCTTTAATGAAACCAAGCAAGACTGGTTCATAGGCCAAAATTTCCCCTCTTCCAATGCGACAATGTAGTAAGTCAAAATCTCTCACATACTATTGGTTCACTATTTTATTAAAGAGCAAACCTTCGAGAAGACTTATGTCTGGTTTCCTCTTTCTCCCTGTGTCGTCTTTCTCTATGTCGTTCTTCTTTTTCTCGACTTGCTCTGTGACGCTCATAACCTCTTTCTGCATATTCCCTGTATCTGTATCGTTCTTCATCGCTGAAATTGAAATAGAAATGTTTTCTTGACAACTGGACCATTAATTCTGAATGGATTCAAACTGTAAAAGAGATGTGATCTGCAGTCCAAATCCAAAATCCTCACATTAGCATCTTTTATAACATTAGTGAGGAAGAAATATTCGTTGAATTGAGAGGAAAATAATGCTTGTTCTCAAAATAGCACTAGAGCTAAGAATATAAATATATAATAATTACACATGTTAAATGACCAATTTTGTTCTGTGCTTTCATAGCTGTTAAAAAGATTTAATATAACAATGCTTTGGTTTTTTCATTTCTTGAAAAAGTGAGATCTGCAACTGATTTAAATTGTTATCAGCTTTTAAAATTTTTGCTCCTTTTAGAATTAAAATAGTATTTGTATATCTCAGATTTCTAATCAATATTCTTGGAAAGTCTTGGACATACGTTTAACATTATAAAAATACACGACTCACAATTACTACAAAACAGAAAGCAAATAAGTTTTTAAACTTTAGGTTTATTACTAAATATTCATCAAATAGAGAAGTATAAAAATAAAGAACAGAGACATCAAAGCAACTTCTACAGCATCCATACAAAATGCAGATTGGACATACCTGCATTCTGACATCCTAATTACATCTGTGTGGGCAGGGGGGCTACATGGCTAATAATTTCAACTGCATAAATAGAAGCTGCATCTCCATTTTCTGATTTTGGATTGAATTACACAGACTGGTGAAACTGAGACTAATGGCTAGAGTTAGAGGGTGGTCTTTCTTTACCTCCCTAGACTTCTTTTCCTTTCATGTCCTTTAACTGACATTCTCTTTCCATCTTTCTCTTTATCCTTCAAGTCTCTTATTTCTTCCTTTTTCTTTTTTTATGTTTAGCATAGAAGTCAACACTTTCTACAACTTAACATCAGTAAATTCACTTAGAATAAAATAATCTTTTAGAAGAATATGCTGAAGAGCTTTGATTTCTAGAAGTGTTTAATATGAATTATGAAAGTAGTAATTTGTATGAAACATCAAGATGGTAAGGAATCTCAGGGTTTAACATAGTCAGGTGACAACTATAAGCCATGTTTTAAAAGACATGTCAGCCTGTGTTCTAGCAAAAGTAATGATTCATTAATGCTATGCTTAATGCCCAATTGTACTGCTGACCAAGTTATTATCTGTGATACATTAAAATTTTAGAATCTTATTTAAAAAAACAGAAAATGTATTAATATACACATTTGCACATATTTGTATATGTATTTCCACTATTTTTTTCTACCCATAAATATGTACTTTTGTATTTGGAGTGTGGAGGCATGTCACCTGAAAAGTAACATGCCATGCCAGTCAGTAGAGAGGAGCAGAAAGAGTACAAGTGGAGTACACACAGGATCACATCCTGATTTTGCCACTTACTAAATGAGTGACCGAGGCTATTACCTATTACCTCTCTAAACCTCGGTTTTCTCACCTGTAAAATTGCCAACAGTCTTTTTCAAGACTTCTTACAGAACTGACAACATTTATAAAGTGCTTGGTATGAGAGTAGGCACTCAATAAATGACAGTCCTTGGTGAATTTAATGCTTAATTTTTTCAGAAGCAGAACTTTTTAGTATCATGTCTTCAAGTAGAATAAACTAGCACCATAGGAAATAAATATAGTTAACTTCTCTCAAAAAATGAGGCTTTTCAATGACTCCAACTAGATTTACATAAAAATAGTTAAAGTCAATTATCTCATAATGTGTCATTTGTTAACTCTTTTTCCTCTTACCCTAAAACCAGCTCTTGTTGAACCTGGAGCCTTTAGATTCTGAAAGCAGCCCTGTGATGGGAACCTTATAACAGATGGTAGAAGATTGGGTCCTACACACAAAATATAAAGACCCTCCTCCTTCCATCCCCTTTTCTGATAAGTGGCTGAACCACAAAGGTTTCTCTGGACCTGGAAATTATTAGAGTTCATTTCAAACATCCTAGAATGACCAGCCTTCTTTCTGGCCCATAATTAAGCTCCCTAAAAAACAGAAGTTGAAACTGGCCTGTAATTTTCAAAACAATGGCCCTGTAATTTGTAAAGCAACATATACTACATGCCATACTGCTAAAATACCAGCCTTCAGAAACCTTTACTTATACTTCACTTGGATTTTCCAGAGTGTAATTTTTTCCTGGGATAATTCAGAACAACTCAAAATTCCTCCACTTTTTGCCTCTGTGGCCTTAAACATTTTAGTCAAATTTAGGTAAACATTGACTCCTAATGCCCTACAGTTCAGCAACCTGAATATCAAATGTGGTTTAAACATTAACACTTTTTAAGTTTCAATAAAAACTCAGTAATATCTGTGCATGTATTTGAAGCAGAAGAATTAGAGGATTTAGCCAAATCTTCTATAAACAATGTGTTATTTATGCAAAGAAAATTTATGAGTCCTGCTTGGCAAAGCAATTTATTTTACTCTTATTTCCTATCAAGTTTTGCATTAAGTTCCTTACTTATAAACATGTACATTCTAGAGACAGCAATGCTATCTCACATATATTCATTTCCACATTAGAAACAATTTGACTTTCTGGAAAGTAATGCCCTTGAACTTAGAAGAATCATGCACTTAATTGGCTAAAGTCAACAGCACATTTCCAATTGGCTAAAGTCAACAGCACATTTCCCACCAAGCAAACACAAATCATATACTCATGCACACACACGCATGTGTCATAGTGTTTACTTACTTGGTCAATAAAATTTTATTAAGTGCCTACAATGTATAAGTCATATTAGCAGGAGCCAAAGGACGGAAAAAAGATGAGTAAATCCTCATCAGTTCCTTCTTGTGCATTTTTTTTTGGTAAAGTTTTAAGCTACCGACCAGTCCTAGACAGCTTGACAATATGAGAGGTCTTCAAAAAGTTCACGGAAAATGCATACTATGAAAAAATTATGCATCGATATCAATTTTTTTTGCACCAAAATAAACTCAGTAATTTGTTATAATATCTCTGAACAGGATCTAGTTTGAGGCACTAGTGTAACTGTTTAGGGGTACCATAAGCCGCATCCAGGTAAGTCAACAAACTTAATAAATGTACATGTTCTTGACCGATCCACTGTTCAGGTCATCTCTTTCCTCTCCTTGGGTCTCCCTATTCCCTGAGAAACAATAATGTTGAAATGAGGCCAATTAATAACCCTACAATGGCCTCTACGCCTTCAAGTGAAAGGAAGAATTGCACATCTCTCATTTTAAATCAAAAGCTAAAAATGATTAAGCTTTTAAAAAATGAGGAAGCTTGAAGAGGAAGGCATGTCAAAAGTAATGATAGGCTGAAGTCTAGCCCTCATGTGCCAAACAGACAAGTTGTCAAGCCAAAGAAAAAGCTATTGAAGAAAATTAAAAGTGCTACTCCAGTGAACACATGAATGGTTAAGAAAATGAAAACAGCATTATTGCTGATATGGAGAAAGTTTTAGTGTCTGGATAGAAGAACAAACCAGCCACACAACATTCCCTTAAACCAAAGCCTAATCCAGAGCAAAGCCCAATTCTTTTCAATTTTATGAAGACAGAGATAGGTGAGGGAGCTGCAGAAGAAATGGAAGCTAGCAGAGGTTAGTTGGTTTGTAAGGATTAAGGAAAGACACTATCTATATAACATAAAAGTACAAGGTGAAGCAGTAACTGCTGATGTAGAAGCTACACCAAGCTATCCAGAAGATCTAGCTAAAATCACTGATGAAGGTAGCTCCACTAAGCAACACATTTTTAATGTAGACCAAATAGCCTTATACTGGAAGAAGATGCCATCAAGACTTTCATAGCTAGAGAGGAGAAGGCAATGCCTGGCTTCAAAGTTTCAAAGGACAGGCTCACTCTCTTGTTTCCTAATGCATTGTTCCTTAATGTAGCTGGTGTTTTTAAGTTGAAGTTGGTGCCCATTTACCACCCTGAAAATCCTGGAGTCCTTAGAATTATGGTAAATCGACTTAGAATTATGGTAAATCGACTCTGCCTGTGCTCTATCAATGGAACACCAAAGCCTGAATGGCAGCACATCTGTTTACAGGATGGTTTACTGAATATTTTAAGCATTCTGAACAAACTCTGTTTTTTCCTAACAATAGTAATACTCACTGGGGATGGTGGAAAGCTCCTCCTTCTCATTAAAGGATGCAATTCCATTACATTATTTTCAAAATTTGCGGTATATGTATACAGTCAAGTGTCAGTTAATGACAGGGATATGTTCTGAGAAATGCATTATTAGGTGATTTCATTGTTGTGCAAACACCACAGAGTGTACTTACACAAACTTTGATGGTACAGCCTATTATACACTAGGTGATATGTTATAGCCTATTGCTCCTGGGCTTCAAATCTGTACAGCATATTACTGCACTGAATTCTGTAGAAAATTTTAACACAATGGTGTTTGTGTATCTAAACAAAAGATACAGTAAAAACAGTATTGTAATCTTATGAGACCACTGTTGTACATGTGGTTTGCACTGACAGAATATAAATAACTAAAATCAGGATGAAAATTTTTTAAAACACATACAAGAAAAATTTCCTTAAACATTAAAACTTAACACATAAGTGTGTTGCAGGAAAGACTAATAGGAAAACCCACTTAAAAAGTTTTAAGATTATGAAACTTTTACATTAGAACAAAATTCTTTGAGGGAAGTGGTACAGAAGTAAAAATTTGAATACAAAAAGAAATGTAAAATTTCCAATTCTTAAAGAGAGACTATTTGTACATTTTCTTTAAAAAATGGATAATTTTGGAAAATCACTATAGTGTTTTTAATCCACTGGATATATTTTAAGAGAGTGAGCCTGGGCAACACAGCAAGATCCTGACTCTACAAAAAATTTTAAAAATCAGCCAAGCATGGTGATGCATGACTGTAGTCTTAGCTACTTGAGAGGCTAGGCCAGGAGGATCACTTGAGCCCAGGACTTCCTACGTTAGGGAACAATGCATTGGGAAACAAGAGAGTCAGCCTGTCCTTTCAAACTCTGAAGCCAGGCACTGAGTTCTCTTCTCTAGCTCTGAAAGTCTTAGATGGCATCTTCTTCCAATGTAAGAGTGCAGTGAGCTATGATCATGCCACTGAACTCCAGCCAGCCTGGATGACAAAGCAAGACCGTCTCTAAAAATAGAATAATAATAGAAGTGGTGATAATTTTCTTTTTAAATATTAATATTTATAATACACTGGAAATATCTATATGGTCAACTAATTTAAGCTTAAGATGAAAAACTTAGATGGCAAGATAAAAATAAATGAAGGGGTAGAAAATTCTTTTAAGAGATAAGTAAACAAACAAATTTAAGGACTACTGTTCAAGGTAATGGGAAGCCTCTAATCCTTTATCATTTTAAGATGGCTTTCCTATGTACTCCCTGAGCATCTCTTTTCCAAGTGAACTGAAATTCACTTCCTCATAACGAAAATAAATTTGTAAGTGCTTATAAAATACATAGTATAAACTCCTGCACACCCAACAAACCTGTTGAAAACACTTGGTGTAGGACTGTGATCACGCTCCCTCTCTCTCTCTCTGGTGCGTTCTCTTTCTCTGTCCCGATCACGGTCTCGCTCTCTGTCTCTGTCTCTCTCTCTATCTCGGTCTTTCTCTCTTCTGGCATAATAGTCCCACTGCTTGCTGGTGTCCACAAGACTAGGCCACGAAGGAGCAGAACCAGGAAGATGGGGAAAGGCAACTAAAGAAAAAACACGATTAAAAACAAACGTTATGGTACTTTAAAAAAACAAAATGCCCACCAAAAATGTGTCATGAGATTATAATAGAAATTCATTTTATAAATAGAAAAGAGAAATATCACATGGTGAATGAATACCCACAGTATCGGGAAGATCCAGAAACAAATCTTAAAAACCTAACATATAAAGACCCTTCATTATACAAGGTGAACAGGAATCAGAATTAGGTTGACCACAAACTTCCCAATATAAAAAATGGAAACCAGAATACACTGGGACATCTTCAAAGTGTTGAGAGGAGGCCAGGCGCGATGGCTTACGCCTGTAATCCCAACGCTTTGGGAAGCCAAGGCGGGCAGATAACTTGAGGCTAGGAGTTTGAGACCAGCCTGGTCAACATGGTGAAACCCCGTCTCTATTAAAAATATAAAAATTTGCCGGGCATGGTGGTGCATGCCGGTAATCCCGGCTATTTGGGAGGCTAAGGCAGGAGAATCACTTGAACCCGGGAGGCGGAGGTTACAGTGAACAGAGATCATGTCACTGCACTCTAGCCTGGGCGACAGAGTGAGACTATCTCAAAAAAAGAAAAAAAAAAAGTGTTGAGAAAAAAATTTCAACCTAGAAAAGTGTACTCAACAATATTTTATTTCAAGATTCAAACAGCCTTTGTAAACATCAACAAAAAAATAAGCAAAACTTACAACCAACAGACTTTACCAAAAGAATGTCTATCATGCCAGGTGCAGTGGCTCATGCCTGTAATCCCAACACTTTGGGAGGCCGAGGTGGGTGGATCATGAGATCAGGAGTTCAAGACCAGCCTGGCCAAGATGGTGAAACCCTGTCTCTACTAAAAATACAAAAATTAGCAGGGTGCGGTGGCAGGTGCCTGTAATCGCAGCTACTCGGGAGGCTGAGGCAGGAGAATGGCATGAACCTGGGAGGCGGAGCTTGCAGTGAGCCGAGATTGCACCACTATACTCCGGACTGGGCAACACAGTGAGGCTCTATCTCAAAAAAAAAAAAAAAAGGAATGTCTATCAGATAGAGAAAAAGAAAAATTATCCTAGAGGATCTAACATGAAAAGAAGTAATGGTTGAACAAATAAATGGTAATCATATATGCAAATCCAAATAAACAATATACGCTATTCAATAGCAGAGTTTTTTTTAAAAAAGAAGAAAACTAAAATAATGAACCACAATAGGATATAAGTTAGAAGAGAAAGATTATTCTAAAGTCTCTGTATTGATGGAGAAAGATGTTCAAATTATATGTAACTACACATTGTTAAGTATGAATAATAAATTTCAAGAGTAACCACTAAAAAAAAAAAAAAGAAAATGTATAGTTTCAAAACAATGAAGAAAACAGGATTTTTTGAAAATCAGTGAGAAAGAAACTCAGTCAATTCAAGACGACTTGACGAAGATGTAGGTGGACAGTTAAGTTCAAATAGCTAAATATTCTCAGTAATAAAAAGGGACTGACTCATCAGTTACAAAACAAAGATTGTTGATTTGTATTTTTTAAAAACCTAACTATAACCTGAATATAAACAACATAAAAACACACAGAAAGGTTGAAAGAAAAAAGATGAGGAAAAAAAAAAAACAACCCCCGATCGAAAATGAGTAGCTTTCAGGCTGGGCGCGGTGGTTCATGCCTATAATCCCAGGACTTTGGGAGGCAGAGGTGGGCGGATTGCCTGAGGTCAGGAGTTCGAGAACAGTCTGGCCAACATAGTGAAACCCTGTCTCTACTAAAAATACAAAAAAAAAAATTAGCCAGGCATGGTGGCGCATGCCTGTAATCCCAGCTATTTGGAAGGCTGAGGCAGGCAGAGGAATTGCCTGAACCAGGAAGGTGGAGCTTGCAGTGAGCCGAGATGGCGCTACTGCACTCCAGCATGACAACAGAGTGAGACTCCATCTCAAAAAAAAAAAAAAAAGAGTAGCTTTATTAATGACACAACAGACTCAAACAGAAAGCATTACTTAGGAAAGAAAGGATGATCACATGAAGATGGATGATGTAATTTACCAAGGAAACAGAACAGATTTAAACTTCCAGGTAGCTAACAACATCACCTTAAGTTTTAGAAAGTAAAAACTAATAGAAATACAGGTAGGAACAGGAAATTCACCATGATCATGGGAGATTAACATATTTCTCTCAATTACTGGTGGATTAAGCAGATGAAAAAATCAGTACAAATACAGAAGTGGTTTCTTTTTGTTTTAAGAGATGAGGTCTTGCTGTCACCCAGGCTACAGAACAGTGCTCACTGCAGCCTTGAACTCTCAGGCTCAAGTGATCTTCCCACCTCAGCCTCCCAAATAGCTAGGATTACAGGCGCAGGCCACCATGCAAATAAAGACTTGAGCTACATGTTCTTAGCATGGTTGATGTAATGGACATCACATAGGATACTGCCCATAACAAAGGATATTATTCTTCTCAAGCACATATGAAACATTTATGAAAATGTACATATACTTTCAAAGGATGAGAGTAACAGATTTGTTCTCTGACCACCACGCAATTTAAGTTAGAAGTCAAATTTAAAAGTTATGAGAAAATAATACCTAACCATTTCAAATTAAAAACACATTTCTGATAATTCATGGGTCAAAAACATCATAAATTTAAATCATTAGGAACTAAACATAGACAAACATAAGATTTATCGAAAGTTTAGGGATACAAGTTGTTCCAGAAGAAAATTTAGTCTTAAAATACTACATTAGAAAAGAATAAAAATTAATGAGCTAAGTCTCCAATATAAGAACACAGAAAAACAGAATAATCCAACAAAAAAAGGGATAACAAAGAATGGAAATCAAGTACATAGAAAACTACCATATAATGGAAAAAAACTGAAAGTTGGTTTTTGAAGACAACAAATAAAACACGACAATTTTATGACAAGATTAAGAAAAAAGAGAACACATAAACAGCATCAGAAGCAAAAAGGGATCACAACTACAGACAACACAGATTAAACAATAAAGAGAATATGCTGCACTTTATACCAACACACTTAAAAACTTAGCCGAAATGGATTAACTACTAAAAACAAAAACAAAAACTTACCAAACTCAAAACAAAAAAGAAATCTTGAAGAGTCTAATAACTATTAAAGACATTAAATCAGTAATTTAAAATCTTCCTACAAGGCCACATGCCTTTTACAGGTGAGTGAAGGTACAGATCATTCCAATATTACACAAACTCCCAGCAAATAGGGAAAAAAAAAGATTATTCCCTGACTTATCCCACCTGGCTGGTATAATCTTGGTGTCAAAATCAGGTAAGGGCAGTATAAATAAAGGGAAATCCTAAGCCAATTTTATTATACATATAAACTTAGATGTCAAAATCCTAAATAATTAGAAACACATTATCAGTGTTTATCTAGAAAAAAGATAATCAATCATGGGCAAGTTAGGTTTATTTCAGCAAATCAACAGTAGCTTAATATTAGAAGAATGTAGCAATGTAATTTGTCACATTAACAGATTAGAGAAGAAAAACAATTATGATCATCTCAGAAAGCATTTGATACAACCCAGTACCTATTCATAGTTTTATAAGCCCTTGGAAAATCAGGAGAGGAACAGAATTTCCTTAACCTGATGGTTCTATCAAAAACCTAACAGTAAAAATCTAGAAGCATTTCCTTTATAAAGAAAAAAGGAATCATACAAGAACTCCACTTTGAGTACTTCGACATTATAATGTTGTTATAATTTAATTTGCTGTTATATAATATTATAATGGAGGTTCTTGCCAGAACAAATAAACAAAACAAAAAAAGGGACAAACAAGGATCTGAAAAAAAAAGGAGCAAAACTGTCATTATCTGCAAGAGTATTTCCCAAATAGACTTTACAAATTATAGTGAGAGTTCAGAAAGGTAAATGGCTATAAAAATAACCAACCAAACAACTATTTCTGAATACAAGCAAATATAAACAGAACACACTGTTCAAATGTATATAACACTTATAACAGCAACAAAAACATTAGGTACCTAAGGACTAAATCCAACCAAAGACATTCAAGAAGTGTATGGAGATAACTATAGCAGTTTATTGAAAACAACACCTCTGCAAATGGAGAGAAAGTCCTTGATCACTGATAAACTCAATGCTGTAAAGGTATGAATTCCACACAGACTGATCTAGAGCATCAGTGCAATTGCAATATGGTATAGTAAATAAAAGCAAGGACTCTGAAGCCAGGCAACATAGGTTCAAATCCTGACTCTGCCACTTACTGTGTGACATGTGGAAATTAATATTTTGATTTCCTCATCTATAAAATGGAGATAGTAACAATACACCTACTTTAAAACTGTCAGGATTACATAAATTAACATAAATTGCTTCAAAGAGCATTATGTAGTAAGTACTATACAAATGTTATTAATCAAAATCTCAAGTTTTTCATGGAACTTGCTAAGTTCAGTCTAAAATACATATGTAAAAGCAACAATTGATTTTGATGCACTAGATATCAGATTTACTATAAAACTCATAATTAAAGATATTATGGAATTTATTAGCACAGGGACAGCTAACCAACTGAATATCTAGAAAGCCCAAAACCAGATTCATACACATAGATATGTAATAGATGACAGAGACGACAATCGTACATCCCTCAGGAACGACAGACTATTCAATAAATGATTTGGGAACTACTAGATCTTTATACCTAAAAAATTAATTTCAGATGGCCAAATGACTTAAATGTGAAGAGCAAAACTTGAAAACTTTTTCTGGGAGGAAAAAAGTATTAAAGAATATCTTTATGTACTTGAGGTGGAGAAAGGCATGTTCCAAATATGAACCCCACTAAAATGTGTAAGACTTTACACAACTGATGACATACAAGGAAAAACAATGGTACAGGTTGAGATTTCCTAATCTGAAAATCCAAAATACTGCAAAATCCAGAGTTTTCTGAGAGCCAACACAATGCCACCAGTAGAAAATTCCACACCTGAACTCATGTGATGGTTATCAGTCAAAATACAGTCAAAACTTCGTTTCATGCACAAGAATATTTAAAATAGAGTAAAATTAACTTCAGGCTATAGATATAAGCCGTACATGAAAAAAATGAATTTCATGTTTAGACTAGGTTTCCATCCCCAAGATATCTCATTATGTATATGCAAATATTCCAAAACAAACATCCGAAATCCAAAACACATCTCCTCCCAAGCATTTCTGATAAGGAATACTCAACTTGTAATTTGAATTATTTGTCATGTAACTTTCTCCCTTGTGGAGCTTGGGTGTATAATTATCTCTGCAGTGCACAATATTTACACATTCATAATAATGTAAATGTTGTTTATTGTTTAGCTTTTAGATTTAAAAATCTGTCAGACCACGAATTATTTTTGTTACAGGACAAAATGTAAACATTGTAAGAAGTATAGTTGAGCAAAGCTAGGTGGTGGAGAAAGAAAAGTTCAGTGAAGGCTTAGAAAGACGCACTAATATTCTCATTTTACCACAGTAGAATGGTACATGAAACAGATAAATGAGAAGAGGAGCAAAAATAGTAATACATATATAAATGAGAAGAGGAGCAAAAATAGTAATATAATTTTATTGGTGGGAGAAAACAGAAGGGTAGTAATGATAACTGAGCAAAATACATATCTATCATATTGAAAGATAACAGATGGTATGTAAGTTATATACTCAAGAAATAAGGTGATAAACATATATAGAAATGCTGTAGAGACCACTGAAAGAACTAAAAACACATCAAAAAACAAAGGTAAAACAGAAATCACCAACAAAGAAGCTGTATTTATCAAATGCATTCTAAAACCTTGTTTTACTAGGAAACTTCTAACTTTCTTCTATTTACTTCTTACAATGTGGTTTATAATTGTTATTACTAAAGAGGCTTTCCATTCAAAAAAACAAAAACAAAAACAAAAACAAAAAACCTTGTCTCTGAGAGAAGAGTTGGGGGCAGGAAAGAGTGGGCAAGAGACTCTCACTTTTTTATAAAAATGTGCATGTATTACCTTGAGAAAAAGTTAAATACCAAGTTAGCATTTTTAAAAAATAAAATATTCTGTAATGAAACTGAATGGGTAATCTCAAGAATTACTCTCTTTCTAATATGGAGTATTCCTCATGTTTATCTGTATTGAAACAAATATACATGGAACTGAATAACAAAATAGAAACTGGAAAGTCTCATTAAAATAGTAAAACAATCAAACTTTAATAAGTCATGTTCACCAAATGCTTACATATTAAAGGCATCATACCAAGTACTTAATAGTCAAAATTTATTTTACAGATGAAAAAAACGATGTAGGTTATTATTCAAAGCTACTAACATGAGATGAACCCAGGACCCAAACCTAGGCTGTCTAACTGCAGGGCCTATGCTTTAACAATGATGCTACACTGCCTCAGAGTGCAGAAAAGGGAAGGAACTTGGAGCTTGTTGGAGATTAGGGTGATAATTATAAAAAATAACAGGTAACATTTGATGGTTTACTAAATGGCAGGACTAAGGTGCTTCAATGTATTTCAATGAACTCCACATTAAAAGGAAGAACTGAGCTGTCCATTTAATGGCTGAATATCTTTAAGTCACATAAATGGTAAGAGGGGGAATCAAGATTACAACCCAAGGACTATGACTACTTAAATATCTAGCAAAAAAAAAAGGGGAGAAGGGGAAGAAACATAGTCATTGAAACAAGTAAGTCAACATAAATACCATCTTTTGTAGTGAATGAATGGCAAGCGCAGTTTGAACAGGTACAGTTTGAAGGACAGTACGATACCCTGATAGAGATACCTAGAAGTGTATGACTGGTACCTATTTCTGATCTACCACTAAGACTTTATTCTATCAAATAAATCCTTCGGAGTCTATTCAATTTTCTTCATCTCCATCTTCAATGGTATTGAGTACATGACATCCTAATTTTTCCTCTGGATTACTTCTGTAGGAGACCAGAATATGTCACCCCAAAACATCCCTCTCTGACATAAGGATTATTTTGAGCTGAAGGTAGCTGAACAGATGCAGATACAAGAAAAGCTTCCCGCCCTCCCTAATTTGCCTAAAAGCACGATGTAAGTTTACAAAGACAAAGGTGTCCTTCCTCCTCTCTCTACCAGAAAGGACAAAAGTTGATCACTGAAGACAAATTTAGACCCTTATCGGCATGGACAAGGCACCAGAGGAAACTGCATGAGAATGTTCACCAACTAGCCTTTATATAGTATATATTGCCTTTCCACAACTGGTTGCTCATGAAGACTCAAGGCCCTTTTCCTTTATCTTGTCACTTCTCTAAAAATTCATTGCTCCTTACTGAAGATGCTATATAATCTGGATTTCTAAGCCATCTCTTTGAGAACTACTCATTCCCTGGTTATTTCCCATGGATATATGAGGTATACATGTTAATAAACTTGTTCTTTTCTCTCTTGTTAATGTGCCTTTTAATACAGGGTCCATCCTAAGAACTAGGAAGAGTAGGGAGAAAATTATTTTTTACTCCCCCACATGTTCCACAACTTCTTATTGCTGTTCCAATCCAAGAAGGCCAACCCCACCTTTCTACTCACCCTATAAATTCAAAACTTCCTCATCGTAACTAGCCAGAATGGAGATTTTTCAAATGTAAATGTAGCAACTTCACAACTCAGCATAAAACTAACTGGTTCCACACAGCCCTCTGAATAAGGTCCAAACTCCACAGCATGGCTATAACGTCCTGCATAAGCACACAGTCTCTACATTCCAGCCACAACACACTTCTTCCAGCTCCTAATACCTACCATGTTCCCTCTCACTCCTTTATCTCTGAATAGCCTGGAAGTCAAATTATCTACCCTTCCACTTCTCTGGAGTAGGAGACCCCTCTGCTATGCTCCCATGACACCCTCTAACTCCTGTCACCCAGCTATCTCCCCATAAGCCTATAACTTTTATGAGGGCAAGCACTCTATACAGGTTACTCTATCCTTAAAACTTAGTACAGGTCAGGTGTGGTGGCTCACACCTGTAATCCCAGCACTTTGGGAGGCTGAGACAGGAGAATTGCTTGAGCCCAGGAGTTCAAGACCAGCCTAGGCAACATGATGAGACCCTATCTCTACAAAATTAGCCCGGCATGGTGATGCACGCCTGTAGTCCTAGCTGCGTGGGATGATCACTTTAGTTCAGGAGGTTGAAGCTACAGTGAGCCATGATCGCACCACTGCACGCCAGCCTAGGCAACAGACAAGACTCTGTCTCCAAAAAAAAATTAGTACAATGCACAGCATTTTTAAAATAAATGACTGATCAAGAGGTGCAAAAGAAAATGGGGTCAGAAGGCCTTGGAATGGATAAAGTTGTCAAGAATGAACATGAAAGGGGACCTACACATGATACAGAAAAAAAATAAACCAGCGAGGGAGAAAGATGGAAACAAGGTTAGGTGTGTGCCATAAGTGAAGAAATAGAAACGTTACAAACAACGAAGATTGAGACAAATTGGTGACAAATCCTAAATCCTTTTAGAAAAGGCAAAGTACAAATATCCCTGTTGTGTCACCATGAATTAATTTTAAAAGCACAGTTGATAAATACATTAAATTTATTGTTTGCTAACCTGGCAGATACATAGACCACTCATTCCTGTAGTTAATATTTTTTAATTGCTCTGTAAGATGTTAAACCATGAACACGTTTTTATTGCTTTAAAAATATTCAAGTACTTTACTGATTCAAACTGAATCTAGGCATCTAAATAATACTACTTACCATTGCCATATGGAAATGCACGTGCAGAACGACTATCATAACCAGAGGAATGTCCACTGTTGAAGAAAAAGATATATTTTTATGTCTGGTACAAATAAGTTCTGAATTTTAATAATGTAGTACAAAAGGAAAAACAAGGCAAAATTACAACTTTTATCCAACCACCAATTTAATGATAATTTAGTTCTATAATTTTATTAATAAAACATGGGGTTTTTTTTAACCTAAAAAATATTAAAATACCTAATTTTACAGAAAAATAGGATGTACTAATACTATTTAACATAAATAATCCAATCAACTTAGCTTGAGTTACAAGTAAAGTAATAGAAAATTTCAGGCTATCAGAATATTTCAGACTAAAAATTTAGTCTTAAATAATTGGTTTTTTGGTGATAAATCAGTAATTCAGCCCCACTGACAGGATTAACAAAGAATACTTTTTAACATTTTGACTGAGAAAATAAATGTGTCTAACAGACACTCAATAAAACTAAATCCTTATGTTCTCACAATTCATACTTTCTTGATTTTATAGTTTCCTCTGAAAATCATATGCAGGGTTTGATGCTACTGATGTAAAGTTCTCACATATTTTGCCTTTTTACATTATTTGAATCATTTTTTCAGAAACACACTATTTTTAACAGTTTATTTGCCACTTAAGAGGAAATAACAATAACTCTTATTAGTGATTTCTATCTGCCAAGAATTATACTTGCACTTTATATTCAGTAGCCTTTTAAATCTTCACAATTCTATCAACCCTTTTGGTAAAAAGGAAAACTGAGTCTCAAAGGGCTTACGAACCTTGCCTAGCAACACTGTTTGATTTCTATGTTGTTAAACACCATACTGCCACCCATGAAGGAAATATTCTTTGTACAGCGTTCTAGTTAGCATAAGCCTTAAATACACGGTACAAAAAATAAGGCTACTGCCACACAGAATGGATCTAATCCTTCTTTGTGGAAGCTGAGATGGTGTATCAAGGAATAAGACAGCTTTTCTTGACTATGGTCCCATAATAGTTTTCCCTACTTTATCCCAAAACAGACATGTATTATTCATGATTTCCAGTAATTTATGTTTGTATTTCCCATAAAACTGACTTGCTGGGTTTTTAACAGTCTAGGAGCTTCTTTAATCAAGTGTGTCATAAATCAAAGCAAGATATTATTTCAAAATATTACGATTTTAGTTTTCTTTGCCCTGTTTTGATATCGGGCTACAGGTCCAACATCTTATATAAAAGTAACTAACATAGATCTAGATTTATAAATTAAAAGACAGGTGCTGTGTTTATAAAATTAAATATCTGAAAATATTTCCAAGTATATGGTTCTTCTGTCAAAAGGCTATCAATGATCAAAAATCAGTATCCATACTGATTTACCTTTCTATTGTTGGTATAAGAGATGGAGGTGGAGCGCCTGGTGGAGGAGGAAAACCTGAAACATTCAATCATAAGATAAAAAATGTTAACAATGTACACTTAATGTCAAGAGTGAAACAAAGTTGCTGCATATCACTAAATTTCTCTGGGGATATGAATGTGCTTCTCTATGTTGTAATAATGGACAGAAAAAAATGGAGCTCAAACTTATGAACAGATTTTTAGCGCAATAAAACTTTAAGTAAGCAGTCTGGTCTAATACACAGAAAACAAACTGGGAGTCAGGACACCGGTCTTATTTTCAGCACCACACACAGCCCATTTTGTAAGTATGAGAAAGTTAATCTCAATGCCTTACCTTCTCCATACATAAAACAGTAGCCACCAGATATATTTGAAATATTTTAGAAGGAAAGCAGATATATAGCAATTACCTCTTTCAAAAAATATTTCGAGTTTTAGAAGTATAGAAATTTCCTTAAAATGTGTAATTTATAAATAAAATCTTACCAGTAAATGTACAGTGTTCAAAGCTGAGAATATCCACCAGAAAATATGTTCAAATAGCACAACCCTAACAAACTGTTTTACAAAGAAAAGCACATAATATAGTTTGTGTATTAGTTTGGAAGGAATATAATTTGTACCTCTATATCGTGGGGTCTGCATTCTGAATAATTCACAATACCTAAATGGAATACCACAGAATAATATGGCTAAAAAACAGTTAATCTACACTACACTTTCAAATTCAGATAGGCTATAAAGCATCCTAGCAGAAAAAGATTTCCAAAACTTATGATGTCAATTCCTTATGATACCAATTCCTTCCAAGTGTTAACAATTAACAACTCTCACTACTAGGAAATGCACTAAATTATCTAACTTAAGTCTCTCATACTACAATTCAGACACTGTCCTAAATGAGAACAAGAGGTATTCCACTGTCATACTGTCTATCACCTTCTAGTTATGTGAAAACACTTCCACTAAGCCTCCGTTTTAGTAATTCTGTGAAAAAATGAATCAGTTCTCTGAATCCTTCTCAAAGGTCCACTTAAATCCATTTTTAGCCCCACTTCAAATTGTTTTCATGTTTACCATGTTCTTCACTGTATCCAGTGTTAGGATCTATAATTCCTCTATTAAACATCTTAAAAGTACAAAATTTGGCAATTACCACATTAGTCCTAAAGTCCACAATCCTATTTCATACAGCCTCACAACCACATTGTTTTTTAAACTAAAAAGACACAAATGATTCCTTTGACTTTCCCTGATGAGTCTTTTTCAGACACATTCACACATAATCAATGTCTGTATTCCACATCTAAGTATGTATACTGTACTATGCTACCTAAACTTCACTCTTTCTGTTTATTGAAGTCATTTTGAATTTAGACCCACCCTTGCAAGCATTATCACCTCTCATTCTCTTTACACACCTTGGCTTTTAACACTGAACTCAGGAAGACACACTTGCTACCAGGTGTGATATCACACTATAAAAAGAAATAACTGACAAAAATGTAAAAATAAATAAATAAATAAATAAATAAAACACTGGGCCACATATAAACTCCTAGTGATCATACTATTACAACAATAAACAATCACCACTCTAAGAACAGCCACCTGACCAGCTGTCTGTCTAGTTGCTATGTGGGGTTTAGAACACATTTTCTCACGATACTAAGCCAGCAGGACTAAAATTAAAAAATCGGAAATAATGATAAAGACAAAATAAATTATCTTTCTCTTCTCTTATAGTCACTATATTACATAAAAAATTCATTGGTCTGTAAAGACATTTTTAAGAAAACTTTTATTTTATATCCTATACTGTTTTCTTCACAAATTGAATAGGTAAGAATTTTCTCAGAATCTCTATTTCTACAGAAACGGGTAAGACAGGTATAAGAAAACTAAATATCTTAATCAAAACTGGAATGAAGCAAAGGCAGAGCTGAAAATAGGACCTTGAAATCCCCATAGCCTATTCCATATTCTAACCGCATCAACACCGTCTCTCCTGTAACTATAAGCTTGAAATTTCATGTTTATTAACAATGATGGAGAAAACATGAAAAAAGTTTTACCTGGAGGTGGTACAGTTATTGGAATACCTAAAAAACAAGTGATGAAATTTAATATAGTAATTGGATTTCAGAACCTGTTATGTATTTATGCCATCACCAAAACAAACTTTGAAATAAAACCCCTCGCCTCATTATCCTGGCTTATTCACTCAAGAGAACCATTCTGTTTTCTCGTAGAGGACTAACAATTCGAGTATAACATCCAACTTCCTTGATGAAAACCCAGTCTAACAACTTGATAACAAGGTTTCCCCCACTAGTAATCACAAAGTTAGACATCAGTTAAAAAGCACACTTATGCACACACAATTATCAAATGCCATGAAGTTAATCCTTACTAAATATGATAATCAATGCCTGAGGTTGTTATTTTAACATTTTAATAGAAAAACTGATCTGTGGGTTCTTTCTCTAATACTGCAGGTAGTACAAGGATAACTCAAGATGATGGATATTACTGACTTTTGTAAAGCTCAATATGTTGTGGTTCATTCAAGTGTTGACTGTTCTAGTATTGTTGGCAGAAGTGAGAAAAGGCTAACATTTCCTTTGATTTGTAGGAGAGAAAGGGGGAAAAACCAATTCATATATATACACCCCCAGGGCACATTAACATAAACGTGAATGATTTACTTCTACAGGTGCTAGCAAATATTAATTTGAGTGACTCTCACTCATTATTTGTACACATTATAAACTCTGAGGAATAAACTATGTATATTTTTAATTTACAGGGACCAAATGTGCCCTTAAAGCCTAATGTAAAATGTATTTACTAAATACTAAAATTAAATTCAGCATTTTAAATTTAAGAGATACATGAAAGGCAATTTATGTGGCATGCAAATTTTAACTATCTTCAGTGGAGGAAAAATGAGAGATTTCTAAGCAGGAAAATAAAAAAAAGTAAGACAATTTAAAGTAACTTTTTCATGAAAAGTTGTATACCATAAATAACTAAAACAGTTGGAACGGTTTCCTAAATCCTATCTTAAAAACTGCATCAAAATTAGTCCAAAAAATAATCTAATTTATTAGCTAAATGTATGCCAAAAAAAGAAACAGAATTGTTTTCAAATGTTTTCTTGTCAAAGGAAACATATTCTAACACTAAACATGTTCTGATGTGCATGTTTTATCAGAGTAAGAGATTTAGATTAAAAAGATCTTAAGGTAGCAAATGGCCTTAAAAAAGAGACCAAAGCACCTGATTTTAACCACCCATACAATAAAAACATATTCCAAACTTACAAAGCCAACAAGACTAAAGATACATAAAGCAGCCATCAAGTTTCAAAAATCTTTATGAATCCACAAGTCTACTAAACTGACCCATAGCTAATGGCAATTCTCATCCATCCTGAGGTTACCTTCCTGTTTCCCAAATTACTAAACTAAAAGAATCCAACAAACCATACAAGCTAGTAGAGTCCCAGACTCCAAAGTAAATGAGAAAAGTAAGGAAGGCAGATCATTAAATGTTTTTAATATATACTACAACCTAATTTTCTTTAGAACAATACGGACACTACTTAACTTCACTATTTGATCTAGTTTTCATAAGTAAATACATGATTATTTTCGTAGATTTATAAGATACAGATTTGTAAGATAAGATTTATAAGATAAAGGAATATACCAAAATCATCCACCCATTCTATATACTATAATCCTAATAACTTTACCTAAATGATTATGTGAGCAGGATGTATCACTTTAGCTAAGGCTTACTACAGCTTACTAAAATGTAAATTCATGCTAAAAACTAAAAAATTACTAGTCAGCCCCTTCAAACTTTAGTCCTCAAAAACATTTAAGTTGTTAAACTTCCACAAAATGTAGAGATAAAAGACATATGACCAAAGAATTAAGTACATTACAAAGGTAGTTAAAATTACTGTCTGCCTTTAATGTTAATCTTACTACAGCAGTATCATAGGACAGACAAAAATAATCTACTGGAATTAAAGACATAATCAAAGAAAAAACCATGTCATTTATAGGTCTTTCCAATCAATACCTACACATCAGAAAGTTGGCATGGCAACTAGCAAGGGCCCTTCTTGTGAGACCTCCATTTCATCTAAGATGTTATTTCAATGCAAATCTTTATAAGTAAATGTTCATTAAAACAAGACTATAAAGTTGATGAAACACTATATAACCAATTCTTTGACAATTACTGAATGTATTTTCAAACTGATACGTGATATCATGTAAGGCCAACATCATTCTCACTTAAAAATCACTATTTAGTATTTGACTTTTCTTAATAAAAGAGAAACAGTGTAAGGGAAGAGAAAATTCATCTCAAACGTCCCTCTTCTTTCCCCTCCCAACACCTCCATCTTCCTGGCAAACACATGCTGCCTAACCTAGACAACAGACTTAAATAAGGAAAGTATTTTGTTTCTTTTCTATATCCTTTATCTGAAAAATGAGTTTAAAAAAATGTTGATTTTCCTGGAAAGCTGTATGTAACAGTAGTAAAAGTAGATTTCTAGTGCCAGCCAAAACCTTTTGGAAAAGTAATACTCAAGCTCTAACAGACTGAACAGATTAGTGGTATTAAAACTTGAACATAGGCCGGGCGCGGTGGCTCACACCCGTAATCCCAGTACTTCCGGAGGCCAAGGCAGGTAGATCACAAAGTCAGGAGATGGAGACCATCTTGGCTAACATGGTGAAACCCTGTCTCTACTAAAAATACAAAAAATTAGCCAAGCATGGTGGCATGCACCTGTAGTCCCAGCTACTCAGGAGGCTGAGGCTGGAGAATCGTTTGAACCCAGGAGGCGGAGGTTGCAGTGAGCCGAGGTCGCGCCACTGCACTCCAGCCTGGGCAACAGAGCGAGACTCCATCTCAAAAAAATAAAATAAAATAATAAATAAATAAATAAATAAATAAAAACTACCTTGAACATGCATGAGAATCACCTGGAGAGTCTCTTAAAACACACAGATTGCTGGGCCCTTCCCCTAGAATTTCTGATTCAGTAAGTCTGGGGTGGGACCAGAAAACCTACATTCCCCTAAATTTCCCAGATGATGTTGCTGGCCCAGGACTATACTATGAGGATCACTGGATCCGATTCTAAGCTTCCCTCCTAATTTCACTGCTGAGCAATTTAGTACAGACTAAATAAATCCCATTCCGAATTTTTATGAAACAAAAGCATCTACCTATGACACTTAAAAGGACTATGAGAGCCTACACCATCTGGCATTCTCAAAAGAGAAGATGATTTCTCTCTCTTTTTTTTTTTTTTTTTTTTTTTTTTTGGTTGAGACAGGGTCTCACACTGTTGTGTAGGGTGAGTGGCATGACCACGGCTCACTGCAACCTCTGCCTCCCCAGCTCAAAGCAATCCTCCCACCTCAGCCTCCCAAGTAGCTGGGACTACAGGTGTGTACCACCATGCTCAGCTAATTTTTTGCATTTTTTGTGGAGACAGGGTTTCGCTATGTTGCCCAGGCTGGTCTCAAACTCCTGGGCTCAAGCGATCCACCCGCCTCAGCCTCCCAAAGTGCTGTGATTACAGGTGTGAGCAACCATGCCTGGCCTTAATTTTTGCATTTTTTATAAAGATGGGGTTTCTTCATGTTGCCCAGGCTGGTCTCGAACTCCTGAACTCAAGCAATCTACCCGCCTTGGCCTCTCAAAGTGCTGGGATTACAGGAGTGAGCCACCACACCCAGCTTAATTTTTCCAGCATATAACACATACACTTAAATGTAAAAGTGGGTGGGGGTAAGACCTGAAATCCTATTTTGGAGATTGAAAGAACTGAGGCAAAGAAACAGAAAGGCAGCATTCCTGTTAAACATCATATTAAAAAGAATTTACCCATACTAAAAATTCCCACAAAATTAATAGTGGGCTTTGCACTCACAAAAAAACTAAACAGATTGTCTATAAACTCATTCTCAATGTAGTCTATCATAATTTTATATAACTAAGGCAAAATAGCTTCTGACATGGCTCTCAATGATCCCTGTCTGCTGGTATTTATGTCCTGTGTGGGGGCTGGACATTGTGACTTATTTCTACCACACACAAAAAAAATCAAAGGATGTTACTTCCATGACTAGGTTACAAAAGACAGTTATTTCTATTTCACTGGCACCCTCTCTGTTGCCTTCTTGGCTTACATGCTTTGATTAAGCAAGCTAACATATTAAGACGCCTACACCAGTGAGGAACTGAAGCCCTGTCAATGCAACAGCCTAGAAAAAAACAAAATCCTTTTAACAAAGAGGTGAGTGAGCTTGGAGACAAATACTTCCTTAGTCAGGCTTTTGGAGAAGACTGTGAGGTCTGAGAGAGACCTTAAAGCAGAGGATCCAGCTAAGCTGTCCCAGATTCCTGACCCATGAAAACTGTTCAATAATAAATGTATGTTGTTTTAAGCCACTACATTCTGGAGTAACTTGTTATACGGCAGTAGAAACCCAATACATGCAATAACCATCTATCTTTTCTCTATTCAAATTCACATGAAAGAAAAAAAATGGCAGAATATGTAAACTACGCTTCCTATTTCTCACTAGTAAATTCCAAGTTCCGTCGGCACTATTATTTAAGAAACAGATAAACTTGATCACTTTCCTTAAGTCTCATGACTTGTATTTCAAAGCCATCAAGCTCAGAAGTTTTACTCAAAATGAGTAGAAAAGGACAAGGTTTACAAAAATCTTTAAATATCACCTTCTACCAGAAATGCGTTTCTATGTATCAGGATTTTAAAAATTCAACACAAACAAAAACATACGCACACACACGTGTATCATCTCATCTACCATCCACCCTTAAATACAAACCAGAATGTAGAAAGAATATGGCAAAACCATTATTTCATAATTAAAACAATTACAAGGTGCAAAAAAAGTTTTAAGTTATTTTTAAGAAAAGAAAAAAGGGTTAAAAAGTGGTACGGTCACACAACAAAGTAACCAAAAATTTACCAGCATACTTCATGTCTAAAAGGTAAAAAAGGTAATTTTACATACACTATAAAATGGACAAACTATGTTACCTTTATTAGGATCTGTTACTCTTCTATTTTATAAAATCTAAAGCCTACAGAAGATAAACTTCTATCTTACACAAAACATTTTTGATAGAAATACCTATGTTTTTTAATAGAGAACTTGTAAAGAAATGATCTCTACCAGCTTCCATATAATCATGAGACGATCAAAAGAGCAGTGTAAGCAGAAGGCACAAATTAAACTGTAATTAGATTCAACAAAATGTGGTGTCAATGATGTATTCAAAATGTAACTATTATAAAGGGTGCATCCTGGAGGAGAAAGCACATTCAAAAATCAACATCCTAAGAAAGCTTTTAATCTCTATTAAATTTACATTTAAATAAATTTTAATTGTGCCAGAAAATTCTATTTATTATAGATAATTAGCATTGCTCTCTGTTTTGAATTTAATGAAAACACTGATAGGCAGGCTTTTTAAATTGAATATAGAAAAACACAAGAATAAATACAGTTTTCAAAAACTTTGAGTTCTTTTTTAATGGTAACTCTGGAAAATGCTTACATTTCTGGCAAACAGTGCCAGTTAATTTGAGGTAATCTGTTGAGTAAGACCAAAAATTCATGGTATTATAAAATTAGCTTAATAAACATTATAGTCATAAACTAGTTTCTCAATTAAAGGGATAAAAGTGTACTTCCTCAAGGGCACTGATAATATTCATCCAATACAGGCCAAGCTTCTGCCAAAGCAGTGTTCTCAACGTTCTGTCCAGGAATTCCCGGAGGTCCCTGAGACCCTACTGAATCTGCCAGGTCAAAACTACTTTCATAAATTTACTAAGCTGTGGCCAGGCGCAGCGGCTCACGCCTGTAATCCCAGCACTTTGGGAAGCCGAGGTGGGTGGATCACTTGAGGTCAGGAGTTCAAGACCAGCCTGACCAACATGGAGAAACCCCATCTCTAAAATTACAAAATTAGCCAGGTGTGGCAGTACATGCTGGTAATCCCAGCTGCTCGGGAGGCTGAGGCAGGAGAATCGCTTGAACCTGGGAGGCAGAGGTTGCAGTGAGCTGAGATAGTGCCACTGTACTCCAGCCTGGGCAACAAGAACAAAACTTCATCTCAAAAAAAAAAAAAAAAATTTACTAAGATGTTATTTGCCTTTTTCATGCTCATTCTCTTACAGTGTAGTTTCCAGGGGCCACATAACTCGTGATATCACAATAGATTTAATGTGAAAACAAACAGGAGAAACCAGCTTTTTCTACTAAGCCACATAGTAAAGAGATTTCCAAAAGCATAAAATAAGACCACTTCCCACTAAATTTTTAAAATTATTCTAGGAAAAGTACAGTTATTTTTCATAAGAAATTTAAAAATGTTAACATGTAATGAGTGTATTATACATATCTCTAATATTTTAATTTCTCAGTTTTAACTTCTAATATTAAAAAACAGATAAAACATACATAAGTAGAAGCTCTATGGGATCTGCAGTAATTTTAAAGAGTTTAAAGAAGACGTAACCAAAAAGTTTTGAGAACTGCTGTGCTAAAGAACCAGACTGCTAACAGAAAAATAATCTAATGAGAATGCAGGACTTAGAGGAAATGCAGAATGACCCTAGATATGAGCAACTCGCCACCCGCCCCCACCCCCTGACCCGATTCCTATATATCATCCCTAACCCGAAATTAACATATTTAAGGAATAAATAAGATTTTAAAGTTCATGAAATTAGTAGTACTAGATGATTAGCCAGACACTGATACAAGACAACAGTCTTTTAGGAAGAAATCTACTTCTTTCTAAAATGCAGAATCCTACACATCTGGTATCTAGATAAACAGTTAAACCCTATAGCTAACTTTAAAAGCAGGGATCCTGGTTTGTGGTCCACAGTAGTTGGGCTATATCTCAGTAAAGCAAAGACCCTTCTTCAACTCAGCAGAATTCCACTACTGGGCTACATTTCAATTGTTCCCAAGACCCACAGAACTAGTCATTTGAGGCTGATAAGAGTTCATACAAAAACAAATGAGTTTAACTGAATTTACCTTCTATTCTACAGTAAACTCCACTACAAAAAAAAAAATGAACATCAAATATGATGACACTGAAGTAAATTAACATTTAAAAGCCTAAATTAAAGCCTACCATAAAGTTAGCTCACAATCATTAATTAAATTCTATTATTTTAGAAACAAAGTAAGTCAGACACAGATAGACAAATGCATGATTCCACTTATATGAGGTACCTAGAATAAGGAAACTCATAGAGACAAAAAGTAGAATAGAGGTTACAGGGGCTATCCTTAGGAGGGAAGGAGTTTAGTGGGCACAGAGTTTTCACTGGAGATGATGAAAAAGTTTTAGGTACAGCTCATGGTGATGGTTACATAACATTGTGAATGTATTTAATGCCAATGAACTACATATTTATAAATGGCTAAAATGACAAATAGATTGTATTTTACCACAATAAACAAACACACAAAATCACCTACCCTATAACATTAATACTTCCAGTTTTACAGTTTTTCTTCCAATAAACAAATATTTCAAAACTGACTTCAGCTAAACACAGACTTCTTAACACAAGCCAGGCAAACAGTAAAAACCTTATTCAGATTTTCAAAAATGTGATGACTGTTCCTTATAATCTCCCTAACTTCCCTACCCACAAATACGTATGCATGTACTTCAACATCAGAGAAATGCTTTAAAAAAAAAAGTTTCTAGGACTGTGACAAATACACGTAATCCAATAATACGATTTTCTGGATATAGGTACTGATTCATTTCAACATAGTTAATAAAGAAAACAGGCTTTCAAGCAAAACTGCCTGGGTTAGAATTCTGGTTTTACTATTTTCTAGCTATTACTCAGATGACTTAGGTCCCCGCTTCCTCAGTGCAAAATTAGAATATCATCTACTTCAGATATTGTTCAAGAATCAAATGAGTTAACACATGGAATGTACTCAGAATAGTACCCTGAAAAGTGAGCATTCAATAAGTATTAGCTATTATATCTATTATTACTCAGAAAAAGCATGAAACCACTGTAATGTATTTCTGAAAAAACTTAATACAATGGAAACTATTTTCTGATTCACGAGAAAATGAAATAACAGATTTTCTGGATATTATAGAAGAACTAAATTAGCCAGTATTTGTTTTCTTTCTTTTTTTTTTTTTTTTTTTTTTTTTTGAGATGGAGTTTTGCTCTTGTCGCCCAGGCTGGAGTGCAATGGTGTGATCTCGGCTCACTGCAACCTCTGTCTCCTGGGTTCAAGTGATTCTCCTGCCTCAGCCTCCTAAGTAGCCAGGACTACAGGTGTATGCCACCACACCCAGCTAATTTTTTCATATTTTTAGTAAAGATGGAGTTTCACCATGTTGGCCAGGCTGATCTTGAACTTCTGACCTCAGGTGATCTTCCTGCCTCAGCCTCCCAAAATGCTGAAATTACAGGTATGAGCCACCATGCCTGGCCCAGTATTTGTTTTCAAGCTACTGTTAGTATGGCTGCAGGGAACCACGATAAATGCTTTTGCACTTCCAGACATCTCTTCCTTCTTTGTTGTATTCTAATACATAAATCTCCTCTACTCTTCATACAAATCTATTATGGCCAGAAATACTTTGTCCTCTCTGTGTTACTAGCAAAGTTTCATATACGTTTGCAGGTGTGTGTTTAAGGGTGAGAGGAGGCAATACATTTCTCCTCTTCTGTGAACTATTTGACATTAAAAGTCCTTCAAATGAGAGTTATCTCTAACACCTTATAATTGTTAAACAGTAACTTATCTACTTATGCAATAAGACCTCTGTAAATTTCCAAGAGTCAATCAGAAATTGTATCATCTAAACCAGGGAATTTCTTTCTAAGAATGAATAATAATTATGCTGGGATAGAAGGTATAAAGTAGGACTCTTCCAGGCAAATCTGGATGTATGGTCACCCTATTTATTTGAAAACAAAACAAAACAAAACAAAAATCTAGTAGCATCCTAAAATATGAGAATAAAATATCATTACTATACTTATCTCATCATATTTTGGACTTTACTTTTAAAAACATTAGAAGTCTAATGTTAAAAAGGCAACATTAAAATACATTTAAATTAATTCTTTAAAAAAATGTTTTTCCATTTTCTTTTGATTATTTTTGAAGAAAGCAAAAAACAAGACAGTTTATCTAAGAAAAATGGAATATCTTTTAAGGCAATACTTTAAAAAGAATCCTGAATCATAGCTTTCTTTCATTAGCTGCTTATGATTCTTAAGGTGATTTAAATTACAACAAACTACGGAACATAGTGTAATCATGTGGTTCTGTGGTAAAGGGTAACTGAAAACCACAGCTTTAAGCATGGCAGCTGGCATATATCTATGCAGCCGTACTGTTATTCAGAGCCAGTGCCCATCCTGATTGAATGTACCAGGTATAAATCCGAAAATCATCTTTGGTGTTATGGATACATAAATATGTCGTTAACTCAATTAGCAAACACATTAGGGAATGCCAAGTACGTACAAGACCACTTGACTAAAACTGTAGGGAAACATAGATAGAAATACATAGCCTGTACGCTCCCCAACAGCTCACATTCTACTAAAAGTAAGGAGCAATTCAGAGAGTCTCAACTTCAAATATTTGGTTTTAATGAACTGGTATCCTGCTCAGCACATATACCAGTTAGGTACTGCTTAAACCAGCATTAGAATTCATTTGAATCTGCACTCATTAAATGTTGACAGAAGAGCATAGAAATGTAAACCAAGAATAAACATAAAAGGAAATCTCGATTTTAAAATATGGAAAGCATGTAGCTGAGAATTAAGTAGAAAAATAGATTAAGCAACAGAAAAATAATTAGCTGCACTCTATAGTATAATGTCATTAATAACCTAAACACTCTTCAAAGATTTGTTATACTTATGAACAAAGGTTACATGAAAAAGAAATGGTCAGGGGTAGTGGTTCATGCCTGTAATGCCAGTACTTTGGGAGGCCGAGGAGGGCAGATTGCTTGAGGTCAGGAGTTCAAGACCAGCCTGGACATGGCGAAACACCATCTCTACAAAAAATACAAAAATGCCGGGTATGGTGGCACACGCCTGTAGTACCAGCTACTCTGAGGCAGGAGGATCGCTTGAGCCTGGGAGGTGGAGGATGCAGTGAGCTGAGACCGCACCACTGCACTCCAGCCTGGGCGAAAGAGTGAGACCCTGTCTCCAAAAAAAAAAAAAAAAAAAAAAAAGTAATTTTATCATTTTGAAAAAAAGTAAACTTCCAGATAATGCTACTGCCTATGTGTAGCAATTACCTCTGTAGCAATATTCTACGGAGTTTCGAATATTCTTATACCAGCTAAGTATTTGTTGTCATTAATTCATACCAACTCTGTCCTACTTACTTTAATAATTAGTACTGAACATACAAAATGTTAGCCATCTGGGGATATACTATATTTGTAAATAAGGAAATCCTTTCATTCTGTCATTTGTGACAACATGCATGAACCTGGAGGACACTGTGCTAAGTGAAATAAGCCAGGCACAGAAAGACAATTACTGCACAATCTCGCTTATATGATCCAACTCATAGAAGCAGAGAGTAAAATGGTGGTTACCAGAGGCTGGGGGCCACGGGTGAGGTAGGGGAGATGATTTTCAAAGGATACAAAAGTTTCAGTAAAATGAGAAAAACAAGTTTTGGAGCTCTACTGTACAGCATGGTGACTATAATTAATAACCGTATATTTCAAAACTGCTAGGAGATTTCAGAATGTTCTCTCCACAAAAAAATGTTAAGTATGTGAGGTGATGAATATATTAACTTGATTTACTACAATGTAGACATAATCAAAACATCACATTGTACCCCATAAACATATACAAGTATTACTGTCAAAAATAAAATTTTTAAAAAGTTTTAAGAATTAAAAAAAGAAAATTATTTCAAATCACTACCTAGTAAAGTTTAAGTAATATTACAAAGGAATCCAACAGAGTACCACAAACATTAATAATTTTTTTAGTATCATTAATCAAATATGTTGAAACATTAATTATTTCTACCTTTTATTTATCTAATTCTTTTTCAGAGGACAAAGGATTCACATAGAAATCACAGAAGTCCTCATTTTGAATCACCTAAGTCCTCTTTCATTTGGTTAATACTCAGCATATTAAAGACACAAGAACCACAAGTCAATCCCAACTAATGAGTCGTTTCTGCTCAATCTATTTGTTGGAACTAGAAATTCACTGAAATTAGAAATACTAATGTTGTCTGGAATAAGGACCTCTAACCTATATTCCAACCTCTTCCTTCCACTATTGTTGAGACAACAGACCCTCTAAAGCCACAAGTCATTTTTTCATATTTTTCTCATACTTTTTGAGAGTAGAGGTGACAGTGGAAGGAAATCAAAGGCACTGAAGATGAAAGACAGAAGCAGTGGCTGACATTTAGAGGCCAAGGATGAATATGTTAGGGAAGGACTATTCAGACCCTGGATTTGGTTCTGTACTCGGATCACAACTGGCACCTTAAAACAAAGACAGCTCTCTTGCAAATAAAAGTGAGTGAGAGTACATGGCTCTCTAGTATAAACTGATTTGATTAATAGGAAGTAAAGCCTAACATACGTCTTTCATGTTGCCCTGATGAGGACAAGCAGCTATTTTTTCATCATTTACTACTAGCTTTCTCCCTGGGAAGAAGTAATTATTATCTCAATCAATCTTGCTAGTTTCATAAAAACTTGGTTAAGGCAGATAAAGGTTAAAAACAAAGTAAGAAAGGCAACCCGATGAAAAATTCAAATAAAAATAAAATTTGGGAATTATTTGTGAGTTTCTTCTCTATCACCACTAACCTGGTTTTTAATTGTAATCAAAAGTAGCTAAAAATATGATCAACATTTACTTTTGTTTAAAAGAAATAAATACCAGGCACCCAGTAGCAGTCTCCTAAAAGGAAACCGGTATACAGAAGAAGACCAGACTGAAATATTAATCAATCTCTTCGCAAGATATAATTTTTTGATCTACTCCCATCCTGAAAGTATCTTTTAATGTTTTTTTCAAAACAAATTAACACTGGTAAAGTTTGTAACTGAGTATGGATTTATACATATTCTATTAGCAACTTAAGTTTGGGGATCATTATCATATTTTTGAATCACAAGATTGGTATCTGTATATTCTTCTTAATTTTAGAACATTGTCTCTTTCCTATATTGAAATAGCAATAAACATATATATATCTGTTTCAGTGTGAATCTGTTGAAGATATTATATCTATTACTTTTAATGAAATGTGATCAAGATATTATTTTAATTGTCAAAAATTTTAAAAAACACTCGCAAGCTATTTTTCTTTCAAAGTCAAATGTCTTATTTACTATTTACCCGGTGGTGGAATCAGAGGTGGAGCAGTGCTGACAGTCGGAGGAGGTGGAAGAAATGGAGGAGGTGGAAGGTGAGTGGGAGGAGCTCCTGGAGGGAAAAACGGAGGTGGTTTGCTAAAATTGTTGTCTACTTCAGTAGCAGATCTTTCAGAAAGGACCTAAAATTAGAGCACAGTTAATTAAACAGATGCATAAATATTATGTAAGATTAATCTTAGTAAATTAATTTCATTTAATCTAAGAAACAAAGTAAAAGGTAGTTTAATTCACATATATGTATTTTTGGGGGGAGAGTAATAGTTCTACATGTGTGATATGTGTATACATACGCCTGTGTGAGTATACACATACATACAGTTTTAAAAATGTGCATATTCAAATCTTAAGAAAAAACAACTGGATCATTACCAAAAATTTCTTAATAAAAAGTAATTAATACAAACACTCCACACAAGAAAAAAGTACTTCATAAAGATCATTTAACAAGTATTATCTTTGTCACCCAACCAAAGTTGAAGTATTCAATTAAGGCAATGTAATCATTAATCACAGACACTGGCCTTAAGAAATTAACATGGCAGCAGGTCAGACATTCACTGTACAAGGGCCTGTCATCACCAGGTTGCAAAGTAAGAAACTGTCAGGCATGTGTCAACAGACTGCAAGCAATAGGCAGCAAGATATGTAAGTAACTTTATCATGTGAGCCTTGTAACTTTAAGACCAGGGTTTATTCTTGAAAAATAAAGCAATGTTTGCAAAATGCTTCTTTGTGTGAACAGGTTAAGGGACAGGCACCATAAGAAGCACCCCAAACCTACTGAAATAAAACAAGCAAAGTGGCACCTCAAAATCTGGATTTTTGATAAGCTCCCCAAGGATGTGTAAATAAATTTGGGAAAGACAGCCAACATAATGTTGTATATTTAATTTATACTTCTCAGATCCTTGCTGACTAAAGCAATCTTTTAAACATACAATCCCTCTTTCCATTAACACTTCCTACATTTAAGTGCAGTGTTTTTTGTAGGGCTTATGCTGATAAGCTATTTCTTAAAGTATTTATTTTGAGAAATCGTGGCATTTTAATGGTAAGGGGAAAGGAAAAATGGACTAACATCTTCCACTATAGAAATGATTTGCCTTTAAAGATGCTAAAAGGAATATTTTACATGATCAACTTATCAAAGGTAAGAATAAAGTGCTCTGGACATTTTTAAAAGGACTCAGAAAATAGGAATAAATAATGAAAAAAAGTATGGCCAAAATGAATAGCTGGAAGTCTCAGTTATTAAAGTTCTAACATTAATTATCCAACTTACTGATAATTTATCTCCCCTCAATTTTTCACCTAAAAACAAAGCAGCTCTACGCCACCTCCAGAAATGTCACATTAAATAAATCATGGTATATTTATCCAATGAAGCTATCATGAAGATATTTTAATCATATTTTAAGAATATGAAAACATACAAATGATAATTTTAGATGGGGAAAAAAGTATACACAGAAATATAATTATAATAGTATCCCAATTTTGCTTAGTATCAAGAGATGTACCAGATGTGGTTATCTTTAGGTGGTAAAATCACTGGTGGTCTTTTATTTTTCATTCAGTAAACCTATATACAAGTTGAGTATTCCTAATCCAAAAATCTGAAATCTGAAATGCTCTAAAATCCGAAACATTTTGAGCATCAACATTTTATCACAAGTGGAAAATTCCACACCCAACCTCACATGTGACGGATCACAATCAAAACTCAGGCCCACTACACAGTTTACTCAGGGTTGCCAAAGGAAAAAAGATTATCATAAATTAACAAATCATTATAACAAATTAAATAACTTATTTATGAAACATAAATTTCATGTTTAGACTTGGGTCTCATCTCTAAGATTACATACGTATGAACATTTCAAAATCCAAACATTTCAAAATCTGATACACTTCTGGTCCCAAGCATTTCAGATAAGAGATACTCAACCTGTACTATGTTTCTACCAAGGAAAAGAAAGAAAACCCTATTAAAAAAAGATTCAGAGATTATAAATTCTAACTGGAAATGCCTTTATAATAAATGACTGGCTTCACATTTTAAATCTCTTTGTATCACCTAAAACACAGCATAGCACTATGACTATCTATTGAATAAATTAAATTATAATGTTGATATCATCCTTCAGTTAAAGAAAATTATTTATTTTAAAATACTAAACCTGTATGTTGCTGTTCTCATTTGCCCGTCGCCTGCCTTCTACTCGGCTGATAGTTATAGTCTGACCGATAACATCAATTGCCCCAGGTAATCTCCTGTAACATAAAAATTGAATCAATTCAGTTTCACCTAATTAGATGCTTAAAAAATAATAAAAGCAGTGAGAAATAAAAACAAAATGTGTTTGCAATAAATTTTAAAATAAAACCAGATCACAATACACATTGAAAAATATCCCTGAGTTTAAGCTCACTACTTTGCATTGTCATAAAAATTTTTATTAATAAACAAGCTAGAACCAACATACCCAACAATGATCATAATGTTAAGTTTTAAGTCTCTGTAGAGCTCTTCTACACTTACTAGTTTTAGTAGTCTCCAAATAAATTTATCTTTGTGAAATTAAATAAGACAGCAAATGCTAGACAAATGGAAATTTTGGGACCACTACAATTGTAACACATACTACAGCTCTATTACAGAAACTTTAAATATTCCCCAAAAAGGCCTGAAAATAATGCTCATTTTAACATACACAAGATATTTTCCTTGTGATATATTCCAAGTGTTAAAAAACATAAAAAAGGAACCAGTTTGCCATTTCTGATAACTTGCATTTAGATAGAAAAATTCAAATATTTAAATACCCGCCTCACCTCTACAATCTTTTTAAAGTTTATAAGGATATGGAAAAATAGTCTATCATAAAACAATGCTATAAATTTAAGAGAAAAACCTAGTAAGTTGTATTTTAAATAAAATAATGTTAAAAGCTATTATGCAGATAAAGGACTTTACAAAAGTATGCATGCCTAAGATGATATAGAAGTCACTTGGAGAAATAGGCAATGAAAAGTGGATGCAAATTAGATGAATTTCTCTTCATCTATATTTCAGTTCTGAACAATACTGCCTTTAAAACTTTATAGAAGCAAAACAATTAAAATACCATAGATCCTTCCACAGTCACTAGATTAGGCTCCTAAAATGACAAATAACAGCAGCTACCATAGGTTGGATGCCAAACCCATTATATCTAAACTTCACAAAAACTGAAAAATTACTGTATACTTGTTAGAGACAAGCCATGGTCCAAAGTGAAATCACTGACACAAGCATGAATTAAATAGCAAAACTAACTTTCAAACCTGAGTCTTTCTAATCCCAAAGACTATAGACCTCCCCTCCCCTTGAGCTAGGTTTCCTTCCAGCAAGACCTTTGAGGAATTTAAGGCTTTTCTGGAAATCATGAGTTAGTAAGAGTTTATCTCAAGTAGACCTTGAAACACTCCACAAATTATTTTGTGCTAACAAAGACAGCCCTATAAAAAGCACATCATGACATCTGAAATGTTTTCAAGTACATAGTCAGTTCCCACTTACCATCCCTTGCCCACTTAAGACTTCCCTTCTCTATAACTTTAGTACAATTTAAAAATGTTCAAGCCTTTCTAATTTTATGCCTGAGTCACTGACTTCCTAGATTTCCTCATGATCCCAAAGATCATGAATGATTTCATTGGAGGATTAACATATCCTCCAATACAGCTGGGGAAAGATCTTAATATTCACATGTTACAAAAATCCAAATATCTCTACAATAAAACAAATATTGCTTCCATTTCTTCCCTATAATTTAAATTGCAAAGCTATGCCTACCATGACTGCATTATCAAAGCACATGCCATCAGCCCTCTGATATACAAACATTTCATATTCCAACATCCTACTAAATACAGGTGTGCATTCTGAGGCTGTAATTTCCTCTCTGTTAATTGCTGCCCTCCATTGTCAAAATTTTTATTTTCGCTCTATTTCCTTTTCTACTATTTTCTCTTGCCAATCACTGGACTCTCTCCTTTGCATTTTTAAATTTATTCCCATCAAGAACAAATTCTACCAAATTTGTTTGGACTTGCAAGTCAGATAGCAAATTCTCCAAATTGTTAAAAGTGGTAAAAATTAGATCTAGATATAACTTTCCTGTTGAGGGGAAAATTTTCTATAGCCTGTCTTTTACCATTTATTTCTGAGGATCTCTAGTTTTCAAAAAGTCTGGGACACATGGAAGTATTCACCTCTTAAAATGTACCTTAAATATGGTCAGAAGTCTAATTAGTTTTTTTCAACTTTAAATTGATTGTTTTTAATCACTAAAGATTCAAAATGGCAAATACTATGTTTCTAAAAACATATAACTGAGAAATCAGCCTTAACAAGTATATATCCCTAAAGGGAGTTCAGAAAATTACAATTCTCCACATTTTCAAAACATCTCCTTGTGCCCGTATTTTTTAACCACATAAACTGATTTACTTTAATCATATAAATTAAGCTTACCGTTTTGTTCCAAAATGTTTTATGATAAGACACACAGTATGTACCACAGCAACAAAAAGCACATAATATCTAACACTGACAAATAATTTAAAAATCTAATATTATTCTGATGCCACATTATGGAAAAAAATATTGAACCATATTATTCCACGAAAGTTCTTAATGGACAGCTTTTTCTTTCATTGCTTAAGAAGATTTAATAGAGTTTCCCTATGAGGAAATCTACTGTAACTTAAGAGTTCCCCAAAGCGTAGGTTTGATTAGGCCAACAAACTTGTTCAGTAAGGTAGACAGCTAATGCTATTATCAAAATCCTCTTCTCCATATTGGACTCAACCATCTAGTAAAAAGCTAAGAAACTAACCACTCTGGGTGTCTGAGTTAATGTACAGTTTAAACAGGCAGTAAATGTTCCCAAGAGCCTCTACCTCCCCTCCTGGCACAGTAAATGAATATAAAAATATCTCTGAAGTTACAATGGAATTAAATTATCATATTTTGATGATTCTGATATCCCAGAAAGAATCTGAGGGCTCCCTGCAGAGATGCAACAGAAAGTTTAAGATGACAAATCAGGGCTAATAGAAGATAGACAAAAGGCCATAAATTGATCTCTGAAGGTCAGGCTCACGCATGTAATGCCAACACTTTGGGAGCCTGAGGCGGGAGGATTACTTAAGCCCAGGAATTCAAGACCAGCCTGGGCAACATGGCGAGACTTTGTGTCTACAAATAATTTAAAATATCAGCTAGGCATAGTAGCACATGCTTGTGGTCCCAGCTATTCAGAGGGCTTAGGTGAGAGGATTGCTTGAGTCCAGGAGATGAAGGATGCAGTAAACTGTGATTGTGCCACTGCACTCCAGACTGGGCAACAAAACAAGAGCCTGTCTCAAAAAAAAAATATATATATATACATATATATATATCTCAGCTGCTTTTTCTTGGAAGCCAAAGCAAAGGACATCATTAACAACAAATGTCTTTAATGTGCATTAAGATTAAAACAAAGCATTTGCTCTAAGATTGTTTTCCTGGTAATGACAGCTAGTATTTATGGAGCACCTACTATGCGCAAGGTAAGCACTGTTCTAAATACTTTATATATATTTAGTCTTCATGATAAACCCATAAGGTAGCAACTCTCATTATTGTCATTTTACAAATGAGAATAAACAGAAAAAGATTCTCCTCTGAGTCTAAGAGAAAATATGAGTACAATAGTTTTTAAACTTTATTGACTACAAAACACAGTAAGAAGTACACTTTACACAGCAATCCAGTACCCACAATACATTAAAAACTAAAAAAGATTCATGAAACAATACTTAAAAAAGGAAAAATGGTGACACTAAGATAAAATGTAATTTTATTAATATTTAAATATAGCATAGGAAAAAAGCAAAAGAAACAATACAAAACCAAGAAATACTGGTTGGGACCACCAAATTGTTTCACAACCCACTAATGGATTGCAATCTCATGTTTTCAAAAATATGGAAATAAAGTCTCCAAAATTCCTACCAAAAAAAATTGAATTTTAAAGAGCTATTTCTCAAAATGCCCTTTAATGCTGAGTGAAGCACAACAATGCCCAATTCAATAAGAGCAATTTAATCAGGGGAAGCAAAACAACGTGGTCTGTGTATCTAGCCCTCTTAATGGTTAGGCTTGATCTAATAATGTAACTGTGCTTTTGAGAACAGTTCAGGTTCTTAACTAGCAACATGGTTCTCTAAAGAAGAATCAGGACGTCCCTGATTTCTAAATAAATAGATATGTATAGATGCAATTTCCAGGCAAAAGTCCAGAGTTTATAGCAAATTTTCAAATTATTTTGCTTGAAATATTGCTTGAATTATTGCTTGAAAGTTTATAACCATATTCTAAAAGAATGGGTGAATCACATATCAATGTAGACATCTATGAATGTTTTCTCACAGAAGGGCTTCTAATAAGAACTGGGCAGCAAACAGTTCAAAGGTCCATTTGCTAAGAAAAAGCCTAGAATGTGGCTATCTCATATTCCCAACTTGAAAAGAGATGCACTTGTTATGACATTTAATTCAGGTCACATATGTAAATAGATGGCTGTAAACAGTTCTGCATGGAAATTGTGTAGCATCTTTTAAGCTACGTTAGGAAAGAGATGAGCCTTAAAAGACATGTAGGATGGGAAGATAGAACATTTCAGATGGAGGGACAACTATGAGCATAGAGAAAAGATGGAGAGGGGTAGATATGTGCACAATTTCTACGTGGCAAATATATTACCTATCCATTTGCTTGCAACAGAAGTATCATGCACCTTTGATAGTGGTTACCAACCAAAAGACATTCAAAGAGGCAGAAAATGTAAATTAAATGAGAAGCACATAAAGAAAAAGACTGTGAGGCTGTAAAATGCTATACAAATATCAGCTCCCATTGTAACTACATCTATCATTTTACTTCAAAACCGTAGGTGCCTAGCTATCATTTGATTTTAATCTTTATGCCAACCCAGAATCAAGGCTCTAAATCAGTGGTTCTCAACCTTGCCTGCATATCAAAATCCTGATGCACAGGGTGTACACCAGACTATTTAAAATTACATTTCTGGGACCCAGCATCAATACTTTTTTGAAGCTTCCTAGGTAATTCCAATATGGTCAAAGTTGAAGACTACAAATCTAAGGGCATGTTCAAGAGACTGCTAGACATTTTGTTCCCTCCAGAAAGAACTTAAAGTAGCTCATAAAAAATTAATATTTATTTCAAGAAAAATTTAAAGTCATATCCATCAACATAAGAATATCATTGATTACATATTTTTCTACAGATCTTTTAGTTTTGTGGTACTTGAGCCCAGGAATTCGAGATCAGCCCGGGCAACATGACTGGTCTGAAATGGTACTGTTTCTATACCTGTGTGTACGTTTTACTTCCACAAGCACAAGAATAATTTTCTCTACAGTATATACACAATTTATAAAGAAAATATATTCTAATGTTCGAGTAACAATTTATTAATGAAAAATCCCGCCCAGAAAAAGAACCTAGTCTAAAATAAAAATCACAGAATTCAAAACACTTTTCTGGACATACAATTTATTTTCTATCAGTACTACATTTAAAGAGACTGATAAAGCCCATGATGAAAGAGGAGATCCGACACTCACTGAGTGTCTGATTTATCTTTTTTTTTTTTTTTTTTTGAGATGGAGTTTCACTCTTGTTGCCCAGGTTGGAGTGCAATGGCACGATCTCAGCTCACCACAACCTCTGCCTCCTGGATTCAAGCAATTCTCCTGCCTCAGCCTCCCGAGCTGGGATTACGGACGCATGCTACCACGCCCAGCTATTTTTTTTTTAATTTTTTTTTTAGTAGAGACAGGGTTTCTCCATGTTGGTCAGGCTGGTTTTTTTTTTTTTTTTTTTTTTTTTTTTGAGACGGAGTCTTCCTCTGTCGTCCAGGCTGGAGTGCAGTGGCGCGATCTCAGCTCACTGCAAGCTCCGCCTCCCGGGTTCACGCCATTCTCCTGCCTCAGCCTCCTGAGTAGCTGGGACTACAGGCGCTCGCCACCGCGCCCGGCTAATTTTTATTGTATTTTTAGTAGAGACGGGGTTGCACCGTGGTCTCGATCTCCTGACCTCGTGATCCACCCGCCTCGGCCTCCCAAAGTGCTGGGATTACAGGCGTGAGCCACCGCGCCTGGCCTGGTCAGGCTGGTCTTGAACTCCCGACCTCAGGTGATCCGCCCACCTCAGCCTCCCAAAGTTCTGGGATTATAGGCGTGAGCCATTGCGCCTGGCTGATTTATCTTTCAAGCCCTGAAATAGGTGCTTTCACAGCTTAGAATTTATTTAATCCTTACAAGTACATCACATTTAAGGTATATGGGGCCGGCATAGTGGCTCACACCTGTAATCTCAGGTGTGATTTGGGAGTAGGCCGAGGCAGGAGAATCACTTGAGTTCAGGAGATCAAGATCAGCCTGAGCAACATAGTGAGACCTCATCTCTACAAAAAATAAAAAATTAGCCGAGCATGGTGGGCATGCCTGTAGTCCCAGCTACTCGGGAGGCTGAGATGGGAGGACTGCTTGAGCCTGGTAGTTCGAGTTTGCAGGGAGCTATGATCCCACCACTACACTCAACCTGGGAAACAGAGTGAGACTCTGTCTTGAAAAAATAAAAAGTAAAGTACATATCCAATTAGTTTCATTTTCACAGATGTGGAAAGAGGCTCTTTTGCATTGTAAAGTGGCAGCACTAGGATTCAGGCTTAGCATAACCAACTTCAAACCCCTTCCCTTCTTCTTCAACAGTGTTTATCATACTAATTTTCTGGGGTCTGAATTTTTTAAATGTCAATTTTTAAGCTCTATTTAAAACAAAACAAAAAAACCTTGAATGTTTAAAGGTGAAATAAGCCCAAATTTCACTCACTGGAGGACATAAGTGTGTTCAAAAGTGCAAACAAGTTTACTCACTTTTGTACAGAGCTTGGAATAAAGCTCTACCTTCCATATTTATGCTTAATTTCATGCTTTTAAATGTATCAATGATAGGAAAAGACACAGCTCTACAAGAATCTTAAAAAAACAAACAAAAAACCCCAAAGGCCTTCATATGTCCAATAACATAAAATCTTACAAACTACACACTATAGCAACATGCATTCAGAGCACTTGATCAAATGCCCCAAGGTATGGGCACATCTTTTCAGTACAGTGTCTCATCAAGACATAAAAGGAGATAGTCAGAGGAAGAGGTCATTCTTAGATATAATATTCATTTAACGTCCAGTTTTATTATAAGTATTGTGTTTAATAGAAGAAATACATGCATGTTTAAATGTATTCGTGATTTAACATTGAAAAGCAATTTTTACTATTCATTCAAGAGTATGAATCAGTTAAAAAGCATTGTAATATAGGAACATAAGCTTAAGAAAAATAAACTATCACTTGAAAATTAAGAGGAACAGAACTTGGTAACATAAAATGGAAACAAAATAAAAAAATAAACTGTGCATTAGGATATGTTTACAGCAATCATCCATATTACCAGTTTCAATTTCCTGCACTCACTGAAACTGCTTCACTCTTCTAATTAGTTTCACAAGAGTTAAAAATTTGATTTTATAAAGCAAACTTACACCAATAAAATGCCACTGTTATACATATAGATTTAGCTTGAAGAATACTGTTAAAGTTTGAAAAACACTTACAGATTTGGCTTGAAGAATACTGTTAAAATCGGGAAAACACTGTATTATACAAATTAATAGTAACTAGCATATGATAAGGCCACAACTTCAAATATAATAACTGTTATTTATGTATTTATTTATTTATTTAGAGACCAGGTTGGGCTCCATTACCCAGGCTGGAATGCAGTGGCACGATCACAGCTCACTGCAGCCTCACCTGTCCAGTGATCCACCCACCTCAGCCTCCCAGGTAGCTGGGGCCACAGGTGCACACAACCATGCCCAATTAATTTTTGTATTTTTGGTAGAGTTGGGGTTTTGCTATGTTGCCTATGCTGGTCTCAAACTCCTGAGCTCAAGTGATCCACCCACCTCAGCTTCCCAAAGTGCCAGGATTACAGGCAATGTGCCACAGCGCCCAGCCCAAATATAATAACTTACGAAAAACATCTTAATCATTATTTACTTGCTCTTTACAAACATTTAAGCAATGCCTCAAACTCCACATTTGTCAGTTACATTAACTACAAGAGCAGGAATCTAGTTTTTCTTACACTAACAGAGAGTGAGAGTGAGACAGTGTGTGTTTTAAAAGAGAAAAAGTAGCCTGAGAGAGAGAGAGAGAGAGAGAGAGAGAGAGAGAGAGAGAGAGAGAGAGAGAGAGAGTGTGTGTGTGTGTGTGTGTGTGTGTTTAAAAAGAGAAAAAGTAGCAAAGAGAAAAAGTAGCTTTTATCCAGGGTATCTGTTGTGGAATTTTCTTTTCTTTTTTTTTTTTTTTTTTTTTTTTGAGAAGGAGTTTTGCTGTTGTTGCCTAGGCTGGAGTGCAATGGCACAATCTCAGCTCACTGCAACCTCCGCCTCCCGGGTTCAAGCCATTCTCCTGCCTCAGCCTCCCGAGTAGCTGGGATTACAGGCATGCACCACCAGGCCCAGCTAATTTTTGTATTTTTAGTAGAGACGGGGTTTCTCCATGTTGGTCAGGCTGGTCTCCAACTCCTGACCTCAGGTGATCTGCCTGCCTCGGCCTCCCAAAGTGCTGGGATTACAGGCATGAGCCACCACAGCCAGGCTATTTTTGGAATTTTCTAAAGCACAAAACACGTAATGAAAATACAGCTTCAAATTTCCTTCCACATATATTCTTGAGACTAATTACAAAGTTAAAGTGAAGGGTGTTTTTTTGTTTCCAGAGCATCTTTTTTAGAGAGAAGTAGGTATAGATGGAGTTGCTATACATAAAGCACTGAGATGTGTCTCTTTCAGGTATGGGAAACAACATTTTCGCTATAAATTAGCCATCTGGTGTCCAAAAGTAAAGTACTATATCTAAAGTAAAACAATTTTAAATAAAAACTTCTAAGTCAAATAGCTGATATAAAAGGAATTCCAGATGTTAAAACAAAGCCAAAGAAACAAAGTTTAAAATTACATTGAAAATAACATATTTTAAGTATTTCCTTTTTTTTTGAGACAGGGTCTCACTCTGTCACCCAGGATGGCGTGCAGTGGCATGATCTTGGGTCATGCAACCTCCACCTCCCGGGTTCAAGTGATTCTCCCACCTCAACCTCCTGAGTATCTGGGATTACAGGTGACTGTGACAATGCCTGGCTAATTTTTGTATTTTTAGTAGAGACAGGGTTTCACCATGTTGGACAGGCTGGTCTTGAACTCCTGACCTCAAGTATCCACCTGCCTCGGTCTCCCAAAGTGCTGGGATTACATGTGTGAGCCACCACACCTGGCCTATTTTAAGTATTTCTATGCCTTTGTCTATGAAAGTTGACTTGCCTGAACTATTGGTACTACAAGCCAGAAAAGCAGGTATTCTAGTCCTGATTTTGCCTCTTAACTAGCTGTGAATTTGGGCAAATTCTCTGATTTCTCAAATCTCTAAGGACTAGTTTCCATTGTAAACCAGGGACTAGTCAGAAAATAAAGAGTTTCAGGTTTGAAGAGGCTTTCCGAATTACACAGTCTAGCTCCACTATGTTACGATTGTGGTAATGGAGGCATAGGCATGTTAGGAAACTTTCCTTAATTCACACAGGTAGTTACTGACAAAACTAAACCTAAAATCCAAGTCCAATACTTATGCAACAAAACAATTGTAAGTTTAAGTTTCTTTACCAATAGCATGATAAATTTATAAGTTCTTGTTGTCTGGCCCTTTTAGGTTCAGTAAATAGGCTGTCCATACTGCCAGGTTAAATATAAACCCAAGTGTTTCTCTATGCAATAATTGAGTTAGTTGTTACATAGAAGTTGTATTAGTACAATTATGAACTTTTAGGTTCCATGGAAATGTTGTATGTGAAAAGACTCATACACTTCATTCTACACTTGTCAGATCTAACTTTTCTTTATTTAAAATAACTCTTGAAATTTCTACTGGTTTTTCAAATAGAATTTTAGTGTTCGAAAACAAAGATAAATCAATATTATATAATACATAGATTTAAAAAATCAATGAGTACTTTCAAAATAATAAGATGAAAACTTTCCTTAACCTTCTAAAGCAACACATGCAACTGACACTACTCTAAGAATGCAGCTAATATATTTTTATCTACATTAGTTGCTAGACTTACAGTTTAGACATTCTTACTTTGAGATGTATATCCACTTTTAAGAATGACTAACTTCTTTCCTAACAGGAAATACTTACAACTCATGTGGAACATATAATT
The DNA here is from genome assembly GCF_000001405.40 of Homo sapiens. Lineage (NCBI taxonomy): Eukaryota > Metazoa > Chordata > Mammalia > Primates > Hominidae > Homo > Homo sapiens. The sequence continues at coordinate 53,415,739 of NC_000004.12, read as the reverse complement.
AAGACTGTATAGAAAATGAAACATAAGAAAATCAAATTTTGATAGTGTTTCCTCCCTTTTCTTTTAGGTGTTATGATCAAAGGTATCTGATCATAATTTACATTTGTATTTTTTAAGTTTTTAAATTAAAATAATTGCAAACATATTTATATAGCATTGAGCTAACCAGGTAAATAGCTTAAAATTCTCTAACAAAAGCAAAAAAAAAAACAAAAAACAAAATTACCCCTTGTATATCATAATTATTTAAAACCTCAAATGATAAATTAGGAAAGTATCTTGGTCTGTATTTTGAAGTCAGGTTATCAAAGCACAATCTCTCAGATTGATCACTGCAAGTAATGTAGTTTCATATTGGAACATAGTTGTTTCTCATTGCATCCCTTAAAGATGAAGTTATTATTTCAATTTTCAGGCTCAGAGAAATTATAATATCCATTCGAGGTTGTATGCTGTGTAAATTTAAGATTCAGAACACAAACCAAAATTCACTGGAGGGTAGATCATTAACAAAAGCATAACAACAATAAGGGAAATAGCATATTCCAGGGCAGCTACTACGTCTGCTTAATGAAATCAGGGGTTTTTGCACTGTAGTGGGTATAAGATTGGAAAGATTCAGTAGAGTCAAATTTTACGGGTCCTAAATACTGGCTCAGAATGTTAGGTTTTATTCGATAAGTAGTGAAAAGCACCTGGGAATTTTTTTTAAATGCGATGTGGTATGAGAAAGAATTAACCTGCAGCAAGAGAACGAAAAAAAAAATTACTGAGCATCCATTAGCACGGTTCAATATAATTCATTAAATATTATAAACAGCCAGAAAGATGGGTAGCAAGACAAGTGCTGGGTTTTGATTTATAAGGTAACTAAAAAACCTACAACTGTACCCTGAAAAAGCATAAGTTGGAGGGTAAAAATATGGTACAGTCAAAATTTATTATCTTACTAATAAGGCATAACAACATTGATGATCTAAACATCAGGGAGTATCCAATGTTTAAAAATAGCCTTACCTTAGATCAGGTGATTCGGCCCTCCCATATCGATCCTGCCACTTCCCAACGCTTGAATTGGCTTTTCTGGAGGCAGTACTTGTCTGAGACTGAGAAGAAGTGCTGTTTCTGGTGAGATAAATTTTCTATGTTTTTTCTTACATATTGTTGTCTCTGACCCCCCTTGTTCTGTTTTTTTTTTTTTCTTGACATGCTTTTTCTAAAGTCTTTTAGTATGTTCCTACAGTATCATTCTCAAGTCATATAAACTACTTGCTGTGGTACTAAGTATTTAAATATAGATGTGCTATCAACACTTTCTTAACTCTAGAATATTTTTAGAAATATTCTTCAACATAGTATGATGTCAATGCAGAAATGAGAAAAGAACTAAGGATTTACATCAGGTTACAATACATTAATCAAAAAATACATTTCTGTGCCTCTATGAATTCTTAATATTAATTTTTGCAATTTTACAAAATCTTACTAAAAATTTTGGTATTTCTTTCCCTATATTCTTCAACAATGGATATAAGTATTGTTAGTGCAACCAGTTAACAGCAACACTCTGACGTGTTTCATAAAAACCTATACTATTTTATAAAAAATCCCTTTCAAAATAACTCTTTCAAAGTAAAGTTCCCAAAAAAGTTAATTTTATCCCTGTTGACATACTTCATAAAAAGTTCAGATATTTGCAATATTGCCAATACTTTACAGAACTAATAAGATGCTCTTTCAAAGCAACAGGATATATATACATGTTTATGCATCTGCTTGTTTATGTAAAAAGAAACACAGGAAAAACAAACCAGAAACGAAATGAAATCTGTTCTGACAGGAATGAAAGAAACAGAGAAAGATGTGACAAGTTTCTATATACCTTTGGATACTCTTGCCTTTCGAACTGTTAGATGTTTTACATATGCAAAAAATAAATCAGTGAACATGGAAGGAAAAATAAATGCTAAAACTGCATACAAACAGACACAATAAACCAAATTATATATTTTAAATTCTTAATATAACAACTCTGTAGGAAACTTCTGAACCCAATATCTGAATTATATACCCTTAGCCTAAAAAGAGACAAAGAAAAAACTGTAAACAAATCCTAAACTACTGAATAGGTTTTCTTATAACAGTAAAAGTTCTGAATCTGTTATATGTGTATTTCAAGATTCTGGGAGCCACGTTCTCATTGTGGAAAAAAAAGGAGATGCAATATGGAATAGGGAAAGAGAAATAGGAATAAGAATCCTGTGATGTTCAAATGGAAGTAAAAGAAACATGATGATTTCATGACTAAAATGTATTTTAAAAAACACACATGGAAATTTCATCTTGAAAATGCTAATTCTTTCCTAGCTCTGAGTGCTGAAAAGGCCTGGAAATAAGGATGCCCTAGTATAAGGAGCACAGCTAGCACCCTGATCTTGTTTTTTAATTACCATTCCCCACTAAAAGGAATCAGAGTGCCTTTGAAAATGGCTGCTTCTAAGGAAGAAACAGGGAAACTACAAGATAAGCCTGGAACATCCTGGTAATGCCAAACTATAAAAACACCCTAAAAAAAAAAACATGATGGAGACATATCAAAGGTCACAGAGCAAGTTTGAAGAGGAACAATCTGATGTTCACATCAAAATGAATTACAGTATATATAAATCATACATACGGTTTAAACACCATGTATACAAATAAGCTACATTTGTAAGTCACACATACACACTTTCTCACACATAAAATAAGAATTTATGAGTCTAAGTGATAAGTGGCGGAGTGGGAAAGCTCATTTTTAAAGTAGAATGCCAACTAATAAATGTTAAGAGAAATAAGAGTTACATAATCACTATTTTGCAGCCATTACAGTAATAACTGACTAAAGAAAAAATTATCACTGGCACTAAAATCCCTAAAAAGTTTGAAGAGGAACAGGATATTTAGCCTTTCCACAAATTACTTATTAAATACAAAGGAAAAAATAGCAACTTTGCAGTGCAGAAACCCAAAGGACACCATCACAACTAAGGCATTAGAATTATCATTTCTAATAAAATAACATGACAAACTGACATCCTGTATCTCCAAGCCAATACACTGAGAAGGGTACATCATCACTTACATAGTATTCCTGCCCAAAAAGCAAAACCTGAATCTAATCATGAGAAAATATCAGGCAAAACCAAGAACAATTAACTCAACAACTAGATTGTACTCTTCTAAAATTCAATGTTAAGAAATACAAAGAAAAGCTAAGAAGCTGATCCAGATTTAAGAAAAACAAAAAGATAAAATAGTTAAATTTAACGCGTGACACTGGATTAAGTCCTAAATCCATGAAGAAAGAAAACATTGCCATAAAGGATATTGGGATAATTTGCAAAATTTACAGCCTGCAATTAGATGAAAGTACTGATTCACTATTAGATTTTCTGACTTTGATAACTCTGCCGTATGATTATCTAACAGAATGTCCTCGTTCTGAGGAAATACATGCTTAAGTACTTAAGGGTAAAGGGGCATGATGCCTACAATTAATATTCAAATGGCTCAGTAAGAAAAATGTTTTTGAGAAATTATAACGCAAATATGACAAAATGTTATTAACTGGAAAATCTGGATACAGTATATGGAAGTTATTTGTACTTTTTTTTGCAATTCTTTGTAAGTTTAAATTTTTTTCAAAATAAAACTTTATTTTTTTCAATGACAACAACAAATGAAGGAGGCATAATGGGGACTTTTGGGGGTAATAAAAACGTTCTATCAGTCTATATCCTGGTTTACAAAAGTATGTTTAGCTTGTAAAAATTTAACCAAGATGTACATTCCTGATATGCCACTTTTCTGTATGTATGTATTTCACAAAAAGTTAAGATGCTAACGTTTAAAGATTAAGCAAAGCATTCTGATATATTAAATATAAAATTTTACTTAACAGTGCCAATTTGATGGGTACTACAGAACGTTGGAAACCCAGCATTTCTATTGATAAAGTACGAAAAAATATTTTTAAAAGTTCTGTGCAAGCATATCAACACTTACATATACATTAATAAGGCAATCTAAGATTGTAAACAATGGAAATACAGTGCTTAGGTCAGTAGCACAGCTCATTAGTCTTAAACATCTACTGTGCACCCTGTATTATATCTTTATGAATAACATTTACTGTTTTCTCCCTAAGGTCAATACAATTTTACTTTCAAAGATGTCTATCCAATCTCCATAAATATAACGAATAAAACAAAAAAAATACTTTTATGGGAAATATTTCACAATGACTGCAAAGTATCCTTTTTATCAAATGGAATCCAGAAAACAAACTTTCCTAATGAGTTGTGGCTACTGTCCTTTACGTACGAAAGTGACAGTATTGACAACTTAGGTAACTTTTATAGGTAGCAGTGGTAATTATTCATTTTTCGTTTTTTAGTAGTGATAGCCCTGCTAATTTTTCCATCCTTTCTTTACCTCCTTTCAGCTGTCCCTTACCTATATTTGCCCTCCATCTCTTCTTAGCCAATGGCCCATCATTACAATAACTCCCTCAAGTAAATGCTCATGTACCTGTCCCCTTCATCCCTTTTTTATAATTCCCTGATACATCAACCTCTGTTAAATCCAACTCTAGCTAACCTTCATAAACACTCATATACCTAACAAGAGTCAGAGAAACACCCAAAAAGCAGCGACAAGACTGTCACACTTTAAACCCATGGCCATTAATTTCAAGAAAAGTTGAAAATATACAGCAGCCCCCCCCACCTTATTCTTGGGGGATACATTCTAAGACCCTCAGTGGAGGATATATCCTAAGGCCTCCAGTGGATGCCTGAAACTGAGGATGGTACTGAACCCAATATGTACAATGATTTTTTCTATATATACATGCCTATAAAATTTAATTTATAATTAAACACAGTAAGAAATTAACAATAATAAAAGAGAACAATTAGGTGAGTGCAAAAGTAATTGCGGTTTTTGCACTTTTGGGATCTGCAGTTTGATACTGGAATACATTCTTAAACAAATAGTTATGTTACACATCATGTTAATGGGCATTTCTCGTTTTATTTCTTTATTTTTTCTGCTAATGACTTATTACTTGCTGTTTATTTTATGTTTATTTTAGACTATGGAAATGATGTTAGACAAAAAGCAAATTCGAGCAATTTTCTTATTCAAGTTCAAAATGGGTCATAAAGCAGCAGAGACAACTCGCAACATCAACAACACATTTGGCCCAGGAATTGCTAATGAGCATACAGTGCAGTGGTAGTTCCAGAAGTTTTACAAAGGAAACGAGAACCTTGGCTGGTCATTGGAAGTTGACAATGACCAACTAAGAGCAATCATCGAAGTTGATCCTCTTACAACTACACGAGAAGCTGTCGAAGAACTCAACGACCATTCTACAGTTGTTAGGCATTTGAAGCAAATCAGAAAGGTGAAAAAGCTCAGTTAAGTGGGTGCCTCATAAGCTGACCGAAAATCAAAAAAATCATCCTCATGAAGTGTTGTCTTCTCTTACTCTATGCAACAATGAACCATTCCTCTATCTGACTGTGATGTGCGATGAAAAGTGGATTTTAAGGATGGAGCCAAGGTGGCCAAATAGGAACAACTCCGGTCTACAGCTCCCAGCGTGAGCGACGCAGAAGACGGGTGATTTCTGCATTTCCATCTGAGGTACCGGGTTCATCTCACTAGGGAGTGCCAGACAGTGGGCGCAGGACAGTGGGTGCAGCGCACCATGGGCGAGCCAAAGCAGGGCAAGGCATTGCCTCACTCAGGAAGCGCAAGGGGTCAGGGAGTTCCCTTTCCTAGTCAAAGAAAGGGGTGACAGACAGCACCTGGAAAATTGGGTCACTCCCACCCTAATACTGCGCTTTTCCAATGGGCTTAAAAAACGGCGCACCAGGAGATTATATCCTGCACCTGGGTCGGAGGGTCCTACGCCCACGGAGTCTCGCAGATTGCTAGCACAGCAGTCTGAGATCAAACTGCCAGGTGGCAGCGAGGCTGGGGGAGGGGCGCCCGCCATTGCCCAGGCTTCCTTAAGTAAACAAAGCAGCCAGGAAACTCCAACTGGGTGGAGCCCACCACAGCTCAAGGAAGCCTGCCTGCCTCTGTAGGCTCCACTACTGGGGGCAGGGCACAGACAAAAAGACAGAAGTAATCTCTGCAGACTTAAATGTCCCTGTCTGCTTTGAAGAGAGCAGTGGTTCTCCCAGCACGCAGCTGGAGATCTGAGAACGGGCAGACTGCCTCCTCAAGTGGGTCCCTGACCCTTGACCCCCGAGCAGTCTAAGTGGGAGACACCCCCCAGTAGGGGCAGACTGACACCTCACATGGCCAGGTACTCCTCTGAGGCAAAACGTCCAGAGGAACGATCAGACAGCAGCATTCGCGGTTCACGAAAATCCGCTGTTCTGCAGCCACCGCTGCTGGTATCCAGGCAAACAGGATCTGGAGTAGACCTCCAGCAAACTCCAACAGACCTGCAGCTGAGGGTCCTGTCTGTTAGAAGGAAAACTAACAAACAGAAAGGACACCCACACCAAAAACCCATCTGTACATCACCATCATCAAAGACCAAAAGTAGATAAAACCACAAAGATGGGGAAAAAACAGAGCAGAAAAACTCGAAACTCTAAAAAGCAGAGTGCCTCTCCTCCTCCAAAGGAACGCAGTTCCTCACAAGCAACGGAACAAAGCTGGACAGAGAATGCCTTTGACGAGTTGAGAGAAGAAAGCTTCAGACGATCAAACTACTCCAAGCTACGGGAGGAAATTCAAACCAAAGGCAAAGAAGTTAAAAACTTTGAAAAAAATTTAGAAGAATGTATAACTAGAATAACCAATACAGAGAAGTGCTTAAAGGAGCTGACAGAGCTGAAAACCAAGGCTTGAGAACTACGTGAAGAATGCAGAAGCCTCAGGAGCCGAGGTGATCAACTGAAAGAAAGGGTATCAGTGATGCAAGATCAAATGAATGAAATGAAGTGAGAAGGGAAGTTTAGAGAAAAAAGAATAAAAAGAAACGAACAAAGCCTCCAAGAAATATGGGACTATGTGAAAAGACCAAATCTACATCTGATTGGTGTACCTGAAAGTGACGGGGAGAATGGAACCAAGTTGCAAAATACTCTGCAGGATATTATCCAGGAGAACTTCCCCAATCTAGCAAGGCAGGCCAACATTCAAATTGAGGAAATACAGAGAACGCCACAAAGATACTCCTTGAGAAGAGCAACTCCAAGACACATAATCGTCAGATTCACCAAAGATGAAATGAAGGAAAAAATGTTCAGGGCAGCCAGAGAGAAAGGTCGGGTTACCCACAAAGTGAAGCCCATTAGACTAACAGCAGATCTCTCCGCAGAAACTCTACAAGCCAGAAGAGAGTGGGGGCCAATATTCAACATTCTTAAAGGAAAGAATTTTCAACCCAGAATTTCATGTCCAGCCAAATTAAGCTTCATAAGAGATGGAGAAATAAAATATTTTACAGACAAGCAAATGCTGAGAGATTTTGTCACCACCAGGCCTGCCCTAAAAGAGCTCCTGAAGGAAGCACTAAACTTGGAAAGGAACAACCAGTACCAGCCACTGCAAAATCATGCCAAACTGTAAAAACCATCGAGGATAGGAAGAAACTGCATCAACTAACGAGCAAAATAACCAGCTAACATCATAATGACAGGATCAAATTCATACATAACAATGTTAGCTTTAAATGTAAATGAACTAAATGCTCCAATTAAAAGACACAGACTGGCAAATTGGATAAAGAGTCAAGACCCATCAGTGTGCTGTATTCAGGAAACACATCTCACATGCAGAGACACACATAGACTCAAAATAAAAGGATGGAGGAAGATCTACCAAGCAAATGCAAAACAAAAAAAGGCAGGGGTTGCAGTCCTAGTCTCTGATAAAACAGACTTTAAACCAACAAAGATCAAAAGAGACAAAGAAGGCCATTACATAATGCTAAAGGGATCAATTCAACAAGAAGAGCTAACTATCCTAAATATATATGCACCCAGAATCATAAAGCAAGTCCTGAGTGACCTACAAAGAGACTTAGACTCCCATACAATAAAAATGGGAGACTTAACACCCCACTGTCAACATTAGACAGACCAACGAGACAGAAAGTTAACAAGGATACCCAGGACTTGAACTCAGCTCTGCACCAAGCAGACCTAATAGACATCTACAGAACTCTCCACCCCAAATCAACAGAATATACATTTTTTTCAGCACCACACCACACCTATTCCAAAACTGACCACATAGATGGAAGTAAAGCTCTCCTCAGTAAATGTAAAAGAACAGAAATTATAACAAACTGTCTCTCAGACCACAGTGCAATCAAACTAGAACTCAGGATTAAGAAACTCACTCAGAACCGCTCAACTACATGGAAACTGAACAACCTGCTCCTGAATGACTACTGGGTAAATAATGAAATGAAAGCAGAAATAAAGATGTTCTTTGAAACCAACGAGAACAAAGACACAACATACCAGAATCTCTGGGACACATTCAAAGCAGTGTGTAGACGGAAATTTATAGCACTGAATGCCCACAAGAGAAAGAAGGAAAGATCTAAAATTGACACCCTAACATCACAATTAAAAGAACTAGAGAAGCAAGAGCAAACACATTCAAAAACTAGCAGAAGGCAAGAAATAACTAAGATCAGAGCAGAACTGAAGAAAATAGAGACACAAAAAACCCTTCAAAAAATCAATGAATCCAGCAGCTGGTTTTTTGAAAAGATCAACAAAATTGATAGACTGCTAGCAAGACTAATAAAGAAGAAAAGAGAAAAGAATCAAATACACACAATAAAAAATGACAAAGGGGATATCACCACCGATCCCACAGAAATACAAATTACCATGAGAGAATACTACAAACACTTCTACGCAAATAAACTAGAAAATCTAGAAGACATGGATAAATTCCTCGACACATACACCCTCCCAAGACTAAACCAGGAAGAAGTTGAATCCCTGAATAGACCAATAATAGGCTCTGAAATTGTGGCAATAATCAATAGCTTACCAACCAAAAAGAGTCCAGGACCAGATGGATTCACAGCCGAATTCTACCAGAGGTACAAGGAGGAACTGGTACCATTCCTTCTGAAACTATTCCAATCAATAGAAAAAGAGGGAATCCTCCCTAACTCATTTTGTGAGGCCAGCATCATCCTGATACCAAAGCCGGGTAGAGAAACAACCAAAAAAGAGAATTTTAGACCAATATCCCTGATGAACATTGACGCAAAAATCCTCAGTAACATACTGGCAAAACAAATCCAGCAGCACATCAAAAAGCTTATCCACCATGATCAAGTGGGCTTCATCCCTGGGATGCAAGGCTGGTTCAATATACGAAAATCAATAAATGTAATTCAGCATATAAACAGAACCAAAGACAAAAACCACGATTATCTCAATAGATGCAGAAAAGGCCTTTGACAAAATTCAACAACCCTTCATGCTAAAAACTCTCAATAAATTAGGTATGTAAATAGGACGTATCTCAAAATAATAAGAGCTATCTATAACAAACCCACAGCCAATATCAAACTGAATGGGCAAAAACTGGAAGCATTCCCTTTGAAAACTGGCACAAGACAGGGATGCCCTCTCTCACCACTCCTATTCAACATAGTGTTGGAAGTTCTGGCCAGGGCAATTAGGCAGGAGAAGGAAATAAAGGGTATTCAATTAGGAAAAGAGGAAGTCAAATTGTCCCTGTTTGCAGATGACGTGATTGTATATCTAGAACACCCCATTGTCTCAGCCCAAAATCTCCTTAAGTTGATAAGCAACTTCAGCAAAGTCTCAGGATACAAAATCAATGTGCAAAAATCACAAGCATTCTTATACACCAATAACAGACAAACAGAGAGCCAAATCATGAGTGAACTCCCATTCACAATTGCTACAAAGAGAATAAAATACCTAGGAATCCAACTTACAAGGGATGTGAAGGACCTCTTCAAGGAGAACTACAAACCACTGCTCAAGGAAATAAAAGAGGACACAAACAAATGGAAGAACATTCCATGCTCATGGGTAGGAAGAATCAATATCGTGAAAATGGCCATACTGCCCAAGGTAATTTATAGATTCAATGCCATCCCCATCAAGCTACCAATGACTTTCTTCACAGAATTGGAAAAAACTACTTTAAAGTTCATATGGAACCAAAAAAGAGCCCGCATCGCCAAGGCAATCCTAAGCCAAAAGAACAAACTGGAGGCATCAAGCTACCTGACTTCAAACTATACTACAAGGCTACAGTAACCAAAACAGCATGGTACTGGTACCAAAACAGAGATATAGACCATTGGAACAGAACAGAGCCCTCAGAAATAATGCCGCATGTCTACAACTATCTGATCTTTGACAAACCTGAGAAAAACAAGCAATGGGGAAAGGATTCCCTATTTAATAAATGGTGCTGGGAAAACTGGCTAGCCATATGTAGAGAGCTGAAACTGGATCCCTTCCTTACACCTTATACAAAAATTAATTCAAGATGGATTAAAGACTTAAATGTTAGACCTAAAACCATAAAAACCCTAGAAGAAAACCTAGGCATTACCATTCAGGACACAGGCATGGGCAAGGACTTCATGTCTAAAACACCAAAAGCAATGGCAACAAAAGCCAAAACTGACAAATGGGATCTCATTAAACTAAAGAGCTTCTGCACAGCAAAAGAAACTACCATCAGAGTGAACAGGCAACCTACAAAATGGGAGAAAATTTTCGCAACCTACTCATCTGACAAAGGGCTAATATCCAGAATCTACAATGAACTCAAACAAATTTACAAGAAAAAAACAACCCCATCAAAAAGTGGGTGAAGGACATGAACAGACACTTCTCAAAAGAAGACATTTATGCAGCCAAAAAACACATGAAAAAATGCTCACCATCACTGGCCATCAGAGAAATGCAAATCAAAACCACAATGAGATAGCATCTCACACCAGTTAGAATGGCGATCATTAAAAAGTCAGGAAACAACACGTGCTGGAGAGGATGTGGAGAAATAGGAACACTTTTACACTGTTGGTGGGACTGTAAAGTAGTTCAACCATTGTGGAAGTCAGTGTGGCGATTCCTCAGGGATCTATAACTAGAAATACCATTTGACCCAGCCATCCCATTACTGGGTATATACGCAAAGGACTCTAAATCATGCTGCTATAAAGACACATGCACACGTATGTCTATTGCAGCATTATTCACAATAGCAAAGACTTGGAACCAACCCAAATGTCCAACAATGACAGACTGGATTAAGAAAATGTGGCACATATACACCATGGAATACTATGCAGCCATAAAAAAATGATGAGTTCATGTCCTTTGCAGGGACATGGATGAAACTGGAAATCATCATTCTCAGTAAACTATCACAAGAACAAAAAACCAAACACCGCATATTCTCACTCATAGGTGGGAATTGAACAATGAGAACACATGGACACAGGAAGGGGAACATCACACTCTGGGGACTGTTGTGGGGTGGGGGGAGGGGGGAGGGATAGCATTAGGAGATATACCTAATTCTAAATGACGAGTTAGTGGGTGCAGCACACCAGCATGGCACATGTATACATATGTAACTAAACTGCACATTGTGCACATGTACCCTAAAACTTAAAGTATAATAAAAAAAAAAAAGTGCATTTTATACGATGACTGGAGATGACCAGCTCAGTGGCTGGAGAGAGAAGCAGCTCCAAAGCACTTCCCAAAGCCAAACTTGCACCAGAAAAAGATCATGGTCACTGTTTGGTGGTCTGCTGCTGGTCTAATCCACTACGGCTTTCTGAATACCAGCACAACCACTTCATCTAAGAAGTATGCTCAGCAAATCGATGAGATGCACCAAAAACTGCAATGCCTGCAGCCGGCATTGGGCAACAGAACGAGCCCAATACTCCTCCACAACAATGCCCAACCGCATGTTGCACAACCAATGCTTCAAAAGTTGAATGAATTGGACAACAAAGTTTTGCCTCATCCGCCATATTCATCTGATCTCCTGCCTCCCAACTACCACTTTTTCAAGCATCTTAAGAACTTTTTGCAGGGAAAACACTTCCACAATCAGCAGGATACAGAAAATGCTTTCCAAGAGTTTGTCAAATCCGAAGCACGGATTTTTACACTACAGGAATAAAGAAACTTATTTCTCATTGGCAAAAAATGTGATTGTAATGGTTTCTATTTTGATTAATAAAGATGTGTTTGAGCCTAGTTATGATTTAAATTTCACAGTCCAAAACCGCAATTACTTTTACACCAATCTAAAAACAATCTAATATAATAAAAGTTGTATGAATGTGGTCTCTCTCAAAATACCTTATTGTAACATACTACAGGTAATTGAAACCAAGGAAAGCAAAACCTAGATAAGAAAGTAGTACTGTACAGTTTCTCTCCCTGTGTCATCAATTTTTTACTTTAACTCATTCCCATCAGCATATAAAAATACTGTAATTCCTCTCATCTTGAAAAAAAAGGTTTCTCTTGACCCCACACTTCACTCCAGCTGCCCAGCTACTCCTTTCACCTAGTTTATTCACAGAACTCCAAAAAACTATTTCAGACCTCTTTTCTTCTCAAACACTCAATGCTACCTTCCAATGGCCTCTTATTTCCAACAGCCTCACTCTCACCAGATAAGTGTGCATATTATTTTGCCGGGAAAAATGAAAGCAATCAGAAGAGAACTTTCAATTATTCCCATTCCATTATCCACCTACCCATCTGCACTGGTGCCCTGTATCCTGCCTTCGTTACTGTTCTTATGAATGAACGGTCCATGCTTCTACTTAAGGGCAACTTCTCTACTTCATATTACATCTCATCCCTTTGGCTTTATTAAACGACATTCCTCTACAACTTCCCTGTCTTACACCACCAATTTCTCCTTTAATAACTCATTCCCATAAATATACAAAATGCTGTAATTATTATTATTTTTTAGACAGTGTCTCACTCTGTCGCCAAGGCTGGAGTGCAGTGGTGTGATCTTGGCTCACTGCAACCTCTACCTCCTGGGTTCAAGTGACTCTCCCGCCTCAGCCTCCCGAGTAGCTTGAACTACAGGTTTGCTTCGCAATGCCCAGCTAATTTTTGTATTTTTAGTTGAGATGGGGTTTTGCCATGTTGGCAAGGCTGGTCTCAAACTCCTGCCCTCAACAGATCTGCCCATCTCAGCCTCCCAAAGTGCTCAGATTACAGGCATGAGCTACAGTGCCCAGCCAAAATGCTGTTTTTTTCTTTGTTTTGAAAAAAAACTTCTCCTGACCCCACATTTCCCTCCAGATACTGTCACATTTCTCTGGCCCCCACAGAAAGAAAATAGTCTTCCAAAAAGTGCCCATATTTTCTCTTTCTAATTCTTTTCCTCCCACTCTTTCTTTAATCCATTCCAAAGTCTTTTATCTTCATTTTATACAAATGAAAATGATCCTGGTCAGGATCACCAATGACCATCAATAAAATCCAATGGTCATTCTTAGTCTTCATTTTCTTGACCAATCAATTGGATTTAGTATTTGATAGCTGACATTTCTCCTTGAAACACATCATTTTCAAGACATACAGTGGGTTTTTTTCCTACTTCATTCATCATTCCTCCTTATTAATGGTCTCCTCTTACTAGTTAATCCTTATTTTCCTGACATACAAGGGAGTGCCCCAAGGCTGTCTCTTACCACTTCTCTATCAATACTTACCTCTTTTATGGTCTAATTCCATTTTGTAGTTTCATTTAAGTAATATTAAACACTGATTATCCTAAATTCATTATCTCCAGCCCATACTCTTCCCTTCTACTCCAGATCCATATAGCCAACTTCCTACTCAAATTTCCCACTTGCACGTCCAATAGGCATCTCATTTTTATTATATTCTACACTGAACTCTTGGTCTTCTTCCTCCAATAACCACTCCTCCTTATGGTCTTTTCCATCTCTGTAAATGACAAAACCATCATTCTGGTTCAGTTGATCAGAACAAAAACCTTGGATTCATCCTTAACTGCTTTTTCCTCTACAATCTACATCCAATCCATCAAGATAGGCTATTGGCTTACCTTCTGAAATATAACTGGTATCTGACTACTTCTCAACATCTCCACACCATTATCTTGGTCCAAGTTACCATTATCTCTTGCCTAGATAATTGCTGCAACCTCCTAACTGGCCTCCCTGTTTTCACCCACCCTAAGTAACTCTGTAGTCTGTTTTTAGTAAAGCGACTAAATCGAAACTTTACAAACCTAAATCAGATTATTTCATTGCTCTGCTCAAAATCCGCCAGTGAGTCCCCATTTATTTAATTTATAGGAAAAGCCAAAGCCTTTATAATGGCACACAGCCCTTACATAATCTGGCCCAAATTTTGAAAGGCCAATCAACAATAAAAAAACAAAAGGCAAAGTACAGAAAAACTATTGATTTTTAAATAGTTTAAGTATAATAGCAAACATCTAGAGTATTTTCTAGGTACCAGCACTGTTCTAAAACACTTTACATAAATGAATCCACTGAATATAGATAACTACACTGTGAGGGAAGTACTATTACTACATTTTACAGATTAAGAAATCAAGGCATAAGATTAGAGAATTTGCCCAACGACAGCACAGCTAGTAAGCCGCAGAGCCAGCATCTGAACTCCAGAAATCTGACTCCAGAGTCCAAGCTGTTACCATCACTCTATACTGCAGAATACCATAAACTCAATGAATGAAAGTTAACCTCTTAAAAAATGTATAAGCCAAAAGAATACTACATATTACAATATTATATATTACTACATATTTAAAGCTTAGCTGTCATAAATTCTTTAAAACCAAACATTTTGAGATTATATTTAGCTTAAATAATCACATTTCATTATGTCTATGACAATTCACAAAAATCCTGGATCACTTTATGCCATTTAATTTTGGCTGAAGGCTTCAAGAATCGTTATCTTAGAGCTAGACTAGATGCCACTATAAAGTCTCTTCCTGCATTAGATTATTCTAAAATGTCTCTTATAACAATACAAAACTGTAGAATAACAAAAACAGAAAACTATATAAAATAAATTTAAACCAGTAACACAAAAGGTAAGTGATCTGGCCGAGAACTAGTAATAGTTGGGTTATTAATTTGTTTCAGGCCCAGACTTTAGTCATCTTATCTAGTCCAAGATTAAACTACTGACCTCAAACTTCGCTAGTCTTAGCCTACTATCCTTTACCAGTTTCCTGGTAATGGCATAATAGGGTAACCATTTGTCACATTTAAGTAAAAAAGACATTTTCTAGCATATTTGCCTCTTACATCTGATACCTTCGGGAACATATGAGGTATTATCATATAAAATCAAACAACAACAACAAATGGTTCCAATTTTAAAGATTTTCCAAGCTGAAATTTCAATAGCCTCTTTCACTACAATTAGCAAAAGACCTTCAGGCCAATAGATCTAGACTTAGAAGTCCAATAATTCTTTATGTAAGAATAGGGAGCACAGGAAACAGCAAATACTACTGTTACCACCTCTCTTGAATGTAAGACTGTCTCTTTATTCACCTCTCTTGAATATAAGATTGTCTCTTTATTCATACACAAAACTATATACCGCACTTCACTTCTTGCTTACCCTAGGCTTTTTAGATGGAAAAACATCAAGAAGTTTCTTGTGAAGAATTCATTTTGTACTAAACCAAAGTAAAATGTTCCAGTTTTTTGGTAAAACATTCAGAGCTTTTATACTTAATATAGCACAAATACAATGTAAAGATACCAATGTCGTACAGTAATTGAGTTATAACTATGTAACTAACCTGCTCGGTGGAAGCCCAGTCTTGAACAAAGAAGGAGGAGAAGTAAACTCAGCTTTTGTAGATGGAAGGGCAGTTTCTTTCTCTGAGTTTCCAGTTCTTCCCTGCTGTACCTTAAAAAAAAAAGGTTATTAGCTTGTTGAATTTAACAGAACACTCAAACATAATGGACTTTAGATGTTAAAATAAGTTTACAACATTTAATTTGAAGTTAAACACTAAGAATGTTCCTTTGCTGAATATTTATTAAAATTAGCCTATTTTAGAACAGTATTAGGTGAAAGGCACCAAAGAGAGTATGGGATCAAAATGTTCCAACTATCAAAAAGTTCACATTAATAACACTTAGAAGCCGAATAAACTGTTAATTCTTTGGCACTTTCATAAATTCCTGCAGATCACTACAAATAGGTCCCAGATACTTGGTTATGACTTCATGTTTCGAATTCAAGAAAGACCTTGAAGAATTTTCCCGTTCTGTGTTCACCACCCTTATTCTAAGAAAACAATAGGTGACCATTTTAGCCATTCTGACCATTTTCTATTCAGACTGTGATTTCCTGTAACACAAATGTGAATAATCTGCTACTGTACATCCATACAATTTCTCCCATTTTCCCATCACCATTAAAAGTACCATCATCCTGACAGTTCAGTAGGCTTAAAAGCTTGAAGTTAATCATCTGTCTTAATACCTCTTCTCACTCTGTCACCCAGGCTGGAGTACAGTCGTGCAATCACGGCTCACTGAAGCCTCCACCTCCTGGGTTAAAGTGATTCTCTTGCCTCACAGCCCCCCGAGTAGCTGGGATTACAGGTGTGCACCACCATGCCTGGCTAAGTTTTGTATTTTTAGTAAAGACAGGATTTCACCATGTTGCCCAGGCTGGTCTCAAACTCCCGTCCCAAGTGATCTGCCCACCTCAGCCTCCCAAAGTGCTGGAATTACAGGTGTGAGCCACCAGGCCCAGCCTTCTCCCTCTTAATATTAATTTTAAAACCATCTATCTACTTACTCCATAATTTCTCCAAGATTTGCCTAACCTTTCTGCTCTTATTAGATCCTTTGATTGTAGCCCAGTCACATTCCTCTAGTCTGTTGAAATGACTTCTTTATGCTCTTCTGCTTTTATACTCACCTTTTTATCTTAAAATTATCATCAAACTATTCAATTTAAACAAATTCAAGTTTCCTTACACTTAAATAATATCACACCATATTTTATGTTCTACTTAAATTCTATTTAAATTCCCTGCTCCATTTAAATTCAGCATCACTCTCCTTTCCCATGAGGCAAAGGCCAAGAGAATCTCAAGACATTTTGACTGATATATTTGAACCACCAATTCAATTCCAAAATCATCTACCTCCCAACTAATCATTATGTGAAGAAAAGAAACTCTTTTACACTTGAGCCATTATAGTCAGATAGCTCTCTTATTAATAGTGTCCAACCCAATCTCTAATTGATACTCTCATATAATGAGGATCTTACATTTAGTTTATTTGAAAATGAGTTCTACCACTTAAAAAAATTTTTAAATGCCCTGATTCTAATGAGATGATGAGAATCGGCACTAAGGCAATGGGAACAGAAAGAAATGGACTTGACAGATACCTGACAGGTAAAACTGACAGGATCTGGTGAGAGAATGTAAACATCATTTATTGAATATCTATTATGTACCAGAAGCTGATAGAAACACAACAGGATCCTGGACCTTAGGAAAAAACAAACACACCAACAATCAGAGCAATATAATAAATATTATGAAAAAAATCTAAAGGATAAAAGATGTTATAATAACACAAAAAGAAACGCATTGTTCTGCCTGGGGATGTCAAGGAATATTCAGAGTTGACACTATTGTCCGAATTGCTCCCCTGACCACCAGTAATTTCTATGTAACTTCTTTCATGTCTAACAGACATCTCAAAGTTACCATGGCCAAAACAAAACTACTAATTTCCCCTAATCTGATCCTCTACAAGTCTTCCCCATATAAATAAATGGCACCATCATCTACTGAGCTGCTCAAGGAAAAAAAGAACCATAGAAATTATCTAATACATATGAACACCCAATATGTCAACTTTACAATATATGCCAAATTCCAATCTGCGATCAGTAACCCTCCT
Source organism: Homo sapiens (assembly GCF_000001405.40). NCBI lineage: Eukaryota > Metazoa > Chordata > Mammalia > Primates > Hominidae > Homo > Homo sapiens. Next base: position 53,397,702 of record NC_000004.12, on the reverse strand, counting down.
GGAAAACACAGCTGGCAGTACTCTGAGGTTTGTCATTTGTCACACAGATATTCCAGACTATTTACAGATTGTTTGGTTTACACTGAGAGGTTATCACTTATGTGTGGCAGAGAAATGAGATTTCAACAATTCCTTTTTGCATTTTTTATTTTTATTATGAGCCTTTTTATCAACAGACAGAGACTACCTAATTTAGCCATGAGAAGAAAACAGCACAGACATCCTGCCTTCAGAGAAGATGCATGCCACTCCATTCATGAGTACCATTCTCCTGAGAGGGGATAAGAATAAAAACGGTGTTTTTGGACCACTTGGATTCAAGCTCTAGCCACACAGCTCACTCTCTGGTGATCACTGATCTCTCTAGCCAATTTTACTGAGTCTACCAGAAGAGGAATGAAGGAAAGCTACTCAACCACCCAAAAGAATCTCATTATGGCAATAGTGTGATTGCTTATAAGTTCCCATACAAAAAGGAATCCTTTGAAAGCATCTGGGATGATGTATTAGTGTCATCGGATTTTCTTCTTCCTGGTTTCTCTTTACAGGGAAAACAACATGAATTCAAAAGGATTCCAGTCTGAAGCACAATCACTTGCTTCAACAAAAATATCTCATCTTTTTCTGCACATAAACATTCTTTCATCGGTTAAAAAGAAAAATAACTTTGAATGTCTTAGAACTCTCTAGCAGTAAAAACTGCAGAGTTCAAAATTTTCCTTTCATACTCCATAATTCTCCAAAAGTATTAAGTCTGTGTATGCTTCAATAATTTTGTTAAAAAATGCTCAATCTGAAATCAACTGCATTGACCACTTGGCTTTGCACAACAGGGAGAAAATAAATGGTTCACTGGTTATTTATATAGAGAGACTAAGAAAGCCTATTAATTGCCACTAATTTTATGACAGGTTTTAATGTTTATGAAAGCATGATTTTTTAATTTTATGAGCACTGTCCATTTGAGGTTGTAAAAGAAAGCATAAGATTCTAATTGTAGGCTGGGCGTGGTGGCTCAAGCCTGTAATCCCAGCGCTTTGGGAGGCCGAGGTGGGTGGATCACGAGGTCAGGAGTTCGAGACCAGCCTGGACAACATGGTGAAACCCCATCTCTACTAAAACTAAAAAAATTAGCCAGGTGTGGTGGCAGGCGCCTGTAATCCCAGCTACTCGGGAGGCTGAGGCAAGAGAATTGCTTGAACCCGGGAGGTGGAGGTTTCAGTGAGCCAAGATCGCGCCACTGAACTCTATCTAGCCTGGGTGACAGAGCAAGACTCCATCTTGGGAAAAAAAAAGATTCTAATTGTAGTTCATTTTATCTCAACATAGAAACATTTGCTTTTGAATCTTTTTCTCACCATGTAATTGTAATTATAAAAAGCCAATGTTTTATTTCCTTTGAAGTTCTGTTACATCCATGATTGCTTTGTATAGATAATTCCTTTAAAAGGCCTACTTAAAGTTAACATCTAAAATACAGTTGTGGCCAGGTGCAGTGGCTCACGCCTGTAATCCCAACACTTCAGGAGGCCGAGGCGGGTGGATCACCTGAGGTCAGAAGTTAGAGACCAGCCTGGCCAACATGGCAAAACCCTGTCTCTACTAAAAATACAAAAAACATACAGATGTGGTGGTATACACCTGTAATCCCAGCTACTCGGGCGGCTGAGGCAGGAGAATCACTTGAACCCAGGAGGTAGAGGTTGCAGTGAGCCAAGATCACACCATTGCACTCCAGCATGGGCAACAAGAGTGAAATTCTGTCTCAAGAAAAAAAAAAAAATCATAAAATACAGTTATGCCAATTAAGGCCTACTCAGGGTGATATCTATATCCACAAGATGAGTGCTCATTATTCTAATAGGATTTGTTGAGGTGCTTTTCAACCCTGTGATGCTGAGATATATAAATAAGAAATCAGAAAAATTAACGTAGATATACACATACACACACACACGCACACACACAAAATTCCATCACTTTATTACTATGTCTCATCCTAAAACAGTACCTGGCATGCAATAAGTACTCAATAAGTATTTGTTACTTGACTGTCTTTGGGAATCAACTTAAATGTCACTTCTTCAAACTCCAAAGAACATGTAGTTTATAACTATATCATCTTTAGCATGATTATTTAATTAATACCTAAATTTTCCCATTAAGCACAATAAATGCCTAGACTATAGGCTCCATGTCTATTATGGTGACCTCCCCTTCCCCCCAAAGCCTAAGGTACTTCCTGGCACAGTCAATGCTCAATTAAAAACCGGGAAGGAGGAACCGGGAAGGATTGGGGAAAGAGACGTGGGAGAGACATTAAAAGAGAAAGAGAGAGGTGGGGTCAGAGAAGATATTAGGAAAATGGCATAGATTTTTAAACACACAAAAATTGCCCGTGTTTCCCAGCTTTTCTTTTTTCCTTAATTTCTTCATAATATCCTCATTCTATTAAACAATTCTGAAAATCCTCACTATTCTAGCAACCTTTCTAGTCAACTTGATTATCCATTTGTTTGTCTTCAGATGTTACACTCAAGATTACACACTCAAAATTTGTCTAACCAGTAACATAATGAGATTATTTCACATGACCTAATATCTTAAGAAATGACCATAAGACATTATGACTAATTTTCTAAAAACAAATTTATGTCAGATCTGACAAATCCAAACAAAACTTAAGTCTACAACCTTGAGAAGCTAAATACTCACCCAAATTATGCTACCACTGTACTAAAAGTTTGAAAAATATTTTTGAAATTTCCTTTGGCTGCCTATCACAGCTTCATTTGTAAAAGTTTAACTTTACAAACAATATCTTAAAAAAAAACCCTTGTTAAGTAAACTAAGGTGCATCCAAATAATAAACTATGTAGCTATTTTAAATTATATTTATAAAAAAATTTAAGAACTTATGAAAACATTACATGTTAAAGTCAAAAAAAGGAAAAACAGACAACCATAAATAAATTATCACAATTTTGTTTCAACCTATAAGAAAAAAACTGAGAAAGCAACAAAATTTAGAACTTTGAAATTAGATTAAAAAATAGTAACTGACTGAGCAGACCAAAGAAAACTGAATCCTAAGTCAGCGATGAGAAAGCAAAGACAATGATTATCATGTCAGGACCCTCAAAAATTCAGAAATTAAAAGCTCCAGCTACCAGAACATTTGCATCAGCCAAGTATATACCCTCTAGATAGAATACTGGAATACCTTATCTGAAAAAATCTGATTACCACAAAAAGAAAAACACCTAAAAATACTGACATCAGGGAATGTGAAAAAACAGCCCTCCAGTGAAGCCTGCAGTCAAGCAAGTTCTATTCAGATGTACAGAGCTTCCAATCAATTTTAGCAGCCCACCGTTACATGAGTGAATGGCCAACAATCAACAAACATTTCAGAAAAGTCTAAGTCAGAAGATAAAAATAACTAACTTAAATAATCAAGTTGAAAACAGACTATGCAGGAAAAGAAAAATCTAACAGAAACAAAACAGCCTATCATTAATATCCTTTGAGAGAGGAGGGAAAAAGATATTGCATTACTGTAGGCATGAATAATAAGATGCTACAACTAAATAATAAAGAAAAATTTTCTTGGAAATTAACAACAGAAATGAAAACTAAGTACAATAACATTATAAGAATAAAAAATTCTCCCAGATAATGGAAAAGATGAAAAAGAGAAAAACAATAAAAAAAATTAGAAGACCATTCGAAGATATCCAATATTATCTAGAATAGAAAAGAAAGCAGAGAAAAAAGTAAAAGAAGAAAGTGTTCCATAAGTGAAGGATATGTGCTTCCAAATCGAGAATGCTTGGTACAATGGATGAAAACAGACCAAGACACATAACTGTAAAATTTCAGAAAACTGGTGACAAAGCTCATACATTCACAGCCGGGGGCGGGGGGGGGGGGGGGGGCCGGGGGGAAAATCTATGCATATGTGCACAAATGAATAAAAAATATTTTAAGAAAACGTTGTAGTCAACGTTTTCTCATACATACATGTTATCTATTCCCACTAGTCACTTCTCTCTTGCCATTCACTCTAATTAAATAATTACACAATTGTTTTTGTACCCAATTGAGTGGCTTTATTTTTATACCTATTAAATTTCTTTTATTTTGCTTTTTAAAAAAACTTTATTCATATTGAAGTACATAAAAGGCTGTTACCTCAAGAATGTCAAAACACTGTTAAGTGTTGAAGCTGTATGATAAGCACCTAAGGGTTCATGTGTACTATTCTACTTGTTACTGGGTTTGCAAATTGTTTAATGAAAAGTAAATAAAGTTATCTTAAAGAGGCTGATGGGCTGTCTCACACTTAAGGATGAAAAAATTCTATTTGCAGCAGATATGAAAATAAATTTTAATTCTTAAATCCACTCCTTTGCCCATTCATCCTCATAAGTGAGTTCAGGCCCTAGTTCATTTTAGTCCCATAGTATGGCAACAGCTCCCTATCTGTTTCACACCCCTTTCATTCTACAGCCCATCCTGCTGCCAGTTCCTTTTCTAAATACCAGATCTGCCACTTCATTCTACTGCTCAGGAACTTTCAAACAGCTTCCTATTGGCTACACAAATGTTTGCAGGTTAGTTTAAAATCAATGTCCTGCTCATCATGGCCCTATTTCCACCATTTCCTACGGACCACAATATACATAAAGAAAAAATGTTTGCCACACATATTCTTAATACACACCCTATTCCCAAATCAGTATTTCTACCAAACATATTAGTATTTAAACACACTATCAAGGCAAGAAAACCATGAAGACTGTACCCATCGAATTAAAATCTTTCATTCAGAATCCAATCAGAATGGAATACTCTATGACCTCCTCTCACATAGCCAAAAGAAACTTCAAAATAAATTTTTCAGTACACAGTATGTATATAAAATACACATTCATAACGGCTACCTTCAATGAGACTGACCCCTAGGAGTTTCTTTTTATTCTCTTTTTAAGTCTACTACAAAAAATGAAGTATACAGAAGCTAACAGTTTATGATGGCAGTTCTCATTTCTATTAAAAGAAAATAAAATGCACTGCTGCTAATGAACTAGTTCATTAAGACAACTTTTCTACCCATTGCAGTCAAGTTTAATATATTCAATGCCTATATAGACAATATAACCCAGAAAAAACTGATGACCCTTTAAAACACAACAGACATCATCACATACTTTCAAAATATTTGCAAAAGAAGAACCAAATACTTACGCAAAGTAGGATGTAAATTAAAATAAAATTATCTATATAGAACTGTGTACAGTAGAGTGGTTGTATCTGCAGACATAGCACACACACTGCATAAGGCAGTATTCTGGTGGACAGGGCTGCAAACCCAAAAGGGGAGCAGTGGTCTCTTTCCAGTCCACTAAAGTTCCCTGAGTATACAACCCAATCTAAAAGCCACTCCCAATCTTCATCCCAGTGTCATTCAATATAAGAGTCAACTATTAAGGTAAAGAAAAAAGAGTACACAATCAGTTTTCCATAAAAGAACTATGACAATATAGTATTATTCTTTGGACTGGGTCTGTGATCATACCATGGAATGGAGAAGCCAGAAATCAGACTTGTTATACAAGTTGTAGTATCAACCTCAAAGTCTCTCACATAAACCTACTCCTTTTAAGAACAAATTTTTAAAATCAATGGCAGTATCTCATTATGTTGAGTTCTTAAAGCCTCTCAGAGAATGCCTAAGATTTTTGAAGATATCTTGAGCTATCAGGGCATTACACCAATGATATCAGTGTTATAAGTGTCATAGAGATAAACAGTATGCCACCTTCCTTACCATTTTTTTAAAGAGAACAAAAAAGTTTCCAATTCTGTTGATAAAGATTAGAGTATTATCTACAATGAGAGCATAATCTGTTGCCACTAACTTTTCTATCCTACAAACATGTATTACGACTCAAAATGAAATCACAACATATAGCAAACAATAGTTTTACTCGGCATTTGTTAGTATAATAGGCTATAAATTCACATGCTTGCAAAAGTGGAGATAAAACAACAATCAGCAAATTTGTAAGTCACCAGGAAGCTGAAGGTTTGGAAAAAAGGTAGCTATTTCCACTTTAATCTTGTCCCTTGAGTAGTGGCATGGGAGCAGACTCAAGAACAAAAAATGAGAGCAACCAAGGATAATTTACTAAAATTCACCTTAAAAAGATTGAATCTGCCATCTTGGATCTCTGCACCTGGTGTAACTTCCATAGTACAGTCTTCGGCCTAAGTTAAATAACATATTCCCCATTAAGATACCACATAATATTTAATTAATAGGCCATATAAAGACAAACTAGCTGTGGCTAGTCTGTGATTTGAAAGTAAGAACATCAGATAATCATTAAATACGAAACTCTAAAAGGGAGGGAAGGGAAAAACAAACATGGTAAACAAAATGGAATTTTTAAACTATCATATAGCATTTAACCACTTTTATAGGGAAGCGATTTATTTGGGGAGTAAAAGTGGGACGGTAGACAAGCCAAGGGTATTCCGGAGTATTTATTAATTACCGTAATTTTATTTGTAGTAGAGGTTACTGGTATAACTTCAAGTCCCATTCGTATCCTCTTTTGTTTTTCACAGTAAGCTTTCCAGGTATCTTCATTAAACCCATAATTAAAATAATCAGAAAGATCAGCACCTAAAGATAAAACACAACTTTAGTGTACAAATATTTCAGCTCTATTTTTATGCAGCATCAAAAATATACTAAACTATAAAAATATAAATTTAGAGTTCTATCAGTTATCACTCTATCATTTATGGTGGCAAAAAGACTATATCATTTTTGATCAAATTATTCCCTTTACAAACGCCATTATAATAAACAATAAGTCTACATTTTAAGTAATACAAGGCCACCAGTAAGATTTAATAATCCCAAGTCATTATTACTCATCATTTGCTTAAGACAATTAAAATTATAATGAAAAAATAAAATTCTAAATTGATGTTCAAAAAAATTTTCTGATGACTTCACACTGAAAATATTGAAATTAATATAATCCACAATAATCTTACCAGGTTTACGCCATGGTTTATCTTCAAAAGAATCCAAATCTACCTCTAAGAGTGGAACTCCATTAATGCTTCCAGGTGCATCAAGGTCTACTCCTTTGACTTTTGTCCCTGTTTTATAAAATTACAAAATGAAGGAGCTATACTTGCAAGAAGCCAGGCGATACCATAGACAAACAGAAAATATAAACACCTTTTTACTATTCCTGGCACATATACACACACAAACAGAAAACAAACATCTTTTTACTATTCCTGGCAAAAAACCTGGCAAGGGTTCCAAACAAAGCAGAGCCTAAAATACGTGCTACTGGACTCTTGCCAGAAAAACTTTACCAGTCTCTGTGATGTACGGTCAAAAATTACTCTTTAAAAAGAGCTATTATCACCTTGGCCGGGCGCAGTGGCTCACACATGGAATCCCAACACTCTGGGAGGCCAAGGCAGGTAGATCACTTAAGCTCGAAAGTTCAAGAGCAGCCTGAACAACATGGTGAGACCTGGTCTCTACATAAAAATACAAAAATTGGCCAAGCATGGTGGTGCACGCCCGCAGTCCCAGCTACTTGAGAAGGTGAAGTGGGAGGATGGTTTGAGCCCAGGAGACGGAGGTTGCAGTGAACTAAGATTGCGCCACTGTACTCCAGCCTGAGTGACAGAGCCAGACTCTGTCCCCGACTAAAAAAAAAAGCTATTAAGACCTATTTAAGATATGTGCCTTATTTCCCTATTGATGCAACAGAAAATACAAATTTTACCTGTAGTTCCATAAACTCTTCCCCCTGTCTTGATGTTAAGATTTACAGGTGCTGTACCATAACTCCTAAAAACAAACAAACAAAAAAAAACAGAAATTATCCTGAAAAGCTTAAACAAAACAGTAATATATTCCATTTGTACAAACAAATTATACAATCACATAGTAAATGGATAGTGTGACACACATTTTATTTCTATCTTTATTTTTTAAATTTTGTATAGATGAGATCTCATACCATGTTGTCCAGGCTGGTCTCGAACTCCAGAGCTCAAGCAATCCTCCCACCTTGGCTTCCCAAAATGCTGAGATTACAAGAGTGAGCCACCGTGCCCAGCTAACACATATTTTAAAAAACATTTTAAACTGATTTTTAAAGTCACTTGCTCAATAAAAGGCAAAAACAGTAAAAAAAAAAAGCCTGACTTGTTTCCATTTCAAAAACCTTTTTGCCAATAACTCAACATTCTACTGTAACAAACTTCACAAGAAATAAGGCTAAGAAGGGAAAAATAGTTTACACCCCTTGTCTTCATTTCCTTGCCTCCCAGTTATTAAATATACAGCACTCTTAAGCATAAGTAAAATTCCTCCAACTTGTTGTCAAATCTAGTGGCCTTTCAGTTCTTCTTGCATTTGATATTGTTAATAAATCCTTTTTCAACTATTCATGGAGTACTCAGTCCATAACAGAAATTTATTGACAAGAAATTCAAAAATAAGTCTAGCATGAAAGCAGAACAGTGTTTGCCGGTGGTGGGTGGTTAATGACCAAGAGGCAAAATGAGAGAAACTTCTAGGATGCCAATTATGTTTCATATCTTGATCTGGCTGTAGTTACATGAATGTATATATTTGAAAAAATATTAAGCTGCACCTTTTTAGATGTAATATAATACACAGTGATAAAGAAAAAAATATCTGAAGTTGGACCAACCCACATTCAAATGTTTTGTCAATTGCTAGTTGTGTAATCTTGGCCAAAACACCTAAGACTTGTATACAATTATTTGAATAATTCATTGCATTTTTACTTGTATAAATGAGCCTTGTATACATTTTCTGTAATACGGGGTTACAGACAGTTCTTTACTTCTTTATATAATGGATTCTTATATATGAGTAGTATTATCAAATATACTAATTAAAAGAGACTTTTCTGTTACTAGGGAAGTTAGAAGAAAACGGGAATGGGCAAAGAAGGACCAACTCCCACTGAACAAAAACATATCAGTAAGACGGCCGGGCACGGCGGCTCACGCCTGTAATCCCAGCACTTTGGGAGGCCGAGGCGGGTGGATCACGAGGTCAGGAGATCAAGACCATCCTGGCTAACACCATGAAACCCCGTCTCCACTAAAAAATAGAAAAAACTAGCCAGGCATGGGGGTGGGCGCCTGTAATCCCAGCTACTCAGGAGGCTGAGGCATGAGAATGGCGTGAACCCAGGAGGCGGAGCTTGCAGTGAGATCGCGCCACTGCACTCCAGCCTGGGCAAAAGAGCGAGACTCTATCTCAAAAAAAAAAAAAGATATCAGTAAGACCTCAAGTCACAGATGTTTATAATGATATATTTCTCACATTATATTCATGTTATATATTTGGTTCTTTTCTCTCAGAACTTCAGCCATCTGGACTTCAGATTCACTGCTTTGGGTCTAATAATAATTACTTCCATCTTTTGTCTCTGATGTACTACATTTAAGACTTAGGTTTAGTTACATTTGCACTGTCACTTTTCTTTTCTACTTAAAAAAGAAAAATGTAAATTCAATAAAATGTTTAATTGTATCAAATAACTGTAGCTCCACAGCTAGAAATGCAAAAATTACAAAGTGGACCAAATATTACTACTGTCAAGCAGTACTATCGTCACCAACTTGAAATAATCATTTCATAGGCTGATTAATTCATGTAATGCTTACTGAGCACCAAACCATGTCAAGTATGGTTCTAGGCTGAGGAAAAAGTATGAGGAGCTGGACAATTACGGTTCCTGCCTTCACGATGTTTACATTTTAACAATCCAAATTCAGAAAAAGTGACTTAGCGGTATCTACATATGATGTACATGATTTTTCTACAAATGTACAAAAATCAAGGATTTTCTCTAAACTGTTCTCTTACAGGACCGTATAGAATAAAACAGTATTTTTATAAAAGGCTTAGCCACAAGTGTTCAATAAATGAGCTTCTTCGCTTTCCACCTAGCTACTTTCTATTCCCCATTCTGCCTTTTAAAACATCATTTTTCTTTTTTAAGCCACAAGCCTTTGTAGAGAAGCCTGTGTAGAGAAGCTTAGTGGTATGAAAAATTGCAGAGGCAAATTTGATATAATGTCCAATAGATCCCTATGAAGTCTCAGACCACTCTAAATGCTAGATCCTATACTTGGACTTTCTATAGGAACTCCAAAATAAACATGTCAAATGAATCTGTTTTGTGGGAGGTGGGAGCAGTAGCACCCACCTGTACCCAATTAACTGCTCTAGAAATCTTTAAGTCACTGAGCCCTTTATCTCCTCCTCCATCCACAACCAACCAGTTACCCATGTTATTTGTTTCTATTTATTCTTTGAGACAGGATCTTACTATATTGCCCAGGCTGGCCTGAAACTCCAAGGCTCAAGCAATCCTCCTACCTCAGCCTCCCAAGTCCATGGGACTACAGGTGTATACCACATGCCTGACTATATTTCTGTTTCTCTAATACTCAAATGTACTATTTTCCCATTCATCTCTCTACTACTGCTGCCTTAGTCTAGATTATCATCTCACCTGGACAACTACTTCACATCTATTAGTCAATGTCTCTCTATCTAACCCATCTCAACTACTGATGCTAGAGTTATCTTTTCAAATGATATGACCTGTCTAAAAACCTAATTAGGGGTGTCTAAGGGAGAGAATACAGTCATGAGTCCTTAGTTTCTGTTTCTGGTTAGGCCAGTAAAGCCCCTTTATCACCCCTCTTTTCCACTTATCACTGGAGACAGAAACTAAAAACCATGGCTTTGGGCAGCTAAAAGACTAAAACAAAGCAAAACAGAACAACAACAGCAACAAAATAAGGTGCATTGGACAAGCTTGCAAGGTCTACAAAGACATAGCAAAAGCATCCTAACTCCTTCCATAAGTGATTTCAACCATCTCTTTTCATCTACCTTATCCTCCAGCCATGTACTTCCTCCAAGGCACGCATCTAATATATTTATTGTTAGGCAGTGTCCTCCACCTAAAAACCACTGTCTCCCATCTCAAAAATTATTCAAACAAGTTCAAATGTTACCTCTGGGATCTTCTCTTCAACACCTGTAGGCTTTTAGCAACTCTCCTCTCAAACCTTTCGAATCACTTTGTACATGTTTCTATTCTAGCACTTATGTTGCACTGAAAATATTTACTCACATGTCTGGCATCCTCACTACCTCTGGAAAATAATAACTTCCTGTATTCTCATCAATTAATACATTCACAGATAAAAAATTGCTGCTTTCATGTAACTTTATCTAATTTGTTAACTCCATGAAATTTCATGGTGATTTTACCAAGGGTTCTTTTGTAGCATGGTAAATGTAAAAACAATAATAATAATGGAATGATCACAGATGGTTTGATAAAGGCACATTATCTTTGCTACTTAACACAGTGCCAGATAAATTATGTCTTTAAAAATTATTTATTGAGTACATAAATGGATCAATCTCACAGAGATAGGTAACAAACTACTTTCCAAGATAAATTATTTCTACTTTAAGAGTTGCTTTTCTTCATACCTTACTTACATATAAAATGAACTTGTAACAAAGGTATGTTACGCAAAAAAAAAAAAAAAATGCTATTTTGTATTTCCTAACAATTTACAATAAATCAATTCAGTCCTTGGACACAGTTTGTTCTTTAAATTTGCTTCTGAAAACGCTGTGCATAAGTAAATGTTTATCAAATTTCATTTTCTCACTGACTTTGTTTTCAAGGGATATACCTTGAAATATAGAGGTTAAACAACTTTACACTCTTCACAAATGCCTGTACTTTACTTTCGAAATGCATAAAATGAATAAAAAATAAATCAACTGATAAATGGGTAAACGCATAGAGGGATATGAGTTCAAGCAAACAAAGCAAAATGTAGATTGTATAATCTAGGTGATGGGTAAATGAGCATTCACATGTCAATTCCTTCAACTTTTGTGAGCATTTGAAAATTTTCATAATCAAATGTCTAAGGGGAAAAACCCTCAGAGACAACTGTAACTAAATAACATTCAGTTTATTTAGTCAATAACCATTTACTGCACACTTAACTGTATTTAAGGCAATGTGAGGAATAGAAAACTCCATAAATCACAGTTTCTTGTTTTTTTGAAGAGTTTTGAATTCAATGGTTTCTACTCTATAGAAATCTGAAGTGTGTAAAGGTAATAAATATGTATAAACATAATTACAATGCATAAAACTGAAAATTGCTATAAGAAATAAAGTTTAGTAAGGTACTATGGAAGTCCACGTATATTTAATATTTGAGTGCAATTTCTACCAAAAAAAGGTCCCATCCATAATCCAAAAAAATTGTCATTTGCTTCAAGTTGTTCTATAACTTGCAAATACAAATAATTTTACATAACATTTAATGAACATGCAATTATTACAATTTTATGTGTTCCTTTTGCATCATGCAGATAGTAAAGGCCTACTAGTACTACAGTATAAGCCCAACTTTCTCATTAAGTAATTATTTACTTTCCCAAATGAGAATGAGGAGCACATTTAGAATATCCACCCCTAACATGAAAAATCAGCCTCTTTACTCTGTTCCCTAAAAAGGTGCTAGGATTTTAAAATTACATGGGTAGTCATTATTATAATACAAAACTGACTATGACAATAACTGAATTGGCTTTAAGCTTCCTGAAATGACTTCTGAAAACAAATGACTCTACTAATAAAATATTTAACAATATTTTTGTATATACTGGTTGATTCCAGATGAGGTTGCTTAATGAACTATAGTGAAATTAATGTATTTTATGTTTCCAATGCATAAGCTATAATAACCACATTATACAGCCAATTTGAAAAACAAAACACATTGACTCTTATTCTCCTATCGTAACTAAATCACAATTCGTACTTCAATGTATTTCCCTTCCAATCTTTCTGTAAGATTCTTTATGCGCTCAATGAGTCAATGACAGTCCATTTACTTGGTCCAGTTTATAGAATACAAAATTGGAGACAAACATTGGCCTAAAAGGCCTAAGGGAGAATTAGAAACCTGAAAACACTATTAAGAACAAAAAGAAATACTTTTGATATTGTTTTTATTAGGCAAAAAAATTAAAAACCTAAACTCAGGTCTGGATAATAAAGTGAAATAATAATAAGTACAGATACAAATTACAATTTAAGGATTTCTAATTCTAATCAAAGAATTTATAGTACTTTTTTTTTTTCTTTTTCTCGAGACAGAGTCTCACTCTGTTACCCAGGCTGGAGTACAGTGGCTCGATCTGGGTTCACCGCAACCTCCACCTCCCAGGTTCAAGTGATTCTCCTGCCTTAGTCTCTGGAGTAGCTGGGATTACAGGTGCCCACCACCATGCCTGGCTAATTATTGTATTTTTAGTAGAGATAAGGTTTCACCATGCTGGTCAGGCTGGTCTTGAACTCCTGACCTCAGGTGATTCACCCGCCTCGGCCTCCCAAAGTCCTGGGATTACAGGCATGAACCTCTATGCCTGGCCTAGCACTCAATTCTTTTATAAAAACACTTTAAATTCAGCATCAAAAACTGCTGCTTCTATGTACCTTCGCCTAATCAATTAACTGTATTTTAGCAAAGAAGTATATTCATGATGAAACTTTAACAAGTTCTTTTATGTTAAAATAGAAAAATGTAAAAACAATGGACTCAACCACTGAGAGTTTGATATAGGCACACTCTCCTTACTATATAGCATTTACACAATTGTTACTTACTAAAAAATAACTTACCCATACTGTGGTGCTCCCGTTTTAATGTCTCCTATAGTGACATGAACATCATCTTCATCATCATCGCTGTCACTATCACTATCATCTTCGGTCTCAGTCACTTTCTACATGAACATAAACAAATTATAAAATACATTCAGTAATCCATTTCAACATCTAATACTAATAACTAAAAAAAGTAACCACCCTGTTTTTTTTTTTCTTTCTTCTGTCTTGAGACAGACTCTCACTTTGTCGCCCCGGCTTGAGTGCAGTGGCATGATCTCAGCTCACTGCAACCTCCACCTCCCAGGTTCAAGCAATTCTCCGGCCTCAGCCTCTAGAGTAGCTAGGATTACAGGTGCCCGCCACCATGCCCAACTAATTTTTGTATTTTTAGCAGAGACAGGGTTTCACCATGTTGGCCAGGCTGGCCTCGAACTCCTGACCTCAGGTGATCCACCCACCTTGGCCTCCCAAAGTGCTGGAATTACAGGCGTGAGCCACCATGCCCGGCCCCACTCTGTATTTTTTTGAGATACAATTTAAAAGTTACAAGCTTATAATGCTGCCACCTATTTCAACTCATAATTTTGATGTTCTACAGGATAAAAAGGATAAGACTATGAATAAAGAAATGAAATCTTTTTGGCATCATCTCCTTGTGGTAAACAACACCTCATTTTTTTTTTAACTATCATATCTGCCCCTCTTGCAAAAAGATCTAAAGCAACTTACTAAGATACCTACAAGATAAAATTATAAAAAATAAGTATTTGAGAAGTCTTGGCAAAAAAGAATCTAAGAGGAAAACAATTTTAAGATTCACAGTGTCACAAATACAATGTACCAAATCAATTAAAGAATTAAAAAAAAAAACCCCAAAGCATAAGAAGTACCAAATAGTTAAGTAGAAGCTCAGTTATTCTTGGTATTCTTGTATACCTAGAAGAGGCCCTACATGCAAATTCTATATTTGTGAAGATTTTACTTTGGCTCTTAAAGGCTATTTTGTGCTTAATCACATCATAGTAAATAAGTAGATCACATAGGCAAAATACTTTTTTGTATACAACTTCAAACTTCCGGAACAATAACTTCCTTCCTTTTATAGGATTAAAATGCACAAATATTCATAGGACCAATGATATGTTCACCTCACAAAGTATCAATGGCATGCAGGCATGCAGTCAGGGACTGTCACATACATTAAAAAGCAACGTTAAAAAATCGTAACAGTGAAAGGTTGTGGGCTCAAAACTTGCTCTGAAAACCAGGCTCACTATATTCAGTAGATTTATAACCATTCAATTCCTTGAAAGCAATAAACATCAAGCCTTTGCACATACTATTTTCCTCTGCAGTCTTTCTACTATTTCTTTTCCTCATTTTAATTCCTATATATGTTTTTGATGGCACCAGATGAAGTAGGAGATGTAAGAAAGGGCCAGATAACACCTGATACTGAAGGTAATGTAAAATGCCAGCTTGCTTTCTATGTAAACTGTGAAGCTATTGATAAAGATTTGTATCAGTAACTGGATTTCAAAGCCTTATGTTACCGGTTTTGGTACACCATTTTCAGCAGTTTCATCTTCAATTCCAGATGGAGGATTAGCACTACAAACAACAAAAGTAAGTATACATGTCAGGCATTACTTTTCGGAAGTACAGATAGATTATATTAGTATTTCTAAGCTTTAATAAAGCTCCTAAAATTATTGTCTCCACTGGAGACAGTAATGGTAAAATCTGACTGTCTTATTCCGTTATTTCTAGTAACTTGCAGAAGACAAGTACTCAACATTGTAAGTAGAATGCAAATGCCAGGCTGGGCGTGGAGGCTCATGCCTGTAATCCCAGCACTTTGAGAGGCTGAGGTGGGTGGATCACGAGGTCAGGAATTCAAGACCAGCCTGGCCAAGATGGTAAAACCCCGTCTCTACTAAAAATACAAAAAAAAAAAAATTAGCCAGGCATGGTGGCGGGCACCTGTAATCCCAGCTACTCGGAAGGCTGAAGCAGACAATTGCTTGAACCCAGGAGATAGAGGTTGCAGTGAGGCTGCAGTGATCATGCCACTGCACTCTAGCCTGGGCGACAGCGTGAGATGCTGTCTCAAAAAAAAAAAAAAAAAAAAAAAAGAATGCAAATGCCTTCACAGTTTATTAATGATTTATAATTTGATGGTGGGCTATAATTCAAGCTTTTTACACATTTTAAAAATATATGACAAACTTAATCAATTTTAATTATCCTAAATCAATTTGATCTTTACAGTGGCATTTTATAGCACAATCACCAAATAAAGCAAAATGAAAGATAAAAAGTCAAAACATAACTGTTATATTTTCATTGTTCTACTGCTTGCTTCAAGAAAACAAATATGCAGCTATAATTGTTCAGTACATTTACCTCCTGCTGAAATAAGCTTCTAGGTAGCCAGAAGCAAGTCCCATTTGCTTTCTACGTCACAAAACAGTATCCCTTCTTTAGTCAAAACTTGGATAGATATAACACAATTGGAGACTGCAATGCAATGTTTAAGAAAAACAGAGGCTTCAGCAATGAGCCAGTCAGTAGGAAACGGGCAAATTCTAATAGCAGGAACTTTGGTAGAGCAATGCAATGATGTACCAAGCCAGATAGCAGTAGGTCTGGCAGAGTACCTTTCTTCAATAGGCCTACTCTTTTGGAAGTTTTAATTTTCTATCACCATTAAAATGTTAGAAACATGATAAAATTTTAAGCTTTTTCTAGAAAAATAACACTGTAAAGGAAATTGTTTTTTCCCCCATAGGATGAAATCAACTCAACGGCTCCCCAAATGAAGTTGCAGAAAGGAATATAAAGCTATGTTGACAGTGACACTCAGGGAAGGTAGAAGGTTCCCTCCAATAAATTTTAGCAAGTTGTGTATTGCGGAATTAAAATTAAAGAATGTTTGATTAGAAAGTAAGCTTTTAAAATTGTAACCAATAAAAATAAAAATTAATGGGATAAAGATTATCATATAGAAAAGTATATTTGATTGTAAAACTATACCTGTAATTAATTTCTTGACCAACTGAAGGAATGGGTACAAAGAAATATTCAATCACTTTCATAACATAAACTAAAACTAATCTCAACTTTGTGGTTGAGATCAGAATTAGGAACTGAGTTGAATATATAAATTTTAAAATGAAATAACATTTCAGATAATATACCAATGAGTGAAAAGACTATAGGGGATTTTTTGGGTAAGGAAGCTGAACTGTAGTTTCAGCTCCTCCTAAGCTATTTCTACTTCCATTTCTCACTTTTTCCCTCTATCCATTTTTTGTTGTAACAGCTTTGAGATGCAATTCACATATTATACAATCTACCCATTCAAACAGGACAACTGAGTTTTAATATGGTCACATAGTCCAACCATCACAACTATCTAATTCCAGAATGTATGCATCACTCCCAAAAGGAACTTTGTATACATTAGCAATCACTCACCCAACTCTTAGTAACCACTAATCTGTCTCTACGGACTGACATCTTTAGCTTCCACATTTGTAAGGTTCATCCGTGTTGTAACATCTACCAGTACTTCATTTTATTGTCCTTGCCAAATAATATTCCGCTGTATGGATATAACACATTTAATCTATCCATTCATCAGTTGATGCAGCTGCGAGGTTTTCTTTTTCCACTTTCTATTAAGAATAATGCTGCTATGAATATTCACGTACAAGTTTTTGTCTGAATATGTTTTCATTCCTCTAAGGTGGAGGACTCACATGGTAACTCCATGTTTCACCATTTGAGAAAATGGCCAGGCTGTTCTTCAAAGCAGCTGCACCATTTTACAATCCCACCAGAAGTGTATGAGGGTTTTATTTCCCCATATCCTCACTAACACCTGTTTTATCTTTTCGATTGCAGCTTACTCGGTATGAAGTTGTATATCTTCCACTTTTTAAACCCAAATATTCCTTAAAATCTTCTAACTACCTCTCCCTCCATTACAGACACTAATGCATGTGGTCAGGGTAAAGCCGACATCTCCATGTACTTCTTTACATGGCTTGCTTTTTGAAATCTGGGGTAAAATTCTGACTCCCTGTATATGTTCTATAAATGAACACTTACATCTTTCTTACAATCTAACAAAGAAATCAACCTTATAACAAATCAGCTAATTACATTTTGAATGCAAACAATACATAGCATTGAAATTACAACCAAACTGCCATTATATCATCAAAAATGTTAATAAACTGGAAAAGCAGTAGTTTGGAGTGTTCCTGATTTACTTAAAAACATTTTCAATTAAGTTAAAATATTTTTATCAGTAGCTTAACGATTATACTGTATACTTCACTACTGAATTCACTTAAGAGTAACAAGTTACTTAACAGTGTAAAATCAGTCCAATCCTAAGTTCAAAAACTTTGTCCTTTAAACTACCAACAAATAGAATTGGCGTAAGATTAGGTCCTGAAACTGGAATAATCCTTAAAGGATTCAATGTCCTCCAAAATGTTGTAAGTCAGTGTTGTAATGAAGCCAATGATTGTAAGAAAATAATTTTGACAACTGACAGAACCATTGTTTCACACAACCTGTGTAATAGGCATCAACAGAAAATTTCACTAACCTGGCATTTTCTTCTTCTGGCCTTTCAACTTCATTTTCATCTACCAAGTAAAATAAACAAATAAATAAATAAGCAAACAAAATAAAGAAACCACTCTTAAAGAAACTAGTATTATGAAAATCTGAAGTGATCATCACAAGCACTAACCTAGGTCCTTTGCCAAATCACTGTGCACATGCACGTCCCATGGGCCTATAAGCACATCCAAAGTTAGATCACCTTATAATTACTTAACAAGATACTTATTTTATGGAAAAAAAAATCAGACTTTACTGCTATAAAAATAAGCTTAAATTTAAGAGGTAATGAAGATTTCCAGATCTTTGTAAAAGAAATCCTACACATTCACATTTCAAAGAGTAGTAACTAATGCTAAATCTTGCCACCAAACGATTTTTTTTTACAAGTTTATCAAAGTCACATCATCAAGGACCTGCATGGTGCCCAAAGTGCACTTTTACTATTCTATTCTAAAGACAATCAAGAATATATGTTTTAGGCAAGGAACAAACATTAACTTTCAAATCTGGTGTTAACAAGCAAGAAGGGATTGTGACTTAAAGTTAAAAACCAGATGTCAAACAAGTACCCTTCTAGAGAGAAGTACATGATGCATTAAATTTATTTTGAGAAAAACAAATACATGAGATGACACTGAAAACTATAAGCCGAAGGGTCATGAGATACCTCCATGATGTAGGTTAAACGGTAGTCTCTTAAAAAAGAATAACTTCACCTTAATACAGGAGACATTCAGAGTTTTCTTTATGGGCCATCTTTCTCTCTCTCTCTCTTAATTAATTATTTTTAAAGCACGACTTTCAGACAAGGAGGTACCCTTGCAGGTGCATTCCATACAAACTGACCATCAAGAAACAAGACGTTAGTTGTACAGCATTAACTTTATTTAGCTATTATTACAGAATGACTGTTTCTGAAAGAAGGGACAGGAAGGGCACCCTAAGGCCACAGGGCAAAAACAGACACCAAAAACCACCACCTCAGAATCGACAGAAAAAAACAAGGGTAAAGAGCGCAGCAGCTAGGCGATCGAGACGCCTCGGGGAAAGCACAGCGAAGCCGGGGGCCAGGACCGGTCACAGCCCCCCAGCCCGGCCCGGCCGCCACAGGGGTGGATGCGCATGGTGGGCGTGGGCCAGGCGGGAGACCGCCGCGGGGACTGGGGGCACGCGCACGCCGCGCTCGGCCTAAGTCAGGCCGGACAGGACTCCCAACCAGAGGCCCGAAGCGGCGGCGCGAGAGGCCAGGGACGCCGGCCGTTTGAGGGCCAAGAGGGGAGGCCTGAGAGAACCCGAGAGACAGAGACAGGAAGTTTCGTACCGCCATAGAGCCACTCTTCCTCCTCATCCCCTCCGGTCCCGCCGCTCAGCTCCGACACTAGGCGCTCGACCTCGCCGGCCGACATGGCCGCCCCGAGCGCAACTTAAACGCGGCGATCAACAGCCCCCTCCAACCCCTTCCCCAGCCTCGCAGCCCCGAGGCGCGAGAAGGGCGCGAACCCGCCGACGAACGAACGAAGAAAGCTCGAGACTCCAATCCCAGGAAGGCGACGGCAGCGGCGGCAAAGATGAAGCCTCCAGCGCAGGTCCGTCTGCGCATGCGCAGGAGACCCAAGCGGCGCGGCGCGTATAGGTGGCTTCGCTTCCGCGGCGGCCACCTGGGCCTGGTTGCGCCTGCGCGCTGAGGTGGGCCCCGCCCCTCTAGGATCCCGGTTTGCTATTTTGCGTGGCTTCCTCCCGTGGCGTCCTGAGTCGGCCAGGGTTCCCCGCCCCCACCCTTCTTTTTAATAACCCGTATTGCCATTGCTGGCGAGTACACCATTGTTCCCTTCTACTCTTCGTGCTCTTTCTTCTCAACTTTTTATTTGTTTTTTAATCTTCAGAAAGGCCTTCTTTTATTCTTTAATCAGCCTTGATACAGAATCATTACCTGTCACTCCCTTTCCTCACTGAATAGAGAAGAAATCACAATCAGTACTATTTCTCAAAAAATTAATTTTCACAGCCAACAAAAGCAAAACTAATAGATGAAGAATGCACTCTCCTTGTTAAAAACCATAAATTACTGTCAAGGTCAAAGACCGCCTCATTCCCCTACCCTTCTCTCCGGAGGTAGCCCTTGCTACAGATGCATATCCTGTTTGGAGTTCATCATTCCGAAATTTCCTATACACTTACTTCATGTGTTGTGCTGTTTTGGTGGGAGAACCTGAGATTGACAAGTCTTAAATAGTACAGTACAGTATAGTATCATCCTTCGACTTCCTTTTTTTTCTTTTTTTTTAGCATCCGTGTCTTGGAGCTCTTTTTCATTTTAGTATGAATCAAACTATATCTATTTTAAGTGCTTCATAAAATTGCATAGTATGGCTATCACAGAGTGAATATGGCTATTTCTCCATTGATGTACACCCAGATTGCTTTTGACTTTACACTTTTAACTACAACAAAAAATGACAATGAAGATCCACACGGCTCCTTGCAGATTTGTCTGTTTCTCAAAGATAGATCATAAAGTATGTACAGTTTTTATTTTAATAGGTAAACCAAATGTTCAGGCCGCTTCTGAAAGCACATCTTCCAGTGAAAAGATGACATACCATGGTTCAAACTGGAGCTCTAGGTTTGTCTAGGTTTTTTGTTTGTTTGTTTATTTATTTGAGGCGGAGTCTCACTCTGTTGCCCAGCTGGAGTACAGTGGTGCGATCTCTGCTCACTGCAACCTCCACCTCCTGGGCTCAAGCGATTCTTCTGCCTCAGCCTCCCAAGTAGCTGGGATTACAGGCACGCACCACCATGCCCAGCCAATTTTTGTATTTATAGTAGAGAGGGGGTTTCACCATTTTGGCCAGGCTGGTTTTGAACTCCTGACCTCAGGTGATCTGCCCACCTTGGTGTCCCAAAGTGCTGGGCTTACAGGCATGAGCCACCACGCCCGGCCTGTTTTTTTGTTTTGTTTTGTTTTGTTTTGTTTTGTTTTGTTTTGTTTAAAAAACAGTCTTACTCTGTAACCCAGGCTGAAATGCAGTGGCAGGGTCACTGTTCACTGCAGTCTCTACCTCCCAGACTCAAACAGTCCTCCCACTTCAGCCTCCTGAGTACCTGGGACTACAGACAAGCAGGTGCCACCACACCTGGCTAATTTTTTATTTTTTGTAGAGACAATGTCTCACCATGTTGCCTAGGCTGGTCTGGAACTCGTGGTCTCTAGCAATCCTTCCACCTAGGCCTCCTAAAGTGCTGGGATTACATGTATGAGCCACCAGGCCTGGCCTCAGTTCTTCATTATACCTAGCAGGTTGTATAGTCAGGCAATCAACCTTTCTATGCTTCAGTTTTCTCATCTATAAAATGGAAAGGCCAAGTTAGATGATCTCTGAGGTCTCTTTCATTTATAAAGTTTACAAACAGGGCATTCGCTTGTCAACAGAGAGAAATCCATTTTGATTGAACAACTAAATGAGTTTTCTTGCTCCTTGATGAATAAATATTGTTTTATCATTTATTTATTTAGCAATTACAGAATATCTGCTCTGTTTAAGAACTTGGAAAATGAAGACATGAGTGAAACAGTCCCACCCCTTAAAGAACTCTGAAGTTATTGAGAAAGACAGAGGGGCAGTAAACAACTCTCCTACAAGAGAAGAGGTGAATGTGTTGTAATAGAAGCACAAATGAAGGGTTTACGCCCAACCAATATCTCACATTATTTAAACAAACCATGTGGTTTTAATCTTTCTTACCTTTGAACACACTTCTGCCAGCTATTCCCAGCTCCCTTATCTTTTTATGATAATCTCTTGCATCCTTCTAAACTCTCTGGGGGTATAATCACCTTTGTGAAATCTTTCCTGAATCCCATTTTATCTCTTCCCATTTGTTTTGCCAGGAACTCTTCCAGCTATGTAGATTCAACAGTGAATAAAACAAAGTTCTTTCTTTTGTGGAGCTTTGATTCTAATAAGAGAGTCAGATAATAAACATATGAACGTATGATATGTCATGATGACAAGAATTGTGAAAAGAGTAAGCAATATAAAATGAAGTGATGGGGTGCAATTTTATATGGAGTGGTCAGGGAAAGCTACTCTGATGAAGTGATACAAGAGACTTGAATGGAGACAGGAGGTGAGCCCCGTGGATTTCGGGGTGACAGACTATCAAACAGAGGAATAAGAAGTGCAAAGGCCCTGAGGTAGAAGCATACTTGGCATGTTCAAGAAACTCAAAATGTAGCTAAAGTATAGTGAGTGAGAGAGAATGCAGATGAGGTCAGATGTATTTGGGGGGTGAGTGGGACAGAGCAACTCACTCCTTCTAGACACCATGCTGCTTCTATGCCATGTGCCTATCACACTGTATAGTAATTATTTGACTATATTTCTGTTTGCCTCAGGCTCTTCGCTAGACCAAGTCCACCTCCAAACAGGGCATCCCATAGCCATCACTTCAATTCCTAGTATAGTGCTTAACGCTGAGTAAATCTTCTTGGTCACTGTTGAAAGTAATAGAATGAAGTCTTATAGACTGTTTATGAGTATCGTAAGGCAATCACTCACAGTCCTGTCTATTGATCGTTCTATTTATTTAATTGGTTTCATGAGAAAACCAATTGCCTTTTGTTAAGGGATCTTTTTCTGTTTTCAGCTGCCTTTCAAGGCATTGCTTAAACATAACTGAAGAAATGATGAACAATACTAGAATAGCTTTTGTGGTGGAGGTAGCATTTGAGCTAAGCTTTGAAAATGAAGATTTCCACAAGCAAAGAAGCACATAAATCACTAATAACTACTCTGAAAAGACCTCTTCCTCCTTGCTTCTAAGCTGAGTTTCTTGCCTGAATATGCTTTCTTAGTTAAAGGTATCTTTCTCTCCCTGCTCACCAGGGGAGACATCAAAGGTAGGTAGTTTGAAGATATTATATATTCCTCCTTCCATTTCTTATATTATGACCTTATCAAACTACAGTGCTCCATATATTCTATTTGTTTTCCATTTTATTGTTGTTTTGTGGTCTGTTGGTTTCTGGCAAAAAAAATTAAAAGATAAGTTTTAATATACTTATCTCTGAGAAGTACTGAGAGTGTTTAGTAGATGATGATGAGTTAAATGATGACAAGAATTGGAGATCAAATAAAAATGCCTTGCTCACTATCCAGTATATATAGCAAGTACACATAAATGTGTTTGGCATGCATATGATGTTTATGCCCAACTGTGCTCTTTGCTGTCACATAAATTTCAATGTTCTTAAATTCTCAATGTTCTTAAGTTTCCTCAGCAGTAAATTGATACATTAAAATGACATTTGTACCAATATTGGGGAAGAATAACAAAGCTAAATTGAGGTTTCAAATGTCAAAGCATCTAGCCAGGCACGGTGGCTCACGCCTGTAATCCCAGCACTTTGGGAGGCCGAGGCAGGCGGATCACCTGAGGTCAGGAGTTCAAGACCAGCCTGCTCAACATAGTGAAACATTGTTTCTACTAAAAACACAAAAATTAGCTGGGCATTGTGGCACGCACCTGTGATTCCAACTACTCAGGAGGCTGAGGCAGAAGAATCGCTTGAACCCAGGAGGAGGAGGTTGCAGTGAGCCAAGATCCCATCATTGCACTCCAGCCTGGGCGACAGAGCAAGACTCCGTCTCAAAAAAAAAAAAAAGTCAAAGCATTTGACAAGTTATTGACAAGCAGGTAACATGTTGTTTAGGACTTTTCTTCTTTGAACAAGCAAAGTAATTGTACGTGTGTAGAGCTTTCCTTCCTCTTTATGTACTTCCATGATAAATTAAACCCCAATTAGCCATCTTCCTCTACATCCTGACATCTTTTAACAATAAACTTTACCTAGTCCTAAGTTTAGCTCATCAAAAAAGAAAAAATAAATTTTCTATTGCTAGTTGTTTCTGGAAAATTGTATTATTTCCTATTCATGTCTGTGCTGTCAGTAAACTTCGCATACTCTTTTTAAAGGTGAGAACAAAATCGTTTTATTTCTGTATTTGCCAGGTCCTCTCTTACAACATCAAGTACATGGAAAGTTCTTAAGCTAAGAACTGATCATGCCTATGGATGACCTAGAAATGAGGTGAAGAGAGATATGTTGGATTTTGGACAGAAGAGAAACAATAGCTGACTATTTTGAGCAGAGAAATACAAATCACATTTTAATAAAATAAACATGACGGTCTTAAGCAGGTCATTTTAATAGGAATTCATTTTACTCCACCATAACATCTGAAAGCAAGAAATGACTTTTGCCTGGGCTCTCCTACCTTTTCTGTCCACCCTGTCTCCCAAGTCATTTCCTCCAGCTTCATGACTTTTATTTATGTACATATGTATGTATGTATTTACTTATTTATTGAGACGGAGACTCACTCTGTCACCCAGGCTGGAGTGCAGTGGCATGATCTTGGCTCACTACAACCTCCCCCTGTCAGGTTCAAACAATTCTCCTGCCTCAGCCTCCCCAGTAGCTGGGATTACAGGTTCATGTCACCATGCCCAGCCAATTTTTGTATCTTTAGTAGAGATGAGGTTTCACCATGTTGACCAGGCTGGTCTCGAATTCCTGACCTCAAGTGTTCTGCCCACCTCAGCCTCCCAAAGTGCTGAGATTACAGGTCTGAGCCCCACGCCTGGCCTCCATGACTTTTAATGTCATGTCATTGAGAGCCACTGACACCCATATTTCTCTGGGCAGTCTTAACTTCTCTTTGAGCTCAAGATACTCGGTCTGACTCAAATGCTTCACCTGATGCCTCTCTTAGGCCTTTAAAACTTATGTTCAAAACACAACTTATAAATTTCTCTCCCATATCTGTCTTGTCCCACTCCCATACTCCCAAAGACTTCTTCATATTAATATCAGTAACCACCATTTAACTAGTTGTTTTAGCCATAAATCAAAGAATTATCCTTGACTTTTCTGTCTTCCCCATCTGCTCTTCTCACAACTATGCAAATCAGTTAGCAAGATCTGTTAGTGCTTCTCATTAAAACGTATCTCAAATCTATCTACTTCTTTCCATCTGCACTGCCACACTGAAATTCTAGGAACACAAAACCCTTCCGTGGCCTTCTCTTAAATATGAAATAAAATCTAAACTTCCTACCATATGGCCTACAAGCTTCTTCACGGTCTGACAGTCCCTCAAGTTGCATGTGGCTATACAGGCTCTGCATTGCACAACTTTTAGGGGTGTCTGTATCACCTCATTCTTAGTCATCATTTGTCAAATCTTTTAATGTTTTCCCTCATATCACTGCTATAGTCTAAATTTTTGTGTTTCTCCAAAGTTCATATGCCTAAACCTTAATCCTCAATGTGATGGTGTTTGGATATGGGGATTTTGTGAGGTAATTAAGTCCTCCCTAATGGAGAGGGGTTTGGACTTTCATAAGAAAAGACAGGAGAGCTTGCTTCCTCTCTGCCTGCTTTTCACCAACTGAGAATACAGCACAAAGGTGGCCAGCCATTGGTGAGCCAGAGAGAGGGCTGCCATTAGAAATGAATTATGTGAGCACCTTGATTTTGTACTTTCCAGTCTCCAGAACAGTGAGAAATAAACTTTCTTTGCTTATGTCACCCAGTCTATGGTATTTTTGTTGTGACAGCCCAAACTAAGACAGTCTCTGTGCTTATTCCCTCCAAGTTCTTCCAGACCTGATCCCCAACTCTGCATTTAGCTCTCAGTCCCTACCTTTGTTCCATTTTATGTGCATGCCCAACAGTTTCAGTATTTTAGCAGAAGGATGTCTCTACTTGTTCACTAAACCAAAATCTAACTTCCCTCCAAGGACAGGACTTCTCCTTATCTTTCTATACTGAATATCTGCCATTATCCTTCACCCTGTTGTACTGTGAATGCTTGAGATAGTGCTGTCATTCCCCCGGTTCTTGTGGACCACTACCAGGCCATTACGGTTCCCATTTTGCTGTGAAAAAACCTTCCTCTTTTCCAGCTCATACCATTTGTATTTACCACCTCTTCTCCTTTTTCATTTTCCTTCAACTACAAGTGATATCTGCGGTTGAAGTCCACAGTCTTCCTTTCCTCCATCATGATGTGTGACTTGCATATGTTGCTTGACTCATGTTTTCTGACCTTCTGGAGTCTAATGGTCTTCATTCACTCTACTTCCTTAGGGCACATTCAGGGTTATACCCTGGATCTTATTATATCCTAGAATTTTTCCCTCCTTGGCTGGGCGCAGTGGCTCACACCTGTAATCCCAGTGCTTTGGGAAGCCAAGGTCAGAATATGGTTTGAGCCCAGGAGTTCAAGCCAGCTTGGGCAACACAGCAAGACCCTGTCTCTGTAAAAAAAAAAATGAAAGAAAAAAATTAGCTGGCCGGGCACAACGGCTCACGCCTGTAATCCCAGCACTTTGGGGGGCCGAGGTGGGCTGATCACGAGGTCAGGAGATCGAGACCATCCTGGCTAACGCAGTGAAATCCTGTCTCTACTAAAAATACAAAAAATTAGCCAGGCGTGGTGGCAGGTGCCTGTAGTCCCAGCTACTCAGGAGGCTGAGGAAGGAGAATGGTGTGAACCCTGGAGGCGGAGCTTGCAGTGAGCAGTGAAATTGTGCCACTGCATTCCAGCCTGGGGGACAGAGCAAGATTCCATCTCAAAAAAAAAAAAAAATTAGCCATGTGTAGTTGTGTGCACCTGTAGTCCTAGCTACTCAAGAGGCTGCGGCCGGAGGATTGCTTGAAGTCAGGAGTTTGAGTCTGCTGTGAGCTATGATTGTGCCACTGCACTCCAACCTGTGAGACAGAGTGAGACTCTGTCTCTGAAAAAAAAAAAAAAAAAAAAAAAAAAAGCGTTCCCTCCCTGAATCGTAGAGGCCAAGTTACTTTCTTTGACCCTAACTTCATATTCTTCCAACTTTTTTACCTCCTCATTCCCCTACCACCTTCTTTTCTAGGAACTGTGTAGATAATTTCTAGAAGCTGCATTTTCCCCAATCCATTGACTCATTCTGCACTGCACCCCCAGCACTCCCTTGTCATGACTGTACTTTCTTCCTGCACAGGTCAAATCCTGTAGATTCTTCTCATATTCCCTCTCTTTTCCCTTTTCTGACACTTGCCACTGTTGGCCACTCTAGTCTTAAAACTTGCACCTCTCATTACTCCATTCACTGGCTTGACTTCTTCTGCCCATCAAGAAAAGTTGCTCAGAGTTCTCTCCATCACCATCATTGTCTTCTTTCTTTTTTGTGTTCTCTTAAGGCACTCTGAAGCACACCCATTTACTAATAATCCCAATTACCATATTTCTCTTCTGTATTCTGGAATCACACATCCAACAGCATGCTAGATGTTTCTGCCTCGATGTCCCACAAGCATATTGAAAACCTCATGTCCCCACACCTATTAGGATGGCCATTATCAAAAAACCCAGGAAATATCAAGTGTTGGCAAGGATGTGGAGAAATCCGAACCCCTGTGCATTATTAGTAGGAATATAAAATGTTGCAGCCTCTGTAAAAAACAAAACAAAAACAGAGGTCCATCAAGAAGTTAAAAATAGAATTATCATATGATCCAGCAATTCCACTCTGGGTCCATGTACAAAAGAACTGAAAGTAGGATTTGTAGGGAAAGAAAACCATACACCTTTAGGGAATTATTTGAAATCTGTATGTGTCACTTCCAACTATCTTATTCACCCGTGCCTCATCATTTGTCCATAGCTAGCTGCAAGAGGCTTGGAAAAGTAGTCTTTAGCTGTGTGTCTATGAGTTCAGAATAAACCTATTACTACAGAAGAAGAGACAAATAAATATTGAGGCGACCACTAGCACTTACTGGCACAATATTCAACCATGACTTCATGAGTGCCTTGCCCTTTCAGAGAAGATGAAGTATTAATTCACTCAAACTTACCTAATGAATGTATGATTCAGCATGAGATGCAAGGGGTAGAAACAAAAAGTGAGCTTGAGATCAAGATTAATGCAGGTGTTAGTAACTAGGCACTGACCTGGGTTTAAATGGAAGAGCAAGGGCTGTCATCCAACAACTTATTCAACTTAAGCTCCTTAAAATAATTTTCATGCTGACAAGGATACAAACATGTAGGAATATCTTCTTGTTTACTAGTTCAACATTTGAACTTGGGTCTGTCATTGGCCCTTTTACCTACTAGGTTCTACCAGGTTTATGACTCTTCTGCTGCATATTCAAGGTGCCATTATTCACAATAGCTAAAAGGTGGAAGCAGACCAAATGTCCATAGGCAGATGAATGGATAAACAAAATGGTGTAACATACAATGGAATGTTATTCAGCCTCAAAAAGAAAGAAAATTCTGATGCACGTTACAATATAGATTAACTTGGAGGACTTTATGCTAAGTGAAATAAGTCAATCACAACAAAACAAATACTGTATTGTTCCACTTATATGAGGTATCTAGAGTAGTCAACTACTACATTGCCAACAACTAGAGTAGTCAACTCATAGAAACAGAAAGTAGAGTGGAAGTCACCAAGGACTGTGGAGAGGGGGAATGGGGAGTTGTTGTTTAATGGGTACAGGGTTTCAGTTTTGTGAGACAAGAAGTTCAGAGATTGGTTATACAACAATGTGAATGTACTTAATGCCACCAAAATGTACATTTTACAATGGTTAAGATGGTGTGACTTTTATGTTACACTTATCTTGCCATAAGGAAACAAACAAACAAAAATATGTCCCCACTAAACTCTGTATTTATTCCGCAATCTGCTTCTCTTAATGGTTTTTCAAATCTCAATGACTGGCATTCATCAGTCATCCAGACAGAAAGCTGGGTGCTAACCTGAAATTCTCCTTCCGTGTCACCCTCTCTGTCAAACTAATAAGCAAGCCCTTTGGCACTATATTCTTAACGTCTATTCATACTCCCCACTCTGTCCATCTGCTTGTTACGCTTTTCAACTCTCTCACCCAGATTTGCTGCTGATACTATTATTTTCTTAACTGCTCCCTCTGCGCTAAATTGCTCCATTTCAAATTATTTTCCATGTTTTGACTAGAACCATTTTTTTTCTAAAATCCAGATGTGAACAAATTATTTCCATACCCCAAAATACATTAATACTTCCCCACTGGCTGCTACTACTTAGAATGGAAAATAAGGCTCTTGCTGATCTAGCCCATTTCTTTCTTTTCTAATTCCTTGCTCTTATTTCTTCTTGCGCCTTTTTTCATACAATGCACTCCAGCTATAGGAAACCCTTTGTAGTTCCAGAGAACATATTGTACTGTTTTATGCCTCTACGACTTTGTTTATGCTGCACTCTGTGCCTGGACTGCTAAGAATCCTCCTCCCCATCCTGTCCACCTGGTGAACACCTGGGTTTCTTTGAAGGCAAGTCAAAACTCATGCCCTATATGAAGCTTTTTCTGACTTCTTCCTTTTTCTCTTAGAATTTATTTTTCCTCCTTCTTGACTCCTATACAAAAAATTTTAAAAAGTATTTGCTTCTGTAACATTTTATTGCACTTGTTTTACATGTGTGGGTCCCTTTATTTCATCATAATTATTTTGAAATCAGGGCTGTGGTTTAGTTTTCTTTATATCCTTAAAACCCAGACAGTGTTTGGAATACTGTACGTATTTATTAAAAATTGGCTGGATATATTATTATGTGGAATTTTTTTTTTTTTTGAGACAGAGTCTCGCTCTGTCGCCCAGGCTGGAGTGCAGTGGTGCCATCTTGGCTCACTGCAACCTCTCCCTCCTGGGTTCAAGTGATTCTCCTGCCTCAACCTCCCGAGTAGCTGGGATTACAGGTACCTGCCACCATGTCCAGCTATTTTTTGTACTTTTAGTAGAGACGGAGCTTCACCATGTTGGCCAAGCTGGTCTTGAGCCCCTGACCTCAGGTGATCTGCCCACCTCGGCCTCCCAAAGTGTTGGGATTACAGGCATGAGCCACCGCGCCTGGCCATGGATATTAATTGAACATTCATTCAACGAACATTTATTGAACACCTGTTATAAGTGTTGGGGATACCAAGCATCTAGTGCATAATTTAGCAAAACAGATAGTTTAAAGAAAATAGTGTTAATACTTACCCCATGATATGGCAAGTACTTAGCGAATGTATCAATTGAGTGGTTTGATAGGTGGGGGAAGTGAGAGGTGATAGGGTGATAGTGGTGGTGAGTTAGAAAAAGTCTCTCACAGGCAGTACTGTTGGAATGATTATTTTCGGTAAGTTTACCAGGTAAATTCTTTGTGGATTAGGTAATGAATTTTATTAACCATTGCATCTTTGAAGCTTAGCACAGAGATTATACTTAGTAATGTAAGTATATTGGTGGAACAAACAGAACCCATAAAACATTTTGGGTTCAGCCTATTGACTTCATTGTATCGGTACAATTTTTCTCCATGTTGGGAATAGCTGGAGAGAAATTGAGAAATCAAGAAGGATGTTGATGCTTTTTAAAGAGTGTGGATGTATCCTATAGGCAACTGGGCTAGGAGAAGCTTTTAAGCAGGAAAGTTGTAGGACCAACTTTGTTTATTAGGAAGAAAATAGAATTGGAGGGTAAAGAGATCAAAAGTCAGAAAATGTTGGGAGATCATTGCCTGGGTGAGCGATGATGTTGGGTTTTTGTGACAGCAAAAATGGAGAGGAAGGGCTGAATTCTGAGAGTTTTTAAGCCTATAAGATGTAGTGACGATGAGATGAGGGAGGAAAGATGGAGAAAGTGAAAATGAGAACAACAGGGTTTGTTATGAGGCTTGTGGGCGATAACGTATGTGACAGCAATCTATAAACCCAAAATATTGCACACGGTTGTTTTTATTATCTTTTTCTAGTTGCTCTGAGTTTAGATTGAGAAGGTGGCTGTACTTTTGGAGACGTGTTCATATCTAAGGAAGATACCAAATTTCGGATTAGGTTTTTATTTCGGAGACTTTTCAAGGAACATGAGAAGATTATCTGAGAAGATTATCTGCGCAGACAGGCCGAGCGACGGAAAGAACTCAGTTCAGCTCCATCTCAGGAAACACCTGATCTCCACGAGCTTTTGAGGAAGCCCGGAGCCACAGAGCCCCACCCACTTCTTTCCCGACCGCGCCATCCTTCCTCACTCCCGGCCTCCTCTCTAGCCAATCACCGCTCAGTTTAACGTCATCACCGAGCGCCATCAGGGAGCGTGTCAGAGGCCGACCACGTGTACTGTGGAGACTGTCAAAGTCTCCCGGAGCCCAATTTCCGGAAGCGGTGAGTTCTGAAAGAAGTTCCTGCACCGTAGTTTCCCAAGTCTGCGAATCCCCAACCATGAGCGCCTCGGGCGTACTGTCCTTTACCCAGCAAGGATGGGAGCAGGTGCTGGCCAAAGTGAAACGGGCTGTGGTTTACCTGGACGCCGCCTGCGCCGAGAGCCTGCACTGGGGCTGCGGATCCACCCGTCTCCTGGAGGCGGTGGGGGGTCCTGACTGTCACCTGCGAGAGTTCGAGCCCGACGCAATTGGTGGTGGAGCCAAGCAGCCCAAGGCAGTGTTTGTGCTGAGCTGCCTGCTGAAAGGCCGGACCGTGGAGATCCTACGGGACATCATCTGCCGCAGTCACTTCCAGTATTGTGTGGTGGTCACAACCGTGAGCCACGCTGTCCACCTCACAGCTAATCATGTCCCAGCGGCGGCAGCGGCCGAGATGGAGGGGCAGCAGCCGGTGTTCGAGCAGCTGGAGGAGAAGCTGTGTGAATGGATGGGCAACATGAACTACACGGCCGAGGTGTTCCATGTCCCGTTATTGCTTGCCCCTGTTGCTCCCCACTTTGCCTTGACTCCAGCTTTTGCATCCCTTTTCCCACTGCTACCCCAGGATGTGCACCTCCTTAATAGCGCCCGACCGGACAAGAGGAAGCTGGGAAGCCTGGGTGATGTGGACTCCACTACGCTAACCCCAGAGCTGCTGCTGCAGATCAGATGCCTAGTGTCAGGCCTCAGTTCTCTGTGTGAACATTTAGGAGTACGGGAGGAGTGTTTTGCTGTAGGTTCCTTAAGTCAGGTCATCGCTGCGGATCTGGCCAATTATGCCCCTGCAAAGAACAGGAAGAAGACTGCTGCAGGCAGGGCATCAGTGGTTTTTGTGGACAGAACCCTGGATCTCACAGGTAAGTGCATTGCTCTG
Organism: Homo sapiens; assembly: GCF_000001405.40. NCBI lineage: Eukaryota > Metazoa > Chordata > Mammalia > Primates > Hominidae > Homo > Homo sapiens. Next base: position 53,365,086 of record NC_000004.12, on the reverse strand, counting down.
GAGTTCTTCATTACCATTCCCCACATTGCTGGGACTTTCATTGATTCAGCATATATTTTATTGACCTTTTATTATATATTAGATTGAGGATACAAAGATGAACTAGATGGACACGGTCTCTAATCTCACAGAGTTTATTGTCTAAAGTGGAATACAGACAGGTGAATTAGCAATTACAATAACATTTGTTAAATGCTGTAATGGGTAGAAATGTCATAAATGCCCATTGCCTTGTTAAACAACAACTTTAGCCCAAGATTATGCTGACAGGGAGGAAAACTGTGCACCTGGGAAATTTTATTTTTAGAAATTTACGAATGCCAGTATTCACAACAGTCCTTCATAAGAAGACTCTGGTTTGTTGGAGAAGTGTTAATAGATGACCCAGCGGAAGGAAAACTACTGCACAAGAAAACATAAAATTATTACAGACAATTGAGGTTTAGGAAATGAGTGTTCAAAAGTGAGGCTGAACTTAAATGTTACTAGTAAATGAGATGAAATAGAATTGTAGAAAATATTTTCAAATGTTTATTGATTTATTTTTAGCTCTCATTGTATTAAAGATTAAGTAAATAATCTCAAATTGTAATAATGTATTATTTACACAAAAGAAACAAATGTAATCCTTAAAGCAGATGAAGAAAAGACACTTTCTGATGTTTGATATGTTATTTTCAAAGGTCAACTTTATTGTTCTCTAATTAGGTTGTATAATACTGTTAGTAATATAGCCTAGCCACTTCCAAGTCCAGGGAGAATAATCGGAAAACTGACATTGGTAGGCATTCCCTTTAATCGGTCAGAAAAAAAGTTGAATTAAGTTATAAAAAACGAAATAGGTATATTTGAGTTTTTAATCTTAATAAGATTAATTTTCAGATAAAAAATGGAAAGTAGGCTAAATGGTAATACTGAGATGTAAACTTAATTATGTGACTGGAAAAACCAGGTGTCCAGTCTGTGATTTAAATATATAAGTAATAACTGTAGCATCACAGAGTCCATAGGGGATTAAAAGATAAAACCTGATAAGTAGATGCTTGTTGAGTTTTTTTGTGGATGCTATATATTACTGTTACTTCTATCTCTTTATGCCAAAAATGTAGCAAAGTTGTTTCATAATCAACTGGGAAGTTCACATAATTTTGTACCCTCCCCTAAGACTTCTGTTAGGCAAAACTTAATATCCCACTGTCCAGCATCATAGTAACAGCTCTTTACATCTTCAGTAGGTAATGCTTTTTTTTTTTTTTTTTTGAGACGGAGTCTCTCTCTGTCGCCCAGGCTGGAGTGCAATGGCGCAATCTCGCGAGGCTCACTGCAAGCTCCGCCTCCCGGGTTCACGCCATTCTCCTGCCTCAACCTCCCGAGTAGCTGGGACTACAGGCGCCCGCCACTACGCCGGGCTAACTTTTCGTATTTTTAGTAGAGACGGGGTTTCACCGTGGTCTCGATCTCCTGACCTCGCGTGATCCACCCGCCTCGGCCTCCCAAAGTGCTGGGATTACAGGCGTGAGCCACCGCGCCCTTTTTTTAAACATACAGAATAAATAAGGTGAGCATAACTTCTGCCCTCTAAAAGTTTACAATATAATGTAGTCAAGTATCAATATAACGTAGTCAAGTATGATTTAGAGCCCGGCACAGTGGCTCATGCCTGTAATCCCATCACTTTGGGAGGCTGAGGGGGGCAGACTGCTTGAGCTCAGGAGTTTGAGATCAACCTGGGCAACACAGCAAAACTCAATCTCTACAGAAAATTTAAAAATTAAATAAAAAATGAAAAAACTAGCCAGGTGTGGTGACCTGTAGTCCCAGCCACTCAGGAGGCTAAGGTGGAGGATAACTTGAGCCCAGAAGGCAGAGGTTGCAGTGAACCACCATCACATCCCTGCACTCCAACCTGGGTGACAGAGTCAGATTCTGTCTCAAAAAAGAAAAAAAAAAGAAAAAAAGAATGATTTGCAAAATAAAGACACATAGAAAGACAAAGTTGCCATTTGGCAGCAATCATTTTATAGATTCTCCCTTATCAAGTGTCCAGATCTCCTTCCCCATACTCACTTTTCTCGCTTCTAATATCACTGAGAAAATATAAGCCACTAAACAAATCTGTATTTTCCCATCACCAAATCTACCACCCTTCCTACATCTGTACCCATGTCTTTTTCCTTCCTTCATATTGAAAAGAAATATACTGTCCCTGCCACTAACGCCAACTTTTTCACCTATGTAGACTAAAGCCTCTCTTTTCACTTCTCTCATAGATTTACTGTTTTTCAAATACCCTCTCCCTTTCTTAGATCATCATTTTTTCCTTTTCTCTGTATTTTCACCCAGGGAACATCTTCTGTCTTGACCTCTCATGCTCTTCCAACTTCAATTCCATTTTTTTTTTTGCTTTATTTTATAGCAAACTTGAAAGAGTTGTCTATACTTGTTGTCTCCACAAACATCTGCTCCAATTTTCTCTTGACTCCAGTTAGAGTTTTATTTTCCAATACTTCCCAGAAACTTCCTTTGTTTTATTACCACACTAATTCTACTGAACTTCAAAGCAGCATTTGACACAGGAAAGCATGCAAATAGTTAAAAAACAATTAAAGAAGTATGAAACCTATACAGACAAGCAACCACTTAGGCCAGCTTCTTATATAATCCCTCAAAGCATAACTATGACATATCATTTACTTGCTCAGTATTCAAGTGGCCTCTGATCATACCTCCTGTCAAGTTCCTCACTGTTGTTTTCAAGGCCATACCTGATCTCCCCTCTTACAACATTGGCTACCTTGCCATTGTCAGACATGCTAAGCATGTTCCAGCCTCAGGGCCTTTGCATTTCCTCTGCAGCTCTGCTTGGGATGTTCTTCTTCGAGGTATCCATATGGCTTTCTCCCTCACATCATTCCTGCTCCTCAGAGAGGCCTTCCTGGGTGAACTTCTTTGACACTCTCTTACCCTTACCTGGCTTTATTTGTCATAGCCTTTACTATTCCCTGACACTACTAATTGATCATTTATTACCTGTCTCCTCCCACTTGAATGGAAGTTCTTGAAGGGAGGGACTCTGTTTTGTTTACTGTTTATTAACCAGCAAGAGTACCTTCAAAACAGTAGGTATTCAATATATATTTATTGAATGAATGGATAAATGAGTGGATTAAAGGTCGTAGATACCAGACATTAATTGAAATTAACACACTTATTTTTTCTAATTGAAAATGTTTCCGAGATTCTTGAATCATATCATTAGTAATACACAAATGCAGAAAAAACGATGCACACTGAATAGTCTAAGATTTGGCAGCTTGGGCTCACAGGAAAACTTAAGAAAGAAAATAATGATATTAGCTAGTCATATTTATATGAGTATTTTATAGATAAAAACCACTTCTTACCGGGTGTGGTGGCTCATGCCTGTAATTCCAGGCTGAGGCTGGTGAATCACTGGAGCCTAGGAATTCAAGAACAGCCTGGGCAACAGAGTAAGACCCTGTCTCTATAAAAAATACAAAAATTAGCCAGGTATAGTGGCTCATGCCTGTGGTCTCAGTTACTTGTGAGGCTGAGGTGTGCAGATTGCTTGAACCTGGGAGTTTGAAGCTGCAGTAAGCTGTGATCGTGCCATTGCACTCCAGTCTGGGTGACAGAGCGAGACCTTGTCTCGAATAAATAAGTAAAAATAAAAATCCCACTTTTACATTACCTTATTTGATCTCAACAAATTGAGTTAAGTGTTCTTTATCATTTTAAGAATTAAGATATTGAGGCTCAAAAGTTGTTCCTTACTAAAAAAAGCATAAGAGTTAGTTAGCCAGATGTGATGGTATTGTGTCACATTTGACATTTAATTCTGTAAATGTCAAAGTTCAACATCTTTTGTTTTTTGAATTGTCAAAGAGAGAGTTAGTTTTGTATTGTTAGTGTAAAGTCCTTACTTTCTTTACATTTGTTAAGAATCCTTCTGCTAGTAGGTGGTCTTCCAGGGTGAATGAATGGTTAAGTTAGCGAAGGTACTCAGTAGCAGGTTTGTGTGGGAGAGGGCATTTTAGGTACATGAGATCAGTGAAACAATATTTAATGTTGAAAGGGGCATTGCTCAAAGGGAAAAAATAGAAGATTTCTCTGGGTAGATTCAAGGCAACATGTAAAAAGAGTAAGAAAAATTCAGCTACCCTGTCAAGAGCCTGAGAGGAACCATGAAAATATTAGTCTCAATGGGATGCTATGGGCATTCTAACACAAGATATGATGATAAAGCAATGAGATTGAACCCCCAAAAGTTACTTGAGGTATTCCTCAAATACATTAAAAATTATAAAGACTCCGCTTCCTTCTTACCTAGTTGAATAATTAAATTCAAAAACATTTAGGTAGGGCTCAGTGAGGTAGGTGTCTGGCAGGGAGGAAGACCTTGGCTGGGCCCTGGGTGTTGGATCCCAAGTGGGGTGAGATCTCCTGAGAAGGGTGAGGTCACCTGCTTAGTGGTGGTAGGTGACAGCAGCAATGGCCTGGTAGGGTGATAAAGCCAGAATGGCCAGGGCCCAGTGTATTTGCCTATCTACTGGTTTATGGAACCAAGTTTTGATTTGTGGTCCTCTCTGAAACCAATCAGCTTTGAGCACAGGATACTCAAGAAGTGTCCATGATCTACATCCCATTTAAAAATTATCACCTGCTCACTTTTAGAAGGATTAAAATTACTGCTAGATGGTGGAGGGTAGACTTTGGAAGATAGATTTTAATCAGGGCTAGTTTGTTACTGTGATCCTAATAACTGATAAATTGATGTCTTTTTAATAGATACCTTTTGGATAATCATCCAGATTATCTTCCAGATGATCAGCTTAAAATCTCATTTGGTTCAAAGATGTTTCCACATAGTGTTACATCCCATATTAGTGATATACAGGATTGATTTTCAGTGGGTACATAGCTGTATTGTCAAACCTTTTGTTTAAATGTTGAAGTACTTCTGTATTAGTGAGTAAAAATAACCCCTCTACTTATTAAGACCACAAGTCACCAAATACTGTTGTCCAGTGGAGGCAATAGATAGAGCCTAGAAGCATGCTAGTGTGGATGCAGCTGGCCCCCTAGGGGCACTGAGGGAACTGAGGCAGTGGAGGTCATGGTGGCTCCATGGTAATAGTGAATGAGAAAAGGCAGCACTTGCCCACTGTTTCAGAGTGGCCCCACATTGAATGAGGTAGTAGGGTAGATGATGTTAGTGGCATTATTGTTGGCAAGGGTGCTCCTGGCCCTGGCATTCTGGAGAATACATGGTCATGATGCTCACATTTTTAATGGATTTGCCCTTCTGGATGCAGCAAGCTTAGGGAGCTGGGAAGCTCATGACTATCAGCTTAATGGAGTAGTTGTTACAAGAGTTTGGTGAGGTTTCTTACATCAAATTGTGGCTTAGATTGAGGCATTGTTTAGCCAGTGACAGCTGAAGCAAAAAAAAGATTGTACCAACAACTTCTAAAAATCAGAAGGGTTTTACGTTTTATTTTTTGTAAAGACAGGGATTTCACTTTGTTCGCAGGCTGGTCTCAAATACCTGACTTCAAGCAATCCTCCTGACTTGGCATCCCAAAGTGCTGGGATTACAGGCCTGAGAGGTGATTTGAAAATTGTTAGAATGACTTAAATGATTTGAATTTCAATTTAAGAGACTTGACAGCCATTTTAATATAGAGACCAAAAGGAAATACATTTTTCAGTCTTTGATTTAGACGTTAATTTATATATTAATTTATGTTATTAGATGCTAAATATTTTGGATGCTAGCCTTGTTAATTTACTATTAGAAAATTTATATATTTATATTTCTTCTTAGATGTGAAATTGGCAGTATCAAAAATAACCTCAAATAATTCAGAAGTACTTGACATTGTTAACATCATGTTTACAATGTAGACAAGTTTCTTTCTCATCTTTTGGTTATCATCTTTGCTGAAAGTAGTATTTCTTTGTCTAAATGTACTTTTTTTTTTAACAAATATTTATTGAGTGCCTATTTTGTGCTAAGCACTGTTCCAGGTAATAGCGAAACAGTGGTAAACAAGATAGACAAGTTCCTTTCTCTCCTGGTTATCCAGTTGATAAGCACTCAGGGCTTAAATATAAAAAGTTGTAATTGTTTGAGAAGTAAATGGCCACTGATGCCCATCTCTTTCATTCTGGCTTACTTTGACCATGTCCAGACTACCCAGAGTTTGGACACCTATGGGTCAGGCATGTTTGCATAGAGGATTTAAGTCAGCATTCTGTGGGCCATTCTGGCTTCTGATTTGTTTCCAGGGACAATTAAAAAAGAGACTTGATTCATGAATTCCTAAAATATTTGAGTTTGGTTTCCTTTCATGTTCTGGCTCTTGAGATTGGCTAGAGTGTTTTGCTAATAGTTTTCAAGTTCAAAATTAAAAGGTAGGAGATGGTGGTAACGATGGGAATTAAATTTACTCTCTTAGTTCAATTCTGAATTTTAGCTTCATGTAAACTTTTTTTTTTTTTTTTTTCCCTGAGACAGCGTCTCACTGTGTTGCCCAGGCTGGAGTGCAATGGCACCATCTCGGCTCACTGCAACCTTCACCTTCCAGGTTCAAATGATTCTTGTGCCTCAGCCTCCCAAGTAGCTGGAATTACAGGCAGGAAAGCCACCACCACGCCCAGCTAATTTTTGTATTTTTTTGTTTTGTTTTGTTTTTTAGTAGAGATAGAGTTTCACCATGTTGGCCAGGCTGGTCTTGATCTCCTGACCTCAAGTGATCTGCCCACCTCAGCCTTCCAAAGTTTTGGCATTACAGGCAGCTTCATGCAAACTTTTAAATTAAAATCCTTTTGATTAAAGATTAACTCTCATTCCAGTGGATGGTTCTTAATCCTGGGATTATGATACACTGAAGTGTTTATATTTGCTTTAAGGTGTGATTTTATATTACTTGTCAAAGTATTGAAATTTGAGTCCACTAGTAATGGCTAACATTTGAAAATGAACTGTTTATCTCAGCACTCTGCATATGTAAATTCCTTTAATTTTCACAATAATTTTTGAGATAAGTATTATAATTATCCCAATTTTACGGATGAAACTGAAGCACAGAGGAGTTAAATAACTTGCCTCAGATTACACATGTGTTAAGTGGCAGAGCTAGGATTTGAACCTTGGCAGTTTGCTCCAGTGACTACTCTCATATGTGGGTGTGGGAAAAGTTTGAGAACTGTTGTCCTGCACAGTAGAGATGATCATTATATGGTGTGTCCGGAAGTTAGCAGCTTCAGAGACTAAACATTTGGACTCCAGTGCTGCTTTAGTGCTCAGAAAAGTGTCTGATTTTTTTTCTCCCCGATCTGCTTTTCCAAAACATGCAAACTAACTAACTTATATCTTTATTTCAGGGTTCAGAAGATACTATTTAAAATAAATAGGTATGAGACACAGTTGGGAAGCCATATAAAGGCTGACTAGATTTTTGGTGTTAGATCCATGCCAGGATAACCTCACATCCTGGCTTAGTGACTTTTTTTGTGCTATTTGACCCTCATTGAGCTGTTGAGGTTTTCTCATTTGTAAAGAGGGAAAAATATCCACCTGTTTTTGTATTCTAACCTGTGGGAAGAATATGAAATAATTCCTTTTTTTTTTTGAGACAGAGTCTTGCACTATTGCCCAGGCTGGTATGCAGTGGCTCAATCTCAGCTCACTGAAACCTCCGCCTCTTGGATTCAAGCGATTCTTGTGCCTCAGCCTCCTGAGTGGCTGGGATTATAGGCACATACCTCTATACCTGGCTAATTTATATATATATATTTTTTAGTAGAGATGGGGCTTTACCATGTTGGCCAGACTGGTCTTAAACTCCTGACCTCAAGTGACCCTCCCACCTCAGCCTCCCAAAGTGCTGAGATTACAGGCATCAGCCACCGAGCCTGGCTTGAAATAATTCCTTCATTCAAAAATACATATTATCTATTACTCAAGGAATAGGGGAAATAGTGCTAAAAATATCCAAATCCTTCCAGTTAGGAAGTTTAAATTTTGTTTGGGAATGAAGACAGTAAACAAATTACTAATATCAGTATAATAATATGGGCTATTAATATTAATGAAGGTAGGTGTGGTGGTTTAAAAATATGTCTACAACCCTGTCTCTACTAAAAAATACAAAAAATTATCCGGGCGTGGTGGCAGGCGCCTGTAGTCCCAGCTACTCCGGAGGCTGAGGCAGGAGAATGGCGTGAACCGAGGAGGTGGAGCTTGCAGTGAGCCGAGATCGCGCCACTGCACTCCAGGCTGGGTGACAGAGCAAGACTATGTCTCAACAAAAAAAAAAAAAAAAAAAAGTCTACAAGTTGGGTGTGGTGACTCACACCTGCAACCCCAGCACTTTGGGAGGCCAAAGTGGTGGATCACTTGAGCCCAGAAGTTCGAGACCAGCCTTGGCAATATGGTGAAACCCCATCTCTACAAAAAATACAAAAAATTAGCTGGGCATGGTGTTGCATGCTGTAGTGCCAGCTCTTCAGGAGGCTGAGGTGGGAGGATCACCTGAGTCTGGGAAATCTAGGCTGCAGTGAGCCATGATTGAGCCACTGCACTCCTGCCTGGGCAACAGAGCAAGACCTTGTCTCTCTCTCTCTATATATGTCTACAAATTCTTTGATACCTCTTCCTTCAAGAAATACAGTTTAAATTCCCCTGCCCTTGAGTGTGGGCTAGGTTTAGTGACTCACTTATCCCCTTCTCCCTAAAATAGCATAGGGCAGAAATGCAGAAGTGTAATTTTCAAGACCAGGTCCTAAAAGGTATTGCATCTTTTTCTTTGCTTTGTTCTTTTGGATCACTGGCTCTGAGGGAAGTTAGCTACCATGTCATGAAGAGACTCAAGCAGCCCTATGGGAGGCCCATGTAGTGAGGAAATGGGATTCCTTTCAACAGCCAATGAGGAACTGAGGCCTCCTGTCAATAGCTTTGTGAGTGAGCCATCTGAGAAATAGATCCTCCAGCCCAGTCAAGCATTCAGATGACTGCAGCCCCAGCTGACATATTGACTGCAATTTTATGAGAGTCTCTGAGTCAGACCCAGTTAAGCCACTCTGAATTCTTGGATGCATAGAAACAGTTGAGATTAATACATGTGGTTTTAAGACAGTAAGTTTTGAGAGGATGCGACATTTGAACAGAGGCCGAAAGAAGGGAGGAAGCATACCATGTGGCTACCTAATGATAGAACATATAAGATCCAGGGAATGGCAAGTGCAATGGGCCTAAGGTGGGAGCATGTGTGTCATGCTTGAGGACCACTAGGAGCCCAGTTTGGCTAAAGTGTTGTGAGCAAGAGGGAACACCGATAGGAGATCAGTTGGAGGGGTAGGTTGAGGGAATGCTTTGTAGGTTAAAATAAGGATTTAGAATAATAGCCAAAGTATAATGGGAATCAGTTGGAGAGTTTTGAGCTGTGATGTGATATGATCAAATTTATGTTATATAGGATCATTTATGTAAAGAGTATGAGGATTGAGGTAGATCCTCAATATATGGTAGCTACTGTTACTAAAGAGATTACGAGAGCTTAGTTATAGTAATCTTAGCTCTGCCCTTTCCTAGTCAAAAGTCCTTGGGCAAGTTGCCTAACTTCTGCCTCTCAGTTTCCTGATCTGTAAAATAAGGACCTCAGAGAGTAACTGAGAGGGTAAAATAAGTTAACATGTCTATCTTCTAGAATAGCTAGAGAAAAAAATGAAGTAGAGTAAGTGAAAGGTTCCCCCTGCATGATCCTGCAAGATCACTACAATTCTGGTTACTCAAGACAGTGTTAAAAATGGTATGAATGATCTCTGTTCATTTCATAAGCATATTAGTCAGGATTCTCCAGAGGGACAGAACTAACGGAATATATGTATTGAGCTCTTATGAAGACTTCTCAATGCTTGCTTCTCATTTTATTCCATATAAGACTTAAAGACAAGTGAAGATGTTACATGCCTTATGATAATGACACTGACACACATAAAATCCACAGGATCATACAGAATTGGTATTTTCTGGTCCCGGTAACTTGAAAAGTTTAGCCCTTGAAGCAATTGGCTTAATTTAGGATCTCAAATCCTTGAAGCAATTGGCTTAATTTAGGATCTCAAATCCTGGGAATAGTTTCAACTATCTGGGAAACTAAGGTGGGAGAGTTGCTTGAGCTCAGAGTTCAAGGCTACAGTGAGCTATGATTGCACTCCAGCTTGGGCAACAGAGTGAGACTCTGCCTCTAAAAAAAAGAAAAAAAAATAGAAGAAAAAGAAAAGAATATAAAAAAATTCAGCTTTAAAATTTCAGGATAGTATCATCTTATGACACTATTTACCTGACTGACTAGATACAGGTTATTTATTTATTCATTCATTAAGCAAATGCTTATTGATGCCTACTATATGTAGGCACTGTGCTAGTGAGAGGTGACAAAGTGTTAGCAGCCCTTGCTCGCTCTCAGTGCCTCCTCGGCCTCGGTGTCTGCTCTGGCCACACTTGAGGAGCCCTTTAGCCTGCCGCTGCACTGTGGGAGCCCCTCTCTGGGCTGGTTGAGGCCGGAGCCAGCTCACTTGGCTTGCCGGGAGATGTGGAGGAAGAGGCACGGGCAGGAACCAGGCCTGCACTGCGGCGCTGGCAGGCCAGTGTGAGTTCCATGTGGGCGTGGGCTCGGCGCGCCCCACACTTGGAGTGGCCGGCCGGTCCAGGCAGTGAGGGGCTTAGCACCTGGGCCAGCAGCTGCAGAGGGTGCGCTGGGTCCCCCAGCACTCCCAGCCCACCCACACCACGATTGAATTCTCGCCAGGCCTCAGCCACCTCCCCGCGGGGCAGGGCTTGGTACCTGCAGCCCGCCATGCCCGAGCACCACCCCTTCCCCCTGTGGGCTCCTATGGGGCCCGAGCCTCCCCAACGGGCACTGTCCCCTGCTCCGCAGCACCCTGTCCCATCGACGGCCCAAGGGCCGAAGAATGTGGGCACGTGGTGCAGGACTGGTGGGCAGCTCCAGCTGCAGCCCTGGCGCGTGATCCACTAGGCGAAGCTAGCTGGGCTCTTGAGTTGGGTGGGGACTTAGAGAACTTTTATGTCTAGCTAGAGGATTGTAAATGCACCAATCAGCACTTTGTGTCTAGCTCAAAGTTTGTAAATGCACCAATCAGCACCCTGTGTCTAGCTCAAGGTTGGTAAATGCACCAATCAGTGCTCTGTGTCTAGCTAATCTAGTGGGGACTTGAAGAAAGTTGTGTCTAGCTGAAGGATTGTAAATGCACCAATCAGCACCCTGTGTCTAGCTCAAGGTTTGTAAATGCACCAATCAGTGCTCTGTGTCTAGCTAATCTAGTGGGGACTTGGAAAACTTTCGTGTCTAGCTAAAGGATTGTAAATGCACCAATCAGCACTCTGTGTCTAGCTCAAGGTTTGTAAATGCACCAATCAGCACCCTGTCAAAATGGACCACTCAGCTCTCTGCAAAATGGACCAATCAGCTCTCTGTAAATGGACCAATTAGCTCTCTGTAAAACGGACCACTCAGCAGGATGTGGGTGGGGTCAGATAAGGGAATAAAAGGAGGCTGCCCGAGACAGCAGTGGCAACCTGGTTGGGTCCCTTACCACACTGTTGGAGCTTTGTTCATTTGCTCTCTGCAATAAATATTGCTGCTACTCACTGTTTGGGTCCGTGCATGCCTTTATGAGCTGTAACACTCATGGTGAAGGTCTGCAGCTTCACTCCTAAGGCCAGTGAGACCACGAACCCACTGGGAGGGATGAACAACCCCAGAGGAGAGGAACGAACAACTCCAGACGCGCTGCCTTAAGAGCTGTAACACTCACCGCGAAGGTCTGCAGCTTCACTCCTGAAGCCAGCGAGACCACGAACCCACCAGAAGGAAGAAACTCTGAACATGTCCGAACATCAGAAGGAACAAACTCCGGACACACCATCTTTAAGAACTGTAACACTCACCGTTGAGGGTCTGCGGCTTCATTCTTGAAGTCAGCAAGACCAAGAACTCACCAATTCCAGACACGCTAGGTGCTAGGGATACAGTACTAGCCACAGCAGACATGAGTTCTGCCCTCATGGAGCCTTAATTACAACCTGTGAGGTACATGTTGACTAGGTGATTGTGAATGTGATTAGCTGTATGAAGGGCAAAATGTGAGTTTTGTTGAACAGAAACTAAAAATGTATGTTATTTTTGATAGAAGGTGTGTGATAAAACATTTATCCAACTTGCTTTTTCCTCCCATTTTATGAATTTACATCATCTTGTCTGCTTAAACAGGAGCAGTTGGACATCATGGAGACAACTTAGTAGAGAAGATCATTTCAGCACTTCCCCAGCTCCCAGGCCACACAAATGATGTGATGGTTAACATGATAGCGCTCACTGCACTCCATACTGAGGAGGAAAATTATAATGTGGTTGCACCAGGCTGTCTTTCACAATCCAGGTAAGATATATAGTTTTTGTCATCTTATCTTTCTCTGTCTTCCCCTTTCTTTTTCTCCTAGACTGAGTATTCCCATAGGAAAAAAGCAATGAAGAATTGGTCTGGTTGAAAATTTCACAGTGGGTAGCATTTAGCAAAAAGCATTTTTTCTTAATTTTGAAATAACCACATCCACTAAACATAATAATCCAGAAAGTATGGAATTTTATAGAACTGTCATTTACATGTAATATAAGCTTGTTCCCAGGATTGGTTAAGTGAATCAGTTTATGTATCTCCATTTCACAGATAGTTTCACATGGAATTGAGTCTAGTCTTCCTCAGTTTCTTTTTCCCAGTTGACTTTTTCACATCACTAAAAAGCAACTCAAACAGCAATGAAACCATGCCATCTTTTTATATTAGATGATATACCTGTGGATATCAACAGAAGTTTTTATTTCTAAGTATATTTTTTTTCACATGCTTAGAGGAATCAAAGAGAGAAGATTATGTACGTTGTTATGCAGAGTTTAAAAAATAAGAATTTCTCCAGAAATGACAATGAAAATATATGATAGTCACTTTCTCAACTTTGTCCTTCATTAACAATTCTCTTGGGAATTACTCTTGTTTGAAAAAATAAAAGTATTAGAAGGGAAAAAAGTATGTAAGTGTATCTGTTTTTTATTTTCATGTTTTATATTTTTAAATAAAACAGGATCTTTCAGTATTATAGTTTTAAATCTTCACTGTAGCAGATGCATTTGGAATTTCCTCCCATATTTATTAATATAATTAGTATATGTAGCTCCTGAAGTTTTTAGCCTTTTTGTAGATATTTAAGAATACTTATTGGATACCCAATGTTTGTGGGTCAATGTGGGAAGAAAATGGGAAGTTCTAGACTTTTGTCCATTTGGTGTGTTTACACATACAATAAAAGCATAGGCCTAAAGGCTTGCAGCTCTACAAACCCAGAAGTAATGTGATTGGAAACACATTTAACTGTTCAGAGAGCCATTCAGAAGTTAATTATTAAGGACTTAACTGTGAGCCTTACTCTAGGTTAACTAACAGGAACGACATAAAATAATATATTATTATTCAAACACTCTTTTTGTTGGGGAGTCATGATTTATACCCAAGCATAATTTGAAAAGAATAGAAATGATATGAAGTTAAGATTAATGTATCTGCTATGGAGTATAATTTCTACAAGTATCAGGTTAATGTAGTCTTTGTAGATCAATGTAGACCTTGAGGAAGTGGCACTGCTTTAATTATGTCTTGAATGACTTAGAAAAGAGGAGGGGGTTGATGTGAACCAAAGTATAGAAACAAAAAATGGTCAGGGCCTGACGTCAGTGAGAGATGACCTCATTGGACCACTTCTGTCATCTGCTCTGTTCACATTTTTTGGGAGTTATGATGAGCTAGATACACTTCCAAGCATTTTACGTTTGGGAAATTAAGCTTTACAGTATCCTAATGAGGTAGATGTTGTTATTCCCCTATTTTATTGGTAAGGAAACTGAGGCAAAGAGACATTAAGTAACAGAGTTCGTGGGAGGTAGAGCTAGAAATGAGTCCAGAATGTTTGACTTTAGGCCAGGTACAATGGCTTATGCCTGTAATCCCAGCACTTTGGGAGGCTGAGGCTGGTGGATCACCTGAGGTCAGGAGTTTGAGACCAACATGGCCAACGTGGTGAAACCCTGTCTCTACTAAAAATACAAAAATTAGCTGGGCATGGTGGCAGGTGCCTGTAATCCCAGCTACTCAGGAGGCTGAGGCACGAGAGTATCTTGAACCTGGGAGGAGGAGGTTGCAGTGAGCCAAGATTGTGCCATAGCACTCCAGCCTGGGCAACAGAATGAGACTCCATTTCAGGAAAAAAGAAAAAGTTTGACTTTTGAGCCACTGTCTTAACTTCTATGCTATCTATGTGAAGGGTCCAGAGAAGAGCTAGGCTCTTGAATAGATTTAAAGAGATGACAGACAAAAATAAAGTTACTCTTTGAGTTAATTTGGGAGTCCTATGTTTTCAACATAGTGATTATACAAACAATGGAAATCAATTTTGGCTAATTTAAGCAATAAAGGGTTTTTAAAGGGTATTGGGTAGCTAAAAGAATGAAAGGAAGGATTATTAATCAGATTTTTGAAAGGACAAAATAGTTCTAGGAATATAGGAAGCAGAGGCTCAGGAAAAACCTGTTTAAGGCATTGACATTAGAGAGACTGAATTTTAACTGTTTTCTTTGAGTCCTTCTCCTTAAGATTCAGATTCTGGGGGAAATGGTAAGACTGACTTTTCTTGGCCATTGTGCCCACCTTTTGCCCAGTGTGGGTTGGGAGCTGTTTATACTGACTAGAATTATGCTAATATCATATGGCATGGCGGAGGGGTGGTTCTTCAAAGGAAAATGGAAACACTTATCAGAAGATGGGGGAACAGATGCTGGACATGCAAAAATAGTAGATGCCCCTTAGTAATAGCACACACTTACAGAGGACCTTTTGTGTAACAGGCATCATTCTGAGCACTTAATACATATTAACTTACGTACTTCTCACAATATCTCTATGAGGTGGATTCTCTTAGCGTCCCCGTTTATAGAAGACGAAGGAAGTTAAATAACATGCCTAAGGTAACGCATACAGTTAGACTTGGTGGAGGCCTATATTTGAACCCAGGCAGCCTGGCTCTAAAATTAGTGTTTACCATTACCCTGTGCCACTTCCACAGAAACCTAAGGTAATTACCAAAAAAATAAGTAAGCTCCCCAGAGGAGTTTGCTAAAAGAAAGAAGAGCCCATCATTGGACAGAGGTAAAGAAGCAAATTTTTAGAAGTGTAGTAGAACAAACATAGGTATAAAAGTATTTCAGTCCTATAAGTAATGTTTTGATTATAGTCACTTTATTTAACCTTGACTCCCCAGCACTGATTCTATTACAAGCTTAGACCAAGGCTAAGCCAATCTTGGAATCTCATTTCCCTTGGCAGTGATGCTTTAGAAATGGGCAAGTGACAAGAGAGAAAGTCTTAGGGCTTCTTGGTCAGGTTTCTTTGCTACTGACAAGAGACTCAATAGAAATATTCTTCCAGATGTGACCAATATGTCAGACATATTGAGTCTGATAACTGCTGCAGCTATCTTGCTCACATCTGGAAGTTAATGCTAACACGTGGAAGGTGGCCTTGCCAAGAGAACTGCAGAGAGGAGCAGCTATAAGCTCCTTGATGCACGATGTTTGGACGTCATGTTGTATGGGAGAATATATTTCCTGTTGTTTAAGCCAAATTTAGTTGCTGTTTTCTATCACTTGCAGACAAAGTCTTCATGACACATTTTTTACACCTCATTATTTCATCTTATAAAATGAGGGCATTGGCCTAAATGACTCCTAAGGCTTTTCTTGGGTTTAAAATAAAAATCGTTCCTAACTGAGCCCCTGCTGTGACTCAGCTCTGCCTCTCACTTAGGCTATGTTCATGTATACATATTTTGTCTCCATGGTCTTTGCCTTCATTCGCTGTCCTTTTCTTCTCATTAGACTATGAGTGAGTGTTATCATAGATTATGAGCTTTGAGTGCCATTCAAAAATCACACCTGTAATCCCAGCACTTTGGGAGGCCCAGATTGGTGGATCACTTGAGGTCAGGAGTTTGAGACCAGCCTGGTTAACATGGTGAAACCCCATCTTTACTTAAAAAAAAAATACAAAAATTAGCCAGGCATGGTGGCGCATGCCTGTAATCCCAGCTACTCGGGAGGTTGAGGCAGAAGAATCACTTGAATCTGGGAGGTGGAGGTTGCAGTGAGTTGAGATTGGGCCATGGCACTCCAGCCTGGGCAATAGAGTGAGACCCTGTCTCAAAAAAAAAAAAAAATATGGTCATAAGTGTCAAAGATGAGTCTAGAGGGATATAAATAAAGAAGAAAGCTTTAGAGATAGCAAGTTTGGTGAAATAGTGAAACCAGAAGTCAGGTTGTAAAAGATAAAGCGATAGGTGGTGAGAAAATTATAAACAAATAGAGGTCTAAAGCAATAACTGGGAGAAAAATGGTAGTTTTTTTCAATTGCTTGGAAGACTGAGGGAATTATGTTGATTAATTTATCTGCAAAAGAAGAATTGAAATAAATCACAACTTTCCTAGCACAATTTATATGTCTATCAAAACAATAATAACTACTACCTTCGACCAAACCTACCAGAAACTTCTCAATGAAATGAGAGTAAGGATAAAAATGTTAGTACTAAAAGGCAAAACAAATAAGTGCTTGGCAACAAATGTGCCTGCAATGGAAAAGTCTTTAAAAAGCAGTAAGCTTTGATAGTCAAAATTTATTTGCTAAGATAATTTTTATAAAAGGCTGTTTATAGCAATTGAAGTTACTGCCAATTTTTATAAAAGGCTGTTTATAATTATAGCAATTGAAGTTACTGCCAATGCAAATGAGAAATTGAGAACTTAAAATGCATTTTAACATGGCCTTCCAGTCCTTGTCTGTTGTTCTCTGGATTATGTGGAGTATTTCAACAAGAAGTAGGCAGAATCTTTTCTGCTTTTATGTTTTCCTCCTGTTGAAATGGGTTTTTATTCTGTGCCCCGCCTGGCTCCACTATCTCTAACCATTTTTAGGTCCTTAAATAACCTTCACCTGATGCCCTACTTGCATTTACTACATCTGCGCTTGGTGCTTCTGGCTCTGCGCTAACCCTGCACCTGCAGTGTTGCTGGTTCTGCTGGGTTCAGTATCTTTCTCTCCCATTGCTCTCTGTATGCCTTTTGGTGAAAGCCAAGACCTCACAATGGCCTACAATATTATGTGCCATCTGGCTTCCTGGTCCCCTCTGACTGTGTCTCTTCTTTTCTTCTTTGCAGCCACATAAGCTTCCTTGCTGTCCTTCCAATTGGACGTGCTGGGTCCTGCCTCAGGGCTTTGGCTCTTAAAGTTCCTCTGACTCAGATCATTATTCCTGCAGATACACACTTGGCACCATTTCCCTTTTTCCTTCTTAGTGGGGCCTTTCCTGTCCATCTTAGCACTTCATGTCCCCTTCCCTATTTCATTTTTTTTTCCTCCATAGCACTTACCACTTTCTAATATATTAATATTTATGTTGTATTTTGGTTTCTTCCTCTACTAGAGAGCTATGGAGAGAACTCTCCACTAGGGAGTTCCACGAGAGCAGGGATATTTATCTGATTTATTCACTGCTGCGTCCCCATTGCCAGGCACTCCCGGCATTCAAGAGATATTTGTTGAATGAACACATGGTGATGGATGCTGCCAGGGCAGGATCGGTGAGTGAAGTGAGGCTACTTGACTAAGACAGAGAGGGTGAAGCTGGAAGAGGGCATGGGGATCTCTAGACTCTGTGGAATGTTTTGAACACTGTCATTGGCTTAGTAAAAACATTTGCAAAAAAGGGGGAAACTATATTCACATTTGCTTATGACACATTAAATATATCTGGAGAATGTTTAAGACACTGATTACATTAGCTACCTCTTACACTGATGGCATTAGCTGCCTCTGTAGTGGAGTGCTGGGTGACTGGAGACACAGTGAGAAGTTAGTCAAATGAATGAGGATGGAGGCAGGAGGGAGATGTCTTACTACAAATATCAGTTTGAGTATTTTGAATTTTCAATCATGTGAAAGTTATTTGTTATTAAAAATAAATAGACATTGGGCTTAAATAAAAACATGATTTCCTTCTTAAGCTAGCTTAAGGTAGGGTTCTCACTTCTAGGAAAGAAAGTTGTTGTCTCTTACTTTGGAACCTCTACAAAGCTTCTCTCCCTTATATTGTCCTCCATCCTCACTGAACTGCTCTTCACTTTACAACTTCTATTAAAATGCCAGAACACTATACTATAATTGTTTACATGTCTCCTTCCTCCACTAGACTGTAAATTCTTTGAGAGTAGGAGATGTGCCCTGACACTTTTAAGATGTACTAGTGAACTGAGTACAGCAATCAATAAATGATTGAGTAAGTTGTAACATTAGACTTGAGGCCAAGGCTGGGGGTGGTGGCTCATGCCTGTAATCCCAGCGCTTTGGGAGGCCGAGACAGGTGGATCACTTGAGGTCAGGAGTTTGAGACCAGCCTAACCAACATGGTAAAACCCTTTCTCTACTAAAAATACAAAATTAGCCAGGTGTGGTGGTGCACACCTGTAATCTCAGCTACTTGGGGGGCTGAGGCAGAAGAATCGCTTGAACCCAGGAGGCAGAGGTTGCAGTGAGCAGAGATCGCGCCATTGCACTCCATCCTGGGCAACAAGAGTGAAACTCCCTCTCAAAAAAAAAAAAAAGAAAAAAAAAGATTTGAGGCCAAGTATAAAAATGGTGTCATAAATCCATGAAAAGCCTTATCTACTTCATTTTAGTACTTCAGTCATTGTCTACTATTGTTGATTGGTTTTTATATACTATACATATGAACATGTATAAATATCTTATTTCTTTTATTTATTTTTTAAACTTTTTTAAATTATACTTCGAGTTCTAGGGTACACGTGCACAACGTGCAGGTTTGTTACATAGGTATACATGTGCCATGTTGGTTTGCTGCACCCATCAACTCGTCATTTACGTTAGGTATTTCTCCTAATTGTATCCCTCCCCAAGCCCCCCCTAATCCACTCACAGGCCCTGGTGTGTGATGTTCCCCGCCCTGTGTCCAAGTGTTCTCATTGTTCAATTCACACCTATGAGTGAAAACATGTGGTGTTTGGTTTTCTGCCCTTGTGATAGTTTGCTGAGAATGATGGTTTCCAGCTTTATCCATGTCCCTGAAAAGGACATGAACTCACCCTTTTTTATGGATGCATAGTATTCCATGGTGTATATGTGCCACATTTTCTTAATTCAGTTGAAAATTGATGGACATTTAGGTCGGTTCCAAGTCTTTGCTATTGTAAATAGTGCCACAATAAACATACATGTGCGTGTGTCTTTATGGCAGCATGATTTATAATCCTTCGGGTATATACCCAGTAATGGGATTGCTGGGTCAAATGGTATTTCTACTCCTAGATCCTTGAGGAATCTCCACACTGTCTTCCACAATGGTTGAACTAATTTACACTCCCACCAACAGTGTAAAAGTTTTCCTATTTCTCCACATCCTCTCCAGCAGCTATTGTTTGATGATTTTTTAATGATCGCCATTCTAACTGGTGTGAGATGGTATCTCATTGTGGCTTTGATTTGCATTTCTCTGATGACAAGTGATAATGAACATTTTTTCATGTGTCTGTTGGCTGCATAAATGTCCTCTTTTGTGAAGTGTCTGTTCATATCCGTTGCCCACTTTTTGATGGGGTTGTTTTTTTTCTTGTAAATTTGTTTAAGTTCTTTGTAGATTCTGGATATTAACCCTTTGTCAGATGGGTAGATTGCAAAAATTTTCTCCCATTCTGTAGGTTGCCTGTTCACTCTTGTGGTAGTTTCTTTTGCTGTGCAGAAGCTCTTTAGTTTAAGTAGATTCCATTTGTCTATTTTGGCTTTTGTTGCCATTGCTTTTGGTATTTTAGTCATGAAGTCTTTGCCCATGCCTATGTCCTGAATGGTATTGCCTAGGTTTTCTTCTAGGGTTTTTATGGTTTTAGGCCTAATATTTAAGTCTTTAATCCATCTTGAATTAATTTTTGTATAAGGTGTAAGGAAGGGATCCAGTTTCAGCTTTCTACATGTGGCTAGTCACTTATCCCAGCACCATTTATTAAATAGGGAATCCTTTCCCCGTTGCTTGTTTTCTCAGGTTTGTCAAAAGTCAGGTGATTGTAGATGTGTGGTGTTACTTCTGAGGCCTCTGTTCTGTTCCATTGGTCTATATATCTGTTTTGGTACCAGTACCATGCTGTTTTGGTTACTCTAGCTTTGTAGTATAGTTTGAAGTCAGGTAGTGTGATGTCTCCAGCTTCATTCTGTTTGCTTAGGATTGTCTTGGCAATGCGGGCTCTTTTTTGGTTCCATATGAACTTTAAAGTAGTTTTTTCCAATTCTGTGAAGAAAGTCATTGGTAGCTTGATGGGGATGGCATTGAATCTATAAATTACCTTGGGCAGTATGGCCATTTTCGTGATATTGATTCTTGCTCTCCATGAGCATGGAATGTTCTTCCATTTGTTTGTGTCCTCTTTTATTTCGTTGAGCAGTGGTTTGTAGTTCTCCTTGAAGAGGTCCTTCACATCCCTTGTAAGTTGGATTCCTAGGTATTTTATTCTCTTTGTAGCAATTGTGAATGGGAGTTCACTCATGATTTGGCTCTCAGTTTGTCTGTTATCGGTGCATAGAAATGCTTGTGATTTTTGCACATTGATTTTGTATCCTGAGACTTTGCTGAAGTTGCTTATCAGCTTAAGGAGATTTTGGGCTGAGATGATGGGGTTTTCTAAATATACAATCATGTCATCTGCAAACAGAGACAATTTGACTTCCTTTTTTCCTAATTGAATATCCTTTATTTCTTTCACCTGCGTGATTGCCCTGGCCAGAACTTCCAACACTATGTTGAATAGGAGTGGTGAGAGAGGGCATCCCTGTCTTGTGCCAGTTTTCAAAGGGAATGCTTCCAGTTTTTGTCCATTCAGTATGATATTGGCTGTGGGTTTGTCATAGATAGCTCTTTTTGAGATACGTCCCATCAATACCTAATTTATTGAGAGTTTTTAGTATGAAGGGCAGTTGAATTTTGTCAAAGGTCTTTTCTGCATCTATTGAGATAATCATGTGGTTTTTGTCTTTGGTTCTGTTTATATGCTGGATTATGTTTATTGATTTGCATATGTTGAACCAGCCTTGCATCCCAGAGATGAAGCCCACTTGATGATGGTGGATAAGCTTTTTGATGTGCTGCTGGATTCAGTTTGCCAGTATTTTATTGGGGATTTTTGCATCGATGTTCATCAGGGATATTGGTCTAAAATTCTCTTTTTTGGTTGTGTCTATGCCCGGCTTTAATATCAGGATGATGCTGGCCTCATAAAATGAGTGAGGGAGGATTCCCTCTTTTTCTATCAGTTGGAATAGTTTCAGAAGGAATGGTACCAGCTCCTCCTTGTACCTCTGGTGGACTTTGGATGTGATTCTGTCTGGTCCTGGACTTTTTTTGGTGGGTAGGCTATTAATTATTGCCTCAATTTCAGAACCTGTTATTGGTCTATTCAGGGATTCAACTTCTTCCTGGTTTAGTCTTGGGAGGGTGTAAGTGTCTAGGAATTTATCCATTTCTTCTAGGTTTTCTAGTTTATTTGTGTAGAGGTGTTTATAGTATTCTCTGATGGTAGCTTGTATTTCTGTGGGATTGGTGGTGATAACCCCTTTATCATTTTTCATCACATCTATTTGATTCTTCTCTCTTTTATTAGTCTTGTTAGCGGTCTATCAATTTTGTTGATCTTTTCAGAAAACCAGCTCCTGGATTCGTTGATTTTTTTGATGGGTTTTTTGTGTCTCTGTCTCCTTCAGTTCTGCTCTGATCTTCGTTATTTCTTGCCTTCTTCTAGCTTTTGAATGTGTTTGCTCTTGCTTCTCTAGTTCTTCTAATTGTGATGTTAGGGTGTCAATTTTAGATCTTTCCTGCTTTCTCTTGTGGGCATTTAGTGCTATAAATTTCCCTCTACATACTGGTTTAAATGTGTCCCAGAGATTCTGGTATGTTGTGTCTCTGTTCTCATTGGTTTCAAAGAACATCTTTATTTCTGCCTTCATTTCGTTATGTACCCAGTATTCATTCAGGAGCAGGTTGTTCAGTTTCCATGTAGTTGAGCGGTTTTGAGTGAGTTTCTTAATCCTGAGTTCTAGTTTGATTGCACTGTGGTCTGAGAGACAGTTTGTTATAATTTCTGTTCTTTTACATTTGCTGAGGAGTGCTTTACTTCCAACTTTGTGGTCAATTTTGGAATAAGTGCAATATGGTGCTGGAAAGAATGTATATTCTGTGTATTTCAGTTAGAGAGTTCTGTAGATGTCTATTAGGTCTGCTTGGTGCAGAGCTGAGTTCAATTCCTGGATATCCTTGTTAACTTTCTGTCTCGTTGATCTGTCTAATGTTGACAATGGGGTGTTAACATCTCCCATTATTATTGTGTTGGAGTCTAAGTCTCTTTGTAGGTCTCTAAGGACTTGCTTTATGAATCTGGGTGCTCCTGTATTGGGTGCATATATATTTAGGATAGTTAGCTCTTCTTGTTGCATTGATCCCTTTATCATTATGTAATGGCCTTCTTTGTCTCTTTTGATCTTTGTTGGTTTAAAGTCTGTTTTATCCAAGACTAGGATTGCAACTGCTCCTTTTTTTTGTTTTCCATTTGCTTGGTAGATCTTCCTGCATCCCTTTGTTTTGAGCCTGTGTGTGTCTCTGCACGTGAGTTGGGTCTCGTGAATACAGCACAGTGATGGGTCTTGACTCTTTATCCAATTTGCCAGTCTATGTCTTTTAATTGGAGCATTTAGCCCATTTACATTTAAGGTTAATATTGTTGTGTGTGAATTTGATCCTGTCATTATGACGTTAGCTGGTTATTTTGTCCATTACTTGATGCAGTTTCTTCATAGTGTCGATGGTCTTTGCAATTTGGTATGTTTCTGCAGTGGCTGGTACCGGTTGTTCCTTTCCATGTTTAGTGCTTCTTTCAGGAGCTCTTGTAAAGCAGACCTGGTGGTGACAAAATCTCTCAGCATTTGCTTGTGTGCAAAGGATTTTATTTCTCCTTCACTTCTGAAGCTTAGTTTGGCTGGATATGAAATTCTGGGTTGAAAATTCTTTTCTTTAAGCATGTTGAATATTGGCCCCTACTCTCTTCTGGCTTGTAGAGTTTCTGCCGAGAGATCTGCTGTTAGTCTGATGGGCTTCCCTTTGTGGGTAACCCGACCTTTCTCTCTGGTGGCCCTGAACATTTTTTCCTTCATTTCAACTTTGGTGAATCTGACAATTATGTGTCTTGGAGTTGCTCTTCTCGAAGAGTGTCTTTGTGGCGTTTTCTGTATTTCCTGAATTTGAATGTTGGCCTGCCTTGCTAGGTTGGGGAAGTTTTCCTGGAAAATATCCTGCAGAGTCTTTTCCAACTTGGTTCCATTCTCCCTGTCACTTTCAGGTACACCAATCAGACGTAGATTTGGTCTTTTCACATAGTCCCATATTTCTTGGAGGCTTTGTTCATTTCTTCTCACTCTTTTTTCTCTAAACTTCTCTTCTTGCTTCATTTCGTTCATTTGACCTTCAATCACTGATACCCTTTCTTCCACTTGATCGAATTGGCTACTGAAGCTTGTGCATGTGTCATATAGTTCTTGTGCCATGGTTTTCAGCTCCACCAGGTCATTTAAGTACTTCTCTACACTGGTTATTCTAGTTAGCCATTTGTCTAATCTTTTTTCAAGGTTTTTAGCTTCTTTGTGATGGTTTCGAACATCCTCCTTTAGCTTGGAGAAGTTTGGTCATCTAAAGCCGCCTTCTCTCAACTTGTCAGTCATTGTCTGTCCAGCTTTGTTCCGTTGCTGACGAGGAGCTGTGTTCCTTTGGAGGTGAAGAGGTGCTCTGATTTTTAGAATTTTCAGCTTTTCTGCTCTGTTTTTTCCCCATCTTTGTGGTTTTATCTACCTTTGGTCTTTGATGATGGTGATGTACAATGGGGTTTTGGTGTGGATGTCCTTTCTGTTTGTTAGTTTTCCTTCTAACAGTCAGGACCCTCAGCTGCAGGTCTGTTGGAGTTTGCTGGAGGTCCACTCCAGACCCTGTTTGCCTGGGTATCAGCAGCGGAGGCTGCATAACAGCGAATATTGCAGATCGGCAAATGTTGCTGCCTGATCTTTCCTCTGGAAGCTTCGTCTCAGAGAGGCACCCAGCTGTGTGAGGTGTCCGTCGCCCCCTATTGGGAATTGCCTCACAGTTGGGCTACTCGGGGGTGAGGGACACACTTGAGGAGGTAGTCTGCCCGTTCTCAGATCTCAAACTCTGTGCTGGGAGAACCACTTCTCTCTTCAAAGCTGTCAGACAGTGACATTTAAGTCTGCAGAAGTTTTCGCTGCCTTTTGTTCAGCTATGCCCTGTCCCCAGAGGTGGAGTCTACAGAGGCAGGAAGGCCTCCTTGATTTGTGGTGGGCTCCACCCAGTTCTAGCTTCCAGGCTGCTGTGTTTACCTACTCAAGCCTCAGCAATGGTGGGCACCCCTTCCCCAGCCTCGCTGCCGCCTTGTAGTTTGATCTCAGACTGCTGTGCTAGCAATGAGCGAGGCTTTGTGGGCGTGGGACCCTCCAAGCCAGTCGCGAGATGTTATCTCCTGGTGTGCCGTTTGCTAGAACCGTTGGAAAAGTGCAGTATTAGGGTGGGAGTGACCCGATTTTCCAGGTGCCGTCTGTCACAGCTTCCCTTGGTTAGGGAATTCCCTGACCCCTTGCGGTTCCCAGGTAAGGTGATGCCTCACCCTGCTTTGGCTGTCGCTCGGTGGGCTGCACCCACTGTCCTGCCCCCACTGTCTGACAATCCCCAGTGAGATGAACCCGGTACCTCAGTTGGAAATGCAGAAATCACCTGTCTTCTGCGTTGCTCTCACTGGGAACTGTAGACTGGAGCTGTTCCTATTCGGTCATCTTGGAACCAATTCTGCCAGTTTGTTTTTGCTTGTTATATTTAGATCATTTAACAAAACTTTTGATATATTTGGATACCAGCCAACTATTTTAATTTTTGTTTTGTGTTTGTAGCCTCTGTTTTTCATTTATGTGTTTCTTTTATCCAGTCTTTCTGTGAGTTACTTGAACTTCTTTTTAGAATTTCATTTGATGTATGTAATAGCACTTTTTTTTTTCTTTTTTGAGACAGAGTCTCACTCTGTTGCCTAGGTTGGAGTGCAGTGGTGCAATCTTGGCCCACTGCAACCTCTGCCTCCCAGGTTTGAGCCATTCTCCTGCCTCAGCCTCCCGAGTAGCTGGGACTACAGGTGTGCACCACCATGCCTGGCTAACTTTTATGTTTTTTAGTAGGGACAGGTTTCACCATGTTGGCCAGGCTGCTCTTGAACTCCTGGCCTCAGGTGATCTGCCCGCCTCGGCCTCCCAAAGTGCTGGGATTACAGGCGTGAGCCACCACTCCGAGCCCTAACAGTGTTTTTAAATGTATCTTTTTATATTGTTTTTTCAGTAGTTACACTAGATATTACTTATAACAACTTATATATGTTGTATACATATATTATGTAATACATATTACATATATATAATATGTAATATACATTTACATATAATATGTATACATATATATGTAATAACATGTAATAACTTATCTCAATCTACTGATGTAATTTTAACTGTTTGAGTGAAGTATAGAAACATTAGCTCCCATAACTTCCCTTTACTCTCCCATACAAGTAATTTAGTCATCTTAATATTTCTGCTACTTACATTTAGAATCACATTTGAGTATAAGTTTTGTTTCCACCATCAAACAGTCTAGAAACCTGAAGTGAAGAAAAAAAGTTCATTGTATTTACTTATATTTTTCTCACTGTGTTCTTTTTTCCTCATATTTAAAGATTTCTTTTTTTTCTATTTAGAGAAATTCCTTTAGCTATTCTTTTAGAGTAGATCTGCTGCAACAAAATCTTTTAGTTTTCATTCATCTGAGAATATTTTGATATTTTCACTGGGTATAGGAGTCTGGGTTGGCAGTTTTTTCTCTTTCAGCACTTGAAAAATATACTGCTTTCGGCCAGGCGCGGTGGCTCACGCCTGTAATCCCAGCACTTTGGGAGGCCGAGGCGGGCGGATCACGAGGTCAGGAGATCAAGACCATCCCAGCTAAAACGGTGAAACCCCGTCTCTACTAAAAATACAAAAAATTAGCCGGGCGTAGTGGCGGGTGCCTGTGGTCCCAGCTACTCGGGAGGCTGAGGCAGGAGAATGGCGTGAACCCGGGAGGCGGAGCTTGCAGTGAGCCGAGATCCCGCCACTGCACTCCAGCCTGGGCGACAGAGCGAGACTCCATCTCACAAAAAAAAAAAAAAAAAAAAAGAAAAATATACTGCTTTCTTTTGGCCTCCATCTTTTTTATGAGAAACCTGCTGTCATTTAAATTGTTTCTCTTTTATAGTTAAGGTATCATTTCTGTCTTAGTGCTTTCAGAATTTTTCCTTGGCCTTTAGTTTTCAGAAGCTGAACTGTAATGTGTGTTGGTGTATATTTCCTTGGGTTTATTCTGTTTGGGGTTTATTTAGTGTATTGCATCTGTAGGTTTATGACTTGCAAATGTGAGAAGTTTTCAGCTATTATTTCTTCCAGTACTTTTTAAGTATCCTTCTCTTTCTTGTCTTCTTCTGGGATGCCAGTGATGGGCATATGAGTTTCTCATTGCTGCTATGCCAAATTACCATAAACTTTTAGTGGCTTAAAACAATACAAATGTATTATTATTTTAGTGTTCTGGATGTCAGAAGTCTGAAATCAGTCATACAGCCCTAAAATCAAAGTATCAGCAAGGCTGGTTCATTCTGGACTCCAGAATCTATTATTTGCCTCTTCTAGATTCTTGGGGCTGACTTGGCATTCCTTTGCTTATAGCCACATCATTTCAATCTGAACTTCTGTTTTCACATTGCCTTTTCCTCCAATTCTGTATCCTCTTGTATCCCTCCTATAAGGACTGTTGTAATTACATTGGACCTATCTGGATAATCTGAAAGGCAGATTATTAAATAGTCTGTTTATGCATTTTTTTTACTGAAGCAAAATTTATAATGTTTATAAAATTGAGAAATGCACAAATTGAATCATATAGTGTATACTCTTGTGTCAGGATTCTTTCACTAGGCATAAAGGTTTTGAAATTTTTCCACATTGCTTTTATCTGTAATGCTACATAGTAGTATTTTGTTGCATGAATCTACCTCAATTTACCTTACCATTTTCCTGTTGATGGAAACCTAGGCTGTGTCCAGTTTTTTACTGGTATGAACATTCTTAAACAAGTGTTTTGGGGGTGCTATATTGTGACTTCTCTTTCCTTTCCATATAATTTATGGGTTGTTCTTTCATTTAAGTAGAAATGGGTTGATACATGTCATTTTACTTCCACCAGCAATACATATGAGTTCTGGTTGATCCTCATTCTTGCCAACATTTGATAATTTCCATTGTTATGGACTGAATATCCTCCTCCCAAGTTCATATGTTGAAGATTTAATGCCCTGTACCTCAGAGTGTGACTGTATTTTGAGATAAGCCCATTAAAGAGGTAATTAAAGAGGTAATTAAGAGGTAAAATAAGGCTGTTATGGTAGGCCCTAATCCAATTCTGACTGGTGTCTTTACAAGAAGATTAACTTTGGTCACACACAGAGACACCATACACATGCATGCACAGAGGATGACCATGTGAACACACAAGAAGTGGGCCATCTGCAAGCCAAAGAAAGGGGCCTTGGGAGAAACCAGACTTGCTAAAACTTTGATCTTGGACTTCTAGTTTCCAGAACTGTGAGAAAATAAATTTCTGTTGTTTAAGCCACCCTGTTTGTGGTAATTTTTTATGGCAACTGGAGTAGACTAATACACCCATCATTTAAATTTTAGTCCTTCTTTTGAGTGTGAAGTGGTATCTCATTGTGGTTTGAATTTGCATTTCCCTCATGGCTAATGATACTGAGCACATTTTCTCTCTTTTTTTCTTTTCCTCCAAATACACAGGCTTCAAGGATACTGAGCACACTTTCATGTGCTTATTGTATGGAGAAACCAAAGCCCTGATTTATTTCTGCTTTTAGAAATGAGAAAACTGGCTGGGTGCAGTGGTTCATGCCTGTAATTCCAGAACTTTGGGAGGCCAAGACAGGAGGATCAGTTGAGGCCAGGAGTTCGAGACCAGCCTGGGCAACATACCAAGACTCCGTCTCTAAAAAAGAAAGAAGTTAACTGGATGTAGTGCTGGTAGTCTAGCTACTCAGAAGGTTAAGGTGGGAGGATTGTTTGAGCCCAGGAGTTCGAGGCTACGGTGAGCCATGATTGCACCACTGTATTCCAGTCTGGGCAACAGAGCAAAACTCCAACTCAAATAAATAAATAAATAAATAATAAAGGAAGAAAGAAAAAAAGGAAAAAAGAAATGAGAAAACTGGGGTTTATAGAGGTTAGTTTACGTTGTTGAAGGTGATAGAGCTAGCAAAATTGATTTTGAGCTCAGCTTCTGATTACAGAATTTATCTTTTTTTCTTTTACTCTAAAAGCAGTCTTTATATTTGTACTTTATAGAAAGCCATCATTCGATAAATAGAATAATATCACTTTCTTTTTCTATCAGGATTGTCTTTACCTTTTGTTTCTGTTTTTGTTTTCTGTGGGATGACTTTTCCAATATTAGAGCTCAGTTTTGGTAATTGTTTTATGAACCATATTAATTGTAAAAGGAGAAAAATGAGTTTTAGAATATAGCCAAGACCTGTATTATCCAACACTAGTCCATGACTATATTACCCTATTTCTATGAGGAGTACAATGTAAGAGTCTCTAAGGGCTTTATACAATCTAGAATTTGGCTTTACTCTTATTTAGAATTTTCTTTGTTTCAGGGATCCCCGTGCTTTAAATATATTAGGTTCCCTAAGGAAGAAATCTCAGTTCCTCAGAGCTTATGTTTTATATAAAGAGATTACTCAGAGCATTTTTAATTTAAATTGTTTTAACAATACCCCGCATAATTTTTACCCTAGGAGAAGGGTTGTGAGCATTTAGATGCTTGGTATGGCTGCATTTCCTCTTTACATTTACTTAGAGTAGTATTTCCAAATTTAGTTGGAGAGCACCTCATTCACATACTCAACTTTTATATTTTAGCTGCTTGGTATTTTTTTTGAATTGATTGATTCCTTTATAAAAAATTTATTAATAATTCTAAACATACAAAAAAGTTTCAGAAATAGTGTAAGAAACTTTCCCCTCACCTGAAACATTTGAGAGTAATTTGCTAACATGATGCCCATCACTCCCAAATATTTTAGTATTTATTTCTCTCAAAGGGATATTTTCCAACATAGTCATAATAAAAAATTAACAGATACATTACTACCCTCATTAGAGTATAGATATATATTGTAGATTAGACAAGTTCCACCATTTGTCTCAATAATATCCTTTGTAAAAGCGAAAGGATGTCAGTCAGAAGCACACGCTGCATTCACTTGTCATTCCCTCTTAGTCTTCAGTCTTCCCATAACATTGATGATCTCAAAAGTTTTGAAGAATACAGACCAGTAATTTTGGAGAATGTTCTTCAGTTTATGTTTGTTTAATGTTTCCTCACAATTAGATTCAGGTTATGTATTTCTGGCAGGAATATCACAGAAGTGATGCTGGGGTTGTTGTTGTTGTTTTTTTTTTTGTTGTTTTTTTTTTTTTTTTTTTGAGACGGAGTCTCATTCTGTCGCCAGGCTGGTATGCAGTGGCATGATCTCAGCTCACGGCAACCTTTGCCTCCTGGGTTTCAGCAATTCTTGAGCCTCAGTCATTGAGTAACTGGGATTACAGGCATCTGCCACCATGCCTGACTGATTTTTGTATTTTTAGTAGAGATGGGGTTTTGCTATGTTGGCTAGGCCGGTCTTGAACTCCTGGCCTCAAGTGATCCACCTGCCTTGGCCTCCCAAAGTGCTGGGATTGCAGGTGTGAGCCATCGCGCCCTGCCTGTTTATTGCATCCCATCAGGTGGAACATAATTTAAATTCGTCCACTTATAGTGATGTTAGCTTTGATCACTTGAATAAAGAAGGCATTTTGAGATTATGTAAATAGTCTCTTCCATGTCAAATTTTAATCCACTGCTTTAGCATCTATTAATTTTTTTCTTTTTTATACTTTAAGTTTTAGGGTACATGTGCACATTGTGCAGGTTAGTTACATATGTATACATGTGCCATGCTGGTGCGCTGCACCCACTAACTCGTCATCTAGCATTAGGTATATCTCCCAATGCTATCCCTCCCCCTTCCCCCCACCCCACCACAGTCCCCAGAGTGTGATATTCCCCTTCCTGTGTCCATGTGATCTCATTGTTCAATTCCCACCTATGAGTGAGAATATGCGGTGTTTGGTTTTTTGTTCTTGCGATAGTTTACTGAGAATGATGATTTCCAATTTCATCCATGTCCCTACAAAGGACATGAACTCATCATTTTTTATGGCTACATAGTATTCCATGGTGTATATGTGCCACATTTTCTTAATCCAGTCTGTCATTGTTGGACATTTGGGTTGGTTCCAAGTCTTTGCTATTGTGAATAATGCCACAATAAACATACGTGTGCTTGTGTCTTTATAGCAGCAAGATTTATAGTCCTTTGGGTATATACCCAGTAATGGGATGGCTGGGTCAAATGGTATTTCTAGTTCTAGATCCCTGAGGAATCGCCACACTGACTTCCACAATGGTTGAACTAGTTTACAGTCCCACCAACAGTGTAAAAGTGTTCCTATTTCTCCACATCCTCTCCAGCACGTGTTGTTTCCTGATTTTTTAATGATTGCCATTCTAACTGTTGTGAGATGGTATCTCATTGTGGTTTTGATTTGCATTTCTCTGATGGCCAGTGATAATGAGCATTTTTTCATGTGTTTTTTGGCTGCATAAATGTCTTCTTTTGAGAAGTGTCTGCTCATGTCCTTCACCCACTTTTTGATGGGGTTGTTTGTTTTTTTCTTGTAAATTTGTTTGAGTTCATTGTAGATTCTGGATATTAGCCCTTTGTCAGATGAGTAGGTTGTGAAAATTTTCTCCCATTTTGTAGGTTGCCTGTTCACTCTGATGGTAGTTTCTTTTGCTGTGCAGAAGCTCTTTAGTTTAATTAGATCCCATTTGTCAATTTTGGCTTTTGTTGCCATTGCTGTTGGTGTTTTAGACATGAAGTCCTTGCCCATGCCTATGTCCTGAATGGTATTGCCTAGGTTTTCTTCTAGGGTTTTTATGGTTTTAGGTCTAACGTTTAAGTCTTTAATCCATCTTGAATTAATTTTTGTATAAGGTATAAGGAAGGGATCCAGTTTCAGCTTTCTACATATGGCTAGCCAGTTTTCCCAGCACCATTTATTTAATAGGGAATCCTTTCCCCATTGCTTGTTTTTCTCAGGTTTGTCAAAGATCAGATAGTTGTAGATATGCGGCATTATTTCTGAGGGCTCTGTTCTGTTCCATTGATCTATATCTCTGTTTTGGTACCAGTACCATGCTGTTTTGGTTACTGTAGCCTTGTAGTATAGTTTGAAGTCAGGTAGCGTGATGCCTCCAGCTTTGTTCTTTTGGCTTAGGATTGCCTTGGCGATGGCGGGCTCTTTTTTGGTTCCATATGAACTTTAAAGTAGTTTTTTCCAATTCTGTGAAGAAAGTCATTGGTAGCTTGATGGGGATGGCATTGAATCTGTAAATTACCTTGGGCAGTATGGCCATTTTCATGATATTGATTCTTCCTACCCATGAGCATGGAATGTTCTTCCATTTGTTTGTATCCTCTTTTATTTCCTTGAGCAGTGGTTTGTAGTTCTCCTTGAAGAGGTCCTTCACATCCCTTGTAAGTTGGATTCCTAGGTATTTTATTCTCTTTGAAGCATTTGTGAATGGGAGTTCACTCATGATTTGGCTCTCTGTTTGTCTGTTATTGGTGTATAAGAATGCTTGTGATTTTTGTACATTGATTTTGTATCCCGAGACTTTGCTGAAGTTGCTTATCAGCTTAAGGAGATTTTGGGCTGAGACAATGGGGTTTTCTAGATATACAATCATGTCGTCTGCAAACAGGGACAATTTGACTTCCTCTTTTCCTAATTGAATACCGTTTATTTCCTTCTCCTGCCTAATTGCCCTGGCCAGAACTTCCAACACTATGTTGAATAGGAGTGGTGAGAGAGGGCATCCCTGTCTTGTGCCAGTTTTCAAAAGGAATGCTTCCAGTTTTTGCCCATTCAGTATGATATTGGCTGTGGGTTTGTCATAGATAGCTCTTACTATTTTGAGATACATCCCATCAGTACCTAATTTATTGAGAGTTTTTAGCATTAAGGGTTGTTGAATTTTGTCAAAGGCATTTTCTGCATCTATTGAGATAATCATGTGGTTTTTTTCTTTGGTTCTGTTTATATGCTGGATTACATTTATTGATTTGCGTATATTGAACCAGCCTTGCATCCCAGGGATGAAGCCCACTTGATCATGGTGGATAAGCTTTTTGATGTGCTGCTGGATTCGTTTTGCCAGTATTTTATTGAGGATTTTTGCATCAATGTTCATCAAGGCTATTGGTCTAAAATTCTCTTTTTTGGTTGTGTCTCTGCCCGGCTTTGGTATCAGAATGATGCTGGCCTCATAAAATGAGTTAGGGAGGATTCCCTCTTTTTCTATTGATTGGAATAGTTTCAGAAGGAATGGTACCAGTTCCTCCTTGTACCTCTGATAGAATTCGGCTGTGAATCCGTCTGGTCCTGGACTCTTTTTGGTTGGTAAACTATTGATTATTGCCACAATTTCAGCTCCGGTTATTGGTCTATTCAGAGATTCAACTTTTTCCTGGTTTAGTCTTGGGAGAGTGTATGTGGCAAGGAATTTATCCATTTCTTCTAGATTTTCTAGTTTATTTGTGTAGAGGTGTTTGTAGTATTCTCTGATGGTAGTTTGTATTTCTGTGGGATTGGTGGTGATATCCCCTTTATCATTTTTTATTGCCTCTATTTGATTCTTCTCTCTTTTTTTCTTTATTAGTCTTGCTAGCGGTCTATCAATTTTGTTGATCTTTTCAAAAAACCAGCTCCTGGATTCATTAATTTTTTGAAGGGTTTTTTGTGTCTCTATTTCCTTCAGTTCTGCTCTGATTTTAGTTATTTCTTGCCTTCTGCTAGCTTTGGAATGTGTTTGCTCTTGCTTCTCTAGTTCTTTTAATTGTGATGTTAGGGTGTCAATTTTAGATCTTTCCTTCTTTCTCCTGTGGGCATTTAGTGCTATAAATTTCCCTCTACACACTGCTTTGAATGTGTCCCAGAGATTCTGGTATGTTGTGTCTTTGTTCTCGCTGGTTTCAAAGAACATCTTTATTGCTGCCTTCATTTCGTTATGTATCCAGTAGTCATTCAGGAGCAGGTTATTCAGTTTCCATGTAGTTGAGCGGTTTTGAGTGAAATTCTTAATCCTGAGTTCTAGTTTGATTGCACTGTGGTCTGAGAGATAGTTCATTATAATTTCTGTTCTTTTACATTTGCTGAGGAGAGCTTTACTTCCAAGTATGTGGTCAATTTTGGAATAGGTGTGGTGTGGTGCTGAAAAAAATGTATATTCTGTTGATTTGGGGTGGAGAGTTCTGTAGATGTCTATTAGGTCCGCTTGGTGCAGAGCTGAGTTCAATTCCTGGGTATCCTTGTTGACTTTCTGTCTCGTTGATCTGTCTAATGTTGACAGTGGGGTGTTACAGTCTCCCATTATTAATGTGTGGGAGTCTAAGTCTCTTTGTAGGTCACTCAGGACTTGCTTTATGAATCTCGGTGCTCCTGTATTGGGTGCATATATATTTAGGATAGTTAGCTCTTCTTGTTGAATTGATCCCTTTACCATTATGTAATGGCCTTCTTTGTCTCTTTTGATCTTTGTTGGTTTAAAGTCTGTTTTATCAGAGACTAAGATTGCAACCCCTGCCTTTTTTTGTTTTCCATTTGCTTGGTAGATCTTCCTCCATCCTTTTATTTTGAGCCTGTGTGTGTCTCTGCACGTGAGATGGGTTTCCTGAATACAGCACACTGATGGGTCTTGACTCTTTATCCAATTTGCCAGTCTGTGTCTTTTAATTGGAGCATTTAGTCCATTTACATTTACGGTTAATATTGTTATGTGTGAATTTGATCCTGTCATTATGATGTTAGCTGGTGATTTTGCTCGTTAGTTGATGCAGTTTCTTCCTAGTCTCGATGGTCTTTACATTTTGGCATGATTTTGCAGCGGCTGGTACTGGTTGTTCCTTTCCATGTTTAGCGCTTCCTTCAGGAGCTCTTGTAAAGCAGGCCTGGTGGTGACAAAATCTCTCAGCATTTGCTTGTCTGTAAAGTATTTTATTTGTCCTTCACTTCTGAAGCTTAGTTTGGCTGGATGTGAAATTCTGGGTTGAAAATTCTTTTCTTTAAGAATGTTGAATATTGCCCCCCACTCTCTTCTGGCTTGTAGGGTTTCTGCTGAGAGATACGCTGTTAGTCTGATGGGCTTCCCTTTGAGGGTAACCCGACCTTTCTCTCTGGCTGCCCTGAACATTTTTTCCTTCATTTCAACTTTGGTGAATCTGACAATTATGTGTCTTGGAGTTGCTCTTCTTGAGGAGTATCTTTGTGGCGTTCTCTGTATTTCCTGAATCTGAACGTTGGCTTGCCTTGCGAGATTGGGGAAGTTCTCCTGGATAATATCCTGCAGCGTGTTTTCCAACTTGGTTCCATTCTCCCCATCACTTTCAGGTACAGCAATCAGACGTAGATTTGGTCTTTTCACATAGTCCCATATTTCTTGGAGGCTTTGTTTGTTTCTTTTTATTCTTTTTTCTCTAAACTTCCCTTCTCGCTTCATTTCATTCATTTCATCTTCCATCGCTGATACCCTTTCTTCCAGTTGATCGCATCAGCTCCTGAGGCTTCTGCATTCTTCATGTAGTTCTCGAGCCTTGGTTTTCAGCTGCATCAGCTCCTTTAAGCACTTCTCTGTATTGGTTATTCTAGTTATACATTCTTCTAAATTTTTTTCAAAGTTTTCAACTTCTTTGCCTTTGGTTTGAGTGTCCTCCCGTAGCTCAGAGTAATTTGATCGTCTGAAGCCTTCTTCTCTCAGCTCGTCAAAGTCATTCTCCATCCAGCTTTGTTCCGTTGCTGGTGAGGAACTGCGTTCCTTTGGAGGAGGAGAGGTGCTCTGCGTTTTAGAGTTTCTACTTTTTC
The DNA here is from genome assembly GCF_000001405.40 of Homo sapiens. Taxonomy (NCBI): domain Eukaryota; kingdom Metazoa; phylum Chordata; class Mammalia; order Primates; family Hominidae; genus Homo; species Homo sapiens. The sequence continues at coordinate 53,329,656 of NC_000004.12, read as the reverse complement.
TGTTCTGTTTTTTTCCAATCTTTGTGGTTTTATCTACTTTTGGTCTTTGATGATGGTGATGTACAGATGGGTTTTTGGTGTGGATGTCCTTTCTGTTTGTTAGTTTTCCTTCTAACAGACAGGACCCTCAGCTGCAGGTCTGTTGGAATACCCTGCCGTGTGAGGTGTCAGTGTGCCCCTGCTGGGGGGTGCCTCCCAGTTAGGCTGCTCGGGGGTCAGGGGTCAGGGACCCACTTGAGGAGGCAGTCTGCCCGTTCTGAGATCTCCAGCTGCGTGCTGGGAGAACCACTGCTCTCTTCAAAGCTGTCAGACAGGGACATTTAAGTCTGCAGAGGTTACTGCTGTCTTTTTGTTTGTCTGTGCCCTGCCCCCAGAGGTGAAGCCTACAGAGGCAGGCAGGCCTCCTTGAGCTGTGGTGGGCTCCACCCAGTTCGAGCTTCCAGGCTGCTTTGTTTACCTAAGCAGCCCTGGGCAATGGCGGGCGCCTCTTCCCCAGCCTCGCTGCCACCTTGCAGTTTGATCTCAGACTGCTGTGCTAGCAATCAGTGAGACTCTGTGGGCGTAGGACCCTCTGAGCCAGGTGAGGGATATAATCTCGTGGTGTGCCGTTTTTTAACCCGGTCCGAAAAGCACAATATTCGGGTGGGAGTGACCCGATTTTCCAGGTGTGTCCGTCACCCCTTTCTTTGACTCGGAAAGGGAACTCCCTGACCCCTTGCGCTTCCCAAGTGAGGCAATGCCTCGCCCTGCTTCGGCTCGCGCATGGTGCGCGCACCCACTGACCTGCGCCCACTGTCTGGCACTCCCTAGTGAGATGAACCTGGTACCTCAGATGGAAATGCAGAAATCACCTGTCTTCTGCGTCACTCACGCTGGGAGCTGTAGACCGGAGCTGTTCCTATTCGGCCATCTTGGCTCCTCCCCCAATATTTCTTGACTGAATTATTTCTGTGATGGCTGATAATAGTGATTTTTCCAATTCTATCATTTTCTTTACATTTCTTAATTGATATTTTCTGGTAAGATAAAGCTGTCTGTTCTCCGCATGTATGTATGTTTGTATATATGTATTTTTTATGTGTATATTAGCATAAACTAATAGATTCGTATTTTATTCAATGGGTTATAACTCATTTTTTATTATTTGCTTTGATGTTAATATTGTCCCATATTTGGTCAATGAGATCCCCTGACTTCTGTGTCTTTTTGATATATAACCATCGTTCTTTGAGCATTTTAATACTTTCTGGTATATTTCAAATTCATCTTGTACCTATCCTAGCTAGTCCTGGAATCAGTCATTTCTCTAAGAGCACTGATTCTTTTTGGTGGAGAATTGTATTTAGAAACCAAGATCTGGGCTCAGTGTGCTTGCTGCTTTTGGAGTGTCACTGTTCCCAGGGCCTCACAGTGGACACAGCTAAGGAATTTGTATACATACACACACACTCACACACACACACACATACATGTGCACATGTATTTACATTGATCATTCTTTGTTTTTTTTTTGTTTTTTTTTGAGACAGAGTCTCGCTCTGTCACCCAGGCTGGGTTGCAGTGGCACTATCTCGGCTCACTGCAACCTCTGCCTCCTGGGTTCAAGCAATTCTCCTGCCTCAGCCTCCCGAGTAGCTGGGACTACAGGCACATGCCACCATGCCTGGCTGTTTCTTTTTTTTGTATTTTTAGTAGAGACAGGGTTTCACTGTGTTAGCCAGGATTGTCTCGATCTCCTGACCTCATGATCCACCCACGTTGGCCTCCCAAAGTGAGGCCACTGCACCCGGCCGATCTTTATTTCTATGCTAATCTCTGTATATTGAGAACTATGAGTTCCCAGCAATACTTCCAATTCTAAGCCAGCATCACAAGGATTGATTTTAAGTTTTTTCCCTTTGCATATTTGTAACTACTTCTTGAACAGTTGAGTAACCTGACCCTCTTATCCCTCAGTAGATTTACTTACTTTGCTCAGTCTCCTGTATTTAACCAATATAGTGTCAACATTGCTGCCTTTTCCTCCTCCTCTATGTGGATGCTGCCTCCATCACTCCTGGTCTCCAACATAAACGCATCCTGCCCCATGCTCTGCATGGAGACTCCATACCATTTAGGCTCTGATATTTTGGTTTGGCCTGCTTCTGCACTGGAGTCCTCTTCACCCTTCTCAGTCTGCTCACCTGCTCTGGGCTGCCACTGCCACAGTGCATCATACTCTTGGTGTGGGTATCCTTCTCACTCCACTTGGCCTTTGACATCCTGAGCCAGGCTGCAGCTGCCCACCCCTACACAGACACCCTTCTCATTCCATTTTGGCTCTGCCACCCTGGGTCAGACTGCTGCCACCCTCCATCCCATGTGGATGTCCCCTCAATCTGGTTGCAATCTGATGCTCCCACCCACCCTCTTGGGCCCTTTGTGCAGACATCTTCCTCTTCCTGCTTGGATCCCAACACCTTGTATTCGGCTACCAACCCTCCCCAAGACGATACCCGCTCACCCCTCTCAGGCTCCGACACTCTGTGCTAACATGTTTCCAGCCTGCTCATTACATGAACTCTGCTGCTGTATCAAGACAACTCCCTTCTAGGCACCAACTAATGACTTTTGGATTAAATTATGAAGTTTTTTGTTGTTGTTTTTTTTTTTCTTATTTGGACTTTATTATAAAGACAGATTTTGCTTGGTTGTTGTTAAACTTAAGTGATCAGTACCTACTTATAGCCTCATTCTAAAATAATGTCTGTATACTTGAATAGTCATGGATTTAATTTGTTAGTTAAATTTTTTGTGATTTACATTAAAATAAATACAGATTAATGACAACTAAAGATATTCACCTGTGGACCTATGAAAATCAACTTGCTAACCACATCTTTAGGACACCGTGGTTTAGATTATTCATTTAATGGCAGTCTTGGTTGGTTTGTGTTTTCATTCTTTTGATCTTGGTACTTGACAAAACTGATAGCAAGACTGCATATCTTCTAGGAATGAGAAGATATTTTTTTCTTTTTGTCTTGTATATGGTTTTAAATAGGAGCGGTGATGGTGACTCTCCTTGCCTTATTTCTGATTTTAAGAGGAATATCTCTAACGTTCCCCCATTTATAATGATGTTCACAGTAGACTTTTTGTAGATTTTTTTTTTATCAGGTTAAGGAAGCTCTCATCCTAATTTACTAAGATTTTGAAAAATGTTTTAATCATGGGCTGGGCACAGTGGCTCATGCCTGTGATCCCAACACTTTGAGAGGCTGAGGCAGGTGGATCACTTGAGCCCAGGAGTTCGAGACCAGGCTAGGCAACACGGTGAAACACTGTCACTACAAAAAATACAAAAATTAGCTAGGTGTGGGGGCATGCGCCTGTTGTCCCAGGTATTCAGAAGGCTGAGGTGGGAGGATTGCTTGAGCCTAGGAGGTGGAGGCTGCAGTGAATTGTGATCACGCCACTGCACTCTGGCCTGGGTGACAGAGCGAGACCCTGTCTCAAATAAAATAAAATAAAATAAAATAAATAAAATTTTAAATAATGAATTGGTGTTGAAATCTATGAAATGTTTTTCCTGAATCTATTTAAAAGATAGTATGTTTTCTTGTCATCTGCTAATGTGGCAAGTTGTAATTATAGACAGTCTAAGACTGAATCATTCTAGCATATTTTGCATAAACTCAGCTGCTTTGTCATGGTTTGCCATTTTTTCTTATACTTTTCCATGTCTTGGTGTTTTCTTCTTTAGTTCCTTCAGGTTTGATTTTGGGGGAGAGTTAGTAGTTATGTCCCTTTAGTATCCTAAAAAAAACTGGACAAAGTGGCTTAAACAAGAAGCTACCTGTTAAATATTGTTTGAACTGAAGGGTTAATGTTGCTTATGCTTTCTGAACCTTAGCCCCTTTATCTGAAAATTTGGTTATAATAATGCCTACCATATATGCTTGTAAGACTCAAAGGAGATAAAAATAAGTCAAAAGTCTTGTATAGTGACTTCCCTTTGGGATTTAAGATTTACCTACTTATTTTTATTTTTTGTAGAAAGCTGCTATCAGTAAATCAATCTCACAAAACACATTCCAACGATGCCTTTTAGTTCATTTACTTATTCAGACCATTTGCATTGATAAAATGTGGTATCTAGAACCTTCTTTGTTTATTGCAGGTCTAGATTGTACTTGAAGCTCAGTCCTGTGTCTTTTCTTCTATTTTTTACTCCTTCATCTTTCTTCTTTTTTATTTCCTGGCTAATTCTTTGTGATTTGATTGAATGGTGCAATCATTATTTTTGTTAATCATTTATGTTTTGGTGGGTCATGGCTCTCAAGTGCATTTTACCTTCAAGAATGGGAGAGCTTCTAGGAATGTGTTATTAGAATTATTGTCCTCTGTGCCCCCTAGAAAGGCAGTGAGTCTTCTCTTTTTTTTTTTTTTTACTGTCACAAATATGTAAGCGTGCGCGCACGCGCACACACACACACATCTGTAGTAATTTTCTAGGTTATATTACGTTCTTAAGGAGAGTGAATATCAGAAACAAAAGTAAGAGGGAAGTTAGAGTTTTTATGGTGAGAAAAGGAGTATTGCAAGGTGGGTTAGGGTTGGAGATAGAGGGCCTGATTGTTGGTTGGGGATCATATGTATCTTCTCTTGGTGAGGCAAGCCTCAAGAACCTTACCCATGTGTCACAATTTGATTTTATCTACTTTCCTAGGCCTTATTTGACTAAGACATAGTTAATTAGTATCAATATTTGTATTAACAATATTTTCTTGTTTTCTGTTTCTTTGATGCTCTGGCACCTGGAGTCTAGAAATAGCAAACAACTAGTCAGGGAATGAGCCTCTCATATGCAAACTTATCAGTCAGAACTCACCCCTCTTCCCTCTGCTGGGCTCTTATGCTCCCAGCCAATATTCCCCTGCCCTCATCACCCCAGCGCCATGTACCGGACAACCAGAGCCCACAGAAATGATTTAAACCAGCACATCCTAAGCCCCCTCAGCCTGCTTACCCTGCCTTGGCCATTCCTTCCCACAAAATCCACAATAAGGGCATGAGCCTGTGTTTTTCCCTTGTTCCCTCTGCCTCTTGACCAACGCTGGTGCTTCCCCATGTGGCCCTGCCTGGCATGTCATGCCTCCTGTTTCAAGGGATCTGTGAGTATAAGAACTTCTTCCTTTTTGACAGTCATTTCTGTCCCTATGTATCCTGGATACTTTTTTTTTTTTTTTTTTTTGGAGAGACAGGGTCTCACTCTGTCACCCAGGCTGAAGTGAACTGGTATGATCATAGCTCATTGTAGCCTCAAATTCCTGGACTCAAGCGATCCTCTTGTTTCAGCCTTTTAAGTAGCTAGGACTACATGTGTGTGCTACCATGCCCAGCTAATTTTTAAATTTTTTTGTAGAGATGGGGTCTTGCTAGGTTGCCCAGGCTGGTCTTGAACTTCTGGCCTCAAGCGATCCTCCTGCCTTGGCCTCCCAAAGTGCTAGGATTATAGGTGTGAGCCATTGTGCCTGGCTCCTGGGTACATTTTTAAATAGTATCGAAGACATTTATTAGGGGATGGTGTGCTTCTAGTCCACAAGGTTTCAACCTTGTGCAAGTTGTTCAATGCCTTCCTAACTTTGCTATTCCTTGTGGGAAATATTCAAGACCTGTGTGCTTGTTATCCCTTTATTTGGGGTTTTTAATAGGAATTCCTGTCTCCTTTATTAATAGGGTAATTGTGGCTGCAAAAATTTAGAAGGAAGCCTGAAGATTCCTCTTTACTCTGTTCCTTAGGCCTGGAGCCTTTCAAAGTGGTTTCCCAGGTTTTTGGATATCATGGAACACAGAAATTAAGCAACACCATAGAGCTCTCTACTTTTGTCACACAATACACACACATACACACACACAGAATTATTTATCTTACTATATTGAAAATGCTTTAAATAGAATATTTTTTACAGGTTGACTATAATGAAAAAGGAAAGGCTAGGCACATTGGCTTATGCCTGTTATCCCAGTATTTCGGGAGGCTGAGGTAGGAGGATGGCTTGAGCCTAGTTAGAGACCAGCCTGGGCAACATAGTGAAAATTCATCTCCGCAAAAAGTAAAAAAAAAAAAAAAAAAAAAAAAAATTAGCTGGGCATGGTGGCATGCACCTGTAGTCCTGGCTACTCAGGTGGGAGGGTCACTTGGTCCAGGAAGTCTAGGTTGTAGTGAGCTGTGATTATGCTACTATACTCCAACCTGGGCTACACAGGGAGACCCTGTCCCAAAAAAACAACAACAAAAAAGAACTACTGTATATTCTTCTCTCCTCAGAGTTGTAACACTTCAACACTGTTCTGTAGTTCTAGAGTATCAAAGGAGATAGTACAAAACATCTTAACAAAATCTGTGGGAGTTAAGATAGTTAATAATAGGGGCAATGCAAATTCCTATTTCAGCTGAACCAAAACTCAAGCTGGTTTTTAATCAATTGGTTTTTACCAATGAAGAGAAAATAAGCTATAATAATTTTCAACACATCAAGTTTTTCCAAGGCTTTGAAGCTTCATACAAATGTGCATATAGACACAATGGTGTCACCTACCAAAGTGATAGATACTGGAGTCACTGTATAATCATTGCATATAAGATTATGCTGATTGAAATGAACCTTCTTCATGGAGGTGAGTGACAGAAGGGTGAAGCAGGCAGATACATTTGCTTCTAAGAGCTTCTATAAAACTGTCACTAACTCTTTGTCCTAGAGTTCCTTGACACATGAATTAATCCTTAACTTTCCATGGCTTGAATTTGAGCCAAAACACACAGATGTAATCAATCCAGCCTAGAGTTCCCCAGTGGAGCAAGTGCTGATCTGTGTACTGGATCATGTACTAATGTATAGGAACTCAAAGTATATCCTTTAGAGTCAGAAAAATGTGGCAGAGAAGGGATATGTGTTTGGTTTTTAAGTAATCTAATTGTGTTATTGATTTAAAATCCTCATACTGAGTTAATCCATTTATGCATTAGAAATCTATATGAAAAACAGTCTTTCTTATGCTTTACTGTTTTCTAAGAGGAAATTATTAATACGTTTGTGTTGATTATAGTGTTAATCATTAATGGGCTGATAGAGAGTAGGAATAAAAAATGTTTATACTGAGATGAAACTCAAATACTCTCTATTTTATGTGATGGTTAAACAGTTAATACGTTGTTATCTAGTCCGTTTTTTAAGGGTGGATTATTTGTGCCTCTCCTTTGTAGACCATATAGGGTAACTTTCTGATGTTGCCATGCCATTTGTAAACTGTCATGGTGCTGGTGGGAGTGTCTTTTAGCATGCTAATGCATTATAATTCGTGTATAATGAGCAGTGAGGACAACCAGAGGTCACTTTCATTGCCATCTTGGTTTTGGTGGGTTTTGGTCGGCTTCTTTACTGCAAGCTAAAACAGCTTGCAGTAAGGTCTTCATGATCTGTACCTTGTGCTAACCTCCTATCTCATCCTGTGACTTAGAATCCCAAGCCATTTGGGAATGCAGTCCAGCAGGTCTTAGCCTTATTTTACCCAGTCCTTATTCAAGATGGAGTTGCTCTGGTTCAAACGCCTCTGACAAGCCCAGGTTAGGTGTTGCACTTTCCCAAAGTTCTCAATCTCTGTTTTTATCACCCTGCTGGAGTGTGCTCAGTTTCACCTTCCCTGCTAGATGGCTAGCTCCATGCAGGCAGGGTGTGGGAGGATGCTCACAGCCATGTTTCCAGCATCCATGCCCAGCTCACAGAAAGTGCTTATATTTTGAAAGAAAGAATGAACAAAGGGCTGCTTTCCAGTACCAAGGGACTCTGTCACATATCTTGCACTTAGCTGCTTTTGCTTCTATTGAGATGAAGATTAATTGGTACATTTGTTAAAGATGTAATTGTTTTAAAAGGTAGTCAAGAGGAAAGATGACTATTGAAGCCTCTGTGAATAATTTAATTAGAAAACCTACCTTCAGAGCTCATTAAGCTCACCCCTCATGGAAGCCATTATTCCCTGCTGTGAAAAACTATGACTCAGCTTGCCTTCTGTTTAAAATTAGTTGAAATTGTTTGGGTTTTTTGTTGTCATTGGATTTCTGTTGGAATACTGTGACTATTATTGCATATCCTGTGATTAAGCTTAACTTCCTGTGCATGCCACGAAGAAACTAAGTTTAGTCACAAGATAATGGTACGCGTTCACATTTCACCCTCATCTCTTAATTGCATGCCTTCTACTTGATTGAAGTATCACCATGATTCAACATTCAGCCACCTTTTAAAAATTTTGCTGTCTTCTTTCTATTTTATTTGGTGATGAATATTTCCTGTTAGTTTCTAGCAGACTGCATTTGACATTTCATACATGCCAACCCAAGGCAGCTTCTAAGATTTCATTCAGAGTTGAGTAATTCTGGTGAATAAAGAGCCAGGAATGAACTGAAATGACCATATTTTCATGTACAGAAGTTTCTTGAAAGACCTTAAAGAGCTATTTGTAGCAGGTTATTATTATGTGTATGTCATTGGTCTTCTTCAAACATGACAATTTGTAAAAACAGTTTGATTTTTAAGAATTCAGAATAATTTATCAAAAAATGACAATTAGTATGTATTGGCATTTTAAATAGTTACTGACAATATAGAAACTACTTATATTTCATAGAATAAATATTCTACTTTCATGTTGTATATTTCAAGGAATCTATTTTAACAAATTAAATTGTATTCTGGTAGCTACAATGAATTCAGTTTATGTCTTTTGAAACCATGATATTAAAAACAGAAAAAAGGGAAGAAATTGTTTAATTTATATTCCACAAGCTGTTGGTAATTTTTTTGTTGTTGTTAATTCTTTTTATTGCTGTCACTGGACTTGTGAAAAAGAAAAAGAGGTTTAATAAAAGAAATAGCAGCATGGGATATTCACTTATCTTTTGCTGACCTTTGGAAAGTTAATCAAATTTGTGCATGTGAAGTTTGAGGACCATGGCATAATGGAAACCTTATTTTTATTTTTTATTGATTTTTTGAGACAGGGTTTTACTCTTCTCTCCCAGGCTGGAGTGCAGTGGTGCAATCTCAACTCACTGCAACTTCCACCTCCCAGGTTTAAGTGATTTTCCTACCTCAGCCTCCTGAGTAGCTGGGATTGCCGGCGTGCACCACCATGCCCAGCTAATTTTTGTATTTTTAGTAGAGATGGGGTTTCACCATATTGACCAGGCTGGTCTCCAACTCCTGACTTCAGGTGATCCGCCTGCCTTGGCCTCCCAAAGTGCTGGGATTACAGGCGTGAGCCACCACACCCTGCCTGGAAACCTTATAAATATAGCTTGTTGGGGACCCAAGGAATCTCAGAAATTGGCATTTTAGTTCAAGCCTTTTATTTTACAGAACAGTGTAGAATTATGGTAAACAGATGGATTTTGGAGTTCACAGCAACCTGAGTTCAAACCCTAATTTACTGGGCATGTAATTTGGGTAAACTGTTTTATCTCATTTAGAATCAGTTTTTTCACTTATGAAATGGGGTCCAATGATACTTATCCTGAAAGGTTGTTGTTATTAAATGAGATAATATAGTCATGCTGCCTATGACATAGTTTTCAATAAGTGAAAATTATAACATTAGTAATAACTGTAAGGGGATATAAAGCACCAAAAAGACTAACCAAGTTACAGAAGCAGCCCATTGGCACTTCCAGTGGTGGACCTGAGCTGTAATCCTCCTTTTTAATTTTTGTAATATAATGAGATGTTAGGCAACTCGTTTCATTTTGTCTCAATTTTATCAGTGTTAAAAATAAGTAGAGACGGGTGGGCCTAGTGGCTCATGCCTGTAATCCCAGCACTTTGGGAGGCCAAGTTGGGTGGATCACCTGAGGTCAGGAGTTTGAGACCAGCCTGGCCAACATGGTGAAACCCCGTCTCTACTAAAAATACAAAAATTAACCAGACGAGATGGCGCATGCCTGTAATCCCAGCTATCCAGGAGGCTGAGGCAGGAGAATCACTGGAACCCGAAGGTGGAGGCTGCAGTGAGCTGAGATCATGCCACTGCACTTGAGCCTGGGTGACAGAGCGAGACTCCTTCTAAAAAAAAAAAAGAAAAAAAGTAGAGGCTATTTCCCCTTCTTTCTTTCCCAAGGACATGTTGTACATAGAGTTAGAGCTAGATTGGAAATAATACCTGTAAGGCAATTTAGACTAGGTTTTTGCTTTTTCAGTTATATGAATGATATATATGTAGAATGATTAAAAATTCATCAAAGTCTTCTTGGAGGGAAACATTTAAGGAAAAAGGCTGAATAAAAGTGGAAAATTAGCATTGTGTAGCCAAGTGACTGTCAATGGCTAATTTTGACCCACAAGGGGAATAGTATGATATTGCTTAAAACAAAAGTGTGCAGAGTTCTTAGAGCTTTACCTGCTTCCGGAATTAATGTGGATCTACTTTACTCTTCACTCCATTCCATCCTGTCCTTTGTGGGACCCATGTGTGAACTTAAAGGATATTATGGATTTGAAAAGAAAACCAACATGAAAAGTGAAAAACAATTGACGTTCTGCATAATTGATTCTCTTTGATGATTTGCATAATATAAGCATGGCATGGTATAGTATTAAGATTACTGGGTTTAGAAGCCATTTGCCTCAGTTGTGATTTTGCCTTTTAAAGATTGAGGTTACTTAAATCAGTCAGTTGCCTCTCTGAGGCTCTTTAAATTGGATTTAAGGAGCTTCAGATAATAGTTTAGCTCAGGAGATGAGGATCAAATGAGATATAAGAAGTTTTGTAAATTCTGAAATGCTTTTGAAATAGAATGGAGTGATGGTATTTGAAACTATATTTAACATTGTATTTTATTCACCTTTCAAAAATTTTCCTTAATTTGGCCATCAGGGGAAAAAAAAAAACAACTCTTTTAGGGTGGGCCTGATTATCAAAAAGATGTTGACCAGCTGTTCCTGAACTTAAGATAAAAGATTAAGCTAGATGAATGAGATTTATAGTAGAGCACAAAGGGTTTAGGTTTAAATAGAGTCCAATCAGAGTTTTGATTTGTTTGAAGCTGTAGTGTTTTTCTCAGGAATATTATAAATTTTTCTTTAGGTGCTTTTAAAAACTAAAAATAGATTTTTCATCTGTCTGTATTGGGTTAGGTAGAGTCCTGCTGAAGATATAAAGATGATTAATATCTTTATATTAGCAAACCTCTAATGTTTGCTTCTGACCCAAGAGTTGTACAACCATTTAATAAGTCAGTCTGGAAATAGAATATAGAATCTGAACTCCTTGTAAAAGTAATAACTGTAGTTTTAAAAGGTCCTGCAGAATTTTACAATAATTAAATTGAAGAGATAAGCTGAAACAAAAGTCATTGCTTAAAAGTCTTTGTAAGAAAAACACTAACTTTCTATAGCTGTCTGTTTTGAAGTAAGCTATAGTAAAGTTCTCAATTTTATTCCTGAAAAATAAAAATTATTTACATCAACTTGTCATATATAAGGAGATTGCTTGCATTGGAGTTTTCAGTGTGTATGAATTCTACATTATCTATTGTTGACCTTTTCATATTAGAAAATGAAGTCGCTGACAGTGATTGTACATATATGTACACAAGTAGTGGGGGAAGACCACTGCAGTTCTACAAAAGGCTTCCTTCTATATCTTACAAGAAAATTCTGCCCTTTGATTTTTCTTTTATTACTACTGCTGCTGCTACTACTACTGCTGTAGCACTTGTGTGTCAGGATTTGTTCTAGGTGCTTTAGATGTATTAGCCCATTTGATTCTTATAACAGCTTACTGAATATGTACTATTACCATCCCCATTTAGGAGAGGAGAAAACATGTACAGAGAGAAGAAGCCCTCCTAGGGACATAGAGCTAGTAGGTGGCAAAATGGCACCTTGTGTTGTTTGGTCCAGAACCTATGCCCCTGCCACTCTGCAGTCTTGCCTAGTAATAATCTACCACACTGGCCGTTGCATATAGTCCTCTCTGTATTGCTTATTTCCCCAGTAGGAAAACAGAAAGTTTTGCACAGTTGGAGATGATAAAGATTTACGTATAATCCGCTATTGCAATTATAGTATGGATTTCAATTAACTTTTCTTGACATAAAGTTTAATATCAGGAGTTGATTTCATGTGAAAATTCAATTGTATGAAATACTGCCTATTGGATCAACTTTTATGAGCATATTAGAGAAAGGCAGTGACTTAACTACCATGCTCAACTCAGATGCTGATATAGGTGTATGTGTGTGAATTACCACATTGCAGTAATAGAGTGACTTGGTGAAGAAGTGGGTGCAGGAGACAAAAAAAATACCAGTAAGTATGACTTTGACCTTCTTCAGTGCCAATTATTCAGAGAACCTTAATTAACTTGTAAATGTTCCCTTGATAAACTTAAAATGACCATGTGTAATGTGAAGTTAGTATGACGTGTTTAGAAAACTGTTTAGGACAGGAAGCAGGCATTAGGAACTCTCACACATATCTAGACATTCAGAATTTTTTTTTTTTTTTTTGACATGGAGTCTCGTTCTGTTGCCTAGGCTGGAGTGCAGTGGTATGATCTTGGCTCACTGCAACCTCTACCTCCCGGGTTCAAACGATTCTCCTGCCTCAACCTCCTGAGTAGCTGGGATTATAGGCGCACACCACCACTCCCGGTTAATTTCTGAATTTTATTAGGGGCGGGGTTTCTCCATGTTGGTCAGGCTGGTTTCAAACTCCTGACCTTGTGATCTGCCTGCCTTGGCCTCCCAAAATGCTGGAATTACAGGTGTGAGCCACTGCGCCCGGCCCAGAATTGTTTATATCAGCAAAACAATTTTTAAGAAAACATGACCTGAGTATGTATCACTGTTAGAGATCATGGAAACTTTGTATTTCTTCTAAAATATTTTAATAGACAAGAGCCAGATAGTACAAGCTTCAAGTGACTTTAGTACATCTGCACTAATCAAGATTGTATGAATAAGCATACTCAGTGTAATTAAGTAAGTGAATTCATCCAATATATCACAAACTCCTGAACATAGTGAATTAAAGACCATGAATATAAGACAATACCACTTATAACAACAGTAATACTAGTAACAACTACAACCACCACCACACAACTTACATTTATTGTGAATCAGGAAAGTGCTTTAAATGAATTATATTATTTAATCCTACAACAATCCTGTGAATTCACTATTATAACTTCCAACTCCACAGATACCAAAAAGAGAGCATTAATTATGTGCACAGTTACACAATTAACAAGTATCATTTATTCAGTATTTACTGAGTGTACCCACCAGAGATCTGCACTGTTCTAGGTAGTGAAGAATTAGCAATGAGTAAAACAAAGTCCCTGCCTTCATAGAAGGACCCCACCTTTTATGAGAGAGACAGACAACAAATAAACATGGAAACATAATAAGTCAGCTGGTAATTAGAATTATGTAGAACAGTAAAGCCCAGTAAGTAGACAACAGAGTGCTAGCATAAGATGCTGTGATAGGCAATGTCACTTTTTTAAGCAGGGCAGTAAGGGGAGACCTCTCTGATAAGGTGATGTTTTAGCAGATACCTGGAGGGAGAGAGAGATTTGTAGAAAGAGTGTTCCTCTGCTTGGAATACGGGAGAAGAATGGTCTAGGAGGCCATGTATTTGGAGTGGGTGAGGAGGAGCATGGTTGGAGTTCGAACCCAGATTTATCTGACTGCGGAGTCCATAAACCACTACACCAATCTGATGGGGCAACCACAACGTTACCTAACTTACTGTGATTTTAGAGATGAATTAGCCAGATACATATTCTCATGGAAAAGAGGAGGGTAGTGACATTCTACTCTGAAAGTTCTGGGTTGCGTTGAGACTTATGTGAGAAATCCCTGTGTTTTGTGGAGAGATATTGTTGAGACTAGAGAACAATTATGAAGCATAAGTTTGGGAAACTGGGATTGTAACTCCCATGCTCAGAATTCTTCCATGGTTCTTCAATTGCCTGCAGAGCTTTAGAGAAATTAAGTAACTTTCTGAAAGCCTCATAGCAAACAGACCTCCTTTTGAATTATGATAAAGACTGTATTCATAACTGCTGAGCTATGCTGTTCTTCTCAAAGTGTGAAATCAATCACATGCTCCTTGGCTTCCTGTCACCTACATATCAAAGTTGACATGACTTGGCAAGGAATGCAGAACCCCCAGAGTGTGGCTGCACCTTCTTTTATGCTCTCCTTCCACTGCCCCTCCCCGTGCACCTTGGCATGCAACAGAACAGTGCTCCTCAGGGTCATGTTCCTAGGATTTTTTGCATTCTGAAATGTCCTTCTTTCTCTTGTTTTGTAACCAAGATTTTATATCTTTCTTGAAGGCTTTTTTTTTTTTTTTTTGCCATTTTCCTTCCCAGATTGAGTTTTAACTTCTTCCCAGGCTGCTTTTAGAGCTTATGTATCTTTGTACTTGCTCATCATTTCCAGTAGAAATCATTCCTTCAGTCCCTATCCTCCCAGCTAGGATTATGCTTGCATAAACACCTATGCAAGCATTGACCATGGCTTTTATTACCACACTTTTTTAGTAATTTATTTGCTTTTGTATCTGCCTTGTCTTCTAAACTATGCCATTCAAAGCTTTTTAAAAATCTGTATCCCAACCAAATACAGGGCTTGGCATGTAGTTTACCTGCTTACTTAAATTAAACTTAAGAATATTAGATGCAGAGTTATAATGATGACAGATTTGATCAGATTAAAACAAGTGGAGTATGTTGAGCAGTAATATTAGTTCATTATGGAAAGATACATGATAATAAAAACTATTCAATGAAAGATTATAATGTGTCAGGCATTAAACTCAGTGTAAAAATACATCATTCTATTATTCAATATCCAATTCAAATTTGGAAGATATGTCTTATTAGGTATAACTTTAAAACTAAATTAAAATCTTAATAGATGTAACTTTAAAACTAAATTAAAAATGTATTTATTTTTGAACTATTACTAAGTGGATAGTAGGAGAGTGAGTAGGGCTTTAATTGGAGGAAAAAGTCTTTAGAAAGGGACAGAAGTCATCCTTGTTTCTTTGTATTCAGTTTTTAAAACGTTACTACAAATGTGTATACTTGGCTACATGGCAGAGATCTTCCGGAAAGAACACTGCCCTCATTTATAATTTGGACATAGCATGTTGGGTGAGACAGAGGGCTATTGGAGAAGTGAGCCCAGATGAGACCTTGCATATAATGCAGTGCTTCGTGCTGTTATCAACGGTTAATTGTAAAGGTTTTAGTAAGTACCATCCTTCCAACCTAAGGCCCAAAGTGGGATACTTCAGGCCATGGCTACTTAGCATAATTCCTGATTTTCATTTAGTAGGAAGCCTACTAATTAGGAAGTCTGTTGAGTAATTTTTGAATGAAATGCTCATTGCTGATTGCTTTGTTTCTTGGACAAGTATTTAATCTCGAATTGATATAGTGCTTATAATCACTGATAAATCATTTTGAGACTTGCATTTAATTTTGGCTTATATAACATTTATATTACTCTAGTGATGTTGAGTTGAATTCTGAAAGATTTAAGTGCAAAATCTTTGAAAAAATTTATCACATAGTTTTCCCACACTTCTCATCACACAGTACAGCTTTTCTTCCCTTTTTTTCACTTGATTTTATTGTTTCCTTAATTTCTCAATATTTTCTGCCAATTATGTGAATTAGACATTCTTTATTTAATCCTAATACTTAGAGTCTATCAGTAGGAAAGACTACATTAATGCTCAAAAATATATTTTAAAAAGTATTTTGCTTTCAACCCTTTCCAGTATCCAGTAGAAATTTATTCTAAAGCTCTTTTTGTGATTTTCCTGCAGTGACACCACAGCCAAAGCCCTATGGGAAGCTTTACTGAACACTAAGCACAAAGAGGCAGTGATGGAAGTTCGGAGACATCTAGTGGAAGCGGCAAGCAGAGAAAACCTGCCAATCAAGATGAGTATGGGTAAGCCTAAACCTAGGACACAGGCAGCCTCTGAGGAAGCTTATTTAAACCTGTTCTGAATTGTGGGCCAAGCTAGCCAACATGGAATCTAGGCCAAAGTAGTAACGACTTTTGTATACTGTTGAAAGAATAGGGAAGGAATATGTGCACGCTGCCCTTGGGCTCAGCAATGACCACTTTTCTTAGACTCAGCTTTGGGAACTCTCTAGGAGAGTTTTTGCTTACAAAGAATAATTATTTTAGTTTCTTATTGATCTATTTTAGAACTGTCAAAATTGGTCTGGACTACCTCTCCTTAATTCTATTCCAACCCTACTCCCTTTTTTCCCCCATTCTTCCCCTATTACCCCACTTATGGTGGGTAAAAGTTCTCTTATTACTTTCGAATTAGTGACTGAAATGGTACTGAGAAAAGAATTGAGCAGTCAGACATGGTCTGGCCTAGTCCCTCACCCTTAGAGTCCTAATTGTCAAGTCACATCAGCGTTATTTCTTCTTCACCAGGAATTACATACCTAATTTTTCTATTTCTTGTTTTTTTTCACATCCATCTTTGTCTTTGGTATTAGATGAATATGATTGCAATGGAATTTAAGTTTTAAATGGCTTTTTTTCTTTTGATCAAAAAGTCAGAGAACCACAGAAGTAATGCGTTGATTTTAGAAAAAAAATTTGGCTTTTAATTTTTTTGTTTTAAAAAATATTAAATAATTTTATTGATACAGAAATATTTAAATATGGATATTGAATCTGGTTAATAGGTAGAATTTGTTTCTGGAAGTTTGCAAAATTTTATTTTTCTCTTTTAAAAATAAGGTTTCTCTCTTATAATCTGTTCTTAGGTATTCAGTAAATATTAGTACATTTTATTGGATGGGAAAATTTTTCTTTGCTGAGATTCATAGGCCAAGTTCTTGATTACACATGGGGGCAAAAATCAAACTAAGTTGAAATAGAACAAAATTTGAAAGTAGCAGAATATGGATGAATCTAGGAAGAAAAATGTTACAGGGTTATAACATGAAAAGAATATGACTTTTAGTGTATTAGGTAACTATATTTGAGGGCTGCAAGGAACATAATGATGATAAGAAAAGTGAAATAACTAACCATTATTGAGAACTTACAGTATGCTAGGTCTTTGGACTGTTTATATGTGTTATCTTATTTCATTCTTAGAGTAATTCTATGAAACAGGTACTATTAGTATCCCATTTTGCAGGTAGGGAAACTGAAACAGAAAAATAAGTTGCCCAAGGCCATATATCTGATAAGTGGTAGGACTGGAATTCAAATCCAAGAATTTTGATGCCACGTAATATGCACTTTATTTATAAAATCATCCTAATTTGTACAGCCAATGCCGGAAGTGGTTTTGAAGGGTGAGAGCTCTTTTACTAGTTTTGAATTAATAAATGAACTGTCATACTAAAAACAATTTAGCAGACAGACATGCCCTAGCCTGGTCCCTCACCCTTAGAGTGGGTCTCAAATTTGCTGCACTGAGATATCCTGGCACTTGACTATTAATTGTCTTTCCTTTCTTCCTCCTTTCTTCCTTCCTTCTGTCCCTCCATCTCCCATCCCCTTCTCTCCTTTCCTTTCCATAGCCCTAGGTACACATTAGTAACAAGTGTATTTACCTCATTGAGTGTCTTATTCTTAAGTATGTTGAAACAAGAACTAATTAATATTGTGAATCGGCCGGACGCAGTGGCTCTCGACTATAATCCTAGCACTTTGGGAGGCCGAGGCAGGCGGATCACGAGATCAAGAGACTGAGACCCTCCTGGCCAATATGGTGAAACCCTGTCTCTACTAAAAATACAAAAATTAGCTGGGTGTGGTGGCGCGCACCTGTAGTCCCACCTACTCAGGAGGCTGAGGCAGGAGAATAGCTTGAACCCAGAAGGCAGAGGTTCCAGTGAGCTGAGATTGCGCCACTGCACTCCAGCCTGGCAACAGAGTGAGACACCGTTTAAAAAAAAAAAATTGTGAATCAAGGAAAGTAGGAATGCACAAAGGGTCTTCATGCTAAGGTTAATTTATATTGTGTTTCAGTGATACAACATTATGATACTATCACAGAGCATAAATCAGTTTCTATTGCTCGATTCAGGACTCTTAAAAGAGCAACAAACTACTTTTCTAAAGGGCCGTATCTTTGAAAAATAAGCAGAGCCACAAATTTTTAAAAAGGACAGGTAATCCCATAAGCAATTCACATTTAAATGTTTGAGTTTTCTGTCAATCAAAAAAAAAAATTTTTTTTAAGATAGAATTGTTTGCTTTATTCCACAACTCTAGATAGGGGCTGGGGTGAGAGTGGGAGGAAGAAAGAAGGAAAAAAACAGAGGATTGTTAGCAAACTTCTGTTGTAAGAAGGACCAAAAAGATTGATTCAAAGCATACTCCAACCATGTGCCCACTACTCTTTAGTAACAGATAACACAGTATGGCTGCCCATTTTTGCTTCATATCACTAGCCGGAATTTCTTGGGTCTCATTTTCATATATAAACAGATTCATAACTATGAACAGTAAGGAAGAGAACTGGAACTTGTAAACATAATAAAACATTGATTTTTGAAAACTGTCTATCATATAGCTTATCATATAGCATTTAAAACTATAACATATATTTTAAACTATGCACAATTCTCCCATCCTTGCTATAGTTTCTACTGAAGTATAAATTTTTCTGACTGTGATAAAGGCTTCTAGTATTTTTGAGATGTTAAACAGATTTTAATTATAGACTCACGATTCCCTTGTATTTAAATTTATGGGGAGGGATCCCATGATTGAAACCTCATATCTTAAATATAAAATTTCTCAGTACAAGGTAAATTCATGTTAAAACGTTATGAGCACCAAGAGAAATAAACATCATCTACTTAAAGGAAAAATGTTTAATTGCTAAAAGACAGAGAAAAATTCATTTTATTATTGCACATATAAACATGTCATCCTTCTGAGAGCTTGTTATTAAATTGTCAGTTAACTAAATAGATATGTTCCAGAAAAGTGACTTTGAAAACACTGAAATGCAGTTGTATTTTTCCCACTGGCTTTCATAATGAAAAATGTATTCTGAAAGTAACAAAACAAATAGACCATTAGAAATCCATTTGTTTAAGTCTAAAATGGCCACTCACAGAAGAAATGAGTAGATGATGCCCATCTCAAACGCTGATACATTTTACAGAGAATCTTTCACTGGAATATGATTGTGGTTGAGGAACTTCACATATCTGTCCTATAGTTCTCTACAAAGTGGACATATTCCCCAGTGTTTAATGGGTGACAGAACTATTCTATTATATTAGAGCCAAAGTAAAACAGATATCTTTATGATACTGTCTTTTCTTTGTAGCCAGAGTTCTTGAAAGAGTGTTCTATGCTTGATGCCTCTGTTTCTTTATTATTTTCTTACTAATGTAGTGCAGTCTGGCTCATGACACTTTTTTACTGGAAAGCCTCCCAGACCACTAAATATAAGGACATTTTTGCCAGTCACCATCCTTCTCGACCTCTTTGCAGCATTCACTACTAGACTTTGCCACTTTCTTATATGTCTCTCTGTGTTTTCTGTGACTTTAGCCTCTTCTGATTGTGATGGAGTATAAAGTCAATTATATCTGAGGGTGAATCACAGTTCTGCCACTTATTAGCCAAACTTCAATTTCTTTGTCCATAAAATAGGGGAAATAGCTATTTTCTGGACTTTTGAAGGAGAATAAAAGCTCTGAGCAGAGGGAAGTTATGACTATCAAGCAAACTGGAATGAGTAAGCTATAGTTACAGTCTCTGCCTATGGGAACATCTGCACGGGAAACTAAATTATAAGGTTATTTGATGAGAGTGAATGCAAAGCAAACAGATCAAGTTAGATTATTTCTCCTTTCTTTCTCGGAAATGTACTAATTCATTCTTTCCACTTCACTCATCTTTTTCTAGGCTTTATGCTAAATATCTCCCTTCTGATAACCCTGTCTTTTTTTAAGCAGAATTCTAAATAGTTTTTCCATGTTCAGCCTGGTTATAATTCCATTGCATTGCCTCTTTCCTGACTCTGTTCATTCCTCCTGACTCCTCCTCCCTGCACCGCCAACATCCCCTTGACTGTATTTGGGATTCCTAATCCTCTGTGGTCACACTTTTATGGAAAAAATCTCTGGAGTTACATTTCTAGATGATAATCTGATCCACTACAAGGTGATACTTCTTAATTTGCTCTCCTAGTTCTGGGACATCTTAGTGTCAGCCCTATAAACTCACCACCATTCTCTCTTTTCCTAATTAAATACGATGAGTTCTTTCAACCATTTGGGAAAAGACAAGCCTTTCCTACTTTTTACTTCTAGTTTTAAGTCACTGGCAGAGCTCTAGTTTGTTAACATTCCTCCTAAAATGTGAATTCCAGAACTGAACAAAGATGTTGTCTTGTTTTTCCCCTATTTTGAACACTGTACTGTACTGTGCTTCTCTTTTTTTTTTTTTGAGACGAAGTCTTGCTCTGTCGCCCAGGCTGGAGTGCAGTGGCGTGATCTCGGCTCACTGCAACCTCCGCCGCCTGGGTTCAAGCGATTCTCCTGCCTCAGCCTTCCGAGTAGCTGGGATTACAGGCCCATGCCACCATGCCCGGCTAATTTTTTTATTTTTATCTAGTAGAGACAGGGTTTCACCATGTTGGCCAGGCTGGTCTCAAACTCATGACCTTGTGATCCGCCCGCCTCGGCCTTCCAAAGTGTTGGGATTACAGGCGTGAGCCATCGTTCCCGGCTTGTGCTTCTCTTAATAAAGCCCCAGATAAGATTTGTGATTTTTGTTTTCCACCAATGCCACACTTACTTTCATTTCTGAATTTCAACATTTAGCAGTATTGGCTTTGAAAAACAGCAATACATCAAAATACTTTAAAATTTTGTTTGATACGTGTTTTTTAAAAACAGCATTGAGAGTGTTCTACTTCCTGTTTTTGATATGTGAATTCATCCAGTTCTGGCTGAGTAATAGCTGTGTTTTTGATCACATTTATATTTTTGCCTTCACGGGAAAAATTTTCTCTGAGATTAAGAGGAGCATGTGTGCATGCAAATCTCTTTGTTATGTGTGTATAAGAGAGAGAGAAAGAGAGAGAGAGAGGGATGGGAGGAGAAAGAGTGAGAAATGGATGGGGAGATGGGGAGACTGCCCAACTTTGCAAAAAGGAAAAGTTAAAACCTAGTAAGACTAACATACCATGTGATATATGGTCATTTATAAAGGATGAGAACATCTGGCTGCCTCATAAGAGACATATACTGATTATTGACTCACACACATCTTTGTTTTTATATATTAGTTGATACCACAATTTGGGGAATGGGGAAGGGAATTAACTTTTATTGAATAGCTACTTTGTTTCAGGTACTATAAAAGAAGTTTTGCATAGTTTGTTTCATTTAATGCTCCCAATAGTATAAATTTGGTAATTTTTTAAAAGTCCCATTTCACAGGCAAGGAAAACTGAGACCACAAAGCTGAGGTTTCTTTTCCAGGATTACTGTGCCAATTGTTAAGTTCTTGTCTCTCAGATCTAAACTCCCACTTCGTGATGCTGGGGCTGGGACTTTCAGACCACACTTCAGCTTGCCCAGCTGGATCCCTGTCAGGCTATGCTAATAAGGGGAACTAGAGGGAAACCTCAAGGCTAGAGGGTAAGAAGCAGCCTTCTCCTTCGTTTCTGCTTTCTGTGGACTTTCCTTCTGCTTGTGAGTATCTTGCCAACAGTATACTCCTTCACCACAGCAGTGGCAAGTTTTTCCTGTGGTAGCAGCTGAATCCAGTGTGCAGTTCTTCTAACACCTGGAAAACTAGCTTCAGGGCACCCTCTCCTCAGAGGTACCACCCCAGCCAAGTAGTGCTCCATTGTCAGAGGTTTGCATTTAAGTCCCTACATTTGTAAGTTTTAATAATTTCAATCTCTTGCTTCTGTTTCCTCCACACTGGTGGTGGGAGCTACCTCCCTGGTACCTTGGAGTTCTCTTTTTATCCTTTCAATTACCCACTTAACAATTCTGTATGTTAAGTTTTCTCTGTTCATGTCACTGGTGTGTTTAATGTCTTCTGACTGGGTCCTCACTGATGGGTTACATAGCAAGTAAGCAAGGATACAAAGCTGGATCTGTCTGACTTCTATTATCAGGCCTCTTTAGAGAGAGGAGTCAAACAACTAGGGATTGGGGGAGGTAGTGTCTACAGAGCTACAAGCTCAGATATGATTATGCCATGCCCCCGCTTAAAACCCTTTGGTGGGTCCCTCAGGATAGTATCCAAATGTCTAAGCATGCTATTTATAAAGATGGTTCTGCCTTCTAGCCTTATGCTTCACCTACCTATTCTCATTGCTTTCCCTCTCTATTACCTATTTCCCTACATGAACTTTTGCAGATCCAGGACTTTGTTGTCTGTCTGAAATACTTTCATTTGGTTGTTCCTCCAGATCACTCTCCGCCCCTCTATATCTGTGCCTCTGGAGACTGACCTTCGTGGACTGCCTTTTCCAGGCTTTGCTTCTCATTTGAGTTTGGCCTATGAGAGGCATAGGCAGGAGATTTAGAGGGTGAGAGGAAAGTATAGTTAGGATATTGTTTGCCTGGCTTCTTCCTGCCAGGATGCAGTTGGCGTGCCATCTTTTTCCTGCCAAGACCTTGACTAATATAACCACTCATCTTCCAATACACTCATTTGCACACAAAAATGCACATCTTTCCTGTCAAAACCCATCTGATTCTTCATGATTAAATACAGATGTCACTTTCTCTGTGGAACCACATCTGATTCCCTGCTTTTCACTCCCTCAACAGGCTGAATAAATTGCTCTGGCTTCTAAGGACACACAGCTCTTTTTATGGATGCCTTTTTAGCACTTACAATGATGTGATATAGTTAAGTGTGTGTGGATCAAAAACCTTGCTAGATAGTGTACATGTCATGTCCTTCATTGGCCATTGGCTTGGTACACAGTGGGTGGCTTAGTGCTTGTAGTTTGAATGAATGGATTGCCTGATGAGTATGGGTGAGTAACAGAGAGACAATGAGTATTTCTATTTTCAATAGAAAGAGGCAGAAATAGTTTTCATTGAATTAATAATTAATAATTATTATTTCTATTTACAAATTTCCTTTCTGATACGTATTATTCCTTTTGATGTCTCTCTAGCATCTGATCACGTCTTCTTTGTTGGGTTCTTTTCCCTTTGTCTTCATGTCACTCTGCTCTTCTGATCTCTCCCTCTTTCTGATAATTGTTTTATGCCTTCTGTTACTTCTAGTTTCCTAGAAGGTTGTAGATATCTTTGTATCTCCTGTTGTGCCTTGCACATAGATGCTACTTAATGACTGCCACCAATGTTAGAGCCTTATTCTACTTCTACACTCCACTCCAAAATAAATAAAAAACATAAAACCCCATTTCCTATGGTTCAGTATCCTGGGCTTTCCAGTTCTCTCCCAACATTTTCTCTATCATAGCTCTCATCTCTTTGTTTGTACTATTATTGTATTACAGCAATTACCACCAGACTCAGAGTAGTTGGGGCTGAGAACTCTTACCTATGCTTCTTAGTATTCTTTGCACCTAACATAGGAACTTGAACTTACTGTATACCCAAGAAATGTTTACGGAATTAATAAATAAATTCTTGAATTAACAGTGTCAGTTGGTATTTGTTACATATTTATTTAATGGATTGCTTTTCTATCACTCTCCTGTGGAATCCAAGAGTGACACTGATTTAGAACATAAGTTCTCAAACTTCTTGGTCTTAGAACCTGTTTACAGTCTTAAAAACCTAAAGAGTTCCTCAATAATTTTTGTTTATGTGGATTACATCTATTGATACATGTGGGATAGGTGAATGGATAGCTGGATAGATACAAAACAACGTGTTAGAAAAGAAAGCAAGGAGTATTTTAAAATATTTATTAATTCATATTGAGATAATAATAAACCCATTATATGTTAACAAAAGTGACATTTTTACAAAAAATAACTATATTTTCTAAAACAAAATAAGGTAGTGAAAAGAGTGGCATTATTTTACATCTTTGCACATGTCTAATGTCTGACTTCATACAAAACAGCTGGTACTTTGTATTTAAAAGATAATTAGTATGTGTGCTTATTATGTAATAGATCCTGTACACGAAATATTTGACAAGGGCATCAAGATGACACAATGGGAAAGAATAGTCTCAATAAATGCTGCTGGGAAAATTGGATGTCCACATACAAAGAATGAAATTGAACCCTTATGTTACACTATATACAAAAATAAACTCAAAATGGATAAAAGACCTAAATGTAAGATGTGAAACCATAACACTCTTAGAAGAGAACATAGGGAAAAGGCTCTCTGACACTGGCGTTGGCAATGATTTTTTGAAAAAATAAAAAAATTTAAAAAATACATATGTATATAATGGGTTAATATATAATGAAATATTATTCAGCCTTTAAAAAGGATATCCATTTGCCACAACATGGATGGACTTTAAGCAGACCTGCAGCAGAGAGTCCTAACTGTTAGAAGGAAAACTAACAGAAAGGAATAGTATCAACATCAACAAAAAGGACTCAGAGACCCCAGCCGAAGGTCACCAACTTCAAAGACCAAAGGTAGATAAAATCATGAAGATGGGGAGAAACCAGCACAAAAAGCCTGAAAATTCCAAAAATGAGAACATCTCTTCTCCTCCAAAGGATCACAAATCCTCGCTAGCAAGGGAACAAAACTGGATGGAGAATGAGTTTGACAAATTGACAGAAGTAGGCTTCAGAAGGTGGGTAATAACAAACTCCTCCGAACTAAAGGAGCATGTTCTAACTCAATGCAAGAAAGCTAAGAACCTTGACAAAAGGTTAGACGAATAGCGAACTAGAATAACCAGTTTAGAGAAGAACATAAATGACCTCATGGAGCTAAAACACACAGCACGAGAACTTCATGAAGCATACACAAGTATCAATAGCTGAATCGATCAAGCAGAAGAAAGGATATCAGAGATTGAAGATGAACTGAATGAAATAAAGCAAGAAGACAAGATTAGAGAAAAGAGAATGAAAAGAAACAAAGCCTCCAAGAAATGTGGCACTATACAAAAAGAGCAAACCTACAGTTGATTGGTGTACCTCAAAGTGATGGGGAGAATGGAACCAAGTTGGAAAACACTCTTCAGGATATTATCCAGGAGAATTTCCCCAACCTAGCAAGACAGGCCAACGTTCAAATTCCGGAAATACAGAGAACACCACGAAGATACTCCTTGAGAAGAGCAACCCCAAGACACATAAACGTCAGATTCACCAAGGTTGAAATGAAGGAAAAAATGTTAAGGGCAGGCAGAGAGAAAGGTTGGGTTACCCACAAAGGGAAACCCATCAGACTAACAGTGGATCTCTTGGCAGTATCCCTACAAGCCAGAAGAGAGTAGGGGCCAATATTTAACATACTTAAAGAAAAGAATTTTCTTTTCTTTTTTTTTTTATTATTATTTAAGTTTTAGGGTACATGTGCACAACGTGCAGGTTTGTTACATATATATACATGTGCCAAGTTGGTGTGCTGCACCCATTAACTCGTCATTTAGCATTAGATATATCTCCTAATGCTATCCCTCCCCCCTCCCCCCACCCGACAACAGTCCCCAGTGTGTGATGTTCCCCTTCCTGTGTCCATGTGTTCTCATTGTTCAATTCTCACCTATGAGTGAGAACATGCGGTGTTTGGTTTTTTGTCCTTGCGATAGTTTGCTGAGAATGATGGTTTCCAGCTTCATCCATGTCCCTACAAAGGACATGAACTCATCCTTTTTTATGGCTGCATAGTATTCCATGGTGTATATGTGCCACATTTTCTTAATCCAGTCTATCATTGCTGGACATTTGGGTTGGTTCCAAGTCTTTGCTATTGTGAATAATGCCACAATAAACATACATGTGCATGTGTCTTTATAGCAGCATGATTTCTAATCCTTTGGGTATATACACAGTAATGGGATGGCTGGGTCAAATGGTATTTCAAGTTCTAGATCCCTGAGGAATCGCCACACTGACTTCCACAATGGTTGCACTAGTTTACAGTCCCACCAACAGTGTAAAAGTATTCCTATTTTTCCACATCCTCTCCAGCACGTGCTGTTTCCTGACTTTTTAATGATTGCCATTCTAACTGGTGTTAGGTGGTATCTCATTGTGGTTTTGATTTGCATTTCTCTGATGACCAGTGATGATGAGCATTTTTTCATGTGTTTTTTGGCTACATAAATGTCTTCTTTTGAGAAGTGTCTGTTCATATCCTTCGCCCACTTTTCGATGGGTTTGTTTGTTTTTTTCTTGTAAATGTATTTGAGTTCATTGTACATTCTGGATATTAGCCATTTGTCAGATGAGTAGGTTGCAAAAATGTTCTCCCATTCTGTAGGTTGCCTGTTCACTCTGATGGTAGTTTCTTTTGCTGTGCAGAAGCTCTTTAGTTTAAGTAGATTCCATTTGTCTATTTTGGCTTTTGTTGCCATTGCTTTTGGTGTTTCAGACATGAAGTCCTTGCCCATGCCTATGTCCTGAATGGTATTGCCTAGGTTTTCTTCTAGGGTTTTTATGGTTTTAGGTCTAACATGTAAGTCTTTAATCCATCTTGAATTAATTTTTGTGTAAGGTGTAAAGAAGGGATCCAGTTTCAGCTCTCTATATATGGCCAGCCAGTTTTCCCAGCACCATTTATTAAATAGGGAATCCTTTCCCCATTGCTTGTTTTTGTCAGGTTTGTCAAAGAACAGATAGTTGTAGATATGCAGCATTATTTCTGAGGGCTCTGTTCTGTTCCATTGGTCTATATGTCTGTTTTGGTACCAGTACCGTGCTGTTTTGGTGACTGTAGCCTTGTAGTATAGTTCGAAGTCAGGTAGCTTGATGCCTCTAGTTTTGTTCTTTTGGCTTAGGATTGACTTGGCAATGCAGGCTCTTTTTTGGTTCCATATGAACTTTAAAGTAGTTTTTTCCAATTCTGTGAAGAAAGGCATTGGTAGCTTGATGGGGATGGCATTGAATCTATAAATTACCTTGGGCAGTATGGCCATTTTCATGATATTGATTCTTCCTACCCATGAGCATGGAATGTTCTTCCATTTGTTTGTGTCCTCTTTTATTTCACTGAGCAGTGGTTTGTAGTTCTCCTTGAAGAGGTCCTTCACATCCTTGTAAGTTGGATTCCTAGGTATTTTATTCTCTTTGTAGCAATTGTGAATGGGAATTCACTGATGATTTGGCTATCTGTTTGTCTGTTATTGGTGTATAAGAATGCTTGTGATTTTTGCACATTGATTTTGTATCCTGAGACTTTGCTGAAGTTGCTTATCAGCTGAAGGAGATTTTGGGCTCAGATGATGGGTTTTCTAGATATACAATCATGTCATCTGCAAACAGGGACAATTTGACTTCCTCTTTTCCTAATTGAATGCCCTTTATTTCCTTCTCCTGCCTGATTGCCCTGGCCAGAACTTCCAACACTATGTTGAATAGGAGTGGTGAGAGAGGGCATCCCTGTCTTGTGCCCGTTTTCAAAGGGAATGCTTCCAGTTTTTGCCTATTCAGTATGATACTGGCTGTGGGTTTGTCATAGATAGCTCTTATTATTTTGAGATACGTCCCATCAATACCTAATTTATTGAGAGTTTTTAGCATGGAGGGTTGTTGAATTTTGTCAAAGGCCTTTTCTGTATCTATTGAGATAGTCGTGTGGTTTTTGTCTTTGGTTCTGTTTATGTGCTGGATTACGTTTATTGATTTTCGTATGTTGAACCAACCTTGCATCCCAGGGATGAAGCCCACTTGATCATGGTGGATAAGCTTTTTGATGTGTTGCTGGATTCAGTTTACCAGTATTTTATTGAGGATTTTTGCATCGATGTTCATCAATGATATTGGTCTAAAATTCCCTTTTTTTGTTGTGTCTCTGCCAGGCTTTGGTATTAGGATGATGCTGGCCTCATGAAATGAGTTAGGGAGGATTCCCTCTTTTTCTATTGATTGGAATAGTTTCAGAAGGAATGGTACCAGTTCCTCCTTGTACCTCTGGTAGAATTCGGCTGTGAATCCATCTGGTCCTGGAGTTTTTTTTGGTTGGTAAGCTATTAATTATTGCCTCAATTTCAGAGCCTGTTATTGGTCTATTCAGAGATTCAACCTCTTCCTGGTTTAGTCTTGGGAGAGTGTATGTGTTGAGGAATTTATCCATTTCTTCTAGATTTTCTAGTTTATTTGCATAGAGGTGTTTATAGTATTCTCTGATGGTAATTTGTATTTCTGTGGGATTGGTGGTGATATCCCCTTTGTCATTTTTTATTGCATCTATTTGATTCTTCTCTCTTTTCTTCTTTATTAGTCTTGCTAGCGGTCTATCAATTTTGTTGATCTTTTCAAAAAACCAGCTCCTGGATTTATTGATTTTTTGAAGGGTTTTTTGTGTCTCTATTTCCTTCAGTTCTGCTCTGATCTTAGTTATTTCTTGCCTTCTGCTAGCTTTTGAATGTGTTTGCTCTTGCTTCTCTAGTTCTTTTAATTGTGATGTTAGAGTGTCAATTTTAGATCTTTCCTGCTTTCTCTTGTGGGCATTTAGTGCTATAAATTTCCCTCTACACACTGCTTCGAATGTGTCCCAGAGATTCTGATATGTTGTGTCTTTGTTGTCGTTGGTTTCAAAGAACATCTTTATTTCTGCCTTCATTTCATTATTTACCCAGTAGTCATTCAGGAGCAGCTTGCTCAGTTTCCATGTAGTTGAGCAGTTTTGAGTGAGTTTCTTAATACTGAGTTCTAGTTTGATTGCACTGTGGTCTGAGAGACAGTTTGTTATAATTTCTGTTCTTTTACGTTTCCTGAGGAGTGCTTTACTTCCAAATATGTGGTCAGTTTTGGAGTAGGTGTGGTGTGGTGCTGAAAAGAATGTATATTCTGTTGATTTGGAGTGGAGAGTTCTGTAGATGTCTATTAGGTCTGCTTGGTGCAGAGCTGCGTTCAATTCCTGGGTATCCTTGTTAACTTTCTTTCTCGTTGATCTGTCTACTGTGGACAGTGGGGTGTTAAAGTCTCCCAGTATTATTGTGTGGGAGTCTAAGTCTCTTTGTAGGTCTCTAAGGACTTGCTTTATGAATCTGGGTGCTCCTGTATTGGGTGCATATATATTTAGGAGAGTTAGTTCTTCTTGTTGAATTGATACCTTTAGCCTTATGTAATGACCTTCTTTGTCTCTTTTGATCTTTGTTGGTTTAAAGTCTGTTTTATCCGAGACTAGGATTGGAACTCCTGCCTTTTTTTGTTTTCCATTTGCTTGGTAGATCTTCCTCCATCCCTTTATTTTGAGCCTGTGTGTGTCTCTGCACGTGAGATGGGTTTCCTGAATACAGCATACTGATGGGTCTTGACTCTTTATCCAATTTGCCAGTCTGTGTCTTTTAATTGGAGCATTTAGCCCATTTACATTTAAGGTTAGTATTGTTATGTGTGAATTTGATCCTGTCATTATGATGTTAGCTAGTTTTTTTGCTCGTTAGTTGATGCAGTTTCTTCCTTGCTTTGATGGTCTTTACAATTTTGCATGTTTTTGCAGTGGCTGGTACCAGTTGTTCCTTTCCATGTTTAGTGCTTCCTTCAGGAGCTCTTTTAGGGCAGGCTTGGTGGTGACAAAAATCTCTCAGCATTTGCTTGTGTGTAAAGGATTTTATTTCTCGTTCACTTATGAAGCTTAGTTTGGCTGGATATGAAATTCTGGGTTGAAAATTCTTTTCTTTAAGAATGTTGAATATTGGCACCCACTCTCTTCTGGCTTGTAGAGTTTCTGGCGAGAGATCAGCTCTTAGTCTGATGGGCTTCCCTTTGTGGGTAACCTGACGTTTATCTCTGGCTGCCCTGAACATTTTTTCCTTCATTTCAACTTTGGTGAATCTGACAATTATGTGTCTTGGAGTTGCTCTTCTCGAGGATTATCTTTGTGGTATTCTCTGTATTTCCTGAATTTGAATGTTGGCCTGCCTTGCTAGATTGGGGAAGTTCTCCTGGATAATATCCTGCAGAGTGTTTTCCAACTTGGTTCCATTCTCCCTGTCACTTTCAGGTACACCAATCAGAAATATAGATTTGGTCTTTTCACATAGTCCCATATTTCTTGGAGGCTTTGTTCGTTTCTTTTTATTCTTTTTTCTCTAAACTTCTCTTCATGCTTCATTTCATTCATTTGATCTTCCATCACTGATACCCTTTCTTCCAGTTGATCACATCAGTTACTGAGGCTTTTGCATTCATCACGTAGTTCTCGTGCCGTGGTTTTCAGCTCCATCAGGTCCTTTAAGGACTTCTCTGCATTGGTTATTCTAGTTATCCATTCATCTAACTTTTTTTCAAAGTTTTTAACTTCTTTGCCATTGGTTCGAACTTCGTCCTTTAGCTCAGAGTAGTTCGATCTTCTGAAGCCTTCCTCTCTCAACTCATCAAAGTCATTCTCCGTCCAGCTTTGTTCCATTGCTGGTGAGGAGCTGCATTCCTTTGGAGGAGTAGAAGCGCTCTGATTTTTAGAGTTTCTGTTTTTTCTGCTCTGTTTTTTCCCCATCTTTGTGGTTTTATCTTCCTTTGGTCTTTGATGATGTTGACGTACAGATGGGTTTTTGGTGTGGATGTCCTTTCTCTTTGTTAGTTTTCCTTCTAACAGTCAGGACCCTCAGCTGCAGGTCTGTGGGAGTTTACTGGAGGTCCACTCCAGACCCTTTTTGCCTGGGTATCAGCAGCGGTGGCTGCAGAACAGCGGATATTGGTGAACTGCAAATGCTGCTGCCTGATCGTTCCTCTGGAAGTTTTGTCTCAGAGGAGTACCCAGCTGTGTGAGGTGTCAGTTCACCGCTACTGGGGGGTGCCTCCCAGTTAGGCTACTCGGGGGTCAAGGACCCACTTGAGGAGGCAGTCTGCCCTTTCTCAGATCTCAAGCTGTGTGCTGGGAGAACCACTACTCTCTTCAAAGCTGTCAGACAGGGACATGTAAGTCTGCAGAGGTTATTGCTGTCTTTTGTTTGTCTGAGCCCTGCCCCCAGAGGTGGAGCCTACAGAGGCAGGCAGGCCTCCTTGAGCTTTGTTGGGCTCCACCCAGTTCGAGCTTCCTGGCCGCTTTGTTTACCTACTCAAGCCTGAGCTATGGTGGGCGCCCCTCCCCCAGCCTCGCTACTGCCTTGCCGTTTGATCTCAGACTGCTGTGCTAGCAATGAGCGAGGCTCCATGGGTATAGGACCCTCTGAGCCAGGTGCCGGATATAATCTCCTGGTGTGCTGTTTGATAAGCCCATTGGAAAAGCACAGTATTAGGGTGGGAGTGACCTGATTTTCCAGGTGCCGTCTGTCACCCCTTTCTTTGACTAGGAAAGGGAATTCCCTGACCCCTTGCGCTTCCCGGGTGAAGTGATGCCTCGCCCTGCTTCGGCTCACGCATGGTGTGCTGCTCCCACTGTCCTGCACCCACTGTCCGGCACTCCCCAGTGTGATGAGCCCGGTACCTCAGTTGGAAATGCAGAAATCACCCGTCTTCTGTGTCGTTCATGCTGGGAGCTGTAGACTGGAGCTGTTCCTATTCGGCCATCTTGGCTCCAGCACCCGAAAAGAATTTTCAACCCAGAATTTCATATCCAGCCAAAAAGGCTTCATAAGTGAAGGAGAAATAAAATTCTTTACAGACAAACAAATGCTGAGAGATTTTGTCACCAACAGGCCTGCCTTACAAGAGCTCCTGAAGGAAACTCTAAACATAGAAAAGGTCAACTGGTACCAGCCACTGCAAAAACATGCCACATTGTAAAGACCATCGATGCTTTGAAGAAACTGCATCAACTAACGGGCAAAATAACCAGCTAGCATCATAATGGCAGGATCAATTTCACACATAACAATATTAAACTTAAATGTAAATGGGCTAAATGCCCCAATTAAAAGACACAGACTGGCAAATTGGATAAAGAGTCAAGAGCCATTGTTGTGCCGTATTCCGGAGACCCATCTCACATGCAAGGACACACATAGGCTCAAAATAAGGGGATAGAGGAATATTTACCAAGCAAATGGAAAGCAAAACAAACAAACAAACAAAAAAAAAACCAAGGGTTGCAATTCTAGTCTGACACAAAGAGACCTTAAACTAAGAATGATCAAAAGAGACGAAGAAGGGCATTACATAATGGTAGAGGGATCACTGCAACAAGAAGAGCTAACTATAGTAAATATATATGTACCCAATAGGAGCACCCAGATTCATAAAGCAAGTTCTTAGAGACCTACAAAGAGATGTAGACTCCCACACAATAATAGTGGGAGACTTTAACATGCTGCTTTCAATATTAGACAGATCAATGAAACAGAAAATTCACAAGGATATTTAGGAGATGGACTCAGCTCTAGACCAAGCGGACCTAATAGACATCTGCAGAACTCTCCACCTCAAATTAACAGAATATACATTCTTCTCAGCACCACACCACACTGATTCTAAAATTGACCACATAATTGGAAGTAAAACACTCCTCAAAAAATGCAATAGAACAGAAATCATAACAAACATTCTCTCAGACCACAGTACGATCAAATTAGAACTGAGGATTAAGAAACTCACTCAAGACCACACAACTACATGGAAACTGAACAACCTCCTCCTGAATGACTACTGGGTAAATAAGGAAATAAAGGCGGAAATAAAGATGTTCTTTGAAACCAGTGAGAACAAAGACACAATGTACCAGAATCTCTGGGACACTTTTAAAGCAGTGTGCAGAGGGAAATTTATAGCACTAAATGCCCACAAGAGAAAGCAGGAAAGATCTAAAATCGATACCCTAACATCACATTGAAAAGAACTAGGGAAGCAGGAGCAAAGAAATTCAAAGGCTAGCAGAAGGCAAGAAATAACTAAGATCGAGCAGAACTGAAGGAGATAGAGACATAAAAAACACTTCAAAAAAATCAGTGAATCCAGGAGCTGGTTTTTTGAAGAGATTAACAAAATAGATAGACCGCTAGGCAGACTAACAAAGAAGAAAAGAGAGAAGAATCAAATAGATACCATAAAAAATGATAAAGGATATATCACCACCGATCCCACAGACATACAATCTACCATCGGAGAATACTATAAACACCTCTATGCAAATAAACTAGAAAATGTAGAAGAAATGGATAAATTCCTGGACACATACACGCTCCCAAGACTAAACCAGGAAGAAGTTGAATCCCTGAATAGACCGATAACAAGTTCTGAAATAGAGTCAGCAATTAATAGCCTACCAACTAAAAAAAGTCCAGGACCAGAGAGATTCATAGCCAAATTCTACCACAGTTACAAAGAGGAGCTGGTACCATTCCTTCTGAAACTATTCCAATCAATAAAAAAAGAGGGAATCCTCCCTAACTCATTTTATGAGGCCAGCATCATCCTGATACCAAAACCTGACAGAGACACAACACAAAAAGAAAATTTTAAGCCAATATACCTGATGAACATTGATGTGAAAATCGTCAATAAAATACTGGGAAACCGAATCCAGCAGCATGTCAAAAAGCTTATCCACCATGATCAAGCCAGCTTCATCCCAGGAATACAAGGCTGGTTCAACATATGCAAATCAATAAACGTAATCCATCACATAAACAGAACCAATGACAAAAACCACATGATTATCTCAATAGATGCAGAAAACACCTTTGACAAAATTCAACAGTGCTTCATGCTAAAAACTCTCAATAAACTATGTATTGATGTAATGTATCTCAAAATATTGAGAGTTATTTATGACATACCCACAGCCAATATCATAATGAATGGGCAAAAACTGGAAGCATTTCCTTTGAAAGCCAACACAAGACAAGTATGCCCTCTCTCACCACTCCTTTTCAACGTAGTATTGGAAGTTCTCATCAGGGTAATCAGGCAAGAGAAAGAAATAAAGGTGTTCAATTAGGAAGAGAGGAAGTCAAATTGTCTCTCTCTGCAGATGACATGATTGTATATTTAGAAAACCCCATCATCTCAGCCCAAAATCTTCTTAAGCAGATAAGCAACTTCAGCAAAGTCTCACGATACAAAGTCAATCTGCAAAAATCACAAGCATTCCTATACACCAATAACAGACAAACAGAGCCAAATCATGAATGAACTCCCATTCACAATAGCTACAAAGACAATAAAATAATTGGAATTCAACTTGCAAGGGATTTGAAGGACCTCTTCAAGGATCACAAAAACCATGACTCAAGGAAATCAGAGAGGACACAAACAAATGGACAAACATTCCATGCTTATGGATAGGATGAATCAATATTGTGAAAATGATCATACTGCCCACAGTAATTTATAGATTCAGAGCTATCCCCATCAAGCTACCATTGACTTTCTTCACAGAATTGGAAAAAAAACTAATTTAAATTTTATATGGAACCAAAAAAGAGTCTGCATAGCCAAGACAATCCTAAGCAAAAAGAACAAAGCTGGAGGCATCACACTACCTGACTTCAAACTATACTACAGGGCTATAGTAACCAAAACAGCACGGTACTGGTACCAAAACAGATATATAGACCAATGGAACAGAACAGAGGCCTCAGAAATAGCACCACACATCTGCAACCATCTGATCTTTAACAAACCTGACAAAAACAAGCAATGGGGAAAGAATTCCCTATTTAATAAATGGTGTTGGGAAAACTGGCTAGCCATATGCAGAAAGCTGAAACTGGATTCCTTCCTTACACCTACACAAAAATCAACTCAAGATGGATTAAAGACTTAAACGCAATACCTGAAACCATAAAAACCATAGAAGAAAACCTAGGCAATACCATTCAGGACATAGGCATGGTCAAAGACTTCATGTCTAAAACACCAAAAGCAATGGCAACAGAAGCCAAAATAGACAAATGGGATCCAATTAGACTAAAGAGCTTCTGCACAGTAAAGAAAAACTATCATCAGAGTTAACAGGCAACCTACAGAATGGGAGAAAATTTTAGCAATCTATCTATCTGACAAAGGGCTAATATCCAGAATCTACAAATAACTTAAACAAATTTACAAGAAAAAAACAACCCCATCAAAAAGTGGGCAAAGGATATGAACAGACACTTCTCAAAAGAAGACCTTTATGCAGCCAACGAACATGAAAAAATGCTCATTATCACTGGTCATCAGAGAAATGCAAATCAAAACTACAATGATGTACCATCTCATGCCAGTTAGAATGGCGATCATTAAAAAGTCAGGAAACAACAGATGCTGGAGAGGATGTGGATAAATAGGAACGTTTTTACACTGTTGGTGGGAGTGTAAATTAGTTCAATCATTGTGGAAGACAGTGTGGTGATTCCTCAAGGATCTAGAACTAGAAATACCATTTGACCCAGCAATCCCGTTACTGGGTATATACCCCAAGGATTATAAATTATTCTACTGTAAAGATACATGCACACATATGTTTATTGTGGCAGTGTTCACAATAGCATAGACTTGGAACCAACCCAAATGCCCATCAATTATACACTGGATAAAGAAAACCATCATTCTCCACAAACTAACACAAAAACAGAAAACCAAACATTGCATGTTCTCAGTCATAAGTCGGAGTTGAACAATTAAAATACATGGACACAGGGAGGGGAACATCACACACTGGGGCCTGTCAGGGGGTGGGAGGCTGGGGGAGGGATAGCATTAGGAGAAATACTAATGTAGATGGTGGTTTGATGGGTGCAGCAAACCACCATGGCACGTGTATACCTATGTAACAAACCTGCACGTTCTGCACATGTACCCCAAAACTCAAAATATAATTTTTTTTAAAGAGTGAGCATTCCTGCCATATACCAGATTTTAGGGAAAAAACTTTTCAGTTGTTCGCCATTGATTATGATGTTAGCACTGAATTTTTCATGAGTGGTCTTTGTTAGGTTGAGGAACTTTCTGCACATAAACCATTAAGAGGTTTTATGAAGAAAGGATGTTGAACTTTAGCAAATGCTTTTTTTGCATCATTTGAGATGATCATGAGGTTTTTATCTTTCTGTTATTGTGATATATTATAGTATATGATTTGCATATGTCATTTTATTTTATTTTAACATCCGGGGTACATTTGCAGGAATGCAGGTTTGTTACATAGGTAAACTTGTGCCATGGTGGTTTGCTGCACCTATCAACCTATCACTTAGGTATTATGCCCACCATGCATTAGCTATTTTTCTTGATGTTCTTTCTCCCCCTGCTTCCCCTCCCACAACTGGCCCCAGTGTGTGTTGTTCCCTTTGCTGCATCCATGTGTTCTCATTGTTCTGCTCCCACTTATAAGTGAGAACATGCAGTATTTGGTTTTCCGCTCCTGCATTAGATTGCTGAGGATAATGTCTTCCAGCTCCATCCATGTCCCTGCAAAAGACATGATCTCATTCCTTTTTATGGCTGCATAATATTCTATGGTGTGTATGTACTACATTTTCTTTTTTTTTGGATTGATAAATTTACATATATATATTCTTATTTTTTATTTTGCTTTAAGTTCTGGGATACATGTGCAGAACGTGCAGGTTTGTTACATAGGTATACATGTGCCATGGTGGTTTGCTCCACCTATGAATTTGTCTTCTAGGTTTTAAGCCCCACATGCATTACATATTTGTCCTAACGCTCTCCCTCCTCTTGCCCCCCAACCCCTGACAGGCCTCAGTGTATGATGTTCCCCACCACATTTTCTTTATCCAGTCTACCATTGATGGACATTTGGTTGATTCCATGTCTTTGCTATTGTGAATAGTGCTGCAATGAACATACACGTGCATGTATCTTTATAATAGAATGATTTATATTCCTTTGGGTATATACCCAGTAATGTGATTGCTGGGTCAAATGGTATTTCTGGTTCTAGGTCTTTGAGGAATTGCCACACTGTCGTCCACAATGGTTGAATTAATCTACACACCTACCAAGAGTGTAAAAGTGTTCCTTTTTCTCTGCAGCCTCACCAACATCTGTTGTTTCATGACTTTTTAATAATTGCCATTCTGCTGGCATGAGATTGTATCTCATTGTGGTTTTGATTTGCATTCCTCTAATAATCAGTGATGATGAGCTTTTTTTCATATGTTTGTTGGCTGCATGTATGTCTTCTTTTGAGAAATGTCTGTTCATGTGTTTCACCCACTTTTTAATGTGGTTGGTTGTTTTTTTCTTGTAAATTTGTTTAATATCCTTGTAGACTCTGTATATTAGACCTTTGCCAGATAGATAGATTGCAAAAATTTTCTCTCATTCTGTAGATTGTGTGTTTGCTCTAAGGATAGTTACTTTTGCTGTGCAGAAGCTCTTTAGTTTAATTAGATTCCATTTGTCTATTTTTGCTTTTGTTGCAATTGCTTTTGACATTTTCGTCTCATGAAATCTTTGCCCATGCCTATGTGCTGAATGGTATTGCCTAGATTTTCTTCTAGGGTTTTTATAGTTTTGGGTTTTATAGTTTTATAGTTTTGGGTTTTACATTTAAGTCTTTAATTCATTTTGAATTAATTCATTTTGAATTAATTTAATTCAAAATTAAAAAAATTTTGAATTAATTTTTGTATAAGGCATAAGGAAGGGGTCTGGTTTCAATTTTCTGCATATGGCTAGCCAGTTTTCCCAGCATCATTTGTTAAATATGAATCCTTTCCCCATTGCTTGTTTTTGTCAGGTTTGTCAAACATCAGCTGGTTGTAGATGTGTGGTCTTATTTCTGAGTTCTCTATTCTTTTCTACTGGTCTATGTGTCTGTTTTGGTACCAGTACCATGCTGTTTTGGTTACTGTAGCCTTGTAGTATAGTTTGAAGTTGGGTAGCATGATGCCTCCAGCTTTGTTCTTTTTGCTTAAGATTGTCTTGGCTATATGGGCTCTTTTTTGGTTCCATATGAATTTTAAAATAGTTTTTTTTTTTCTAATTCTGTGAAGAATATCAGTCGTAGTTTAATGGGGATAACATTGAATCTATAGATTACTTTGGGCAGTATGGACATTTTCATGATATTGATTCTTCCTCTCCATGAGCATGGAATGTTTTTCCATTCACTTGTGTCCTGTGATTTCCTTGAGCAGTGGTTTGTAGTTCTCCTTGAAGAGGTCCTTCACTTCCCTTGTTAGCTGTATTTCTAGTTATTTTATTCTCTTTGTAGCAATTGTGAATGGGAGTTAATTTATGATTTGGCTTTCTGCTTGTCTGTTGTTGGTGTAAAGAAATGCTTGTGATTTTTGATTTGCATATGTTAAGGTAGCCTTACATGCCAGGGATAAATTTCACTTTTTCATGATGTATAATCTTTATGATGTATTGTTAAATTTGTATGCTAGTATTTTGTTGAGGATTTTTACATCAATGTGCATCAGAAATATTGACCTGCAGTTCTCTTTCCTTGCAGTGTCTTTGTCTAGTTTAGATATTGAGGAGATACTGGCCTTATAAAATATGTTGGGAAGTATTCCCTTTAGCTCTAATTTTTTTGTGTGGGCTTAAGAGGTATTGGTAATAATTCTTCCTTGACTTGTAGAATTTAGCCATGAAGCCGTCTGGTTCTGGGCTTTTCTTTGTTGGAAAGTTTGAAATTTTGTTTCAGTCTCTTTATTTGTTATTGGTCTGTTCAAACTTTAATTGCTTATTATTCAATTTTACTATGTTACATTTCTTAAGAAATTTATCAATTTTCTCTAGGTTATCCAACTTGTTGGCATAAAATTGTTCATAATAGTACCTTATGATTCCTTCAGTTTCTGAAGTGTCTGTAGTAATGTCTCTACTTTCATTTCTGATTTTATTTATTTTTGTCTTCTCTTTTTTTTCTGAGTTAATCTAGCTAGGCATTTGTCAACTTTATTTATTTTTCCATCTTTTTTAAAATTATTTTTTCCATGGTTTTTCTCTTCTGTATTTATTTGTATTCTGGTCTTTATTATATCCTTGTTTCTGCTAACTTTGGATTTAGTTTGTTCTTTAACTGGTTACTTGAGGTATAATGTTAGGCTATTTATTTCGGATCTTCTTTTTAATATAGGTATTTATTGCTATAAACTCTCCTGTTAGAACTGCTATTGCTTCACCTATAGGGTAAGATACATTTTGTTTCCATTGTTGTTTGTCTCAAGATATTTTTAAATTTTTCTTTTGATTTCTTTCTTGACCCATGTTTGTTCAGGAGCATGTTGTGTAATTTTCATATATTTGTGATTTTTTTTGCAATATTTCTCCTATTACTGATTTCTGGTTTCTCACCACTTTGGTTAGAATCAATACTTGATATGACTGTGATCTTCTTAAGTTTGTTAAGACCTATACTGTGGCCTCACATATAGTGTATCTTGGAGAATGTTTTATGTGTGCTAAAGAATATTATTCTGTTGCTGTTAGATGGAAAGTTCTATATAAATGTGTTAGGTCCATTTGATCTAAAGAGTGGTTCAAGTCCAGTATTTCCTTATTAATTTTTGATGTGGTTGACTTACCCATTGTTCAAATGGGGGTATTGAACTCTTATTATTGTATTGCTATCTATTTATTCTTCATGACGGTTAATATTTGTTTTATACATTTAGGTGCTCCAATGTTGGGTGCGTATATATTTATAATTGTTATGTCCTCTTGATGAATTGACCTCTTTAACATTAAATATTAACCTTTGTCTCTTGTACCAGTTTTTGACTTGAAGTCTATTTTATCTAAGTATAGCTACCCCTGCTTTTTTTGTTGTTGTTGTTACTTTTTACAGGAATTATCTTCTTCCTTCTCTTTGCTTTCAGCCTAAGTGTGTCCTTAAAGCTAAAATGGGTCTTTTGTGGGCAGCATAGAGTTTGATCTTGTTGTTGTTGTTTTCCATTCAGCCACTCTATATCTTCTGATTGGTGACTTTAATCCATTTATATTTAAGATTGTTATTGATAGGCAAGTGTTTACTATTGCCATTTTGTTAATTGTTTTCTGGTTGTTTTTAGATCATTTTTTCCTCTCTTCTCTTATTGTTTGCTTCTGTGATTTAGTAGTTTTCTTTAGTACTAAGCCTTGATTCCTTTTCTTTTTCTCATTTGTGTATCTGCCATAGTTTTCTGCTCTGTGGTTATCTTTTATCTTGAGGCTTACACAAAACATCTTGCTGTCATAATAAGACCATTTTTTTTGTTGTTGTTGTTTGTTTGTTTTTGAGACTGAGTTTCACTCTTGTTGCCCAGGCTGGAGTGCAATGGTGCCATCTTGGCTCACTGCAGCCTCTGTCTCCCAGGTTCAAGCTATTCTCCTGCCTCAGCCTCCCGAGTAGCTGGGATTACAGGCGCCTGCCACCATGCCTGGCTAAGTTTTTGTGTTTTTAGTAGATACAGGGTTTCACCATGTTGGTCAGGCTGGTCTCAAACTCCTGATCTCAGGGGATCCACCTGCCTCGGCCTCCCAAAGTGCTGGGATTACAGGCATGAGCCACCATGCCCAGTCAGACCATTTATTTTAACTTGATAATGGTTTAACTTTGGTCACATAAAAGTAGTCTGGACTTTTACTCCCTATCCCCCACAATTTATATTTTTGATGTCAGAATTTGCATCTTTTAATATTGTGTATTTCTTAACAAGTTGGTGTAACTATTTTTGTTTTTGAATATTTTGACTTTTAACTTTCATAGTAGAAGTTTGAAATATTTACACACCACCATTATAGTAATGGTGTATTCTGAATTTGAATTATTTACCTCTACCAGTGAGTTTTATACTTTGATATGTTTTTATGAGAGTAATTATCCTTTCATTTCCAGCTGAAGAACTTTCCTAAGCATTTCTTCTGAAGCTGGTTTAGTAATGATGAATTCCCTCAGCTTTTGCTTATCTGGGGAAAATATTATTTCTCCTTCATTCCTGAAGGAAAGCTTTGCTGGGTGTAGTATTCTTCACTAACGGTTTTGTTTTGTTTTTTTCATATTTTTCCTTTCAGCACTTTGAATATATCATCCCATTATCTCCTTGCCTGCAAAGTTTCTGTTTAGAAATTCGCTGGTAATCTGATGGGGATTCCCTTGTATGTCACTTGATTCTTTTCTTTTGCTGCTTTTACAATTGTTTTTGTTTTTGTAGTGTGCCTTGTTTAGGTCCTTTTTAGATTGAACCTTTTTGGGGACTTTATAGTTTCATGGACCTAGATGTCCCTATCTTTCCTAAGACTTGAGAAGTTTTCAGTAATTATTTCATCAAAT
Organism: Homo sapiens; assembly: GCF_000001405.40. Lineage (NCBI taxonomy): Eukaryota > Metazoa > Chordata > Mammalia > Primates > Hominidae > Homo > Homo sapiens. The sequence goes on along the minus strand of NC_000004.12, from coordinate 53,288,331 downwards.
AAGCTTCTATGCCTTTCTCCATTCCTTATCCTTCTGGAATTACCATAATGAGAATATTTATATGGTTAATGCTACTCTATAAGTCCCACAGGCTTTCTAAACTCTTTTTCAATATTTTTTCTTTTGTTTCCTCTGATGGATTTATTTCAAAAGAACTGTCTTCGAGTTCACAGATTCTTTCTTCTGCTTGATCTGGTCTGCTGTTGAAACTCTCAATTATTTCTTTAATTTTTTTTATAGTTTATTATTATTATTTTAGAGACAGGGTCTTGCTGTGTTGCCCAGGCTGGCGTGGAACTCCTGGGCTCAAGCAGCCCTCCTGCCTTGGCCTCCCAAAGTGGTGGGATTACAGGCATGACCTACCTTTCCCAGCCCAATTATATTTTTTTAATTCATTGAATTCTGCAGCTCCAAGAATTCTGTTTGGTCCTTTTTTATGATTTTTATCTCTTTGTTGAATTTCTAATTCAGATCATGAATTATTTTCTGGTTTAATTCAATTGTCTATTTATATTCTCTTTTATCTTGCTAAGTCTCTTTAAGATTACTATTTTGAATTTCTTTTTAGGCAATTCATAAATTTCCATTTTTTTGGAGTCAATTATTGGAGAACAATTGTTTTCCTTTGGTGGCATCATGTTTACTTGCTTTTTAAATGTTTTAGTGTCACTGTGGTGATGTCTGTGTATCTGGTAGAATGGTTGTCTCTTCCCAATTTATAGAGTGGCTTTTGTAGGGAGAGACTTTCACCTGCAGGTGAGTTTTAGGGTGTAACTTGTGCAGGGTGCATTGACTCTGGTTCTGGGCGGGTACAGACTCTCTGTGTAGCTTCTTCAGCTGTGATCAATGTCAGTGATGATTATAGGTGTGTCAGTGGCCTAGGCTGCAGGAGTTTTTGGCAACAGTGGTGGCACTGTAGGTTAGGGTTCCCAGTGGTAAGGGTAGGGTTTTTCTATTCTCTTTTTCCCCACAGTTGGGAGACTTAGCTGAGCGTATCCTTCTTGGTGCCAGGTCTGACATGGTCCACAGGCAGTGATAGTGGTGCTGTGTTCTAGGGCACAGGTGATTGGAGTGGCTGTGGAGCTGGGGTTCAGAACTCAGTGTTTTGCTGAACTACTGTGACACCTGTGATGTGGGCACAGGTTCACTAACTGAAGCACAGGTAGATGAAACTCTCCCACAAAGTTGGGGACTGTGAGTGTGAGGCACTCCCTAGTAGCTTAGACCCGGGGACAGGTTTATGTCTGTGACTCTGGTCCTAGGGGTCAGGGCACAGAGCTGTCATGGCACCAGGGGAGAAGGGGTGTTCTAGAACGTCAGGCCCTGGGGAGCAGAGCACAGCTGAAATTTGGATTCCAGAGCCAACAGGGCACAGTAACTTCCCAGGCACTAGGAGAGAGGATGCCACATAGTGGTGACTCTGGACTCTGGGATGCTGGGACATGGTAGTGACATCGGCTCTGTGAGGCCAAGTGCAGTAGCACCAAGGGCCCAGGAATGGGGGTACACAACTTTAGCTTTGTTTCAGGGTGCAGGGAGAAGGGCAACAATGACTCAACTTCCCAGAGAGGCAGGGTACCTCAACAGCTCAGACTCCAAAGGGCTTGTCTGCATCCAGGGAGTCAGGGTGCTGTGACTGGCCCAGAGTAGGGTGCCACAGCTCAGCCAAAGCTCTGTTTCCCTTGGAACAGGGTACCACATTATCTCAGGTGCCTGGGGGCATAGCTGCTCTGCTGGGCCAGGGCCCTGGTTTCCTTTATTAACTAGGGAGCATGGGGTATATAGCTGCTCTGCTGTGCAGGAGCTCCAGGTCCTTGGGGAGTGAGGTACTGGGAGACGGTGCAGCTCTACTGGGACCAGGTTCTAGGTCCCAGAGGCTGGGATGCTGGGGGGCCCTGTGGTTTCTCTGAAGTCTGGATTCAGGTCCTTGGGGGTTAGAACATATACCTACTCTGCTGGGCTAGGGCTTTGTGTCCCTGAGGAGCTGGGTGCTACATCAGCTTAGGCACCAGGGTGCATGGCCGCTCCACTAGGCTGAAGCTCAGATTTCTGGGGGTCAAGGCACCAGATTGGCTCAGGTGCCAGGAGTGCAGGTATTCCCCTGGGCTAAGCTCTTAGTAGCCTGGAAATGGGGCACCATACAGCAACAGCTGGGATCCAGGAGATGGAGTGCCCCTTAGGGAACTTTACCTCAGTGGGGTGCAAGCTTCAGTGGTTTGGCTAGGGAATGGTCTGCTTCTGTGTACGTGAATGTGGTGCAACAATGGCAGAGCCTCAGGGATGATGGGATGCAGTGGCTACTCTTCCCCCAGAGAAGGGTACACTCTAGCAGAGGCTCTAGTTTCAAGATGGTGCTGTGCAAAGCAGCTTGGGCCACGGGGTTGTGGGGAGGTGGTGGGTGGTGGGACAGAATGTGAGTTCCTTTTCTGAAGTAGTACAGCCATGTGAACTCTAGGCAGCTCCCTAACTGGGCTCATGACCTGTGAGGACTGCAATGTTCTCTGGTAGCAAAGATTGCAGATATCTGCAGTGGTTGTGGGGGCTGCTGGAGGCCTCCAGCTTACCCTTTCCCCTCAAGGAGAAGTCCATTCTGGTTCTGAGCAGATCCTGACTAGGGGAATGGGAAGGTGTTTCTTTATGTGACATCCTCTGAGTTTTTGTGCCCCACATGGTTTCCACCACTCCCTTGCTGTACTGTACTTCAGCGCTCTCCTTTAGTCATTCTGCTTGAAATTTAGTTGTTTTTTATTGTTTTGGTTCTTTTTTGTTGGGGAGATGAACATGAGGCAACTCTAGTCAGCCATCTTTCTTATCAGTCTTCTTAAATTTTCTCAATATAAGGGATCCTCAACATGATAATATGGCTAGCAGTTTTTAAATCCTGAGAGAATGATATGGGGAGAAGGCCCATGACTGTAGGTGGGAATTTATTTAGAGGCACCCTTAAGAGCAGAAATTCCTTTCCAAGTCAGAGTGGATCCACCAAGAAAGTGGTTTCCCTGGCAGCCTGGTAATTTGCCCCTGGATAACAGAGGCAATCTACCTATTATGTGCCATGTTATCTGCTGAGTTTATAAATGTTGAGGTAGTGTTTAAGTTAGCCTCAAGAAGGCTGCATTTCCAAAGAAAGCTAAACTGTAAATGTTTCTGATGGTTTTATGTTTCACTGTTTTGTATAACTTCGGAGAGAGCTGTTTATTTTCTGTTCATGACTCCGGATCCTGCAGCAGTTACACCTTATTCCATGGTAGCCTTGAAATAGATCTTTCAGCAGATTTCTGAATTTTAAACCCATTTGAATTGATTCATGTAATTAAAGTGCTCTTTTCACATTAGTTTCTTATTCTACCTTTGTAATGCTGTAGAGCTAAAAAAATTGTGTAACCAGAAACCTATACTACTTAAAGGATGTCCCAGAAAACCTTCAGTATTTATGGTGCTATGAAAATGGACATCAATTCCCAGCTGGGCTTTATCCAACTTTCACTATATGGTTGGCTGTATATATAGTCCTCCAAATCCCTGTGGGAGATGTATAATTTCATCCCACTTCCCCCTTTAATAAATTGTTTCAGTATCTAATAGTCTTTATGAGCAGGATATTTTTTTCTTATGGCTGACTTAAATATGCATGTTAACCATATTTCTTTCTTGTTTAAACCCCATTGAGGTAAGAAGTGTAGGCAGTTATTATTTCTCTTCTATTTATTTATCTGTTGAACGCATTGTACAAATAGTGATAGTAATAAAGTCAAGTTTCCCAGAGAAAAATACACATCTGTCCATTCTACATGAGACATATTATTTTATGTCAGAACCTAGACAATATTTCAAAAGTTATACTAGCACAAGCTTATGGAAAATTCAAATGACAACATATATAAAATAAAAAATGAATGTAAACTTCCTCTCTTCCCTGACCCCACCATTCTGTTCTTCAAAGTAACCTTTTTTCTTAAATTGTTGTCTTGCCTTTCCAACTTTTTTCTATATAATAAGGTAAGAAAGTAAGTAGATAAATAAACAATCAATAAGAAAAATGAAAGTGCATATTAATAGTATGGTAATGTGGCAATGTGGTTTCTGTTGATTTTTTTTTTTTACTCATTAGACTTTTGGCTACCCAGCATAAAATGCCATGAAAGAAACTTATCAATCATACATTACATTATGCATGTAATGCTTCATTACATGCATTTTTTTTTTTTTTTTTGAGATGGAGTCTTGCTCTGTCGCCCAGGCTGGAGTACAGTGGCACGATCTCGGCTCACTGCAAGCTCCACCTCCCGGGTTCATGCCATTCTCCTGCCTCAGCCTCCCGAGTAGCTGGGACTACAGGCGCCCGCCACCACGCCTGGCTAATTTTTTTGTATTTTTAGTAGAGACGGGGGTTTCACTGTGTTAACCAGGATGGTCTCGATCTCCTGACCTTGTGATCCGCCCACCTCGGCCTCCCAAGGTGCTGGGATTACATGCGTGAGACACCGTGCCTGGCCTACATGCATATTTTAAAATTATGTTACGTTACGGTAAAGCAAATGTAACTGGACAACATGGTGAAACCCTGTCTCTACTAAAAGAAAAAAAATACAAAAATTAGCCAGGTGTGGTGGTGGGCGCCTGTAATCCCAGCTTCTTGGGAGGCTGAGCCATGAGAATCACTTGAACCTGGGAGGCAGAGGTTGCAGTGAGCTGAGATTACACCATTGCACTCCAGCCTGGGTTACACACTGAGACTCTACCATAAAAACAGAAAACAAAAAACAAATGTAAAATGTGTGAGGATATTGGTACAACCATGGAAAACTGACAGTATCAAGTAAAACTAGTACTCACCCATCCAATAGTTCCAAACCTGTGTATATATCCAATAGAAGCAAATGATTATGTCCACTGAAAGGCATGTCTTAGAATGTTCATAGCATCAGTATTTATGATAGCCCCAGCCAATAAAACCTAAATATGTTTTAACAGTAGAATTGATAAAGAAACTGTTATGGTAATATAGAGCAGTAAAACACAGAAACAACAAAAAATGAGATTTTGGAACAAAAGAAGCCAGACAAGAAAAAATGCATATGTAGGATTCCATTTATATTAAGTTTAAAACTAGACAAAAAATGGTCTGTTGTGTTTACCTTTAGGAGGAGACTATCGACTGGGTAAGTATACAAGGGAGTCTTCTAAAGTGCTTGACATGTTTTATACCTTGCTCTGGTTGGTGAGTACATGGATATATACATACGTAAAAATTATTTGAACCGTATATTTAAGATTCATGTGCTTTATGTAGGTTATACTCCTCACTATCCACCTCTATTATCCCTGAGGCTTCTGAGGCTGGAGTTGCTCATGGGCAGGTAGCTCCTTCTGTGCTCAGAGCCTTTTCAGATATTCCAAGAAAAGCCTCTTATCGAGGTGGGAGCTGATTTGTATTGTTTGCTTTCCTGCATAAATTAGTACTCATCCATCGCTCTTTCACTGTCTAGAAATTTATACTTCATTAAATTTAAAAAACCACACATGATGATAGTTTTACTATATTAAAAAAACAGAGTTCAATTATTGCTGAATTTACTTGAATATTATCATTTCTGTTGTTTTTTTTATTTCCTGGTATAGCTAAGTACAGTTACGTCTTTTAGCTGGAAATTTTGTTCAGCTGAAATTCTATTATGTATAGATACATAAAATCTTTTTTATTTGGGTATGGGGTTTCTTTTTAGGCTAATAAAAATGTTTTGAAATTATACCACACTGATGGTTGTACAACTCTGTGAATATACCAAAAACCACTGAATTGTATACTTTAAGGGGGGAATTTTATAGTATGTAAGTTCTATCTCAATAAAGCTGTTTTAAAAAGGGCCCTCGGATATTAAAGATATCATTATGAAAATAAAATAGCCAAAAACTTCAGACAATAGTTGAAAGATAAATTAAGAAAATCTCCTAAAATGTAGGAACAAAGGAGAGAGAATATAGAAAGAAGTGTAGAAGATCAGAGAAAAGACAAACATACAGAAGCAATCTAGAAGGCCCATGAACTATTAGTAGTTTCAAAAGACAGAGAGCAATTAGCATGAAAGAATGTGAAACTTTCCCAAAAGACAGAAGAAAACTGTATTCAAATTAAATAGGCTTACTGAGAAGCAAGTAGAAAGAATTAACCTCATAACAAACCTGCACCTCTACCCCTGAACCTACAATAAAAGTTTGAAAAAGCTCTAAATTAGACACAATCACTGTGAATCTTCAAAGTACAGGAGAATAGAATTGTTATACAGTTTATGATGTTGTAAATGCTATTTACTGATTTTGAACTTTTAGAATCAAACTACAGAAAAAGCACATAATAGTTTAGTAATACCGTAATTTACTATGGTTATGGAATAAAATAGAAATGCTATCAATCTTGACTAGGTAAAAATACAAATACTGATGATTTAAAAGACGAAAGAGGGAAAGAAGAAATAAAGAGAAGGGCAAGGGACTTAATATCCTCTACTAAGAATATGGACAGCTATAAGATATTGCTTAGCTGCAGAACAAAAAAGAAAGCTAAAATATATAATGCAAGTTCCAGAGATAACCAACTGGTGAGGGGAAAAGGTGTTGCAATCTTTTGTTTGCTTATAGACTATTTCGGTGATCTTCCTGAGTGCATTTCTATCCCTTTTTATTACTTTTTATCATTCTGATGCATCTCCTGAGGAGCCAATATAAACACATGTGCTCAGGGTAGCCTCTTGAGTCTTTTGCACATTATTTACGAAACTCATAAGCCATCTGGCATACTCAAGATTCTGTTTCTCTTGTGTCAACTGTTGAATTAACATTTGAGGATTTCTTTCATGGTGCTGTCTACTAACCAATAGTTTAATCTTAGTAAAGTTGCCACCCCTGTCTATATATCAGTTATGGGTATTTTTTCTATGATATATATGCATTTCTGAAAAACTTGGGTTTTGCATCACATACTAGGAGTCAGGGCTCATGGTATCAGCAGGAGCCCATTCAAAAATCTATGCAACCTTGTAATTGGAGCACTTACAAAAACATTAAAACTCTTGATAAAAATATTAGCACAGTTAAAAAGGCATGCTAAATTTCTATAAATCAATGTTACAGCATATATAGAACTTTTTGTGAGCAAAAGAGTTTACAGTAGCTTGTTGGAAGGTATAAGACGAGTTGAGGTTGTTTAGTTAGGAAGTCAAAAGCAAAATGCAATGGAGATCAGGTCGAATCAAACAGGAAGCACTTCCAAAACAGGGCGCACGGCCGCAGAGCCAAGAGGAAAAGCAAGGATGAATGGGTGCTTCATAGGGTACTCAATTCCTCTTGTAGCTTGATGTGTTCAGTTGTGCTCATTTACTTTGTGTTTAGCTGCTGTCTTTGATAGCACAAAATGTTAAAATAATGGGGAAAAAATCTCAAAAGAACAGATGTGACTTTTGAATAATATTGACATAATTCCTGTTTGCCAGTTGTGTATGAACTAATAAACCAGAGTTTTAGCAGAATATATTATATTTAAATATTCTAATATACATTGCCTTTATTATATTAGAAAATCATTGAAAAGGAGAAAAATGAAATGCTGACATTAGATTTCTAAGAATGCAAGTCTTAAAACATATACATCTGTTTATTCAAATTCTACACACTGGATTTTCATTCATCTTTGCAGAATTGAATGAATAAAAAACATGCAATGACGATATGACTGTTTCTTATATCAAGGGTTTTACAATTTTTTATTTGCTAAATATGCTATTCTAGACAAAATTGCTTTCTTTCTTTTTTTTTTTTCCAGACAGAGTTTCCCTCTGTCGCCCAGGCTGGAGTGCAATGGGGCAATCTCAGCTCACTGCAACCTCTGTCTCCTGGGCTCAGGTAATTCTCGTGTCTCAGCCTCCTGAGTAGCTAGGATTACATGCATATGATACTATGCCTGGCTAATTTTTGTACTTTCAGTAGAGATGGGGTTTCGCCATGTTGGCCAGGCTTGTCCCAAACTCCTGGCCTCAAGTGATCTGCCTGCCTCAGCCTCCCAAAGTGCTGGGATTACAGGCGTGAGCCACCGTGCCTGGCCTCTAGATAAAATTTCTTATGATGGTTGCTCTTTCCCATCATAACAGTTTTGCCATTAAATCAAATCTGACAGACTGGGTATGATAGAATAATCTTTAAAAGTGCCAGTAAAGAATTATACATGTGTAAATATTTTAAGTATATTTTACCAGCCAGAAAACAGATTGAGAAAGCTATAATTTGTCAAGTATATGCAGTAATTGGAAGAATAGCTTCTGATGTGGTTAGGCTTTGTGTCCTCACCCAAATCTCATGTTGAATTGTAATCCCCATAATCCCCAGGGAGAGACCAGGTGGAGGTAATTGTATCATGGGGGCAGTTTCCCTGATGCTGTACTGGTGATAGTGAGTTCTCACAAGACATGATGGTTTTATAAGGGGCTGTTGCTTCTTTGCTACTCATTTTTCTCTCTCCTCCCACCTTGTGAAGATGGGCATGTTTGCTTCCCCTTCTGCCATGATTGTAAGTTTCCTGAGCCCTCCTCAGTCATGCAGAACTGTGAGGCCATTAAACCTCTTTCCTTTTTAAATTGTCCAGTCTCGGGTATTTCTTTATATAACAGTGTGAGAATGGACTAATACAGCTTCTTAATGCATTGGAATTCAGTTGAATTCAATATCATAAGAATCACAAACTATATTGACATAATATTAAATCCTTTTGTTTTCTAAATCTGTAACCTTTTACCCAAGACATAAATTTATATTTTAATAACAGTTTTGAAAATGTATAGAATTGATGTTTGATGAAGTTTTGTGTTTTTCTCTTAGCTAAATTGAAACCAGAAGCCTGTTTCTCTTTCTTAAAAGTGAAATAAGGGCCAGGTATGGTGGCTCACACCTGTAATCCCAGTACTTTGGGAGGTGGGAGGATTGCTTGAGGCCAGCAGTTTGATACCAACCTGGGCAACATAACAAGACCTTGTCTCTACAAAGAAAAATAAGAAGAAAGAAAAATAAAGCCTAACTGAAAATCAAATTTTAAAAAGTTGCTATATATTTATGCAGTCTTAATATGAAATAACCTTTGTTTTATGGCTTTTAAAATGTGCTGTAAAGCCTGGTGGGTTGACATTTTTAAATAACCATGTAAATCTGTCTGTCAAGGGTTTTGTTTGTTTGCTTGTTTTTGTAAGGTGAAGTATGAATAAATATTCTGTCCATTACTTTTTCAACACTTGTCTAGTTGCTTGCTGTTTTAGTTTATATAAACTAAGAAATTTTACTTCAGTGGTTAGTCTTACTGCAGCATTTTTGATGGTCAATTAGTTGATTTCCATTTGCTTTTGGTAAGGTTATGGTTAAATTTAAAAATTTTAAAAATGTCACTGGCCTTTTTTTTTTTTTTTTAGAGCATCTGTGTGAATTACTTTTTAACTTAAATTCCAGTTAGCCTCTTAGGGATTTTTAGGAAAAAAAAATCTGCTGTCGTGATTTATACCTAACGAAGGAGTAGTGTCATGAGTGTGTAAAAAACGACATACAAAGGGGAATAGAACAGAGTAGAGAAGGTGAATAACTACTAAATCTGCAAGGAACACAAGGTAGTGTGGTGTTGATATTTTCTGTTAGGAGATATACCCATTTGTTCCTTTAGATCATATGCCTTATATGAGAAGGTGACGTTACATAAATATGGTAGCTGAGTCTGGGTCTCAGCTAGGAAATGCTGATTGGATAAAAAATTTGACTTTTTTTTTTTTTTTGAGATGGAGTCTCACTCTGTCGCCCAGGCTGGAGTGCAGTGGCACGATCTTGGCCACTTCCCAGGTTCAAGTGATTCTCCTGCCTCAGCTGCCTGAGTAGCTGGGACTATAGGTGAGCACTACCATGCCCAGCTAATTTTTCTCTTTCTTTTTTCTTTTTTTTTTTTTTTAAGATGGAGTCTCTCTCTGCCTCCCAGGCTGGAATGCAGTGGTGCAATCTCGGCTTACTCCACCTCCCGGGTTCAAGTGATTCTCCTGCCTCAGCTCCTGAGTAGCTGGAACTACAGGTGCCCACCACCACTCCCGGCTAATATTTGAATTTTTAGTAGAGACAGGGTTTCACCTTGTTGGTCAGGCTGGTCTCCAACCCTGGACCTCGAGTGATCCACCCACCTCGGCCTCCAAAAGTGCTGGGATTACAGGCGTGAGCCACTGCGCCTGGCGAGGACTGTTTTTTTTTTTTTTGTTTTTTGTTTTGAGACGGAGTCTCGTTCTGTCCCTGGGCTAGAGTGCAGTGGCCGGATCTCCGCTTACTGCAAGCTCCGCCTCCCGGGTTCACGCCATTCTCCTGCCTCAGCCTCCCGAGTAGCTGGGACTACAGGCGCCCACCACCAAGCCCAACTAATTTTTTTGCATTTTTAGTAGGGACGGGGTTTCACCGTGTTAGCCAGGATGGTCTCCATCTCCTGACCTCGTGATCTGCCCGCCTCGGCCTCCCAAAGAGCTGCGATTACAGGCGTGAGCCACCGCGCCGAGCCTGGACTGTTTTTTAATCAAAGACACTTTTATCTTTAAAATGAACATACGGTTATTACAATAGAAATCTGAGCAGATCCTCTGATGGCTTCCTCTGGTGATTCCCGTTTCCTGGAGTCTCTCTAAAACATAGTTATAGAAGAAATGAATTGTATATATTTTGAATCTATTTAATTCCTCTTCTTTCAGTTGAGGAGATGGGGTTGGAGAGGTAGGCAGTTTTCATATCATGTAGAGCCTTTCACACCTTCAAGACATTTTGTATTTTTCTTTGGCAGTACTTACCACTATCATGATTAAGTAATTATTTGTATGATCATTAAATGAATGTTTGTCTTGATAGACTAAGTTCTATGTGTTTAGGAGCCACACTGCCATCACCTGCAGTACAGTGTTTATATAAATAAATGGAGCTCATGGCAATCTTAAGTTTTGAAACCATTTTGTGTGAAAATTTGTTCTTACATATTTAATATAATAGATGTCAGAGAATATCATTTCTTAAAAATGTTAATCATTTGCACAAAAGGTCCCTATCCCTTTAGAGAGAATGACACGTAAGAGGCTGAATTAATTAGGAGATCATCAAGGAGTTGTTTTCTTTATTTGTTGGCTACAAGCATAGGGGTTTTTGTCTGGATTTGTTCACAGGTTTATTCCTAGAAACAGGAATAGTGCCTGTTACAGAAATATATGTTGAATCAATGAATCAATAAAAGTGAATGACACTCACAACTCAGTAATAAGAAAACAAACAACCTAATTAAAAAATGAGCAAAAGATTTGACCAGACACTTCACCAAAACAGATATAGGATGGCAAAAGACACACATGAAAAGGTGGTTAACATCATTAGTCATTAGGAAAATGAAATTTTAAACCACAATGAGATACTGCTACACATCTGTTAGAATCATTAAAATAAAAATAGCTGACAAAACCAAGTGTTGGTGAAGTTGTAAGGCAACTAAAACTCTCATATGTTGCTGGTGGTACAGCCCACTTTGGAAATCAGTTTGCCAATTTCTTATAAAATTAAACATGTGCTTAAACTAAATACTGCATGTTCTCACTTATAAGTGGGAGCTAAATGATGGGAACACATGGACACTAAGAGGGGAACAGCTGATATTGGAGCTTACTTGAGGGTGGAGGGTGGGAGGAAGGAGAGGATCAGAAAAAATAACTATTGGGTACTAGGCATAGTACCTCGGTGACAAAACATTCTGTACCACAAATCCCCATGACACGAGTTTACCTATATAACAAACCAGTACATGTACCTCTGAACCTAAAATAAAAATTAAAAAAAAATAACTAAATGAAACTATAAATGTATATGTGGGTCAGTACCAAGAAGTTTTTTTCACAAACCCCTAAGTATCTGATTTCCACTCAAGTCTTTTAAACTTGTTTGATGTTGCTGAGTAGCAGAGGTCTTTTATTTTCCACTTTTTAACGTACCTAAAAAGCATGAACCCTGCATTTCAATGGACTGTATTGTACGCTTTTTTGCTATAAAACTTTTTCATCAAACACAATTACATTGTTCAATTTTGTTGTAAACTTAACATAAGATGCACTGTTGATATGCTTTCTGATATGTTTGATAAGAGTGATAAAATAAAGCTTAAGAATTAAAAAAAAATTAAAAGTAAGCATATACTTAACATCTGTCCTAGAAACCTGCTCCTAGAAATTTGCCTAAAGGAAAATGAAACATATGTATACACACACACACACACACACACACAAAGACCTGTACACAGATGTTTGTGAAGGCTTTATTCATAATTTCTAAAAAATTGAAAGCAACCCAAATACTCATTAACTAGTGAATAGATAAATAAATGGCTAAATAAACTATGATACATCCACACAATGAAATATCACTCAGCAAGAAAAAAGAGCAAACTACTAATACAAGCAGCAACGTGGATGAATCTCAGATACATTATGGTTCAGTGAAAGAAGCCAGACTCAAATGGCTACATACTATGTGATTCCATTTATGTGACACTCTAGAAAGACAAAACTGTGAGATGGAAATCAGATAAACACGGATAAGGGTTCATCAACCAACAGGGCTGGAACTAGGGAAAGTGAATGGACTACCAAGAAGGGGAGCTGTTTGGAATGATGGGAATGTTCTGTATTTTGACTGTGACAGTGGTTATCCAACCATATCCATTTGTCAAAATTCATAGAACTGTACACTAGAAAAGGCTGAATTTTACTGTATGTAGAAAATACCTTAATAAACCTGATAAAGAAACAAAGTATTAATGAGGTTTTTTTCTATGAGTACTTGAGCAAGCAGATTGTTAGCTTGCTGCTTTGAGAATCAGGAACAAACCCATGCTTTACCAAGGGACCAAAGAAACTCATGAGACTCACCCTCCTACTTATTCCCACTGTTCTTTTTCTTTAAATGCTTACCCTGATAAACTGGTAATGAAGAACTTAAACATTCTTTATCTCTTCAAAAAAATTAATGAAAAGATAGAAAGATATGTTGTAGGCTTTTGAGTTTCATGTGGCAAGGTCTTTACTTTTAGCAAAAACCATTTATTAAGTGATATCTGCCATTTAGCACTGGGTAAGACATTACTTTCTTAGCACGTCAGGCAGGACTAATAGATGCAGCACAAGCCTCGTTTTCTACCTCAAGGAGTTGCCATGAGAATCAGTAAAGGGTGTGTTTGTGTAAGCACTGTGTAAATTGCTAAATAAATGCAGGTGGTTTCATTGCCAAATACTTAACAAGCAAATAACTTGGATTTCAGTTTATAACAAGTTTATAACAAGCAAATAAACTTGGATTTCAGTATCAAAGAACAACCCACAAACATGGCATGGGTGAAACATATAGGAATGAATTACTTGGCTTACATCTATGTTTGGCCCCATTGCCTTTTTGCCTGGTGGGGAGAATCCGATGTCCAAGAGCTTTGCGCATAGCATGGAGGAATGGCAGGAATGAAATTTTACAGACTGGAGAGTGGGAGGAGACTCGGTGGAAAGACAGCTATTGGCAAAACTTGGAGTTAGGGGCTCTGAAGGAGTGAATCCTCAACAGTTTGTGTGTTTGTAGATGTACAAGTGTTTGTATAGTCTCTATGCTTTTATGAGGTAGGCTCTCTTGTTCTAAATGTAGGTGACCATTGTAGCAAATGTGCTGTTCCCCACACCAACCCTTTCTTCTGATACCTCCTCTTCCAGTGGTTTTGCACTGTAGTTCTTGATACATTTTTGTTCCATGTAACTGCTTTTATCTCACGAATATTGTCATGAACTCACTGATATCAATGGTAAAGTTTTAGATGAGAAATAATCTATTTCTCATCTTCTTTTAGGTACATACACACACAATTAGAAATCTTATCTTTTTCCCTCTTAGATTGCTATGTCATATGTCATAAAGAGGTACTCCAAGTTGAGCTCAACAAATATTTATTTGTGTGACTTTATTTGAAAATTTATTTACAGAGTATTACATAATGATAAAATGAATTCTACTGGCAACATGACCTTGGCCAGATCCCTTAATTAGCATCCCTGTTTCCTTACTTGCAAAATGCAGGTATTAATAATAGGACCAGTTTTGCTCTTGTCACTATATAGTTGTAAGAATCACAATAGCTTAGGAAAGCTTGCAGTCAGCTCTGAAGTTCTGCCCAAATACAAGACAGTGGTATTATTAATGGAATCCTTCTCATTATTTGTACTATTCCCAGAAGGGGGTACACTGATAAATTCTTATGTTTCCAGGGAGAGTCACACCGGGACAGCTCATGTCCTATATTCAGCTCTTCAAGAACAACCTCAAAGCTCTAATGAATCATTGTGGCCTCCTCCAGCTTGGACTGGCCACAGCTCAAACGTTGAAACACCCACAGACTGCCAAGTGGGACAACTTTCTGGCTTTTGAAAGGCTCCTTCTTCAGGTATGTTGCTATGGGAACCTCGTGGGATCTTAATAATTAATGTTTTGACTTCCAGAGAAAAACCTTGACATTTATTATAGCCTTAGTAATAAATCATATTGTTGACATGTGCCCTGCTTCATATTCTCTAAGTGCCCCCTAGTTAAAATTCAAGTAGAAACTTTTTTCACACCTGTTTAAAAAAAAATTTTGACAGTAACATCTTTGGCTTCTCATTTAATACCAAGGATGTTTTTTGAGCATTGGACTAACCTCTGGACACCTCTTTCAATTTTATGCCATTTGGACCTTTCTTGCTCTTCATGGCATCTTTATTTGATCCTTGCTACTTTTTCTGTAACATATTATCGCTATTTACATTTCTTCTGACATTACCTAGTTTCTAGTCCTTAAGCAACATATAGCATGTGTCTTAAAATGGCGTTTAGTAAAAAATGAAGGAAGTGATCTCCATTTGTAGTGTTTATACAGATATTTGTATGTGGGATAGGAACTTTTCATGACTGATGAAATATTTTCATGGGAAACTTTTAAAAAAATATGTAGTATGTGTTTTTTAAAATTATGAAGTATTTTTAAAAATTATACAGTACTTTAAAAAGGACAGAGGATTGTGAAGCATAAATGTACATAAAATGGCAAGTATCTGTAAACTTTCCACATAGACTCAATATGATTTATCATTATTTTCATATTTATCATGGATCCTTTTTCATTAAAGAAATAAAACTAGAGATAAAGTTGAAGCATTTTTGATACTATATAACCATCTCTAATCTGATTTTCCTTTTTCTTTCCCTAGAGATAATTACAAGCTCAATTCACTGTTTTTATATTTTTATTAGATGTTTGCTTTCTCATAAATAATATAGAGCATTTATGCTATGGGTTTTAATTTTACATAAGTGATATTATACTATAAATATCCCTAAATAGCTTGCTTTTTTCTCTCAAGGTTCTATTTTTTTTTAATTATACTTTAAGTTTTAGGGTACATGTGCACAACGTGCAGGTTAGTTACATATGTATACATGTGCCACGTTGATGTGCTGCACCCATTAACTCACGTCATTTAACATTAGGTATATCTCCTAATGCTATCCCTCTCCCCTTCCCCCCACCCCACAACAGGCCCCGGTATGTGATGTTCCCCTTCCTGTGTCCATGTATTCTCATTTTTCAATTCCCACCTATGAGTGAGAACATGCGGTGTTTGGTTTTTTGTCCTTGCGATAGTTTGCTGAGAATGATGGTTTCCAGCTTCATCCATGTCCTTACAAAGGACATGAGCTCATCCTTTTTTATGGCTGCATAGTGTTCCATGGTGTGTATGTGCCACATTTTCTTAATCCAGTCTATCATTGTTGGACATTTGGGTTGGTTCCAAGTCTTTGCTATTGTGAATAGTGCTGCAATAAACATACGTGTGCATGTGTCTTTATAGCGGCATGATTTCTAATCCTTTGGGTATATACCCAGTAATGGGATGGCTGGGTCAAATGGTATTTCTAGTTCTAGATCCCTGAGGAATTGCCACACCAACTTCCACAATGGTTGCACTAGTTTACAGTGCCAACAGTGTAAAAGTGTTCCTATTTCTCCACATCCTTTCCAGCACCTGTTGTTTCCTGACTTTTTAATGATCGCCATTCTAACTGGTGTGAGATGGTATCTCATTGTGGTTTTGATTTGCATTTCTCCGATGGCCAGTGATGATGACCATTTTTTCATGTGTCTTATGGCTGCATAAATGTCTTCTTTTGAGAAGTGTCTGTTCATATCCTTTGCCCACTTTTTGATGAGGTTGTTTGTTTTTTTCTTGTAAATGTGTTTGAGTTCATTGTAGATTCTGGATATTAGCCATTTGTCAGATGAGTAGATTGCAAAAATGTTCTCCCATTCTGTAGGTTGCCTGTTCACTCTGATGGTAGTTTCTTTTGCTGTGCAGAAGCTCTTTAGTTTAATGAGATCCCATTTGTCAATTTTGGCTTTTGTTGCCATTGCTTTTGGTGTTTTAGACATGAAGTCTCAAGTTTCTATTTTTAAGATAATCCAAAGTGATGGGCTGGGTGCAGTGGCTCACACTTGTAATCCCAGCACTTTGGGAGGCCGAGGTGGGCGGATCACTTGAGGTTAGGAGTTGGAGACCAGCCTGGCCAACATGGCAAAATCTTGTCTCTACTGAAAATACAAAAATTAGCTGGGTGTGGTGGCGGTCCTCTGTAGTCCCAGCTACTCGGGAGGCTGAGGCAGGAGAATTTCCTGAACCTGGGAGGCAGAGGTTGCAGTGAGCTGAGATTGTGCCACTGCACTTCAGCCTGGGTGACAGAGGGAGACTCCATCTCAAAAATAAATAAATAAATAAATAAATAAATAAATAAATAAATAAAGTGATGTATGTAGATCTAGCTCATTCCTTTAAACCACATCATAAATATACAATTTATTTATGCAATCTATACTGATGTTTAGTTAGGCTGTTGCATTTGTGCTGTGTGTGTGTGTGTGTGCGTGTGTGTGTGTTGTATGTGTGTATGTATGTGAGATTAGGAAAAATTATGCAGTGAATACCCTGGAATATGTCTCCTGTTATATATTGTTAGTTTACCAGACATTGCCAAAAATATTGAAGCAGGTAAGGCTCAAGGCTGTGTCCTCTTCAGGATGTCGGTGAGCTGCCTTCATTATCCAGAATGTCTAAAGTGTCACAAACATATATCAAGAGGCAGAAAAAGGAGCTTATTTCTTCATTATGTATTTTTTCCATCAAGGCAAAAAGAAAAAAAAACTTTCTGAATCCTTAATGATGGCTTATGAGCCTTACCTCAAAATATCTTGTTTTGTGAGATGATAATTTTTGTTGTTTATGGTGGTTGGTTTTCTGTTATTTGGAGCCAAAATACACTCATCTTTTTCCCATTAATATGTAATATACTAAGATCCCAAATAAAAGTGTTTTTTCCCCCAGTTTTTAGTTTGTTCTAGTTGTCAGTTTATCCATCAGTGTTTTTAAATCCATATGTTCAGTTTTATGCTTTTATTCATGGGTATTTTAAGGATTTTAATGCCATTATGAATTCAGTTTTTAAAATTCAGTTTTCCAGATGTTTATTGTTGGCATGTAGGAATATCTTGACTCGTGAATAGTGATCATGGATCCAACACCTTGCATTTTGTAATGATATTTGTTTTCTTATTTCTGGTTGTTATTCATTGATTGTCCTGGGCCTTCTGTGTGGGCAAGAATATTATCTGTGAATAAAGTCAGTTTTGTTTCTTCATTTCCACACTTGATACCAAGTGTCTTTCATAGTGCATTGACCAGGCATACTAGGCCCTTTTTCAGTAAGAGTCATGCTAACAGGCATCTTCATCTTATTCCTGACTTGAAGGAAAATGTTCCCAAATGTTGCCATTAAG
Source organism: Homo sapiens (assembly GCF_000001405.40). NCBI lineage: Eukaryota > Metazoa > Chordata > Mammalia > Primates > Hominidae > Homo > Homo sapiens. The sequence goes on along the minus strand of NC_000004.12, from coordinate 53,270,405 downwards.
TATTATGTTTGCTGAGGTTTTGTTTTGTTTTTAATCAGACTAAGGAAGTTTCTTCCTAATCCTAGTTTGCTGTATTTTTTTTTTAGTGATGCATTAGTGTTGCATTTTGTTTAATGCAGATTATTATTTTTTAAAATGATGAGTTTTTCTCCCTTAATCTGTTAATGTGGTGAATTGGGTTTATAACTTTTTTAATGCTAAATAATCTTCATTGCATTCCTGGGACAAATTCAACTTGTTCCCACACACACATATACTCATACACATGTAAACATATGCACACACACACATACAAATCGCTGGATATAGTTTACTAATATTTTCCATAGAAATTTGCATTCATGCTCACAGGTGAAATTAGGATTTTTTCTTTCTTTTTTTGAGACAGGTCTTGCTCTGTCACCCAGGTTGGAGTGCAGTGGCGTGATCTCAGTTCACTGCAACCTCCACCTCCTGAGTTCAAGTGATTTTCCCATGTCAGCCTCCCGAATAGCTGGAATTACGGGTGTGCACCACCACGCCCAGCTAATTTTTGTATTTTTTTGTAGAGATAGGATTTCGCCATGTTGGCCATGCTGGTCTCGAACTTCTGATCTCTAGTGATCTGCCCGCCTTGGCCTCCCAGTGTTGGGATTACAGGCATGAGCCACTGCACCGGGCCTGTATTTTTTCTTTATTGTTCTGCCATGGTCTGGTTTTCCAAAAAAGATTATATTATAATAGTTTAGTAAAGTCAGTTAGGGTTTTACTTTTTCTATTCTCTATTTGTTTAAAAAAGGAATTATCAGTTGCTTAAAAGTAAAATACTCCAAAAAATAACCTGGACCTATTGCTTTGTTGTTGATATTTATAATTATAATAATATAAGTAATAGTAAGTGATTCAAAACTATAATTTCTTCAATTCTTTATCGCTTTGATTTATCTTCTGTCAGAGGTGATTTTAAATTACTCACAATGATTGTGAATTTACCAATTATACCATTTTAAAACATATTTCTATCTCTATCACTGTCTTTATCTCTGTCTTCATTAAAAACTATGAGCTCATATTACTTTCATAGTTCTTTTTTAAATTTTTTTGAGACAGGGTCTCACTCTATCACCCAGATTGAGTGCAGTGGCATGATCACCACTTAGTGTAGCCTCGACATCCCGGGCTCAAGTGATCCTCCCACCTCAGACTCCTGAGTAGCTGGGACTACAGGAATGCACCAGCACTCCTGGCTCATTTTTATTTTTTATTTTTTGTAGAAATAGGATCTTTCTGTATTGCCCAGGCTGGTCTCAAACTCCTGGACTCAAGTGATCCTCCCGCCTTGGCCTACCAAAATGTTGGGATTACAGGCATGAGCCACTGCACTTGGTCTAATATCATAGCTCTAGTCTAACAGCACAGGGTTCATTCCAGTTTTCCCCCTTTCCATAATTGCACCCCCCTTCTCTGACAGTGAGGAACTTGTCTCCCATTATCCTTGACATATTTAATTACTTTATCATCCCCACTGTGTGTAACTAATCTTCCAATAGAGTTGCTTCCCTGTGGCGTGGATGCCTCCTCACCTCACCTGGGCTCTCCCTTCCTGCTCCAGGCCATGGCCAAGCCCACACGGATGTTCTCTCTCACTTCATACAGAGGCACCCTTGTGGAAACCTCCCCATAGGGATGCTCTTCTACCTCAGTTGAGCTCTGACATCTCACCCTGTGCTGCCCCTGCCTCTGCCTTCTTCATAGAGGCCCTCCTCATGCCTCTCGGGCTCCAGCACCCCACACCAAGCCCACACTGTGGCTCCTATAGCACAGATACCCTCCTCATTCTGCAGGCTCTGACACTTTATGCCGAGTTGCTACCATTTCTACTGCCTTCTTTAGCTGCCCTCACCACCCCGCTCAGAGTCCTACACCGCATCCTGGGATGTTGTTGTCACTCAACCTCCACCTGGATACCTTTTGTCACCTGCTTTGGTTCTGACAACCCATGCAGGGCTGCTGCTTCATTCTCCCCTCTCCTCTAGTCTCCCCATCCCTTTGAGATGTCCTCTTCACCCCACTTGGGTCCTGGTAGTCGTATGGACACCATCCTTATCTTGCTCAGGTTGTGATCCCCTGCCCTGGATCCTCACTTCCACCACCTTCCACGTGGATGCCCTTTCCATCCCCTTGGGTTCCAACAACCCCTGCGAGACTGTCCCACCCCCATGCACAAATGCCCTCCTCACCCGGTTCTGGCTCTGACACCATGCTCTGGACTGCCATTGTCTCCCCTGTGGACACCCTCTTCATACTCGTGGGCTCTGACAACCTGCCCTAAGCCACTATTGTGCCCTCCTTCATTCCTCCTGCCCTACCGTATGGACAATCTCTTCACCCTGCTGCTGTCTACATCACATGTCCTCTAAAGTGAGCCCCACTCCAAAATCTTATAAAATTGGTTCAAAACAAGACTATACAGAGATTTTCTCCTGAGAATGATAATCTTTCTAGATAAGCTTACTAAAGTTTTCTGAAGAAATTTGACATATTAATTCTAAGCCATTTTTTATTTGTAATTAATTTTTGGAATCTTTTGTTCCATATTAGACTCTTAGACTATTAGATGTGATCATGGTAATTGGTGTGGTTCTTTCAACAACTAAAGAAAGAATTGAAAGACTGAGGAACCCCAGGCATGGTGATACACATCTGTAGTTTCAGCTACTCAGGAGGCTGAAGTAGGAGGATTACTCGAAGTCAGGAGTTTGAGGCTGCAGTGGCCTGTGAATAGCCACTGCGCTCCAGCCTGGCAACACAGAGAGACCCCTTTGCCTCCGCCCAATCTCTTAAATAAATAAATAAGATTGGGGAAAAGAAGTAAACATTTAAAATACTAAAATCCTACTTTTATCATAATTGCATATCACCCTGACCAGTACTGTGTTCTCAGTCACTTCTGGGTCCTTACAAGTTAGGGTTTTAGCATAGGCGAATGTATAAACTGATCATCGGAATGCTCTTTGTTTATGGACATGCTTACTTTACATAGTATATACTCATCCATTAGTTTAACAAGTCATAATATATGGGCAGCTGCCCCTTTTACAGGCTTTGGTTTGAAAGTAGGGCATTTGTGTTTATTTTGAGCATGAGGACAACCTTTCGTTTTTCCCCAAGGGCTTTAGAGCCACCAAGAAATTTCAGCTAATGTTGAGAATTGTTTATGTCTTGGGAGACTCATTTCCACCACTTTCTACCAGGCCTCAATCACCGAAACCTCAATGTTTACTTTATGGCCTAAGTAATGTTATAGACAACCTTAGCTAAAAAAAAGAAATCGGTCTTAGAAATCTACAATTAAAAATAGGTTACTGCATTTCTTCTACTTACAATGGTTTTGGTGATCTAACAACTAGCCAGCAAGAGACCTGAGGACTATTTGTAAGATTTGTGTTGGACTTACACTCCTAGAAACAATAGATTTATACACTTAATTTCTAAAGATAATATTATATGCTTAAAAGAGAAACCTTTTTGAGTATTCTTGGGGAAAATCTAATATTTGTTAGCAGTGAGTACAATTTGAAAAGCCGAAGGAGATAAAGCATCTTCATGACTCCTTTTTTCTCTCTCTTATCTCCAAGGTCCAATATCACTGTCAGTGTTTTAGGCATTGAATACATCTGTGCTAGTTATAAAATAATTCTGATTTTGCTTCAAATTTAAAGTGTAGAAAAGAACATGTTTAAACGGATCGTGGATATGTTTATGATTCAATTAGTGAGTGTTTTCACAAAGTAGCTTTGCCTTTTAATTAAAGTACAAATTCATTTAATTTGGTGAAATGGTGTAAAGTATGAAGAATTCCTTTCTTGTAGTATAGCAAGAGAGTTTGGCTTAGTTTCCTCATCTAAAGAGAAATAAAGTATCTACCTCATAGTGTTATTGTCAGGATTGAGTGAGATTACATGTGTATTAATACACATATTTATGTGTCATGTATTAATACACATAATACATAGCTAAGAATAAATTATCTACCTCATAGTGTTATTGTCAGGATTGAGTGAGACTATATGTGTATTAATACATAACTAAGTACAGTAAATCCTCAATAAATAGTCATTATTATTTATTCTTTCAGCTGGGTCAAAAATATTACAAATGCTGTCTTTAATATATTCTCACCTGGATTTTGGTTTCCTAAATTAAAATTTATTAAGGAAGAATGAGTTTGTCACTTAGAAAAATGTTACTATCTTTTTATATTTACTGTTTGATAATGTTAGACAGTATTTCTCTTTAAACCTTGATTTAAAGCCCACTTTTTCTGCAATGGATGGCTGATGTTTTTATGCTAGTCATCACAAGAAAAAAGCTTTTTTTCCCCATTAAAAATTTATTGGCCAGGCCTGGTGGCTCACACCTGCAATCCTGAGGCAGGAGGATCACTTGAAGCCAGGAGTTCAAGACCAGTCTGGGCAACATAGTGAGACCTTGTCTGTACTAAAAATGAAAAAAAAAAATTAGCTGGATGTGGTGGTGCATGCCTGTGGTCCCAGCTACTCAGGAGGCTGAGGCAGGAGGATCACTTGAGCCCAGGAGGTCAAAGCTGCAGTGAGCCGTAATTGCGTCACTGCATTCCAGCCTGGGTGACCCTGTCTCAAATAAATAAATAAATAAATAAAAGGCAAAAGAAAACAATTATTTTATAGGCATGTTTATACCACTTATTATAAAACTATAACAATGTAATTGTTATAGTTATAACAATAACTAGTGCTTGAACTTCAAAGAGAATGAAACAACTGACCTTTTTGTCAAAATTACACAGCAAATAAATGACCCTTTAAATTGTGCATTAGGTGCTCTCTTTGGCAGCACATATACTAAAATTGGAATGATACAGAAAAGATTAGCATGGCCCCTGCACAAAGATGACATGCAAATTCGTGAAGCATTTCACATTTTTAAAATCTAGAATAAAAGTAAAAATTAAAGAAAAATTGTGCATTAGCAAACCCACTATATTTTTTAAGCCTTATGCTGTTTCTACTTGTCTTAAAAAATGGCATGGTGTATTGGTGTGAGTGGTAATAATAATAATAAACATAATCCTCATTGGATTCAGAAAACTTTGAAACCCCAGAAAAGATTTTGTGGGATAAAATCAAGGTATCATAGAGTGAGAACACTGAAAAGTAATATGTATTCTTGAACGCTGCCCAACATCTGATTTCCCCTCTATAAAATCACTGAAGAGTAATACAAGGAAAAAAACCTTTTATTTTGACTATAACTTATTGTGGTTATAAAATGATAGCAAACAATGTATTAAGGAAGCAGCTGTGTTTAAACTTCCTACTTCCTAAACATATACTTTATAAATATATATGTAATATATCCATCTCCAGTTATTTCTTTAGGTAGAATTTATACTTTAAATTAAAGCAATCCAGCTTGGAAAATGGTTTTTTAATAAAATATAAATGAGTTATAAAGTCACTCAAGAAAATTGAGGTAAAATATAGCTTTAGTTTTAAGTTTTATCTCTTTGCAATAAAAAATAGGCATCTATTTTATTGGCTGCCAAAGTAGTTTTTAATAGGTAGGATTGGTTTTTTAAAATATATTGAATGTTAGATAGTATCTTTCTATAGCAAATCAAGTTTACCTAAGCTAAGTAATAGTATGTCTGCTAATTTTCTAATAAATTGGCAGATTTTACTTTCTAAGTCCTCTAGTGCCTCTATTAGCTCTCACGCCATATGGCTTGGCTTGGAAATATGATGGCTCATTTTAGTGCCATTCCTGACTTCACCAACACCCTGGGAGGTTCTGTTTTATAATGCCTTCTTTTTAGCCATTTATAATTAGGATTGAGTTTTTCTGAGAAGAAGTTTCCACCACACTGCTTCTCTGTGGGCCTTGCTATTCAAGAGTCATTTGGCAGCATGGGGTATTGTTACTTGCAAAAGCATCTTTGGAGATTTGGATTAAGATGGCGGATAGGAGACAGGACTAGCTTGCAGCTCCCACTCAGAGCAGTGTGTGGAGATTCACATCGTGAACTTCTGCTCCAAGAACCACTGCAGGAACATGCCAGGAAAGCTGAGAGAATGCACAGACCATTTGGAGGAACTGGATCACTACTGCAGGCTCCCTGAGATGCTGAAAAACTGAGTCTGCTTGCTTTCTCAGTGGAGAGGCTGGTGGTCTGGGGAAGTTCTCAGCCCTGGTCACTGGCTGCCTGGAAATAAACTTGGTCCTATTGCTGGGGCACAGTGGGCATGATACCAGCCTTTAGGACTGTAGTCTACATGGGAGCGGGGTGAAGCCTGAGACTGCCGGCTTTACCCCTTTTCCCTGGTGATCTGTGTGATTCAGCAGAGGCAGCTATAATCCCCCTGGGAACATAACTCCATTGGCTTGGGAACTATACCACCATCTCCCACAGTAGCTGCAGCAAGCCTCGCCCAAGGAGAGTCTGAGCTCAGACACACCTATTCCTGCTCCCACCTGGTGGTCTTTCTCTACCAGCCCTGGTTGCCAAAGACAAAGGATATAATCTCTTGGGGGCTCTATGGCCCTGTCTACTGCCTGAAAAACCTGAATACTTAACCAGGCAACCATGGGGCAAGTTTGCATCCTCCTATAGTACTGCAGCTGATGCACTCTTGAAAGCGCCACCTCCTGGCTGGAGGCCAACCGACAAAAGAAAACAGTGCGCTAAACAAAAATACAACCAAGGACCCTCACAGAGTCCACTTCACTCCCCTGCTGCCTCCACTGGAGCAGGTGCTGGTATCCATGGCCGAAAGACCTGAAGATGGATCACATTATAGGACTCTTTGCAGACACTCCCCAGTACCAGCCTGAAACCTTGTAGCTCCACTGGTTGGCTAGACCCAGAAGAGCAAAAATGATCACTGTAGTGCAGCTCTCAGGAAGCCCCATCCCTAGGGGAAGAGGGAGAACAGTTCATCAAGGGAGCACCCCATGAGACGAAATAATCTGAACAGCAGCCCCGAGTCCCAGATCTTCCCTCTGACATAGTTTACCTAAATGAGAAGGAACCAGAAAAACAATTCTGATAATATGACAAAACAAGGTTCTTTAACAGCCCCAAAAGATCACATTAGCTTACCAGCAATCCAAACCAAGATGAAATCTCTAAATTTCCAGAAAAAGAATTCGAAGGTCGATTATTAAGCTAATCAAGGAGACGCCAGAGAAAGGTGAAGTCCAACTTAAAGAAATCAAAAATATGATATAGGATATGAAAGGAAAAATGTTCAGTGAAATAGACAGCATAAATAAGAACAATCACAACTTCTGGAAATCAAAGACACACTTAGAGAAATGAAAAATGCACTGGAAAGTCTCAGCAATAAAATTGAACAAGCAGAAGAAAGAACTTCAGAGCTCAAGGACAAGGCTTTCGAATTAACCCAATCCATCATAGACAAAGAAAAAATAATTTTAAAAAATGAACAAAGCCTCCAGGAAGCTTGGGACTATGTTAAGCATCCGAACCTAAGATAATTGCTTTTCCTAAGGAGGAAGAGAAATCTAAGAGTTTGGAAAACATATTTGAGGGAATAATTGAGGAAAACTTCCCCAGCCTGGCTACAGATCTAGACATCCAAATACCAGAAGCTCAAAGAACACCTGGGAAATTCATCACAAAAAGATAATTGCCTAGGCACATAGTCATCAGGCTATCTAAAGTCAAGACAAAGGAAAGAATCTTGAGAGCTGTGAAGCAAAAGCATCAGGTAATGTATAAAGGAAAACCTATCAGAGTAACAGCAGATTTCTCAGCAGAAATCCTACAAGCTAGAAGGGATTGGGGTCCTATTTTTAGCCTCCATAAACAGAACAATTATCAGCCAAGAATTTTGTATCCAGCAAAACTAAGCTTCATAAATGAAGGAAAGATACAGTCTTTTCTAGACAAACAAATGCTGAGAGAATTCACCACTGCAAGCCAGCACTACAAGACTGCTGAAAGGAGTTCTAAATCTTGAAACAAATTTTTGTGATACACCAAAATAGAACCTCCTTAAAGCATAAATGTCAAAGGACCTATATAACAATAACACGATGGGAAAAAAAAGACATCCAGGCAACAAATAGCATGATGGATAGAATAGTACCTGACATCTTAATACTAACATTGAATGAAAATGGCCTAAATGCTCCACTTAAAAGATACAATATGGCAGAATGGATAAGAATTCACCAACCAAGTTTCTGCTGTCTTCAGGAGACTCATCTAACACATAAGGACTCACATAAACTTAAGGTAAAGGGGTGGACAAAGATATTCCATGCAAATGGACACCAAAAGTGAGCAGGAGTAGCTATTCTTATATCAGACAAAACAAACCTTAAAGCAACAGCAGTTAAAAAAAGAGGGACCTTATATAATGATAAAAGGACTAGTACAAAAGGAAAATATATAATGATAAAAGGACTAGTACAAAAGGAAAATATCACAATCCTAAATATATATGCACCTAACACTGGAGCTCCCAAATTTATAAACAATTACTGCTAGACCTAAGAAATCAGATAGATGGCAACACAGCAATAGTGGGGGACTTTAATACTCCACTGACAGCACTAGACAGGTCATCAAGACAGAAAGCCAACAAAGAAACAATGGACTTAAATTGTTCCTACAACAAATGGACTTAACAGATATTTACAGAACATTCTATCCAACAACTGCAGAATATGCGTTCTATTCATCAGCACATGGAATGTTCTCCAAGATAGACTATATGATAGGCCACAAAACAAGTCTCAGTAAATGTAAGAAAATATAAATTATAGTAGATACTCTCTCAGACCACAGTGGAATAAAATTGGAAGTCAACTCCAAAAGGAACCCTCAAAACCATGCAAGTACATGGAAATTAAATAACCTGCTCCTGAATAATCTTTGGGTCAACAATGAAATCAAGATGCAAATTAAAAGTCTGAACAATAATAGTGACACAACCTATCAAAACCTCTAGGATACAGCAAAAGGTGCTAATAGGAAAGTTTATAGCACTAAATGCCTACATCAAAAAGTCTGAAAGAGCACGAATAGATAAACTAAGGTCACATCTCAAGAAACTACAGAAGCAAGAACACACCAAACCCAAACCCAGCAGAAGAAAAGACATAACAAAGATCAGAGCAGAACTAAATGAAATTGAAACAAACAAGCAAACAAACAAAAATACAAAAGATAAATGAAACAAAAAGCTGGTTCTTTGGAAAGATAAAATTGATAGAATATTAGCGACATTAACCAAGAAAAGAAGAAAGACGATCCAAATAAGCTCAATTAGAAATGAAACGGGATATATTACTACTGATACCACAGAAATACAAACGATCATTCAAGGCTACTGTGAACACCTTTACATGCTTAAACTAGAAAACATAGAGGAGATGGATAAATTCCTGGAAATATACAACCCTTCTAGATTAAACCAGGAAGATATAGAAACTCTGAACAGACCAACAACAAGCAGCAAGATTGAAATGGCAATAAAAAAATTGCCAACAAAAAAAGTCCAGGACCAGATGGATTCACAGCTGAATTTTATCAGACATTCAAAGAATTGGTATCAATCCTATTGACACTATTCCACACAATAGGGAAAGAGGGAATCCCCCCTAAATCATTCTATAAAGCCAGTATTACCCTGATATCAAAATCAGGAAAAGACATAACCAAAAAACAAAACTACAGACCAATATCCCTGATGAACATAGATGCAAAAATCCTCAGCAAAATACTAGTGGACTGAGTCCACCAGCATGTCAAAAAGATCATCCACCATGATCAGTTGGGTGTCATACCAGGGATGGAGGGATGGTTTAACATTCACAGGTCAATAAATGTGATACACCACATAAACAGAATTAAAAACAAAAATCACATGATCATCTCAGTAGATGCAGAAAAAGCAATGGACAAAATCCAGCATCCCTTAGTGATTAAACCCTCAGCAAAATCAGCATAGAAGGGACATACCTTAAGGTAATAAAGGTTGTCCATGACGAACCCACTGCTAACATTATACTGAATGGGGAAAAGTTGGAAGCATCCCCTCTGAGAACTGGAACAAGACAAGGATACACACTCTCATCACTTCTGTTCAACATAGTACTGGGAGTCCTAGCCAGAGCACTCAGCCAAGAAAAGGAAATAAAAGGCATCCAAATCTGTAAAGAGGAAGTTGAACTCTTGTTGTTTGCTGATGATATGATCGTATACCTAAAAAACCCTAAAGATTCATCCAAAAAGCTCCTAAAACTGGTAAATGAATTCAGCAAAGTTTCAGGATATGAAATTAATGCACACAAATCTATAAACCACTATATACCTTGCTATACACCAGCAGCGACCAAGCTGAGAAGCAAATCAAGAACTCAACCCCTTAACAATAGCTGCAAAAAAAAAAAAAATACCTGGTTATATATCTAACCAAGGAGGTGAAAGACCTCTGCAAGGTAAACTACAAAACACTACTGCAAGAAATCATAGATGATACAAACAAATGGAAAGACATCCCATGCTCATGGATGAGTAGAATCAATATTGTGAAAATGACCATACTGCCAAAAGCAGTTTACAAATTCAGTGCAATTTCTGTCAAAATACCACTATCATTCTTCACAGAACTAGAAAAACAATTCTAAAATTCATATGGAACCAAAAAAGAGCCCGCATAGCCAAAGCAAGACTAAGCAAAAAGCAAATCTGGAGGCATCACATTACCCGAATTCAAACTATACTATAAGTCCATAGCCACCAAAACAGCATGATTCTGGTATAAAAATAGGCACATAGACCAGTGGAACAGAATAGAGAACCCAGAAATAAGGCCAAATACTTAACAGCCAACTGATCTTTGAAAATGCAAACAAAAACACAAAGTGGGGAAAAGACACCCTATTCAACAAATGGTGCTGGGATAATTGGAAAGCCACAGGTAAAAGAATGAAACTGGATCCTCATCTCTCACCTTATACAAAAATCAACTCAAGATGGATCAAAGACTTACATCTATGACCTGAAACCATAAAGATTCTAGAAGATAACATCGGACAAACCGTCTAGATATTGGCTTAGGCAAAGACTTCATGACCAAGAATCCAAAAGCAAATGCAACAAAAACAAAGATAAATAGATGGGACATAATTAAACTAAAAAGCTTCTGCACAGCAAAATAAATAATCAGCAGGGTTAATAGACAACCCACAGAGTGGGAGAAAATCTTTACAATCTATACATCTGACTAAGAAGTAATATCCAGAATCTACACAGAATTCAAACAAATCAGCAGAAGAAACAATCCCACCAAAAAGTGGGCTAAGGACATGAATAGACAATTCTCAAAAGAAGATATAGAAATGGCTGACAAGCATATGGAAAAATGCTCAACATCACAAATTATCAGGGAAATGCCTATCAAAACCACAGTGTGATACCATCTTACTCCTGCAAGAATGGCCATAATAAAAAAATAAAAAAATAGATATTGGTGTGGATGTGGTGAAAAGGGAACACTTTTATACTGTTGTTGAGAATGTAAATTAGTACAACCACTATAAAAAACAGTGTGGAGATTCCTTAAGGAACTAAAAGTAGATCTACCATTTGACCCAGCAATCCCACTACTAGGTATCTACCCAGAGGAAAAGAAGTCATTATAGGAAAAACACACTTGCACACACATGCATGGTTATAGCAGCACAATTTGCAGTTGTGAAAGTATGGAACCAGCCCAAATGCCCATCAATCAATGGGTGGATAAAGAAAATGTGTTATGTATATATGTGTGTGTATATATATATATATATATATATATATATATATATATATACACACACACCATGGAATACGACTTAGCCATAAAAAGAAACAAAATAATGGCATTTGCAGCAACCTTGATGGAATTGGAGATGATGATTCTAAGTGAAGTAACTCAGGAATGGAAAACCAAACATCTTATGTTCTCACTCGAAAGTGGGAACTAGGCTATGAAGACACAAAGACATAAGAATGATACAGTGGACTTTGGGGACTTGGGGGAATGTGTGTGTAGGCGGGGGATAAAAGACTACACATTGCTTACAGTTACACTGCTTGGGTGATGGGTACACAAAAATCTCAGAAATTACTGGTAAAGAACTTATTAATGTAACCAAATACCATTTGTTTCTCCAAAACCTATTGAAATAAAAAATTCTAAAAAAAGTCATTGACAAAACTTGATGCTATCAAGGTTGGCAGTCAGGAAGATGGGCTGGATATGGAGCGAGAACAAGTGAGGATGACTTGGAAACCACTAGCACCTTTGAGTCTTTCCTTTATGGCCCTCGATCAATGATAAGCATCATCTGCTCAGCCTTCCTTCTACTTCCTAAATCTTATTAAGTTTCTCTTGCAGCCAACCCTATCTCATAACATGTAGGGAGGGACTTTTTTTCTTTATTGATCCTGTTTTGTATCTTTTTTGCTATTTTTTTTAAATATGAGGTTTTTTTTAAAAAAGAGAGCATGCATAATGCAGAAAAGATTGTATTGGACTAATGATTTCCAGACATAAAGAGATTTTTAAATCTAAAAAAAACTATGATATCATTTGAATGAAGAGTAAAGAAAGAGGCAAAAAAATATAATCTCCAAAGGCAGAGTTGGGTGCTCTTTACACATTAGGAAGAGATTTTGATAAGGTTTTTCCTGGGAAGAAAAATTGTGGAGCATTATTTTTTGCAATATTGTATCAAAAAACCCCACAAAAACCCAACATGGAAAATTTTTTTTTATTAGAGTATAACAACATTCTCCCACTCCTGATTTCCATCAAGAAGAGTTTTCCTATGGTCTTACCCTTTCTCTGACTCTCTTTTAGTGAGAGGGATGTTCTATCTGATTGGTAAATTTGGAATGATGGAATAAGAAGTGGCTCAACTCTACCTCTTCTCCGCTTAGGAGGCGCCCTGACTATACAGAGCACTGCGGGGCTCAGCCTTCCAGGGTTAGGATCTGCCTTTATTGTGTGACAGCTGCTGTTTCTTTCTGCACTCTTCTTCACATTGAACTGACTATAGGGAACAGGCACTCTGTCCTGCCCCTTCATGGGAGGCCTAGCCTGCTCATAGCTTGCCTGTGACCGAGAAGAAAAGGCTGCCTTCTGGAGCCCCATATTAGCAAGCTCACTTGGCTAATAGACCTCACATTCTACCACCTGGTTTGGCCTCTCTATCTGTATTAAAGGTGATATTTGGCTTCGTGTGTGTGTGTGTGTGTTACACTTTTAGGTTCAGGGGCGCATGTGTAGGTTTGTTACATAGAGAAACTCGTGTCATGGGAGTTTGTTGTACAGATTATATTGTCACTGTATTAGTCCCTTCTCACACTGCTATGAGGAAATACCTGAGACTGGATGATTTATAAAGAAAAAAGGTTTAGCTCTCCCTCTCCCTCCCCCTCCCCCTCCCCCTCCCCGTCCCCCTCCCTCTCTCCCTCTCCCTCTCCCCACGGTCTCCCTCTCCCTCTCTTTCCACGGTCTCCCTCTGATGCCTAGCCGAAGCTGGACTGTACTGCTGCCATCTCGGCTCACTGCAACCCCCCTGCCTGATTCTCCTGCCTCAGCCTGCCGAGTGCCTGCCCGCCACCACGCCTGACTGGTTTTCGTATTTTTTTGGTGGAGACAGGGTTTTGCTGTGTTGGCCAGGCTGGTCTCCAGCTCCTAATCGCGAGTGATCCGCCAGCCTCGGCCTCCCGAGGTGCCGGGATTGCAGATGGAGTCTCGTTCACTCAGTGCTCAATGGTGCCCAGGCTGGAGTGCAGTGGCGTGATCTCAGCTCACTACAACCACCTCCCAGCCGCCTGCCTTGGCCTCCCAAAGTGCCGAGATTGCAGCCTCTGCCCGGCCGCCACCCCGTCTGGGAAGTGAGGAGCGTCTCTGCCTGGTCGCCCATCGTCTGGGATGTGAGGAGCCCCTCTGCTGCCCAGTCTGGAAAGTGGGGAGCGTCTCTGCCCGGCCGCCATCCCATCTAGGAAGTGAGGAGCGTCTCTGCCCGGCTGCCCATCGTCTGAGATGTGGGGAGCGCCTCTGCCCCGCCGCCCCATCTGGGATGTGAGGAGCGCCTCTGCCCGGCTGCCCCGTCTGAGAAGTGAGGAGACCCTCTGCCTGGCAACTGCCCTGTCTGAGAAGTCAGGAGTCCCTCCGCCCGGCAGCCGCCCCGTCTGAGAAGTGAGGAGCCCCTCCGTCCGGCAGCCACCCCGTCTGGGAAGTGAGGAGCGTCTCCGCCCGGCAGCCACCCCGTCCGGGAGGGAGGTGGGGGTCAGCCCCCACCAGGCCAGCCGCCCCGTCCGGAAGGGAGGTGGGGGGTCAGACCCCCGCCCGGCCAGCCGCCCCGTCTGGGAGGGAGGTGGGGGGGTCAGCCCCCCACCCGGCCAGCCACCCCATCCGGGAGGTGAGGGGCGCCTCTGCCCGGCCGCCCCTACTGGGAAGTGAGGAGCCCCTCTGCCCGGCCAGCCGCCCCGTCCGGGATGGAGGTGGGGGGGTCAGCCCCCCGCCCGGCCAGCTGCCCGGTCCGGGAGGTGAGGGGCGCCTCTGCCCGGCCGCCCCTACTGGGAAGTGAGGAGCCCCTCTGCCCGGCCACCACCCCGTCTGGGAGGTGTAGCCAACAGCTCATTGAGAACGGGCCATGATGACAATGGAGGTTTTGTGGAATAGAAACGGGGGAAAGGTGGGGAAAAGATTGAGAAATCGGATGGTTGCCGTGTCTGTGTAGAAAGAAGTAGACATGGGAGACTTTTCATTTTCTTCTGTACTAAGAAAAATTCTTCTGCCTTGGGATCCTGTTGATCTGTGACCTTACCCCCAACCCTGTGCTCTCTGAAACATGTGCTGTGTCCACTCAGGGTTAAATGGATTAAGGGCAGTGCAAGATGTGCTTTGTTAAACAGATGCTTGAAGGCAGCATGCTCCTTAAGAGTCATCACCACTCCCCAATCTTAAGTACCCAGGGACACAAACACTGCGGAAGGCCGCAGGGTCCTCTGCCTAGGAAAACCAGAGACCGTTGTTCACTTGTTTATCTGCTGACCTTCCCTCCACTATTGTCCTATGACCCTGCCAACTCCCCCTCTGCGAGAAACACCCAAGAATGATCCATAAAAAATAAATAAATAAATAAATAAATAAATAAAAAAGAAAAAAAAAGAATAGGAAGTATTTGCTGGGTGCAGTGGCTCACACCTGTAATCCCAGCACTTTGGGAGGCCAAGGCGGGCAGATCACGAGATCAGGAGATTGAGACCAACCTGGATAACACAGTGAAACCCCGTCTCTACTAAAAATACAAAAATTAGCTGGGCATGGCGGTGTGTGCCTGTAGTCCCAGCTGCTGGGGAGGCTGAGGCAGGAGAATGGCGTGAACCCAGGAGGCGGAGCTTGCAGTGAGCCAAGATTGCGCCACTGCACTCCAGCCTGGGTGACAGAGCGAGACTCCATCTCAAAAAATAAAATAAAATAAAATAAAATAAATAAAATAAAATAAAATAAAATAAAATAAAATAAAATAAAATAAAATAAAATAAAAAAATAAAATAAACATGAAGTGTTTGCTTCCCTGATGGCACCAGCCACAATTTCAGTGCTCAGTAGCCCCATGGCCAGTGGCTACAGTAGTAGATAGTGCCACATTGAAAATTTCCTTCATCTCAGAATAAGAGAAATGGTCAGCACTGGTCTAAAATGACATGGGTCGGCCAGGTGCAGTGGCTCAAGCCTGTAATCACAGCACTTTGGGAGGCTGAGGTGGGTGGATCACCTGAGGTCAGGGGTTCGAGACCAGCCTGGCCAACATGGTGAAACCCCATCTCTACTAAAAATGAAATAAAATAAAACAAAAAAAAAAAGAAAAAAAGAAAAAAGGTTTAATTGACTCACAGTTCCACATTGCTGGGGAGGCCTCAGGCAACTTAAAATCATGGCAGAAGGCAAAGGAGAAGCAGGCATCTTCTTCACAGGGTGGCAGGATGGAGTGAGTGCATGCAGGGGAAACGCTGCCAGGCACTTATAAAACCATCAGATCTTGTGAGATTCACCCGTTATCCTGAGAACAGCATGGGGGAAACCACCCCCATGATCCAATTACCTCCACCTGGTCCTGCTTTTGACACGTGAGGATTATGGGGATTACGATTCAAGGTGAGATTTGGATGAGGACACAGAGCCAAATCATATCATTCATTCAGCCTGGTACTCAATAGTTATTTTTTCTGATCCTTTCCCTTCTCCACCCTCCACCCTCAGGTAGGCCCCAGTGTGTGTTGTTCCCCTCTATTTGTCCATGTGTTCTCATCACTTAGCTCTAACTTATAAGTGAGAATATGTGGTATTTGGTTTTCTCTTTCTATGCTACTTTGCCAAGGATAATGACCTCCAGCTCCATCCATGTTCCTGCAAAGGACATGATTTTTTTTTTTGACTTTGTTATTTTTTTTTTTTTTATAATTATACTTTAAGTTTTAGGGTACATGTGCACAATGTTCAGGTTAGTTACATATGTATACATGTGCCATGCTGGTGTGCTGCACTCATTAACTCGTCATTTAGCATTAGGTATATCTCCTAATGCAATCCCTCCCCCCTCCCCCCACCCCACGACAGTCCCCAGCATGTGATGTTCCCCTTCTGGTGTCCATGTGTTCTCATTGTTCAATTCCCATCTATGAGTGAAAACATGTGGTGTTTGGTTTTTTGTTCTTGCGATAGTTTACTGAGAATGATGATTTCCAATTTCATCCATGTCCCTACAAAGGACATGAACTCATCATTTTTTATGGCTACATAGTATTCCATGGTGTATATGTGCCACATTTTCTTAATCCAGTCTATCATTGTTGGACATTTGGGATGGTTTCAAGTCTTTGCTATTGTGAATAGTGCTGCAATAAACATACGTGTGCATGTGTCTTTATAGCAGCATGATTTATAGTCCTTTGGGTATATACCCAGTAATGGGATGGCTGGGTCAAATGGTATTTCTAGTTCTAGATCCCTGAGGAATCGCCACACTGACTTCCACAATGGTTGAACTAGTTTACAATCCCACCAACAGTGTAAAAGTGTTCCTATTTCTCCACATCCTCTCCAGCACCTGTTGTTTCCTGACTTTTTGATGATTGCCATTCTAACTGGTGGGAGATAGTATCTCATTGTGGTTTTGATTTGCATTTCTCTGATGGCCAGTGATGATGAGCATTTTTTCATGTGTCTTTTGGCTGCATAAATGTCTTCTTTTGAGAAGTGTCTGTTCATATCCTTTTTCCACTTTTTGGTGGGGTTGTTTGTTTTTTTCTTGTAAATGTGTTTGAGTTCACTGTAGATTCTGGATATTAGCCCTTTGTCAGATGAGTAGGTTGCAAAAATTTTCTCCCATTTTGTAGGCTGCCTGTTCACTCTGATGGTAGTTTCTTTTGCTGTGCAGAAGCGCTTTAGTTTAATGAGATCCCATTTGTCAATTTTGGCTTTTGTTGCCATTGCTTTTGGTGTTTTAGACATGAAGTCCTTGCCCATGCCTATGTCCTGAATGGTAATGCCTAGGTTTTCTTCTAGGGTTTTTATGGTTTTAGGTCTAATGTTTAAGTCTTTAATAATCCATCTTGAATTAATTTTTCTCTAAGGTGTAAGGAAAGGATCCAGTTTCAGCTTTCTACATATGGCTAGCCAGTTTTCCCAACACCATTTATTAAATAGGGAATCCTTTCCCCATTGCTTGTTTTTCTCAGGATTGTCAAAGATCAGACAGTTGTAGATATGCGGTGTTATTTCTGAGGGCTCTGTTCTGTTCCATTGATCTATATCTCTGTTTTGGTACCAGTACCATGCTGTTTTGGTTACTGTAGCCTTGTAGTATAGTTTGAAGTCAGGTAGTGTGATGCCTCCAGCTTTGTTCCTTTGGCTTAGGATTGACTTGGCGATGCGGGCTCTTTTTTGGTTCCATATGAACTTTAAAGTAGTTTTTTCCAATTCTGTGAAGAAAGGCATTGGTAGCTTGATGGGGATGGCACTGAATCTGTAAATTACCTTGGGCAGTATGGCCATTTTCACGATATTGATTCTTCCTACCCATGAGCATGGAATGTTCTTCCATTTGTTTGTATCCTCTTTTATTTCCTTGAGCAGTGGTTTGTAGTTCTCCTTGAAGAGGTCCTCCACGTCCCTTGTAAGTTGGATTCCTAGGTATTTTATTCTCTTTGAAGCAATTGTGAATGGGAGTTCACTCATGATTTGGCTCTCTGTTTGTCTGTTATTGGTGTATAAGAATGCTTGTGATTTTTGTACATTGATTTTGTATCCTGAGACTTTGCTGAAGTTGCCTATCAGCTGAAGGAGATTTTGGGCTGAGATGATGGGGTTTTCTAGATATACATTCATGTCGTCTGCAAACAGGGACAATTTGACTTCCTCTTTTCCTAATTGAATACCCTTTATTTCCTTCTCCTGCCTAATTGCTCTGGCCAGAACTTCCAACACTGTGTTGAATAGGAGTGGTGAGAGAGGGCATCCCTGTCTTGTGCCAGTTTTCAAAGGGAATGCTTCTAGTTTTTGCCCATTCAGTATGATATTGGCTGTGGGTTTGTCATAGATAGCTCTTATTATTTTGAGATACGTCCCATCAATACCTAATTTATTGAGAGTTTTTAGCATGAAGGGTTGTTGAATTTTGTCAAAGGCCTTTTCTGCATCTATTGAGATAATCATGTGGTTTTTTTCTTTGGTTCTGTTTATATGCTGGATTACATTTATTGATTTTCATATATTGAACCAGCCTTGCATCCCAGGGATGAAGCCCATTTGATCATGGTGGATAAGCTTTTTGATGTGCTGCTGGATTTGGTTTGCCAGTATTTTATTGAGGATTTTTGCATCAATGTTCATCAAGGATATTGGTCTAAAATTCTCTTTTTTTGTTGTGTCTCTGCCAGGCTTTGGTATCAGGATGCTGCTGGCCTCATAAAATGAGTTAGGGAGGATTCCCTCTTTTTCTATTGATTGGAATAGTTTCAGAAGGAATGGTACCAGTTCCTCCTTGTACCTCTGGTAGAATTCGGCTGTGAATCCATCTGGTCCTGGACTCTTTTTGGTTGGTAAGCTATTGATTATTGCCACAATTTCAGATCCTGTTATTGGTCCATTCAGAGATTCAACTTCTTCCTGGTTTAGTCTTGGGAGAGTGTATGTGTCGAGGAATTTATCCATTTCTTCTAGATTTTCTTGTTTATTTGCGTAGAGGTGTTTGTAGTATTATCTGATGGTAGTTTGTATTTCTGTGGGATCGGTGGTGATATCCCCATTGTCATTTTTTATTGCATCTATTTGATTCTTCTCTCTTTTCTTCTTTATTAGTCTATCAAGTTTGTTGATCTTTTCAAAAAACCAGCTCCTGGATTTATTGATTTTTTGAAGGGTTTTTTGTGTCTCTATTTCCTTCAGTTCTGCTCTGATCTTAGTTATTTCTTGCCTTCTGCTAGCTTTTGAATGTGTTTGCTCTTACTTCTCTAGTTCTTTTAATTGTGATGTTAGGGTGTCAATTTTAGATCTTTCCTGCTTTCTCTTGTGGGCATTTAGTGCTATATATTTCCCTCTACACACTGCTTTGAATGTGTCCCAGAGATTCTGATATGTTGTGTCTTTGTTGTCGTTGGTTTCAAAGAACATCTTTATTTCTGCCTTCATTTCATTATTTACCCAGTATTCATTCAGGAGCAGCTTGCTCAGTTTCCATGTAGTTGAGCAGTTTTGAGTGAGTTTCTTAATCCTGAGTTCTAGTTTGATTTCACTGTGGTCTGAGAGACAGTTTGTTATAATTTCTGTTCTTTTACATTTGCTGAGGAGAGCTTTATATTCTGTTGATTTGGGGTGGAGAGTTCTGTAGATGTCTATTAGGTGTGCTTGGTGCAGAGCTGAGTTCAATTCCTGGGTATCCTTGTTAACTTTCTGTCTTGTTGATCTGTCTAATGTTGACAGTGGGGTGTTAAAGTCTCCCATTATTATTGTGTGGGAGTCTAAGTCTCTTTGTAGGTCTCTAAGGACTTGCTTTATGAATCTGGGTGCTCCTATATTGGGTGCATATATATTTAGGATAGTTAGTTCTTCTTGTTGCATTGATCCCTTTAGCATTATGTAACGGCCTTCTTTGTCTCTTTTGATCTTTGTTGGTTTAAAGTCTGTTTTATCCGAGACTAGGGTTGCAACCCTTGCCTTTTTTTGTTTTCCATTTGCTTGGTAGATCTTCCTCCATCCTTTTATTTTGAGCCTATGTGTGTCTCTGCATGTGAGATGGGTTTCCTGAATACAGCACACTGATGGGTCTTGACTCTTTATCCAATTTGCCAGTCTGTGTCTTTTAATGGGAGCATTTAGTTCATTTACATTTAAAGTTGACATTGTTATGTGTGAATTTGATCCTGTCATTATGATGTTAGCTGGTTATTTTGCTCGTTAGTTGATGCAGTTTCTTCCTAGCCTTGATGGTCTTTACAATTTGTCATGATTTTTCAGTGGCTGGTACCGGTTGTTCCTTTCCATGTTTAGTGCTTCCTTCAGGAGCTCTTTTAGGGCAGGCCTGGTGGTGACAAAATCTCTCAGCATTTGCTTGTCTGTATTTTATTTCTCCTTCTCTTATGAAGGTTAGTTTGGCTGGATATGAAATTCTGGGTTGAAAATTCTTTTCTTTAAGAATGTTGATTATTGGCCCCCACTCTCTTCTGGCTTGTAGAGTTTTTGCCGAGAGATCTGCTGTGAGTCTGATGGGCTTCCCTTTGTGGGTAACCTGACCTTTCTCTCTGGCTGCCCTTAACATTTTTTCCTTCATTTCAACTTTGTGAATCTGACAATTATGTGTCTTGGAGTTGCTCTTCTCAAGGATTATCTTTGTGGTGTTCTATGTATTTTCTGAATCTGAACGTTGGCCTGCCTTGCTAGATTGGGGAAGTTCTCCTGGATAATATCCTGCAGCGTATTTTGCAACTTGGTTCCATTCTCCCTGTCACTTTCAGGTACACCAATCAGATGTAGATTTGGTCTTTTCACATAGTCCCATATTTCTTGGAGGCTTTGTTCGTTTCTTTTTGTTCTTTTTTCTCTAAACTTCCCTTCTCACTTCATTTTATTCATTTCATCTTCCATCACTGATACCCTTTCTTCCAGTTTATCTCATCGGCTCCTGAGGCTTCTGCATTCTTCACGTAGTTCTCGAGCCTTGGCTTTCAGCTCCATCAGCTCCTTTAAGCACTTCTCTGTATTGGTTATTCTATTTAATACAATCGTCTAAATTTTTTTCAAAGTTTTTAACTTCTTTGCCTTTGGTTTGAATTTCCTCCCATAGCTCGGAGTAGTTTGATCGTCTGAAGCTTTCTTCTCTCAACTCATCAAAGTCATTCTCCGTCCAGCTTTGTTCCGTTGCTGGTGAGGAACTGCGTTCCTTTGGAGGAGGAGAGGCGCTCTGCTTTTTAGAATTTCGAGTTTTTCTGTTCTGTTTTTTCCCCATCTTTGTGGTTTTATCTACTTTTGGTCTTTGATGATGGTGATGTACAGATGGGTTTTTGGTGTGGGTGTCCTTTCTGTTTGTTCGTTTTCCTTCTAACAGACAGGACCCTCAGCTGCAGGTCTGTTGGAGTTTGCTAGAGGTCTACTCCAGACCCTGAGGAGTACCCGGCTGTGTGAGGTGTCAGTCTGCCCCTACTGGGGGGTGTCTCCCACTTAGGCTGCTCGGGGGTCAGGGGTCAGGGACCCACTTGAGGAGGCAGTCTGCCCATTCTCAGATCTCCAGCTGCGTGCTGGGAGAACCACTGCTCTCTTCAAAGCTGTCAGACAGGGACATTTAAGTCTGCAGAGGTTACTGCTGTCTTTTTGTTTGTCTGTGCCCTGCCCCTAGAGGTGGAGCCTACAGAGGCAGGCAGGCCTCCTTGAGCTGTGGTGGGCTCCACCCAGTTCGAATTTCCTGGCTGCTTTGTTTACTTAAGGAAGCCTGAGCAATGGCGGGCGCCCCTCCCCCATCCTCGCTGCCACCTTGCAGTTTGATCTCAGACTGCTGTGCTAGCATCTGCGAGACTCAGTGGGTGTAGGACCCTCCAAGCCAGGTGCGGGATATAATTTCCTGGTGCGCCGTTTCCTAAGCCCGTCAGAAAAGCGCAGTATTTGGGTGGGAGTGGCCCGATTTTCAAGGTGCCGTCTGTCACCCCTTTCCTTGACCAAGAAAGGGAACTCCCTGATCCCTTGTGCTTCCCAGTGAGGCAATGCCTCGCCCTGCTTCGGGTGGCGCATGGTGCGCTGCACCCACTGACCTGCGCCCACTGTCTGGCACTCCCTAGTGAGATGAACCCAGTACCTCAGATGGAAATGCAGAAATCACCTGCCTTTTGCATCGCTCACGCTGGCAGCTGTAGACCGGAGCTGTTCCTATTCGGCCATCTTGGCTCCTCCCCCAAACATGATCTTGTTATTTTTTTTTTTTTTTTTTTTTTTTTTGAGACGGAGTCTCGCTCTGTTGCCCAGGCTGGACTGCGGACTGCAGTGGCGCAATCTCGGCTCACTGCAAGCTCCGCTTCCCGGGTTCACGCCATTCTCCTGCCTCAGCCTCCCGAGTAGCTGGGACTACAGGCGCCCGCCACCGCGCCCGGCTAATTTTTTGTATTTTTTTAGTAGAGACGGGGTTTCACCTTGTTAGCCAGGATGGTCTCGATCTCCTGACCTCATGATCCACCCGCCTCGGCCTCCCAAAGTGCTGGGATTACAGGCGTGAGCCACCGCGCCCGGCCTGATCTTGTTATTTTTTATGGCTGCATAGTATTCCATGGTGTATATGTATCACATTTTCTTTATCCAGTCTTTCATTGATGGGCATTTGGATTGATTCCATGTCTTTGCTATTGTGAATAATAGTGCAATGAACATACATGTGCATGTGTTTTTATGATAGAACAATTTATATTTTTTTGGGTACATACCTAGTAATGGGATTCCTAGGTCGAATGGTAGTTCAGTTTTTAGCTCTTTGAGGAATCTCCATACTGCGTGAACGAATTTACACTCCCACCTACAGTGTACAAGTGTTCCATTTTCTGCACAAACTCACCAGCACCTGTTTTTTGACATTTTAGTAATAGCCATTTTGGCTGTTGTGAGATTATGTCACTATGGTTTTTATTTGCATTTCTCTAATGATCACTGATTTTGAGCTGGTTTTTTATATGCTTTTTGGCCACATGCATGTCTTCTTTTGAAAAGTATCTGTTCATGTCCTTTGCTCAACTTTTGTTTTTTTAATTCTCATTCTTAGTATTCAACCTTTGCCCACTTAATTTTTAATGGTGTTGTTTGGAGTTTTTTTTTTTTTTTTGTAAATTTTTTAAGTTCCTTACAGATGTTGGACATTAGACCTTTGTCAGATCCATAGTTTGCAAAAATTTTTTCCATTCTGTAGGCTGTATGTTTGCTCTGTTGATAGCTTCTTTTACTGTGCAGAGCTCTTTTGTTTGGTTAGATCCCATTTATAATTTTTTTCTTTTGTTAAACTTGCTTTTGGCAACTTCATCATGAAGTCTTTGCCAGTTCCTACGTCCAGAATGATGTTACCTAGGTTATCTTCCAGGGTTTTTATAGTTTTAGGTTTTACATTCAATTAATTAAGTCCTTAATCCATCTTGAGTTGTTTTTTATGTATGGTATAAGGAAAGGGTCCACTTTCAATCTTCTGCTAGCCAGTTATTCCAGCACCATTTATTGAATAGGGAGTTCTTTCCCCATTGCTTATTTATGTCAGCTTTGTCAAAGATTAGATGGTCACAGGCGTGCAGCCTTATTTCTGGGCTCTCTATTCTGTTCCATTGGTCTATGTGTCTGTTTTTGCACTAGTACCATGCTGTTTTGGTTACTGTAGCCTTATAGTATAGTTTAAAGTTGGGTAGTGTGATGTGTCCAGCTTTGTTCTTTTTGGTTAGGATTCCCTTGGCTATTCGGGTTTTTCGTTGTTGTTCCATATGAATTTTAAAATAGTGTTTTCTAGTTTTGGAAAGAATGTCATTGTTATTTTGATAGAAATAGCATTGAATCTGTACATTGCTTTGGGCAGTATACCCATTTTGACAATGCTGATTCTTCCTATCCATGAGCATGAAATTTTTTTTATTTTGTAGTGCCATCTCTGATTTTTTTGAGCAGTGTTTTGTAATTCTCATTGTAGAGATCTTTCCCCTCCCTGATTAGCTATATTCCTAGGTGTTTTATACTTTTTGTGGCAGTTGTAAATGGGATTACATTTCTGATTTGGCTCTCCGCTTGGCTATTGTTGGTGTATAGGAATGATAGTGATTTTTGTACACTGATTTTGAATTCTGTGACTTTGCTGAATTTAGCTTGAGGAGCTTTGTGGGCCACGACTATAGAGTTTTCTAGATATAGGATTATGTTATCTGCAAACAGGGGTAGTTTGACTTTCTGTCTTCCTACTTGGATGTCTTTTATTTATTTCTCTTGCCTAATTGCTCTGACCAGGACTTCCAATACTATGTTGAATAGGAGTTGTGAGAGAGGGCACCCTTGTCTTGTGGCAGTTTTCAAAGGGAATGCTTCCAGCTTTTGCCCATTCAGTATGATGTTAGCTGTGATTTGGCATAGATGGTCCTTACTATTTTGATGTATGTTCCTTCAATACCTAGTTTGTATGAGGTATATTCCTGCAATACCTAGTTTGTGTGAGGTATATTCCTGCAATACTTAGTTTGTGTGAGGTATATTCCTTCAATACCTAGTTTGTTGAGTGTTTTCAACATGAAGGGATGTTGAATTTTATTGAAAGCCTATGCTACATCTATTGAGATGATCATGTGGTTTTTTCCCTTTGGTTCTGTTTGCATGATGAATCATGTTTATTGATTTACATATGTTAAGCCAACCTTGCACTCCATGGATAAAGTTTACTTGATCATTGTGGATTAGCTTTTTAATGTAATTCTGGATTCAGTTTGCTAGCGTTTTGTTGAGGATTTTTGCATCAATGTTCACCAAGGATATTGGCCTGAAGTTTTCCCCTTTTTTTGATGTCTCCACCAGGTTTTTCTATCAGGATAATTCGGGCCTCATGGACTGAGATAGGGAAGAGTCCCTCCTTTTCAATTTTTTGAATAGTTTCAGTAGCAATTGTACCAGCTCTTCTTGTACATCTAGTATAATTCAGCTGTGAATTCATCTGATCCCAGGCTTTTTTTTGGTTGGTAGGCTATTTGTTACTGATTGGATTTCAAAGCTTGTAATTGGTCTATTCAGGGATTCAGTTTCTTCCTGGTTGATTCTTGGGAGGGTGTATGTGTCCAGGAGTTTTTCTATTTCTTTTAGATTTTCTGGTTTGTGTACATAGAGGTGTCCATAGTATTCTCTGATTGTTATTTGAATTTCTGTGGGGTGAGTGGTAATATCCCCTTTGTTCTTTCTAATTGTGTATATTTGAATCTTCTCTCTTTTTTTCTTTATTAGTCTAGCTATTGGTCTATCTTATTATTATTATTATTTTTTTTTTTCAGAAATACCCCAAGGCTTGGGTTGGTTGATCTTTTGAATGGTTTTTCACATCTCAGTCTCCTTCAGTGCAGCTCTGATTTTGCTTATTTCTTGTCTTCTGCTAGCTTTGGAGTTGGTTTTCTCTTGCTTCTCTAGTTCTTTTAGTTGTGATGTTAGGTTGTTAATTTGATGTGGACATCAGACTTTCTGATGTGGACATTTAGTGCTGTACATTTCCTCTTAACACTGCCTTAGCTGTGTCCCACAGATTCTGGTATGTTGTATCTTTATTCTCATTAGTTTCAGAGAACTTCTTGATTTTTGCCTTAATTTCATGAATTACCCCAAAGTCTTTGAGGAGCAAGTTGTTTAATTTCCATGTAATTGTATGGTTTCCAGTGATTTTCTTGGTCTTGAATTCTACTTTTATTATACTGTGGTCTGAGAGACTGGTTGGTATGATTTTAGTTCTTTTGCATTTACTGAGGATTGGATTGTTTTATATTTGATTGTATGGTCAGTTTTAGAGTTTGTGCCATGTGGTGATGAGTAGAATGTATATCCTGTTGTTTTGGGGTGGAGAGTTCTGTATATGTCAATCAGGTCCATTTGGTCCAGTGTTGAGTTCAGGTCCTGAATATCTTTGTTAATTTCCTGCCTCAATGATCTAATACTGTCAGTGGAGTGTCGAAGTCTCCCACAATTATTATGTGGGAGTCTAAGTCTCTTTGAAGGTCCTTAAGATCTTGTTTTATGAATCTGGATGCTCCTGTGTTAGGTGCATATACATTTAGGATAGGTAGATTTTCTTGTTGAGTTGAACCCTTTTCTATAATGTATTTTCTATTATGTCCTTCTCTGTCTTTTTTGATCTTTGTTGGTTTAAAGTCTGTTATGTCTCTTCATTGAATAAAGTTGTAAATAAATTTAAAAATGAGAAAAACAGAAAATACCAAAAACAAACAAACAAATGAAGTCTGTTATGTCTGAAATTAGGATTGAAACCTTTGCTTTTTTCTGCTTTCCATTTGCTTGGTAGATTTTTCTCCATCCCTTTATTTTGTGCCTATGGGTGTCATCACATGTGAGATGGGTCTCTTGAAGACAGCATACCACTGGTTCTTTTTTTTCTCTCTTTTTTTTTTCTTTCCAGCTTGCTACTTTGTGCCTTTTAATGGAGACATTTAGCTCATTTACTTGCAAGGTTAAAGTTGATATGTATGGATTTAATCCTCTCTTCATGTTGATAAGTGGTCATTATGCCAACTTGTTTGTATAGTTGCTTTACAGCATCACTAGTCTGTGTACTTAAGTGTGTTTTTGTAGTGGCTGGTAACAGTCTTTCCTTTTCATATTTAGTGTTTTTTTCAGATATTCTTGTAAGGCAGGTCTGGTAATTATTAATTCTTTCAGCATTTGCATGTCTGAAAAGGGTCTTATTTCTTCTTTGCTTATAAAGCTTAGTTTGGCCAGATATGAAACTCTTGGTTGGAATTTCTTTTCTTTAAGAATGTTGAATATAGGCCTCCAATCTCTTCTAGCTTTTAGGGTTTCTGCTGAGGGGTCTGCTGTTAGTATGATGGGCTTCCCTGTATAGGTGACCTATACTTTCTGTTTAGCTGCCTTAACATTTTGTCTTTCATTTTGACTTGGAGAATCTGTTAATTATGTGTCTTGGGGATGATCTTCTTGTAAAGTATTTTCCTGGGGTTCTCTGCAGTTTCTGAATTTGAATGTTGGCCTCTCTAGCAAGGTTGGGGAAGTTCTCATGGAGGATATCCTAAAATATGTTTTTCAAGTTGCTTCCATTATCCCCATCTCTATAACACTAATGAGTCATAGATTTAGTCTCTTTACATAGTTCCATATTTCTCAGAGGTTTTATTTATGTTTTTTCATTCTTTTTGGTTTATTCTTGTCTGACTGGCTTATTTCAGAAAGCCTGTCTTCAAGCTTTGAGATTCTTTCCTCAACTTGTTATAGTCTGTTGTTAGTACTTGTGATATTACATTTTGAAATTCTTGTAGTGGGCTTTTCAGCTATATCAGATTGACTACATTCTTCTTTATACTGGCTATTTTGTCTGTCAGCTCCTGTATCATTTTATTGTGATTCTAAGCTTCCTTAGATGAGTTTCAGCATTCTCCTGAATCTTGCTGATCTTTATATCTATTCATATTCTGAATTATATTTCTGTTATTTCAGCCATCTCACCTTGGTTAAGAACCTTTGCTCTCCAGCTAGTGCAGTCATTTGGAGGGAAGAAGACACTGGCTTTTTGAGTGGTCAGAGTTCTTGCACTGGTTCTTTCTCATCTTTGTGGGCTAATGTTCCTTCAGTCTTTGAAGTTGCTGTCCTTTGGATTTTTTTTCCTCTTTTATCCTATTTGGTGACCTTGGGGGTTTATTTTTGGTATAATGTGAGTTCAGTCAACTGGCTTCCTTTCTGGAAGATTTTTAGGGAGCCAGGTCTCTGCTCAGGAGTCCAAGCTTGTGTGTTCTAACTTCGGGTGACTGGTATTGGCACTGGCTTTGTTCTCTGGCTCCTCAAGGTTAGGAACCGGCTGCACTTAGGGGACTGAGGTGCTCCCATACTGCTGGTCACAACACTCTGATGGGTGGTGTCAGCCAATGCACTTCATAGTCTGGTGGCAGCAGGATTCATTTTTGTTTGCACATACTAGCAGCACTAGCTGCAGCAGTGCAGCAGGCTACATGCTTGTCAGCTGCGGCAGGATGCTAGTGGGTGCTGGGGTGCCAGCCTCTGTTTCGGCATTCACAGCTGCAGCAATGGCAGCACAGCTTGTGTGGGCTGGGAGCCCCTGTCCAGCAATTGTGCCCTTTTGCACTGCTGATGGTGTTATCATGGGGGTGTGGTACTGGTGGGCATAGGACTTTGTATGTCCTCTGTACATGTCCATGCAGGTGGTGGTGCCACTCAGAGTGGAGGCATGTCCACTGTTTTCCATGTCTCTTTTCAAAGCCACCACAATGTTGGCACAGGGGTGGGGTGCTGGCAGAATTGGGGCTGGTAAGCTCAGTACCCACTAATGCTCAGACAACAATGGTGGTGCAGCAGGAGGAGGGGGAGGGAGTGAACTCTCACTGGCAGCAGTGGCATGACAGGGTGCACACACACATACATGCTGGCATGGGACGGAAGGCAAGGTTTGGTTTGCCTGTGCACACATGTGCTGGCAAAGCGATGTGCAGGGTGTGTGCCAGCAAAGTGGTACATGGGAGGCTGCAGTGGTGGGAGGATACAAGTGGGCTGGTGTATATCAATGGGGCTGCTCTACTGGAGCACGCTGCTGGTCAGGTATGGTCCACCAGCACAGGAGCTATGATGTGGGCCCCCTGGAGGTACCTGGAGACTGGATTGCAAACAGGCACAGCCAGGCTGGGAGAGGCCAGCACACTGAGGGGTGCTTGGGTTGGACTGGCCCTGTCTCATGGGGAAGACTGCCTTGCAGAGTTCAGATCTGACACTTCCCTTGGGGGCTAAAGTCTCCTATGGCAGCAAGTTGAGCCTAGGGGATGGGTATCTCTGTCCATGCTCCACTATAGTTGCCACCGCACCAAATCCTCTGGGCTTTGCAGTGGCTGGAATTCTGCCCCTCGTACTTTTCTGAGCATCTCTCTGCCAACTCATTTGTCTTTGGTGGTTGAGGGGTCTCCTCCTGCCAGGATTCCAGAAGCCTATGGTGAGAGCAGGTTGCTCCTTGCCTATTCAACTCACCTCTTCTGCAGGAGTTGTTGGGGGCTAGAAATAAGTCCTGGTGCTGGTAGCACTGTACAGCATTCCCAGCTTCCTTCCCCTTCAGTCTAGTATCTGTGTCTTCCATCTGTCTGCTCTCAATGCCTTCCCTCTGAAGATCTGCTAGAAGTGTGCCAGTCTTCCTGATGTCCTGGTCCCTTGGTGTGGGAGGTGTTCCTCCTGGCCGTGTCTAGTTGACCATCTTGGAGAGGTCCATTCAATGTTCTTTTCTTCATCTCAAACTGTTTCTAAGAAATCGAACTCAAGGCACTGGATAGCAGAAGCCATCGACCACTGCCCTGTGGCATAGGCAGCCACTTCCGGATGCCTGACTGCATGTCTTTTTCAAGCTTTGCTTTATTTCTTAACTTGTTCAGAACCAGAGCTGCAAAGAGGTTTTTGTTTTGTTTTGTTTTCTGTAGCTATTTTGAGATTCAAACAGTAATCAGAAGTTGTTTTGAATGAAATGTTTTAAATATTTTTGGACAAACGTCAAATGGGAAAGTATTAGTTGCCCCTTTGGTCATTTGTATTTAATAGTTGTATGCAAAAAGAAGTTGGAATCAATGAAATGGTGACATAATACAGGCAACCTTCCCTTTTTGAGGATTAAGTTGAAAATAGTGAAGGTCACTTTCCATTCTGTAAACAAAAGGGGCAGATTTGGCTAGAAGAATACTACCTACCATTTTTCATTGATTCTGATATGTCCATTTTTTCACATTTCTGAAATTTGGGTACATCCTGAAATTGGTAGCATATTTTAGTTGAAACTATTTTTTTCTAGCTTGGGAGCACATAAAATAATGGTGTGTGTTACGATCAATTATAGAGTCTTAGATCAATGAAATGGGATTTTTGAAGGTAAGAGGTAGATGAGAATTCCCTCAGACCTGGGCCCGACTTCATATCTTTCTGGTTCTGCTGTGTTGGCAAAACCACTGGAGCAAAAACATGGTGGCAGTTTGCCTTCACTGGCCCTGAGTATGACAAAAAGTTGTTCACTTGTTGTAGTCAACCCATTGTAGCACCTTTCATAAGTTAAGGAGGGTGATCTTTTATCAGATACCTTTGTGACTGCTTGAATATGCTGAGAATATATCATGATTATTTCAGCAACACTGAACTTTCTCCCAATGTAGTCTAGGACTGAGGGATGCTTTGGGAATGACCTTTTAGGCTGACATTATGAGATCTTAGGCTAGGAAGATTTTTATGAGTGGATTGCTGATAGCTCGAGAATGTCTTAATTTAGCTTGGGTCTATACAGTGAAATGTAAGTAGCATAATATTTTAAGTGTTAAACAAAGGCCGGGCATGGTGCCTCATGCCTGTAATCCCAGCACTTTGGGAGGCTGGGATCACCTGAGGTCAGGAGTTCAGGACCAGCCTGACGAACATGGAAAAACCCGTCTCTACTAAAAAATACAAAATTAGCTGGGTGTGGTGGCACATGCCTGTAATCCCAGCTACTCATGAGGCTAAGGCAGGAGAATCACTTGAACCCAGGAGGCAGAGGTTGCGGTGAGCTGAGATCCAGCCATTGCACTCCAGCTTGGGCAACAAGAGCGAAACTCCGTCTTATTAAAACAGTGACTTTGACTTAAAAGATTGGGGACGCTCTCTCCCTCTCCCTCTCCCTCTCCCTCTCCCTCCTCTCCCTCCTCTCCCTCTCCCTCTCCCTCTCACTCTCCCCACGGTCTCCCTCTCCCTCTCTTTCCATGGTCTCCCTCTCCCTCTCTTTCCACGGTCTCCCTCTCATGCTGAGCCAAAGCTGGACTGTACTGCTGCCATCTCGGCTCACTGCAACCTCCCTGCCTGACTCTCCTGACTCAGCCTGCCGAGTGCCTGCGATTGCAGACTCGCGCCGCCACGCCTGACTGGTTTTGGTGGAGACGGGGTTTCGCTGTGTTGGCCAGGCCAGTCTCCAGCCCCTAACCGCACGTGATCCACCAGCCTCGGCCTCCTGAGGTGCTGGGATTGCAGATGGAGTCTCGTTCACTCAGTGCTCAATGGTGCCCAGGCTGGAGTGCAGTAGCGTGATCTCGGCTCGCTACAACCTCCACCTCCCAGACGCCTGCCTTGGCCTCCCAAAGTGCCGAGATTGCAGCCTCTGCCCGGCCGCCACCCCGTCTGGGAAGTGAGGAGCATCTCTGCCTGGCCGCCCATCATCTGGGATGTGAGGAGCCCCTCTGCCTGGCTGCCCAGTCTGGAAAGTGAGGAGCGTCTCCGCCCGGCCGCCATCCCACCTAGGAAGTGAGGAGCACCTCTGCCCGGCCGCCATCACATCTAGGAAGTGAGGAGCGTCTCTGCCCGGCCGCCCATCGTCTGAGATGTGGGGAGCGCCTCTGCCCCGCCGCCCCGTCTGGGATGTGAGGAGCACCTCTGCCCGGCCGCAACCCCGTCTGGGAGGTGAGGAGCATCTCTGCCCGGCCACCCCGTCTGAGAAGCGAGGAGCTCCTCCGCCTGGCAGCCGCCCCGTCTGGGAAGTGAGGAGCCCCTCCGCCCGGCAGCCGCCCCATCTGGGAAGTGAGGAGCGTCTCCGCCCGGCAGCCACCCCATCCGGGAGGGAGGTGGGGGGGTCAGCCCCCGCCCCACCAGCCGCCCCATCCGGGAGGGAGGTGGGGGGGTCAGCCCCCTGCCCGGCCAGCCGCCCATCCGGGAGGGAGGTAGGGGGGTCAGCCCCCCGCCAGGCCAGCCGCCCTGTCCGGGAGGGAGGTGGGGGCATCAGCCCCCGCCCGGCCAGCCGCCCCGTCCAGGAGGGAGGTGGGGGGGTCAGCCCCCACCCGGCCAGCTGCCCCGTCCAGGAGGTGAGGGGCGCCTCTGCCTGGCCGCCCCTACTGGGAAGTGAGGAGCCCCTCTGCCCGGCCAGCCGCCCCGTCCGGGAGGGAGGTGGGGGGGTCAGCCCCCCGCCCGGCCAGCCACCCCGTCTGGGAGGTGAGGGGCACCTCTGCCCGGCCACCCCTACTGGGAAGTGAGGAGCCCCTCTGCCCGGCCAGCCGCCCCATCCGGGAGGGAGGTGGGGGGGTCAGCCCCCCGCCCGGCCAGCCACCCCATCTTGGAGGGAGGTGGGGGGATCAGCCCCCTGCCCGGCCAGCCGCCCCGTCCGGGAGGGAGGTGGGGGGGTCAGCCCCTCGCCCGGCCAGCCGCCCCGTCCGGAAGGGAGGTGGGGGGGTCAGCCCCCCGCCAGGCCAGCCGCCCCGTCAGGGAGGGAGATGGGTGGGGGGCGCCTCTGCCCGGCCGCCCCTACTGGGAAGTGAGGAGCCCCTCTGCCCGGCCAGCCGCCCCGTCCGGGATGGAGGTGGGGGGGTCAGCCCCCCGCCCGGCCAGCCGCCCCGTCCGGGAGGTGAGGGGCGCCTCTGCCTGGCCGCCCCTACTGGGAAGTGAGGAGCCCCTCTGCCCGGCCAGCCGCCCCGTCCGGGAGGGAGGTGGGGGGGTCAGCCCCCCGCCCGGCCAGCCGCCCCGTCCGGGAGGTGAGGGGCGCCTCTGCCCGGCCGCCCCTACTGGGAAGTGAGGAGCCCCTCTGCCCGGCCAGCCGCCCCATCTGGGAGAGAGGTGGGGGTCAGCCCCCCGCCCGGCCAGCCGCCCGTCCGGGAGGGAGGTGGGGGGGTCAGCCCCCCCGCCCGGCCAGACCCCCCATCCGGGAAGTGAGGGGCGCCTCTGCCCGGCCGCCCCCTACTGGGAAGTGAGGAGCCCGTCTGCCCGGCCACCACCCCGTCTGGGAGGTGTAGCCAACAGCTCATTGAGAACGGGCCAGGATGACAATGGCGGCTTTGTGGAATAGAAAGGCAGGAAAGGTGGGGAAAAGATTGAGAAATCGGATGGTTGCCGTGTCTGTGTAGAAAGAAGTAGACATGGGAGACTTTTCATTTTGTTCTGTACTAAGAAAAATTCTTCTGCCTTGGGATCCTGTTGATCTATGACCTTACCCCCAACCCTGTGCTCTCTGAAACATGTGCTGTGTCCACTCAGGGTTGAATGGATTAAGGGCGGTGCAAGATGTGCTTTGTTAAACAGATGCTTGAAGGCAGCATGCTCGTTAAGAGTCATCACCACTCCCTAATCTCAAGTACCCAGGGACACAAACACTGCGGAAGGCCGCAGGGTCCTCTGCCTAGGAAAACCAGAGACCTTTGTTCACTTGTTTAGCTACTGACCTTCCCTCCACTATTGTCCTATGACCCTGCCAAATCCCCCTCTGTGAGAAACACCCAAGAATTATCAATAAAAAATAAATAAATAAATAAATAAATAAATAAATAAATAAATAAATAAAACAGTGACTTTAAGTAGTTAGAAATCATGACAGATTATCCTAGTTAAAATAACCCTGTAATTATTATTTTTAAAGCAATATAAATATATAAATATATAATTACTGTATTTGCTTATTTTTAAACCTGTTTTGCATAGAACTCATTTTGATTAAAAAAAAACATGCCAGACATTTTATTCATAACTGCTGATTATTCATTTTGAACTGCAATTTAGTTAGAACAATATACTCAAAGTTAGTTAACTTTATATAACAAGAAGCACCATTTAAAACAACTAAGAAAAATAGCTTTTGAATATGTATTAGTCAAGGTTCTCTTAGAGGGACAGAACTAATGGGATATATATATATATATATCCTTATATATGTGTGATATATATATCCTAATAAATATATCATATATATATACACACACACTTACATATGCTTAATAAACTCCACTTTAGTATTAACTTACACAATCACAAGGTCTCACAATAGTGGAGACCTTGTAAGTGGAGGAGCAAGGAGAGCCAGTCTGAGTCCCAAAACTGAAGAACTTGAGAGTTCGATGTTCGAGGGCAAGAAGCTTCCAGCATGGGAGAAAGATGTAGGCTGAGAGGCTAGGCCCGTCTCTATTTTTAATGTTTTTCTGCCTGCTTTATATTCGCTGGCAGCTGATTAGATTGTGCCCACCAGATTAAGGGTGGATCTGCCTTCCCCAACCCACTGACTCAAATGTTAATCTCTTTTACCAATACCCTCACTTACACACCCAGAATCAATACTTCGTATCCTTCAATCCAAGTTTACACTCAATATTAACCATCACAGAATACAAAGTTTCTACTGTGCCTCTCAACTTCTCTAACCATTTGCTTTTTTATCCTCCTCAGTCCATAGATTGCCCCAGGCTTTAGAGTGTTCTACATTATTCTTGGTTATTCAGTATTTACTCCAGTGTTAGTGTTATAGATTTCCCTTTTTGTCCTTATACACACATATGTATGCACACACGTATGTATGCACACACGTATGCACACACACGCATGCTCATACTTTCATTTCCTCTTCCACACATATCAGGCTTACATACAGAAAACTAGAGCTGAGGTAACTTTGATCTTGACAAATGGGGAATCTCAGAGCATTTACAATTGCTACTTTCTCTTCACATAGCTGGCTCAGATCAAAACTCAATTGTGGGCTTCTCAAGGAGGACTTCCCTGAATAGCTTGGAGCCACTGTTGTTTTATATTTACTTCTCGTTTATTGACATTATTTTGTTTACTTTATCTCTCTCTGCTAGAATATAAGATAAGTGAGAGCAGAGACCTTGGGTACTTTATTCATGAGTATGTCCTCAAATGTAGAATCTTCATTTTCACATTTGTAGTAGCAGGCATAACTTCCCACTCATGGGAATTGGAGTAGTTTGTTATAAACATGGAATTTACTTGCCACAGATTGGTACCTGCCATAAATTGATAAATGTTTACATGGTTTACCAGAGTCTGGAGAGATATCTCATTGTGGCTGTTAGGACAGAGAGGCTTCTTTATGTTCTTACCACCTGTTCTCACCTTTTTGCATAGCACATGGCCACCCCAAGTAATGAATGTGCTTCCCAGTTACCCTTCCAACTAGATGAGACCAGGTTCTGGCAAATGAGACCTATGTAGATGTGATGTGGGCCAGGTTCAGGCTGTGCATTTAAAGGGCAGGCACATGTCTTCCCTTATCCCCTTTCTTCCTGCTTGCTGAAATGCAGCCAGAATGGCAGGAGCAGGAGTGGCCATCTTGGATCATAGAGGAAGCTGTGTGTTGGGGATGTTTGAGCAAAAGATGGGAAGACCGTGGTCGGTTATCTCATGATGGTGGAAACACCATACCAGCCCAGGATCACCTATTTTCACTTTGTGTGAGTAAGACATACATTCCTATCTTGCTTAAGGCACTGTAATTTTGGATCTCTGTGATAGTAGGTGAACTACATTCCAATTAATATGGTCACCTTTTGTTGCAATATTCATCACAGGAGTTCGTGCTGTGAGCCTTGTAATTCTGATCATTTTATGACCTGCTAAGGAAGTGATCAAAATAATGAATTATCTTGATGCTTGTGCTCTTAAACGTCGCCAGATTCTGGGTGTTTGGAAGTAGTGTATGAATATTTCACTTACTTTGGTGCAAACCTAAATTTTTAAAATTTTTAAATTTTCCAAAGAAATGTATCAAAAAAGTCCCAGATAAAGAACATTAGGAATTAAAGAGATCTGAGCTGCCTAACATGTTGGCTCCTCAGACATTCATATGATTAGACACTTTTATTTAATTGACAAAACCTCTGTCCTCCAGTCCCCATTTTTTAAAATCATTCAGAATACCTGGGGGATACTGTATTATTTATAGAGAGAATTAATAAACTTTACTACTTCCAAGAAATATAAATCTCTCCATCACCTTCTCTCCTCTCCAGGGAAGCTCCTCCCTCAAGTTCTTTGCCAAGAGAGGTGTCACTTCCAAATAGTGGAGGGGAAAAGCTGAAAAGCCTTTTCCAAAGTATTCTGTTTCAGTCTGTGTAATAACAATGTATTGAGCACATGCTGTCTGCTAGACAGTAACATTGTCAAACTGAAACAAATATTTTTTTTTGGATGTGCATACAATTTCTTTTGTAATGTGGATTTATCAGTACATTACTACTACTTGTGCCATTTTTCAAAGATACAGGACAAAGTAGGATTTTATAGGCTGGTATGAGTATCTGAGTCCTGCTTTTCTAGTATTGCTTCTGTGAGAAAAATAAGTCCTAGATTCTGCATTTAATTGATAACTTTTTTTATGAGTACTGGGATTACTGAAATGCATTGTTTCCCATTAGTTTGTTTTTCTTTGATATATCTATAAATTTGGCATTCACGTTAAATTTTTATCTTGAGTTTTACTCCTCAGTAAGCTTTTAATTGGACACTCATGAGACCTACACATTTCTCCATAAGGATATATCATCTCAATTTCATTTCTTCTTGCAGAATAGTTATTTTAATGTAGTTCTTCTCCCTTATCACATTAAAGTATTGTATTTTTGAATAATGAAAGAGAGACAAATAGAAAAAAGAAAATAACACCATGAACTTTTGTTCCTTTGCCCAGGGTAGGCATATGGCCAGATTTGGAGTTAGGTGAATCTGTGCCAAGCATCTGATCAGAAAATGAGAGTCGAATATATAGGCTATGTAAACCAGTGCTTTTTAACTGGCCTTGCTTTAGAAGCAATGATATCATGTGTTATTCCAGCTGGAAACCAGAGTTAGTAATCAGGCAAAGTAAGTTTAAGGCTAACAATTTTGGTTCTTACCATTTCATGGGTTTACTAAAAAAGTTTCAAATACACACCTTATGCCAGTGACTGAAGGCGCATATGGGTGGGTCTTCATTTTGTGAAAAACAAGGAGGATACAACCATTCTGGTTATTCTTGCATGACCAAAAGGGAAATAACAGTGGTTTGTGCTTCCCTACACTAACTGAATCTTCCATCCTGAGCCACTCCCTCTAGCTGTTTGTACCATGACAACTACCCCAGTGGTGCTAGGATTTTTTTTTTCTTTGTTAAACACCTAGGTTCCTAAGAATAAAAGGACATAACACTAATTGATTTTTTTTTCTTTTTAGCATTAGCCTTGGAGAAACCAAGTCTTGCTTATGTCTGTTCACAGGGCATTTAGGTCTAATGTGCCTAAAGGTGTGCTTTTCTGAAAGAAGCCTATGCCTAGGCTGGCAGAATACCTAGAGTATTTCTGACTTAAGGATTCCGAGAGTGCTAGAGGTTAGCTTAACATTAGTGGGTGCCTGAGACTAGACAGGAGTGTTGGGCTAGCGCATGGATTTCTCCATGATCTCTGGAAAGTCTATGCCTTGCTATCTCCCTCTGTTCTTCTCATTCTTTACTTTGAAGTTAAAGGACTCACAGCAGAAGTGGACAGGTGGAAGATGTAGAAGAGTGCTGAGCAGAACCTGTTAAGTCTGTCTGGTTTTTTTCTCCAGAATGTGTTGATGCTTGAAGTGATGAATGTCGAATGATCCGAATCTCCTAAAGATGGACATACTTTAGGAGGAATATGTGGCTTTCCTCAGCTCTTTCTTTCTTTACTCAAGGCTGTCCAGTGGGAGCAGAACTAGCTTATGACTTGCAGTATTGTGTTGCAGTGTAATTTTATAAACATTCTGGAACTATTTCTTCTAGAGTAATTTATGATATTTCATGTCCTGTGCAGAAAAAGAAATCCACAGCTGGGCAATTACATACTGGTTGTACTGTATGTTTTTAACAGGCATCTTTCCTAACATAAAATGCAAGAATACTAGTCTTGTTTTTTTGTCTCCTGATTTTGTAAATAAGCAAAACAAAATTGCCAAAAAGCTTATTCCAGGGGAAAAATATGTGTTAAAAATTGATAGATTATCACCCTTCCACGTGGAGCTTTCTATTGTTATCCATCCATGTGATTAAAAAAAATCTTTATTGTAGTTTTACTAGAGAATACAAAAGATTCCTTTGAGTAGTTCGTCCACATAGGGATGGTGCAGCCTTTTTTCTTTTTGTAAGTGAACTGTTTTGTTTTGGTTGCTGTTTTGTTTTATATATTAGTAAGTATTTAAAGTTTGTTTTCCTTGCAACATTCTGGATTCATAATTTTTAAATAGAAAAAAGTAGGGAAATAAACTGGAAATATTTGGGTTTGGCATTTCTTGTTACTAATTTTTGTTGAAAAATATAGAATTTCTCTTCTGTCTTATTGAATATATGATACCCACTAGTTTTTGTTTTGTATTCTTTAACGTTGGTTTTGATAGAAAAAACATTATAAAGTACAAAGACATAAAATCTGTACATGTAGAGTACATCAAGGTGTTTTGAGACTAAAAGGAAGATAATTACATGAAACTTTAATATATATATAACATTTTTTGTTTAATTTTTTTAGGTAAGTTTTATTTGATGGATTTGTTTTCTTCTTGGTACTACATTTTTTAAGGGATTATAGCCTTAGTGAGAAAAAGAAAAGAAAAAAGTATATTAGCAGTAATCTCATAAACATAACATTTTAGAGGAAAGCTGCCTATTTAAATATGATGAATTTATCAACCAAGGCATACACCATCAGCACTCTTCTCTATTGACCAGGATAGTTTTTAATGGCACCCACCTGATTTAAATTCTCCTTAAGAATAATTCATATATTGATTGGGTATAGGAATAATTGAGTGTGTTTCTGATTAGCATGATAAAATAATACAGTAAAAAAAGAGAAAATATAGACTAAAGTTTAGAAGTGAAGACATTTTGCTTTTGTAGGAGAGCTTATGAAATGACCTCCAAATGGAGATGATTTCTTATGTAACCAGAACATAAAATCCATTCATTCAATCAATATTTATCGAGCCACCTATTAGACACCAGACGCCATGCTTTGACAGCAAGGCTGAATCCATGAACAAGAAAAACAAAATCTGTGCTGTTGTGCGGCTTGCATTATCTAGTGAGTAGGGACGAGCAAGTTAAATAATAAGGATTATAGTCAGCACAGATCGTGAGCATCTGTTAGGTCTGAAACACTTTGTTCAGTATTAAGAAGGGTTTTTTTTTAAAAAACTAGTTTTCAATTTATAAGGGATATATATCCTACTTAACACATGAATGGTTCCTTTCTTAGTATGCCATAGTCCCTTATGCATATACCTATAATAATACCTATCAGTTGTAGCATGGCTTATTTGCATCCATCTCACTCTGGCACAACTATACCCATACTGTTAGACTGACATTTTATAACTTATTTATTTGTGCTTTCACTTCACTTGGAATATGCCTGACCTATAAGAAGCATACAATACAGTGTACATATTGGTTTGATGTATGTATAGTTCTTTATAGTTAGTGAGGCATTTTCATCTAATTTTATTTCAAAATTATACCTCAGAGATCTGAGGTATTGAATATCTGATTTCAATACCTGATTCAGATATTGCATATCTTTTTTTTAAATTTTATTATTATACTTTAACTTTTAGGGTACATGTGCACAACGTGCAGGTTTGTTACATATGTATATATGTGCCATGTTAGTGTGCTGTACCCATTAACTCGTCATTTAGCATTAGGTATAGCTCCTGATGCTATCCTTCCCCCTCCCCCCACCCCACAACAGTCCCCAGTGTGTGATGCTACCCTTCCTGTGTCCATGCGTTCTCAGTGTTCAATTCCCACCTATGAGTGAGAACATGCGGTGTTTGGTTTTTTGTCCTTGCGATAGTTTGCTGAGAATGATGGTTTCCAGCTTCATCCATGTCCCTACAAAGAACATGAACTCATCCTTTTTTGTGGCTGCATAGTATTCCATGGTGTATATGTGCCACATTTTCTTAATCCAGTCTATCATTGTTGGACATTTGGGTTGGTTCCAAGTCTTTGCTATTGTGAATAGTGCCGCAATAAACATACATGTGCATGTGTCTTTGTAGCAGCATGATTTCTAATCCTTTGGGTATATACCCAGTAATGGGATGGCTAGGTCAAATGGTATTTCTAGTTCTAGATCCCTGAGGAATCGCCACACTGACTTCCACAATGGTTGAACTAGTTTACAATCCCACCAACAGTGTAAAAGTGTTCCTATTTCTCCACATCCTCTCCAGCACCTGTTGTTTCCTGACTTTTTAATGATCGCCATTCTAACTGGTGTGAGATGGTATCTCATTGTGGTTTTGATTTGCATTCTCTGATGGCCAGTGGTGATGAGCATTTTTTCATGTGTTTTTTTGGCTGCATAAATGTCTTCTTTTGAGAAGTGTCTGTTCATCTCCTTGGCCCACTTTTTGATGGGGTTGTTTGTTTTTTTCTTGTAAATTTGTTTGAGTTCATTGTAGATTCTGGATATTAGCCCTTTGTCAGATGAATAGGTTGCAAAAATTTTCTCCCATTCTGTAGGTTGCCTGTTCACTCTGATGGTAGTTTCTTTTGCTGCGCAGAAGCTCTTTAGTTTAATGAGATCCCATTTGTCAATTCTGGCTTTTGTTGCCATTGCTTTTGGTGTTTTAGACATGAAGTCCTTGCCCATGCCTATGTCCTGAATGGTATTGCCTAGGTTTTCTTCTAGGGTTTTCCTGGTTTTAGGTCTAACATGTAAGTCTTTAATCCATCTTGAATTAATTTTTGTATAAGGTGTAAGGAAGGGATCCAGTTTCAGTTCTCTAGATATGGCCAGCCAGTTTTCCCAGCACCATTTATTAAATAGGGAATCCTTTCCCCATTGCTTGTTTTTGTCAGGTTTGTCAAAGATCAGATAGTTGTAGATACATGGCATTATTTCTGAGGTCTCTGTTCTGTTCCATTGGTCTATATCTCTGTTTTGGTAACAGTACCATGCTGTTTTGGTTACTGTAGCCTTGTAGTATAGTTTGAAGTCAGGTAGCTTGATGCCTCCAGCTTTGTTCTTTCGGCTTAGGATTGACTTGGCAATGTGGGCTCTTTTTTGGTTCCATATGAACTTTAAAGTAGTTTTTTCCAATTCTGTGTAGAAAGTCATTGGTAGCTTGATGGGGATGGCATTGAATCTGTAAATTACCTTGGGCAGTATGGCCATTTTCACGATATTGATTCTTCCTAGCCATGAGCATGGGATGTTCTTCCATTTGTTTGTATCCTCTTTTATTTCATTGAGCAGTGGTTTGTAGTTCTCCTTGAAGAGGTCCTTCACATCCCTTGTAAGGTGGATTCCTAGGTTTTTTATTCTCTTTGAAGCAATTGTGAATGGGAGTTCACTCATGATTTGGCTCTCTGTTTGTCTGTTATTGGTGTATAAGAATGCTTGTGATTTTTGCACATTGATTTTGTATCCTGAGACTTTGCTGAAGTTGCCTATCAGCTGAAGAAGATTTTGGGCTGAGATGATGGGTTTTCTAGATATACAATCATGTCATCTGCAAACAGGGACAATTTGAATTCCTCTTTTCCTAATTGAATGCCCTTTATTTCCTTCTCCTGCCTGATTGCCCTGACCAGAACTTCCAACACTATGTTGAATAGGAGTGGTGAGAGAGGGCATCCCTGTCTTGTGCCAGTTTTCAAAGGGAATGCTTCCAGTTTTTGCCCATTCAGTATGATATTGGCTGTGGGTTTGTCATAAATAGCTCTTATTATTTTGAGATACGTCCCATTAATACCTAATTTATTGAGAGTTTTTAGCATGAAGTGTTGTTGAATTTTGTCAAAGCATATCTTATTTCAATATCTGAGATATAGAAAATATCTTAACGTTTGTATCTATTTTATCTTCATCAAACTCATAAAAGAGGTAATGTTATTGTTGAAGCAACAGAAGACAACAAGTTTAAGTGACAACTTGTACATAAGGGTTTTTGCCAAGAGTCGTAGAAGAAGGATGACTATAGCTGCTCATGTCTCTAACTTGGTCTAATGTTGTCAGAAATGTATCAATCTTGCCAGAAACCCTTATCACTTTTGTTTCACCACACCACTCCCATTTTTACCCTGTTCTTTGTAAAATCATCCTGAAGTCTTTACAAG
The DNA here is from genome assembly GCF_000001405.40 of Homo sapiens. Lineage (NCBI taxonomy): Eukaryota > Metazoa > Chordata > Mammalia > Primates > Hominidae > Homo > Homo sapiens. The sequence continues at coordinate 53,228,237 of NC_000004.12, read as the reverse complement.
ATGTTTGTACTGAAATTATGAGATAGTTGATCCCCACTACCACCCCATCTACCACCATTGAGCTCTTGCCCAGTGACAAGAACTAGGCTTAAATGCTTCATATGCATTGTCTTATTCAAACCTTACAGTTCTAGGAACTATCCTTGTTCCTGTTTTACAGAGGAAGGAACAGAAGCTTAGAGAAGTTAAGTATTTACCTAGGTTACATAGTTTATAAGTGGTGGAGCCTGGATTCAATCCTGTCTCTGCCTGACTCCAAAGTCTGTGCTTTCAATAACTCTACCACACTACATTGAAGAGCTTATTTGAAAATATAAATTAAAAAATGTAATTGTCAAACTGCACTTCTAGTATGAGAAGTGCAGCTCTGCCTGTTTATAAGCAAATCATCTGTACATACATTTATCAGAAAATACAAATAAAGTCAGATTCATAATTTTTGATTTTTTGCAGAAATAATTCCTTATTTTTGTTTTATGAATAAATATATACCCTGGAATTTCGTTTGGAGCACTCCCCTCCAGTATTTGTAGTTCATCTTATTTGCCATTTTCCAGCCATATATTATGACTGATGGGTGAATCATATTGGAATAAAGGGTTTAGACTTCCCAGTGCTCAGCCCCAAAGGTGAAGGTATTCTGCTGTAGTGAGGCTTGATCCAAACAACAAATATAGTTTTTAAATTCATGCAAAGACTTTGTATTGTTGTTTGCATTTACTTCAAAATCTTAGCCGTTTTTATACCAAGATTCTCATTTTTGGAAGAACTTTAGCGTCATCTTTACAAGAATCCCCTCTATGGCACACCCTTCTATAGATGGCTTATATGGGTTTATTTAAGATCTAAATTTCTTTGTGAACATTGGCTACACAGGAGAATTTCACTGTTTGCTGTGACAGGAAAAATCATCAAGGAAATTGCCATTTTTTTCCTCTTTAAAATTTATTTTCACATCTCTCATATACAATGTCCTTTTCTCACATTATACTTAATTTTGTCACCTTTCTATGGCTGAAATTATAATTGGTGTCCTTTTATAGAAAATTGTAGAGTGGTGATAGGAAGGATTTTCATCACTGAAGAAGGTCAGGTGATGCTCAGATAAGAGGCCAGAGGAGACGCTTACAGAGGTCACACATACTGGCCATCTTTCCATCTGTCAGCCACATGCTCCATCTTCTTTCGCAGGAAGACAGCATGACAGGAAAGGATGAGAAGGTCCAGGACATCCTCAACAGCAAGGAGTTTGCTGAAATGCACCTCATTAGGGATACCTTTTTTAGATCGGGGTAAATAACCCACAGAAAAAATGTAATCCCCTGATAACTGTACAAGAGTGTTAAAAATAATTTAGTTAGTGATAGACAGGTTTTTGAGGGTTGGTTGGTTTCTGGTTAAGGAGGCAGCCACAGTGATCTTCTCTTTTACTGGGTCATTTCTTTACCTATATGTGTTACCTCATCCTTCAAGTCCAAGTAAGCTGCCTTTTTTTGGTGCTGCCCATCCTCTTGCACTGATCACCCTAATTTAAATAATTCAATTAATTTAAATATTGCCTAACTTATCAGTCTCCTTAGCTCTCTGAAGGCAGGGATCCCATGTTTTGTTTATTGTTATTTTTCCACCTGGCAGATAGTACGTGTTCATTAAAAATTTCCTCTCAATTTATTTTATGAACTTCATTGCTCATCAGAATGTTAGTGAAAAATTTTTTAAATAATTTGATTAAGTTATTCTTGAAAACAGCCAAAAAAGCCTAAAAAACAGTAATGTTGGGAAAAAGACTTGTGTCAGCCCATATGATAATACTTATCAATATTATATATCAATATATATCAATTATACATCAATAATGTTTATCAGTATTTTCTAGTAGTCTTTTTGGGTTTTGGTCCTTACATTTTAATTCAGCAATTAGTCCCCTCCCCCCCATAAAAATAATTACCAATAATGTTGTATTGCTGCAAGATAGTTTAGGAACAGATGCAAGAGTATTTTAGTGACTTTTTTATTTGTTAAAGGCAGTATCACAAACCAGTGGGAAAAGAAATAATATTTAATATGTGGCTAAGAACAATTGATGAGGGGAGTGATTATTGCTATATTAAAAGATAAATTAGAAATCCAAAACCAGCCTGGTTGCAGTGGCTCATATCTGTAATCCCAGCACTTCGGGAGGCCAAGGCAGGATGATCTCTTGAGGCTTGGAGGTTGAGACCAATCTGGGCAATACAGCGAGATCAAATTTCTATACTGTTAAATTTAAAAAAATTAAAAATACCCCAAATAACAAGTAAACTACCGGAAAATATTGGTAAACATTGAGTTTATTTTGGAATAGGGAAAAACCTAAAAGCCATGACATTAATCACAAAGGGGGAAAGCCACCAAATTTGATAATAGTATGGCTTAGTGGTTTAGAGAAAGGACCTTAAGATTAGAGGGTTCTAGAACTAAATGCTGCTGATACTTACTGAGTGATCTTGGTAGAAATTATCTACCTCATTAAGGCACAGTTTCCTCATTTGCAAACTAGAGGGGATAATCATAATAGCAAATTCATTAAGTCTTTAGAATACAAAAATTTATGTCAGGTAGTCGCCCTTTGGCAATAACATAGAAAACACAACAAATTTTAGCCATTATTATTAGCTCTAAAAATTTTATATAGGGTGTTATCAACTCACCTTGATAAAAGCAAACAAAATAGGAAAAGTATTTGCCATAAGACAAAGATTGATGTATATTACATGTGAAGAATTTGTTCATATGGATAAGGAAAACATCATTCAACAGAAAAAATGATTTTTAAAATGTGGCCAGCCATTTTACAGATGAGGAAATAATAGTGGCTAATAAGCATATGAAAAAAATGTTCAGTTTTCCTAGTAATAAAAAACCCCAAACAATGCTGAGATGTAATTTACCACTTAAAATTATCAAAGATTATCAAATAATAATTAGTGTTGGGTAGAGCTCAGTAACATGTTCATTCAGAAACATTACTATTGGAAGAGTGAATTTTGTCAAAGCACTTTGGCAATAAACCTTGAAAAGGTTTATATTTTTTATGGTAATTTCATTTCAGATTAAGATAATTAAGAATATAATCAAATATGGTGATATGATTTATGTTGTAATATTTTCCTTATGGTTTTTATTTATAATAATGACAAATTAGGAACAACCTAGATGTTTTACAGTGAGATTGATGGAATGCATGTTATAGTTGTTAAAAATTAAGTTATTGAAGAATATTTTTAATGAGGTGTGGAAATGTTATTCATGTAATGTTAATAGAAGAGAGTTTATTCTCATGAAAAACAAAACTACATATATACCATGAAGCTAACTCTGTTAAATAATAAAAAAAGGTGAAGAAAGTAGAGGGAGATTAGATATATAAAGTAGAAGAAATACTGGAAAATACATCACAATTATTATCATAGTTTTCTAAGTAGTAGGTTTTTCAGTTATCTATTGCTGCATAGCAAATTACCCCAAAACTTAGTGGCTTAAAGCCAGCATTTTATTAGAGCTCACAGTTTGTGGGGGAGGAATTCAGGCAGAGCTGAGCTGAGCAATTCTTTGGCTCTACATGGCATCTACTAAGGTTATTTGGGGGCTATTCAGCTTGTAGAGAGATGATCCAAGATGGCTTCAGTCATATATCTGGGCTTTGTAGGGACTAGGTAGAAGGATGGACTCAGCTGCAGTGCCTACGCATGGCCTCTCCATCATGGCAATCTCAGGGTATTCAGACTTCTTACACAGAAGTTAAGGTATCCAGAGAAATTGTTCTGCGGGAACTGGCAGAAAATGTAAGACTCTTTTTTTTTTTTTTTTGAGACGGAGTCTTGCTCTGTTGCCCAGGCTGGAGTGCAGTGGGGTGATCTCGGCTCACTGCAACCTCTGCCTCCCAGGTTCAAGCGATCCTCCTACCTTAGCCTCCTGAGTAGCTTGGATTACAGGCACATGCCACCACGCCTGGGTAATTTTTGTATTTTTAGTAGACATGGGGTTTTACCATGTTGGTTAGGCTGGTCTCGAGCTCCTGACCTCATGATCCACCCGCCTCGGCCTCCCAAAGTGTTGGGATTACAGGCGTGAATCACTGCGCCCAGCCAAATGTAAGACTTTTTATCACCTAGCCTTGAAAGTTCCAGAAAGTAATTGACTAGCTAGAATGAAGGAACTTAATTGACTAGCCCAGAATGAAGGGAAAAGAATTAGACTGCACCTCCCAAGGGGAGGAGAAGCAAAGAATTTATGACCATCTTTATCTTCTCTCAGGTGGATTGTGAGATTCTTATTTTCTTTGTGTTTCGTAGTATCTATAATGCAGAAGTATTATTTTTGTAATTTGTAAGAGCTTTTTATATATTAAGTTTATAACCTTCCATGAGATTTGCATAAAGTAGTTAACATTGTGTCTGGCATAAATAGAGCTCTCTATAAATGTCAACTGCCATCAGTATTGTCTTTAGTTCTTTTATGTTAGAAAAGAAACACATTGGTGGACTTATTTGCGGTGGCTCATTTTAAAAGGCATTAAAAAGTCATAATTGCATCTAGGCAAGCCAAACGAGATTTCCATGAGAAAATGTTCCGTGAGACTATGTTTTGAAGGATGAAAGGGAATTGCCGGTTAGGGAAGGACGGGAAAGACATGCAAGACAATGGGAACTGTATATGCAAAGACACAGAGTTCTGATAGCGCATAGCATGTTGCAGGATCTCACATGGCAGGGTGTGACTGTAAGGCATGTGTTTGTGGAAAAAGGGCTGACACCTGGAGGGGAAGAATTACATTCCAGAGATAACCAAGAAACAGAATATACAGGTCCTAGTGACTGATGAACTATAACAGTTCCTTCAGAGTTACAGCAAACAAAATTTAACTTTTCACTAGTTAAAGCAATCTTACTATCTGTTCCTGATTTAGTTTTCTTTCTTTAAACCTCAACATGAATTATATGCGAAAAGGACAGAATTCAGACTAAGTAATAAATTACATATGGGTAAATTTCCTTTCAAACTAAAAAAAGAGAAGAATTGGAGAAAATGACAGGCCAAGCCATATTTTTAGTTTAAAAATAAAATGATTTATATATTTTTTTCAGAAAGCCAATAGAACTGAACATTTGTCCATCATCTCAGAATGGGTGCTCCTGCCTGTTGAGCTTATTAGCTCCATTCTTACTGTCCCAGGGCTCTCGTGTTTGTGTGCCATATGGGTTCCACATCTGGTGACCAGTCCGTGCTCTTTTGGGGGAAAGAAAACAAAACTTCCTTGGAGGGACTACAGAAATACGTTTCTGTAGAATCTGCTACTGCCTATGCCTGCAAATATCTGGGTACCAAATTAAATGCATAAAGCTGAAGTTATATTACTTTTCAAAGATAACAGTAACCAGATAGGACACAATACAAATTAGGGCTTTAAACATTGTGGTACCAGTTCTTTCTTCTGGCATATTATTTGCAGTGATATCCCTTTGATGTTTTGACATATCTCTGAAATCATGATTAAATATGGTAACCAGAACTAGAATTGACTTACTCTGGGCAAGTCATTTGGAATCAATATTATAGTGAAAAAAAAAATGCTATTTGGAGTAGTTCTTCCAATTGCAATGAATTTAATTGGTGTTGAAGTCCCGTCTTGTTTTCCCTAGAACTGTCATTAAAATAGTTATCATGATAAACCAATAAAAATTTCAAATAAAAAGTAAGTTCAGGATATTATTAGCAAATATTTATCACTTAATGTTTTCTAAATTTATCATGCACAGATATCCACTGTCCCATGGATAAAAATGACAGTTAAGCTTTTGCAGTCATGTAAAAATAATTACTTCTATCAAAGCTTCAAGCTTCAGGAAGAATGTCAGAGCACATACATGTATAGTGGTTTTCTCCAGGTTAAATACTATGATGGTGACACACCAGGATTCCGTGTTTCAAAACCAAGATTTTTATTCTCTTCTTAAGTCATTGAGTCATTGCTGCTTCTCTCACTGTTTTAGAACATGATTAAAATTTGTACTGTTTTCTTGTGTTAGAAAAACAAAGGTGAGGGTGGGCGGGTGAAAAGGAAAGACATAATCCAGATGAGATGGTAATATAGGAACAGATTTTCACAGTGTTAGCCGATGTTGTGAAAAGCTGTTTTAGTCATAAGCCTAATGGAAAAACAATGTGGCCAGGAACCTGTCTGGTACTGAAATTTGACTCATTCAAAGTAATGTCAGGTACATTAGGAACCAAGGAACAGAGTTAACAGAATCAGTCCTATGTGTTGCTAATGTAGTATTTTGTTGTTGTGGTTCCTCTGTTGCCTCTTCTTGTAGCCTCCCATGGTGCTTGATGGTGTTCAAGGACTGGAAATGTCACCAGCTGTAGTAGAGCTGCTGGATCTCCCTATTTCTCATTTTCTAATCTCCATCTTCCAGCAATATTAACCTTGTTCTGCCTTCTTCCAGTTTGCAATTTGTCTCCTGTCAATGACATTTTAATTTTAACCTGATTTTTCTTTTCTACTACAGTAGCCTTAATTTGAAATTTTTATGGGTAATCAGTTAAAAAGTAAGCAAGCAATCATATTCTAAAAATTGTATCCAAAATCTGGACAATATCCATTAGATGGGAATTCATGTCACAAATCACTATTGGAGAGGAAGTTACAGATGGGGAGGCATCATTCCAAACTGTCGTAGTATTGTCAAGGATAAATAGTTATTAGCAAGATTTAAATTTATAAATTTGAACTCAGTGGGGTTTTAATTTAATATTACAGTTTTTATTACAAGGCAAGATCTTCGTGAAATTAAAAACACATGGACTAATTTAGCCTCAATAGACAAGGATGCTTGTGAATGGGAGTCAAAGGATTTAATTTTCAGTCTTTAGATCTTTTGCTCCTTGGTTTCCTTATCAGTCAAATGAGAAATTATTATTATTCCTTTATTTGAGGAGATTCTGTAATGATCAACATTATCTTACTTTCAAATCTCCAAGAAGAGTTGTTTGGCCTTCCTGAACCCTATTTTCCTCATTTGTGTGGGTGAGGTGGCTGTTGAGTGGTTCTGGGCATTAGTGATAATGTATATACTGCACTAGCACAGTGCCTGGCCAATTGTGGGTACTTAAAATATAGATTTGACCATTGTAGTTGCTCCTGATACTCCTGCTACTCTGCTGCTTATTACCTTCTTATCTGCCAGTATTTTGTTAATACCTATTTTTTTCTATGATTAAAGTAAACATCACGATGCAGGTGAGATTAATTTCTCCCACTTCCAGTGTAGCAAATTTTGTTTAGCTTTATTGGAAGGAAAGAGAAAACAGCATTTCAAATATCCCTGCATGTAATTTGAATTAGGGCTTCACATTTTTATTTCAGTAAAGTATATTTATTTTCTCAGAGGAATTCTTCTTCCCCAAACCATTACCAGCAGAATCAGTGATAACTGGATGGAGTCTTTGGGACTCTTGTGATATGTGTGAAGCCTTGCATGTGACTTCTGAATCTTCAAGGATATTGTTACAGATATTAAGATGTTATTATTAACTGCTTTATTGTATCTAATGCTATAAAACTCTTGTGTGCTGTGTGTCTATGTGTATGTGTACATTTGTATGGTCTTTGAGTAACTGAATACCTGACTGCATTTTATATGAGAATATTCTTTGCATTTATGATAAATTGTTAAATGACACATAGACACACAGAAATTACTTAGTTATTTCAACAAATAATTATTGGGTACCTATTATATGACTAATAGTCAATTGTTCCATGTGGTAGGAATAGAGCAGTTAATATTACAGAGTCCCTGCCTTCACACAACTTACATTCTAGTTAAGAAAACAGACAGTAAAGAAACCAACAAATGTATACAGCATGTCAGGATTAATAGGTATATATGATAATGAGCTTATAAACTGATCAGGTTTTCTATAGCATGTGTTCCTTTGGTTGGTGTCCTTGCTGTATTGGCTCTTCAATAATTTGAATATAGCTTTTGATCAGTGCTATGAAGAAAAATGAAGCTGGGTCATGGGCTAAAAAGCAGCAAGAATTGAGAAAGCTATCAGATACAGAATGGTGAGGGTTGGGCATTTCTGAAGAAGTGATATTTGAGTGGAGACTTGAATGAAGAGAGGGAGTGAACCATGAGGCTGACTGGGGAGAGATAGTTTTAGGTAGAGGTAGCAGGAAGGGCAAAAACACCTCCACTACCCAATGCTTACACCCCAGCAGATTGGAGGCCACTGCTGTGGTGTGAGTGTTTGGAAGTGGAGGGGATGACTGGGCAGATTCTTAGGCCTTGTAGACCTTGGCAGTCATGGTGGTGGTAGTAGTAACCATTATTATTATTGTCATTTATATTTTTTGATCTTAGTGTATCTTAAAATAATGTTAAGCATTAAAAGAACCATATTGCGGGGGCGGTTCCAAGAGGGCCGAATAGGAACAGCTCCAGTCTACAGCTCCCAGTGTGAGTGACACAGAAGACAGGTGATTTCTGCATTTCTAACTGAGGTACTAGGTTCATCTCACTGGGGCTTGTCCGACAGTGGGGGCAGGACAGTGGGTGCAGCCCACCGAGTGTGAGCTGAAGCAGGGCAAGGCATCACCTCACCCAGGAAGTGCAAGGGGTCAGGGAATTCCCTTTCCTAGACATGGAAAGCAGTGACGGACGGTACCTGGAAAATCGGTTCACTCCCACCGTAATACTGTGCTTTTCCAACGGTCTTAGCAAACGGCACACCAGGAAATTATATCCCACGCATGGCTCAGAGGGTCCCACACCCATGGAGCCTCGCTTATTGCTAGCACAGCAGTTGAGATCGAACTGCAAGGCGGCAGCGAGGCTGGGGGAGGGGCGCCCGCCATTGCTGACGCTTGAGTAGGTAAACAAAGTGGCCTCGAAACTGAAACTGGGTGGAGCCAACGGCAGCTCAAGGAGGCCTGCCTGCCTCTGTAGACTCCACCTCTTGGGGCAGGGCATAGCTGAACAAAAGGCAGCAGAAACCTCTGCAGACTTAATGTCCCTGTTTGACAGCTTTGAAGTGAGTAGTGGTTCTCCCAGCATGGAGTTTGAGATCTGAGAACAGACAGACTGCCTCCTCCAGTGGGTCCCTGACTCCCGAGTAGCCTAAAGGGGAGGCACCCTCTAGTAGGGGCAGACTGACACCTCACACGGCCGGGTACCCCTCTGAGCTGAAGCTTCCAGAGGAACGATCAGGCAACAACATTTGCTGTTCAGCAATATTCGCTGTTCTGCAGCCTCCGCTGCTGATACCCAGGCAAACAGGGTCTGGAGTGGACATCCAGCAAACTCAGACCTGCAGCTGTGGTTCTTGACTGTTAGAAGCAAAACTAACAAACAGAAAGGACATCCACACCAAAACCCCATCTGTATGTCACCATCATCAAAGAGCAAAGGTAGATAAAACCACAAAGATGGGGAAAAAGCAGAGCAGAAAAGCTGAAAAATCTAAAAATCAGAGCGCCTCTCCCCCTCCAAAGGAATGCAGCTCGTCGCCAGCAACGGAAGAAAGCTGGACGGAGAATGTCTTTGACGAGTTGAGAGAAGAAGGCTTCAGACGATCAAACTTCTCTGAGCTAAAGTAGGAAGTGCAAACCCATCGCAAAGAAGCTAAAAACCTTGAAAAAAGATTAGATGAATGCCTAACTAGAATAATCAATGCAGAGAAGTCCTTAAAGGACCTGATGGAGCTGAAAACCATGACATGAGAACCATGTGACGAATGCACAAGCTTCAGTAGCCAATTTGAACAACTGGAAGAAAGGGTATCAGTGACAGAAGATCAAATGAATGAAATGAAGCGAGAAGAGAAGTTTAGAGAAAAAAGAGTAAAAAGAAATGAACACAGCTTCCAAGAAATATGGGACATGTGAAAAGACCAAATCTACATCTGATTGGTGTACCTGAAAGTGACGAGGAGAATGGAACCAAGGTGGAAAACACTCTTCAGGATATTATCCAGGAGAACTTCCCCAATCTAGCAAGGCAGGCCAACATTCCAATTCCGGAAATACAGAGAATGACACAAAGATACTCCTTGAGAAGAGCAACTCCAAGACACATAATTGTCAGATTCACCAAAGTTGAAATGAAGGAAAAAATGTTCAGGGCAGCCAGAGAGAAAGGTCGGGTTACCCACAAAGGGAAGCCCAACAGAGTAACAGCAGATCTCTTGGCAGAAACGCTACAAGCCAGAAGAGAGTGGGGGCCAATATTCAACATTGTTAAAGAAAATGATTTTCAACCCAGAATTTCATATCCAGCCAAACTAAGCTTCATAAGTGAAGGAGAAATAAAATCCTTTACAGACAAGCAAATGCTGAGAGATTTTGTCACCACCAGGCCTGCCCTAAAAGAGCTCCTGAAGGAAGCACTAAACATGGAAAGGAACAACCGTTACCAGCCACTACAAAAACATGCCAAATTGTAAAGACCATTGATACCATGAAGAAACTGCATCAACTAAGGAGCAAAATAAGCAGCTAACATCATACTGACAGGATCAAATTCACACATAACGATATTAACCTTAAATGTAAATGGGCTAAATGCTCCGATTAAAAGACACAGACTGGCAAATTGGATAAAGAGTCAAGACCCATCAGTGTGCTGTATTCACAAGACCCATCTCACGTGCAGAGACACACATAGGCTCAAAATAAAGGGATGGAGGAAGATCTACCAAGCAAATGGAAAACAAAAAAAGGCAGGGGTTGCAATCCTAATCTCTGATAAAACAGACTTTAAGCCAACAAAGATCAAAAGAGACAAGGCCATTATATAATGGTAAAGGGATCAATTCAACAAGAAGAGCTAACTATCCTAAACATATGTGCACCCAATACACGGGCACCCAGTTTCATAAAGCAAGTCCTTAGAGACCTACAAAGAGACTTAGACTCCCACACAATAATAATGGGAGACTTTAACACCCCACTGTCAACATTAGACAGATCAACGAGACAGAAAGTTAATAAGGATATCCAGGAATTGAACTCAGCTCTGCACCAAGTGGACCTAATAGAAATCTACAGAACTCTCCACCCCAAATCAACAGAATATACATTCTTCTCAGCACCACATCGCACTTATTCCAAAATTGACCACATAGCTGGAAGTAAAGCACTCCTCAGCAAATGTAAAAGAACAGAAATTATAACAAACTGTCTCTCAGACCACAGTGCAATCAAACTAGAACTCAGGATTAAGAAACTCACTCAAAACCGCTCAGCTACATGGAAACTGAATAACCTGCTCCTGAATGACTACTGGGTACATAACGAAATGAAGGCAGAAATAAAGATGTTTTTGAAACCAATGAGAACAAAGACACAACATACCAGAATCTCTGGGACACATTCAAAGCAGTGTGTAGAGGGAAATTTATAGCACTAGATGCCCACAAGAGAAAGCAGGAAAGATCTAAAATTGACACCCTAACATCACAATTAGAAGAACTAGAGAAGCAAGAGCAAACACATTCAAAAGCTAGCAGAAGGCGAGAAATAACTAAGATCAGAGCAGAACTGAAGTAGATACCGACACAAAAAACCCTTCAAAAAATCAATGAATCCAGGAGCTGGTTTTTTGAAAAGATCAGCAAAATTGATAGACAGCTAGCAAGACTAATAAAGAAAAAAAGAGAGAAGAATCAAATAGATGCAATAAAAAATGATAAAGGGGATATCACCACCAATCCCACAGAAATGCAAACTACTATCAGAGAATACTATGAACACCTCTATGCAAATAAACTAGAAAATCTAGAAGAAATGGATAAATTCCTGGACACATACACCCTCCCAAGACTAAACCAGGAAGAAGTTGAATCTCTGAATAGACCAATAACAGGCTCTGAAATTGAGGCAATAATTAATAGCGTATGAACCAAAAAAAGTCCAGAGCCAGACGAATTCACAGCCGAATTCTACCAGAGATACAAGGAGGAGCTGGTACCATTCCTTCTGAAACAATTCCAATCAATAGAAAAAGGAGGAATCCTCCCTAACTCATTTTATGAGGCCAGCATCATCCTGACACCAAAGGCTGGCAGAGACACAACAAAAAAAGAGAATTTTAGATCAATATCCCTGATGAACATTGATGCAAAAATCCTCAATAACATACTGATGAACCGAATCCAGCAGCACATCAAGAAAGCTTATCCACCATGATCAAGTGGGCTTCATCCCTGGGATGCAAGGCTGGTTCAACGTAAGCAAATCAATAAACGTAATCCAGCATATAAACAGAACCAAAGACAAAAACCACATGATTATCTCAATAGATGCAGAAAAGGCCTTTGATAAAATTAGCAGCCCTTCATGCTAAAAACTCTCAATAAATTAAGTATTGATGGGACGTATCTCAAAATAATAAGAGCTATTTATGACAAACCCACAGCCAATATCATACTGAATGGGCAAAAACTGGAAGCATTCCCTTTGAAAACTGGCACAAGACAGGGATGCCCTCTCTCACCACTCCTGTTTTACATAGTTTTGGAAGTTCTGGCTAGGACAATCAGGCAGGAGAAGGAAATAAAGGGCATTCAGTTAGGAAAAGAGGAAGTCAAATTGTCCCTGTTTGCAGATGACATGAATGTATATCTAGAAAACCCCATCATCTCAGCCCAAAATCTCCTTCAGCTGATAAGCAACTTCAGCAAAGTCTCAGGATACAAAATCAATGTGCAAAAATCACAAGCATTCTTATACACCAATAACAGACAGCCAAATCATGAGTGAACTCCCATTCACAATTGCTTCAAAGAGAATAAAATACCTAGGAATCCAACTTACAAGGGACGTGAAGGACCTCTTCAAGGAGAACTACAAACCACTGCTCAATGAAATAAAAGAGGATACAAACAAATGGAAGAACATCCCATGCTCATGTCTAGGAAGAATCAATATCGTGAAAATGGCCATATTGCCCAAGGTAATTTATAGATTCAATGCCATCCCCATCAAGCTACCAATGACTTTCTTCACAGAATTGGAAAAAACTACTTTAAAGTTCATATGGAACCAAAAAAGAGCCTGCATTGCCAAGTCAATCCTAAGCCAAAAGAATAAAGCTTGAGGCATCAAGCTACCTGACTTCAAACTATACTACAAGGCTACAGTAACCAAAACAGCGTGGTACTGGTACCAAAACAGAGATATAGACCAATGGAACAGAACAGAGCCCTCAGAAATAACGCCGCATATCTACAACTATCTGATCTTTGACAAACCTGACAAAAACAAGCAATGCAGAAAGGATTCCCTATTTAATAAATGGTGCTGGGAAAACTGGCTAGCCATATGTAGAGAGCTGAAACTGGATCCCTTCCTTACATCTTATACAAAAATTAATTCAAGGTGGATTAAAGACTTACATGTTAGACCTAAAACCATAAAAACCCTAGAAGAAAACCTAGGCAATACCATTCAAGGCATAGGCATGGGCAAGGACTTCATGTCTAAAACACCGAAAGCAATGGCAACAAAAGCCAAAATTGACAAATGGGATCTAATTAAACTAAAGAGCTTCTGTGCAGCAAAAGAAACTACCATCATAGTCAACAGGCAACCTACAGAATGGGAGAAAATTTTTGCAACCTACTCATCTGACAAAGGACTAATATCCAGAATCTACAATGAACTCAAACAAATTTACAAGAAAAAAACAACCCCATCAAAAAGTGGGCCAAGGATATGAACAGACACTTCTCAAAAGAAGACATTTATGCAGACAAAAAACACATGAAAAAAATGCTCATCATCAGTGGCCATCAGAGAAATGCAAATCAAAATCACAATGAGATACCATCTCACACCAGTTAGAATGGCGATCATCAAAAAGTCAGGAAACAATAGGTGCTGGGAGGATGTGGAGAAATAGCAACACTTTTACACTGTTGGTGGGATTGTAAACTAGTTCAACCATTGTGGAAGTCAGTGTGGCGATTCCTCAGGGATCTGGAACTAGAAATACCATTTGACCTAGCCATCCCATTACTGGGTATATACCCAAAGGAGTATATATCATGCTGCTATAAAGACACATGCACACGTATGTTTACTGTGGCACTATTTACAATAGCAAAGACTTGAAATCAACCGAAATGTCCATGAATGATAGACTGGATTAAGAAAATGTGGCACATACACACCATGGGATACTATGCAGCCATAAAAAAGGATGAGTTCATGTCCTTTGTAGGGACAGGGATGAAGCTGGAAACCATCATTCTCAGCAAACTATCGCAAGGACAAAAAACCAAACACCACATGTTCTCACTCATAGGTGGGAATTGAACAATGAGAATACATGGACACAGGAAGCGGAACATCACACACCAGGGCCTGTCGTGGGGTGGTGGGAGGAGGGAGGGATAGAATGAGGAGATATAACTAATATAAATGACGAGTTAATGGATGCAGCACATCAACTTGGCACATGTATACATATGTAACTAACCTTCATGTTTTGCACATGTACCCTAGAACTTTATAAAAAAATAAATAAATGAAAGAACCGTATGGCATTATTAAATGAATGAGAAAATTTGAAGAACTCTTTGAAGCAGAATTCCACTAATACTTTTATATCCTGTATTTGCCTGCACATCTTAATTCCTGAATTTACTTTCAGCTTGAACTAGCATGAAGAGCTTTTACAAAAGAGGCTTTTTACAGAGCATGACTGAAAGCAGGTAGACTTTCGAGATCATAGTCACTCTGGTTTTAATTTCAGACCCCTTTTTGTATCAAAGGTCAGGTCCCTGATGAGAAATGAATCAAGTCAGACGCATTTTTTTCTACTCTATTACAAAGAAGGTTTTCGAGTTCTTGTTTTGGCACTATGCATCTCCAAGAGGAATTTCTTTTTTCTATACACCTGCAGCAATAAAACATAAAGGGATTGTGATTTTGATTTCTATCTTTACTCATCATCTCTTTTTGCTTATACTGGAGACAATTGTATTTAAAGTCTTATATGCAACTGGACTTTCTTTAGACATTAAACTTTGCAAAAAGGTAGTGCTTTTCACATTACACCTACTAAATAATTTAATCGTGATTATCATTGCTAGAAATTGTTTGTGTGTACCAGATGCGTTTACACACACTTCATTTATCATTATTACAGTAGTGTTTCCATATTTTAACATCTAGAACAGCCTTATTCGTACATACAGGCTGAATATTTTCCTTGGCCACCTGTCTACCTGCACCTAGTTTGCTGGCTTTTCTCTCATGTGTAGAATTTTTAAAAATCAACTGTATTTGTTAACAAGATAGAAGAAATAATGTGTGCTGGTTAAAAAAAAAAACCGTGTAATCATTGTGATGAGTTAAGGTTCACTTGTGAAGGAGAATTTGAATAGTTCATTTGGTTTCCTTTTTAAAACTACCATCACCTCAAGAGAAAAAATGATCCCATATAACAATTATAGAAAAACAACTACTCTAAAATTTTATTCATAATATGAACAGTTTTCCTTGTACCTTAATGAATATTAATCATTTGTTTATAGTTCTTTATCCCTTCCACGTCAACACACACAGACACCACATGCACACACACACACACACACACACACACACACACGTGCTCACTTTCTTCCTCTCTCTCTTACCATCTCCTTAATACTATATTGTGTGGGTTCTTTGTTCATGGGCAAATTATTTATTATTATTATTATTTATTTATTTTTTGCTTTCTTTTAATTTGGATACTGTTTCCAGCCTTTCCTGGACTATGTTATTGGTTTGGGAAGTGACATGGACAAACACCTGCTGACTAGGTAATTGATTTCATTGTGGTTATGTCACTTTGGGTGCTCTGAGAGTTACACTAAGCTAAATGTGCTTTCCACATTTGGTGTTGTTTTGACTTTTGGAAGTCCTGGTCCTTTATAAGCTATAATGTATGGTTAACTTTACCGACTTTGGGGTAGGAAAGGAGCGTTTGATTTTGAGGGGTGGAGAATGCTTTCCCAACAGTGGATTCTATTAAGTTCTGATTTATTTTTCCCCAGCAGAAGGAATAGAGGTGCCATGCCTGAGTGATTTAACATTCAGCTGGAGGAAATTTTGGTTGGGGGGTGTACTATCCATCCAATATTATAAGGTAACTGAAGAAGGGAAGAAGTGAAGGAGAAGTAGTAAAATGCTAGGCAGAAATTAGCCTTGTTAAGCCTAAAATTCAAACTCTTTAGCTGGTAGTTTTGGTTTTCCAGTGTATGGTCTAAGCCAGTGGTTCTCAAACTTTTTGGTCATAGGACCCCTTTACATTCTTGAATGTTATTGTGGGCTCCAAAGAGCTTTTGTTTAAATGGATTATATTTATTGGTATCAACCATCTTAGAAATAAAATGGAAAAATTTAAAACTACTGACTGTATGGAGGAAAACTCTCAAACCATGCTTTTCTTCTACTTTCACACTACAACAATCATCAACACAGAAGAAGACATTTGTGACCAAATGCGTGGGGATTTTTCCCCACACACAAAGCAGCGGACACCAGCTGAGCATCATCCAATTTGGTGCCAACACTATCTACCCAGAGATATAGCATCAGATCCCACAGGTTGAGGGCTCAGTCCCCAAGACTGACCCCCATCCCAAACACATCAGTCTCAAGTCTTGGCCTGCAGAACTTCTAACTGACCAGCTTCAAGTTGGGGTTCCCATGACTCCCCTTTGAATTTGATTAATTTGCTGAAGTGTCTCACAGAACTCAAGAAAACACTCACGTTTACCAATTTATTATAAAAGATACTACAAAGGATACAGATGAAAAGATGTGTAACGCAAGGTATGGGGGAAGGGGAATGGAGCTTCCATGCCCACCCTGGGTGTGCATCCTCCAGGAACCTCCAAGGGTTCAGCTATCTGGAACCTCTCTGAACACAGTTCTCTTGGATTTTTTTTTTTTTTTCACATGGAGTCTTGCTCTGTCATCAGGCTGGAGGGCAGTGGTGCAATCTCAGCTCATTGCAACCTCCGCCCCCCGGGTTCAAACGATTCCCCTGCCTCAGGCTTCAGAGTAGCTGGGACTACAGGTGCGTGCCACCATGCCTGGCTAATTTTTTGTATTTTAGTAGAGACAGGGTTTCACCATGTTGGTCAGGATGGTCTTGATCTCCTGACCTCATGATCTGCCTGACTCAGCCTCCCAAAGTGCTGGGATTACAGGAGTAAGCCACCATGCCTGGCCCGTCTTGGGTTTTTATGGAGGCTTCTTGAGGGCAGCATTCCTTCCCTCAGGGTATGGGGTGGACCATCTCTGGGAGGGTCTTAAGACCCACAACAGAAAGGCAGGGGAAGATTAGAGTGCTGCCTTGGGTAGGTGAAAGGAGGGCAGGAGGTCAGAAGCCTGCCCCTGAGGTCTAACACATTCCACATTATAATAAAAGACTGTAACAAAGGCTGTGGGAGTTACGAGCCAGGAACAATGGACAAAAATCAATATCTGTCATAATACCATGCTTATTAATTTATTAAAAAGAATAATGCACGTTATTAATAAAAATAGAAATAAATATATATGATAACATAAATAATATGTTTTTCAGAACAGAAATATTTAGTGAGATGAGTGGTATTGTTTTACATTCTGCAAATCCCTTTAATGTCTGGTTTAATAGAAGACAGCTGGATTCTCGTCTCTCCTTCTGCATTCAATCTGTTGTCGTATCACACATCACATAGCTTCTGGAAGACTTCACTCTATGCTCCTGAGAGAATGAGAGTGAAAAAGAAAAATAATTACTTAGTATTATTATGAAAATAATTTTGACCTCGTGGAACCCCTGGAAAGTTCCCTCAGGACTTTCCTGACCACAGTTTGAGAACTATTGGCCTACACAAATCTTTCCAGCCACACTCCTGTGTTAAGCCCTTCTGAGCCTCTTTGTATCAACACTTCAGCCTGCCCCTTTTCCCACCCCTACTCACCTATTCTCCTAGCTGCCCACAGTTCAGAGCCCAGAATCTTAAGCATTAGAGTCAAGTAGAGTCTATCCAGTACAGATATCTATTATGGGAGGGTTCTTTGGCTCAAGGTATCATGAAAATATCAAAAGGATTCATTGAGAATGAGTGAACCCACTTTCTGAAATTAAAACTATAGTTGAAGTCTTCTTATCCATGGTGATAAGGGCCAGAAGATGATTGGTTAATTGAAAAAGCACTTCAAAAGAGAGAATCATAGAAAGATTCATACATACATCAACTTTTTTTTAACTTACAATGTGTAAAATATCTATTTATTCACCAAAATTTTGGTGTAGTGCTAGGCCTTTTCTTTGAGAAAGGGTTTACTGATTGGAGTTCTCCATCCTCTTTTTTGCCTAAATCACACTCAAAATGCATCATCTACTATTTCCAATTTTGTATTTTTTTTTTTAATGGAGAAAGAAGACTACAAAGTTACTAGCAAAACAATCTAAGGACTGTAAGAACACTGGTATGTCACTTCTTTATACTATAGTTTCTTGAGGACAGAGACCATGTCATCATTTTTCTACTCTTAACACAGTGTCTAGCAATAGTTGGTATTCCCTGAGTGGCTTTTTAGTTGAATACACAGTGAGGGCATGTATCCGTGAAAGAATGAAGCAGAAGCTATACTGTATAATGAAATTATGTTCATTGTAAATAATTTCTGACCCACTATTAACACTATAGGAAGGAATACCCAAATGGACATTCTTATATTCCAAGAGGAACTGATCATTAGTGCTGAACTTCCACTTGGTCTTTGAAGAGAGTCATCACACTTTTCCAACCTCAGCATCCAGTTCCCTAAGGATACATTGAGCACAAATACTAACCAAAAGTCTGTTACTCAAAGGAGAAGCTTTCCTGGCTGCCGCCCCCTCATCTAGTGTATCATTGTATTTAGCTTTATCAAGGGCATGGTAGGATGCATTAAGCACTAAGGTTTTGGATTGTTGATATTATGTTAATATCTGTATAGACTTCGACCTTGGAGAGTGAGAGCAGGAAGTCAGCACAGGGTTGACCGTATATCCCTTACTATCATGTAACCTCCATAGGATGACCAACTCATTTCAGTTTGCCTGGAACTTTCCTGGTTTTAGCACTGAATGTCCCAAGTCCTGGTAACTCCTTCAAACTCAGGCAAACTGAGAGGGTTTGTCTTAATCCTCTACCCTAAGTCTGTGCACAGGAGCAGGGAATTCAAACTAGGGTTTGTTAGAAATGCAAATATTGGGTACATTCCTGTGGCCAAGAGTCCCTTAGTTGCCTAAAGGCAGGCAGGCAAACTTTCAAAGGGCCGAGCTTCTTGAGATTAGTCTCTTTCACTGGAATATTTTTAGTTTTGCTAAAAATCACAGTAACATTGCTCACTTAGTTTATCAATTTATCATTTAATGTGAGACGTACTTTTAACAAGATATTTAACTTATAAGATTTTTCTAGTTCCTTCTTTGCCTAATTCTGAAAATGTATATGCTTCCATTGCTTTGGAATTATGAGAGGTGTATATGGCTTTGACTGGGAGGTAAGAGCACTGCCTTAGCCTTTGCTGCCATGGTGCAGCATAGAACACACACGACTAGGAGTCAGGAGATTGGGTATGCACACCAGCTTTGCCACAAACCCAGCTATGGGGAACTTGGATAGGACCTAGCTTTGCTGAACTATGAGGTCTTTTTCTACAAAATAGGAGAAACTATAATAACATTGTCACAGATTGTTCTGAGTATTAAGAGATAACATGCAGGAAAGTGTTTGTGACATGTACAGGATTATTTAGTAAATATGTATAGATCATTGTTGATGTACCTGCATTACTCAATTGTTACTTCGCTCAATAAACTTGCTTATTGTTTTCAATGTCAATGTATTAGTCTGTTCTTGCACTGCTATAAAGAAGTACCTGGCGAGGTGTGGTGGCTCGTGTCTGGCCCAGGACTTTGGGAGGCCAAAGTGGATTGCATGAGCTCGTGAATTTGAGACCAGACTGGGAAATATGGCAAACGCTGTCTCTCTATATATATAAAAAGAAAAAAAAAGAAAAGAAAAAAATTGCTGGGCATGTTGGTGCACACCTGTAGTCCCAGCTACTCAGGAGGCTGAGGTGGGAGGATGGCTTGAGCCTGGGAGGTGAAAGTTGCAGTGAGCTGAAATCTTGCTACTGTACTCCAGCCTAGTGATAGAGCTAGACTTTGTATGGGGGGAAAAAAAAAAAGAAAAGAAAAGAAAGAAAAAAGAAATACCTGAGACTGAGTAATCTTTAAAGAAAAGAGGTTTAATTGGCTGGTGGTTCCACTGGCTGTACAGGAAGCATGGCTGGGGAGGCCTCAAGAAACTTACAATCATGGTGGAAGGCAGAGGGGAAGCAGACATGTTTTCACATGGCCCGAGAAAGAAGAAGAGAGAAGGAGGAGGTGCTACGAACTTTTAAACAACCAAATCTCCTGACAACTCACTCACAGTACCAAAGGGGAAATCTGCCCCCATGATTCAATCACCTCCCACCAGGCCCCACCTCCAACACTGGGGATTACATTTTGACATGAGATTTGGGTCTGTATATATATATATAAATATTATATATATATTATATATATATAAATATTATATATATTATATATAAATATTATATATATAATATATAAATATTATATATATAATATATATAATATATATATATGAAATATATATATAATATATTTCAAACTACTCAGCCATGTTTTGTTGGTTTATGATGTTTTCAAGTTTGACCTTTTCCAGACACTAAGGATTGTTGGTTTTGTCAGTATAGCAGTTTGAAAAATGTGAGCACTATTTAAAAAAAAATTCTCCCCTCTTGCCATCATCCTTTTTTTTTTTTTTTAGCAAAAATGTATTACATTCCTAGGTTTTGTCAGTGCTGTGGTTTGAATGTGTCCCCCAAAAGTTCATAGGTTGGAAACTTAATCCGTAATGCATCATTGTTGGGAGGTGGGGCTTAATAAGAGGTAATTGGGTCATAAGGGCAAAACCGTCACTAATGGATTAATGTATTATCATGGGAGCAGGTTAGTTATCTAGACAGTAGGTTGTTATAAAGTGAGTCTGGCCCTGGTACCTCTCTTTTGCACAGGCTCTCATGCCCTCTCGCCATGCCATACCTGCCACCATGTTATGATGCAGCAAGGAGGCCCTCACCAGATGCTGGAACCATGCTCTTGGACTTCTCAGGCTCCAGAATTGTGAGCTAAATAAACTTCATGTCTTTATAAATTACTTAGTCTTTGTATTCTCTTATAGCAACAGAAAATGGACTAAGACAACCAGGCACTGTTAATTTAATTTTTAGCAGGCAAACTCATGCATATAGCTTTAAAAATCAAATATGATCCTCACTTTGCACAGTAGTGTAGGATGGTAAAAATGACTGTTCAGAATTGAGGCCATGCAAAGTGATTTAATAACCAATGAAAAATAATAATTGTTCCATGACCATTAAATTATTTTAGTCAGAATATTACAAACTCATTACTGTCAGTGATACATGTATAGGGTAATTAGTATTTATTTAGTATATTGTAATTTAAAGCAGTGGCAACATTGAGAATTACAGTGGAGTTTTTACGATTAAAAAAACTTGAGTAGTTTGAAGATTTCTCACCTTCTATAACTTACAATATGGAGCAAACATGTTTTCTATGCTTTGGTAAACAGTCATAGTTCTTTCTAAATTTGGGTTAACTTACAGCATTTTAAGCTTTGTACATTCAAAGTCATGCATATCTCTGAGAGGTCCTTTAATGTGAAGATTTTTTGCTTGCATCACTTCCTCTGGAACATCTTCATCTTCTGTTTGCTAATTTCTACTTTTAGTTATTTATTTTTTAAATTAAATGTCATATGGGCTTATTATTGGGAGACAAGGAGGCAACAGCACTACACACTTTGCTGTCTGTGTGTGACCCAAATAAGAGATATGCAGTAACTGGTTGCCTACAGACTTTGAAAGAAGTGACATTATTAGTCATTGACCAAGATGCACATCTGTTACTTGTGTAGTGATTTGTGGACTAAAAAGCTAACAGTGAAATTTGAACTCTATAAAATTACTCACAGCTAATATACCAAGTTAACTAAAATTTTTGCTGCACTTTGGGGGACTAGTGTAATAATAATTAGTACTGATAATGCCCAGGCAAAAACTGTTCACAGCTGAGAGTTGTAAAGTTCTATGATTATATTTACTTTTTCCTTTGAGTTGATAATTGTGTTTTTTTTAATTTATTAAGCTTATTTTGTACTATTACTAACTTTTTGCCCATCTTTTTTTTTTTTTGAGACAGTCTCGCTCAATAGCCCAGGCTGGAGTACAGTGGCTCAGTCTCGGCTCACTGCAAGCTCCGCTTCCTGGGTTCATGCCATTCTCCTGCCTCAGCCTCCCGAGTAGCTGGGACTACAGGCACCTGCCACCATGCCCAGCTAATTTTTTTGTATTTTTTTAGTAGAGATGGGGTTTCACCGTGTTAGCCAGGATGGTCGCGATCTCCTGACCTCGTGATCCGCCCACCTCGGCCTCCCAAAGTGTTGCCCATCTTTTAAGAGCCTTTTTCATCTTTGGTTCTTGACTTTTTCATAACATGAATCATGTTGGTGTAAGGGTTTCAAGCAGTTTTGTGGTTTGTTGTTGCTTTTACTGTTTGTTTGCTTTAACCTCTGTTCTATTCTCTTTTTATCTTAGGAATTCCAGTTCTCATTGTAGGCATCATCTTTCTTTGCTGTCATTCTTCACATTTCATTTGCTTTTTTCCTGGGATGGAGTCAGTTTTTCTTGGACCTCTTTATTTTTATCCTTCCTGGTTTACTTCCTTTATTTGATGGGGCACATCCAGGTAAAAAAAGGTGGTACAGAGGTAAATGGGACAGTGGCAATGATAGCTTTCAGTGTGCTTGTCTCCTGAATTGGACATTGGTGCAGTCTGGACTGCTTATCTTATATGTGTAGTGCACAGTTGTGATCCAGAGTTCTTTTCACTGTCATTCTGCAGATTCCCTTTTCGTCTACCCTGTGTTGGATCCCCTGTTTTCTTCATGCCATATCTTCCTCGCTTACAACTTTTTTCCCTCCTGTTTTTTAGAGGACATTGTCTAGTAATTTCCAGACAAAAAGGACAAAGGGATATATCCTTTGATATATTGAAAAGCTGAAAATGCCTGTATGTTATCTTCCTATTAGTAATATGGCTGAATATACCATTCCAATTTAGAAATAATTTTCTTTGGGAATTTTGAAGGCATTTCTTCACTGTTTTCTTGCTTCCAGCATTGCTTTTGAGATTTCTGAACCTGTTCTGATTCCTAATCCTTTGTAATATATGTAATACATGTTTTTCCTTACTATGGAAGCTTATAGGATCTAATCTTCTTACCAGTATTCTCAAATTTCATAATTGTGAGCCATGCTGTGGGTCTGTTTTCATCTAGTATGCTGGGTACTCTTTCAGTATGGAATCACACAGCCTCAACTCTGGAAAATTTTCTTGATTTTTTAAAATTCCCTTTTTCCATTTTCTCTGTTTTCCCTTTCTGAAATCCCTGTTCTATTTTTGAGAAGATTCAAAAAGTTTTTTAACCTTTTTCCTCTTGTTTGTTATTTCTTTTGTCTTCTTTTTTTTCTTCTTCCTCTGGGAGATAGTCTCAACTTTATCTTCAAAGCTTTTTATTGAATTTTTATTTTTGCTCATATTTTTAATTTCAATCTTTGTGTGTTTATATGTGTACATGTCTGTATTCTAAATATTATTTTTCTAAATAGTGTTATTTTTTATGGATACAATATTTTCTCTTAGTTTTTCAAGGATGTAATTTTTTTTGGACATTTCCTTTTCCCTGCATGGATTTTCCAAATTGCTTTTTTAAAAAAAGTTGTTTTATCTTCCATATTCCATGTTAGAAACTTTCTGCAGATATTGGATAGTTCCAGGTTGTAAAGATTAAGAGTGGAGATCTAAAAAGCCAATGGAACAGGCTAAGTTTATGGGGGGTTTGTGGCTTTGAGGTTTACTATAGAATGAGGTTTGTTGGAGAGCCATCAGAATCAGTATTAGATCTTTCTTCTTGAAATAGACATATTCCCACAAAGAGTACCTTTCCAGTTTCCTACATGGAATAGAAAAGATCTGGATGCATCTTCTGGGAGACACATAGAAGAAAGGGTACGTAGTGTCAGCAATCAGCTTTTGGTGTACATTCAGTTAATAATTCTCAAGTTTTGCCAATTAATTCCTAGACCAAAATGTGATTTTACTCTCTCCAGATACGAAACCTCCTGCTGAGTGATCTGGATGGAGTGTTGGTGGGGACATTTAGGGATCCAACTACTTCTTGAAGAATTTTATCCCATGTGTTATTAATTTACCCAATTCCCTCCCAATTTTAGAATAAACACTTGCTGCCATTTCCTGAGCCTTTCAAGGATTCTATAGTATAAGTAGGTTTGTTTCTCACCTCTTCCACCAGTTGGGATTTGGCTTTTTTGACTTGACTTTCATAAGTCCTTTAACCTTATTCATTGGCTTTCAAGCTCCTAAAATGCTATTGCTATCTCCTTCAAGTTTATTTTATTTTTTTGCATTTGTGGGTTTATTAATGTATAAAAAAACAACAAAACTTTTTTTTGTTTTTCTTTTTAAGTAATTTAGTAGGGTTTTTTGAGGGAGTGTATTTATTTTTCTATGTTTCATTTGATCTTTCTTTCTTTGATCGAAAATTGAAAATCCAACTTACAGATCTTTAGTTATGCCTCATGATCTAACTAGAATCAAATACAAGCTAAAAAAAATCTGATTATGCCTTCTCTTTTTAAAATTCATGTTTGTCAGCATATAAACAGAACCAAAGACAAAAACCACATGATTATCTCAATAGATGCAGAAAAGGCCTTTGACAAAATTCAACAACCCTTCAGGCTAAAATCTCTCAATAAATTAGGTATTGATGGGATGTATCTCAAAATAATAAGAGCTATCTATGACACACCCACAGCCAATATCATGCTGAATGAACGAAAACTGGAAGCATTCCCTTTGAAAACTGGCACAAGACAGGGATGCCCTCCCTCACCACTCCTATTCAACGTAGTGTTGGAAGTTCTGGCCAGGGCAATCAGGCAGGAGAAGGAAATAAAGGGCATTCAATTAGGAAAAGAGGAAGTCAAATTGCCCCTGTTTGCAGATGACATGATTGTATATCTAGATAACCCCATTGTCTCAGCCCAAAATCTCCTTCAGCTGATAGGCAACTTCAGCAAAGTCTCAGGATACAAAATCAATGTGCAAAAATCACAAGCATTCTTATACACCAATAACAGACAAACAGAGAGCCAAATCATGAGTGAACTCCCATTCACAATTGCTTCAAAGAGAATAAAATACCTAGGAATCCAACTTACAAGGGATGTGAAGGACCTCTTTAAGGAGAACTACAAACCACTGCTCAATGAAATAAAAGAGGATACAAACAAATGGAAGTACATTCCATGCTCATGGGTAGGAGGAATCAATATCGTGAAAATGGCCATACTGCCCAAGGTAATTTACAGATTCAATGCCATCCCCATCTAGCTACCAATGACTTTCTACACAGAATTGGAAAAAACTACTTTAAAGTTCATATGGAACCAAAAAAGAGCCTGCATTGCCAAGTCAATCCTAAGCCAAAAGAACAAAGCTGGAGGCATCATGCTACCTGACTTCAAACTATACTACAAGGCTACAGTAAACAAAACAGCATGGTACTGGTACCAAAACAGAGATATAGACCAATGGAACAGAACAGAGCCCTCAGAAATAATGCCACGTATCTACAGCTATCTGATCTTTGACAAACCTGAGAAAAACAAGCAATGGGGAAAGGATTCCCTATTAAATAAATGGTGCTGGGAAAACTGGCTGGCCATATGTAGAGAGCTGAAACTGGATCCCTTCCTTACACCTTATACAAAAATTAATTCAAGATGGATTAAAGACTTACATGTTAGACCTAAAACCATAAAAACCCTAGAAGAAAACCTAGGCAATACCATTCAGGACATAGGCATGGGCAAGGACTTCATGTCTAAAACACCAAAAGCAATGGCAACAGAAGCCAAAATTGAGAAATGGGATCTAATTAAACTAAAGAGCTTCTGCACAGCAGAAGAAACTACCATCAGAGTGAACAGGCAACCTTCAGAATGGGAGAAAATTTTTGCAACCTACTCATCTGACAAAGGGCTAATATCCAGAATCTACAATGAACTCAAACAAATTTACAAGAAAAAATCAAACAACCCCATCAAAAAGTGGGCCAAGGATATGAACAGACACTTCTCAGAAGAAGACATTTATGTAGCCAAAAAACACATGAAAAAATGCTCATCATCACTGGCCATCAGAGAAATGCAAATCAAAACCACAATGAGATACCATCTCCCACCAGTTAGAATGGCAATCATCAAAAAGTCAGGAAACAACAGGTGCTGGAGAGGATGTGGAGAAATAGGAACACTTTTACACTGTTGGTGGGACTGTAAACTAGTTCAACCATTGTGGAAGTCAGTGTGGCGATTCCTCAGGGATCTAGAACTAGAAATACCATTTGACCCAGCCATCCCATTACTGGGTATTTACCCAAAGGATTATAAATCATGCTGCTATAAAGACACATGCACATGTATGTTTATTGAGGCACTGTTCACAATAGCAAAGACTTGAAACCATCCCAAATGTCCAACAATGATAGACTGGATTAAGAAAATGTGGCACATATACACCATGGAATACTATGGAGCCATAAAAAAGGATGAGTTCATGTCCTTTGTAGGGACATGGATGAAGCTGGAAACCACCATTCTCAGCAAACTATGGCAAGGAGAAAAAACCAAACACCTCATGTTCTCACTCATAGGTGGGAATTGAACAATGAGAACACGTGGACACAGGAAGGGGAACATCACACACTGGGGCCTGTTGTGGGGTGGGGGGAGGAGGGAGGGATAGCATTAGGAGCTATACCTAATGCTAAATGACGAATTAATGGGTGCAGCACACCAACATGGCACATGTATACATATGTAAGAAACCTGCACGCTATGTACGTGTGCCCTAAAACTTAAAGTATAATAATAATAAAATTTTTTAAAAAATTAAATTAAATTAAAATAAAATTAATATTTGTATTATAAATCATATCAACCTTATTCTCCATGAAATACTTGAACTTTGCTGAACTTTTAAACTTTTGATTTTTAGAATGGATTTATACATTTCTGATGAATTAGTGAAAAATTTAATGTGCATAGAGATGAATGACTGAACTGAATCCATTGAATGCATGTGTATATGTGTCATGAGGTTGAGTCTTCTAGAAGCTACACAGGTCACAATGTAGGCTAAATTCATGCCATTAAGACAGAATGTACTTTAGTCTACATTTATCCTTCAGCAATAAATAGTCAGGATTTAATTTGAACACATTTTTTTTCTAAACCAGATAGTCTACCTCATAGAGGAAAAGTTTTTTCAGTTACGAGACAAGCGCTTGTCCTATCTTCTGACTTTTCAAACAGGAAGCCCAGTGTTCTTTCCAGAAACAGATTATTGCTTTTACCTTAAGTAGAGGAAAAACTCTGTAATTAGTTGTAGAGACAGTGCTTATATTTTCCTTTCAAATCTGATTGTATCAGGATACTATGGCAATTTTTTTCATTTGAAATCTACTTTAATAGTTCAAAGTTTTTGGAGATTCACTTTCATAGTGCTACTTATATTCTACAGTGGGTTTAGTTGGTGGTGGTGGTGGTGAGTTTGGAGGTAGAGGGATGGGAAAAAGAATAGGAGAGGCTGTTGTTTAAGACAAACTTCTATTGCAATGACTCTGTTTCTTATATCCTGGTTTAAAGGATCAGGTGCAGAATAATCACTCACTCCTAGGAAGAAGGATTATTACATGAGTGCAAGCTGTATATCTGATTTTGGCCAATGACCTCAGTGCTATAGACTGAATTGTGTTCTGCCAAAACCCGTATGCTGAAGTCCTAACCTCCAATGTGATTGTGATAGTAATTAGAGATGAGGCCTTTGGGACATAATTAGATTTACATGAGGTCATGAGGGTGGGACCTTCTGATAGGATTAATGCCTTTATTAAAAGAGACACAAGAGAACTTGCATTCTCTCTCTCTCTCCCTCTCTTGCTCTCACTCTCACTCTCTCTTGCTCTTCTTCCCGCCTCCCTCCTTCTCTCTGCCATGTGAATACACATGAAAAAAGCCATCTGCAAGCAGGAAGAGAGCCCTTACCAGAACCTGGTCATACTGACACCCTGATGTCAAACTTCCAGCTTCTAAAACTGAGAAAATAGATTTCTCTTGTTTAAGCTACCCAGTGCTACTTATTTTGTACGGGGACAGGTAGCTTCCATGCCCTTTCTGGTCATTCCACCTTTCCAGCATGTTGTTGATGTGTTCGCCAGCTGGGAAGTTCATCAAGTCTTGCTGCTAAGGAGTTTTTGTAGAGCTCAATCTGAAGTCCCACCCCCTTCAACCCTCTAATTACTTGATCTTTCTGATGACCAGCCCCATCCTGAGGCTATCTAGGGATCCTACCCTAAGTTACCTTATTAACATAAAGTCAGCTAGTTATGAATCAAAAAGAGCTAGTTATGAATAAACAATGATACTCTTATCACTCAGGAAATTCTAAAGGTTTTTGGTGCTCTTTGCCAGGAACCAGAAACAAAAACCAAATGTATTTCTTCTTATACTACACAACCCAAAGTTCATACTCTGTTGTTTGTAATCATCTCCCCTCTCATTCGATCAGATAGATAAAGAAGGGAGAGAAGCAAGAAAATAAGCAAGCATTTTATGTAGTATGTCAGGGTGCTTTCTGACTACAGATGATGGAGAAATGAAATAATAAGGAAAAATGTTATTATTAGAAGGAAATGCTGCCTTCTTTTCCATCACAAATGCCATCACTCAGAGATGAAACAAGTGCTTGCCTTTAGAGGGACTGAGTGGTTATATTGGCTTTGCTACAGAAGAACCTTGGCCCCTCAAACTAGTTAAGTTTGGCAGTGATATTTTGGTTGGTGAGAAACTAATTAGAAGATGGGAGCATTTTACATACTCTTCAAATGACCCAGCATTTCAAACAGATGTTTCAGGAAAATGCATACCTGGTGCTCTTCCATTAGTGAATTACTTTGTTGTAACTGTCACAAGCTCTTTTGGACGGTAATTATGAAGAATTATGTCCCATTTGGCAACTCAAATGTATGCTGTTTAGCTCAATTTGAGGGAAATTTGATGGTAATTATAGGCACAGTTTTTCTGTTAAGTCTTGAAAAGGAACCTATCACAACAGTTGAGAAAACCTGGGTGATAAAGCATAGGAGCAGTCCATATTCTCCAAGAAGTATACATATGAGGGTTCTTATAGGATCTTTAAATGAACACATGTATACACACATGCACACACACACACATTCACTCACACAGCATAAAACCAAAACATCCCCAACTCCAAAACAACTTAAACAAAAATGGACAAGTAGAGAGAGTATAATGTATAATAATAAGACTAGAATAAACTATAACTTGAAGTACTGAAACTGAAAATTTATAGCATTTAAACATGATTACAATAATTGCTGGCTTCATATGATATTTCATAGGTTTTAGTATTCTTAGGATCTCTTTTTTTACATTTAAAATATTAGATTATGTGTCTATAAAATAATACTTTTAATATAATTTTTTAGTTGAAATTATTAGATTTAAAAAAATCCTGTTTGAATTTATAACAGCCCGTCCCCTTAAAGCCAGCAGGCAGAAAACAAGCAACTCAATTTGAGTTGAAATTGAAGATGAAGATAAACAACAGTACTTGCCTAAGATGATAGGAGGTTTGATTCTTTTAAAGTCAAATACAGTAATTATTGTTTTGTTTAGTGACCTTAAGGCTTTCAATTATTAAATAAAAGCTGCAATCACTCGTATTTCCAGAATTAAGAGAAATCCATATGGATCACCATTATGCATGGAAAAAAATTGCCATTATATATCTATATGTTTTATCTTGGGACATGGTGAGGACTTTGCATTTTCCTGTCCGCAAACTCCCAGAATTTTGTTAAGTCATTGGAAGCCAAGCATTAAGTACAAATAGTTTCAGTTTCCATATTTCCTAGCAGGCCAGCCAAGAGCCATCCTAGACAGATGGAAAGAAAAGGTTTATTCCTGGAAAATATGAAGACATTCTTATACTTGTAAATATTTTTTTACCCCATATTTTTGAAATTAACATCTCATTAGCATAGGTTACATTGACTTGTGTTTATAAACCAGCTCTGCATTTCATTTTAGAGCAAGATGAAATATTCATTTCTTTTTTTTTTTTTTTTTTTTGCCATCTTCTAATGTCATATTTACAATAAAGAACATCTGGATATTTGCAATTGGAGAAGTCTTCATGCTTTTGAAATATGACATTCAATAAATAGTTCTTTCACTGCTAAACAGCAATCAGCATGTATCAGATTGTTGGACAGACTTTTTCAATAAAAAGCATTTGCTTTTTCTATTGTTTAAGACATCTTAATATTATAGGTAGGTGGTAAGAAAGCAGGTTAGGCTTTGGGGAAAAAATCTGAAATTTTGTAATAATTTCTGTAATTATGCCAACATAGTTAAGTCTTTATGAATAATGGCCCTTTTTCCTCTTTTGGGCTGACCTGGAGTCCTTTTAAGTGTGAGCATGATGTTACAATACTGCCCCCTACTGTAAGACTTTGGATAATCCTTTCAAAGGAACTTCAAGAAAAACCAGAAGAAACTAACAGATGATTGGGGACAAGCATATCTTATTACATTTGGCATTTTGAAAGTATGTTTTGATGAACAGTTCAGGCCTCTTAAATGCAGAACTCTAGAATAATAGTATAATACATACTTTTGTTTCTCAGTTTGTTTTCTTTTGAATTAATGTTGTTGCTGCTCTGTTCCTTTGAGTTAAACAGAGGAAATTTTCCTCCCCCGCCATGCTTTGGGATGATGGATCTTACTCCGGGTTTTGTGAATGTGTTTCTGTTTTAATTAGTGTTGGTTTCAAGGAATTGTGAATCTTTGAAAAAAGCACACAGGGTGTCTTTGAGGCTGGATAAAGAATGATGCTTTTGTCTATCTTCCGTGTGGCTTTGGTATTTTAATAATAATAACCAATTTTGTGGTAAAGTATATCGATTCAACCAATCCTATCTTGCAGTTCATCCAGTCTTAAATCTAGCTGTCTCTAAATAGCTTTGTATTCTTTTGCATTGAGTAAAACTATAAATTTATGTGAACAAGACATTGGCATGATTTAGACTTTTTTTTTTTTGATGAAAAGTTGAATTCTCCTTCCCCCACCCCTTTTTATGGATATTGCTTTAACGAAATGATTTCAATGACATTTCTTTTGCCAATGCATATTTTCTGACATTAAAAAACAAATCAAAAGCCACTTATCATATGAATCATTGTTAAAGTCAGCAGTAATCCACTGTGTAAAATCTCCCTGCAAAGGCGCAGAGGCTAGGGGCTTAAACCTGGAGCACATTAAATTAGTTCCAGTCTCTCGCGAATGGTCTTTGCCTGGCTTGCTTAGGCAGGCAAAACGGAAACAGGCAGTTTATAACAAGAATCTGCTTTAAAAACCATGGGGTTCATTGGAGAAAGATTTATATCCTCCACTTATATAAACATTACAAATGTGGACTGCAAGTAGGAAGGAAACCTTTATCGAAATCTCTTGAAGAGCTTTTTCACTGAGAGTAAAATGGACAGCATACACTGTTGTTTGAAGACACGCCAGCATTTCGACAATCATGTTTTTCACTGCTTTGCCTGATTAAAATGTAGCATTGTGAAGACTAACCAGACCACCTACTTTCAATTTATTTTCATGATGAGACTATGTTGGCATCAAAAGAGGAGTCAAAAGACTCTGTGCCAAAGGAGAAAATGATCATTTAAGGATTTTTAAAAAGACAAAGTAATTACATGAAGTCTTAGGGTAATGGAATCTGGACATCAGTTTCTGTCACCTCCTGATCTAAAATTATTTTTATATATAAACACTATCCTAGATATCATGTTGTCTTTAGGATTGTAATAGAACACAGATGAGGCTTGAAATATTTGGTCCAATAAAATGAGAAAGGCTGAAAGGAAAGATTACCATTTGAGATTAGAGTAGCTATTTATTTGATATTTCACATATGGTGATGTTAAGTCTTGAGCTAGATTTCTGTTTTTCTCTCATCTGGTTTTATCTCATTTTTAATATCTTGGAAATTGCCATAGAAATGTACTTTTCTTTGCCCTAAATGTGTAATAACAGGGCACTATCACTAAATTAACTTTTTTCTTCAGGCTTGTTATCAGGAGCTATAATTTGATAGGTTTTAGTCACAATCCAGGTAGTACTGAATCAGTTGTTCGTACGATTTCTTCAGTCTGTCTGGAAAGTAGCACATCTGTTTTTAGCATTCTTAGCTGGTTCCAAATGTAAGCTTATTTTAAATGCACCTTAAAAACTGGGGCTGACTATGAGAAGTGGCATGGTGAAAGCATTTGAAGGACACAATGTGAAACCAGGATCCGTAGGAATGTGGGGTTAATATCTCAGTGAGCCCAGACCAGAAGGGTCACCTGGGGGCTATTTGCCTATCAGGACTATTTGCCTTGACTACAATTAGAGGTAAAGGCAGGTTTCTGAAAAGGAAAGTCATTTATTTGACTTCACCAGATGTGCAGAAGTGAAAGATGTGATTAGGTCCAACATAAAAAAATCGGGGAAGTTGTCTCTGACCGATAACATACTATTACTACTACTACTCCTAATAATTTTAGTGGATCTCACTTGTTAAGTTCTTATATGCCATGCCAATGTTAAGTTCTTTACATATACCATTATTTTTAATCCTTACAGCACTCGATTTTTAAATTGACGAAGCTGGGATACAGAGGCTTGAGTAACATGCTCAAGTCACACTACTGGCCGTGGCAGAGCCGGTCCTTGTAACCAGCCATTCTGACTGTAGAGCCCATTCTCTTAGCCTGCTTTACCACTACATGATACATACTGACTTTTCTGTTTTTAAAGCCACTTGGGGTTTTTACATGACATCTGTAACCTATAATCCTGTTAATGTCCAATCTGTCCAGTTCAAATCCATTGACTTTTTATCAGCAGCTGTATCTGTACCTACAGCCATGATGCTCAAATGTGTGGCTCTAAACGAGAAAATAAAATCTTTTTTTAAATTTTTTGAGACAGAGTGTCGCTCGTGTGTACTGGGTTGGAGACAGAAGGGATATAGGGTGATTTGTGCCAGAGGTCATCAGGTAGTGATGAAAAGAAATCTTTGGTTTAGGAGGCTGATACTCTGTAGAGAAGGATTAAGATAAAAGATGGTTTGTGTTCATCTCAGCTAGTCTATGATTTCCTTCAAATCATTAAGTTATCCTAAATCTGTGTTATTTTCTAATGATGGATTTCTACTATGGAAAGCCTCTAGTTTCAACAATAAATTGAAACTACTGGTACTTCTTTGGCTGAGTAAAACTTAGTTCTTTAAGAAATTTGATCTATGTTCATCCGTAATATGAAGAAAAGAATATATGTGTTACTAGAGTGGATTTTCATAGTGAATAATAGTCTTCAAAAGTGAGGCACAAATGTACTGCTAGCAATAACTTATATAATTATAGGTTCTAAAAAGGTTTTAATAGATAATAGTGAGTTTTTTCTTTACATAATTGGAATAAGCATTG
This sequence comes from Homo sapiens, assembly GCF_000001405.40. Taxonomy (NCBI): domain Eukaryota; kingdom Metazoa; phylum Chordata; class Mammalia; order Primates; family Hominidae; genus Homo; species Homo sapiens. The sequence goes on along the minus strand of NC_000004.12, from coordinate 53,194,339 downwards.
ACCAAAAGAAAGAGAATCTCAGAGGTATAAGCTAACATAGTGGTAGTAGTAGTGACAGGAGGAGTGAAAAGGAAAAGAAAACTGCATTCGTTAGTATGTTTACACACGAGACAAAAAGGATGCTCTATAGTTGATGGAAGAAGAGACAAAAGTGTAACTATAGTATTTTAAATGAAGAAGGTAATCAATAGAGAAACCAAAGGTGTTATATAAATGTACGTTGTCTGTGTATATGTTGGTTGTATGTGTAGGGTGGGGATGCAAGCAAGCTAAATTCTAATCCATCATAGTAGGAAGCCAATAGAAAGTGCTAAAAAAGTGATTTTTAAAAGAAGTGGTGTAATTATAGCACTCTATTTTATGACTTGATGCTGATCGCCAGAGTAACCCAAACCAAAAATCAACCCAAAGTGATTTTCTCTGAGAAGTAGGCGCAGACTTGGGAAGGGGTGAGGTAGGAGGCTGCTGCTTTTCATTGTAAATTATTCTGTCCTATTTGAATAGAATCTTATGAACCATGCTTATATTTTACTTTGATAAGAATAAAATATTTTAAAAACAACGGTGATAGAAACAAAAAGTACTCAAAGTTCTATATTTTTAAAAAGGCAAGAAAAATATTTCTTCATGTACTCCATTGTACTTTTCTTTTCCCCCTTAAACAGAGGTCTTAATTTGGCATATAAGTAACTGCTCTTGGCTTTGTTTAGTCTCAAAAGTTCCCTTTGTTGGTAAGGTGAAGGTTTCCAGAGAAGACATTTTTCATAATCTATTTGGTTAATTAGGCGAGGTTTTTTGATGACTGAATAAACCTGACCAATGACCTGTGGACCATTTTGATTAATTTTCAATAGCAAATTACTGAAGTCCATAGATTTAAGTGATGGATGTAGTGACACGATGCCTCAAGTACTTCTTAAATTATTTTTTGTCTTTTGGTTACTGTTACCAGAATATACTTGTATTCTGTAGACCTGTTTCTTTGAAACAGATAATCACAGCAACCTTGACTGTCTGGAATCCTAAAGCTGACTAACCACTTAAGAAATCCTGTTACATTCTCCTTGGAGGTAGTGGTAATCTTAGTTCATTACATACATTTTAATATCAACATTTGTCTTAGTTTCCTTTACAGATGAATTTTGTTCACTTCTTAACATTGTCATTCCTGGATAGACTTGTTTTGGTCATATATATTATTCCTGAAAACTTTATTTGGCTGACCTTAAAGTTATCCTTAGTTTTCAGGAAATTTAGCCATTTCTCAGTTTAGCAGTCTGACAAGTTAGATGTAATTTATGCTTACAACTCGTTTACAATAAGGAGGTTGTTTTTAATTTGTATATTTTTATATTTCCTGAGTATGTAATCTTAGGCTTCATAATTTCTTTTGTGCCATTAACCATGTATAGATAATCAAACCTTCTTGGTGTAACATCCTTAAAGATTCTTATAAGATGCTGTTGTTTTGTAATATTTTTAAATGTGCTATCCTATTAGCACATTTATTATATATTACTAATATCCTATTAGTACACTTACTATAGTAAGATTAGCATTTACTATACAGTGACAGCTCTTCCATGACCTTTTACATCTGTTATCCCATTTAATCATCACAGCAAAACTGTGAGTAAGGCAGAGGAGGAATTACCATCCCCATTTTGTAGATAAGAGAGGATGAGTGACTTGCACGCAGTCATACATTGAGTGGGTCAAGAATGGCAATTCGTGGGGTTTTCTTTTGTATCGTTGCCATTTATTGAATAGTTCATGCTTTCCCCTCTGATTTTTTAAATAAACATTTTATTTAGAATACAGTAGTTTATGTTTACAGAAAAGTTGCACAGATAGTACAGAGAGTTCCTATATACCCCTCACTCAGTTTCCCCTAGAAAATTTGATTCTGACCTTGATTTCATGTTACTCTGCAGTAGGATTTAAATCTACGGCAGAAGGAGTTAAGAGTTTAATGAATCAAACAACAGAATGCAGGGAGTTAAGGGTTCATGCTTACAAACGATAAGGAAAGGTACTAGACTATATACAGCAGGACTTTCAACCCTTCCCTGGCCAGGCAGGCAGTAGAAACAAGATGTAAGACAATAGGGAGTCGTGGGGACAGTGGTGAACCTGAAAACAGGTGCCTAGTGTCAAGGGGCAACTACTCTTTAGTTCCTCTTTTTATTAAGCAGTTCAACTTCGGTGTTGCTTAAAGTTGCAGATTTTTAAGAGAAGTCAGCAGTTTGAATTTGTAATGGGAAATTTGTTAATTTTCAAGACACTCTTTTTGCTAAACAAAACATTTGACTCCCAGAGTCCAGAGCTGGGGATTCCTGACATTAAATGTTAATATTACTGTTCCCCTGTTAAGGCATGTGGGGACAGCCAGGGCTAAACTTATCTTTCCATTTACCTAGAGTGGTCTCTACTGGAAAGGAAATCAGGAAAAGAGTGCTCCAGGGACAGGGACTGTTACAAGCAGTAGAAGTGGGACTTTTTGCATCCAGGAAGCCCCTTTCTAATTGGTGCTTTCTGTTTTTCCAATAGACAAACCTTTTTGCAGTCACAAAGTGTGTTCCTATTGTTTTCTATGACAGTTACTTATTTAATTTCTGTAAGAGAACATATAACCAGCCAGGCGCGGTGGCTCACGCCTATAATCCCAGCACTTTGGGAGGCCGAGGCAGGTGGATCACGAGGCCAGGAGTTTAAGACCAGCCTGGCCAAGATGGTGAAACCCCTTCTCTACTAAAAATACAAAAATTAGCTGGGCACGGTGGCATGCACCTGTAATCCCAGCTACTCGGGAGGCTGAGGCAGGAGAATCACTGGAACCGGGGTGGCAGAGGTTGCAGTGAGCGGAGATCGTGCCACTGCACTCCAGCCTGGGTGATAGAGTGAGACTCTATCTCAAAAAAACAAAAAACAAAACCCATATAACCATAATTTATGAATATTTTCACACTTGATTTTTTTGCTAATGAATATCACTCAAATGTTATGTTCGTTTGTTTATTTATTTCTTATTTTTTGAGATAGAGTCTTGCTCTGTTGCCCAGGCTGGAGTACAGTGGCACGATCTCAGCTGCCTCCCAAGTAGCTGGGATTACAGCCACCTGCCACCAGGCCCAGCTAATTTTTCGTATTTTTAGTAGAGATGGGGGTTTCACCATGTTGGCCAGGCTCGTCTTGAACTCCTGACCTCAAGTGACCTGCCCTCCTCAGCCTCCCAAAGTGCTGGGATTACAGGCGTGAGCCACAGCACTCTGCCCTCAAATTTTATATTTAATACTGTTTTAGATCTAAAGCAAAGTAAATGCAACCCTTATACTTTCTGGTTATTGGTGTAGTTTTTTGTGATAACACATTTCATTTCTTAAATAATTTTTATGTCTTAACTTCTGTAATATAAGGGAATATTTTATAGTGATTATGGTTTTAAATATATTTATAGGAATTCTCTAGTTTTAACTTCTGAAGGAGTTCACAGACATAACCTTCTGTAGTTTATTTGATTGGAAAATCTTCATATTTAATTTGAATCAGAGCACTTCATGATTTAGTTGTAGTTCTCTTGTGTTATATTTCTTCGTTCATTTATTCAGCATCTATTATTTCCTTGGCATTGAGGATTCAACAGAGAACAAAAAACAGACTGAAATCTCTGCCTTCATGGAGTTTATCTTTTAGTATGGGAAGACAGATAGACGATGAAGAAAATAAATAAGTGAATCATATATTAGAAAGTATAATGCCGTGGATAAATGCCATGGAATAGGAAGTATTAGAGGTGGAGTAGTTTGCAATTGTAAAAAGGAGGGTCAAGAAGGCCTCACTAAGAAGGTGACATTTGGACAAACACCTGAAAAGGAATAGCCACTTGTATCATCTATTGGCAGAGGTTATAGCAAAAACAAAGGTCCCGAGATGAGAAGTGCCAGGTGTTTTCAAAGAGCAAGGATGCCCATGTGGCTGGAGCACAGCAGGCAAGGAGAACAGCCGAGGTCAAACAGAGCCTGTAGGGCCTTGTAGACCATGATAAGGACACATACACAAAACACACACGCCAACATCTGTCTATGCTACAGTTTCAGAGCTGTTTCTCAGTAGTCAAGTAGAAGATGCCAGTGATTGGGGATTATTTTTCATTATTAAAGTATTTTGTGCCTGTTGAAGATAAGGCTAAGGAGAAGATGAGGAGATACATTGACTGTTTCAGGAGGGATTCAGATCAGTTAAATATTGGAATGTGACTCCAGATTATCTGGTTTCCAATATAGAGTTAGACCTTTCTGTGTATTTTCATATCATGTTACTGATATCTTTATTATAGCATTCATGTTATTGTTTAGTTTGTATTGAAAATAAGTCCCAAAAGATTAGTTAATTCACGTATTCATTTTTCAGCAAAAATTTATTGGGTGATGTTGTGTTCTAGGCACTGGGTTAGGCTTTGGAGTAAGCAGTGATATACACTTAAGGATGTAGCCAATATTCTGGTGATGTATTCTAGTACAATGACAGTCACACAGATCTGCTTGGAGGTAGCATAGAGTAACCTCCTCCAGTCTATTTTGTGTGTGTCTAAAAGCAATTTAGGTAGTGCTATGCACTGAATGTTTGTGTCTCTTCCAAATCCCTATGTTGAAGCCCTAAGCTCCAATGTGATGGTATTTGGAGGTGGGGCCTTTGAGAGGTAATTAAGTTTAGATGAGGTCATGAGGGTGGGGTCCTTATAATGGGATTAGTACCCTTATAAGAAGAAATTAGAGAATTCCTCCCTTACTGCTCTCTCAGGCCCCGCCATGCAAGGATACAGCCAAGAAGGAAGCGAAGTTTGCAAGCTAAGAAATGTCTTGTTTAAGCTACCCAGTCCATGATATTTTGTTATAGTAACCCATGCTGACCAAGACAGGTAGATCAACTGGGGAGGGAAGGGACAACCATCTAACTTTCCTTTCCCCCATATTTATTGTCTCCTTTTAGTCTCATGTGACAGAATCTAAATCAGATGGTGATGAATAGCTTCAGGCATGTTTGGATCCAGCTTTTAAAAATAGTTTATCAGGAATCTGTTTTTCTTTGTTTTTTAATCCTACTCACTTTTTTACTGTTTTGTTTTTAGATATCCTCTTTCCAAGTGATGGCAAAGCTGTGCCCAACAGCAATAGCTTACATTCTTTCAGCATGAAACTCCAGCAAAAGGAACGTGCTTCTTTCCCAGGAGCTTAGAGAAAAGTTTTAAGGCTGATAATTCTTGTCACCAGTGGGACTAGCTTGGGCTATGTGCTTGATGAATATTTATTCTGTCTAGGGGAATGAATACATTGCATGAGCATTCCTGAGTTACCTGTCAGTTCCTGAAGTTTGGAAATGGAGGTGATCATATGAACCAAAATGGGAGAGTCCCCTAAATAAAAACTGGGTGCTATTATTCAGAGAAGGGGCAATGGATGCTGGGCAGGAAAAAAACAAGTGAGCACTGCATTTGGGATAGACTGGATAGACAATTTAAACAGTTATGTACTTAGACCTCCCCGCCCTTTTTTCTAGCATTTTGTGTTCAAGATTTATCTTACTAGATGGAATTAAGAATTTTCAACTAGGTCTATTCTCTCATTGGTTTTGAAAAGGCATGAGTTAATAGATTGCTTTCAATACTGTAATACCATGGCTTTCACTACTGTTTACTTTGGGAATCTTTGGTAACAGTCGTTAAGAATGAATGAACGTGCAATCTAGTTACATAGTGATGTGCCTGCTCCTTCCTTGCCATGTAGGGAGGATGGGGCTAAATATATTTGTATTCAGACTGGCTCCCTTATGAAGTTGGCCCTTTCGTAGATTTATTATGAAGTTGGAAAGCCACTAAACACACACACACACACACACACACACACACACACACACACACACACCAGTTTTGAAGTGTGAGGACTTTGTCCTCTAGCCTATTTTCAAAGTGGTTGAACTATTGTTCCCTTAGCTGTAACCAAGCATTTGAACTGTCAGGCAAAAGGTTTCTTTAAATTTGCAGAAAGCAATGAGTTACAGCGTGGGTAAACACAGATTGGAAGTGTTTCTACAACTATAACCATACAGATCACTAAATCTTCCATAATTAATGTTTGCTTTGCTTTTTCTTTTTGCTGCTGAGTAAGCATGAGATTAAGGTTTTAGCTTTATCCAGTACTGCTTAGTTATTTGTCTTTTTTTCTATTGCCATTTAACCATTAAGCATAGGATGTTCCCTTGAGTTGTTTTTTGTATTTGATTGAATTTTTCTGCTAAACTGCTTGAGCTGTTTCTGTACCAATAGAACCTGTGGGCTGAAGCTCATTACTGTATGACTTTTATAAGGAGCACAGTGCAGCCACAATTAAAGATATATTCTACCTGAACAATGGGCAAGAATATCTCTTGATGTTTAATTTTTCCTTTTGGAAAGATAATTTTTATTTTGTTAATTATGAAGATATGTTTATCATAAAGAATTTAGAAAATGTTATGGTTTTCCAAAGTCATCTATAATTTTATTACCTGGAGATAATCAGTGTTAGCATTTTGATATCTTTCCTTTCAGATCTTTCTTGTGTGTGTATATACACACACTCATACCTACACACATTTTGTTATTGTTGTTGTTTTAATGAAAATGGGACCATATAATAAGCTGTTATATCATATTTGTTTCATTTATGGCATTAAGTATCTCCCACAAGATCACAGCAGTCAGTTTTGTAAAGGTATTTAGTTTACTAACTAGTCTCATTGTTAGATCACTAGGTTATGTCTAGTTTTTCACTCTTATAAACAAGGCTGCAGTTTACATCTTTGTGCATATCAGTGATTATTTCCTTGGTATAAATGCCTCAATTTCCTAGGTCATAACATATGTACTTTTTTCTTTTTTTAGATTTTTATGGATGTATAATAATTATGCATTTTTAGGAAGGTATGCACATTTTAAGGCTTTTGATGGTTATTGGCAAAGTGCCCTCAGAAATATGCCAATTTAAGCTTTCCACAAGACTCTCTATGCTGTCCATTGCTTCACAGCATTGTCAATATTGCTGATTTAATAAGAAGAAAAATTTAATGAATACTTTCTAATTTCTTAAATAAGGTGTGTTTTCTCATGTTTTTCTCATTTGTATATATTAATGTTTTGTGAAATGCTGAGCTCGGCTTTCCTTTCTTTTCTACTGGAGTTTTAATCTTATTAATTTGTACAAGCTTTTCATGTATTTATGACAGTAATTTTTTTTTCTGTTTGTCATTTGATACTGATTGACTTGATTGATACTTTTATAGCATAAATGCTTTTTTCTTTTTACAGTCAACTCTATCTTTTCCTTAATTGGTTTGTTTTGAAATGTTTATGGAAGACATTATGTCATGCGTTGTGTTGAGAGCCTGATAGTCATTATCTCCTTCATTCCACTGTGCAACCGTGTAAGTCAGATATTGTCATCATCCCCATTTTACGGTTGAATAAACTGACTCTACAAACAGCAAATTGGGAATCAAAACCATGTAGCCTAACTCAGAGCTGGCTCCCTTGAACATTTATTTAATTCTTCTCTTGCTTGATTTTGCTCTTGGTGTCCTATTTAGGCCTTCTACCTCTAAAGATTTTGTAACCATTCACCTGTATTTTCTTTCAGTATAATTATGGTTTAATGTTTACCTAATATTTAAATGTTTTATCTCATGATCTCTGGGATCTCTTTTGTTCTGTCATCTGCAGAAACAGAATAACTGCTTGTTGCTTTTTATTCATGACTCTTTCTTTGTTTTTAGAGCTGCTGCTAAATTCCTTTCTTCCTTTTTTCCCATATTAATGCTAGTATAAGTAAGTTCAACAAACATTTTCTGGACATGTTCTTCGTGCAAGAATCTCTGCCAAGCATTGTAGGAATACAAAAGTGAGTAAGACAGAGTCTGCCTCCCCAGAAACTTGTGATGTAATGACAAGAAAGAGAAGCATTCATAAAGAGCTTTAGGGGGAACTATGGTAAGTCCCGTAAGAGATACACATAATATAGTGGGAAAAGGGGGAGGTAGAATATAATATGAATTGGGAAATAATTAAGGAAGGATTTGTGAGGAAGTGAAATTTAAACCAGATCTTGAAGGGTGGGAAAGACTCAGACTCTAAAACTGGGATAATAATAGCACCATCTTATAGGACTGTCATAAAGATCAAGTGAGTTCATACATGTGAAGCGTGTGAGACACTACCTGGCATGCAGTCAAGACCTAAGTCAATGTTAAGCACTGTTTTCATGATCACAACTTGAACAAAAGTTAGAAAAGTGCTGACTGTAGAATAAGGCCTACCCTGTAGATTTTTACTTACGAAGCAGAATATCCCTTTGATTTTTTTGTGTTAGTAGTTGCTGAATTGTACATTTCACTGTTTTCACAAAGTTATCCATGTTGCATCTCAAGGAGGGCAGGATATTTCTGAAGGAAAATAAATTTAATTAACTTGGAGCCAGTTTTATTAACTTTTATATATTATGCTTTTATTTTGAAAATTGTTCATTGGCTACTAATTAACCTTAGAAAGAGGTTTAAGAGAGTCTGAGAGCCTTAGTTAAAGATTGTAATCACAGTTAAATTTAAATATCTTCAAACAGTGATATATATGTTATGGGTATGCCTTTTATTACTCTTGGTAACTTAATAGAGTAATTCCAGCTTAATTTAGATAATAAAAAGAGTTTTAAAAAATTATATTTGATACTTTTGCTGTTTTGGGGACTTGCAGGTTTCTCTTGGTTGCTGGTAGGACCCTGCCAGGGAACAACAGTCAACATGAGAGACTAGGAAGCAGGAAGCTTGGAGTCTACAATAGAATTTTAAGAGCAGCACTATATAGCATAATGGAGTGCCACTTGAAATGAAATAAATGCGTTATAATTATTATTATAATTCAAAGCAGCTAAGAGTTACTTACTTCTGTAATATATCTAAAATGTTAGTTTCCTATTCAGAGCAGCATTTTCAAGGGTGCCATTCTTGGTTTCCTGGTGCCAAGTATTATTTTCGATTAAAATTGCCATGGTTTACTACAACCTAAGGGCATGAGATAAGGTGTTTTGTGATTATGGTTGCTATACAGTTTACTTATCATAAATTTAATATCACAAAGGATTATCATTTCAAAAGAATTTTGTTACTCTCTATATTTCTCTTTGGATTGCAGGTTCCACTGTGTCAGCCCCTGTAGCCTGAATTAAGTGAAGAATATTTTTCTCTCTTATCAGTCTATAATGTTGAGAGTCAATTAGCTATTGGTAATGTTCACTGGCTTCTATTTAGGGAGAGTATTTTTATATTTTATTTGTTTTTTTCTAAATGCTTTTTCCCTCTAGCAAAGAGATGCATCAAATTCATCACAACAAATCCATCTACAAAGAGAATGCTTGCTCACCAGGAAAGTTAATCTCTTGTAGCTGGTAGAAAGATTGTTTCATGGGCCCGCAGGGTATATTAGAGCAAGTAAGAAGTTTCCAAGCTTCTACAAAGCCTCATGATAACAAACAAGAGTAGTTCTTTTTGCATAGCACTATTGATACTTGACATGAAGTAAACAGTAAGTGAGGGATTGATGAGTTGAGTTCCCTATTGCCAACAGCTTGCTTAAGAGTGGTTCACCAGCCATCTCAAAAGGCCTTTGGACAAACAGAGTAGATATTAGTTAAATTTGCTAGGATATATCTTATGCTTTTCTAATAAATGGACCCTAAAATACAGTAGATATAAGCAAGATAGAAATTTTATTCTTTCTCATGTAAAAATCTCCATCAGTGGTCTAGAGCTGGCAATGCAATTTCTTGGTATGAGGGTTCCAGTTACTGTTGTTCTGCTGTCTATACTATATCCATTTTGTGGTCCGAAATAGCTGTTTTAGCTCTTGAAATTATTTCCTGATTCCAGAGATCAAAGATAGAAACAGAAAGGAACAGATGGGTAGAGTATGTTCCCTTTAAGGTGATGACCCAGAAATTGTAATTTCACTACATCTCCCACCCTCCCATTGGCAAGATCTCACTTCCAGGACCACATCTAGTTGCAAGGACTGGTGGGAAATGTGGTCTTTTTCCCTAGGTAACCATGTGCCAAGCTAAACGGGTGGTTATGTTACTAAATGATGTAAGGAAAATTGAATATTTGGGCACAAGAAACAATCTCCAATACAATGGCCTTTACCACTAGTTATAGTACGGAAAGTCAGTGACATAAATTACATTTTTAAATGGGATATTTTTCTAGGAGTAGGTTACGTTATCTAGCTAATTTTGTAGTCTCTGAAAGGCATTTGTTGTATTAGGCAATGCTGATGAAACTGGCTACATCATCATCCTTGCTTGGATTAACTGTTGTATGTGCTTGCTCAGATTAACTGTTCTGTGTGTCATTGTTATGCAGATATGAAGCCAAGAACATGCAGCCTGTTATATGTTCAGGACACTTTTGAATGAAGAAATGAAAGCTAGTACAACTTTGTTCTAAAAGGTGTTTCTTTATAACTGTTAAGTAGTTTCCATCATCCTAGTAGCCAAAATGTAAGAAAGATGGAAGATTTCATAAGGGTTCCAAAGTTTAGGCATGTTCTTATTTTAATCCTGTTAAATGTTAGTTTTCATTTCTTTTTTTTTTTAATTTTATTATTATTATACTTTAAGTTTTAGGGTACATGTGCACAACGTGCAGGTCTGTTACATATGTATACATGTGCCATGTTGGTGTGCTGCACCCATTAACTCGCCATTTAGTATTAGGTATATCTCCTAATGCTATCCCTCCCCACTCCCCCACCCCACAACAGTCCCTGGTGTGTGATGTTCCCCTTCCTGTGTCCATGTGTTCTCATTGTTCAGTTCCCACCTATGAGTGAGAACATGCGGTGTTTGGTTTTTTTGTCCTTGCGATAGTTTGCTGAGGATGATGGTTTCCAGCTTCATCCATGTCCCTACAAAGGACATGAACTCATCATTTTTTATGGCTGCATAGTATTCCATGGTATATATGTGCCACATTTTCATAATCCGGTCTATTGTTGTTGGACATTTAGGTTGGTTCCAAGTCTTTCCTATTGTGAATAGTGCCGATATAAACATACGTGTGCGTGTGTCTTTATAGCAGCATGATTTATAATCCTTTCGGTATATACCCAGTAATGGGATGGCTGGGTCAAATGGTATTTCTAGTTCTAGATCCCTGAGGAATCGCCACACTGACTTCCACAATGGCTGAACTAGTTTACAGGCTCACCAACAGTGTAAAAGTGTTCCTATTTCTCCACATCCTCTCCAGCACCTGTTGTTTCCTGACTTTTTAATGATCGCCATTCTAACTGGGGTGTGATGGTATCTCATTGTGGTTTTGATTTGCATTCTCTGATGGCCAGTGGTGATGAGCATTTTTTCATGTGTTTTTTGGCTGCATTAATGTCTTCTTTTGAAAAGTGTCTGTTCATATCCTTGGCCCACTTTTTGATGGGGTTGTTTTTTTTTTCTTGTAAATTTGTTTGAGTTCATTGTAGATTCTGGATATTAGCCCTTTGTCAGATGAGTAGGTTGCAAAAATTTTCTCCCATTCTGAAGGTTGCCTGTTGACTATGATGGTAGTTTCTTTTGCTGCGCAGAAGCTCTTTAGTTTAATGAGATCCCATTTGTCAATTTTGGCTTTTGTTGCCATTGCTTTCGATGTTTTAGACATGAAGTCCTTGCCCATGCCTATGTCCTGAATGGTATTGCCTAGGTTTTCTTCTAGGGTTTTTATGGTTTTAGGTCTAACATTTAAGTCTTTAATCCATCTTGAATTCATTTTTGTGTAAGGTGTAAGGAAGGGATCCAGTTTCAGCGTTCTGCATATGGCTAGCCAGTTTTCCCAGCACCATTTATTAAATAGGGAATCCTTTCCCCATTGCTTGTTTTTGTCAGGTTTGTCAAAGATCAGATAGTTGTAGATATGTGGCATTATTTCTGAGGGCTCTGTTCTGTTCCATTGGTCTATATCTCTGTTTTGGTACCAGTACCACGCTGTTTTGGTTACTGTAGCCTTGTAGTATAGTTTGAAGTCAGGTAGCATGATGCCTCCAGCTTTGTTCTTTTGGCTTAGGATTGACTTGGCAGTGTGGGCTCTTTTTTGGTTCCATATGAACTTTAAAGTAGTTTTTTCCAATTCTGTGAAGAAAGTCATTGGTAGCTTGATGGGGATGGCATTGAATCTATAAATTACCTTGGGCAATATGGCCATTTTCACGATATTGATTCTTCCTAGACATGAGCATGGGATGTTCTTCCATTTGTTTGTATCCTCTTTTATTTCCTTGAGCAGTGGTTTGTAGTTCTCCTTAAAGAGGTCCTTCACATCCCTTGTAAGTTGGATTCCTAGGTATTTTATTCTCTTTGAAGCAATTGTGAGTGGGAGTTCACTGATGATTTGGCTCTCTGTCTGTTATTGGTGTATAAGAATGCTTGTGATTTTTGCACATTGATTTTGTATCCTGAGACTTTGCTGAAGTTGCTTATCAGCTTGAGGAGATTTTGGGCTGAGACGATGGGGTTTTCTAGATATTCAATCATGTCATCTGCAAACAGGGACAATTTGACTTCCTCTTTTCCTAATTGAATACCCTTTATTTCCTTCTCCTGCCTGATTGCCCTGGCCAGAACTTCCAACACTATATTGAACAGGAGTGGTGAGAGAGGGCATCTCTGTCTTGTACCCGTTTTCAAAGGGAATGCTTCCAGTTTTTGCCCATTCAGTATGATATTGGCTGTGGGTTTGTTATAGATAGCTCTTATCATTTTGAGATACATCCCATCCATACCTAATTTATTGAGAGTTTTTAGCCTGAAGGGTTGTTGAATTTTGTCAAAGGCCTTTTCTGCATCTATTGAGATAATCATGTGGTTTTTGTCTTTGGTTCTGTTTATATGTTGGATTACATTTATTGATTTGTGTATGTTGAACCAGCCTTGCATCCCAGGGATGAAGCCCACTTGATCATGGTGGATAAGCTTTTTGATGTGCTGCTGGATTCAGTTTGCAGGATTTTATTGAGGATTTTTGCATCGATGTTCATCAAGGATATTGGTCTAAAATTCTCTTTTTTGGTTGTGTCTCTGCCAGGCTTTGGTATCAGGATGATGCTGGCCTCATAACATGAGTTAGGGAGGATTCCCTCTTTTTCTATTGATTTTCTATTGATTTCAGAAGGAATGGTACCAGGTCCTCTTTGTACCTCTGGTGGAATTCGGCTGTGAATCCATCTGGTCCTGGACTTTTTTTGGCTGGTAAGCTATTAATTATTGCCTCAATTTCAGAGCCTGTTATTGGTCTATTCAGAGATTCAACTTCTTCCTGGTTTAGTCTTGGGAGCATGTATTTGTCGAGGAATTTATCCATTTCTTCTAGATTTTTCTAGTTTATTTGCGTAGAGGTGTTTATAGTGTTCTCTGATGGTAGTTTGTATTTCTGTGGGATTGGTGGTGATATCCCCTTTGTCATTTTTTATTGCGTCTGTTTGATTCTTCTCTCTTTTCTTCTTTATTAGTCTTGCTAGCGGTCTGATCAATTTTGTTGATCTTTTCAAAAAACCAGCTCCTGGATTCATTAGTTTTTTGAAGGGTTTTTTGTGTCTCTGTTTCCTTCAGTTCTACTCTGATCTTAGTTATTTCTCGCCTTCTTCTAACTTTTGAATGTGTTTGCTCTTGCTTTTCTAGTTCTTTTAATTGTGATGTTAGGGTGTCAATTTTAGATCTTTCCTGCTTTCTCTTGTGGGCATTTAGTGCTATAAATTTCCCTCTACACACTGCTTTGAATGTGTCCCAGAGATTCTGGTATGTTGTGTCTTTGTTCTCGTTGGTTTCAAAGAACATCTTTATTTCTGCCTTCATTTCATTATTTACCCAGTAGTCATTCAGGAGCAGCTTGCTCAGTTTCCATGTAGCTGAGCGGTTTTGAGTGAGTTTCTTAATCCTGAGTTCTAGTTTGATTGCACTGTGGTCTGAGAGACAGTTTATTATAATTTCTGTTCTTTTACTTTTGCTGAGGAGTGCTTTACTTCCAATTATGTGGTCAATTTTGGAGTAGGTGTGTTGTGGTGCTGAAAAGAATGTATATTCTGTTGATTTGGAATGGAGACTTCTGTCGATGTCTATTAGGTCCGCTTGGTGCAGAGCTGAGTTCAATTCCTGGGTATCCTTGTTAACTTTCTGTCTCGTTGTTCTGTCTAATGTTGACAGTGGGGTGTTAAAGTCTCCTACTATTATTGTGTGGGAGTCTAAGTCTCTTTGTAGGTCACTAAGGACTCGCTTTATGAATCTGGATGCTCCTGTATTGGGTGCATATATATTTGGGATGGTTAGCTCTTCTTGTTGAATTGATCCCTTTACCATTATGTAATGGCCTTCTTTGTCTCTTTTGATCTTTGTGGGTTTAAAGTCTGTTTTATCAGAGACTAGGATTGCAACCCCTGCCTTTTTTTGTTTTCCATTTGCTTGGTAGGTCTTCCTCCACTCCTTTATTTTGAGCCTATGTGTGTCTCTGCACGTGAGATGGGGTTCCTGAATACAGCACACTGATGGGTCTTGACTCTTGATCCAATTTGCCAGTCTGTGTCTTTTAATTGGAGCATTTAGTCCATTTACATTTAAAGTTAATATTGTTATGTGTGAATTTGATCCTGTCATTATGATGTTAGCTGGTTATTTTGCTCATTAGTTGATGCAGTTTCTTCATGGCATCAATGGTCTTTATAATTTGGCATGTTTTTGCAGTGGCTGGTACTGGTTGTTCCTTTCATCTTTAGTGCTTCCTTCAGGAGCTCTTTTAGGACTGGCCTGGTGGTGACAAAATCTCTCAGCATTTGCTTGTCTGTAAAGTGTTTTATTTCTCCTTCACTTAATGAAGGTTAGTTTGGCTGGATATGAGATTCTGGGTTGAAAATTCTTTTTTTTAAGAATGTTGAATATTGGTCCCCACTCTCTTCTGGCTTGTAGAGTTTCTGCCGAGCGATCAGCTGTTAGTCTGATGGGCTTCCCTTTGTGGGTAACCCAACCTTTCTCTCTGGCTGCCCTTAACATTTTTTCCTTCATTTCAACTTTGGTGAATCTGACAATTATGTGTCTTGGAGTTGCTCCTCTTGAGGAGTATCTTTGTGGTGTTTTCTGTATTTCCTGAATTTGAATGTTGGCCCGCCTTGCTAGATTGGGGAAGTTCTCCTGGATAATATCCTGCAGAGTGTTTTCCAACTTGGTTCCATTCTCCCCATCACTTTCAGGTACACCAATCAGATGTAGATTTGCTCTTTTCACAGAGTCCCATGTTTCTTAGAGGCTTTGTTCCTTTCTTTTTATTCTTTTTTCTCTAAACTTCTCTTCTCACTTCATTTCATTCATTTGATCTTCCATCACTGATACCCTGTCTTCCAGTTGATCGCATCGGCTACTGAGGCTTTCTGCGTTCATCACGTAGCTCTCGTGCCTTGGTTTTCAGCTCCATCAGGTCCTTTAAGGACTTCTCTGCATTGGTTATTCTAGTTATCCATTCGTCTAATTTTTTTTCAAAGTTTTTAACTTCTTTGCCATTGGTTTGAATTTCCTCCTGTAGCTCGGAGTAGTTTGATAGTCTGAAGGCTTCTTCTCTCAACTCGTCAAAGTCATTCTCCGTCCAGCTTTGTTCCATTGCTGGTGAGGAGCTGCATTCCTTTGGAGGAGGATAGGCGCTCTGATTTTTAGAGTTTCCAGTTTTTCTGCTCTGTTTTTTTCCCATCTTTGTGGTTTTATCTACCTTTGGCCTTTGATGATGGTGATGTACAGATGGGTTTTTGGTGTGGATGTCCTTTCTGTTTGTTAGTTTTCCTTCTAGCAGACAGGACCCTCAGCGGCAGGTCTATTGGAGTTTGCTAGAGGTCCACTCCAGACCCTGTTTGCCTGGGTATCATCAGTGGTGGCTGCAGAACAGCGGATATTGGTGAACCGCAGATGTTGCTGCCTGACCGTTCCTCTGGAAGTTTTGTCTCAGAGGAGTACCCGGCTGTGTGAGGTGTCAGTCTGCCCCTACTGAGGGGTGCCTCCCAGTTAGGCTACTCGGGGGTCAGGGACCCACTTGAGGAGGCCGTCTGCCTGTTCTCAGGCATGACGGGAGAACCACTACTCTCTTTAAAGCTGTCAGAGAGGGACATTTAAGTCTGCAGAGGTTACTGTTGTCTTTACATTTGTCTGTGCCCTGCCCCCAGAGGTGGAGCCTACAGAGGCAGGTAGGCCTCCTGGAGCTGTGGTGGGCTCCACCCATTTCTAGCTTCCCATCCACTTTGTTTACCTAATCAAACAACTAACCCGAAAATGGCGGGCGCCCCTCCCCCAGCCTTGCTGCCACCTTGCAGTTTGATCTCAGACTGCTGTGCTAGAAATGAGTGAGACTCTGTGGGCGTAGGACCCTCTGAGCCAGGTGCAGGATATAATCTCCTGGTGTGCCATTTTTTAAGCCCATCAGAAAAGTGCAGTATTAGGGTGGGAGTGACCTGCTTTTCCAGGTGCCATCTGTCACTGCTTTCTTTGACTAGGAAAGGGAATTCCCTGACCCCTTTCGCTTCCCGGATGAGGCGATGCCTTGGCTCGCACACGGTGCGCTGCACCCACTGCCCTGCACCTACTGTCTGGCACTCCCCACTGAGATGAACCCGGTACCTCAGTTGGAAATGCAGAAATCACCCGTTTTCTGCATTGCTCACGCTGGGAGCTGTAGACCGGAGCTGTTCCTATTCGACCATCTTGGCTCCTCTCCCAGTCCTCCTTTTCATTTCTTATTGTTTTTTATTTTTACTTTTTTGCTCAATTTACTTTGAGTTACAAAACAAACAAACAAACAAACAAATAAATAAACCTTAATACCCTCTCCCTTCTCCTAACCCACTCCTTGGCCCTCTCTCCTCCAGATTCTGCATGGTCTTTACTTCCTCCAGGATGCTTTCTTTACCTGATACCTCAATTGTGGATTGGGTGCCCCAAGCATGTATTACTGTAACACCAGGGATGCTATTTACTTTCTTCAACTAACTCTCTGTTTTATCATTGTCTGCTTATATGATTCTATCCCCCACTAGACTCTAAGCTTTATAAGGGGATGACCTATGTTGTTTATTCACCAATGTATCTCTTCTATCTGGCACTCAGTGCCTGAACACACATTTGTTAAAGAAATGTAAAAATGAATGGGTGAAGAAAAGGAAGAGGAAGAAGGAAAAGCTAACAAAAAGGGAACAGGAAACAGATAAAGAAGAAGGAAGTACATTTGATTTCATGATGTCTACCTGTTTAAAACCTGTTTCTCTTTCTTTTTTTTCTTTCTTTTTTTTTTTTTTTTTGAGATTGTTGTCACTCTGTTTTCCAGGCTGGAGTGCAGTGGCACAATCTCAGCTGACTGCAACCTTTGCCTCCCGGGTTCAAGTGATTCTCCTGCCTCAGCATACCGAATAGCTGGGATTACAGGCAACCACCACCACACCCAGCTGGTTTTTGTATTTTTAGTAGAGATGGGATTTCACCATGTGGGCAGGCTGGTCTAGAACTCCTGAACTCAGGTGATTCACCCGCCTTGGACTCCCAAAGTGCTGGGATTACAGGCGTGAGCCACTGCACCCATCCAAAACCTGTTTCTGTCTGACCCACCCAACTGTCAGTTTTCTCACAGTGCAGTCAGAACAGTGGTCTAGAAGGCTTTTTCTCTCAGCTGCCATTTGTTTAGCATGGTAGTTATTCCTTTCTCTCTATTCAGGTCCCTTCTCTAAGCTCATAGTGGAAAGCAAAGGCAATTTAGGGTGTGGTGAAAGTGAGAGTGTTTCTGTGTTGGCTAAGTTGTCTGGCCAAGGTAACAGTTTCATTTCCTCCCCAAGGTATCTCAGCAGTTCACTCCCAAAGAGCTCTAAGAGGCTTAAGGAGGGTTTCAGTTATGTGTTTCAACTATGTATTATATTCTACCAGTTCACAAAAATAAATTTCCTTTGAGTGTTGTCTGTATTACTAACTTAAAAATCTATCCAGTGTTTTTAGACTTGGCAAAATATGTTTTACTTATACTTTAATTCGCAGACTTTTGAAAGAAGTTGTTTGTAGGTAGGCTATAATGTATCTGGTTTGACTGTTATTTAATTGAAATCTAAGTATTCAATGACACATTTTTATCATGGTACATTCCATTATTATCTTCAACATTGAGAACACTTTCTCAATTGAATGAGACTGTTTTGTAAAATAAAGTAAAAAATATCATTTGAATAGATAGAAAATAATAGAAAATGGACAACTATGTGACAAGTAGAAAGGTGTGAAGAATGGAATGGGAGAAGAATCATCTCAATAGTTATAAATTCACAGTCTTGGGTTTAGAGCCTTAATGAATAATTAAGGAAGTCAGGGACTAGGAAGATATAAAGATTCCTTATGTGTTATGGGATTGTAAAGCTAGAACCAGGGACCTTTGGAATCCTCTTGTTCAGTGTTCCAATTTTATAGATGAGGAGAGAGCCTAAGTGGTATATCCAGGGTCACTGAAAGTGGCAGTTGTCTTATCTGCTAGTGTGCTTTTCCATTTTTGAAAGTGTCATGGCTTATAGTCATGAGGTCCAATAAATTATTCATGGAGACAATTTTAAAGATGCCAAAGTGTCCTAAATTAGTCATTGATCTTTGTGCTTTAAATCTTTCCTGAGAAAAGATAAGGCATAAATAAACTAATAACAGATATAAATCTGATTCATGGTAATATTTCAATTAGGAGTTTCAATTTTCAATTAGGAACTAATTTCAGTCTATAATGAATGCTAAAGAAATGAAAAAATTTCAGAAGTAGTTATATGAACTCATTGAATTACTTGCAGATTAAAATAATTTTTAGCCTCGTTCCATGTACAAATAAAATTTTAAATTTAGTAGGATTTTTTGTTATATTTTAATTATTTGGAAAACATTACAATTTGTCTCAAGTGAATTTGAACATCCAATTTCCTAGTCCCTGAAAACAGGAAATTCAAAAATTTAAACCAAGCTAAAAGATATCACATTACATGGCTTTGTTTTAAGAAATAAAACTTATTTCTGTATTCATATTTGCTTTTTAATTTAGAGAAGTTATTAACTCTAAAAGTGATTTGAAGTTTTTCTATTTGTTAGGGTACCTTATTAGTTCTGTATTTCAATTCAGACTCCTGTGGAATTCTATGGGGATTGTTAAAGTATGCAGCCATTGTGGGGGGAGAAAAATTTTGTCTGTAGTCAGCAGAATCTGAAACCCCAGAGTAAACTGAAATTAGAGCTGAGTAAGACTTTCTATAGTCAATATGGAGCTGTGGTCCGTCACAAACATGCAAAACAGTCATCTGTGCTGTACGGCATAGGCAGAACATTTATATGGATGACATAAATCGTTCTTATAAACAAAAACATCCCATGCTAACTATACTGAATAAATGTCATTTCTTTTGACTGAAGACAAGGGGTGAGGTGTGGGTATGAAGACTTACTGCTTCATATTAGCAGATGTTTCCCACTTTGTCGTGAATTTACTGTTGCACCTTCCCCCACTCCAGGACTCTAACAAATGAGGAAATAAGCCAATTACAGATTTCATTAATGTAAGTCTCTTTCCATTCTTCCCTGTGCCCAATTTAATCATTTTATTGAAGTGGTTGATTGATTAGACCAGCATTTTTGGAGCATTTTGAGGTGCACTTGGCACTATAATAGGAGCTAAATGCACAAAGATGACTAACATTTTGGGATATTATTTATTTTACTATTTTCAGCTTCTGTTGTTGCTATTGATACATCTGCAGCCACTTTAATGTCAGTTTCTTTGTATGTGATCCATTTTTCTTTGACTGCTTTTCAGATGTGTATGTATATATATTTTTTACAATTTCATTATAATGTTAATAATGTCTAATTCTGGATATCTTTACATTTTCCCTGCTTGGTATACATTGTATTCCCTGTGTCTGTGGTTTTATGTTTTTCTTCAGTTTTAGAAAATTCTCATATATTATTTCATTTAGTATTATGTCTCCTCTTCATTTTTTTAATTTAGCAATTCTAATTAAACATGTTTTAGACCTTCACATTCAATATTATTTTCATATTTTTGTCTTTTATTTCTTTGCCATGGTTTTGTTGATATCTTCAGATTTATCCTCATTTTACTATTTTCCTGCTTAGTATTTGAAGTCAGTATTTGAGTTTTTAATTTCAAATATGTTTTTGACTTTTAAAAACTCTTCTTTTTTAAAAATATCAGGTAGTTTTTGATAATTCCTTATTCATACCTTAATTATTTTGCTTTCATCTTTTATTTCTTTAAACATTTTTTATATAACATATTCTTTAGTTGATAATTCTGCTATTGAAGACATTAAGATCTGAATCTGCTGTATGATGTGTGTATGTCTATATGGTATGAGCGTGGGGAGTAAAAGTGTAGAGGTGTATGTGATCAAAGTTAAGCAGTTATCAGCTTGAAATAGCTTGTTATATTTTACATAAGCCTCATGGTAACCACAAAGCAAAAATGCATAAAAGAAGTACAAAACTGAAATAGAATTCAAAGCATACCACTAGAGGAAACTATAAACCACAAAGGAAGACAGGAACAGGAGAAGAAAGAAATAAAGTATCTAGAAAACAACCAGACAACAAATTATAAAGTGGCAGTATTAAGTCCTTACCTATTAATAATTACTTTGAATGTAAATTGATTAGATTTTCCAATAAAAAGAAACAGGATAGTTGAATGAATGAAGAAACAAGACCCAACTATATGCTGCCTACAAGAGACTTACCTCACTTTTAAGGGCACACATAGACTGATAGTGAAGGGATGGAAAAAGATATTCCACACAAATGGAAATCAAAAAACAGCAGAGGTAGTTATACAAATGGTCCCTGACTTTTGATTGACTTATGATTTTTTGACTTTATCAGGGTGCAAAAGCAATGCATATTCAGTACACTTCTTGGCTTATGATGGAGCACATCCTGATAAATCCATGGTAAGTTGAAAATATTTTAAGTCAAAAATGCACTTTTGATTTACATTGTTTATAATATTTTCAACTTATGATGGATTTATCAGGATATAATCCTATTACAAGTTAAGGGGCATCTGTACTTATATTAGACAAAATAGACTTTAAGTCAAAAACTGTAAAGAGACAAAGAAGTACATTATACAGTGATAAAAAGGTAGATTCAACAAGAGAATATAACTGTTATAAATATATTGTACCTAACATTGAAGCACCTAAATATAAAGTAAATATTAAATATTAAAGGATATGAAGGGAGAGATATAATAAATTGCAATTCAGTAATAGTGGGAGACCTCAGTACCTGACTTTCAAGGGACAGATTATCCAGAGAGGAAATTAATAAGGAAACATTGGTCTTGAACTACACTTTAGACCAAGTAGACCTAACAAACTTACATAGGACATTACCTGCAGCAGCAACAGAATGCACATTCTTTTCAACTGCACATGAAATATTCTTCAGGATAGATCATATATTGGGCCACAAAACAAGTCTGAATAAACTTAGGGGACTGAAATTATATCAAGTATCTTTCTGATTATGATGATATAAAACTAGAAATCAGTAACAGGAAAAATCTTGGGAAATTTACAAATATGTGGAAGTTAAACAACATGCTCCTGACCAACCAATGGGTCAAAGAAGAAATCAAAACAAAAATGAAAAAATGTCCTGAGAAAAATGAAAGTGGACAAACAATATACCAAAACTTAATGGATACAGTAAAAGTAGCTCTAATAGGGAAGTTTATAGCAATAAACACCTATATCAAACAAAGAAGAAAGATCTGAAATAAACAACCTAATGTTTTATCTCAAGGAACTAGAAAAGAACAAACTAAGCCAAAAGTTAGCAGAAGAAAGGAATTAACAAAGATTACAGCATAAATAAATGGAATAGAGACTAAACAAGCAATAAAATCAATGACAGGGCCAGGTGTGGTGGCTCACGCCTGTAATCCCAGCACTTTGGGAGGCTGAGACAGGCAGATCACAAGGTCAGGAGATTGAGACCATCCTGGCCAACAAGGTGAAAACCTGTCTACTAAAAATACAAAAATTAGCTGGGTGTGGTGGTGCGTGCCTGTAGTCCCAGCTACATGGGAGGCTGCAGCAGGAGAATCAGTTGAACCCAGGAGATGAAGGTTGCAGTGAGCCGAAGATCACACCACTGCACTCCAGCCTGGTGACAGAGTGAGACTCTGTCTCAATAAATAAATAATAAATAATAAATAAATAAATAAAATAAAAATAAAAATAAATAAATAAATAAATAATCAAATCAATGACATTAAGAGCAGATTTTTTGAAAAGATAGCTGAAATTGACAAACCCCTAGCTAAACTAAGAAAATGAGAGAGAAGATTAAAATAAAATCAGAAATTAACGAGAAGACATTGAAGGTGATACCACAGAAATACAAAGAATCATAAGAGATTACCATGAACAATTATACAGCAACAAATGGGATAACCTAGAAGAAACTGATACATTCCTAGACACATACAACCTACTATCATGAAGAAATAAAAAATCTGAACAGTTAATAACAAGTAAGAAAATTGAATCAATAATAAAATCTCTCCCATCAAAGAAAAGCCCAGGACCTGATGGCTTTATTGCTGAATTCTACCAAACATTTAAAAAAGAACTAATGCCAATCCTTCCCAAACTCTTTGAAAAAATTGTAGAGAAGGGAATAATTCCAAACTCGTATCTTGGTACCAAAGCCAGAGAAGGAAATTACCAGGAAAGAGAATAATAGGTTGATATCTCTGTTGAACACAGACACAATCATTCTTAACAAAATGCAGTAGTAGCAAACTGAATTCAACAATATACCAAAAGGATAATTCACAATGAACAAGTTGGATTTATCCCTGGGATGCAAGCATGGTTCAATATATGCAAATCGAAAAATGTGAAATAGCACATTAACAGAATGAAGGTTAAAAACCCTATGATCATCTTATTAGATGCAGAAAAAACATTTGACAAAGCCAACATCCTTTTACAATAAGAACTCTCAACAAATTAGGTCTAGTAGAAGGGTACCTCAACACAAGAAAGGCAAGCTCACAGCTAACATTTTACTCAGTGGTGAAAAGTTGAAAGCTTCTCTTCTAAGGTCAGGAACAAGACAAGGATATACACAGTCACCACTTCTATTTAGCATAGTACTGGAAGTCCTTATCAGATCAATTAGAGAAGAGAAAGAAACAGAAGGCATCAAAATAGGGAATAAAGTGAAATTGTCACTGATTGTTGATGACATGATCTCATGTATAGAAAACCCTAAAGATTTCACTAAAAGCTGTTAGAACTAATACATGAATTCAGTAAAGTTGCAGGTTACAAAATCAACACAGAAAAATGAGTAGCATTTCTATACACCAACAGCTAACTAACAGAAAAGGAAATCAAGAAGACAATCCCATTTACAATAGCTATAAAAAAATACCTAGGAATAATTTTATCCAAGAATGTGAAAGATCTATTCACTGAAAAGAATAAGACATTGATGAAAATAATAGAAGAAGACTCAAATAAATGGAAAATTATTTCACGCTCATGTATTGGAAGAATTAATATTGTTAAAATGTTCATATGACCCAAGGCAATCTACAGATTCAGTGCAATTTCTATCAAATTTCCAATGGCATTTTTCACAGAAATAGCAAAAACATTCTAAAATTCATATGAAACAACATAAAAACTCAAATAGCCAAGACAATCTTGAGTAAAAAAGAACAAAGCTGGAGGCGCTGCACTACTTGCTTTCAAACTATTTTACAAATCTACAGTAATTACAATAGCATGATACTGGCCTAAAAATAGATACATTGATGGTTGAAACGAAATAGAGAATCTAGAAATGAACCAATGCATTTTCAGAAAATTGATTTTTGCCAAAGATGCCCAATCCACACAGTGGGAAAAAGGATGGTGTCTTCAATTAAAGGTGCTGGGAAAACTGTGTATCTCATGCAAAAGAATGAAACTGAACAGTTTTGTATATCTCACACCATATACAAAAATCAACTGAAAATGAGTTAGACACTAAATGTTAGACCTGAAACCATAAAATGACTACAAGAAAACATGCAAGAAAAACCACACTACCTTTGTCTGGGCAATGAGTTTCTGTATTTGACCCCAAAAACTCCAGCAACAAAATAGATAAATAGGATTACATCAAATTAAAAAAGCTTCTACATAGTAAAGGAAACAATTAACAGAGTGAAGAAGCGACCTAGAGAGACTGGGAGAAAATATTTGCAAGCCATGCACTGGATACATCTGTAATATCCAGAATATTTAAGGAACCGAAACATCTCAATGGTAAGAAACAATCCAATTAACGAATGGGAATGGGACCTGAACAGATATTTCTCAAAAGAAGATATACAAATGACCAACAAAGAAAATGAAAAACATGCCCCAAATCACTAATCATTAGGAAAACAAGTTAAAACCACAATGAGATATGATTGTATTAGAATGGCTATTATTAAAACAACAAAAAAAGATGTGTGGGCGAGGATGTGGAGAAAAGGGAATCTGTACGCACTGTTGATGGGAATGTAAATTCATACAGCCGTTATAGAAAACTATACAAAGGCTCCTTAAAATATTTTGAATTACCATATTATCCAGCAATACCACTTTGGGTATATATCCAAAGCAAACGAAATTGCCATGTTGAAGAGATATCTGCACTCTCATGTTCATTGCAGGGTTATTCACAGTAGCCAAGTTATGGAATCAGCCTGCATGTTCATCAATAGATGGACAGATAAAGAAAACATGGTATATATGTACACAATGAAATACTATTCATTCTTTTTTTATTTTTTATTTTTTTATTTTTTGAGTCAGAGTCTCGCTCTGTCACCCAGGCTGGAATAGAGTGGTGCCATCTCGGCTCACTGAAAACTGCCTCCCAGGTTCAAGAGATTCTCTTGCCTCGGCCTCCCGAGTAGCTGGGATTACAGGCGCCCAGCTAATTTTTGTATTTTTAGTAGAGATGGGGTTTCGCCATGTTGGCCAGGCTGGTCTTGAACCCCTGACCTCAGGTGATCTGCCCGCCTCAGCCTCCCAAAGTGCTGGGATTACAGGCGTGAGCCACCACGCCCGGCCTATGCATTCTTAAAAAAGAAGGGAATCATTCATTTGCGACAACATGGATGAACCTGGTGTACATTATGTCAAGTGAAATAAGCCAAGCACAGAAACAAATACCACATCATCTCACTTATATGTGGAATCTAAAATAACTGAACTCATAAAAGCAGAGAGTAGAATGGTAGTTATCAGAGACTGAGGCATGGAGAGAATGAAGAGATATTGGTCAAAAGATACAAAGTTTCAGTTTAGACAGGAAGAATATGTTTTTTGAGATCTGTTGCACAGTGTGGTGACTATAGTAATACTAACATACTATATATTTCAAAATTACTGAGAGTAAATTTCAAATGTTCTCACCACAAAAAAATTATTAGTATTTGAGATCATGAATATGTTAGCTAACTTGATTTAATAATTTCACATTCTATACATATATCATAACATCACTTTGTACCCAATAAATATGTACAACTATAATATATCAATCTATAATAAAAAATGTTCAGGTTACTTTTGATAGTGTCCTATTTCCGACTTAATTATTTTGCTTTCATCTTTTATTTTGTGGCACATTTTATATATAGTTTATATTCATTAATAATTCCACTATTGAAGTCAGTGGGATTTGAATCTGCTCTATGATATGTCTGTTGACTCATTCATGACTTGCTTTTTTGTGTTTCATGGGTTTGAGTTGTGAGCTCTTATCTGGAAGAATAATCTTTGGTACTTCTGCAGGCCTAAATCAGGGGTGGTTTCCTTCAAAGAGCATTTGGCTTGGCTTCTCCTTTGAAGCTAAGGGGTCACTAGGGACACTACCAATCTGCCACTGCTTTAGCTCACTTTGGGGTCCTGAATGAACAGATGAATTGCAGATTCAGTTCTCCCACCTGTAAGGCAACCCAAGTCCAAATTTCTGGATTCCTGCAAGGAAGCCAGTAGTTTCCCCAAGGCAATGCCAGCTTTTTGTTGGCTTGTTATCTAAAGTCTGATTTCAGCTCACTGGTTGGTTTTTGTTTTACTTATTTGGCCTATGCGGATTTTCCTTACAAGTCAGCAGTGAATTAAAAAGTACATTTACTGTCATTTATATATTATTGTATTGTGTGTGGTATATATATTATTGTAGCAAGAGGGTCCGTCATAATATCCAGCCTCATATTACTCCAAGACACTGAAGTCTACCTTTAATTATTCATTTTGCACATGGCTCCCTAATAATCTGTGTTTTTCAGAAAATAAAATATATAGCATAATTAACCTTGAAAATTTTGAATAATGAAGTGCTTTCATGGGCAGAAACATTGCAAGTACAGAGATTAGTCTTATATGAAGAAAGAACTCTCCTCTTTCCTCTTGGTTTTGGTGGACAGTATAATTACTGCAAAGTTTAGCATTTGTCATTGTCTTTATCCTAGGTTCTCATGTATTTTTAGATCATTTTTAAACAAAATTAAAACCTAAATCAAGTGTTTTGATTCACTTGTTGGATTATATATACGGACTATCTCATTAAGTAGCATCAGAAAAAGCCTAGGAGCTAGATATCTTAAAATGTAACTATGTTTTAGGGTTGGAATTTTGGATCCATTATTTGTACTTTGGTTATTATCAATGTTCCTGCTCAATATTCAGTATTCTCCGTAAGTTAGATTTGTCCCTTGCATCATTCTTCAAATTCTATTGGGTCAGTTACCACAAGATTATAACCTTCAAATAAATGAGTCACGTGCTTTGGACACATTAGCCTAATGAGAAAATACATGTCTGGAAATCCTTTGGACACATTAGCCTAATGAGAAAATAAATGTCTGGAAATCATTGTAAGGTGGTAGGCTAAGTCCTAGAGTAGAAAAGGCTACAGAGTATTCTGGGTATACGCAGTAGGGAGCATCTGTGTCTGTGATGCTGAGGATCTGACCAGTCTGGGAAGACTTCACAAAGGAAGGGACATATGAATTGGGTATTAAAGAGTAAGTAGGAATTGTCCGGTAAAGAAAGGGGGAGATGAGGAAGTCTAGGCAAAGGGGCTGTTGTTAGATGGAGCAGGTTAGAAAGGTTTATCTGAAGAAGAGATGATTAATGGTATCACATACTGATCTTCTCATAGGAGGTAAAGGCCCCTGACTTAGTTTAATGAAATCACAGGTCCTCTATCCCTCCTATTCACAGCCCTATCCTCTTATTCCCAAATGCTACCAAATGCTTTATCTTGTTATGTGGACCTAGATTACAAAGAATTCAGTATGTGGAGTCCTTTTTTTTTTTTTTTTGGTGGGCATTTTTGATATTACACCATCTTTTGATCCTCAGAATGATCTCTGGTCCTTGTGTTATCTTTAATCCAAGTGTTGATTGCTTGATTGCTGGCTGCCTTGGTTGTGGATGGGTACCATTTTGCTTTCTGTGTTTGTATATTACCACTTGCAGCAGGAATAGGGAAAATACTTTATTTTACTTCAGGTTACCATAATCTTTCTTCCTCATTTTCACTAGCTTTACCATTTTTAATCTAGAGAATCGGTTTATGTTTGTCTCACTTTTTTTCTTGTAACTTCAAAATTTGTCTCTTTTTTTATGTCTTTGAGCCCTCCAATCTCTCTATGTACCTCCTTATAAGGCAGGTCCATTTCAAACACATGAAGTGAAGGTATACCAGCCATTTCCAATGCAAAGTGAATGATTTCTACCTAGCAAGCAGCCGGTTTGTTTCACAGATTTTTTTTCCTTTTTGCCACAAAAGCAAAGAAAGATTGTATATTGACAAAGATTAAATGTCATGACCTCTGAGGTCGCCTCCTGTTTTTTTCTTTATATCAAAAAGATATACAGATACATCTCTACCTCTTTATAAAGATATCTGATACATCAATGTTTATAGCAGCATTATTCACGATATCTGAAAAGTAGAGACAATTTAAATATTCATTGACAAATGAATCAATAAACAATACGTAGTATATACATACAGTGGAATATTATTCAGCCTTAAACAGGAGTGAAACTCTGACACATGCTACAACATGGATGAATTTTTAAGACATGCTAAATAACGTAGGCCAGACACTAAAGGATGAATATTGTATGTTACCACTTATATGTGGTACCTAGAATAGTCAAATTTATACAGACAGAAAGTACACTTAAACTAATAAAGATAGCAAATTCTATGTTATGTATATTTTACTGCAACAATTTAAAAAACTACATCTGAGAAGAGATGGAGAAAATCATATCTTGTAGGGGTCAGTATTTAGAGACTTCATTTATTCAGTCATCCATTCATTCAATAAAGTTTGATTTCCTGCTATATATCAAGTATGTTTTAGACACTGGGGCTACAGCAGTGAGCAAAACACTCAAACATTCAACAATCCTGGTCTCCGTGAGTGTTTTAGTGAAATCAGACGGACAATAAACAAAGTAAATAAGTAAAACCTATAGTAAGATGGATGGTGAAAAGGACTATAGAGAAATATAAACCAGAGAAGGGTAATTGGGTGAATGGAGGCCAGTGTGGCTGGAGCAAACAAGGGAAGAGTCAGGGTGGGAGCAGGAGTGGTATTGGATAAAAGGAGAGGAAGGCAAAGCTGGTCATGTAGGGTCGTGCAAGTCAGTGCAAGGAGTGGAGATTCCATTGCATGCCATGGATCTCTGAGATTACAGCTCCATGATCTATAAAACAATAAGGAGATTCTTTTTTAAAAAATCAGGCTGGTTAATGTTTGTTTTTCATTAATTATATAAAGATAGGCAAGGATTTTCTTTCCCTTTCTTCAAGGATTCAATATTCCAAAATTTATGCAAGTATACAGTTGAAGAGACAGTGCGTGCACACGTACACAAACCCACTCAAACTCAAACAGTTCAGTGGCATCAGGAAGCTTCTATTTGCCTAATTCACCTTTGTGCCATCCTCCAAGTATCTTCATCCTGTTTTCCTAGGAAACAGAGTTGATGCAAAATTTTTATGGTAACGCTTAAAAGGAAAAGTAGGTGGAATCCAGGAGCAGCAAGAGTAAGGGAACAAGGAGAGTGAGTTAGGGATGGAAGAAAAGCGCATTCCAGGGGCTGCACTGCCAAGCCAGCCAGTGCTCCACAAAACACAACTTTTTCAGTCATGGGGTCAACTCTGAAAAGACTTGTTATAGCATTGTTGCTACTTAGAATCGTTTGTAAGGGAGAAGCTGGTGAGGAATTTATCTGTTAGTTCTTTCTAGTCTTCTTCTTTCTCATTGGTCTTAAAGTTTCTCCTAAGGAATGACTACACTGCCCTTCTTCTTCTTCTTCTTCTTCTTCTTTTTTTTTTTTTTTTTTGAGACTCCAGAGTCTCGCTTTTTCGCCCAGGCTGCAATGGCGTGATCTCGGCTCACTGCAACCTCCACCTCCAGGTTCAAGTGATTCTCCTGCCTTAGCCTCCTGAGTGGCCGGAACTACAGGCATGCCACCACACCCGGCTAATTTTTGTATTTTTAGTGGAAACGGGGTTTTGCCATGTTGGCCAATCTGGTCTTGAACACCTCATCTCCAGTTATCTGCCCGCCTTGGCCTCCCACAGTGCTGGGATTACAGGCATGAGACACCACATTCTGCCAATACTGCCCTTACTTCTAGATGGTATTCTCTGGGTCTTCTAGGTGGCTACAATGGAAGCCAGAGCCTTTGTGGGACTAGCTGGCTGGACCTAGG
The DNA here is from genome assembly GCF_000001405.40 of Homo sapiens. Taxonomy (NCBI): domain Eukaryota; kingdom Metazoa; phylum Chordata; class Mammalia; order Primates; family Hominidae; genus Homo; species Homo sapiens. The sequence goes on along the minus strand of NC_000004.12, from coordinate 53,164,416 downwards.
CACGTAGAGCTACTGTGGCGCACATCATATGGGTGTGATGTAACCATGTCAAGGTTGTCCTGAGGGGAGTCTGAAGGAGTTGGCTGTGTAGGGGTGAGGCAGTGCAGCAGTCACTCAGGGGCTCCACGGAACAAGTGGCCAAGACTCAGCAGTTGGGGGCAGTGGGCAGGTGAATCTTTAGAGGAACATAAATATACCTCGCACACCAGGCCTCTCTCTAAATAAATAGAAGCATCCTTTTGGGGAAGGTAATAAAATAGTAATAAATGTAGTAGTAAAACAAATATACAGTACCTTATAGAGTGTTCATCTCATTTCTCTTCCATGAAAGCCTGGTGAGGTGTGTGGTATTATCTTGCTTTTTACCAGGAACTTGAGACCTAGAGATGCTAAATGCCTTGCTATGGTTAAGAGGTATAGCAGTCTTCAGTTACAGCCTTTCATATTATTCCTTTAAGAAAATGAGATGTTCCTTCTGAATGTATACTAGTACATTTTTAAAAGAGGAGGAGAAGATGAAGTATCCTTCAGTTAATTTCTGTAAAACGTTATTTCAAGAGATCCAGAAAGGCTTCCAATGCCAAATTCTGCCAAACTACCATCAAGCCAGAAATTTAACCGTTAAAGAGTCATCTCACTTCCTCTTTGGTTCTCTCTTCTCCTCTCTCCTCCCCTCTGACCCCTGCCAAGACGGAGTCTTTCTCTGTTACCCAGGCTGGAGTGCAGTGGTGTGATCTTGACTCCCTACACCCTCCACCTCCTGGATTCAAGCAATTCTCCTGCCTCATCCTGAGTAGCTGCGATTACAGGTGTCTGCCATCATGCCCAGCTAATTGTTTTATATTTTTACTATGGATGGGATGGGGTTTGCCATGTTGGCTCAATCACTGGTCTCAAACTCTTGACCTCAAGTGATCTGCCCACCTCGGCCTCCTTAAGTGCTGGGATTATAGGTGTGAGCCCCTGCGCCTGGCCTCTTCTCCTCTTTTTAAATGCAGCCATCCAGTCATTCATTTCTTAGAGGAGCGGTGGTTCATTTGCTGATAATTGGAAGAAGCCAGTGAGTTCTGGGTGGGGATGTGGGAGGACCAAAGTGAGAGAAAGGAAAATAGAAACCCCTAAAGGCAATTTGCTACCTTCCTGATTTTGACTTTGGGCCCTGATTCCAGCACTCAAGCCTTTTTTGGAGTTTGTCCAGACTTCTCCGTTGGAGCAGAGAACATTCCAGAATTGCTTTTAAATATGCTGGTCTAACCTGCAGAGCTTCTGGCTGGGATTCTTGTAGGAGAGGACTCCAGGGCCTTGTCCCGGCTCCACTGAGCCTGCAGGTTTCTGCAGGGAGGTCATGAATGTGAGGAATGGTGCTTTGTTACCCAATAGAATTTCTCTGTTGCTGGTCACTCTCATAAGGTAGCTGGAGGCCTCAGCCACTGAAATGCCCTTCTCCTTCCCAAACAAGTGATAGGAAATGGATTGAAGTAGCACTTAAGATAACTGCCCTCATTTCTACAGACAGCTTTTATTTTTATTTATTTATTTATTTTTTATTTTATTTTATTTTATTATTATTATACTTTAAGTTTTAGGGTACATGTGCGCAATGTGCAGGTTAGTTACGTATGTATACATGTGCCATGCTGGTGTGCTGCACCCATTAACTCATCATTTAGCATTAGGTATATCTCCTAATGCTATCCCTCCCCACTCCCCCCACCCCACAACAGTCCCCAGAGTGTGACGTTCCCCTTCCTGTGTCCACAATGAGATACCATCTCACACCAGTTAGAATGGCAATCATTAAAAAGTCAGGAAACAACAGGTGCTGGAGAGGATGTGGAGAAATAGGAACACTTTTACACTGTTGGTGGGACTGTAAACTAGTTCAACCATTGTGGAAGTCAGTGTCGCGATTCCTCAGGGATCTAGAACTAGAAATACCATTTGACCCAGCCATCCCATTACAGACAGCTTTTAAACTGGCCTTTTTTACTGGCCATTTTCTTCATCCTTAAACATTCAGTTTAGACTTTTGCTTTGTTCTGTGGATCCTGGAAGTCAGATTCTAGCACAGGCTTGGGAGTGCAGCAGTATCACATTCTCCATTCAGATAGCTAAAATTTAGACTCTCATCTTCTCATATATCTCCTAATTTGCCAAGATGTAGCTCCTTTGCTGAATACAGCAAAATGACATCATTTATGTTGCCTGATCAGAGTTGCAAAATTGTTGCTTAGCCAGACTAAAAAAAAAAGCAAGCAAGGGAAAAAGGAAAAATAAGCAGGTTTTTAGATAATGTGTACATTCTGTGAAATATTTGTAATTTGTAATTAGGGGCAGAATTTACCAAGAGCTCAAGCAAAGAGTGGACATGTTGAGTTGGCACTGGCTGGAGAAGTATGCATATTTTTATAAAGCCTTTGGAAAGCCCAGTATTGACCTGTTTTTATTATTTTTATTGGCTCCCTTGATGATAGACAAACAGGCCTAACCTGGGGCCAACAGAATCAGCAGGAAATTTAGGTCACGGATAGTTGCATTTTAAAAACCCTGGGTTTTTAGAGGCTGCTCAATCATTGTAATTGATTGATGATAATATGATAACAAGAGTTCTTAAATCATTAAATGTAGCCAGATAAAGACGAATGACTAGTGGTTTTGTTGGATGCATAGTTCTCAATTCCCTGTGGTGTTCTGTTCTGCTCTCTGAAGAAGTCACTTGTCCCTTGTTTCATGCAACTTACGGCTCAACTGGCCTGTTTACAGAAAACAGCCTCTTAAACTTGGCAGTTCTGTTTGAAGCACAGCATAACATCATTTCCCGAGAGATGGGAAAAAACGTTACAAAAAAGTTTATATCTCCCTTAAAACATATGCATGTTTTAAACTGAGCATCCATTGAAAGTTGTTTTTTCCATCCTCTGAAATCAAGGCTTTTCCCTATCTTCCTAGCCAAAGGTACTTGTAGCTGAATTAGATTATTTGATGAATTCTGTAAGCTTCTTATGTTTTCCTGCTCTTACTTTGGATAAATGCTAATCTGTAGTAAGAACTCTAAGTAGATAGCTCTGTTCTTCCCAGGACTCAGGAAATATGGCTGGTTTAATGTCATTTTAAAAACTTTTTATTGAAGTAAATATAATATAGAAAAGTACAGCTCAATGAATTTTCACTAACTGAAGACAGCTGTGTAATCATCACCCAGCTCAACCTGGAAGATTATCAACAACCCTGGAAGCCCCTCTTTTGCTCTCTCCCGGTTACTCCCTCCCTCTAAGGAGTAGGGACTTCTGAAAATCTAGATACATTTCCCTTGGCTTTTGTATTTTACATGGATATAGTTATATATTTTTTCTGGCTTCTTCCATTACACATTATGTTTGTGAGTTTCATCTGTATTATCATTTTATGAAATTACAGAGCATTCATTCTCATTGTTATGTAATATTCCATTGTGTGAATATACCACATTTTTTCCTCCAGTGGCATTTTTAATAGAAGAGAAAGTTTGTAGAATGTTTTCACTTCCTCAAGGACTTCACTATTTCTCACTATCAGAATTGTATGCTCCACAGACACAGAATGTCAACTAGTGCCCCTTATAGGAATACATTTTGGGAAGCACGTTGATACTTTGAGATTAACCTTTCTGTGTTTATTTTCATCTGCTTATCCTGTCTATTAAGTTTTCTTGGTGCATTCTTCTACCTTTCCTGCCTCTCACCCTTGCCATTATTTTGCTCCTCACTCCAGAATCCTTCAATTAATTCTATTCTCTTTTTTTGTCCTGGGCTTAGACATCCTACTTTCTGAAATATGTCTATCTGTCCCATTCTTACATTTTACACCAATTCTGTCCTCTGTGTTTTCTCCTTTGAAACACCCCCTCCTTTTCTGAACCTCCTCTAAAAATCTTGGAATAATTCTAGACTCTTTTGCTTATACTCCGTATTCAGTCTAGCAACAAACCACTGCCTTTAACTTCAAAATCTCTGCAAATTCCACCAGTTCACATTACATTCAATGCTCCTTCCTTGATCCAAGCCCCATTGTTTCTCACTTGGTTTATTGAAATTGCTTCCTGTCTCCCTGCCTATACCCTTGTCCCTCTAGTTTGTTCTCTTCACCATAGCCGAAATGAGAAAACCTTTAAAACAAGATCATACCAGTTCTGTGCTCAGAACCTCTGTGACTTCCATGTCAGAAGAAATGCAGAAGTTCTAACAATGGGCCGGCTACACCACCCTAAATGATCTGGCCCCTTCTCTGCCTTGTCTTACCACTCTTCTGTTTCCATTGCTAAAGGAACTAAATCTATCTTGACAATTTCTGTAACATTGATCTAGCACCCTCTCCCTTCTTTGCATCTGAAGCCCATGCCATAGTTCCAGTCTATCATCTTTAAATAAGCTGCTCATGGAGACCATTTCTACCCTGTTAGAGGACTTTGGAATCTGATTCTTTTTCGTGCATTTTTTTGTGCATATCTCTTAAGTGCATCCCATCCTTTTTCATATAGTGGTAGGTATACATACAAAATACTGCATTTGCACAGCATATACTGGGTTCACAGAAATTATGGTCACTGGCCCAGGGGCACTAGCTGTCGTAGGCCCCAGCCAGCTGTCACTAGGGCTTCTGAAGGGGGTGGTCATGGCATGGTGACATCCTGGATGGGAATATCTGCCTTAATATCTGTGGCACATAGTATTTATGTGCCAAGGGGGTGGGGGGAATCTGGTTTCCCTCTGCTGGAGGTTTTAACTTTGACTGAGACTTTGGGCTAGTCGTGTGCCTTACCAGAGAACTCTAAGGAGCCACTAGTCAGTAGATTACCTCTGATGTCTAAAGTTTCCCTGCTACTGCCTCTACTCTCATATAATTTATCTATTGTCTTATAAGCTGGGTCCCTTAACTATTTGTCCTAGTCAGAATCCTTGTCATAATCATCCTTGTCCCAAGGATTTGGATTCCCCTTCCCTGCAAACTCTAGCTTTCTTCTGACTGGGAAGCCCTGGAGACGAAAATGTGTAGTAGACTCGATGTATATTTTGAAGAAAGATGGCGTTGAGTTGGATTCCAGCTCAAACATTCACCAGCTGATATCTTCGACAAGTAATCTTTTTCAAACTCAGTTTCCTCCTCTGTAATAATTATAGCCATATTACAGGGTAATTAGGAGGACTAAATGAGATAATCTACAATTATATCTTTATAAATGTTTATTTTTTTCTTTTTTTCTAATGTCAGCTATTTCATTGTAGAGACAAGTATGATTTCAATACCAACTGTATTCAAAGGGCGGAGCTAGGTCCTGGAGATGGGATTAGGAATAAAATGTGGTTCTTGCTATTGAGGATTTTTCAGTCTTAGAAGAAAGCTAGATATGAATAGATAATTAAATTTAGGGTGATAAGAGCCATGGCAGACAGACAGAGAGGCTTCTTTGGGATTGCAAAATAGGCACATTTAACCCATTTAGGGAAGGTCAAAGAAGATAATGCTTAGGTTGAATCCTGAGACAAAGTGAAGAGGGAAAAGAACAGTCTAGGCAGGGAGATTTGCATGCATAAAAGCACAGAGGCAAATGCAAGTAGTTCAGTAAAGTTTAATTGTAATCTGTCAGAAAAGAAGTCGTGACTGTTGAGGCTAAGCAGTTAATTGGGGCCAAGAAGATAAATGGGATGCATATGTAATGTTAAGGGCTTTGTCTGGAGGATTTTATTTAACTTTAAATAATTTTAAGTGGATCAGTTTTTTGTTTTAGAGTGAGATATATTGTGGCTAGAGATGATGGTAATTACAACTTAAGTGGTAGGGGAAGGAATGGATAAGAAGGGATGGATATATAAAAATCATCAAGACTTGGCTGATTTGCTGTGGCAGGGGCAAGGGAGAATTCTGGTAGAGTCCAAGCTTCTGACTTGGTCAACTGGAAGAGTGATGGTACCACACAACAGTACAGGATGTAGAGGATGAAGAGCAAATTTGGGGGTACAAATAGTGATTTCAGCTTTAGACACATTGAATCAAATTTACAGGTGAGATATACAAGTGGAGAAGTCCAATAGGTAGTTTTGGCTGGGTTTGGAGCAAAGGAGAGAAATTTGGCTGGAGATATGTATTTACGTGTTATATTATTATGCAGATTAAAGTGCTATACCAAAAGAAGTGATATAGGGACTCGAACAGGATAGCTTATTTCACTTTGACACTGCAGTCTAGAAATAGTTGGATGGTCCAGTCCACATGACATTCAAAATGTGGTCTACATTATTTGTGCTGGAACTATATAATCCCTCCACTGGAGGTTTTAACCTGGGCTAAGGTTCTGAGGCCATTCATGTACCTTACCAGGGGACTCGAAGGAGCTACAAGATCAGAAGCATTGACATCAACCTGGAAGTTTTTTAGAAGTGCAGAATCTTTAGGCCCCATCCCAGACCTAACAAATTTAACTGAGCGCACATAATTTACATGAACATTAAGTTTTGAGAAGCTCTGATCCAGGGAGCTAATCTTCCTTCTATCTTGTTTCTCAGCCTTTCTCTCTAACAACGTAGATGAAGCTGGATTACAACCACTTTATCTGTATTTCAGCTGTGGAGAGAGGAAAAGAGAGTAGAAAATAATGAGCTTTCTTTTTAGGATTTGATATCCTTAAATTGGTAACTATTGATATTGACTCTGTTAGAAATTAATACTGAGAAAATTGAAAAGTATTCTTAAAAAAAGTAAATCCATTGATTCATAGTATAAATAACATATTTTATGAAGAGTAACCATATTTCCAGAACAAAAAAAATGAGGATGACATTTGTTTATATTTTTGAAAATATTTTTAATGTTTTGCTGAATAGAAAACAGCTGGATTCTTATGTTTGCTTCCTCATTCAATAGGCTGCTATATATTGTTTTGGTTGAAAAATATGAAAAAAATCAAGCCTCATGCAGACATACAGTGGGAAAAGGGAGGAATATTGTGATGGCTTTTTTAGATGCTTGTGGATATCCTTGTTTGATGCTGTATCTAAACTCTACAAGTAGTGATTACTTGAAGGTAAGTTGTAATGTGGCATTGGAAACCCTATCAATGAGCTTTTTGTACCCTTTTACATTAAAATTCGCTGGTCTACCTTGTATTTTGGATGGATCTTTAGCCTATGCCTGATTTTCTTACATCATGCATTGGTCATTTGGAAAGCATTTTGATTCACCAAATTATACAGATGTTCCAAATGTCAACACATTTTATTATGTAATTCAAAAAATCACATTTAATGTCACCAATGATCTCATCAGAAAAGTTTTTAAGAATAGATCATCTGGCAATGGCATATATAAGTTTTCCAGAATTCCAATTTTTGCCAGAATTTTGACATTGACAGTAAGTATATCGGTTGTTTTCCTTGAAGGAACAGGCTCACTTCGTTCATTTTGGAGAAAATATGTGCCAAATAGCCAAGTTTTAAAAATTGTAACTTCTATGTCATTCTTTCAAGTAACAATGCTATTGCATGAAAGAAGAGATTACTTCAGTACACAACTCAAAACAATTGCACAAGTGCTTTTTCTAGGGATAACCATCGTCGTTAGTATATAGCAGAAGTGCTTCATACATACTCCCATTTTGTCATGCACAATATTAAAGAGACATTTAGGATTGAAAGTCAATAAGATTAATAAGTTTGACCGCTTTGTCATGAGCTCTTTGTTTGTTTTGAGACGGAGTCTCACTCTGTCGCCCAAGCTGGAGCGCAGTGGCTCAATCTCGGCTCACGGCAAGCTCCGCCTCCTGGGTTCATGCCATTCTCCTGCCTCAGGCTCCCAAGTAGCTGGGACTACAGGTGCCTGCCACCACACCCGGCTAATTTTTTTGTATTTTTAGTAGAGACGGGGTTTCACCGTGTTAGTCAGGATGGTCTTGATCTCCTGACCTCATGATCTGCCCGCCTTGGCCTCCCAAAGTGCTGGGATTACAGGCCAGGAGCTCTTTTTTCTTTTCTTTTTTTTTTTTTTTTGAGTTGAGTCTCACTCTGTCACCCAGGCTGGAGTGCAATGGCATGATCTTCAGCTCACTGCAACCTCTGCCTCCCGGGTTCAAGCAATTCTCCTGCCTCAGCCTCCTGAGTAGCTGGGATTACAGGTGCCTGCAACCATACCTGGCTAATTTTTGTATTTTTATTAGGGACAGGGTTTCACCATATTGGCCAGGCTGCTCTCTTGGCCAGGCTGGTCTGGAACTCCTGACCTCATGATCCACCCACCTGGGCCTCCCAAAGTGCAGGGATTACAGGTGTGAGCCACTGTATCTGGCCATATCAAGAGCTCTTAAGTGAAACTGGCTTTTACAAAATTCAGCTGTGAGTATATATAGCTCACAAAATATAGCCTAGTGGTAAAGAATTCAGCGACTATTAGTTTGGAGCCGCTGCCTTTATCTGTGTTGTTACCTGCAAATTTACCCACCATACTTTTACACTATTAGTGCAAATGTCAATACAGTGAAAAAGGTAAAGAATGTATTACTGTTATTACAAAAATAATTTTGACCTCATGGACCTCTTGACAGAATCTCTGGGATCTCAGGAGCCTGTGGACCAAACTTAGAAAACTGCTGTCCTCTTATATAATTATTCTGGATCTGATAAATATTGGCTTATGCGATTACATGATTTTGAACTGACTAGTTCTTGGTAAAATTATTAAGTAGCAGGCTTTAAATTCAGTGTGTCTCTGTGTCTTTCTTCTCTATCACATCCCTGAAGACATGCACTGGATCCCTAGTGGTACAGGTGGAATGGATACAGCTGAATTGCCTGTTCATGCATGTTATTGCTTCTTCATTTAATCATTCAGCAAGTACGTATTGAGCCCTATGTCTTAGTCTGTTCTGTGCTGCTACAACAATACCTGAGACTGGGTAATTTATAACAACTAGAAATTTATTGGCTTATGGTTCTGGAGGCTGGGAAGTCCAATATCAAGGTGCTGGCGTTTGGTGAGGCCTTTTTGCTGCATTATCCCTTACAGAAAGGTGGAAAGGTTGAGAGAGCAAGAGAGGGCTGAATTTGCTGCTTTATAACTGCACCAGTCCCACCCATGAGGGTAGATCCCTTATGGCCTAATTATCTCTTAAATGTCCCACTTCTTAATACTGTTACAATAGCAATTAAATTTCAGCTTGAGTTTTGGAGGGGACAAACATTCAAACCACAGCATCCTACCACCGTGTACCAGATTCTCTGCCTGAGTTGTGTGCCCTGATGCAGAACTTCTCAGGCCCTACCTCACATCAACCACTTGTATTAATTTTCTATTGCTGCTGTAGCAAATTACCACAAATTTAGTGGCTTAACACAACAACGGATTTGTTCTCTTACTGTTCGGAAGGTCTTACTGGATTAACATCAAGATGTCATCAGGGTTGTCTCTCTTTCTGGAGGCTCTAGGAGAGAATTTGTTTCCTTGCTCTTTCCAGCTTCCACAGGCCCCCTGCATTCCATGGCTCATGGCCTTCTTCTTCCATCTTCAAAGCCATAAATGTTGAATCTCTCTGATTCTTCATCATCACATCTCTCTCTCTCAGCACAGCCAGGAAAAGTCCTCTATTTTTAAGCACTCATATGATTAGATTGGCCCTACCCAGATAATGTAGGCAATCTTCCCATCTGAAGATCTGCAACCTTCATCACATCTGCAAAGTCCCTTTTGTCAGATAGAGTATCACAGTCACAGATTCCAGGGACTAGGATGTGGGCTCCTTTGAGCACTCTGTCAGGCTCCCACTGGCAACATCCTATAAGCCTGCACACACCATGGCTTGGCTGAAGCTTGGAGGATGATATAGTTTGGATATTTGCCCCCTCCAAATCTCATGTTGAAATGTGATTCTCAATGTTGGAGGTGGGGCCTGGTGGGAGATGTTTGGATCATGAGGGCAGATCCCTCTTGATTCCTAGGTGCCCTCCTCACAGTAGTGAGTGAGTTCTTGCTCAGAGTTTATGTGAGATCTGGTTGTTTAAAAGAGTATGCTACCTGCTCCCCCGACCTCCATTCTCTTTCACCATGTGATATGCCAGCTCACTCTTTGCCTTCTACCATGATTGTAAAGCTTCCTGAGACCTTACCAGAAGCTGAGCAGATGCTTGTGCCATGCTTGTACAGCCTGCAGAACTGTGAGAGAAATTAACCTCTTTTCTTTATAAATTACCCAGCCTCAGGTATTCCTTTATAGCAATGCAAACAAACACAAAAAATCGGTACGAGGAATGGGGTATTGCTATAAAAATACTTGAGAATGTGGAAGTGGATTTGGAACTTGGGAATAGGCAGAGGCTGGAAGAGTTTAGAGATCTCAGAAGAAAAAAGGAAGATGAGGGGAAGTTTGGAGCTTATTAGAGAGTGGTTCAATAGTTGTGACCAAAATGCTGATAGAAATATGGACAGTGATGGCCCAGGCTGATGAGGTCTCAGTTGGAAATGAGAAAGTTATTGAGAATTGGAATGATGGTCACTCATGTTATGCAAGATGACTTAGAGTTTCTGGCAGAAGAAATTTCTAAGCAGCAAAACACTCATGATGTGGTATGGTTGCTTCTAACAACCTATGACCAGATATAGGAGCAAAAAAATTACTTAAAGTTGGAATTGATATTTAAAAGGGAAGCAAAGCATAAAAATTTGGAAAAGTCACAATCTGGCCATGTAGTAGAGATGGAAAGAGCATTTTCAGGAGAGGAATACAAGCAGACTGTGGAGCAACAACTTACTAGAGAGATTTTACATGACTAAAAGGGATCCAAGTGCTAATATCCAAAACAATGAGAAAATGGCCTTGAAAGCATCAGAAATCTCCTTTGCAGCCCCTCTCATTACAGGGCCAGAGGTGTAGGAGGAAAGAATAGTTTCAGGGGCCAGATCTGAGGCCCCACTGCCCTATGCAGCCTCAGGACACTGCTCCCAGGATCCTGGCCACTCCAGCTCCAGCTGTGGCTCAAAGGGCCCCAGATACTACTTTAGTTGCTGCTCTGGAGGGCACAATCCATAAACCTTGGCAGGTTTCACATGGTTTTAAGACTGTAGGCACGCAGAGTGCATGAGTGAAGCAGGCTTGGCAGCTTCCCCCTAGATTTCAGAAGATGTATTGGAAAGCCTGGATGCCCAGGCAGAAACCTGTTGAAGAGGTGGAGCCCCTGCAGAGAGACTCTACTAAGGCAGTGTGGAGGGGAAATGTGAGGTTGGTGCCCCCACACAGATTCCACACTGGGACACTCTCAAGATGAGCTTTGTGGGAAGGAGGGCACCATCCTCCAGACTGCAGAATGGTGGAGCCATTGGCAGCTTGCATCCGGAGCTTGGAAAAGCTGCAGACACTTACCTCTGACCCATGACAGCAACCTTCATGGTTGCACCCTTCAAAGCCACAGGGGCAGGGCTGTCAAAGGCCTTGGGAGCCTACTTCTCACACCAGTGTGCCCAGGATGTGAGACATAGAGTCAAAGATTTTTTTTTGGAGCATTAAGGTTTAATGTCTGCCCTGCTGGGTTTTAGACTTGTGTAGGGTCTGTTGCCCCGTTCTTTTGGCTGATTCCTCCTTTTTGGAATGGGAACATCTACCCAATTTCTATACCACCATTGTATCTTGGAAGTAAATAGCTTTATTTGATTTTTCAGGCTTATAAGTGAAAGGAACTTACTTTGAGTCTATGATGAGACTTTGGACTTTTGAGCTGATTCTGGAATGAGTCAAGACCTTGGACTATTGGGAGGGGATGACTGTATTTTTTATTGCGAGGACATGAGATTTGAGGAGGCCATGGATGGAATGATATTTGGATATTTGCCCCCTCCAAATCTCATATTGAAACCCCTATACCTAAGAATGAAGTTTTTGCTTCATCAGAAATTCTTGTGTTCAGCTTTAGTGGATGTCACAAAACAGGTTTTAATAGTGTTTATGTTAATATTCACTCCTTGTAGCAATGTATGAGACGTTTAGTGGCTCCACATCCTTGCCTACATTTGATATTGGAAGGTTCTTTTTTTAATTTTTTTTTTTCACTTAGCCATTCCAGTTAGTATGATACGGATTTACTGTGAATTTAGCTTGCATTTTCCTGTTGATTAATGATGCTGAGTACATGTATATGTGCCTAATGGTATTTGGATATCCTCTTTCATGAAGTCTCAAGCTTTGGTATACTTTGTACTGATTCTTTGAAGTGTTTTGTTTATATAGGAGACTGGATTTACCTTTTACTGCCTTGTTAATTACATCAGATGAACAGAAATTTTAGTAAAGTCTGGTTTGTCAAAAATAATAATACAAAACGACTGAAATGTGATCCCCAGTGTTGGAGGTGGGGCCTGGTGGGAGATGTTTGGGTTATGGGGGTAGATCCCTCATTAATAGCTTGGTGCCCTCTTCATCGTAACAAGTGAGTTCTTGCTTTGAGTTCATAAAAGATCTTGTTGTTTAAAAGAGTGTGGTACCTCCCCACTTCTCTCTTGCTCTCTCTTATCATGTGATGTGCTGAGCACCCCCTTTGCCTTCCTTTGTGATTGAAGATTCCTGGGGCCTTACCAGAAGCCAAGAGATGCTAATACCATGCTTGTACAACCTGCAGAACTGTGAGCCAAATAAATCTCTTTTCCTCGTAAAGTACCAAGCCTCAGGTATTCCTTCATAGCAACACAAATGGACTAACACGATGAGTTGCAGAGATGGGTTCTCCAGCAGAAGCTTAGCATGATGTGGAGTTTTACTGAGTGTTTTCAGGCTGTGCACCATAGAAGGGCAGGTGTACAGCCAGCCTGGCCTGCTCTGCAGCCACGTGGAATAAAGCCTGTTTGCTCCTCATGCCTGCCAAGGTAGCCAGTACAGAGACAAACTCTGACTTTGCAGTGGCATTTTAATTGAACTAAAAAGGTCAGCTTTCTAAAAAAAACACATATTTTACAGAGGGCCTTTTGCGCATAGTGACTGAGGACTCATTCAAGAATAACAGGAGCCCCAGACTTCAGATAAACAAAAGGTTTTGTCACTCTAGACACAGCTTCAGTCTTCTACCTCCTGCTAGTAAGCCCATTTATATCAAAACAAATGAGAAACTTAATCTCAGTACTTTGTAAGGAAACCTTTTTTCTTTTGGTCTCAGATTTGGTTTGCTGTGCATGTCCTTTTTAAATGGCAGTGTTTAATAATGTTTATATTGCCTTTGACCTTTCACTGACTGTTGTAGTTAAGTTCCAAGATGTGATTTCAAACCCAGTATTTGTAGGCTGCCCCTCCCTCCTTTGAGACTACTAACTTCCTCTTCTTAGAAGGTCTAATTCTCTTTCCAACCATCTTAATCAGTTCTAAGAAAGGAGCCTGTGGGGTAGCAGGTGGGAGTCGTGGTAGTAATATTTTATATTTACTGGTTGTGTAATTCACTTCTGACGTTACAACTTCAGAACAACCTGATAAAGCAAAAGCTATGATTATATATTCCTAAATCAGGTAAAGTACTTTCCCCAAATTAGCCCTCAGAAAATAGGGCATCATCTTATATTTGAGTCTTTACAAAGACTATCCTGTTATGGGGATTACGTCATTTGAAACCACAAAGTAGTTTAAGCAATTGTCCCAATGTTATGCACACAGATGGCTGTGATATAGGATTGTCTAATATTCAGGCATTTATGGTATTGTTTCCATTTTACAGATGAGGAAATTGAGACTTGGAGAAGGTAAATAATTTGCCCAAGGTCATACAGCTAGTAATTGGTACAGCCTGGATTGAAACCCAAGCATATTATCTTATTCCCACATCCTTATTATTAATCCTCTTGAGATTCTATCTTCTGCCTTTAAAACATTTTCAATCTATGGAGTCACGGATTTTTTTTCTTCGTTATTGTCAAGGTTCCATTCTAAGAATAGAGAAGAGCAGAAAATGTATAAACATTCAGTTTGGAACCATGCTTTTATGGATAGCACTAGGAGGGTCTAGTCTAGTTTACCTTCCAAGCCAAAGTGGCACAGGGTTCTCCTTGCTTCATCTTGGGCAGATGACCACCCTGCCTCTCTTTGCCACTGATGGAGACTTTACTGCTTCCTGGGTCAGTCCCTTATCTTGGCTGATGGCTCTGGTTGTGAGGAGTTCTTCCTGACCACGAAGTCTTTATTTCTCATCCTTGCCCTCCCTTCCCCTTACTTTCTTCTTTTCCCCTTCCTTCTCCCTCCTTTACCTTCCCTAAGCATTTTATTTTAGAATAGCTTTAGATGTACAGAAAAGTTCCCAAGATAGTACAGAGAGTTTCTGTATACTCTTTATTGTTAGAATCTTATACTACTGTGGTGCATTTATCAAATATAATAAACTAACATGGGTACATTAACTATAAACTCCAGACTTCATTCAGATTTCATTAATTTTCCCCTAAAGTCCTTTTACTATTCCAAGAGGCCATCCAGGATACTACAATTACATTTAGTAGTTAGGTTATTTTTTTAGTTTCAACTGGCGTGTGATAGATTTTGGGTCTTTCCTGATTGTTCACGATCTTCATAATTTGGAGTACTGGCCAGGCATTTTGTAGAATGTTGCTCAGTTGGGATTTTTCTGATGTTTTTGTCATGGTTAGACTAGGGTTATGGGTTCTGGGGAAGATACTGGAAAGGTGAAGCACCATTCTCATCAAATCACATGAGGGAAGATGGCATCATCTTAGGGACATGATATCAATATGTTTTATCACTGGTTATGCTAAGGTAAAGATACACCTTCATTTTCCCTTCTAAAAATATTCTACTTTTAGAAGCAAGTCACTAAATGCAGCCCATATTCAAGGGATAGGGAGAATTAAGTGCTACCTCCTGAAGGTAAAAGTATCTACATAGGTTACTTGGAATTCCTTAAGGAAGATTTGTCTCTTCCTCTACATTTATATTTATTAATCCAACCACTCATTTATATCAATATGGACTGACATATATTTATTGTATACTTTGGGTTAAAATCAAATACTACTTTATTTATTTTGGGTTTCATGTTGTTCCAGCTTTGGTCACTGGGAAGTCTTACATTTGGCTTGTGTGTCCTTTTGACTTGTGCTTATCATTTTGGTTTGTTAGCACTTTCTTACTTTTAAAAAAGACTTTGCAGACTCATCTTGAATTTTCCTTTCCCCATCCCTAGAATCACTTCTCTGAGGATTCCTGTTTCCTTTTATTGGAGAATGATATTAGAAACTAAGATCTGGCCACTGGCTGTCATCATTGCTACTGTGTCAGCACTACTTCCCAGTGGACAGAGTAGGAAATACATGTATCCATGCCAGCCCATGTTACATGCATGTCTACAGTTATTTCTGGATTTGTCCATCTGTATCCACAATAAAGCTTTTCTTCTTTGAGCATTAAAAAAAAATTTTTTTAGAGACAGGGTCTTGCTCTGTTGCACTGGCACAATCATAGCTCACTGCAGCCCCAAACTTCTGGGTTCAAGCGATCCTTCTGCCTTAGCCTCTTGAGTAGCTGGGGCTACAGGCACATGCCACCATGCTCAGCTAGTTTTTTGTTTTATGTAGAGACAGGAGTCTCGCTATGTTGCCCAGGCTCTTCTCAAACTCCTGGCCTCAAGTGATCCTCTCCTATTGGCCTCCCAAAGTACTGGAATTACAGGCATGAGCCACCACACCTGGCCTTTTTTGAGCATTTATGTTTTGCTAAGTAGCCAGCAATAAGAGTATGAATTGCTGCCCTCACAACAATGGTAAAGTTTTTAAAAAAAGAAAAGGGGGAGAAAGTGAAAATGGAGACCTGGGCATAACATGACTTATTGCCCAGCCATCCTCTGGTCAGATCATGTCATTTTAGAAAGAAGAGATCCTGAGAAGTTAAGGAGTTAGAGGAACAATCGGGGTTGGAATCTAGCTTTTTTGAAATAGAGTCTGTTTATTCCACCATCTCTGATGGCTCTTTAAGACTGGTCAATATTCCTGACTTTGTATTCAGATCAGTTATAGGCTTCGTGGGATGCATTAAACAGATTTAGAATGTAAGTTTAGAAATTGGCATGTACAACAGAATACTGATAGGGTATCACTAGTGAGAGATTTTATTCTCTTGCACGTATCTTAGACCAATGACTTGAAAATGAAGCTCTGAAGGCCAGATGTTAGTGAATGAATCTTTACAAATGATCATGATGATGATTCTATTCTGTTTTATAACTATATAAACTTTTTATAACTATATTTTAAAAAATCATTTTGCTCTGGGGGGAGACCCAGAGGGCCCCTGTAGGATAGATGCTTTATGTATACACATAGTTTCTAGAAATGGGACATAAAGCAATGAAAGAATCTGTTTATTGTCATCTAAGGAGTTAGTGGTAGAGTAAACAGCCAAAATGAAAGCTGCAGCCTTCATGACCTTTCTTTAACAGGCCAACCACAGGACTCTTTTCTTTTAAATTACTTTTGGCAGCTTATAAAGCAAAGAAACACTTGAGAGTTCCTCTAGAGCAAGTTTGCCCAACCCATGATCCATGGGCTGCATGTGGCCCAGGATGGCTTTGAATGCAGCAGCCCAACAGGAATTCATAAACTTTCTTAAAACATCATGAGATTCTTTTGCAATTTTTAAAAAACTCATCATCTGTCATTAGTGGTAGTATATTTTATGTGTGGCTCAAGACAGTTCTTCTTCTAATGTGGCCTAGGGAAGCCAAAAGATTGGACACCCCTGCTCTAGAGAGACTCCTGAAGCTACAGGGCAGCCCTAGGGTGTCTTCAAAACTTTCGGCCCCCTGGTCCTTTGGAAGCATGTGTGTGTTTACACTTGGTAAATTGTGTCTTGTCACCATGTGACAGTAAAATCTCTGTTGCGTTCTTTTCCATTTTTACCTCGTCCATTCCAAGGACTGAACATTTTATTTTTCTATGGTACATTGTGAACATCCAAGATTTTTAGTGGAAATAAATGGTAACAGCTGTTTTTTGTGTATAAAATATAATCGTGAACCTTAACCTTGAGATGATCTATCCAAATTTTTCCAGGTGTGGAAATGGCTTGACTGGAAAAGCTCATTTTGGTAATCATTTCAGCACAGAACAACATTGAGCAACATGTTTGCTGTTAACTTTCTCTTCAAAAAGAGGAAGAGTTTCTATTGGTATTTCTTTATTCTAATATTTCCTTTTAACGTGACTTTTCCTATGTAAACTGTATCCACAATAAAGCTTTTCTTCTTTGAGCATTAAAAAAAATTTTTTTAGAGACAGTATCTTGCTCTGTTGTGCAGGCTAGAGTGCACTGGCACAATCATAGCTCACTGCAGCCCCAAACTATGTGTGCATATTCATACACACAGACACACATCTTAAGATGTTGTTTCCTTTCCCGCTTTATTTTTGTTTATAGCACTTACTACTCTAATATACTACACTAGTCCCTGCTTATCTGCATGGGATATTTTCCAAGACACAAGACTGCCAGTAGATTCCTGAAACTATCCATAGTCCTGAATCCTGTATATACTGTGTTTTTTTCTATACATACCTATGATAAAGTTTAATTTGTAAATTAGGCACAGTAAGAGATTAACAATAACTAATAAAAATTAGAACAGTTATAATAATATACTATACTAAAAGTTTTAGGAATGGGGTCTCTCTCTATCTCTGTCTCAAAATATCTTATTGTATGTAATATTTTTGGACCACAGGTAAGTGAAACCATGGAAAGCAAAACCATGGATAAGGGTGGGCTGCTGTTTATGTTTTACTTCTTTTGCTTTTTAATTGTTTTCTCTAACTAGAATGTAAACTCTATGAAAGCAGGGAATTTGTTTTGTGCACTGCTGTATACCTAGACTAGTGCCTAGAACATAGTAGGTGCTCAATGAATGCTTCTGAATGAATAATGTAAGTTGCAAGTTGTATTAATTTGGCCCCTGATTTGAATATGATATTCAATTTGTATTGAATATAAATACAAAGTGTAGAGTTTTATCTTACAGGATTATTTTATATTTTAAGAGGAGTTAAATCATATTATTTAAGATGAGGATTTCTGTATCCACCAAAAATCTCAGAATTTATGATAGAAATAGGTACAGTTTCTGGGAACTTACACAGTTACTCCAGTAATACAGTGCTATTATCACATTCAAAGAATTTTGAAATCCTCTGCTAAATATCACTCGAGAAGTTGTGGAAGATATAAAGGCAATTTTTTTAAATTTAATGCGAGTTATCTACTGACTCACTCAAAGAAATTTTGAACCCTAAGTGACCATTACCCTGTGTGATTCTGTATTTTATTCATCAGATTTAGCAGAAAGTGACTTTTTGTTGTTTTAAAAAGTATTCTGGCTAATATTTGCTGATATAGAAACTATTATAAAGAATATGCTGGAAAATCCGAGGTGATTCCTCTGAAGTAGTGTCAGCATTCATTTGGATATATAGATGCTGCCATTTTTGTTTTTTTGTTAAATAATATTATCTTACAAATATACTATTTTTCTTTAAAATTTCATCTGAAGTACTTACTTTTTTTTCTTTAAAATTAATGGACTCCTATTTGTTTAAGCAATGTTAAGATGATATAATGGAACCTACAACTTGACTGGCCATTTTATAAATTAGGACTTTCAAAACAAAAACTCTGATGCCAAACTTCTTGTAGTATTCTCTCCAGGACAAGAAACACACAAATAAAAAGTGATGCAGTCAGTAAATATCATATACAGACTTGTTTGAAAGCTATCATTCGACTAATGTAATCCATAAATTATGTCTTTATACAAGATTGACATATTTTCATATCATTTTTTATTTTAGAGCATTGGGGAGTCAGCAATGTCCGTTGTGTTAAATCAGCTGCTGCCCATGATTAAGCCTGTAACCCAGAGAACCAACGAGGACTACAGCCCTGAGGAACTGCTGATCCTTCTCATATATATTTATTCTGTCACTGGAGAGCTCACGGTAGACAAAGACCTGTGTGAAGCAGAAGAAAAAGTCAAGAAAGCATTGGCTCAGGTCTTCTGTGAGGAATCTGGATTGTCACCTTTGCTGCAAAAAATTACGGGTGAGTGTCTAACAAAGATACAGGACACAAACATCACTGATACACGAAACAGGTTTCAAAATAAATACTGTTTTGGGAAGAGGAGGTAACCATCTTCACTGGAGTTGTTTGGAATTTCATGAGGCCTGATGAATGCTAGCCAGCCTATAGCAACAGTCCCCAACATTTTTGGCACCAAGGGCAGCCATCAGGGGACAGGGATGGAGGTGCATGGTTTCATGATGAAACCGTTCCACCTCACATCATCAGGCATTAGTTAGAGTCTCATAAGGGGCATGCAACCTAGATCCCTCATATGTGCACTTCACAGTAGGGTTCACACTCCTATGAGAATCGAATGCTGCCGCTGATCTGACAGAAGGCGGAGCTCAGGCAGTAATGCTTGCTTGCCCACTGCACACCTCCTGCTGTGCCCGGTTCCTAACAGGCCATGGACGGGTACCTGTCTGCAGCCCAGGGTTGGCGACCCCTGGCCTATAGGATTAGAGGTTTCCACTGCAGTATTTTTCTGCAATGGCATGGTAGTGACATGGCCTCTCTTCTAATTGCTTGTCTAATTAATATTCCTTAGAGCCTAGACCTTGTTAAAATAGCAAAATACAGAGAGTATTATCTGTAAGGAAAAATAAAATGTAGTACATCCTATTCAAAGAGTTTCCTATTGATATATTCTCTGTGAGATTGTCATTTCAAACTTTAAAAACTGTTTCTTTGAGATGTTACACAATATTATAGGATTGGAAATTGCCATTTTCAGTAGTGTTTTTATATATTATATATATATTATATATAAAAAATATATATATTCCAATTTCCAATGTATATATACCTGTGTGTGTATATATATACACACCTGTATCTATATGTCCAGTATATATATCTGTATGTGTACATATAATATATATCATATATAAGTCCATATATATACATGTATATGTATATATACACATGCACACACACGTGTGTATATATAACATATATACTTACATATACACACACATATATACACACATATATTACATATGTGTGTGTATTTTTTTTTTAATTAAATAGAGATGGGGCCTCACTGTGTTGCCCAGGCTGATCTCAAACTCCTGGGCTCAAGCGATCCTCTCTGCTTGGCCTCCCAAAGTGCTGAGATTACAACTGTCAACCACCATGCCCAGCCTTATATTTTGACTTTTCTTATTTTATTTTGAATTTGAATTAATTGGTATTATCCAGAATAATACCTAAACATCCCAGTAAAGTAGGTTCTGCTAATTTTAGGGAAATATGATTAAACATCATAAAATCTAACTACCTTCACTTCCAATAATAACTGCAATATAACTCATGAAGGCATTCATGTTATTTTGTATCAAATTCATTATTTATATTTTGTGTAAAGCTAATTTCCATGCGTATGGATTGAGCCTGTGTCTATCTGAAAGTAAGAAGTTATTAAAAGTTCTATGTGAAATGTGAGTACTTTAAAAATGTACCACATTTCTATTCATTTGCTGGTGTGTGTGTGTGTGTGTGTGTGTGTGTGTGTATGTTTAGGTGTATGAAGACTTCTTCATTCAGGAAGTTGCAGCTGAGGCCGCTTATATATCCTCCATCTTTTCCTCTTGTCCTCTGTTGGGCCTCTCTGGGAGAAGTGTCCAGACTTCCCGGGAGCAGAATGTGCAGCTGTAAACCTTAGTCTCTCATGCATGTGAACTTTACTTTGTGCCCACTGTTGACCTTTCTTATGGTTGCTTATAGAAAATGAAACCCTGTCAAGATGGGAATTGAATGAAGTTTCCACAGAAATGAAACATTTTCTTGCTTAGTATAAAACCTATTTGCCAACTTAAAATCCATTTAAGAAAAACTTAAAGCCATTTCATTAAGTATAACACTATATGTGATTGCATGTGTTTGGCCATCAATAAATATCAACTTAGAAAGTTTTAATATGATTTATACAGTGCTTGGAAGAGTGCTGGGATTCAAAGTAGGTTTGAATGCTAGGAGAATTTAATTAAAAGTTATTCCTAAGAAGCATAATTTTGGAAACAGATAACAAGATGACATGTTTTAACCTAGGTTATTTGGATAGCTTTTTTAAACATTTATATGTTGCTATGGTACTTTTGGAACTGAAATCATGCTGTAAGAATATTCATTTGATATTCACTCAAGGTGTTCATTGGCCCAGCACTTCATTTTTTAATTAGTTTCTCTATTTATGGTTGCTTAGGATATTGCATGTTCTTGCTTTTAAAATACTTCTGTGCATTTGTACTAATATTAGGAAAATTTGTATACTCAGAAATTAAAGATTAAAAATTAAGAATTTGTGGAAATTTTAGCATATTTTTAAGTTTTAGAGACATCTTATAATACTAAGTACACACTACAGCTTAGATTAACTTTGGATATACACTTTAAACAGGGTAAAGAAGATGTCAAATAAATTTGACATATTCAAACTTACCACTGGAACACACACACACATTTTTTCAGCCTTTGTGAAGACCAATAGGACTTTATTTCTGAAGATAGACTTACTTGGCCAGTATAGACATACCTCTTACTAAGTATGTTGAGAAATCAAAAATGTACTGAAAAGAAGCATTTGTGTTTTCACTTAGCTGCTGAAATGATTATTGATTTACATCTCAGGATAAAAAACATAGTATTGGGGCAGTGGTGATTCTGACTCGGTCTTGTAGAATAGGAAAGGATATCCCAGTATATATTGGAAAACTGAATTGCCTTCCAAATGTGCTTTGTGTGTGCTGGAACTAGGTTAGCCTGGCTTTTACAGTGAACTTGCCTACAGTTTGCTGTTGGAAAGTTGGCGTAAGGTTTGCACTCATGTTATTCCGATGTACAGTTTTGGCTTTCTTGTTACTGAGTGGCAAAATTTATTGTATGCCTTATGCACATTTTGTGGTTGATGAAAATTTGGTTAAAAAGAATTATTGAAAATAGGGAATCGATTAACAATTGAATAACAATTCTACTTTTTATATAGTGCTTTAGTTTTATAGGTTTGGATAATCTTAAAAGACACATTTCTGAACACCAGCTCCAAGTGTTGATATCTGAAAGATCAAAATCCCTAAAGCCTAAGTTCCTAACATCTAAAATCCTGAAAATCACAAACACAGGGTAGTTGAATCATGTTTGGTGGAACCATTTTCTTGTTATTGTCTTTATTTGGAAATTAAGTATGGTTTAAGAAGATGTGCATGGTTGTCAAGTTGACAAGGGGTGGACTTGTGGACTTAATTTTACTTGTCAACTTGACTGTATTAAAGAATACCTAGAAATCTGGTAAGACATTATTTTGGGTGTGTCTGTGAAGGTGTTTCCAGAGGAAATGAGTGTGTGAGCCTGAGTGGATTTGGTGGGGAAGATCAACCCTCGGTGTTGGTGGGCAGCATCCAAACAGCTGGGGCCGGGATAGAACTATAATAATACAGAAAGCAAATTGGTCTTTCTCTGAGAGCTGGGACAGACTTTTCTTTTGCTGCCTTAGACATCAGAACTCCAGGCTTGCTGGACTTTAGACTCCAGAACTTACATCACTGATCCCCAGAATCCTGAGGCTTCTTCAGCCTGAGCCATGTTACCAACATCCAGTATAAATTGGAGGTATAAAATGTGTAGACTTTCAAAGAGTTCTAACTGATTTAATGTTTTTTTTTTTTTCAAATTTGACTCCACAAATGTACATTATCACAACATTGACTTTGTGTGTAAGCATTGTACATGTATATAAAAGCATTGAAACTTCCTCAGTAAATGAAGAGGTGTCCTTTTCATACATCTGCACTTGTGAAAGACAAAATTTCTCAAAATCTTGGCTCTTGTGGGTAGTGACTCGTTGTGTGTTTTGTTTTGTTTTTTTCCTGTCTCAGCCATTTTGGTTTTTGATCAATCTTGTCAAAAGACAAGAGGTTGTTCATCATAGTAATTCAGATGATTGCAGTTACGTAAAGCTGGGTGCACACAATTACCAATTAGAGAGATATATGTATACATTTCCCTTTTTGACCCTATTTCTCTATAAATATATTTCCTCTCATCTTAACTGTTATACCTCTGTGACTGTCATTAGTATACCTGAGTGTTTATGCTTACAAAAATATAGATTATCATTGGCTGTTTTTTTGTGTAAAGTGGCTTATGGAATGTTCTGTCATGTTGTTTATCAAATAAATCACCTTTTAAAAATGTAAATATCTTTAAAGATTAAAAAATTTTTTTTCCAGAATTATACTTTTAGGATTACAATGTTTAGGATTTCAGCTTTAGGGCTTCTGATCTTTTAGGATTTCAACATTAAGGATTAGGGAGTTCAGGACTGTATCTTTTGGGTATATGATTGGCTACCCTCCATTACCATCTTAACTGTTGATAGGATCAAGAAAGTAACCATTTTTGTATACTAAAAATTTAAGTGTGCTAACATCACCCAACTGATAAACAGTAGAGCCTGGAATTGAGCCCAGGTATTGTGGATCTGTAGCCCATGTCTTTAAACATGATATTCTAAACCTGCCACAACCTCACCTGTGGTAACCATTTCATGTATTATATTCTGTAACTCATGTTTGCTTACATATATCGTTTTATGCCGTGCATGCTCAACCATCCCATTATGTTCTTGTATTCTGAACAGAGAATTAATATTCTGGTTAATATGTTAGATATTGCCTATGCTTATTAATCTGTCTGTATTAGCTACTTATAGATCCTGCCATACCTCCCTATTTTTATGAATGCATCCTCTTTAGTTTCTGCATTGTTATAAAGAAATTAAAGTATCACTTCAAGCCATTGAAATCTATTGGTTGCCCAGCTTTCTAAAACAAGGCTAGGAAACTTAAATTTTATTTCAATAATATCTCTTGACGGTGATTGCCCTGTGGATTAAAATTTATATATATATATATATATATTAGCATTTTTGGTGTTCTTTTTATTTTACTCATACTATTTTTCTTTGGACTCAATCACAATAACAGAATTAAAGATCAAAGTGTAAAAGTTAAAGACCAGTACAGATTCAATAATTATTCTTTTCTACATACTGTGTTTAAATGATATCCCTTTTTCTTTTTGTTCTTTTTTTTTATTTTTTTAGTATTTATTGATCATTCTTGGGTGTTTCTCGGAGAGGGGGATTTGGCAGGGTCATAGGACAATAGTGGAGGGAAGGTCAGCAGATAAACATGTGAACAAAGGTCTCTGGTTTTCCTAGGCAGAGGGCCCTGCCGCCTTCCGCAGTGTTTGTGTCCCTGGGTACTTGAGATTAGGGAGTGGTGATGACTCTTAACGAGCATGCTGCCTTCAAGCATCTGTTTAACAAAGCACATCTTGCACCGCCCTTAATCCATTTAACCCTGAGTGGACACAGCACATGTTTCAGAGAGCAGGGGGTTGGGGGCAAGGTTATAGATTAACAGCATCCCAAGGCAGAAGAATTTTTCTTAGTATAGAACAAAATGGAATCTCCTATGTCTAATTCTTTCCAGACAGACACAGTAACAATCCGATCTCTCTTTCTTTTCCCCACACATCCCCCCTTTCTATTCGACAAAACCACCATCGTCATCATGGCCTGTTCTCAATGAGCTGTTGGGTACACCTCCCAGATGGGGTGGCGGCCGGGCAGAGGGGCTCCTCACTTCCCAGATGGGGCGGCCGGGCAGAGGCGCCCCCCACCTCCCAGACGGGGCAGCAGCCGGGCGGGGGCTGCCCCCCACCTCCCGGACGGGGCGGCTGCCGGGCGGAGGGGCTCCTCACTTCCCAGACGGGGCAGCTGCCGGGCAGAGGGGCTCCTCACTTCTCAGACTGGGCGGCCGGTCAGAGACGCTCCTCACCTCCCAGACGGGGTGGCGGCGGGGCAGAGACACTCCTCACTTCCTAGACAGGATGACGGCCGGCAGCCGGGAAGAGGCGCTCCTCACTTCCCAGACTGGGCGGCTGGGCAGAGGGGCTCCTCACATCCCAGACGATGGGCGGCCGGGCAGAGACGCTCCTCACTTCTTGTGGGGCGGGGTGGCGGCCGGGCAGAGGTTGCAATCTCGGCACTTTGGGAGGCCAAGGCAGGCGGCTGGGAGGTGGAGGTTGTAGCCAGCTGAGATCACACCACTGCACTCCAGCCTGGGCAACATTGAGCACTGAGTGAGCGAGACTCCGTCTGCAATCCCGGCACCTCGGGAGGCCGAGGCTGGCAGATCACTTGCGGTCAGGAGCTGGAGACCAGGCCAGCCAACATGGCGAAACCCCGTCTTCCCAAAAAATACAAAAACCAGTCACGCGTGGCGGCGCGCACCTGCAATCCCAGGCACTTGGCAGGCTGAGGCAGGAGAATCAGGCAGGGAGGTTGCAGTGAGCCGAGATGGCGGCAGTACAGTCCAGCCTCGGCTGGGCATCAGAGGGAGACCGTGCAAAGGGGAGACGGAGACGAGAGGGAGGGGGAGGGGGAGGGGGAGAGGGATTTTCTTTCATCTGTTAAATATGTAGTTTACTTTTGACAGTTTCTTTAATTTCTGTATATTCTTCCCTTGTATGGAAAGGCAATACAAATCTCTGACAAAATGAAGCAAAACAAAACAAAAATTTAAGCATACTCAATGGCAGCATACTCTTTTACTTTTATTCTGTTCACTTTTTCATAGATACTTTTGAGGAGATTTCTAGCGTGGTGGGCAAAAATTCACTTTTCTACTCACACAAAATGTCAAGGGTTGGCTCTCTGCTTTTCAATGGTAGGGAGCTGTAAAAAGAAAATTGGTACAGCCAAGTATGTTGATTAGTGTTATGCTTTCTCAGTCATGCTAAGTTCTAAGAGAGTATCAGTTTCAACATACGTTAGTGTTTGCATGGCAGTCACAAGAGAAAACAAAGAAAACCATTTGAATTTTCTTCAGAGAACGAAATCAAAACACTATTTTTAAAGATCTGTGTAAACTTGGAATGTCATCATATAGAGAGGTATATCAAAAAAAG
The DNA here is from genome assembly GCF_000001405.40 of Homo sapiens. Lineage (NCBI taxonomy): Eukaryota > Metazoa > Chordata > Mammalia > Primates > Hominidae > Homo > Homo sapiens. The sequence continues at coordinate 53,138,336 of NC_000004.12, read as the reverse complement.
CATAGTGTTTGGATGTAGAAATTCTTGATTTAAAAGTCTGGGCTCTGCTGTCTTTCAGCAGTGAGTGTTAGTGGGCAAATCATCCATCCTTGAACCTTGATATAAACGTAACTGCCCTACTGACCATTCTTGATTTTGCTGAGAATAAAATGATGTTATGTGTGTTAACTAATGTTTGGTCCATCTAGTATTATAAATAGGCTATTTTTCTCCCACCACCATTATGATTTTGATAGCATCTAGCTGTCATATAGGGTAGTGCTTCCCCACCCTTTTCTCATCATGTGCATAGACAATGAGAATGTTTGCATAGTAGATTGAGGTAAGTGGACGAGACTCTTATGAACAAAGGCAACCAGCCCTGGGGGCTCTGGCCAGTCTAGGTCCTACCCAGTTGACCTGTGGACTGAGGTGAAGCAGCAGCTTGGCACACCTCTGACCTATTAGGAGCAAACCAATGCTTTAGGGTATATTGGTCAGATGGCTCTGAATCAGGAAACAAAGGAAAACAAGACTTTAATATTACTTTTTGACACAAAAAACTACTTTGGAAAAATTTGTCTTGCTAAACATGTTTTGTTATTACTCATTGATTTACTCACATTATTACTCATTGATTTTCCCTGTATTTCTATAGTATCTTTAAAGTCCAGGTCAACAAGGGCTAGATCTGTTTAGGCTTAGTGTAAAGCTAGAGAATGAATAACTCAAAGTATCTATGCAGTGGTTCATGATAGAGGCATGATAATACCCTAAGAACTGTAATTTACATTTATCAAACTCTTATTTTACTGTTGATAATTTGGGACTATCAATTACTATAGCTTTATATGCATTAGGATACCCAGTTGTATACAATGAAAAATTTACCATATTAGCATAACAACTGGGGTTTGTTTTTCTAAGCAAGAAGTCCAGACAGAATTCATGCTCTTTCTGACTTCCTCCTTCACTGTCCTAGGTGTGGTTTTTATCATCATGGTCATGCGCTGGATGCTTCCCCTCCAGGGAGAAGTGTCCATGCTTTGGGAAAGAAGTGAGGAAGGATGAAGGTAAAAGGCATATACTGGCCAAATCTGTCCTTTTTTATTAGGAAAACAACAGCTTTCTTGAAAGCCCCACTCAGAAGACTTGCATCCTTGGCTAGATCTCGGTTTCATGGCAACCTCTGACTGCAAGAGAATCTGATGAGTGTATATTGTAACTGGGTGTATATTTGTCATAAACAAAGTAAGGATTCTGTTAGAAGATAGAAAGTGAAAATGTACATTAGGTAGGAAACTTGTATTTGCTACAATTACAGACTTCTCTAACAGAGGAAATTCTAAGGCAAGATACTGTGAGTTGGAGTGATGCCCAGTGTTTTAATATTACAGTTATAATATTAAAATTTTTTACAGTGTATACTGAAATAATGATCTATTCTGTGCTGGACTTATATCATAAACATTCTCAGATTATCAATATTTATTGACCACATTTATGTACCTAGCATTAGTCTAAGCTCTCTAAGCATTGAAACCCTGGGACAGTGGTAATAGAATGTAGAGGCTCTGAGCACAGGATTCGGAGTCAAGTGGATCTGGGTTCTGGTTTTGACTCTGACTCTTAGTAGTTGTGTGCTGATTTCCATAAACTTGCATGTCTAATAAATGTAGCCCAAATATCTGAATTCAAGTGAAATGTATCTGTAATATGAACTTCTCTTTGGGAGAATTTATTTGCAGATACACTACTAGTTTTTCAAACATGGTTTGGGACAGACAATATGGTATTGTGTCTAAATCTGGAAATGGTAGAGTTAGTTTTCATTGTGTTTTCAGGTTTTCCATGACAATTCTTTCCTTTAATCCATCAAAGTATACTTTTTGGGAGTTTTGTGGATGTCTGGGTTTTTATGGTAGGTAAAAGGAGTCATAAGGCATAATATTATTGTGTTTTATTGATGGAAATGTTCTCAACAATTATCTAGTCTATTCGCTCTGCTCATGAGGACAACAAGGTTAATTGAGGCCACAAAAGGTTATTTGACTTGCCTCAAATCACCAATCATAGCCTGTTCAATGAGGGGATAGGACTAAGGTTTGTGTCTCCCAATTCCCAGTCCAGAATTCCTTTTACTAGACCAGTGATTCCCAACCTTTGGCTTACGGATCCCTGGGAAAACCTAAGACTTAGTGCAAAGGTTTACTGATTCATGTGTGCTTTATGTATCATCCATGAACTAAATATTACTCTCACATATAAATATACAAATATTTGTAGATACAGTTGTGATTTATAAAAGATAAATTTATTTAAAGACAGTGCTGAAGTTGCATAATTTTTTCCCATTTTTCAATTAACAGGTATCAAAAGCATAATTATATTGTGTCTTCATACTTTAAAAATGGTTGAAATCATGGGTTAGCACAGGAATCTCAAACTCAGGTATTTACAGAGGCTAGCAAGAAATATAAATAAGTAAAGTAGGTTAGGTTTTGGGGAAACAACAGTGAAAATGCAATGATAAATGGCAGGGATGTATAGTCTTACTAAAAGGGACAATAGGGAGTGGTGGAGACTGTGTCAAACTGGAGATCCTCTTTTTTTTTTTGAGATGGAGTCTCGCTCTGTTGCCAGGCTGGAGTGCAGTGGTACAATCTTGGCTCACTGCAACCTCTGCCTCCTGGATTCCAGCGATTCTCCTGCCTCAGCCTCCCGAGTAGCTGAGACTACAGGCACGTACCACCATGCCCAGCTAATTTTTCATATTTTTAGTAGAGATGGGGTTTCACCATGTTGGCCAGGATGGTCTCGATCTCTGATCTCTTGACCTTGTGATCCGCCCACCTCGGCCTCCCAAAGTGCTGGGATTATAGGCGTGAGCCACCACGCCTAGCCTGAGATCCTCTTATTTTTGCCAGGGAAGCATGAGTCTGGTATTGCCATCTCTCAAGAAACCAGGAATCTGGATTTTTAAAAATTTGAAATCACCAAAGTTTAAGAAATTGGTTTATTTTCCAAAACATTACATGAGTCAAATAAATCTTATTGGGGGACAGAATTCAGCTTGTGGACTTAACAATTTCCAGTCTTTATTCTAGAGCCCCCGCCTTAGGCATTGATTACAGAGGAATGCTTTTGAATTTCTAACTCTAGAAATTATTAGAAATCTAAAAGATCTCCAGATGGATAAAATGATGCCCTGTACTTTTATCAGAAAGCAAGGGAAAGTACCCAATGATCTCCTTTTTTGATTACTTTTAACTAAAAAAAAAAATTACATTTGTTTACATTTTAATCTGGCTTAAGTTTACTAGTGATGTAGAATAGTTTTTTGGTTTTTTTTTCAAATAGATTCTATAAAGTTACCATTTAAGTGGAAGTAGGCTTCTCATAGAACTCTGTCTATTGAACAGAAAAGGCTGAGAGGCAGTTTTGGGTTAAATACAAGGCAGACATCTCTGGAAACTAAAGCCAGCTAGAACGTCTGATTTACTCCATGAGAAGAGCTTCCCAGCATGAGGAACTGACTGACACTGGGCCTTCTGCATTGGTAGGAATTGCACTAATTGAGCTCTAGGTCTTTAAGAAACTAGAATGTGAAAAGTAAGTTTTATGGAAAAGTGTGAGGCTCTCCTCATGTTCTGTCAAGATGGTATGTTTTCTAGCTACAGCTATATCTGTGCTTCCTTTGCTATTTAATTCCCAAAACTTTGACATAAAATAATGGTATAGAGATTCCTGTTACTCGAATTGGAATAATCAAAAGCTTCACATTTATTTGCATAAAATGTATAAATTACCTTTGTAGTGAACCACGCTTTTTAAAAATTATCATCAACTTTTTAAAAATTTTGATTTTAGTTCTTCTCTAAATTTTTTCTTCTCTATTTTTCTCACCTGTTCATTACCTTGTTTAAATTCAACCATGTATAACAAATGAGGAAAGACAGGTCTGGTTTAAAAAGCACTGTTTTTTTTTTAAATTTTATTTTATTGTGATAAGAACACTTAACATGAGATCTACCCTCTTAAGTTTTGAAGTGTACAATACGGTATTGTTAACCATAGGCACCATGTTGCACAGCAGAATAAGTAGAATAAGTTCTACTCTTTCACCTTACATACCTGAAACTTTATGCCCATTGATTAGCAAGCAACTCCCCAGTTCCCCTCACCCCAGCCCTGGGTAACCATCATTTCACTCTTTGATTCTATGAATTTACCTATACCTCATATAAATGGAATCACACAGTATGTGCCCGTCTGTAACTGGCATATTTCACTTACTGTAATGTCCTCAAGGTTCATCCATGTTGTCACATATTACAGAATTTTCTTCTTTTTTAAGGTTGAATGAATAGTCCATTTTTTCAAAGAGATATTGGCATTCTGGTATTCCCTGAAGCACTATTCATAATTGTCAAGCTATGGAAACAACCTAAATGTTCATTGACAGACAAATGGAAAGCAGTGTTCTTAAAGACATTGGGAAGGTAGGCATAGTCTAGTGAGCTTTCAATTGGGGTTCTCTTACATTCCCCACTAGAAATCTAACAGAGCAGAGTCTTATCAACTGTGAATGAGGAAGGAGTTGAGGATTTGTTTTTCCTTGGGTTGTGGAAGGCAGCTCATGTTAATGTCTTTAGCTCTAGTTTCCAAAGGAAACCATGTATGTATTCTTATCCATAGTAAAACAAGACCACATTCTACAACCAGTAGTAAAAATCTATTTGCAATGATTTGTTTATGTTATCTCTCTTCTTTGGAAAAGTCTGGGTCTAATGTAGACCATATAAAATTATTATTGTTCTTCATGGCTACCACTTAATTATAAAAGCTTTCATCTCCATTAGCACAAGGCATGGACGTTTTGTTTATTATGTTTGAGAAGTTATGTCTTTCAAACAAAGCATTTTTCATACTTAGCCAAGTAATTTTCTCCAGCCTTGTAGAAAGTGAGTCTTCTTTATAACATATGAAGTACTTCCAAACAGAGAATTTTTTTTTTTTTTTTTTTTTTTGAGACGGAGTCTTGCACTGTCGCCCAGGCTGGAGTGCAGTGGCGCGATCTGGGCTCACTGCAAGCTCCGCCTCCCGGGTTCACGCCATTCTCCTGCTTCAGCCTCCCGAGTAGCTGGGACTACAGGCACCCGCCACCACGCCCGGCTAATTTCTTGTATTTTTAGTAGAGACGGGGTTTCACTGTGTTAGCCAGGATGGTCTCGATCTCCTGACCTTGTGATCCACCCGCCTCGGCCTCCCAAAGTGCTGGGATTACAGGCATGAGCCACCGCACCCGGCCTCAAACAGAGAATTGTAAAAGACAAGGAGCTAATAAGAATTTTTCCTCTTATGCTTCCCTTATTATCACCTCTGCATTCTTCTCTCATCCCACAGTTTTTCCTCAGTAATTCATCAAATTTCAGGATATGTATACCTGCATATTTCTGCTCCTCAGGACAGTATTCCAGTTGAAAGACAGTTTTCAGGATTTTGAAAATCTTTTCCTTGAAAAATTGTCCCTTAAACCTTGAGCATACCTGCTGGCTTGGTGGTGACAAGGATGTTGCTATGGCAACTGGAAGACTGATTCTACACGTCCATCACCAGCTTTCATGTCACCCACACTTGAATGAAAATTTTAACTCATTACAGTAAGTGAAAGTGTACAAAACAATGACTGTCAAATCCACCCACTCAGCTAAAGGAAAACTTCAGGGTGTAGGGGGAACACTCATTTCAGAAAGGATTTTGACTAATCTCTTGTTTCTAATTTAAATATTCTCATTTATTGTGCCATGCCAGCATTAGACTTTTCCATTACAGAATACATCTTCATTTCTAGTGTTTCAGATTTGTTATTTCAGGGCTGCCAAAACAAAACAAAAGAAAACAAAAAACAGCTTTAAATACTTGTTTTCTATTGTGGTTTGCAACGTTGTTTGGTATAATAGGGTCTATTTTTTCTCTTGATTTCTAAGATTTCTGCTGGAAACTCTGACGAAGAACATATGTCTGCCAAAATCACTCCCAGGAGAAATGTTGGAACCGTTATATTTAGTTTTACTATCCAACATATTAAAATAGTTACCCATAGCACATATTACTAAACACTGTATCAGTGAAGTTTAAGATGTTTAATACATATTTAAAATATATCACAAGCTATGTAGAAAGATACTTAGAGCTTCCTATTGAGGTAGCTAACTAGTTAAGTAATTTGCTAACATATTAAAGGATCACTACAAATTACTTTCTCCAGTACTTAATTTTTCCATGCCACATCACAAAAATGATTATTCTTATCTGAGACACTGGAATGAATCTTCTTCTACTAATATTTATATGTGTACAAATGCATGACACATACTGTCCATATCACCAATTTTTATGACAATGCTGGCAGTAATAATTGTGTTTGTAATTATTCAATGAATTGTTTAAGAGATTAGCTATTACTGACTCTTGTTAACTCTACATTAGATACAATACATATTTCTCAATCATGAAAGAGAAGAGATGGAATGCATGGAACACAAGAGTAGTTTTCTTGAACACAAAGCTATGGATCAAATTGGAGAGATCATGTGATGTGGTGGAAAAGAGCACAGCGGGGAGGAGGCCGAATTTTCACTCCTAAGTATGCCCACAGTTGTGTAACCTGCAAGTCACTTAGCTTGCTGCAGACTCAGTATACTCATCATAAAATGAGAATCTTGTTTTAGACAAATCTAAGATCTCTTCTTTCTCTGCCATTCTATGGTTCTAGCTTCATATGCTTTTTATTTTTATCTGAATCAATATACTCCCTCATCCACTTCCAAATCAGCTCTTCCTCAGTACTATCTGTCTTTTTCAGGGTCACACCATTATCTCAGGAGGGAAGCAATGGAGTCATTGACTCACCTTCGCCCCCATGGTAGGCAGCACCTCCCTGCAGCCCATTTCTATTTCCTTTGATACACTGTTCAGATCTCTCTAAAGATGCCTCTTTATCTCAGATACCCATTGGCCCATGGCCTTCTATCTGACATCTCTGACTCGTTGCATACCCACCGATTCATCCTGCATACTGATCCCAGGCAACATTCTTAAATATAATTTTATATTTTAATGCCTTTAAGCTTTTTTATCTATTATTACAGTAATAAATTCTCATTGTCAAAAATTTGTAATCATAAAGAACAAAGTAGAGCCCACATATAAATTTCATTTTGTTGGTACTGCCTTTTTCCTTTTTTTCTGCTGAATCATTCATTTTATGCTTAATGATTTAAAATCAGAGCACTTGGATCATTACAGTTATTAATTCTTAGTCATATATTTTGCTAATATGTTTTTCTGGTTGGTGTTTGCCTTTTATATTTGCGTGTAGATAGAGATATTTGCCAGAGATAGAGCTATATTTAGGAGAGTTGGGGCAGGCGCCCAACAGCATGATCAGTGTTCTCTGCATCTTCTTCCTTTTAGTTATATTCTCTGCATTTTTAGTTAGTGTTCTATGCATTTTCTTCCTTTTAGTTATCGACCTCATCCTTTCCTATCACAACTGCCTCTGTATAACCCCTCATCACCCCCAACCACTTTTGGTTTATGTCATTCTAGAATAGCAACCCACGAAAAAAGAGGGTTTTTTCTTCCAGAGGTTGTAGATCAGTCCCAGGAAAGGAAGCTGACTGACCTTCAGTCACTTGCCAGGGGGATGGGATACCCTTTGGCCAAACCAAAGTCGTGTGGCCATAACTGTGTGTGTGTAGAGGGAGAGGGGAGATGGGGGAAGGGATTTGAAGAAATGGTCAGTGGGGTAGCACTGCAATTGGCAGTCCCACAACTGCCACTTAGATTGACAGTTGGAGTGATTCCACAAAGGAAGGGATACCAATGTACAAAAACTAGATACGTCTACCATAAGAGCATTCATTAAAGAACCAGGTTTATATCTCTGTATTTTAAAAATAGAGGTATCTTGTCTTCTCTCACAGTGAGTTTGATATTTTACTTATAAAGAGATGAAAATGTCACTGACATCTAAACAATTACTTGAAGATTTTTTGTATGCCTAACAATAATTGTATGGAATTTCCTCTAGTGTCTTAAAAACCTAAAAACAGTGTCTTAAAAACATCTCTCTTTATGTTTATAATTTCCTTTATGATGGATTATTTATAATTGGATTTTTCCTTATTACAGAAGTCATACTTTTTTATTTTAGAATACTTGAAAGATGTTATAGTTATTTTTAAAAATTTTTATAAATTTATGGGACACAAGTCTAATTTTGTTACATGGATATATTGTATAGTGGTGAAGTCAGGATTTTCAGTGTGATCTTTTGCTCTTTAATAAACACAGAATAAAATGTAAACTAATTTATAAACCCACTACCCAGAGAAAACCACTGTTAGTATTTTAATATGTATTTGGTAAATAGAAAGCCTGATCCCATATATGCTTTCCAGGTGAAGGTATCAGGTGGGGTTTTGTTTTGCATGTGTTTTGCAGTTGGTGTATTAAGGCCACCAGTGCCTAGAATAAAGAAGGCATGGATATACTGTCAACATAAAAATATTAAAACTAACATTGGAAAGGAAGTTGTTGACAATGTTGGTGCTGAATTTATGTCCCACATTCTAGGAGACATTATTGCATAAAAGAAAATTTATCCTTAATCAGAATGTAAAAAGGATCCTCTAATTTCAAAATGAGGTTCATTAAGATCTTGAATGGGAGGAAAAACATTTAGGTACAACCATTTCAGCCTAAAATTGCAGCAAAAAAATATTGAAAGAGATGCAACAGGCTCTAGGCTTTGACTTACATTATTTTATGATGTGAGAATGGAAGATTAACATTTTTAAAGCCAGAAGGAGAATGTATGTGTGCAACCATGCTGATATTGATTCATATTTTAAAATTTAGTTTTAAATGTAAACAATAATATAATTCCCACAGAAGCCTGACTTTTTAGGCCTTCATGTGTTGCTTGTTTATTCTGTCTTTAGCACCTGGACTGAATTGGTCCCAAGTGGAGTATTAATTTTCATTGAAGTGTTTACAAAATGAAGCCCCTTTCTCTATTTTTTTCTGTTCGTTTTGTTTTGTTTTGTTTTGTTTTGTTTTGTTTTGTTTTCTTCCAAGATACACGCCTGAACTTTCCTGTCTGGCTCTTGAGTTGTTGCCAACCTGACAGAAAGCCAACTGGCAGAGGAAACTGATGAGGTGCAGTGTTCATTAGCAACTTACATTTCCCAACATGCAAAATGCTTTAGAGTTTTAATTTTTGAAGCTTTTTTAAAGCCAAATTATACTGTAAAATGACTAAACTCTTTATTTCCTTATTTGTGTTGTGGTAGTTAAGAAAAACAAATCTGTACTGTTCTTCTCACATAGTGATGTACAATTTGGGGGTTCTTTTCCATACAAATCACCACCTTGCAAAGAATTCAATCTTTGGCCAAGAAAGTTTTCTTCATAGTTAAAATGTGATTGGATACATGCTAACTGGGAATGCACAGCCCTTCTGTGAAATCATAGAAACAGTGCACCACATAAACAATAACACTGTAGTTATAGTTCATAGTATTTTGGTCATCTCTTCCATGGATAACAAGTGAAGCACATATTTTCATATATTTTAAAAATGTAGGATGCTTTAAATTTTGTTCCCAGAAACATATTTCAAGGCACCAATTTATTCTGTAAATGTATCTTTATTATTTTTTTAAACTTTAATCTCTTGCTTACCATTCCCCTTCACCCCTCCTCCCCTCCGAACCTTACAGCTCTCCGAGAGAAATCAGAAAACATGCACATACTATATCTTATAACTGGTCACCTTGGGAGGCTGCACATTATATTCTTGATTACTTCAAGTTGTTCTCCTCGGAAACGCAGAAGCCCAGACAAATGACATCATTTGAGATGAGTACATGCCTTTAATTTTAGAGATGAACATTTAATGGCTTTTGACTTTGAGGTGATTATAGCATTTCAGAGCAGCAGCCCTTCCAGATATTAGAATGGAAGTGTTGAAGCTGTTACACATCAGGTCAGCTATATACAGAATTTAGAACAGAACAAAAGCCATCAGGATATATTTGTTGGAATTTTTTGATGGCGTATGTGCACGTAAAAATCAAAATATCAAATTCTTAATTACTTCCTTAGTATTATCTTTACGTTTTTTCTTGAGCCAATTTATGTCTAAATTTATTTTAATGTCAGATTCAACAAATGAAAACAATTCTGGGAACATGCATATATTAGATTTTTTATTGGCTTTTTTTTTTTTTTTTTTTTAGGACATGGCCCTTGTTCTGCAATTTGATAGTGAAAAAAATCAGTATTTTGCTTAAAATAACAGAATAGCAAAAATGCACATGATTGGGCTAAAAAAAAAAAAAAACAAAAAACTGGGTTATTACTCTCCAGAGTAGAGAGGAGCTAGAAATGGTTACCAAATAGTGTGCTACACCCACCGTGTCCTCTCTGTCTGGACCAAAGTGACACACTCCTCCACATTGGACTTTTCAGAGCAGCAGAAGGTCATTTTTCCATGGCCAGTTTCTTAGTCTGGAGGCCATTTTTTTCTTTCATTCCCTCTGTCCCAGACACAGGCCTTGCAGTTCCTTAAATATATTATACTGCCTGAGATACTAAGTGCTTGCAAGAGCAGTTCTCTGCAACTGATTCCCAGCCCAGCCCAGCTAACCGTTTCCGAGCTCAGCTCAGACAACTCCTGAGATCAGCCTTCTCTGAACCTCCAGACCAGCTCAATGCCTCACAACCCCATTGTGTGTCGTAAAGTGAACAAAGTTTATTACCTATTTGTGTGTTACTTTGATTAGTGTCTGCCTTCCCTCCAGGATCATAAACTCTGTGAGTTTTGCTCAACGTTGTATCTCAAGCACCAGTTGTGCTGGGGGTTGGGGTGGGGGGTGCGCACATAGAAGACTCTTAATAAATATTTATTGCATGAATAAAGGAATAAGAAAGAAGCTGATTGCATTTCAGAGTTTCCTCTGATGCTGTGCAACAGGGCAAATATGTTGCAAGTTTACCAGATGAACTTAGCTTTGGAGAATAGAAAGTTTGGTTGAAGAAGGAATTGGAACATCAAAGGAAACCATGAGTTTTGGATGAGAGTTTTTAAATCCCATTGTTTGAAATATAGTGAAGAAAATATTTCATGAAATGAAAACAAATCACATCAGCTGTTAGTGGAAATGTTGCTTTGTGTTTTAATATTTTTACATGACCAGATTTTTAAATTCTGAAGTTTTGGGTTAAATTAGCTGTTTCTTTCTCTACTTCTTCAGGTTTTTTTCTTCTTTATTGCTTTTCTCTTCTTTCCTTTTGTCCCCACATCTTGTTTTCCGGTCAGGTACTGAGCACTCCATTCAGCCAACACATGGAATGCAAAATTTTTTATTTAAACCCATCTTTTAATCCTCTGGTTCTCTGAAGGTTTTTTTTTCCAACCTGATTATGATAGGAATGAAACAGGCCAAATAACTTTTTGGGAGGAACTCAGGGAGAAAGAGGAGAGCTCTCTGCCGAGACGGTGGTTCTCGGGAATCCTGCTTTCCCTGCAGGTGTGGCTCACCCACACAACTTGTACTCTGTAGTTAAGTGGGCAAATTATTTGTCCCACGTGTGAGGGACCTGCAAGGTACCAGTTTTAAGAAGGAAGGTAAATTCCATGTGTACACCATCATTTAAAAACCGGTGTGAGGATGGGCGTGGTGGCTCACACTTGTAATCCCAGCACTTTGGAAGGCTGAGGCGGGCAGATCACTTAAAGCCAGGAGTTGGAGGCCAGCCTGGCCAACATGGCAAAACCCTGTCTCTACTAAAAATACAAAAATTAGCTGGGCATGGTGGCACATGCCTGTAATCCCAGCCACTCAGGAAGCTGAGGCAGGAGAATTACTTGAATCCAGGAGGCGGAGTTTGCAGTGAGCCGAGATCACGCCACTGCACTTCCAGAGAGCAAGACTCTGTCTCAAAACAAACAAAAAACAATGTGATGTAACTTAACGCAATCTGCCATTTTAAAGTGGCAAAAGTGTCTGTTCTTTCATCTTCTTTCTCTCCTCTCCTTTCAACCGATTATTATGGAAGAACAACTGTGCATCTAAGGTAGTACTGGCAAAGGGTCAATAGTAGAGTAGGCAAGGTGTGTGTTGCCATGGAGCTTACTTTTAAGGGGAAAGTGTCTCTCATTAATGCCACAGATATCCCTTAGTTTTAGCGAAACTTCATATTAGTTTTAGCTCAACTTCAACTCTCTGGTTTTCCCTTGAACTCCCTCAGCATGGTCCGCTTCCCTTTGTCCTTCATGGGAGAAGTGCCTGTTGGTAGTATCCAGCTGCAGCCTCTTTGCAAATGTTCCTTGACAAATCTGTCCTCAGCCAGCTTCTGTAGTCCTTTCTGGATGCTCTCCCATACTCTTCCCAACCTGGATGGAACCATCACTCCTGAAACATTTTCTAAAACAACTTCTATTTACCCCATATCTACCCCCTCCCTTTAGTGATCAGGCCCTAAACCCTGCCAGTCAGACATGAAATTGGCAGTTCTAAGTTACAGCATCCTATTGGGTAGTCTTTCATCATAACGGAGAAACTAAGAATATATAATGTTTAATATGAAGTGGCAGGAGTGTGTTTGCTCCTAGCCCCAGGTATCTGTTTCCCTGCATGTATATAACCTGGGCCCTGCCGTCAGGCATGTGTGCCCATTGACAGAAACATGAGCGTGTGTCCCATCTTCTGAGGTTAGCTACTCAACAGCAGGAAGCTGACTGGCTTGTCTGAGCACTTGCTGCTTTTTTGCCTACATGCAGGAGAATATCTGATAAATTTTTGTTGACTGTGATAAACGGGAAAATTTCAAAATGCTAGTAAAAGAGAATAAGAATGAAAAAGGCTTTAGATCAAGATAAATAAAATGTTACTCTTATAATATTATAACCGAAATGATCTCATCTGACGTGTTATAATATGCTGGAAGAAGAAGATCCCTTCTGTATTCTCTCCTCAGGATTTAAATAATTTTAGACCATCTCTATCATAAGTTATTTTCCCCAACTGTACTATATTTTAATACCATTTCCTATGCCTAAAATACATTCCCTGTTCCCCATTCTTACCTATAAAACTCCCACTCATTCTTTAAGATGGAACTCATATGTCACTGCCTTTCTTATTCCTTCCCTAATCATCCTAGCTCAGAATGACCCCTGTGCCTCAGTATTGATTTGCGAGGATCCTAGGGACTTATATTTGTATTGCCACACAGGGTTGAAATTTATCCACATGTGTTCCTTCTCCCGGGGTGATCTTGGGCAAATCACTTAATCTCTCTTTACCTCCGTTACTCCATGTCTAAAATGGGGATATAATAGTACCTATCTCAGGGATTGCAGAATATAGTTATTATTGTTGTTTGTTCTCTCTTCTATTAATTAAGTTCCTTGAGAGCAGTGACTGTGTTCTCCACCTTTGCATTTCTAGCTCCCATCTGAAAATGGTGGTGCTGAAGGAAGGAATGAACAAAGAGTTTTGACATTTTTATGATGCTCTTCACTTTTCTCTTCTGATTTGGTTTAAACTCAATGGAGGCTAGATTTATAGCTGATCCTTTGGGGTCTAGACCTGGTTCTAGGATGTTAGCTAATGAGGGAAGTATTTGATAATGACCAATATTTTCTAGAAAAATATTCTTTCTTTATAAAACTTTGCTTACACTATCATGGACTTTCTTCTCTAATCCCGATAAGCCAAATATTGTAATAATATATCATCTTCTTGACAGCGAGTCTAGTTATTCTTCCCCCAAACCACTTTGTTCATCTAGAATTGAGTCTCCTATTTTTCTTTCACACCTACATATTTGGAACTGATTTTCTTTAATAATAACTTCACAAGAGAAGGACACTTAACCTATGCATAGTTAAGATGAACTTACTTTCTATGCTTCTTTTCTCAGAAGAAAATTTTATAGTTTGATCCTCAGCTTTCTCTGGCCCAACCATGTGAAGTTTGGTTATCAGACACTATTAATTTGCCTATATAAGTGGAAGATTTGGTGTCTGTTTGTCAAATACTTGGTCCTGTGTTCCTAGCATGCCAAACAGCACTGATAGGAATTAATATTTATTTTACACCAAAAATGACCAGATATAGCACCAAACCACCCTGTGGGATGTCCTAGCTCACTGGTCTCATAGTCTAAAGCAGGAAAGCAATATATTGGACCCTCTAATAGGACAAAGCCCTGACCCCCAAATATTCTATTTCTATGGACTCATCACTAGAGTACACAAAGCCTTTGGACTCTTGCTTCCTAGTATGGGACTGTTGTTACCACAGAGGTACCTATGAAAATCCATTTTAATTCTCCTCTAGATGGAGTGGTTTCCAAGCACCATTCTGCAAGCCAGAATCACCTGAGACGGTTGTTAAAAATACAGCTTACAGGTCCTACCCTAGACCTACTGAATCAGAAAGCTGAGGAGGCCTGTCTGAAGATCTGTGTGGAACTGGAGCAGTGTGTTCTGTCTGGAGCTCCCTTGATCAAGCATGAGGAATGACTTTCCTTTGAGACATCATCTCACTTGAGCTACCCAGGGCCTTGCCCTTTCTTCTGGAGCAATTAAGGTCCTAGGTCAATGAGTGGGGTGAGAGTTGTGTACTTGGAGGGGATCAGTTGAGGTTTTGGGTTTTAGTAGCATTTTGGGCATCAACGAGCATCACCTCTTATAGGCACACAACTGGCACCTTGCTAGGAATGTTTGTCAGTGCCCCCCCCCCACCCCCATCTCATGTTAGCAGCAAGGTAACCCTTAGGGCACTGGTTTGGCTGCTCCCTCAGCTGTCTCTGGCACTGGACAGTCCCCACTGTTGGTTTCCATGGTCTCACAGTCACCTATTCATGCATTCCCTCTCTCTTCCCATTTCCTTAGCCAAACCGGAAACATTTAAAAACCTAGCCTGGGAGTGAGAAAGCTCTATATGTACACAGCCTAATCTTTTTGCCCTTTGCTTAGACTAATGTTGTTTAAACTTAATGTTCAAGTGTTTGCAAATCTTGCTTTCTGTTTCTGCAGAAAATAATTCGTGTCTAGCTATCAGGCTAGGATAGGGTGGAAATGGGGGGACAGAAACATACCTTGCAATAGAAGAAATGAAAATGAAAACTGTAAATATCCAGCATGCTATTCATTGAAAATGTGAATCTGTAATGAAAATTTTGTCTGGAGAGAGTGGGTCAGCAAAGTAGTCCTTCAATAGCCATTTAATAGGAGCAGTAAGGGAGTATTGGACAGGAATTGTACGTATATTCCAAATAATCTCACAGTTCAGAAATAAGCCCTAATTTTTTTGTATGAATAAGCCATAAGTTTATTATGTTAAAAATATAAAATAATATAAAATTAAAAATAGAAAACATGAAAAATAATATAAAAATAAGTTGACCATAATAATATTAAACATGAAAACATTTAGAATAAGTACAGCTGCCATTTACTGAGTGCCTATAAAATGCCTTGCGTACTTTCCCTCATTATACCTCATAGCAATCCTGTGAAGTAGGTGTTACTACCCAGTTTACAAATGAGGAAGACTGGGCTTAGAGAGGTGAACTGACTTATGTGACATCACAAAACTATTAGGTGAAAAAATTACAATTCAAATGTAGGCCCATCTGGAGTCGAAGTCCGAGTTCTTTATGTCTGCGTGTATTGCCTACTAATTCTGGACCGAGAGGCTCCGACATTCCCTCCCCACCTATTTATTCTGCTTATTTCTCTTTGTTTATTGTGACACAGCTGTGCCATTTAGTGGCTGAAGTTCTTGGCAGGATAGGGTTTATGCTGAGGCTCTTCCTTCCCTTTCATGTTGAGTGAGCTGCGGCTTGTCAGCATGTCAGGGTTCAGAGGTCAGAGTTCAGGATTTTTTTTTTTTTTAGACGGAGTCTCGCTCTGTCACCCAGGCTGAAGTGCAGTGGCACAATCTCAGCTCACTGCAACCTTCACCTCCTGAGTTCAAGCAATTCTCCTTTCTCAGCCTCCTGAGTAACTGGGATTATATGTGCCCACCACCATGCCCAGCTAATTTTTGTATTTTTAGTGGAGATGGGGTTTCTCCTTGTTGGCCAGGCTGGTCTCAAACTGCTGACCTCAGGTGATCCACCTGCCTCAGCCTCCCGAAGTGCTGGGATTACAGGCATGAGCCACCGCGCCCAGACTAGGGTTCAGAATGTTTTTTGCTTGGCATCAAAGTGAGTGAGTCTGGGGAAGTTTATTCCTTAGGTGATTCCATCAGGTCAGAATTGGGTTCAAATGGATAATGTGATGTGATGATGGCAGCTGAAATTAAAAGCAAGAACTCACTTTGGGGGAAAAAAAACAAGAAAAATAAGAGTGACCTTGGTAGCTGCTTATATTAGCATTCTTGATTAATGTCTGCTTTAAAAAAATCACACGGGTAATGCAGCTATAATCATTGTACCAGTCATAACCAATTAGTTATGTTTATGTAATATGAAACAATATGCAGGCAGGGCTGCCTGGAATCCCACTTTCTTCCACAAAGGGAGTCAAGATCACATGGATTGCCACTTCTGCCTGTGCCTTGCCTTTGCAGGACACTATTCTGATTGCGACCAGGTCTGTTACGTAAGCACCGCATTCAGTTGGCTCTGCCAGTAATTCACAAAGTTACTTCTTTTGTGGACGTGGAAGGGACCTGAAAGAACTGTCCATAACAGCATGTTCCCAATTCAATCAGCCTCTATCCTTCTACGCCTCAGAAAAGAAACTGGATGGCAGGCTCATAACCAGCAAGCCCTAGCTGTTCTGGAGCCCTGTTTTGTTTGGCCTACTCAGTGTTTGTGATAACTTTCATTTGGAGCCCAAACTTGAACAATAGAGACTTCACATGAATAGCTGGATTTTGTTTGTGTGTTTCTTTTTGAAAAATGCAAGGAATGGTAGGAACTGGTGGGAGTTGAATCATGGTTGCCCCTTAGAAGGGGCCTGTGCTCCCAGCCCACCCCAGAATCAATCCCTTTCATTCTCTTGTATTACGTGTGGGCCCTTAGGTGCAGTGGAGTTTATGGCCTCTGCTTTCCCTTCACTGTCATGTTTTCCCTCCACCACCCTGTTGGTGGAATAAAAGATTATAATGAGCGACAGTTCTGATCAAATTGGAAATAGTTCACTTATCATTGTGTCAATTTTTTGTAAACAGGAACTCAAGATCCACACAGTTATAAATGTCCTTAGAGGCCCAGAAATGTATCAAGTACCGGATATGGCACGTAGTAGCCGCTTGGCAAGCGTCTATTGAGTGAATCTACGAATAGAACTCCTGAGTGTGTGGGGACTCAGGGTCATTTGTTTGGCTGGAAGAAGAGACCTTACAGGGCAGTTTGGGAATATTAATGACACTCTTTAAGTACACAAAGAGTTTGGATGACAGCTAGCAATTTTTTTTCATTTCCATAAAATACAGGATTTTATTTTTATTTTGTGATGGGATACCTTGGCCATGTTATACCAACACCCTTCTGGGGGACATTAAACTTTGGTGACCTTATAAAATTTCAATAAATTTTCTTTTTCTCATCCAAGCAAAATGTCCTCTTGGGTTCAGTTGGGTATGACGCCTGACAGTCTCTCTAACCTGATACTGTCTATTTCTCCCAGTGTGGACTGTGAAACAGGGACCTCTGTGTCTCTGTGCCCCAGAGACATTTGATGTTAACCATGAACGCTTATACTGTTAATAACATTTAGGTCCTGTCCTACAAGGAAAAATACAAGTTATTAATGCTTCTATCACAGTGATTTAGGACTAGGGCTTCATAGATTGACAGGGTTTGAATCTTTGTTCTACTATTTGTTCATCATGTGGCCCTGAGCAAGTTATATCTCATTGCTGTGGCTTAAGTTTCTCATCTGCAAAATGAGTATCCCAGTAGTAAGATCATAGCATAGTTAGAACAACGCCTTAAACATAACCTCCAGTAAATGACAGCTGCCATTCTGGTGGTAGTAATGATAGCAGAAGTGATATCTGTCTTAAATTATAAAAATGTGCCACTAAGAACTTTTTTTAATTTAGTTTTTTGTCTCTTTTCCCCCAGCTTTATTGAAGTATAATTGACAAATAAAACTGTGTGTATTTAAGGTATAGTTTTCGTCAAATGCGTTTATTACTTTGAGAATTGCACAGCCCTTTTGTCACTAGACTGTAAAAATATTGGATACATTTTCACCCATTAGTGTGTGATTGAGTTGGATTTGGTGAAACAAGAACCCTTCAGGTATGCATAGAAGGGGCCCCTTGCTTTCCTGGTTATGACAGGCAGAGGAGGCCTGTTTGAGGGAAGGTAATTATCTTCCTGCAGTAATTACTTTTCTATAAAAATCCAACACTCTCTCACCCCTGATTACTGAAGGAAAACAAAGCTCTGGTTTCTGTGTGAGCTCCTTGTAGTGAGAGGCCAGCATTGGAATGTGGTGTGATGTCACTGCTGATTGGCCCCAGGGTTCTGGGTTTCATCTGTGTTGTTGGAATACCTCAATTTATCTGTTTTCTACAGGGGATTACAGCACTCTTCAGGGGTTTGGAAAGTTCTGAAATGAAAGCATACTTCAGGGGTAACACATGCCTATACCAAACACTGGCAGTCCTCACAGGGCTAACAGTATATGCTAACCTTATGGAGACTTTATTTTTTTCTTAACCATCAAACCACAGGAGTTTTAAGCTGGCTTTATTACCATCTCTTCCTCTGATCCACTCCCTTACTTACTTTGGGCAGAAACTTTATTTTATTTTTATTTATTTATTTTTTGAAACAGTCTCGTTCTGTCGCCCAGGCTGGAGTGCAGTGGTGCAATCTCAGCTCACTGCAGCCACTGCCTCCTGGGTTCAAACGATTCTTGTGCCTCAGCCTCCCAAGTAGCTGGGACCATAGGCACCCACCACCACACCTGGCTATTTTTTTTTTTTTTTGAGATGGAGTCTCGCTCTGTTGCCCAAGCTGGAGTGCAATGGTGCAATCTCCGCTCACTGCAACCTCTGCCTCCCGGGTTCAAGTGATTCTCCTGCCTCAGCCTCCTGAGTAGCTGGGATTACAGGCATGCACCATCATGCCTAGCTAATTTTTGTATTTTTAGTAGAGACAGTGTTTCACTATGTTGGCCGGGCTGGTCTCGAACTCCTGACTTGAAGTGATTTACCCACCTCGGCTTCCCAATGTGCTGGGATTACAGGCATGAGCCACCGTGCCCAGACAGAAACTTGATTTTAGTAGCAAGATTACAAATGTTTATGTTGGGCCTCTTCTTTCCAGTTACTTAAAAATGCATTTCAAGTCTCTACTAAGTAACAGTGAATTCTATCAGAGTTGTTTCCCAAAGTGGCTTTTGTTCCCCCATGTGATATGGATACCACTGAAACAAAAGCCTTTTATTTTATTTTTTTTTTACGTAGATGCCTTGTAGATTATAAGAGGGAATAGATATAGTGTGGCAGTTAAAAGGCAGAAGCAGGGAGGGAAGTCTTCTAGAGTCAGAATCGAATGTATCCCTGCTAATTATGTCTGTGACCTTGGCAAGTTCTTACTTCTCAGTTTTGTCCTTTGTAAATCAGAAGTCATTTGTGTCCCGCCCTCTGGGTGGTGGGTGGGATCACTGCTCAGCCCACCCTTAGTAAGCACTCAGCCACTAATATGTTACCTTTATTACTGCTTTACTGTTATTGTACCTTGCTGTAAACTGAACCTGGAAGAAAATTCTACTTATTGCAATTATGAGATGTCATGTTTTCAAAGGATTTTCAAAATACTTTTTTTCTGATACAAATATTTGATTTATCTCTCTTTGTGATTGAATCTCATTTCAAATTTTATTGACCACCACAACCTCTTTATTTAATCAATAACTACTCAAAGACGGAGAAATGCAGTCACCAATATGACTTATGTCACTTAATTTTAACTACCAGGAGACCACGAACTGCTTGAGCTGGTCATTTCATCAGTTGTCCCTTATTTACTGAGCACCTACTATGTGCCAGGCAGGAATGGGTTCTGGGAAAACAATGGCAAATAAGAAAAAATCCCCTGCCCTCAAAGAGCCTGTGGTTTAATGGCAACATTACTTCTTACTTGTGTTTGTGTCCATCTCACATTTTTGTGTCTCACATTTTTGTTTGTCCATCTCACAAACACATCTCACATTGTGTTTGTGTCCATGTCACATAGTACCTGGCATACAATACTGATGCTCAATCAATGTGGGGTTGTTTTGGGTGAATTGAGTGCAGCTTAACTGAAATGGAAGTCCAGTGCTATTTCTGGAAATTTTCTTTAAAAAAATAAGATTTTTCCATGAAAAGACCGCCTTGTCTTTATGTTTTATTTATTAACAATCCCAATCCATCTGATTGGATGGAAAAATGAATCTAGCTGATTACCGTTTTCTTGCTTTTTAAAGAAGCCCTTTGCTGTGACTCTATTTATATAAAATTGCATGTGGTGTTTTGGTATATCAAGACATGT
The DNA here is from genome assembly GCF_000001405.40 of Homo sapiens. Lineage (NCBI taxonomy): Eukaryota > Metazoa > Chordata > Mammalia > Primates > Hominidae > Homo > Homo sapiens. Next base: position 53,117,768 of record NC_000004.12, on the reverse strand, counting down.
TTAAAAGAAGGTTTTTCTAAAATATAAACCAAGGTTGGGACTTGCTCTTGAACTTTACTGTACTTTACAGCATGATGAGTTCCTTCTCTAGTGTGCACAAAACTCCTGGTCTGCCCACAAACCAGCAGCCTTCCCTTCTACACCTCCAGATAAAGAAGAAAGGCAGTGGATGGTGGGATGGGAAGGAGGTGGCGAGAGGAAGACATATTAGGTGCTTGGCTTTGTATGGAACACTGTATGTGTTTTTTGTTTTTTGTTTTTTTAAATCACCTCTTACCTTTGAGGTAGATAGTGTTGATCACCTGTACAGATAAGGAACCTAAGGCTCAGAGGTTAAGAAACTTTCTCAAGAACACTCAGTAGAGAGGTAGCAGAGTTAGGATTTGAGCCCAGGTTTGCCAACCCCAAGCTGCTGTATATGGGAACAAGAATGCACCTCTTCTCTATCTAATAGATATTCTTGGCTAAGTCTTGCAAGGGTGAAAATTGTCTTACTCCAAGCTGCTCTGGGCCAGGTAAGACAGATCACAGGAAGTGGTAGGTTAAAATGTGGCCCCTCTTGTGCTACTCCTGTGTTCAGCTCTCCTGGGGTGGGGCACAGCAGCTTGATAGGAGTCAGCGTGGTCTGGAATTCCCTCAAGTTTCCATGGTTTCAGTTCCAGTACACAGAGTGCTACTCTCCTCCTGTAGAAAATGAGAAGCACTCCTCTTCTGAGTCTATTTCTCAGGATCTGTTAGATAAGATGCAGAAGTTTTGTCTAGGTCTAGTTAGAAATCTTGCATCTTTGGTTTTCTTTCTTCATCAGCTTCTTCAACTTTCATTGCATATGGAATTCCAGGATATCTGTGACAAGGTGATGGTACTTAGAGGCTCTGTGGTTGCTTTAAGACCTGTTGGCATCCAAAGGATATGTTAACATCCATCTGCCTTCTACCATCTCCCTCAAAACCCCAAATTACTGTGCTAGCTCTGTTATTTGTTGAGAAGTATGTGACTCAGGGTTCTTTTCATTGTCAGATATGAAAGAAAATCCAACTGAATTAATCATATTTATTGGTTCACAAAACCCAACTCTCCAAGGCCATCCAGCTTCAGGTATAATTGGATTCAGAAGCTGGAACAGTGTTATCAGGACTCCATCTTCCTTTACCTCTGCAAGTGCTCTTCTGTGTAGTATATCCTGTTATGTCTTATGTAATTGTTAGCTGTTCACCAAATATTTCCAGCTTTCTTCCTTTTGGGTAGGATTCTGCTTCTCTGTCCCCTGAAGTTAGGTTTGGCAATGTGATTTACTTCTACCAATAAAGTGTGGACATAAGAGGCATGTGGCACTTCTGGGCAGAAAGCTTTTAACAGCCAGTACATTATTTATTATGTCCCCCTCTTCCTACCATGGCAAACATTGAAGCATGTATCAAGATGGGGTGGGCCTTCATCAGCTTAGATGCATGAGTGATATCAACGAGCAGAGCTTCCCTGCTTGTCACTATGAACATTTAATGTGAGAGAGAATTTTTGTTTTACTAACTGACTGAGGTTTTAACATTTTATTATAACATAATCCTTTCTATCCTGACTAACATACATCCTCTATGTTCATATACAAATGAAAACAAAAGGAATTTCTATTCTGGTTGCTCAAAAAAGTGTCCTAGTATTAACTCTGAATAGCTATGGTTAGTGATGTTCCCAATTTCTGAACGAATCCTGTGTTCTGATTGGCCAGGTCAAGGTCACATCTTTATCCTTGAGTCAGAGGGGAAATCAGCCCATCCAATGCTCATGGGCAGAGTAAAAGAGATGTAGGTACCCAAAATAAATAGTGATATCAGAAAAATGGAGGATGAGTGCTAGGCAAATTAAAACAGCATAGGTCTTCTATATGATAAGAAAGGAAACATTTCTGCAGCATTTTATTTTTATTCTGGAGCAGGCATCGCATTGTTAGACCTTTTAGAAGGTCAGTGTCTTTCTAAATCTATTGAAGAGAGTTTTATGGTCTTCTTTATTGCCATACTATAAATAGATATGTCAGGAAAAAGTTATAAATTTGAAGCCTAAAGTAGAAATACCATGTCAGCCCATATCCACTTGTCAGTAATAAAAGTAAAAGATTAAAATACAAATGTGACTACCTTTCCTTTTCTCAAGTTTCTTCCACAGTATCACCCAAATTTCAGCCTTTATTCAGCTTTAGGGAAGATACCTCCAATGAGATGACAGGTCTGCCCTCTCTGTCTTTGGATTCTTACAGCAATTGATCTGTCTACCTCTCACTGACATTCATTAATTCTGCCTTTTAGGACTCAAGATGAAAGCAAATTTTGTACCACTTCCATGTGTGTGGAAGCTTCTAGGATGGACCTGGCACTAAGTAAAGAACAGGTTCTCACTGTATATTTTTAAAAATTTAAAGATACCCTGACTCAGTCTTTTCTTCTTTGGGTTAATCTTATCATGTTCTTTCAGTTTTTTCTTGAATTAGTGTTTCTAAATCTCCTAACTGTACTGTTTTCTCCTTCTTGTGCTCCAATTTGTCTATGTATATGATTTGCTTTCATTTAAAAAAATTCAGTCTATAATCTCTGTCTTTTGTGTGTGTAGACCACTTACATTTATTGTAACTATTGAAATGTTTGGATTTAGGTCTACCATTTTATAATTTGTTTTCTGATTATCCCTTCTAATTTTCATTCTTCTGTTTTCCCTTTCCTGTGTTCTTTGGGGTTATTTAAACATTTTTTTAATACTCCATTTTAAAAACATCGTGTTTGCCTATTTCTGTTTGTATAGTGTTGTTAGAGGTTGCTCTAGGGATTAGAATACACATACTTAACATGGTCTATTTACAATCAATATTTTACTACTTCAAGTGGAACATGGAAACATTACTCATATATCTCTAAATCTCTTTATATTGTAGTTCTCTCATATACTACATTTATATACATTAAAAACTCCATTAGATAATGTGATCATTTTCAATTTCAATTTTCAAAACTATTTCTGTTTTTCTTCCTTTATTTCTGATGTTCCACTTTTCCTTCTGATATGATTTCCCTTCAATCTGAAGAACTTCCTGAAGCAATTCTCTTAATTTTCTTTCAACTGAAAATAGCTACATCACCTTCAATTCTGAAAAATGTTTTCATTGAATGTATTTTTCTTTCAGCCTTTAAAAAATGTTCTACTTCCTTCTGGACTCCAAGAGGTTCTGATGAGAAATCCACAATTATTCAAATCAAATTTCTGGCTTTTGGGCTGGATTGAGTACAGGCTGGGAGGAAAACAAGAAGAATGATATACTTACCACCAGTTTACTGAGACTTCAAAGTATGGTTTTTTGCATTCTGGGGTCATGTGCTCTGCCCAGGTTTTCTACTTGCATTCAGTGGGGGCGAAAAGATGGAGTATGGTAACTTCAACTTACCAGGAACCTCCATGTGCATCTGTTTTGGAGATATATAGTTCAACAGAAGCTGCTAAAGCCCCTTTTATGTTAATACTATGTGTAGTATGTGTGCATATTTGTGTGTATTTAACAAAATCTAACATAGTGCTTAGTATGTGCCAACCATAGTTTTAGGTGCAAGTTAACTCATTTAATCCTCATGACAGTCCGATGAGATATGTACAATTATTGTCTCATACTTTACAAATGAAGAAATTAAAGGAACGAAAGTTTAAGTAATTTGACCAAGGTCACACAGCTAGTAAGTGGTGGAGCCAGGATTCAAATCCTCAGGGAATCTGGTTTCAGAGTCTGGCTCCTAACCATTACACTAAGCTGCCTTTAATTAACTATGATTATGTAATAATTATACTAAAACAGTGAGAAGAAATAATGCCTTCTCACAACAGTGAGAAGAAATAATTTCTTACAACAGTGAGAAGAAATAATGCCTTCTCACAATAGTGAGAAGAAATAATGCCTCATTGTTATTGACCACTTTCTGTACCTTTGTTTTATTCCAGCCACTTTATAAACATTATCCAATAATAAATGTGTTCATTTGTCCAATTTTTACTGAGAATTATGTCAGGTAGTGTGCTGGGTGCTAGGGTTCCAGAAGTGAACAAGCCCTGGTGGAGGCTACATTCTAGTAGGAGGAGGTCATGAAACAAATGACTCACATATACCTATGTGATTGCAGTTGTGAAAACTGTCACAGAGGAGACTGTTAGGAGAACATTCTAGTGGGGTTTCTAAATTAGTCTACCAGTCAGGATAAGACAGATTATTTTGAAATAACAGCCTTAACATTTCAGTGGCTTAAAACAATGAAAACTTATTTCTTGCTTATGCTACATGTCTGTGAGAAGTAGGCTGAGAGTTCTGTTCTCCATCAGTATTTTTGTCCCCCTTACTCCAGGACACAGGCAAACAGAGCTGCCACTAACAAGCACATGGCCATTTTCAGGACAGGAAAAGAAGTAACACAGTAGCTTCTGCTCATATTTCATTGGCCAAAGTAAGGGTTATGGTCCTTCCTAACTTACAGGGGCTAGGAAAAGTGCAGTCCTACCGTGTCTGAAAGAAGAAAACCAGAAATATTTGAGGAGTGGCACTAAGATCTGCCAGTCTGGTCTTGAAGTTAGGAAAGGGTTCCTTAGGAGGCAATGTTTGAGTTGAATTCTGAAGCAAAAGGCAAAGGGATTGGGTTGGGGAGTAGATGGAAGCACAAAATGTGACTAACGTGGTAGAGTAAACAGAGTAACTCAAGGCCTTGTATGCCAATTTAAGGATTTAGTATTCATCCTAAGAGCTATGAGAAGCCAGTAAGAGACCTTAAGAGGGAATCATGATAATATTTATATTTTATCTGGGATCCTATGGCTAGTGTGGAGAATAGATGATGGTGGGAATAGGGGTAGGGAATGCGTAAGGAAAAGCCAATGAGGAAGCCATTGTCCTAATGTAGGCTGGAGAAGATGGAGGCTTGATTTAGGCATCAACAGTTGAGAGAAGTGGGTAGATTGAAGAAACAGGGTTTCAAGATTGATGGGATAATCCTCCAAGATCCCTTGAGGAATCTGTTATTATTATCCCCATTTTCTCAGTGAGGAAAGTAGGACTTGGAGAAATAATAGAGCTCAGCTATTGAGTGGCAAACCAGTGATTCAAACCTGAGCCTGGTTCTAAAACCTGTGCTCTTAACTACCATGTCACACTACTTCACTCAAATGTTTTGAGAAGCATTATTTTATGTCCTGTAATGGAGAAAGGATGCAAATTTTTAGGGCTTCTACTTGGTGCGAATGCATCTGGCAGATAGACCCTTTGATGGCAGATGTCATGACTTAACTGTTCTCTGCTCACCGTAGAGCCATACCAGCTATACAGTAAATCCCAGTTGAGTTTATATTGATGAGGTGTTAAAGTCAGAAGTTCAAAATTGTATGTAAATGCTTTCATTTAAATTAATTTATGCATTAAGGCTAGAGTCTTTTGTAATATAAGATGTTTAGATTTAGTTAAGGTGCCTCAGTTTATCCTGATTCCTTCCTCAAAAAACTCCACCTTTCATTCTCTTTTCCCTTCGTTTTCCTTCAGGCATTCATTTGGTCAAGCTTCATTTGAGTGACATTTATTTCAAGCAATGTAGCAGAGTGATTCAATATGTGGACTACAAAGTCCTTCTGTAAAACTCTCTTCCATTCCATCTATTGACATAAAAATTCCCGGCCTAGCTCTGTATCCACAGGTCAATGAAACTTCTCTCTGTTTGTCTATCATTCCTAAATGATCTTCATTTGTTGTTGTTGTTGTTTTTAGCACATTTATCTTTGACTAATTCCTGCTCCTCTTTTATAGTCCTCCTTGAGAATGAAGAACTCATTCTTCATACTTCTTTCACTGTTTCCAAATGCACTTATTTATCATGGTGCCAAGCATGCAGTTACTCCCTAATACACTCAATAATAGAAGAATGAATGATGTTTTATCTTAATTTTTGTATAGCATTGATATTTCAGCATAAGCTATAAATCACAAGTGCTCTTGAAATATAGTTAGTAATAAAATTTTCAGATAATACAATCAGAAACTCTATATATTCAAATATGAAAAATGTTAAATGGTAAAATTAGCAATGTTGCTGTGGGCTTTGGGAAGAAGAAATGCAAAAATTCAGCTTACACAATTGATTACCCTTTCAGTCCTCAATTATACGTCCAGAGACTTTGTTTCCAGGAATGTGTGATCCAGAATAGCTTTCCTAATCAAGTAATATTTAGGCTATGGTTTGTTCTAATTTTTACCAAAGCTTCACAACATTTTGCTTGAAAGATGACCGACTTGAAGATAAATATAACACAGAATAATTCAAAACAAAGTTATGACATTGAAATGAGTGAAATTATATGTACCAGAAAGTTCTGTAACAGTACGTCTTATTACTAGCATTTCACTCTAATTCTTCTTTTTTTATGATTATATTTTAAGTTCTGGGATACATGTGCAGAACATGTAGGTTTGTTACATAGGTATACAAGTGCCATGATGGTTTGCTGGACCCATCAACCCATCACCTACCTTATGTATTTCTCCTATTGCAATCCCTCCCCTAGTCCCCCACCCACCAGTAGGCCCCGGTGTATGATGTTCCCCTCCCTGTGTCCATATGTTCTCATTGTTCAATTCCCACTTACGACTGAGAACATGCAGTGTTTGTTTTTCTGTTCCTGTGTTAGTTTTCTGAGAATGATGGTTTCCAGCTTCATCCTTGACCCTGCAAAGGACATGAACTCATCCTTTTTATGGCTGCATAGTATTCCATGGTGTATATGTGCCACATTTTCTTTATCCAGTCTATCATTGATGAGCATTTGGGCTGGTTCCAAGTCTTTGCTATTGTGAATAGTGCTGCAGTAAACATACGGGTGCATGTGTCTTTATCATAGAATGATTTATCATCCTTTGGGTATATACCCAGTAATGGGATTGCTAGGCCAAATGGTATTTCTGGTTCTAGATCCATGAGGAATTGACACACTGTCTTCCACAATGGATCAACTAATTTACACTCCCACAAACAGTGTAAAAGTGTTCCTATTTCTCCACATCCTCTCCAGCGTCTGTTGTTTCCTGACTTTTTAATGATTGCCATTCTAACTGGCATGATGTGGTATCTCATTGTGGTTTTGATTTGCATTTCTCTGAGGACCAGTGATGATGAGCTTGAGATGAACCCACTTTTTGATGGGGTTGTTTGTTTGTTTTCTTGTAAATTTGTTTAAGTTCCTTGTAGATTCTGGATATTAGCCCTTTGTCAGATGGACAGATTGCAAAAATTTTCTCCCATTGTGTAAGTTGCCCATTCACTCTGATGATAATTTCTTTTGCTGTGCTGTGCTCTTTAGTTTAATTAGATCCCATTTGTCAATTTTGGCTTTTGTTCCCATTGCTTTTGGTGTTTTGGTCATGAAGTCTTTGCCCATGCCTATCTCCTGAATGCTATTGCCTAGGTTTTCCTCTAGGGTTTTTATGGTGTTAGGTCTTACATTTAATATTTTAATCCATCTTGAGTTAATTTTTGTGTAAGGTGTAAGGAAGGGATCCAGTTTCAGTTTTCTGCATATAGCTAGCCAGTTTTCCCAACACTGTTTATTAAGTAGGGAATTCTTTCCCCATTGCATGTTTTTGTCAGATTTGTTAAAGATCAGATGGTTGTAGGTGTGTCGTGTTATTTCTGAGGCCTCTGTTCTGTTCTGTTCTGTTCTGTTCCATTGGTCTGTATATCTGTTTTGGTACCAGTACCATGCTGTTTTGGTTACTGTAGCCTTGTAGTATAGTTTGAAGTCAGGTAGTGTGATACCTCCAGATTTATTTATTTATTTTTTTTGGCTTAGGATTGTCTTGGCTATACAGGCTCTTTTTTAGTTCCATGTGAAATTTAAAGTAATTTTTTCTAATTCTGTGAAGGAAGTCAGTGATAGCTTGATTTATAGCATTGAAGCTATAAATTACTTTGGACAATATGGCCATTTTCATGATATTGATTCTTCCTATTAATAAGCATGGAATGTTTTTCCATTTGTTTGTGTCCTCTCTTATTTCCTTGAGCAGTGGTTTGTAGTTCTCCTTGAAGACGTCCTTCACATTCGTTGTGAGTTGTATTCCTAGGTATTTTATACTCTTTGTAGCAATTGTGAATGGGAGTTCACTCATGATTTGGCTCTCTGTTTTTCTATTATTGGTGTATAGGAATGCTTGTGATTTTTGCACATTGATTTTTTATCCTGAGACTTTGCTGAAGTTGCTTATCAGCTTAAGGAGATTTTGGGCTGAGAGACGATGGGGTTTTCTAAATATACAATCATGTCATCTGCAAGCAGAGACAATTTGACTTCCTCTCTTCCTATTTGAATACCGTTTATTTATTTCTCTTGCCTGATTGCCCTGGCCAGAACTTCCAATATTATGTTGAATAGGAGTGGTGAGAGAAGGCATCCTTGTCTTGTGCTGGTTTTCAAAGGGAATGCTTCCAGTTTTTGCCCATTCAGTATGATATTGGCTGTGGGTTTGTCATAGATAGCTCTCATTATTTTGAGATACTTTTTATCAATACCTAGTTTATGGAGAGTTTTTAGCATGAAGGGGTGTTGAATTTTATCGAAGGCCTTTTCTGTATCTGTTGAGATAATCATGTGGTTTTTGTCACTGGTTCTGTTTATGTGATGGATTACATTTGTTGATTTGCATATGTTGAACCAGTCTTGCATCCCAGGTATGAAGCTGACTTGATCATGGTAGATGAGCTTTTCAATGTGCTGCTGGATTTGCTTTACTAGTATTTTATTGAGGATTTTCTCATCGATGTTCATCAGGGATATTGGCCTGAACTTTTCTTTTTTTGTTGTGTCTCTGCCAGGTTTTGGTGTCAGGATGATGCTGGCCTCATCAAGTGAGTTAGAGGGGAGTCCCTCTTTTCCATTGTTTGGAATAGTTTCAGAAGGAATGGTGCCAGCTCCTCTTTGTACCTCTGGTAGAATTCAGCTGTGACTCTGTCTGGTCCTGGGCTTTTTTTGGTTGGTAGGCTATTAATTACTGCCTCAATTTCAGAACTTGTTATTGGTCTAGTCAGGAATTAAACTTATTCCTGGTTTAGTCTTGGGAGGGTGTATGTGTTCAGGAGTTTATCCATTTCTTCTAGATTTTCTAGTTTATTTGTGTAGAGGTGTTTATAGTATTCTCTGATGGTAGTTTGTATTTCTGTGGGATCAGTGGTGATATTCCCTTTATCATTTTTATTGTGTCTATTTGATTCTTCTCTCTTTTCTTCTTTATTAGTCTGACTAGTCACTTATCTATTTTGTTAATCTTTTAAAAAAAGCACCTCCTGGATTTATTGATTTTTTAAGGGTTTTTCGTGTCTCTATATCTCCTTCACTTCTGCTGTAGTTATTTCTTGTCTTCTGTTAGCTTTTGAATTTGTTTGCTCTTGCTTCTCTAGTTCTTTTAATGGTGATGTTAGGATGTCAACTTTACATCTTTCCTACTTTCTCCTGTGGGCATATAGTGCTATAAATTTCACTCTAAACACTGCTTTAGTTGTGTCCCGTTGATTCTGGTACATTGTGTCTTTGTTCTCATTGATTTCAAAGAACTTATTTATTTCTGCCTTAATTTCATTATTTACCCAGTAGTCATTCAGGAGCAGGTTGTTCAGCTTTCATGTAGTTGTGGGGTTTTGAGTGAGTTTCTTAATCCTGAGTTCTAGTTTGATTGCACTGTGGTCTGAAAGACTGTTGTTCTGATTTCCGTTCTTTTGCATTTGCTGAGTATTTTACTTCCAATTATGTGATCAATTTTAGAATAAGTGCGATGTGGTGCTGTGAAGAAGGTATATTCTGTTGATTTGGGGTGGAGAATTCTGTAGATGTCAGTTAGGTCCACTTGATCCAGAACTGAGTTCAAGTCCTGAATATTCTTGTTAATTTTCTGTCTCATTCATCTGTCTAATATTGACAGTGGGGTGTTAAAGTCTTCCACTATGATTGTGTGGGCATCTAAGTCTCTTTGCAGATCTGTAAGAACTTATTTTATGAATCTGGGTGCTTCTGTATTGGGTGCATATATATTTAGGATAGTTAGCTCTTCTTGTTGCATTGATCCCTTTACCACTATGTAATGCCCTTCTTTTCTTTTTTGATCTTTGTTGGTTTAAAGTCTGTTTAATCGGGGACTAGGATCACAACCCCTGCTTTTTTTTGCTTTCCATTTGTTTGTTAAATATCCCTCCATCTCTTTATTTTGAGCCTGTGAGTGTCTTTGCACATGAGGTAGATCTCCTGAATACAGCACACCAATGGGTCTTGACTCTTTATCCAATTTGCCAGTCTGTGTATTTTATTTGGGGCATTTGGCCCATTTATGTTTAAGGTTAATATCGTTATGTGTGAATTTAATCCTGTCATTATGATGCTAGCTGGTTATTTTGCCCATTACTGGATGCAGTTTCTTCATAGTGTCAATGGTGTTTACAATTTGGTATGTTTTTGCAGTGGATAGTACCGGTTTTTCCTTTCCATGTTTAGTGCTTCCTTCAGGAGTTCTTGTAAGGCAGGCCTGGTGGTGACAAAATCTCTCAGCATTTGCTTGTTTGTAAAGGATTTTATTTCTCCTGTGCTTATGAAGCTTAGTTTGGCTGAATATGAAATTCTGGGTTGAAAATTCTTTTCTTTAAGAATGTTGAATATTGGCCCCCACTCTCTTCTGGCTTTTAGGGTGTCTGCCAAGATATCTGCTGTTAGTCTGATGGGCTTCCCTTTGTGGGTAACCCGACCTTTCTCTCTGGCTGCCCATAACATTTTTTCCTTCGTTTCAATTTTGGTGAATCTGATGATTACATGTCTTGGGGTTGCTCTTCTCGAGGGGTATCTTTGTGGTGTTCTGTGTATTTTCTGAATTTGAATGTTGGCCTGTCTTGCTAGGTTGGGGAAGTTCTCCTGGATAATATCCTGAACAGTGTTTTCCAACTTGGTTTCATTCTCTCCATCACTTTCAGGTACACTTTCAGGTACAATCAAATGTAGGTTTGGTCTTTTCACATAGTCCCCTATTCCTTGGAGGCTTTGTTTGTTTGTTTTCATTCTCTTTTCTCTAATCTTTTCTTCACTGTTTATTTCATTAAGTTGATCTTCAATCTCTGATATCCTTTCTTCCTCTTGATCATTCGGCTATTGATACTTGTGTATGCTTCACGAAGTTCTCTGTGTTTTTCAGCTCCATCAGATCATTTATGTTCTTCTCTAAACGGTTATTCTAGTTATCAATTCCTCTAACCTTTTTTCAAGGTTCTTGGCTTCCTTGCATTGGGTTAGAACATGCTCCTTTAACTCAGAGGAGTTTCTTATTACCCACCTTCTGAAGCCTACTTCTGGCAATTCGTCAAACTCATACTCCGTCCATTTTTGTTCCCTTGCTGGCAAGCAGTTGTGACCGTTTGGAGGAGAAGAGGTGTCCTGGTTTTTGGAATTTTCAGCCTTTTTGTGCTGGTTTTTCCTCATCTTCATGGATTTATCTACCTTTGGTCTTTGATGTTGGTGACCTTCAGATCGGGTTTTTGTGTGGACATCCTTTTTGTTGATGTTGATGCTATTCCTTTCTGTTTATTTGTTTTCCTTCTAAACAGTCAGGCCCCTCTGCTGCAGGTCTGCTAGTGTTTGCAGGTCCACTCCAGACCCTGTTTGACTGGGTCCACTCCAGACCCTGTTTGACTGGGTATCACCAGTGGAGCCTGCAGAACAGCAAAGATTACTGCCTGTTCCTTCCTCTGGAAGCTTCGTCCCAGAGGGGCACCCACCAGATGCCAGCCAGAGCTCTCCTGTGTGAGGTGTCTGTCAACCCCTGCTGGGAAGTGTCTCCCAGTCAGGAGGCGGGGGGTGGGGGGGTCAGGGACCCAATTGAGGAGGCAGTCTGTCCCTTAGCAGAGCACGAGCACTGTGTTAGGACTTCTGCTGCTCTCTTCAGAGCCTGCAGGCAGGGACATTTAAGTCTGCTGAAGCTGCGCCCACAGCCGCTCCTTCCCCCAGGTGTACTGTCCCAGGGAGATGGGAGTTTTATCTATAAGCCCCTGACTGGGGCTGCTGCCTTACTTTCAGACATGCCCTGCCCAAAGAGGAGGAATCTAGAGAGGCAATCTGACTACTGCGGCTTTGCGGAGCTGCAGTGGGCTCCATCTTGTTTGAACTTCCCTGTGGCTTTGTTTACACTGTTAGGGGAAAACCACCTTTTCAAGTGTCAGAAATGGTAAACACCCCTCCCCCGACCAAGGTCGAGGGTCCCAGGTGGACTTCAGACTGCTGTGCTGTCAGTGAGAATTTCAAGCCAGTGGATCCTAGCATGCTGGGCTCCATGGGGGTGGGATCTGCTGAGCTAGACCACTTGGCTCCCTGGCTTCAGCCCCCTTTCCAGGGGAGTGAACGGCTCTGTCTCGGTGGTATTCCAGGTGCCACTGGGGTATGAAAAAAAACTCCTAAAGCTAGCTCGGTGTCTGCCCAAACGGCCGCGCAGTTTTGTGCTTGAAACCCAGGGCACTGGTGGTGTAGGCACGGAAGTGAATCTCCTGGTCTGCAGGTTGTGAAGAATCTGGGAAAAGCATAGTATCTGGGCCGGAGTGCACCATTCCTCATGGCACAGTCCCTCATGGCTTCCTTGGCTAGAGGAGGGAGTTCCCCGACCGCTTGCACTTCTGGGGTAAGGCAATGCCCCACCCCACTTCAGCTCGCCCTTTGTGAGCTGCACCCATTGTCTGACCACTCCCAATGACATGAGGCAGGTACCTCACTTGGAAATGCAGAAATCACCTTCCTTTTGTGTTGATCTCACTGGGACCTGCAGACCGGAGCTGTTCCTATTCAGCCATCTTGCCAGCCACTCTCTAATTCTCTTTTTACTACCAAATCTCTTAATTAGGCTGCGCTGTATGACCCCATGAGCTGTGGAGAACTAACTGTGAGGAAACGTCAGGTCATCTGTGTTTTGTGATGATATTCTGCAGTAATGATTAGCACAAGCTGTTCAGCTGACATGGATTTGTTTTTAGTTTAAATAAACTTTGTTTTTTAGAATGGTTTTAGATGTACAGAATAATTCAAAGCTAATACAGAGTTTCCATATAACCTGTATCCAGTTTTTCTTATTATTTACATCTTACGTTAGTATGGTACATTTACAAGTAACAATACAGTATTATTAACTAAAGTGTGGACTTTTTAAAGATTTCCTTAGTTTCTACCTAATATCCTTATTCTGTTCTAGGATTCCATCCAGGGTGCCATATTACATTTACTCATCACGTCACCTTTGGCTTCTCTTGGTTATGGCAGTTTCTTAGACTTTCTTTATTTTTGGTGACCATGACAGTATTGAGGAACACTATTTAGCATTTTGTATGCTCTTAGCTGGGATGAGTCTGATGTTTTTCTCATTATTAGATTGGTGATATAAATTTTGGGGAGAAAGACTGCAGAGGTAAAGTGTCATTTTCATTACATCGTATCAAGAGTATATACCATTGACATGATGTTGACCTTTATCACCTGGCTGAAGAAGCATTTTTCAGTTTTCTCTACTGTACAATTACTCTTCCCCCACTACTCCTGCTTTCATACTCAACTCTTTAGGAAGTAGCCCACACTTAATAAATAAGGAGTTATGCTCCACCTCCTTGAAGGCAATATACATACATAACATCTATAAAACCTCAGCATAATTATTAGGAATTCTTCTGCACAAGATAGTTTTCTCTTCTCCCTTTATTTACTTAATCAATTATTTATTTATATCAGTATGGACTGATACATATTTATTTTGTATTTTGGGTTATACTCCAATACGTCATTTTCTTTTTTTTTTTTTTTTTTTAGCTCATATTGTTCCAGCTTTGGCCATTGGGAGCTCTTTCAGTGGCATCTGTGTTGTCAACCCTTACGGCATTTTTTTTTCTTTTCTCCCATCCCCTACCCCATGCCTTTTTTTTTTTTTTTTTTTTTTACTTCCTTACTTTCTGGAACTACAAGACCCAGACTCATGTATATTTCCTGCCTTTGTCCTAGAATCAGCTATTTCTTCAGGGAACCCTGCTTCCTTTCACTGGAGGATATTGAAAATCAAGATCTGGTACTAGATATGCTCATTGCTACTGGAATGTCATTGTTCTTCTACATCCTCTTAGTTGACAGAGCAAGAAAATTATATATATATTTATATATAATATATATAAAAACCATGAAAATATAGATATCTATAAATATTTTTATGAAACATTCTATATCCAGATTAAGCTAAACATTTGTTTATACTAATGTCTTCAGCTGTAATCCATTACCAGGTGGAGCATTCTGTGTGAATAGATGGATTATAGCCTTATGTCCTTGTTCATCTGCACACTTCCACACCAACAGTGAAAAACTTGGCTCCCATAATTCTCCATCCATTTATTTGTTTAGATTCAGTTCAGACTCCCAACCCCTACTCACCCACAATACTAAGTAATGTAGCCTTCTTGGGGTGTTATATCCAGAGCCCTTTGCTAATCATCTCCCTTCAGTTATGTTAATTTTGATCACCCAGTCAAGACATTGATTTATATTTATTATGTTCTCCCTTGCAAGAAATAAGCAATGTGTGGTCATTTTCTTTGAGACCATACAAACATCCTGCTTCTCATCAAACTTTTCCCCATTGATTCTTCCCACAATCTTACAGTGATGGTTGTAAAGGGTGATTTTCAATTCCATTACACCCTGCACTCATCAGTTGACATTCTACCAGAAGGAAGAGCCTTTCCTTCTCTCCAGCTGTCTGCCTATGTATGTATGTATTTATTTATTATAAGTATAGACTCATGGATTCTTAATTCAATGAGTTGTAATGAATGAATTTGGGTACCTTATTGTTTTACATTTGTCAAGTAAGAGCTCCTGCAAGCTGGTTCCTATATTTTTGTTAGACATTGTGAAATTCCCCTACATAAGATTTACACCCTTTTGCCTTCCTGAAAATCATGTATAAAAATGGGCCTGTTTTTCTTCAGCCTCACCAACAAGCTTTTGTTTTTTTGTCAAACTGATGGATGAGAAATTGTTTTCAATATAATTTTAATATGAATTTTCCTTTTATGTAAAATTGAACATATTTTCATATTTTAATGTAATTTTATATCTTTTTTGTGTATTTTCTATTCCTGTCTTTTGCCCATTTTCTAGAGTACTTTTGATCTCCTTTCATCAACTTTTAAAAGTTCTTTATAAATTATGAATATTAGTTCTTTATATTATTTGCAAATATTTTCTTCTAATTTATTTGTCCTATCATTTTGCTTATGGTGTTTTTGCCATTCAATTTTTTTTAGTCAAATATGTCAATTTTTAAAAACTGCATCTGGATTTTTAGTCACAGAAGGCCTTTTCTACCCTCAGATTATAGAGGAATTATAGAGGAATTTATCCATCAAAAATTACTTGTATACTTTTACTTATTAAAAATCTGATCTATTTGAAGTTTGTGCTTACTGGATGACATGAGGAATGGATGAAAATTTATCTTTTGGAAATGGCTTTCCAATTGTCCCAACAGCACTTATTAAAATGTTCTTTGCTGCCCCAGCATTTTGAGTTGCACCTGTATCATATACTAGAATAATTTCCACCTGTGGTCAGGTCTTTTGCTGGACTTGCTGTTCTGCTTCATTGATTTGCATGTGCATTCATGTTCCAGGACCACACCGTTTTACTTATACAGATTTTGTGGTAGGTTTTAATATCTGATGTGGCTGTTATCTCCTCACAACTCTTTCTTTTCATTGTTTTTCTTGATATTCTCTTTTGGCTATTGTTTCATGTGAAAATTCATGTGTAGTAAAGTTCATTTGTTTATTTCCCAGGGGAGAAAAAGCTTATTGGTTTTTTTTTAATTGGGATGTCACAAAATTTATAAATTGACTTAGTGAGTACAAACATCTTTTGATGACATTGAGACATCCTAATCAAGAACCAGGAATGTCTTTCCATTTGTTCAAGTCTACATTTGTGTTTTGCAGAGTGTTTTATTAAAGTGTTGGTCCTATAGGTTTGAAACATTTGGAGTTTATTTCCAAGTATTATCTCTTTTTTCCATTGTTGTTGCAAATGAGGTTTTTCTCTACCATTATATCTTTTAAGTCACCCAGTGGTTCTTAAAGTTCTGATTAAAAGCACTACCAACTGCATTCTTTTCCATTTGAAACAACTATCTCAGTACAGCCAGACTGTGTGTTATGCATCAGAGATATTTCTTCCATGAGTAATTTCCTCTCTATCAGCAGATACATTTTAAACTTCACACATTACTGTTAACTAGAATCTACTGGAACCCTTCACTATCTAGAATTTAAAAGATCAACTACTATCAAATTAGAATATCATTCTGAAAACTCTGAGTTGCTCTTTGAATCAAAGAGAGTCAAAGAGTCAAAGAGAGGAACAGGACCAGAGAGAAGCCCCAATCTCCTTAGCAGTATGTCAGCATTTGGAAGTGCAGCTCTTTGACTAGGTTCATATACAGCATAGGGGTCCCTGTTGCAGATCCATAAAGCCACTGGTCCTGAGTTTCTACAAGTCAATCCTCTTTATAATGCATGAAAGCTGAAGTGTGTTTAAGTATTTTACCATACAGAAAGTATTGGTAGTTTCTTCCCTGTCCATGGAAGCTGCAGTGCTTCATGTAATCTTTGTGTTTGACATTTTTCTGTCTCCATCGACGCATTTGAAGTTGTGCCAGAGGTGGATATCTGTCTTTTTTTATACTTAATCTCTCAACTGTGGGTTTGCATGATTCATTCGAAAACATCATTTGGGGGTCGTGGTGATTATTTATGCAAAAATTCTGAGTATTTGCATAGTCATGAGATTTTAATGAAAACTTGCAAACCATTTTTTACAATTTACTTCTAACGTTGGTTATATCCTACATTCACTAAAAAAGAGATACTGAAAAATACTTAAAAAGAAAGCAAATTTTTGGGACCCAGAATAATGCTGAAGTAAAGCCAGAAATTCAGTTTCTGTAATCTTGAACACTTACTGGGTTTGGGCTGATTCCATAGGGAGCCTTATGTGTCTGTTCATTCTTTCCTGCTCCAGATTTTATTCTTACAGTACGCTTTGTTGGAATAGTTATAAAAGCAACTTTTTAATAATAAGAATTTGTAATATAGAACTAATGACCTTTCAACACCTAATTTAACAAAGGTAATGTAATTTTGCTATCTAGCGTGGATAGGAAGTGGTTCTTATGGCTAATTAAATAATCACGTTATGAAACCATTTCTATCCATTCATTCACATATGCACACATGCATGTGTACACATTTATTTTTTGTTTGTATAATTTATTTAGTATTTCATAACTATGATGGTACTTCTGATTATTGACTTCAGGACCATCACTAGGTGCCAGACACTATTATAAACAAGGTATTTATTCTTCTTAGAAGCCCTAGTAAGTAGTTGCTATTATTATCCTACATTGAACAGATGAGAGAACTGAGGCAAATTAAATAACTTGCCCAAGTTCAACCAGGTAGTAAATGTTGGCAATTTAATTCCTGAGCTCTTAACTACCACATGAGTAACAATTAGAAGAAGTGAAGGCTAAGATTACTAACATGACAAGCAACAGATTGCTATTATTATTATTGTTTTCTTCATCAGTTTCCTGATGTCCATTCTGATTTCCTTTTAGTTTGCTTATACCATTATTTATTGGTATTTATGAGACTTCCAAATTAGTTTTTTGTTCATATTTTCCTTGTCCACTGAACTAGAATGAGGTTCAATTCAGTGTCTTTTCCAGTATTTTATAAACTTTCACATACCTCTTACCCATAAATAATTTTTTAAAAAATTAAGGACAAAAATCCTCTGCTATGGTTTGGATGTTTGACCCCTCCAAACCTCATGTTGAAATTTGATCCCCGGTGTTGGAGGTAGTCCCTAATGGGAGGTGTTTGTTTGAGGCATGGGGACAGATACCTCATGAATAAGACTAATGCCCTCCCTAAGTGGGTAGGGGGAGTAAGTACTTGCTCTAATAGTTCCTTCTAGAGCTGCTTGTTAAAAACAGGCTGACACCTCTCCTCAGACTCTCTTGCTTCCTCTCTCACAATGTGATCTCTGCACATGCTGGCTCCCCTTCACCTTCCACCATGAATGGAAGCAGCATGAGGCCCTCACCAGAAGCCAAGCAGATGCTGGCGCCATGCGTCTTGTACAACCTGCAGAACCTTGAGCAAAATAAACCTCTTTTCTTGATAAATTACCCAGCCTTAGATATTCCTTCATAGCAACACAAAGTAGGCTAAGATGCCCTCAAAAGATTACTACCCATTAGAGGATATTTAATGAGGAAATGGGCTAATAATTATGGGTTTGATGGTTACAAGTTAAAAGGAATGTAATGATAACTTACTCTTTTCTCTTTCAACTCTCCGCTTTGTGAAATTTTGTGACCTCATGTGACAAAAGGAGATTGTAGAAGTAGTCTTATAGACATCCTTAGTGATTTGGAAAACTGGCGAAGACTTGTCATTGTTTACTGTTTGTATATTTCTAATATGAATGGTGGTGGTAGAAGTGATAGAAGCAATAGTACCAGTGCTTGTATTCATTCACTTAACAAACAGTTTTTGAATACTTACTGAGCGCCAGACACTGTTCTGGGTGTTTGAGATATACCAGTGAACAAAGCAGACAATGATTCACTTCCCTTACAGAGCTTACAGTTTAGCTGGAGGAGACAGCCAATAAACAGTAAACATGATTGATAGATAGGTACATACAAAGCTAGATGAATGATAGAGTATGTTAGAAGAATAGGTCTATGGAAACAAATAATATTACAGTTTTAAGGGAGTTGATGAGACTAAGAAAAAAATAATCATATAGTGGTTAAGGAAGTCAGAATGTGTGCGTGCATGTGTGTGTGTGAGTAATCATATAGTCATTAAGGGAGTCAGAGAGAGTGTGTGTGTATGTGTGTGCACACACACATGCATGTAGGAAGTATTAAATAGAGATGTCAGGGAAGAGGCTCATTGATCTTAAAGTACTGAGGAGATAACCAAGTGGCTATCTAGGGGAAGAGCTTTCCAGAGAGAGGGAACAGTTAGAGCAGTCTCTAAAGCAGCAGTGAGTCTGGAATGTTTAAAGAACAAAATGGGATATCACCACCAATCCCACAGAAATACAAACTACCGTCAGAGAATACTATAAACACCTCTGCGCAAATAAACTACAAAATCTAGAAGAAATGGACAAATTCCTGGACACATACACCCTCCAAGACTAAACCACAAAGAAGTTGAATTCCTGAATAGACCAATAACATGCTCCGAAATTGAAGCAATAATTAATAGCCTACCAACCAAAAAAAGTCCAGGACCTGACGGATTCACAGCCGAATTCTACCAGAGGTACAAGGAGGAGCTGGTACCATTCCTTCTGAAACTATTCCAATCAATAGAAAAAGAGGGAATCCTCCCTAACTCATTTTATGAGGCCAGCATCATCCTGATACCAAATCCTGGCAGAGACACAACAAAAAAAGAGAATTTTAGACCAATATCCCTGATGAACATCGATGCAAAAATCCTCAATAAAATACTGGTAAACCAAATCCAGCAGCACATCAAAAAGCTTATCCACCATGATCAAGTGGGCTTCATCCCTGGGATGCAAGGCTGGTTCAACATAGGCAAATCAGTAAACGTAAACCAGCATGTAAACAGAACCAAAGACAAAAGCCACATGATTATCTCAATAGATGCAGAAAAGGCCTTTGACAAAATTCAACAGCCCTTCATGCTAACAACTCTCAATAAATTAAGTATTGATTGGACATATCTCAAAATAATAAGAGCTATTTATGACAAACCCACAGCCAATATCATACTGAATGGACAAAAACTGGAAGCATTGCCTTTGAAAACTGGCACAAGACAGGGATGCCCTCTCTCACCACTCCTATTCAACATAGTATTGGAAGTTCTGGCCAGGGCAATCAGGCAGGAGAAAGAAATAAAGTGTATTCAATTAGGAATAGAGGAAGTCAAATTGTCTCTCTTTGCAGACAACATGATTGTGTATTTAGAAAACCCCATCGTCTCAGCCCAAAATCTCCTTCAGCTGATAAGCAACTTCAGCAAAGTCTCAGGATACAAAATCAATGTGCAAAAATCACAAGCATTCTTATACACCAATAACAGTCAAAAAGAGAGCCAAATCATGAGTGAACTCCTATTCACAATTGCTTCAAAGAGAATAAAATACCTAGGAATCCAATTTACAAGGGATGTGAAGGACCTCTTCAAGGAGAACTACAAACCATTGCTCAATGAAATAAAAGAGGACACAAACAAATGGAAGAACATTCCATGCTCATGGATAGCAAGAATCAATATCGTGAAAATAGCCATACTGCCCAAGGTAATTTATAGATTCAATGCCATCCCCATCAAGCTACCAATGCCTTTCTTCACAGAATTGGAAAAAACAACTTTAAAGTTCATATGGAACCAAAAGAGAGCCCCCATTGCCAAGACAATCCTAAGCCAAAAGAACAAAGCTGGAGGCATCACGCTACCTAACTTCAAACTATACTACAAGGCTACAGTAACCAAAACAGCATGGTACTCATACCAAAACAGAGATATAGACCAATGGAACAGAACAGATCCCTCAGAAATAATACCACACATCTACAACCATCTGATCTTTGACAAACCTGACAAAAACAAGAAATGAGGAAAGGATTCCCTATTTAATAAATGGTGCTGGGAAAACTGGCTAGCCATATGTAGAAAGCTGAAACTGGATCCCTTCCTTACACCTTATACAAAAATTAATTCAAGATGGATTAAAGACTTACATGTTAGACCTAAAACCATAAAAACCCTAGAAGAAAACCTAGGCAGTACCATTCAGGACATAGGCATGGGCAAGGACTTCCTGACTAAAACACCAAAAGCAATGGCAACAAAAGCCAAAATTGACAAATGGGATCTAATTAAATGAAAGAGCTTCTGCACAGCAAAAGAAGCTATCATCAAAGTGAACAGGCAACCTACAGAATGGGAGAAAATTTTTGCAATCTACTCATCTGACAAAGGGCTAATATCCAGAATCTACAAAGAACTCAAACAAATTTACAAGAAAAAAACAACCCCATCAAAAAGTGGGCAAAGGATATGAACAGACACTTCTCAAAAGAAGACATTTATGCAGCCAACAGACACATGAACAAATGCTCATCATCACTGGCCATCAGAGAAATGCAAGTCAAAACCACAATGAGATACCATCTCACACCAGTTAGAATGGCAATCATTAAAAAGTCAGGAAACAACAGGTGCTGGAGAGGATGTGGAGAAATAAGAACACTTTGACACTGTTGGTGGGACTGTAAACTAGTTCAACCATTGTGGAAGACAGCATGGCGATTCCTCAAGGATCTAGAACTAGAAATACCATTTGACCCAGCCATCCCATTACTGGGTATATACCCAAAGAATTATAAATCATGCCGCTATAAAGACACATGCACACTTATGTTTTTTGAGGCACTGTTCACAAATAGTGAATTGGAACCAACCCAAATGTCCATCTATGATAGACTGGATTAAGAAAATGTGGCACATATACACCATGGAATACTACGCAGCCATAAAAAATGATGAGTTCATGTCCTTTGTAGGGACATGGATGAAGCTGGAAACCATCATTCTCAGCAAACTACCGCAAGGACAAAAAACCAAACACCGCATGTTCTCACTAATAGGTGGGAATTGAACAATGAGAACACCTGGGCACAGGAAGGGGAACATCACACACCGGGGCCTGTTGTGGGGTCGGGATGGGGGGAGGGATAGCATTAGGATATATACC
Source organism: Homo sapiens (assembly GCF_000001405.40). Taxonomy (NCBI): domain Eukaryota; kingdom Metazoa; phylum Chordata; class Mammalia; order Primates; family Hominidae; genus Homo; species Homo sapiens. Next base: position 53,095,840 of record NC_000004.12, on the reverse strand, counting down.
TAATGTAAATGACGAGTTAATGGGTGCAGCACACCAACGTGGCACATGTATACATATGTAACAAATCTGCACGTTGTGCACATGTACCCTAGAACTTAAAGTATAATAAAAAAAAAATGAGCAAGAGAGAAAAATGTAGTAGTAGGTCATGAAGAGTCTTAGGGTATTTTAAGCACTTAGGTTTTAACCCTGAATGAAATGTAGAGCTGTTGGAGTGTGTTCAGCAGAGGAGTGAAATTATCTGTCATACATTTTTAAAGGATCACAGTGTCTATCATGTCAAGAAGATACTGAAGAGGGGAGTAAGACTGGGAGCATGGACTCTTGTTAGGAGGCTTTTAGAGTAATCTAAGTGAGAGGTGATGAAAGCTTGAACCAGGATGGTAGTGGTGAAGGAGGTAAAAAGAGATCAGATTATATATATATATAGCAGATTATGCCTTAGGCATTCTCTGGAGGATTAGATGTGAGATATAAGGAAAAGAACGATGTCAAAGATTACTTGACTTGAGCAGCTAGAGGGATTGGAGTTAAAGTCAGCTGGAATAGGGGAGGCTATGTGTGAGCCGGTTTTTAAGGGAAGAACATAAGTTCACTTTGGGGCATGCTGAATGTAACACATCTATTGAACATCCAAGGCAAAAATGCAAGAGCTATTGGAATGTAGACATTATTCAAAGTCATGAGACAATGATATCACTAAGGGATTGAGTATAGTTAGAGAAAGAAAGAAGTTCAAGAAGTAACGTTCAATAGAGGGGAAGAAGAAAGAAACCAGAAATGGAAATTGAGAAGCAGCAACCAATGAATTAGGAGGAAAACTAATAGAATATGTGTCTTTAAAGCCAAGTAAAAGTACATCAGTAATGCTAACAGGACAAGTTAAGGTGAGGACTGAGTTTTGACCATTGTATTTTGTGACATAGAGTTGATTGGTGACAAAAGCAATAGCAGCTTCAGTGGAGTGAGGGGGCAAAAGCTTTGTTGGAATGAGTGTAAGAGAATAAAAGAGGAATTTGAGACAGTGAATATGGACAACTCTTTGGAAGACTTATGCTGTAAAGGAGACCCAGAAAATAGGGTGGTTGCTGAACGGAGAAGTGGAGTCAGAGATTTTTTTTTTTAAGATAAAAGAAATAAAAGCACATTGTACACTGATGAAAATGGTCCAACAGAGATTAAAGAAATTGATGACATTGGGAAAAAGAGCAGAGTTGCCAATACTTTGTTATGGGCTGAATTGTGATCCTCCTGATGTTATATGTTAAAGTCCTCACCCTCAGTACCTCAAAATGGAACTGTATTTGGAGATAGGGTCATTAAAGAGGTTAATGATGGCTGCATGAGGTCATTAGGTGGGCGATAATCCAATGAGATTGGTATCTCATACCATCCTTATGAAATAAGGGCACAGATATACACAGAGGAAAGATCATGGGGAGACACATGGCCACCTACAAGCCAAGGAGACAGAGACTTAGAAAAACAACCCTGTTGATACCTTGATCTTGGACTTCTAGACTCCAGAATTGTAAGGAAATAAATTTCTGTTGTTTAGGGCACCTGTCTGTGATATTTGTTATGGCATCCGTAGCAAACTAATACAAGCCACATAATTGAGTAGAGGAGAAAGGATGGAATGTGATGCACAGTGGAAAGATGAACTTTGGTTAAGAGTTAGGCTACTCTACAACAATTCCATTCACCAGTTAGGAAACTGAGGCTCAAAAGGTTATGTGACTTTTCTAATGTTATACCCCTACTAATGCTGGAAGTGGTCTTAAACCTACATCCTTGTAACTTTAAGTCTCGTGTTTCTTTCCCCAGTTCCTAACTAAGGTATATAAATAATCTATTTTAAAAATATTAAAGAAAATTTCAATGTTATTCATTTTTTAGTTACATAGTTCAAAATCCAAAAGTTTAAAAATTACATACAGTGAAATGTTTTCCCTCCATCCTGGCCCCCACCCATCCCTAGCCCCTTCACCCTGCTATTCTTCCTGGAGATGACTGATGCTACCGTTTCTTGAGTGCTCCTGCAAAGATATACATCTCTACACACACACAAATACATATTTTTTTTCTATTACCTTTTAAAATACAAATCATAGCATTGAAATCTGCCTTGGTTTTTCATTTAATATATATCTTGGAGACTGTTTTATATCAGCATGTAAAGAGCTTTCTATTAAATTTTTATGGTTGCGTGGTATTCTGTTGTATGGGTATTCTATAGTTTCTCTAACTTATCTCACAGTGGCCATTGAAGTTGTTTAAAATCTATTGCTATTACACAGAAGCCTTCCAGATACATTATTTCACACATGTGTGAGTACATCTGTAGGATATATTCCTAGAAGAAGAATTCCTGGATCAAAAGTTATATATATTGATATTTTTGACAGATATTGCCAAATTATTGCCAAATTGCTCTCAATGGAAATTGCACTGATTTACTCTCACATCAATACTGTTTCTTCAGACTCTTGCCTTAACACATTTCATTCTTCTTTCAGCAGCCATGGTGATCCTTTTTTAAAAATATAAGTCAAAACATGCCATCCCTTGAACAACTATTTGCTGAACACCTATCATTTGCAGTCACTGTTTTGGGCACTGGTATAAACCCTGTGCTCCAAACTTTTCAGCAGCTTCCCTAGGTCAGTCAGCAAAAAAAAGTCAAAATCCATACAGTTGCCTACAAGACCACTTATGATCAACTCTCCTCTTTTTCCCAATGTTTTAACAGTATCTCCTGCTCCTCTGTCCTCCCTCATTCAACCACACTGAGCCCTCTGAAAGGCACTGTGCACACTCCAGCCATGGACACTACTCTTCTGTCCTCTCTGCTTCGAATATCCACGTGACTCACTCTTGTACCTCCTTCAGAGCAGCCTTTCTCACCAACCTATGTACAGTAGCAATAATCTCCTTCCCCATTTGGGCCCTCTGTTTTGTTTTTTTAGTCTGCTTTATTTTTTTGATAACATTACCATCTGACATACTGTATTTTTATTTTCATCATCCCTACCTACCTCATGGAAATCATTAATCTGTTTTCTCTCTTAATAATTTTGTCATTTCAAGATTGTTATATAAATGGAATCATACATTAAGTGGCCTTTTGAGGTTAGCTTTTTTCCCCTTAAATACCCTTGAGATCTGTCAAGGTTGTTTCATATATCCATAGTTCTTTTTATATCATATATCAATCAGTTCCTTTATATTGTTGAGTAGTATTCCGTGGTATATATGTAGCACAGTTTGTTTAACCATTTATCTCTTATTGGACATGTAGGTTGTTTCCAATTTGGGGGCTTTAAAAATAAAGCTACTATGAATATTCATGTACATGTTTTTGTGGAGTTGTAAATTTTTACTTCTCTGAGTTAAATGCATGAGAGTGTAATTGCTAGTTTGTTTGGTAAGTGTATGTTTATTTTTTAAAGAAATTGCCCAACTGTTTTTCAGAGTGGCTGTACCATTATACATTTCAACTAACAATTTTGAGGTTATTTCCTTAGACCTAAAATTTTTTTCTTACAAGATGTTAAAAAATACGACCTGTTATGTGTCATATGACGTGTTTTATCAGGCAAATTATAATGTAAATCCACCAAAAGCTCAGACTATGTCATTTTGTCCTGTATATATGCTTCTAGCACAAGGCTTGGCCTATTGTATTCTGTAAATATTTATTGAATGAAATGAAGCACAAATATGCACTGTAATTTGCACAATATGTCATATGACAATTTCTAATATAGCTTTGATTTAATGAGATTATTTTGCTTCCTGTTCTAATTTTGACGTCTTCTTTTCTGTCACATCTGCCTAAAAACTCACAGTGATACTGATATTGACTCTGGAAGATTTATATTTCTTTAAGTGTTTAGTAATTGAATCTTTTAAGAGTTTTGATATTCCAGCATAATATCAATTAATAAAATTATTTTTAAAAGAAAAGCTATAAATTATTGGAAGTGGGAAGTGAGCATGATCTAGAGTGTCTAATAGTGAAGATGTAGCATTGCTAAAATGAATGTAGAAGGAACAGACTCCATAGCCCTATTTTTCAGAGTGCATCTCTCCTCCCAGAAATCTTCATGTCTGCCTGTGTTATATCACAGGTCACCTAAGCAGTTTCTATGAAAGTTGTATCTACAGGACTCTGGAGAGACTTTAGGTGTTCTGAATTTGAACAGTTGAAAGTTGAGCTAAATTGACATTTTATGGAATAATAAGTCATAATTAACTTATTTAGCAATAAGATTTATGTAGATATCCCTGGAGGGTCATGTTAATATTTTATATGTTATTTTCTAGATTCTGAATTACTGGAAAATCATCAGAGACAATATATACTCAAATGATTTTCTTAGTTTTTTAATATTCTGAATCTCATTAATAATTACTTTAAGACTTACACACCATCCTAGCACAGAGTTGCCAGAGTTCTTTTTTTTTTTTTAACCTAGTTTCCTCTTTTGCCTGGGTGCTGAGAGTTAATTCTTTATCTCTAGTGGGAGACAGCTCTCTTCCATCTTAGAAAAACTCATAGCATTATTCCTTTCTGCTATGTGCATCTCTTTTAACTTTGTATCTCCTCACTGTCTCCTCTTTCAGCAATCTTCAGAGACAAAAAATTTCCTTTCTTCAGCCCATAGATTTAAACTTTACCAATATGGAAGATTTTTCTCTCATCTGTGAATGACTATAATAGTATAATATAGTATGAAATGGTATAACACCCATTTGCATAATTGCCATCCAAAAATAAACAACATGGCATAGCAGTTATTAATATAGAAGTATGATCTTAGAGTCATGTGATGAATCTGTGAGGGGAGTTGTGCAGTGGTGAAGATTAGAGTTTCAGTGGTTAGGCAGACCTGTGTTTGTTATCAATTCTTGGACGTAAACAAGTCCCTTTATGTAAACTTCAATTGTCTCCTCTGTAAAATGGGAATGATGATAGTGCTTATCCCATAGGGGTGGTGTGAAGATCAGAGAGAATATATATGAAGCTCTGAACACAATGCTTGGCACACTTCAGTGCTCCATAATTATTAGCTTTTCAATGTAAGCTCCATGAGGGCAGGGATCTAGTCTGTTTTGTTTAGCTGCATCCCTAGTGTCTAAGATGGTACCCATTGTAGTTTCACAAATATTTGTTGAATAAGTGAATGAATGGTTACTAAAGATCCCACTTGAGAATACCACTGCCATGCTCAGTGTTCTTTCCTTATCCCAAGTCACATACTGTGGATATTTTCAAGCTGATTTCTTTCCTATCTGGATCTTATGATCCTTTCTTGTACTCTCTCTTCACATATTCATTTAGCCAGCACTGACATTCTAAGAATACAATCACTGCCCTCAATGAACTTTTCTGTCATATGAACAAGTATTAATAGACAGGTTTCTTCCAGAAGAGGTGTCCCCTCCTGGTTACCTTTCCTTTTCCATTCTATCTCTTTTGGCATTTTCAGTGAGTTGAATATGTGCATTTCTAAAAATGTGGTCATGTATGATTTGAATCTAATAGAAAGCCCAACTGTTTGTGAGAGGTTTGTTTTGGATTTCTTATTTTTTGTTCTGTTGCCAAAATAGTTTTCACTTGTCATCCTCTTTTTGACTAGAGTCCTAGCAACAGATGGTTGGGAAGACAGTTTTGCAATGTCCCTGGGGATTAGTGAAATCCCACTTGCCACCCAGACATCATAGTTTCTGACAAACCTTCAAAAGCTTCTCCAGCTTGTTTTCCATTGCAAAACTATGCAGTGCTTGGAAGTCAACACATTTTATTATTACCAAAGCAAAGTTCTGTCTTTTGTAGCTCTCTGCAGAAGAAGCAAATATATCATACATTTTGGCACAGATGTCTTTAAAATTAATTTCCTTTTAATGGTTGAGTATGTTTTGAAATGCTGCAGGGGAAATATGTTTGTATAACTTCACATCTTAAGAAATGATGGCAAGCAAACATGTTCTGTGAATTAATAATATTAGCATTTAGTCCAGATGTAGATTCCAAAACTAATTTAAGAATATAGAAATTCTACAAACGGGACATCTAGAGATGGCCTTAACCTCTATCCATTGGCAAGAAATTGATTATATTTATTTTGATCCCTTTCAAGCAATTTTTTCCTAGCCTGTATAGAAAAAAATCTTTTGTTATGAATGCCTCATGACAAAATTAATTTGGTATCTTTTGACTATTAAATATTTAATTTGCCTACTTTATAGTTATTTGTCTCTTTTACAAATTAAAGAAATTTGACTTTTGTACCAGCAGAGAAATTGTAAGCTGATTCCATATTCAGTTATTTGTCAAATGAATAATTATAAAAAGCCCTGCATTTTAATTTTAGTTACCTGCATCATGATGAAAATTTTCATAAAGAAATTTTGTGGTTCAAAACAGTTCAGCACAATTGGACTTCATCAAAATTAGAAACTTTTTGCTTCAAAGGACACTAGCAATAAAGCGAAAAGGCAATTAAAAGAGCTGGAAAAATATTTGTAAACCATATATCAGGTAACAGTCTAGTATTCAGAATAGATAAGGAACTCTTAAAACTGACCAATAAAAAGATAAACCATTTAAAAAATGAACAAAAAATTTAATAGACATTTGCCTTAGTCTGTTGGAACTGCTATTACAAACTACCATAGACTAGGTAGCTTGTAGTAACAGATTTATTTCTCACAGTTCTGGAGACTGGGAATTCCTATATCAAAGTGCCAGCAGATTTGGTGTCTGGTGAGGGCCTTCTTCCAGGTTCACAGATAGTGTCTTGCTAAGTTCTCACATGATAGAAGAAGTAGGGGTGCTATCCAGAGTCTCTTTTATAACAGCACTAATTCCATTCATAAGGACTCTGCCCTCATGGCCTTATCACCTACCAAAGTGCCCACTTCCTAATGCCAGCACATTGGAGATTAGTATTTCAACATATGAATTTTGGGGGATACATATTCAATCCATAGCCTGCCACCCCTTGCCTCCCAAAATTTATGTTTTTCTCACAAGCAAAAGACATTGCATCCCAACAGTCCTCAAAATCTTGATTCATTCCAGCATCAACCTAAAATTTAAAACCCACAGTCTCACCTAAATATCATCTAAATCAGATATGGGTGAGACTCAAGATATGATTCATCTTGAGGCAAATTGCTCCCTAGCTGTGACACTGTGAAACCAAATAAGCCATATGCTTCCAAAATACAGTGGTGGGACAGGGATAGAATAGACATATCCATTCCAAAAGGGAGAAATAGCAAAGAAGAAAAGGGTAACAAATCCCATGTAAGTCCAGGCTACAAGCCAAACTCCATGAGATCTTAAGGCTTGAGAAAAATCTTTTTTGGCTTGATGCTCCTTCCAGGCCCACTACAGTGGGACTCCTGCCTTCAAGAACTGCTAGGTTAGAGGTTCTGCTCCCACGGCTCTGTCAGGCAGGGCTTAGGCTCCAAGCCTTTTGGCAGTCCTGCTGTCACTATTTTGGGTGGAGGAGATCTGGCTGATTGTGCAATGATGGTCTTCCCTTTTGAAACCAAGGAAGGCAGCCCTGATGATCTCTGGAATCATCTTTGGGGTCATTCTTCCATTGTCTTAGAGGATCATACCTGGCTTCTGTTGAGATGGCTGATCCATACAAATTTCATTAGCAAATGGTTGCTTGGTCACATCTTTACTGTTATCTTGTTTTGCAATATGGATAGTCTAAGAATTTTCTAAATCTTTACGTTCTGCTTCCTTTTTTACCTAACAATTTCATATTTAAGTCATTTCTCTCTTCTGTTATTTTACTATAAGCAGTCGGAAGGAGCCAAGCCTCACTTTCAACACTTCTCTTAGAAATAGTTTTGGGGCCGGGCATGGTGGCTCATGCCTGTAATCCCAGCACTTTGGGAGACTGAGGTGGGTGGATCATGAGGTCAGGAGTTCAAGACCAGCCTGGCCAAGATGGTGAAACCCCATCTCTATTAAAGATACAAAAATTAGCTGGGCACGGTGGTGGGTGCCTGTAATCCCAGCTACTCGGGAGGCTGAGGCAGGAAAATCGCTTGAAACCTGGGAGGCAGAGGTTGCAGTGAGCCGAGATCATGCCATTGTACTCCAGCCTGGGGGACACAGCGAGACTCCGTCTCAAAAAAAAAAAAAAAAAAAAGGAAAAAGAAAAAAGAAATAGCTTTGGCCAGGCACAGTGGCTCACGCCTGTAATCCCAGCACTTTGGGAAGCCAAGGCAGGCAGATCACCTGAGGTCAGGAATTCGAGACTAGCCTGACCAACATGGAGAAAACCTGTCTCTACTAAAAATACAAAATTAGTTGGGTGTGGTGGCGGATGCCTGTAATCGCAGCTACTTGGGAGGCTGAGGCAGGAGAATCACTTGAACCCGGGAGGTGAGGTTGCAGTGAGCTGAGATTGTGCCACTACACTCCAGCCTAGGTGACAGAGTGAGACTTCATCTCAAAAGAAAAAGAAACAGCTTTAGTTAAATATTCAATTTATTTGCCCACAAGTTCTACCTTCTATGTTTTGTAGAAGTTCTATCTTCTATGTTTTAGTGTTTTGCTAAAACATGAACACAATTCAGCCAGGTTCTTTGCCTCTTTAGAGCAAAGATAGCTTTTCCTTCAATTTTAAAAAGAATTTTATTTTTGTGGGTAGTAGTTGGTGTATATGTTTATGGGGTACATGAGATACTTTTATACATGCAATAAGCAATAATCACATCATGGGAAATGGGATATTCCTCTCCTCAAGCATTTATTCTTTGTGTTACAAACAATCCAGTCATACTTTTCCAGCTATCTAAATTATTGTTGACTATAGTCATCTGGTTGTGGTACCAAGCACCAAGTCTTATTCCTTCTTTCCAACTATCTTTTTTCCTACATATTAACCATCTCCACTACCCCACAACCCCCCATTGCCCTTCCCAGCCTCTGATAACTATCCATCTACTTTCTGTCTCCATGAGTTCAATTGTTTTGATTTTTGGCACCCACAAATAAGTGAGAACCTACAAAGTTTGTCTTTCTGTCTGACTTATTTCACTTGACATAATGACCTCCAATTCCATCCATGTTGTTGCAAATGACAGAATCTCATTCTTTTTTATGGCTGAGTAGTTCTCCATTGTATATATTTGCCACATTTGCTTTATCCAGTTATCTGTTGATGGACATTTAGGTTGCTTCCAAATCTTGGATACTGTGAACAATGCTACAACAAACATGTGAGTGCAGATATCTCTTTGACATACTGATTTTCTTTCTTTTGGGTGTACACCCAGCAGTGAGATTGCTGGATCATATGGTAGCTCTGTTTTTAGTCTTTTGAGGAACTTCCAAGCTGTTCTCCATAGTGGTTGTGCTAATTTACATTCCCACCAACAGTGTATAGGGCTTTTTTCCTCCATATCTTTGTCAGCATTTGTTATTGCCTGTCTTTTGGATAAAAGTCATTTTAACTGAGGTGAGGTGATATCTCATTGTAGTTTTGATTTGCATTTCTCTGATTATCAATGATATTGAACACCTTTTCATGTGCCTGTTTGCCATTTGTATGTCTTCTTTTGAGAAATGTCTATTCAGATGTTTTGCCCACTTTTTAAATCAGATTATTAGATTTTTTTCCTGTACAATTGTTCGAGCTCCTCGTATATTCTGATTATTAATCCCTTGTTAGATGGGTAGTTTACAAATATTTTCTCCCATTCTGTAGGTTGTCTCTTTGTTGATTGTTTCCTTTGCTGTGCATAGGCTTTTAAACTAATTCTATTTGTCCATTTTTGCTTTGGTTGCCTGTGCTTGTGGGATATTTTACTCCAGAAATTTTTGCCCAAATCAATTTCCTGGAGAGTTGCCACGGTATTTTCTTGTAGTGGTTTCATAGTTGTAGGTCTTATATTTATGTCTTTAATCCATTTTGATTTGATTTTTGCATATGACGAGAGATGGGAGGGGTCAAGTTTCATTCTTCTGCATATGGATATCCAGTTTTCTCAGCACCATTTATTGAAGTGATTGCCTTTTCTCCAATGTATATTTTTGGCACCTTTGTCAAAAATGAGTTCACTGTAGGTGTATGGATTTGTTTCTGGATTCTCTATTATGTTTCATTGGTCTATGTGTCTGTTTTTATGCCAGTGCCATGCTATTTTGGTTACTATAGCTCTGCAATATAATTTGAAGTCAGATAATGTGATTCCTCCAGTTTTGTTATTTTTGCACAGAATAGCTTTGGCTATTCTTGGTCTTTTGTGGTTTCATATAAGTTTTAGAATTGTTTTTTATATTTCTGTGAAGAATGTGATTGGTATTTTGATAGAGATTGCATTGAATCTGTAGATTGCTTTTGGTAGTATGGACATACTAACAATATTGATTCTTCTAGTCCACGAACAGGAAATATCTTTCCATTTTTATGTTTCTTCTTTAATTTCCTTCATCAGTGTTTTATAGTTTTCATTGTAGACATTTTTTACTTCTTTGGTTAACATAATTCCTAATTATTTAAATTTATTTGTGGCCTTTGTAAATGGGATTACTTTTTTATTTCTTTTTCAGATTGTTCACTGTTGATATATAGAAATAATACTGATATTTGTATATTGGTTTTGTATCCTGAAACTTTACTGAATTTGTTTATCAGTCCTAATAGTTTTTGTGGAGTCTTTGGTTTTTTCCAAATATAAGATTATATCATCTGTAAACAAGGATAATTTGACTTCTTTCTTTCCAGTTTGGATGCCCTTTACTTCTTTCTCTAGTCTGGTTGCTCTAGCAAGGACTTCCAATACTATGTTGAATAACAGTGGTGAAAGTGGATATCCTTGTTGTGTTCCAGATCTTAGAGGAAAGGCTTTCAGTTTTTCACCATTCAGCATGATACCAGCTGTAGATCTGGCATATATGGCTTTTATTGTGTCAACGTATGTTCCTTCTATACAGTTTTTTAAGGTATCTTATCATGAAGGAATGTTGAACTTTATCAAATGCTTTTTCAGCATTATTTGAAATGATCATATTTTTTTCTTCATTCTGTTGATATGACACATCACATGGATTGATTTGCATAAGCTGAACCATCCTTGCATCCCTGGGATAAATCCCATTTGATCATGATGTGTTGTGGGAAGTCAGGGACCCCGAACGGAGGGACCAGCTGGAGCCACAGCAGAGGAACATAAATTGTGAAGATTTCATATTAATATGGACATTTATCAGTTCCCAAATAATACTTTTATAATTTCTTATGCCTGTCTTTAATCTCTTAATCCTGTTATCTTCGTAAGCTGAGGATGTACGTCACCTCAGGACCACTGTGATAATTGGGTTAACTGTACAAACTGATTGTAAAACATGTGTGAACAGTATGAAATCAGTGCACCCTGAAAAAGAACAGAATAACAGCGATTTTTATGGAATGAGGGAAGTCAACCATAAGATCTCATTGCCTGTGGGGTCGGGCAAAAAGAGCCATATTTTTCTTCTTGCAGAGAGCCTATAAACAGACATGCGAGTAGGAAAGATATCGCTAAATTCTTTTCCTAGCAAGGAATATTAATATTAATGCCCTGGAAAAGGAATGCGTTCCTGGAGGGAGGTCCATAAACGGCCACTCTGGGAATGTTTGTCTTGTGCAGTTGAGATTAGGACTGAGATATGCCCTGGTCTGCAGCAGAACCCTCAGGCTTACTAGGGTGGGGAAAAACTCCACCCTGGTAAATTTGTGGTCAGACCTGTTCTCTGCTGTTGAACCCTGTTTTCTGTTGTTTAAGATGTTTATCAAGACAATATGTGCACCTCTGAACATAGACCCTTATCAGTGGTTCTGCTTTTGCCCTTTGCCCTGTGATCTTTCTTGGATCCTTATCAGTGGTTCTGCTTTTGCCCTTTGTCCTGTTCCCTGAGAAGCATGTGATCTTTGTTAGACCCTTATTAGTGGTTCTGCTTTTTGCTCTTTGAAGCATGTGATCTTTATACCTACTCTCTGTTCTTACGCCCCCTCCCCTTTTGAAACCCTTAATAAAAACTTGCTGGTCTGAGATTCAGGCGAGCATCACAGTCCTACTGATATGTGATGTCACCCCTGGCGGCCCAGCTGTAAAATTCCTCTCTTTGTACTGTCTCTCTTTATTTCTCAGCTGGCTGACACTTAATGGAAAATAGAAAGAACCTATGTTGAAATATTGGGGGTGGGTTCCCCCAATAATGATGAATGATCTTTTTAATATATTGTTGAATTTGGTTTGCTAGTATCTTGTTGAAGATTTTGCATCAATATTTATCAGAGATACTGACCTGCAGTTTTCCTTTTTTCATGTGTGATTGTCTGGTTTTGGTATCAGGGTAATAGTGACCTCACAGAATAAGGTTGGAAGTATTCCCTCCTTCTTTTTTTAAAAAAATAGTTTGAGTAGGACTGGTATTAGTTTTCCTTTAAATGTTTTTCCTCCAATTTTTAATAAGATGTTTCTCATTTCCATATGAGACCTCATAAGAATGGCCCTTACCATCCATGTTTCTACCAAGATTCTGTTTATAATTAAGTATTCTCAAGAATATTGAGGCTTTCTCTACAGTTCTTCTTCTTTCTTTCTGTGACCTCACCAGAGCTGCTTTTGAAATATTGTTCAAAGCAATATACCTTTTTTCTAGCATGCACCTCAAAACTTTTCCAGCCTTCACCCATCACCGATTTTCAAGGCTGTTCCCACATTTTTAGGTATTTGTTATAGTAGCACCCCACTCCCAGTACCAAAATCTATATTAGTCAGGGTTCTCCAGAGAAATAGAACCAATAGGATATATATTAAGAAAGAGAGAAAGAGAGAAAGAGAGACAGATATTTATTATAATGGATTGGCTTATGTGATTATAGAGGCTGAGAAATATCATAATCTATTGTCTTAAACTGGAGGCCCATGAAAGCTAGTGGTATAATTCTAGTTAAAACCTGAAGGCTCTAGAACCAGGAAAGTCAATGGTGTAAGTTCCAGTTTGAGTCTGAAGGCCTGAGAATCAGGAGCACTGATGTCTGTGGGCCAGAGAAGATGGATATCTCAAATTTGCTCTCTGCTCTCTGAGACCTGCAAATTTGGTCCTCTTCTGCCTTTTGTTCTGTTTGGGACCTCAGTGGATTAAATCTTGGTCACCCCTGTGTGTGAGGGTAGATCTTCTTTCCTCAGGCTACCAATTCAAATGTGAATCTTTTCTGCAAACACCCTCACAGACAAACATAAAAATAATGTTTTACTAACTCTCTGGGCATCCCTTAGCCTAGTGTAGTTGACACATAAAATTAACTAGCCATTTTCCATAGAAGATAACCAGTAGGTGCATGAAAAGATGCTCAGATTCATTAGCCACTAGCGAAATGCAAATCAAATCCACAATGAGATACCACTTTATAACCATTAGCATGGCTATAATAATCATCATCATCTAAAAAGGACAATAACAAATACTGATGAGGATTTGGGAAAATTGTAACCTTCATACATTGCTGATAGGAATATAAAATAGTGGAGCTAGACTGGAAAATGGTTTGGCAGTTCCTCAGAAAGTTGAACATAAGAGTTGCCATACGCCCAGCAATTCCACTCCTATACCTAGGAGAAATAAGATTCTGTTTTTATACACAAAACCTTATATATGAATGTTAATAGCAATATTATTCATAGTAACTCAATAGAAACAACCCAGATGTTCAGCAACTGATGAATGGTTTAACAAAATGTGTTATATCCATACAATATTCAGTTATGAAAATAGATGAAGTACTGACACATGCTACAACATGGATGAACCTTAAAAACATTATGCTACATTAAAGAAGCCACACATAAAAGGCCACTTATTGTATGATTCCATTTATATGAAATGTCCAGAATAGTCAAATCTATACAGATTAGAAAGATTAATATTGCCTAGGGCTGATGGTAGAGTGAGGAGGGTTGGAGTGGGCAGTAGAGAAGAGAGGGACATGGGGAATGACAACTAATGGGTCTGGGTTTCTTTAAGGGGTGATTTCAGTGCTCTGGAATTAGATAGTCATGACACTTGTACAATCTTGTCAATATAATATAATCCACTGAGTTGCACACTTTAAAGTAATAAATTTTATGATATGTGAATTATGTGTCAATTTTTAAGAATCAACACAGAGAACCTATAAAAATCAATGAACAAACTAAAAGTCATCCTGATAAAGCAATGTAATAATTATCCAGAGTTCTGATTTCCCCCCTAAGTTATTATTAAAAGGTAAAAGTACTTAAGAATATGAGTGGTTCATAGGAATGGAAAACCAAATACCACATGTTCTCACTTATAAGTGGGAGCTAAACATTGAGCACACATGGACATAAATATGGGAATAATGGACATTGTGGACTAGTAGAAAGTGGAGGGAGGTGGGTTGAAAAACTCCCTATTGGGTATTATACTCACTGTCTGGGTGATGGGATCCGTACTCCAAACCTCAGCATCACGCAATATTCCCATGCAACAAACCTGTACACATACGCCTTGTATTTAAAATAAAAGTTGAAATAAAAAAATTTTGAAAAAGAAGATGAGTTGTTTATGACAGCAAGTGTTTTTCCCAGGATATAAAGGATAGATTATACAACAATTACCTAGATGTTGCAAACACACACACTAAGATAATTGCCTGAAATTCTGCTTCACGTGTGCTCAAGTATAGATTTAATCATGTGTTGCATTTACAGGGCATTAGGAGGTGGATCGTAGTCTGCAACAAGTAATTGAAATAATATACTGGATAGTTCTTGAAGTCAGAATTATTATATACTTAATGTATTTCATCTACTTTAAGATGTACAATTTTTTTCCAATTTTAACATCTGAGATATATTTTACAATTAATGATGTCTTAGATTTGATGAAATATGGCAGTTTTGTATCATGTATGTTTGCTTTAGATGTCTTTCTACAGTGGTTAGCCATGTAAAATTAATTTTACTATTCTCTAAACAGCTATTTATATTAAAACATCATTTCCAGTGCATCCCCAGTGCTATGTTTATTTTGAGGTTTTGAAACCTGGTTGTTGACATATCTCCTAATTGCATGAAAAATAGTTCTTAGGGGTTAAATGAAGATTTCCCACAACCCCTCCCTATTTGCTGTATTGTGAGTATAAGAATAATTGCCTTTCTTTACTTCTTTTTGGGCCAGAGAGAGAAAGGCCTATCAAGGTGTGCTCCCTGCTTATCAAACCCTTCTGTCACCCTGGGTCGTTTTAAGGAGTAAGTGGAACCTGTAAATTATCAGGCATTTTAAAAATCCTGTTTCTATATACGTTATTTTCACTTCAAACTTTTAGCATAAGGTCTTCAATGTTTATACTACAGGACATAATTTAATAGTTTTTTTATTGCTATGACCCATTCTAATTATACCAAAATATCCTATAAAACAACAAAGTTAAAGTTTTGCCCAAGCATCTCTTCTAATGCCTTTTAAGCCAGAAAGTCTTAGATTCCTGAGTGGAGATTGGAAAGACATTATTAAACCATAACTTACAAAATGTTCATTTTACCCCTAAACACAGAGTGATCCTGGTAATTACAAATGGTGATATTTTGTAAAAATCTAAACGTGAGATGAGAACTCATCATTCTTAGACTAAGAAGCAATTGTTAAGGGGAGTAGAGGCAGAGGGTAATGTTTCGTTGCTAGAACACTTGGTTCTGTATGTTGCTATCCTTTTACAAAGGCAAAGCTTCACTGGAATTACCTTTAAACAAATATATAAATTCTTACCATCTGTCTATATGTGTTACACAACAGGAATACGTAACTATTCCCATAGTGAAGAAAGGAATTTCTTCATGTATATATTAAAATGTATATTTATGCACATAAATCTTATATATGTTTTCTATATCACACAGATATGTATCTGTATATGCCATATAGTCATCAAACATCCCCTGCAGTCTTAGCTCAATGATGATTTATAATGGAGAGAGTGACTTTCTCATGCTTTTGGTTGAGGACTTGCAATTGGATAGTATATTCAGGTTATAAAGCACAATGTAAGGGGAATGTAAGCATTTATCAAGAGTCTAATCACTGTGCCAGGAACCATATAATGGTAATTATTGGGTGCTGTGAGCACTGTTACTTTTTAGTTTGGACAGCCACAAGAAGTCAATAAACTCAGTGCTATATCTTCCTAGTTCCCTCTGCCTACACATTGTAGCCAGTGATAGCACACATAGAGTAATTGCAGAATATTCTATAAAAAAAATTTTTGGATCCAAGAGAATGCTATGTTCTTCGTTGATTTACACCTCATTCTGTTTCATCTTAACTCCATGTGATGATTGTTATGTGTCAGCTTGACTTGGCTAAGGTATGCCCAGAGAGCTGGTAAAGCATTTTTTCTGCGTTTGTCTGTGAAGTTGTTTGCAGAAGGAATTTGCATTTGAATTGGTAGACTGTGTAATCGCCCTCACCAGTGGGAGTGGGCACTGTCTTTCAAGGGCCTGAGTAGAACAGAATAACTGTCTGCTTGAGCTGGGACATCCATCTTCTGCCCCCCAGACATCAGTGCTCCTGGTTCTTGGGCTTTCAGACTCAGGTTGGTACTTACACCATTAGCCCTCCTCACCATTGTCTCCCCTCCCCTTCCAACCTCAATTCTCAGGCCTTCAGAGTCAAACTGAATGACACCACCAGCTTTCCTGGTTCTCCAGTTTGTAGAGGAAAGATCATGGGACCTCTCAACCTCTATAGTTATGTGAGCCACTTCCTATAATAGATCTCCTCTTGGTTCTTGTACAAACCAGAGGTAATCTAAACCTCTTAGTTTAGAGTTTTACAAAATATCACCATTTGTAATTACCAGGATCACTCTGTGTTTAGGGGTAAAATGAACATTTGGTATGGACTGTTGGTTTTGTTCCTCTGGGAACCCTGACTAAAATGCTGAGTAAGTGCAAGTAAAAGAACAAGACATAACCATTTAATAGATTTTTTTTATTATATTAGTAAATACAGCATTGTGGATAAGACCATGGATATTGGAATCAGATCACATGGGTTCATTTCTAATTCTGTGGTTTACTAGCTGTGTGACTGGGCAAGTTATTTAACCTCTCTGTACCTTAGGGTTCTTACCTGGAATGTGTGGCTAGCAATAGCACCTGCCTTATTAGCATTATAAGTGAAATTATATATTTGAACCACTTAGAACATTACTAGCGCATAGAGTCAATGCCCGAGGAAATGCCTCTTGATTTTTTATAGAAGGTAAGACTTCTAATTCAGCCCCTATTGTTTAGAAAGGCACACATTGCACACTTTTTAAATTATAGATTGTGTCTTTGTCAAAGTGAAATCTTTAAAATTGAACTTTGCCACAAATTGTTTATTAATTAATTATGGCTGTGCTCTTAACATTTTTAGAACTAAAATGGATTTCTTGCCTATGAATGCTTTAGTAATTTGAATATTTGCTACAACAAATAGAGATTAAAATCAATTTGGTAGAGTAGAAAGAATGTGAGCTTGGGAGATATAGACTGGGTTTTTAAATTTTATCCCATTGTCTGCTGCTTTCTGATCCTAGGCGAGTACTTCACTTCCCTGAGCCTCAGTTCCTTGTCTATAAAGTAAGATTAATAAGGCAATTGATCTATTGTAGTATAAGGCAAATGATGGTGCTAAAAAATTGCTCCTGTAATTTAACCAATAACTAGTTCCTGTTGATCATGCCAGAGGATTTCGAAAAATCAACAAAGTCTTATGATGGTTCCAGTGGTCTTGATCTTACAGTGCTCCAAAATATGCTGGAGCTTAACATTAATCATACTACACCAAGCTCTCACGTAGAATTTTGGCCTAAAGAGAAAAACTTGACAGTTTATCACCAAGAAAAGTGCTATGTATTTTAGACATAAAATCCAGTAAACTAATAGCAACAGCTTATGTGATCTACTGCAAGTTACTGAATTGTTCTGTGACTCATTCTTGATATAGGAGGATTGGACAAGATGACCTAATAAATGTTCATTTATTATTATTAGAAATAAATGTTCATGAGGCCAGCCGCCGTGGCTCATGCCTGTAATCCTAGCACTTTGGGGGGCCAAGACGGGTGGATCACCTGAGGTCGGGAGTTCGAGACCAGCCTGGCTGACATGGTGAAACCCCATCTCTACTAAAAATACAAAAATTAGCTGGGTGCGGTGGCACACACCTGTATTCCCAGCTACTTGGGTGGCTGAGACAGGAGAATTGTTTGAACCCAGGAGGCGGAGGTTGCAGTGAGCCAAGATCATGCCACTGCACTCCAGCTTGGGCAACAGAGTGAGACTCTGTCTCAAAAAATAATAAATAAAAAATAAATGTTCATGAGTCCAGGAAAGATAGAATAAGTTTTTAATACAGTAAAGATGATTGAGCATTTGTCAAACTAGGGTATAAATATTACTGGAATTTCCCATGATTTTTCCAGAAAACTTGTGTATATGCAAAAATGAGAAATAAAAATTAGATCTTAATACTGAAATATGACCCATAAAACACAAGCACTTAAAGGAATTCTATTAATAAAGTTTTGAATGCGCTGATCAAATGGAGAACTTCTATTTTTATGTTGTTATTTTTCTTGCCACACTGTGAGATCTTAAAATTAAATGTGATCACACTTAGGCTCATAACCTATATTTATATCCCCCAAAGCTAGATTTTCTCCAGAGAACAAGGAGTGTTCTTCCTTATAGGAAGAAAATACAATGCAAGTTCTATGATGATACCATTGGGTGCTTAAAGGATATATACAAGATATACATCTTAGAACTGAACTGTATTCCTAGACCTTTACTTGGCATACTTTGAGTGAGCAATATGTAAAATGACTTCTGGTACGTTTAAATTAGGGCAATTACCAAGCATATTTTCTCCAAGTTCTACTCTGCTGTTGAATGAAGAAATAATTTGTTCTCAAAGAAGAGGGAAGGGGAAGCAGCCCGTGTTGGATAAATGCAAGTGTGGCTGGCAGCCTACTTTGAGCCGGTGTAGAGAAAGGCTGCTGGGGAGCTCCTGCTCATCACCATTTAAAGGTTCATTAAATTTGATGGAGAATTATATTTCAATGCTCAGACCTGGCAGGTCCTTTTTTCCTCACAGCTTTTAAAATTACTGCTTTTGCCACTGATTGGTCCGTCCACCTCATTTTCCTCTTAATATTTCACCAACACCTCTGCTCCTGACAGTTACGAGGACACAAGGCCAACTAGATATCAGCGCATTTGCTTAGCCCCGGAGTGGCTTGGGAATGAGTCTGACAAGAGCCAGGGAGCAGAGGCTTTTCATAAATAATGGTGTGCTCTTGTCAGGGGTTCTGGGCCTTGCAGGATGGTAACATGTTTCCATAGCAGATGGGTCCGCTCTTGCCTGCCATTCTGTCTTTTGAACTTCCTGTTCAAGGGTATGGTTTTCATCAACCTTGATGCTGTAGAGAACACCTACTTTATAAAATTGGAATTTTTTTAGCCAAAAGAAAATAACTGAATGTTTTTGTATATAAAAGATTTCTTTAGAAAAGACCAAAAGGGGATGGAATAACCAGCCCAGATGTCCAAGTGAAAAGTTGTAACTGTGATAGAAATTTTTTCTTGTAATATATGAAAATTAGGACTGAGGAGAACAATCCTTTCTAGGCTCAGATTTCATTAAATGTCATTAAGAAATTATACCTTTTGCTATAAAACTACTTTTTTGGGGCAAATAATCCCTACACATATACAGGTACACTTTGTTTTATGGAGCTTCACTTTATTGCACTGTGCACATATTGCATTTTTTGTATGGTTTTGTTTTTACAAATTAAAGATTTCTGGCAACCCTGTGTCTAGCAAGTCTATCAGCACCATTTTTCCAACGGCATATGCTCACTTCATGTCTGTGTCACATTTTGGTAACTCTCACAATATTTCAAACTTAGTCATTATTTTTATATCTGTCATTGTGATCTGTGATCAGTGATCTTTTTTGTTACAATTATAATTGTTTGGGGGCACCATGAACTACCCCCATGTAAGACAGCAAATTTAATCAATAAATGTGTGTGTTCTGACTGCTCCACCAATTGGCTGTTCCTGTATCTCTCTCCCTCTCCTTAGACTTTCCTCTTCCATGGGACACAGTAATATTGAAACTAACCTAATTAACAGCCTTACAGTGGCCTCTAAGTGTTCAAGTGAAAAGATGACATGTCCCTTACTTTAAATCAAAAGATAGAAATGATGATTAAGCTTGGTGAAGAACACATGTCAAAAACTGAGATAGGCTGAAAGCTAGGCCTCTTGCACCAAATAGTTAGCCAAGTTGTGAATGCAAAAGAAAAGTTCTTGAAGGAAATTGAAAGTGCTCCTCCGGTGAACACACAAACAATAAGTAACTGAAACAGCCATATTGCTAATATGGAGAAAGTTTGAGTGGTCTGGATAGAAAATCAAATCAGCCACAATATTCCCTTAGACCAAAGCTTAAGCCAGAGCAAGCCCTAAATATTTTCAATTCTATCAAGGCTGAGAGAGGTGAAGAAGCTGCAGAAGACAGGTTGGAAATTAGCAGAAATTGTTTCATGAGGTTTAAGGAAAGCAGCTGTCTCTCTAACATAAAAGTGCAAGGTGAAACAGAAAATACTGTTGTAGAAGCAGCAGCAGGTTATCCAGAAGGTCTAGCTAAGATCATTGATGAAGGTGGCTACATTAAACAACAGATGTTCAGTGTAGATGATACAGCTTTCTATTGGAAGAAGATGCCATCTAGGACTTTTCATAGGTAGAGAGAAACCAATGCCTGGCCTCAAAGCTTTTAAGGACAGGATGGCTCTCTTTCAAGGGGCTAATGCAGCTTGTGACTTTCACTCGAAGCAAATGCTCGTTTACCATTCTGAAAATTTTAGGGGCCTTAACAATTATGCTAAATCTTTTCTGCCTGTGTTCTGTCAGTGGAACAACAAACCCTGGATGGCAGCACATCTGTTTACAGCGTGGCTTACTGAATATTTTAAGCCTACTGTGGAGAACCACTGCTCAGAAAAAAAAGTTCCTTTTTTCTGCTTATTAACAATGCACCTAGTAACCCAAGAGCTCTGACAGAGATGTACAAGGAGATGAATGTTGTTCTTATGCCTGCTAACACAGCATCCATTCTGTCGCTCATGGATTGAGGAGTAATTTTGATTTTTAAGTCATATTATTTAAGAAATACATTTTTTAAGGCTATAGCTCCCAGAGGTAGTGATTCCTCTGATGGATCTGGGCAAAGTACATTGCAAACCTTCTGGAAAGGATTCACTATTCTAGATGCCATTAAGAACATTTGTGATTCATGGGAGGAGGTGAAAATATCATTAACAGCAGTTTGGAAGACATTCATTCCAAGCCTCATCGATAACTTTGAAGGGTTCAAGACTTCAGCAGATGAAGTAACTGCAGATGTGGTAGAAACAGCAAGAAAACTAGAATTAGAAGCAGAGCCTGAAGATGTGACTGAATTGTTAAAATTCCATAAAACTTGAACAAATAAGGAGCTGCTTCTTATGGATAAGCTAAGAAAGTTGTTTCTTGAGATGGAATCTACTTCTGGCAAAGATGCTATGAACATTGTTGAAATGACAACAAAGGATTTAGAATACCACATAAACTTAGTTAATAAAGTAGCAGCAGTGTTTAAGAGGATTGGCTCCAATCTTGAAAGAAGTTCTACTGTGGTGCTTACATGCTACAGACAAATCTGTTATGAAAGGAAGTCAGTTAATAAGGCAGACTTTATCGTTGTCTTATTTTAAGAAATTGCCACAACTATCCCAACTTTCAGCACCCACTACCCTGATCAGTCAGCAGCCATCAACATCAAGGCAAGTCTCTCCCAACAAAAAAATTACAACTCACTGAAAGCTCAGATAATCATTAGCATTTTTAGCGATAAATATTTTTAATTAAGGTATGTACATTGTTTTTAGACATAATTCTATTGCATATGTAATACACTAAAACATACTATGAATATAACTTTTATATCAAAAAAAATTCATGCAACTTACTTTATTGCAATATTCACTTTATTGCAGTGGTCTGGAACCAAACCCACAGTATCTCTGAAGTATGTCTGTACGTCATTATGCCCACTCATGTCTGCAGATCTTTTGGCAGGGAAACTAAAGTCTTCCACCTTTTCTTTTCAGCATCTTGATCTCATTTTCAGAGGATAGTCCAAATGCAGTGTTGAGAGGGTCAACAGGGCTTGGAATGTTTGGTATGCTAGCCACATTCAGGTGGTATTTACTGCTGGGGGCAAAAATGGTTCAGGTAAATTATAGGGACTCGATCAACTGTATTGGGCTTGTAAAATTAGCTTTATCCAAGCAATAGAAAGTGAAAAAGTTTCAAAGCCTTGTGCATTTCCAGAGGGAAAAATAACACATACAATCATCCCTCAGGAATTGGTTCCAGGACCTTCTATGGATACCAAAATTTGTGGATGCTCAAGTTCCTTACATAAAATGGCATAGTGTTAGCATATAACCCATGCACATCCTCCTGTATTCTTTAAATCATCTCTAGATTACTTATAATACCTAATATAATTAGGTATTATATGTAACCTAATTAGGAAATATAATTAGGAAAATGCTATATAAATAGTTAAACTATATGATTTGGGGAATAGCAAGGAAAAAAAGTATGTACATGTTCAGTACAGACACTATTTTTTGGAATATTTTTGTGCTGCAGTTGTTTGAATCCATAGTTGCAGAACCCATCAATGGTGGTTTAATTAGAAGAAGACTGAGTCTAATCAAAGGACATAAAAGTGAGGGTAGCCCTGGACATCTCAGGGACTAATGAAGCGACATCACTGTCTGGGGTAAATACCTGAGATTCATTGTCTTGTGGCCACAGAAAACTAGGATGCGGACACACAAGGAGTGAGTTTAGGAGTGGGAGTTTACTAGGTGAAAGAAAGAGAAGAGCTCTCTTGCTACAGAGAAGGGTCCCAGGGAAATCGGTTGCCACTTCCACGGTGAAATGCAGTGAGTTTTACAGATGAGGTTGAGGAAGCGGTGTCTGATTTACATAGGGTGCAAAAGATTGGTTGGACCAGGTGTGTCATTTGCATAGGGCACAAAAAACTAGTTAGGACTAGGTGTGCTGTTTGAATAAGGTGTGAAAACCTGGCTTTCCCCCCCCTAATCTTTTATTATTCTCTGGGTTCTTTGCCTGGTTGGTGCCATGTTGCCTGTTTCTTCACTGTACACGGGGTGACAAAGAAAGGGAAGATGGAGCCTCCAGGTTGAACATACTTGAACCCCAGGTAGCCCGTTTCTGTTGGCACAGCTGCTAACCTTCACCTGTGCAAGCTTCCAGGTTGCTTATCTATGTCTGCAGCTCGATATTTCAGGCTGTTCTTTGTTAAAAAAGAAATAATTTGGGGCTGCTGTTTGTTAAAAGGGAAATTCTGCTGAGGACTCTTTTATCCTCACTATCTGCCTGAATAAGTTATTTCTAGCTCCTGTATCACTAACACCAGAGCCTGGATTGCTAACAGTACCCTTTCTCTCTCCATCTTTGTCTCTCATCTGGGCCTCTTCTTAGGTGTAGGTGATGATCTGTTGCACATGAGATTTTCTTTAAGTATCTGAGATTCTGGACTCATATCATCCACCAGAGAAGCAATTTTGTCCCACCAGCTCTAGTTGTAAAGTTGTTATGGAAGCACGTGGGGTATACACCACTGAAGGTATAATAGGATCTGTCACCAGAAGAAAGGGTGGTGGTGGTAGTGAAGCATTGCACATTAAACAAGGACTGTTTGGCCTTCTGTATTTTAAATAATTATGTGCAAATTATATTACTATCTGGTATCAAAAAGTAGAAACAATTTTATTAAAATAAAGCTTTTATAATATCTAAAATGTTTCTAGTTATATGGAATAAAATCCCCCTTTTAGAATATAATTCTTACATTTAAGTCGCATACATTTGCCTTTCTTACATGTTTTTTAAGAATGATTTTTTATTTTATTTTTTTTACAAAACTGGAGGATACCTGTACATGTACTACAGTCATTGGAATAGTGATAAGACCATGGGATTTAGAATCATTCACATTGGTTATAATTTTTACTGCATTATTAACTTTTGGCAAGATAACATGCCTTGAGCCTCAGGATTTTTTTGTTTGTTTCTTAATAAACAGATGGGATTAAAAATGATATTTATTTCTGTGATGATTGTGAAGATTAAGAAAGATAATGGATGTGAAGAAAAATTTGTTAATTACAAAGTACAAACATTAAGTGGTTATCCTTTTATATATATTTCTAAAGTGATATTCTTAATTTGGGGTCCATGGACCACCTCCCTCCAAAAAATTATATGTAACCTTGTATGTGTTTATACCTGTATCACCTAATATTAGGCTCAGCTGTGAGTGACAGAACACCTACAAGGAACTGTGGCTTAATAAAATATAAGTTCATTTCCCTCTCTAATGTACAGACTCCAGAGAAAATTCATCCAGGATGCGTACGATAATTCCATAATCATCAAGGACTGAAGCTCCTCCTCTCTTGCTGTTTTACTTCACTAAGCCTATGGCTTCCTTCTCATAGTTCAGCATGACAGCTCAAGCTCCAACTTGTCATATCTACATTCGAGCCAACAATAAAGATGAAGTGGAGGAGGGAGTGAAAGAAGGCCATGCTACTGACCTTTAAGGACACTCTTTAGAAGTTGAATATGACACTTATGCTTATATCTCATTGGCCAAAACTTAGTCACATGGCACATCTAGCTAACAGAGCAACTAGGAAACATAGTCTTTATTCTCAGAGTTTCATTAGTAAGCAAGAAAGAAGAGCGCCTAATGGGAGAGTGTTCTATGTCTATAAAATATGGGTATATATTTTTATAGAGAGAAAAGGAATCTATGACTTTCATCAGAATCTCAAAGAGATGTATTTTAATGTATAAACCTAAGAAAACAGTGTTTCAAAGTGGAATCAGGCGTTTTATTCTGTAAACCTATAGAGTAAAGCATCTTTCTAGATCATCTTCTACCTGTGCTGTGAACAGAAAAGTAGGACATAATCAGCCAACCAGTAAATGCAGATTTGGTGCTATTATGTACACAGCACAGACACCAGTTGATAATGTTTATCATTTTAATTTGCTCTCTTAAATCAATCACTTTACACATCATAAGTCAATGACTTATTTCTTATGCATCTACTTATGATCTATTACTTAAATGATTCCTAAACAATTTAAAATTTATCTACCCTTTTCCTTCATCATTTTGGATACAAATTAAGATTCTTTTTGAGAATTAAAAATTAACTTTCGCTTTTCATAATTAATTTAATTTCAATTTAATGAAGCCTAGTGAACATCTTTTTTAGTTTAATTGAATTTCTGCTTTAATGCTTTTGCTTTGTACAATCATCTGATCTTTTAATTTTTACCTAGTTTTAAGTAGCACATGTTGAACAACACATAAAATGTCAAAAATCCTAATTTAATTCATTTCAAAAGTCAACAACTGATAAAACCAACTCTAAGAAAGCAAGCTGTTTTTAGACATTTTAGTGGTCTTATTTTTGTTTTTATTGTGCATAGTTTTCTTTGCTGATGCAGAAATTTGTAGCTATAAGTGGTTGGTTTCTTTATTTTAATTAATGACTAGTAAGAAGTTTCTCTCTTTGGAAGAAAGCCAGATGTCAACATTGAAACACACGACCCCTTCCCTCAAAATGGTCTTACTAATTTAATTGTCAACATAAAAAATATGTCAGGACTTTAAAAAATATTAAAAATAGTTAATTATGAAGCTATAAAAATATCGATTGATACAGAAAGATGTATATGTATATTATTAAAGTGGAAGGAAGGTTACAAAGCCAGAATGTCTAATATAGTTTTTAAAATATTTAAGTGTCAGGGAGAAAACAATCTCTAACAATACACACCAGTTATCCAACTGAATAGTAGCAGCTATTTTGGGATGATGGGATTAAAGGTGATTTTTACTGTCTAGAGCTTCTTTTCTATATTGTATAGATTTTTTATAGTACCATGTTGCATTACTTTTATTACTGGGGGAAAAAACAAACTGGCACATTTTTCCATTTTGGAGACAAGTTATAAGAAAATTGATAAACAAAAGTAGCATTCTTTCTTTTTTCCACCACAGAGTTCTATCATCTAAAAATCAAAGAGCCACCTCGAAAGTAAAATTGTATACCCCATGACTGACTACTGTGATTTTGAAGCATAGCATTTAGGAGATTTCACAGGAAATTTGAAATTTTGCTGCTTTTGCTGATGAAGTCTGTATGCAGCCCATGGTGGGCTGAATTGCAATATCTACACTGAATTCCAATCAGATATGAAAATGTAGTAAATTAATGTGAATTAGAATTGCAGTCTCCTGAATATCCTTCCCTTCAGAGTCGTGGACTCATTCATAATGAGGATGTGTGTGTGTTACTTACTTATCCCAAGGTGTGAGATTAGCAGATGACTGCTGGGCAAATCAGTAAAGCTTTTGTGCACTGTGAAGGCAAGAATAAACCAGCTATTTTAACCCAAGCCCAGGCATTCCCTTCTCTGGATTCCCTAGCGGATCCTTCAGCTGAATCTGAGCCTTAAAAATAAAGCCACTTTCTATGCCTCTCTGTGCATACTGAGAATCCTGCCAAAGCCTTCTATGAGGTATCTGTGAATTTACCCTGGGAGAATACCACAGAGTGTCCCTGGCTTCCTGTTCTAAATGACCCACTCCAATGACACATTGTAATATTACTTAAGGTAGGGAGAATGAGCTGCCAAAACCCATTTATCACTTTGCTGGCCTTGGACTGTGCACATCCGTCTAAAGTTAAACAAGGGTCATTTTATCTGATGTTTCACTGCAGGGTTTTCCACCCCTACAAAGTACTGTTTTTTAAATATATGTAAAAGAATGAATTGGGGAAGATAGATGCTTGAAATTTTACAAATAAATATTGAATGTCCAAAGCTAGGAGACATTGGTTAAATAAAGTATGGTTATTCATAAAATGGAATATTATGCTGCCTTTAAAAATAAGGCTGAAGAATACTTAATAAAGTACAAATATGGCCAGGATATTCTATTATATGGATAATTATCATCTAATCAAAATAATATGCAGAATATTTGGTTACTATGTAGAATATTAAAAATTAAAAATATATACACAGGAAAAAGTATTGAAAGGTATGCACCAACACATTTTTGTAGTTACCTTTGAGTACAAAGACTAGGTCTGAATTTTCCTCTCTATCTTATTCTCCCTCTCTCCTTCATCAATACTAAATTTTCTTTCAAAATAAACTAAACATGAAGTCATTTAAATAAGTTAACTGGTGCTAATGCTTATCTAAAATAGAAAAATTGCCAATTGATTTGAAACAAGAGGAACAGATTTTGGAACATTTTATTTCTGACAGTTAAATTTATGTATATTTTAAACAGACTCTTTAGAAACTGTGGAGTGGGTCAGGGTGATGGTATAGAGGAACTCTGTGCTTTCTTCTTAATATTTCTGTAAACCTAAATCTCTAAAAATATCTATGAAAATTTTGAAAGACCCTTTACATTTTCACTAGTTGGCCATCTTTTATTGTCTCATGATCACAGGTGATGTCAGTTAACATGTTATGTTAACATTTGAGTTTTAATAAGTCATAAGGGCAGTGCTTATAAGCAAGATGATTCTGTCTATAGTCTGGAAAGAAGCAAGGACTTGCTAAGAACTCTGAACTCTGTTGTATCTGGTATTATAGATTTCTTTTCTGGCTGGCTCCTCCTAGCCTCTTGAACCCCAAACTCTATCAGCCTTCATCTCTCGCCTAGTCATAGACCAGGCAGACTATTCACCTGCTAGATTCCTGTATTTGCTGGTTATAACCTCTGTTCTCAGAGCCTTTGTTGTGTTCAACACTGTATTAGTCTGTTCTCATGCTGCTAATAAAGACATACCCAAGAAACAAAAGAGGTTTAATTGACTCACAGTTCAGCATGGCTGAGGAGGTCTCAGGAAACTTACAATCATGGCAGAAGGGGAAGCAAACATGTCCTTCTTCACATGACAGCAGGTGAGAGAAGAATGAAACCAAGAGAAGGGGGAAGTCCCTTATAAAACCATCAGATATCATGAGAAATTACTCACTATCCACAAGAACAACATGGGCAAAACCGTCCCATGATTCAGTTATCTCCACCTAGTCCCACCCTTGACACATGGGGATTATTACACTTCAAGGTGAGATTTGGGTGGGGACACAGAGCCGAACCATATTAAATGCACATACCCATTCTGAAAGGCTGCCACAGTGACATCACAGCCACTCTTTTGGTGTGATCTTGACCCCAGAGAGCCTTGATTGAAATGTATGTTTGAGTACTAACCACATTCCCCAAAAGAAAGGTGTGAGGCCCAGGATGAGTAAAGCATGTTTGAAATGAGTACAGGCACTACAAGGCCATGATACACAGGGTTGAGATCTCCATCCCAATCCTGTACATTTTGCTCCATGGTCCCTATAGCAGGAGGCTACAGGGAGAAAGAAGATAAAAAGTAGAAGGAAACCAAGTAAGATTAGTGGAGGAGGTAGCATTCTACTTTGTTTGACCTGAAGTAGAATGCTAGTTATCATTACCTAACCAACCAGTAGTAACTGGCTAACCAATTAACTATAATTATTTTTCCTCTGCCTTTCATCTCTCCATAAACAAGCATAAGTGCATGCCCAGCTCTGTGCTAGGTTCTAGGGTTTTAATGGCAGGAATGAGCATCATCAGCCCCTTTTCCTCATGAGGCCTGCATTCTAATGGGAGAGCATGGATTGAATAACTGCTACGTATAAAAATGTAAAGTTGCTGCTGTGACAAGTGCTGTGGAGGAGAGGAAATAACATATCTCCACATATTATGGAGAGGGTTTGAATCTAAGGAGTCAGGAAAGACATCCCCAGGGAAATAACACTTCAGCTGACATCTGAAGGATGAGTTGGCGTGAAATAGGCAGGGAAAGTGAAAGGTTTTCTAGGCAGATGGAACAGAATGTGCTAAAACTCTAATATTGTTGGTTGGGTGGGGGCCCAGATCACTAAAAAAAGCCTTCAGTTTTTAATGTTACAACTCCCAAACACCTCATAGGACCCATACAGGTGCAAGTGAATGTTCTGCTGGACCTATAATATTTATTTTTTGTATGTTTTGTTTCACCATAAAATCTGTTTTTACAGCTGTACTTTTTGGTACAGAATTTGAACACATACCATAAAACAATCACAAGGAAAGAGCACATACATTGACTGTTCTGATTTTGATTGCTAAGTGGCTACTGTCACCCAGCAGTTATTTTGTCACCTTGGTAACTATGAAATAAGGACCAAAGGTCAGGCTCTCAAATTTACATTGCCTTAGTAACATGATTCTTGTACAGTTTTTAATTTCGCTTAATGTTACAGGTTTGATTTTATATGCAAGCCAAAGTAGATTGAGCCTTGCCCACAAGTTGTTTTCTTTGTAACTTTTTGATAAGGTAAAGAGTTTTGTCAAGCACTGTTTTTAATACTTGAATTTAGAGAACTTCAAAGACAATTAGTCCTGGTCAGAACATTCATCTGTGATTATTTTCACGGTGAAATTGTAGTATTAAGTCTCCTGATGTTAGGGGAATCATTTTACTTCAAAGCGTAGTTCCAGAATATTCTTTCTGGTCTTGCCACAAGTTCATATTCCTTAAAGTTTTATTCTTATAAGAGCTGTTCAGTGAATACAGTAGTGAGAAAATGGATGAAAAGCATGTGGTATTTTTATTTAAGGGCTCAGTTGATCATTTTCTTTTTTAAACCTCAGTCAGCAATCTTACTTATTTCTCCAAAATAAGAGTTTGTACTGTGCATGTGTTAAAACTGTTGAAAAATGACAAATACATAGTATGGTAGTGGAATGGCATCAGGAAGCACTATGTGTATTTAATTTTTTAAGTTAAAAAAGCCAAACTCTTATTTTGATAAGATATGGTAACAGAAACCAAATGGGAAAAAAATTATCATTTTTTTATAAGATAAAACTTTCGGAATAGAATAGTAATGCTCTTGAATAATGTTGACCTAAAAGATACTATGACATACTTTGAAGTGTGATATTATTAATATTAAAACAGAATAACAATTAATGTCTTTATGACCACAGTTTAAGAAAAATAACAAATTCTTTTAGGTGAACCAGAGTGTTACTGGCGGTTTGCTATGCTAGTTTCTCAGCAGGATTTCAGAGATTTTCCTTGCTTTCTCCTAATCTGACATCTGACTTATTATTTGTATTGTAAGTGTTCTTACAGTAGAAGTATTCATTTTCTTTCCAGATTTCCTTTCATATTTAGACTAAAGTTTGTCTCTGTTATCCTTTCCCCCAGGCTACTTCCCTGGTCTGTATCCTTGAAGTAATTTATATATGGTATAAATATTCTTAACTCATAAGCCATATTGAATTTATTGTGCTAACTGCCATAAGTGATCTATGACCGCTGCTAGTTATATGCCTGTCATTTGTGCAGTTATTATTCTACTGAGATGATCTGCTGAAAGTTTTCCTGCCACTCTCAAGGTATCTGCTGTCATGACTGGAGTTCTTTCCTGTCTACTTTCTATATTTTTCTGATTAAATTTTTTTGCCTTGTATAACTACTGGAAAAACTTTGGCTCTTTTCTAAAAAGCAACATGCTTTCAAAAATAAAGCACACATTCTGGTGAAAAACTATAGATGTCCCAAGAGAAAATATTAAGAACGTGATTAATTAAAAGTCATAATTGATTGAGTACTTTCTACATGCCAGACACTGAGCTAGGTACTTTACATGTATTATCTCATGGAACCCTATGAAGTCACTGCCTTTTTATGCCTGTTTTTTCAGATGAGGAAGCTGAAGCTCAAGTAAGTTAAGAAACTTGTCCAGAGTGTTATAAATTGGTGGAGCTGGAATTCAGACCTCATAAGGAGATATTTTAAGACTGTGATTGTTTAAGACAAATAATGTCACACTTATTTGCCTTAGGGTACCTCTGAAAGTGAGCTTATTCAATAACAGAGCCTTTCCCCTCAACCACTATGTCTTACTGTTTCTTCTCCTCTTTTAAACACCTTCAGTGATCTAGGACTGTTACTTGGATTGTCCTCAGAGTTTCCAAGAGATTGGTATTGAAAGTAAGTAATGCTGCCTGTAGTTTTGAAAATGAGGCATAATGGGCTCTATCGTGTCTTCAGGACAGTTACCCAAGTAATAAGTCTCCACCCTTCCATTTCCAATTGCCTAAAGGTCATTTGCATTACAGGATATTGTTAGACATTTCTTTAAATGGCAGTCTATTGCATTCAAGTATTTAATCAAAATGGTATGTGTTGGTGGACATACAGATGGGAAGAATAGACGCTGGGGACTACTAGAGGGGGAGGGTGGAAGGAGAGCAAGGGTTAAAAGACTACTGGGCGCTATGCTTACTACCTGGGTGAGGGGATCACTTGTACCCCAAACCTCAGCATCATGCAACATACCCATGTAACAAACCTGCACATGTACCCTTTGAATCTAAAATAAAAGTTGAAATAAAAGATAAATTAAAAAGAAAACAACATTTTTAGAAAATGGATGTGTTGGGAGCTATTACCAAGAAAAAATGAAGGTAAATCTGAGATAATACTGATATTTTATATAAAAAGGAAGGAAAGAAAGAAGGAAGGGAAGGAGAGAGGGAGGGAAGGTGGAGACTGCAATTTGCCTCAAAATTAGCTACAAATGATAGTAAATCCGGGCTAGACAGTTGATGCCTTGAGCTTAGCTAGAAAAAAAATTCTGATAAGCATAGACTCTGCCAGTGGTACCCTCTTCCAAGAACTGTTCATGTTCATCTGAAGTGGTTCTAGAGGGATACTTTAATCGAGTGAATCTACTTTTAGTGATTAAGGTCATTTAGCATGGAGAGAGCTTGAATAAATTCTGGGGACCTTCATCAAATAACAGTGAAGCTTATTCAGTTATATAGTAGTCTTTTCACTCTTCTCATTTAGTAGAGGTAAGCACTATTGTCCTAGAGTCAGACAGATTTGGGTTTGAATCCTAACTTCCCTGTTTATCTGACTTGAGACTGGCAAGCAGCAGCAGCATCTGAGCTTCACTTTCCTTATCTCTTAAAGGAGATGATAGCATTTATTTGTTCGTTAGGATCATTAAATGAATTTATGAAAGTGAAATCAGGCCTTTCTCCTTCCTCCCCTTTTTATCTCCTTTTAAAATGGGAATTATTATTTTAAATGTATTTATGATATCTTTCCTTTAAAGAACTATGCTTCTTTTATTAGCTTTGGAGAATTGTTACATTGGGGCATAAGTTGTATACAGAATAATTATTATGGGTTTTTAAAATTAAAACTTCTAATATAAAGATTGATTACCCAGTTTTACATGTTGAAAGGTGAAAGTCCTAAGATCACTGTTTGTAAATAAATTTTGAATAAAGTCTGACAGAGGCATTATTCCAAATACTGTTTCCAATTGTGAAGAAGATGAAATTTCTAAATTAACCTTTGCCATGTATTAACAAGCATATGCTAAGCTCCTATTTTTGTATGCAAAACCTTGTCTTAGGTATTTTAAATATAAACCTATATTTATAATTGAAGCTTCTATTTTGTCATCTGAATGTGAAAAGAACTCAAGAAATTACTAGATGAATGGTTTTTATTTTGGTAGGGCCAGGTCATTTCACATTTGTAATAGTGTTTTTGTATCGCTGTGCACCTATTAAATTATATGGGTTCCATGTAATAAAGCCAGCTTTGTTACTCAAGAGACTAAATCCCTGGATGGTGCTCAAAAAACCAGTTTTTAAAATGTCTAATCACAGATGTGATTTGCATCTCCTCTCACTTGAAATGAAAATACTCTTTTTGTGTGTCACTGTTCAGCCATAATTTTATCCTGGTGTTACATTTATATCACGATGGGATAAAAGTTGTAAGAGCTGAGTAAATTATTAAAAATTTACACAGGTAGGAAGAACACCTGATTTGGATTTTCCATCAGAGCACTGTTCTCCCCACTCCCAGGCTCCCCAGCTGACAAGAAATAATGTTTCTGCTAGTAGGTATGTAAGTCATGATACTTAAACAAAAAAATGCCTGTCATTCTTTGTTTGGTTCTTTGATAACTAGAATTTGCATTTGAACAGAAATGCAGAGGAAAATTTCTAAATCAACTGTTGTCTACAAGGAAGTATGGGTCTAATGAAAGCAAACAAAACTCTTTAATGAGAGACTATTATTATTATTATTATTATTATTGTTATTGTACGTATTTTTTTCTTTGAGACGGAGTCTCTGTAGCCCAGGCTGGAGTGCAGTGGCACGATCTCAGCTCATTTCAACCTGAGCCTCCCAGGTTCAAGTGATTCTCCTGCTTCAGCTTCCCAAGTAGCAGGGATTACAGGCGCCTACCACCTTGCCTGGCTAATTTTTGTATTTTTAGTAGAGACGGGGTTTTGCCCTGTTCGCCAGCCTGGTCTTGAACTCCTGACCTCAAGTGATCTGCCCACCTCAGGCTCCCAAATTGCTGGGATTACAGGTCTGAGCCACCACACCCGGCCTATTATTACTATTATTATGTTACATATTATGTTATATAATTACAATAATAATTATATATATTTTAAGTCACCTAATAGCATCTTGTTACCTCCCTAGACTAAAGGCTGCCATCACATCTGGATGTGATAACATCAGGCCAGCTAGCTCTCTCACCCTCTGTCTAATCGTGGACTTGGGAAAAATCACTTATTGTTTCTCTTGCACCAGTTTGTGTCCTAGTATTACATTTCTTTTTCAGGTGCTGAAGGAGGACTGATTAAGGCAATCAGATTTGCATAATGGAAATAGGGGGACATATTGCCGTTATGAGAATTTCTTGTGACACAACTCCCCAGGGAAAAAGTCCTTTAAAACTACCATCTGACCTCCCAGCCCTGAAGCGCTTCACACATAGGGTGATGTTTCCCAATGAATAAATAACGCAGAGTAAGCAGAACTCTACCCTAAAGGAACTCGCAATGTAAATGCAACAGAAGGCAGAACCATGGACCTCAATCTACATTAAGGGCCTGCCATACTCTTAAAAGCCCTTCTGATTTGTAGTCCTCCTGTCCTCGTTTGTACTAAAGTGCCTTCTGGCAAGTAAGAGAGGAAGATTCCTAAGACAGGAATGGACTGGATGAATCATGGTGGTCCATATGATTTAGAGCAGGAGCTCTGGATACAGGCTACTTGGGTCCAAATCCTAGCTTTTTACCAGCAGTCTGACCTTGGACAAGTTATTGAACTTCTCTGGGCTTCGATACCATCCTCGAGCATTGTTGTGAGGACTCCGTGAGAAGAGCCAGTGGAAAGCACTTAGAAATGCATCTAGCACAGAGTAAGAGCTCCATGAATATGAGCATTAGTATTTGCCATGCCAAAATATAAGTTCAATCTTGCATTTTCTTCACTAATGGATGTTCAGAACTCAAGAAAGACCTGATGTTTTTTAAGCTCTTAGCATATTTTAATTAAAGAGATGTCAAAGCAGGTTTATAAAAATTGTGGCATATTTTAAAGAGTTATATTTCTATTATGTATGTGTATATTATATTGCTATTTATAGAAAATTACTTGGTTAATACTTTTAACAAAAATATAATGCACTGCATTTTTGTAATTCACAAGAAAATTACAGGATGAATTCTAAATTTATAATTCACTGTAGGTGTTACGACCCAGTAAAGCAGCAATTCCTAGACTTTATGATCATCTAGACCTCTTTATGCTTTTATAAATAGCAATAAGCTCCCCAAAGCTTTTGTTGATATGGATTTTATCTATTGCTGTTTATCTATTAGAAATTAAACCTGAAAATAATAAACTCATTACATGTTAACAAAGTCACATATCTTTATATTTTTTTAATTATACTTTCAAAAACAACAAAAGTACATATATATAGAATGAGTGGCATTGTTCTCTATTTTTCCAGATTTCCTTAATGTCTCATTAAATAGAAGATAGGTAGATTCTCTTATCTCCTTTTGCATTCAGTATGTTGAGATATCACACCAAAGGTAGCCATTATGTACTTATGAGAAAATGAGAATGAAAAAGGCAAATAATGTATTAGTATTCTAATGAAAATAGCATTAACCTCGTGGACAGCCAGACCACACTTTGAGAACCTTTGCAGTACAGAGATCTAAGTTTCATGTGTATAATAAGCATCTTTCAACCTCTTGAGGACATTTCTGTTTCAATTTACATGTAAAACTCACTTGGAGATGATGCCACATATCCACATTTGGAGGTCGTTCATGGATCAGAGCTTGAGCCAAATCTCCACCTCCCAACCTACCCCAGCCCAGTTACCTTCGTGATCAGAGTAACACGAAGAACAGTACTTTTTTCATAGAGAAAGTAGAATTAATGGGGCCTCTAGTTCCTTAGCACTCTGACATAATGCTACAACTTTTTTCTTTTCTTTTTAAACCCTGACTCTCCTTTATTCATTCTACACTCCATGAGCAAGACATATTGTCTTGGCCTAAGTATTATGGAAAATTATTTGCTCATTTGAGAGAATCATTTTTCTGGAACCAAGTGTTCCCAGTAGTAAGCACATGAGAAAGTTGGACCAATGAGCCCAAGAATCTTTTCAATGTGAGATTCTATTCTTCCCACTTAGAGTGAGAGGAGTATCATTAAAAAGGAAGGAAGAACTTGCTTTATGTATCTAGTTACTGTAGCACTGGAGATTTTTTACTGCATAAAATTCCTGACTACAAAATTGCAAGGAGAAATAATGTAATGTATATTATATTGCTATTTGTAGAAAAGTACTTGGTTAATGCTTTTAACAAAAATATAGTACACTTATATTTTTGTTCTGAGAATTATTGAAGTCCATCTCAGTCAACCTCCTGACATATCAAGGAGGCTTGAATTGAGGTAAATTGCACTAATTAAAGTATTTGAAAGTTGGCTATACGGAAGAAGAGGAATGCAGATTACCTCTTCCTAGCCACAGTCAGGAAAAAAAAAAAGAGAAAGGAGATTTTACCAAAAGACATTTGCAAAATAAATACTGTATCACTAAACCAGGCTCTGCTTTATGCTTTTACATTCGTGTTTAAATACTCAGGCTCTGAAGTCAGACACAGCCAAGACCCATGTTCCGGCTGGGCTATTTGGCACATAGAGGGCCTTGGATACGTAACATCTCTAAACGATGATTTCTTCATCTCTAACATGGAGCTAAAAGTATCTACTTCTTATGGTTGCTTTGAAGATTGAATGAGGCAAGTTGTTATCATGCCAGGCCCATGGTAGTTGTAAATGCTGGCTTTGCCCTTCACTACAGATCTTCATCTGTAAAATAGGGCTAATGACACCTCTCTTTCACAGTTGTGGGAGGATTTAACCAGCACAGGCCTTTGCTGTTTCTGGTGTCCTTAGTTTTGAGGTCTCTGTTTTATTCTATCCAGGATTAATTTCCTATTTCCTTTGAGGCAAGGGAGAGATCAGTCACCTGGCTGGAGTTCATCAGGGGAAGAAATTTGATATTCTAAACTGCTTCTAGTAGAAACTTGCAATCATTTCTCTCACTTGGCTCTACTCTACACCCTTGCCATCAGCTCCTGGTACCGCGATTCCTGAGCAATTCTGAGATGCTGTGGCACTGAGTGGCATGCTACTTGATGGTTTTCTCAGCTCCAAGTTACTTGCCACTTGTCTGTGTGCTTTCCATCTTCCAAAAGGCTCGTTTTATCTTGCATCAAGTATATCTCCTGTCGTATTTTCTTTGTGGTACCTGTTTTTACTGCTTTACTGTCAGTTTTCCTGGGGTTCTGGGGATAAGCAGATATAAACTTGTATATTCAGTCTTCCACACTTATCTGAGAGTTCTCAACCATTGTGTCTTAAGCAATTGATAAAGGACCCAAACCCAGAGATCGAAACCAAAAGATTCAGTTAAGGGGCAGATTGTTAGGGGCAATTTTGCTTTCCTTTTTAACAATAAATTTGAACTGTGACTGAAAATTGGAATTTCCTATCAGTCTTTAAAACTATCAGTGCCTGATTCAGAGATTCTGGTGTCAGTGCACAGGGATTGGCCTAGAAAATAGCAATTTTTAAAGCTTTCCAGGTGATACCAATGTGCAGCCAGCCCACTGCTATATGGACTTTGGTCCTAAAATTCTGCATATACTTAAAATGGCTACTTTCCCCGAGACATTATATGTATTTGAAGCTAAATATACAGTTAACTATATAGTTGTCTGACT
The DNA here is from genome assembly GCF_000001405.40 of Homo sapiens. Classification (NCBI taxonomy): domain Eukaryota; kingdom Metazoa; phylum Chordata; class Mammalia; order Primates; family Hominidae; genus Homo; species Homo sapiens. The sequence continues at coordinate 53,058,372 of NC_000004.12, read as the reverse complement.
GTCTGATATATTAAAAACATACTTTTGTTTTACTAACTATAACATTAATTCAAATCTTTTTTTATGCCTATATGAGTTGGGGATATAACATTAATTCCCCAACTCATAGGCATAAAAAAGAAAATATTTGAATTAATGTTATATTTAGCAAAACATTAATAATAATCTCTATAATAGTAGCACATAATAAAATTATCACCTCTGCCTTAACATTATTTAAGATAGAATGTTAAAATTAATCATATTTGTAATTAGATTTGTAATTAGCTAAGTTAGTAATAAATGTAGCTGTCTATTGAATGGTCAGATTTTATCTGATAGCCTTATTTACAATGGAAGTTGCCGAGGATGAAGGGGAGATTCCCTTCTGCTTGACTTTCCGAGATGGCTTTTATTGAGAGTGCTCAGTACTTTTCTACCCTCTAAGCAATCTCCTCTTGTAAGCTGGCATCAAGTTCCTGCTGATCTCTGCACTGCCCTTTCCCTGCCAGATGCTGGTGTTGGTAACGTTACATTTTGGCTGCTAACACAGCACAAGGTATGCATGGCTTTATTTTTATGCTCTACCACATTTGGGAAAGTAATGAGAGGCCTCTAATTATTCTCCCTCCCTATCTTGAATGGCACATACCTACTTCTTTCTTTTATAAGCAAGCACCCTGTTCCTGATAATTGTCTTTTATTTTTCCTTTATTTCATCTAAAAAAAATGGGATACATGTGCAGAATGTACAGGGTTGTTACATAGGTATATGTGTGCCATGGTGGTTTGCTGCACCTATTGACCCGTCCTCTAAGTTCCCTCCCCTCACCCCCCACCCCTCAACAGGCCGTGGTGTGTGTTGTTCCCCTCTCTGTGTCCATGTGTTCTCAGTGTTCAAGTCCCACTTATGAGTGAGAACATGCAGTGTTTGATTTTCTGTTCCTGTGTTAGTTTGCTGAGGATGATGGCTTCCAGCTTTATCCCTTTCCAGCTTTTTCCCTTTCCATATTTATCCCTTTCCACCTTTTTCCCTGCAAAGGACATGATCTCATTCCTTTTTATGGCTGCATAGTATTCCATGGTATATATGTACCACATTTTTTAAATCCAGTCTATCATTGATGGGCATTTGGGTTGGTTCCATGTCTTTGCTAGTACGGGAGTCCTGCAATAAACATATGTGTGCAGTGCCTTTATAGTAGAATCATTTATATTCCTTTGGGTATATACCCAGGCTGCATGCAGTGGTGCGATCTCAGCTCACTGCAATCTCCACCTCCCAGGTTCAAGTGATTCTCCTGCCTCAGCCTCCAGAGTAGCTGGGATTACAGACCTGCACTACCACGCCTGGCTAATTTTTGTATTTTTTTATTAGAGACGGAGTTTCACCATGTTGGCCAGGCTAGTTTCCAACTCCTGACCTCAAGTGATCCGCCACCTCGGCTTCCCAAAGTGCTGGGATTACAGACATGAGCCACAGTGCCCAACCTGTGATATTTTTGTCTTTGTCAGACTTTCCTCCTTTTCCCAGTATCTCCTTCCTCATTATTACTCTTCCTTCTTCATCCTTTGGTCTCCCCACTCAGTGCCCCTATCCCTCTTCCTCTTTCATCACTGTGTTCCAATTTATACAAGGATCTAAAACTGAAGAGTGGGGGATGTCGAAACATAAGTTATTGGTGGCTAAAAGTGGTGCTTTACTAGAGAAACTGAACAATTAGAAAGAAATGTACAATATATTCTGAAAAATCTATCTCTAGAATGAAGTCATGACAGTTCACCCTACTCTACTAGTTTTGTCCAAGCTAATTTTCATGTATGATTTTGTAATCTGATTGAACAATACTTGGAAAAAAAAAAGTTAGATATATAAATGAATTTGTTGTGGATAAAACATAATTAGCCTATCCCTATAAAATCTACTCTTTCCTTACTTCCAGGAGTGGTCCTTTATTTGAGAGGCAAAACATATACATTTCACATTACCATTTTTGAGACTTGATGAAGCCCAGTCCTAAACTGTGGCTGAGGCTGAGGCTGAATGGTTGGGATTTACTGTGAGAATGGACATTCCCCCGGGTCCTCACCTGAGGTCATTAAATTGATTTAGTCTAGGTCCACTGGCTGTATTTTAATGCAGCTTAGCTGTAAAAATACAAGGCCCCATTGTATAATACAGGCAGTCATTGTTATTTTTCTAGGCCTGTCAATGTAAAAAATGTGTCTGTTTGCCTTCCCCTATGACCTGAAAAAAAAAAAAAAAAGCTACGTTACAAAGTCACAGGACACCCTGGAAATGTTGGTTTTGGAAGGTATCTTGGGGAATAACATAGAAAAAATCTGGCAGCATAATTTGGTAAAAGTGCCCAGGATACACATGTTCATTTTGGGGTACTTTATTTTCCTTCCTTTGCAGTTAAGTGCTGGGGCTAGGAGAGAACCACATGAAGCATCTCTAAGAGGCGGGTGGCTCTTCTGATGGTGGTCTGCTCTGGCCAGCGAGCTCATTTTCACTGCAGCCAGTCAGGAGAGAGTCTGAGCAAGTGGGCACACACTCCAATACCCAGACCCTAGGAAGCCACACTAAATATACTGTGCCCAAGATTGCCTAAAATAAACCAGATGGCATTTGGTGTGCCAGGGCGTTTACTCTAATGTTTGTTGTGGGTTGCAGAGGGAGCCATGTACCCATCATAAGACTCTGGTGAGTCCTGTTTCATTCTTTTTTCTCTCTCCTTTTTATTTTTATTTTTGGCATGTAGTCATTGGTAGCTGTTCCCTCAGATCTGTCAACCTGTGGGTTCCTCCAGGGTGGTTCTTTTTTATCCTAGTAAGTGCTGGGATGAATACCTTACAGGAAATCACCACACAGCTTCATATGTGGTTTTGTAATGGGCCTGTTTTTAGGCAACTTTCCAAACCCTCAGGACTCCCAGGCATCATTTCCCAAGGGTAGCTCTCCAGCTGTGAACGTTTAAATGCTATAAGTGAACACAGGGGAGAGAGGCCATGCCACTTTTCTGCCTGTCGTCCACCATTATGTGGGCTTCCAAGGTGCTCTTTGGAGAGTGTCACTGATCACAGTCCCACTGGAATCTCATGGGCCTGGATTAAAATCTGAGCTGAGCCACATCCTGTCTGTGTGACCCTAGCAAGTTACGCTTTTGGAACATCAGTTTCCTGATACATAAAATGGAGAATAATGACAGACCTTCAAAGGGCTGCCATAAAGATTAAATCTAATAACGAATGCAAATTGCCTAGTAGATAGGAAGCACCCAGTAAATGTTAGGTACCACAATTAGGTGTTATTACTGATATTGTGGTGAATATCCTGGTCTAGCTCATGCCTTACAACTCACAAACACAAACTCCTTCATTATTGTTATTGCTGCTTCTCTCCCCTCGATCTGTTAACTTTTAAAAGTTGGACTTCAGGCCAGGGACAATGGCTCACACCTGTAATCCCAGCACTTTGGGAGGCCGAAGTGGACAGATTGCTTGAACCCGGGAGTTTGAAACCAGTCCAGGCAACATAGGGAGATCTTGTCTCTACAAAAAATACTAAAATTAGCCAGCCATGGTGATGCATGCCTGAAGTCCCAGCTACTGGGTAGGCTGAGGTAGAAGGATCGCTTAAGCCCAGGAGGTCAAGGCTGCTAAGCAGCTGTGATTGTGCCACTGTACTCCAGCCTGGGTGATAGAGTGAGACTCTGTCTCAAAAACAAAAACAAACAAAAAAAAAACTCTTTTTTTTTTTTCTAAGCTAATCATTTTCTTTCTTTACTTCATCTGTCTCTGGCTTCTTATATTCTAGAAGGATTTAGTTTCTTTAAATGAAACATTAGTTAAAATGTCCTCTTGTTCTTTGCTACCTGTTATATGTCTTACTGCATATTTTTCAATTCAAACTTCGCAAATATTTATCAGGTACCTTCTGTGTGATAGGCACCATGACAGGACTTAAGGGTATAGAGCTGATTAATACAAAATTCTGCCCTCTAGAAGCCTTAAGTCTAGGGGGAGAAGCGGACATGTAAAAAGTCAACTAAAATGCAGAATGCTAATTCTGGTCATAAATTATAAGACATATGAAAAATACACAGGGGAATATTATTCTGTCATAAAAGAGAATGAAATCCTGTCATTTGCATGGATGGAACTGCAGGTTACTAAGTGAAATAAGCCAAGCACAGAAAGACAAATAGTACATGTTATCACTTATACATGGGAGCTTATGTGGATCTCATGAAGACAGGGACTAGATGGGTGGTTATCAGAGGCCGGAAAAGGTAGTGAGGAGGGGAGGATGAAGAGACACTGATGAATGGATACCAATATACAGCTTGATAGAAGAAATAAGACTTAGTGTTTCAGAGACCAGAGGGTGACTATAGTTTATTATACTCTACTGTGTATTTCAAAATAGCGACAAAGAATAATTCTAATTCTTTGAAAGAATTAGACAAATATTTAAGGTGGTAAATATTCCAATTATACTGATTTGATCTTTAAAAATTATCAGAATGCATTAAATTATCACATGTACCCTGAAAATATATACATCTACTATGTATTAATTTAAAATTTTTTAAAAAGAAAATAGAAGGGAAACAAGGGGAAGATGCTCCTGACTCAGCCCCAGAGAAGCGGAGCCATTCCCTGAGGAACAGGAGGGTGTTGGGTGGACAGCAGGCCGAGTCCTCTCTAGGCAGAGGAAAAGCGGATGCAGAAACATGGAGGTGAGCAATGGGATGGCATTTCTAGAGAACTTGAGGGAGAGCCATATGATCGGAGCACAGTGCGCAAGTGCTGAGCGTCAGGAGTTGAGATGAGGGCATCTGATTGGGGAGTAGATTACAAAGAGCTTTGTATGCCTTGCTGAGAATTTAGACCTTATCCTATAGGCTGTGATAGAATCACTGCAGGGTGTTGACCAGTGGGATCTCTGTTTTCTTTTTCATTAAGATATCACTTATCTACTAAGGTGGACAAAACATAAGTTTACAGCCTAATGAAATTTTCATATGTCTGGACCCAGTGCATATACAATATTCCCAGCACTGAAGCAGCTCTCTTGTACCTCCTCCCATCAGTCCCCCTGGAGGTAACCAGCATTCTGACCTCTATTACTATATATTTGTTTTGCCAGTTTTTTTTTTTTTTTTGAGACGGTGTCTCTCTGTTGCTCAGGCTGGAGTGCAGTGGCATGATCTTGGCTCACTGCAACCTCCGCCTCCTGGGTTCAAATGATCCTCCCGCCTCAACCTCCCAAGTAGCTGGGATTACAAGCGTGTGCCATCACACTTGGCTAATTTTTGTATTTTTAGTGGAGACAGGGTTTCACCATGTTGGTGAACAGGCTAGTCTTGAACTCCTGACCGCAAGTGATCCACCCACCTCGGCCTCCCAATGTGCTGGGATTACAGGCATGAGCCATGGCGCCTGGCCTGTTTTGCCAGTTCTGAGCTTCATGTAACTGGAATCATACAGCGTGTGCTCTTTTGTGTCTGGCTTCTTTCATTCCACATTTTGTCTGTCAGATCCATCATGTTGTTGCATGTCGCAGTAGCTTTGTTTGTTGTGTAGTATTGCATTGTATGGAGATACCTTTAGGGTCACTTGTAACTAATTTTGTTTCAATTGTTGACCTAAAATCACCTGAAAGTGAACCAAGAACAGACTTCTTCACTTTCATTTTAGCCATCTTTACAAAATGCTCATTGTATAAGTCTCAATTACCATTTGGGGTTTAAGTTGAAGACTGCCCCACTGTCCTACCTAAAGGATCAAGGATCTGTCAGTAGCTGGAAAATTTAAGATCGCAAACATCTCAAGGGAAGATCAATTCAAGAGTATTCCAGTTGATAATGCACAGTCTTTATTTTCTTGTTATTCTTTAATCTCCAGTGGCCTTTTGACTCATCAGTGAATGAATGATTGTTGAGAATGTACTAGATGCCAGTCACTGGGACATGTGACAAGAAGTTCGTAACGAGCAATCAAGATTCTGCGCTAATTTAGAGGACTGGGAAAGATTTTGTTTTTAATTTTTCTTGTTAAGCTGAGAACTGAAAGATGAGCAGGAATTAGGTAGGGAGAGCAGCATGTGCAGAGGCCATAAGGTGGAGGAAACCCTCAAAGTTCCAGACACTAAAAGAAAGTTAGTGTATCTGGAGTGAAGAGAGTAAGGGGAGAGAGAGGCAGAGTTGAGTTGTGGGTAGTGACCTAATCATGTGTGGTCTTGCAGCATGAAGGAACTTAGATTTTATTAGTAAAAGCAATGGAAAGCTTCTGAAAGGTTTTAAGAAGGGGAATAATGTCATATTTTTGCATTTTAAAAATAATTAGATTCCCTATTGTGCTTTTCTTACAAGAAAGGAGGTCTGGTGCTGAATGTCTGACCTGTAGGTTTGGGCTCTTTAGAAAAATTAGATCTAATTGAGGGACCAGTCATTATTCTTTAATGGCCTCATCTCATTTTTTAATATGTTCAGATCTTTTCTGTATCTTCTTTCTTTATTACATCTTTGACTTTTAGAAATTCCTTCTCTTTGACTAAAAGATGAGGAGAAATACTCAGTAGAACTAATTTTAAAATCCTTACTTTCTTCTTTAATCAGAGCCTTCTTTTATTGGTGGTAAACTTCCGGACTTTAACTTCCAATGAGTGACAGCATTGCTAGTGCAGTTAGCGCCACTTTATATCCAGATGGAGAAACAAGTTAGTGAAATAAGCAGTCGTATTAACCAATGTAATTAAATCTAGCCACCGTAATAAAAATTGCAAATTATAAAGTGGCTTTACCTAATAAAATTTAATTTTCTCACTCAAGCCAAGCATAGCATGGTTCAAGCAGCCCACTTAACCAACAGGTAACTCAGGGGCTTGGGTTGCTTCCCCTAGGTGGCTCCACACCTTGGGCTCTTCAACTTCTGACCATACTGCTGGGGAAAAGAGTGGTATAGAAGATTGGAGAGGCTCCGTTGCTGGTCCTGGAAGGGGCTCATTTCACTTCTGCATACAGGCCAGAACTGCATACACTTCTGCATACAGTTGCATGCCCCCAGAACCTGGCTGAAAGGGAGGCTGACCGATGTCTCCCAGAGTACCAAGAAGAAGAAAATTTAAGGGATCAGAGTCTAACCAGTCTGCCATAGTGATAGAAGATGTTCTCAAACCTTTGTTGCTTTTTGTAAATTATATTTATTCATTATTGTGTTCAATACATCTTCATAAATGCCTACACTGTGCCAGGCACTAGGAATACAGTGAGGAACAAATTAGATGTGGTCTCTGCCCTCATGGAACTTGCAATTTAGCCAGGAGATGGACAGAAATAAAACAATCACACAGTGTTAATTATGAAATTGTAATAAAGGCTATGAAGGAAAATAACCTGATGTTTTGAGAGAGCGCCTACCAGGAGATCTGACCTAATCAAGATGTGTCCAGGGAAGGTCTCCCTAAGCTTCCACCTGACAGACGACAGGAAATGGGGAGACAGAAGATGTGAGCAGCTTTAGAGGAAGCAAGAAGGGGCACTGGGAGTTGGAGGAATGCAGGCAGCATGGCTGAAGCCCAAAGAGAAGAGAGGCAGGAGCCAGATGACCCAGGGCCTGGAGGGCCATCGAAATAAAACATTTGAGGTAACAAAGCAGTGAGAAGCCATGAAAGGGTTTTCAGCCTATGAGTAACTTGATCATATCTGTGTTTTATAAAACACTGACCTCAATGTGGAGAATGGGTTGGAATGAGGCCAGAGATGGTGTCGGCAATCAGGTGCATTATCTGCCTGGCTTTTTCCTGGTTTTTGTTCTTTCTTCATAGCCTCCCACCACTGTGTGCAAAACTCTCCAGCTTCAAGGGGATGGCTGTAATTTTCAGTTCCAGACATAGAGATGTTATCTGTTTTATTGAACTAGAATAATCTAATCCAATTCTGAGCTTTGTCATCTTGAAGTATTCCTCATGGCCTCCTCTACAACCTATCTTGATTCGTTTAATCACGACAGCTATTTAGCCAGACTGTTGCTGGTGAGGTTTGCTGCCACTTAATCTGGAGCTGTTAGAAAGCAGTGCTCATGACTGCCTTTTGTGCCATTTTGAAAATGTCTAATCAACACCTCATTTGTCCACCATTATTGGGGGAATAAGATATCCTGGTAAGATCTTGCTTCTCTTAAGTACTTAAAGGTGTTTTTAAGACTTCTTTTTATTTGCTGATCTCAAAAGTGGCCACAGAAACAACATTAAACATAGAATTTTAGAGAAAGAAATTCCTTACCTCCATTATATGACTACCTTTGCATGTGACATTCGAGTGTTTGCGGACTCATGTACACATATCAAAATATTTTCTATTGTGTTTTATTTTTTCCTGTTTAACATCTATAGCCTGTAACAGGAGTAAATAAACATTTGCTGAATGCTGAATCTATGAATGAATACATGCCAATCAAAGAATTTTTTAAAATACTGAAAACCCAAAAGAAGGAAATTAAAATGACCTCAAATAAAACAAAAACATCAACAAAATGACCTATAACCCCTCCACTGAGAGAGAGCATTTTGTCTGTGCATTTTATCTAATTTTCTGACATAAGGTAGTCATTATCATTATCAGAAATTTTTTAAAGAGATAGACTCAGATTAGGCAGCTTGGTGCAGGAGGCTGAACCAGGCAAGATTCATGATTCCAGCTGATGCATGCCTTCCATTCACTATGCCCTGCTGCCTTTCTGCTCACTCTTTAACATTATTCTGTCATTTGGGAACAAAACAAGGAGGAGACGATAGCTAATGGCAGTGAAACATGGTGGTTTAGAGCACCAGAAACCCAGACTGCCTGGGTTTGAATCCTACTTCGGCTATGTAAGCTTGCACAAGTGATTTAACCTCTGTAGACTGACCCTCAGGTCTGTTGTGACGACTAAATAAGTTAATATAGGTTATGAAGAGTGCATAGCACAGTGAATAGCACATGGTATGCACTATACCACTGTTTGTTGTTACTGTGATTGTTACTATTAGTACCAATAATCTACACTCAGGTCACTAAACATTCCTCTTCACCATCCTCTTGCATTAAGGTTATGAGTGTGCCAGACAGAGTTCCATGTCACAAGACTTCTAATGGCAAGGCTGGGCAGACATTCTTGGTATCATATCTTGTGTTCTTCCTAGTGAATTCCAGACTCACAAAGATTAAAATTTGTTTCCAGCAAGAAAATGTCCTTTCCACATGGAATTAACCGTGTGAAGTCTCTTGTGTTAAACTGAACTGGGTTGAAAGAAGGTACGCCATTCTGTTGTGCTTATTCTTTGGGACACGTTTTCCAATTCTCACACACTGTTCATCTGATTTACTCCACAAGCTGAAAAAGATTCCTAAGATTAATGTTTTGATGCTTTATTTTTATTATTTATTTATTTATTTATTTGAGACTAGGTCTCGCTCAGTCACCCAGGCTGGAGTGTAGTGGTGTGTGGGAGTCCAGGGAAGGCCTCCCTAAGCTTCCACCTGACAGATGACAGGAAATGGGGAGGCAGAGGATGTGAGCAGCTTTAGAGGAAGCAAGAAGGGGCACTGGGAGTTGGAGGAATGCAGGCAGCATGGCTGAAGCCCAATGAGAAGAGAGGCAGGAGCCAGATGACCCAGGGCCTGGAGGGCCATCGAAATAAAACATTTGAGATACACAGCTCCCTGCAGCCCTGACCTTTCAGGCTCGAGCGATCTGTCCACTTCAACCTACTTAGTAGCTGGGACCACAGATATGCACCACCACCCATGGCTAATTTTTTATTTTTATTTTCTGTAGAGACAGGGTCTCCCTATGTTTCCTAGGCTGTTCTCAAACTCCTGGGCTCAAGGGATCTTCCTGCCTCAGCCTCCCAAAATGCTGGGATTACAGGCATGAGCCACTACACCTAGTATCTTCATTTTTTCAGGTCAAGACAATACTGCAAAGGTTAAAGTGACTCTCTAAGTTTTAGAGTATGTCTGTGTGTATGTATGTATGTACTTATTTATTCATTTTGAGACAGAGTCTTGCTCTGTCACCTAGGCTGGGGTGCAGTGGCACGATCTCGGTTCACTACATTCTCTGCCTCCAGGTTCAAGTGGTTCTCATGCCTCAGCCTCCCAAGTAGCTGGGACTACAGGCACACACCACCACACTGAGCTAATTTTCGTATTTTTAGTAGAGACAGGATTTCGCCATGTTGACTAGGCTGGTCTTGAACTCCTGACCTCAGGTGACCCACCCACTTCGGCCTCCTAAAGTGCTGGGATTACAGGTCTGAGCAACTGCGCGTAGCCTAGAATATTTAATTAAAAGATTTTTCAAGCTACCTTGCTGGTGATGCTGCTGGGTCTTGTGCACTGGGTAAGTGAATGCCTGGGCCACATTTAGCAGTCACCAGACAGTACACACATTCCCTCACATGTGACCAGTCAGGGCAGAAGGGCTGTCAGGTCGAAGAGCTGTCACATTTTCAGAAGAATTAGACACCCCTGCAAAATATTATCAGTTCAAGTCCAGAAGGTTACCTACTGGAGATGCCCATTTCTGAGACAGTTTAAACCTCATTTCTCTAAGGAAAACAAACTAGCAAAGCACACCTTGGAGTTTGGGGGAAGAAATAAATATGCCATTCCTGGCTTTCTTTGGATAGAAACAACCTAAATGGAACCACAGAGCCAAAAATTGGAAAAGAGTAAAGTCATTCTGAATTTTAAAATCGTAAGACGGTGTAACATGCATGTCAGTCACCTGATAGAAGTGTATGTGTGTACATGTGTGTGCATTAGTGTGCGTGGTACAGGTGAGAGGAAGATATCATGAGGAACAGATAGTTAAGGAGTCAAGAAGACACAACCTGCAAAGAAAATACTTGGAAGATAATTGTGGGGCTTTTTGTTTGTTTGTTTTTTGTTTTAGAGACAGGGTCTCACTCTGTTGTCCAGGCTGGAGTGCAGTGGTGTGATCATGGCTCACTGCCACCTCGACCTCATGCACTCAAGTGATCCTCCCACCTCAGCCTCTCAAGTAGCTGGGGACTACGGCACATGCCACTAAGCCTGCCTAATTTTTTAATTTTTTGTAGAGTCTGGGTCTCACTATGTTGCCCAAGCTGGTTTTGAACTCCTGGCTTCAAGCAGTCCTCCTGCCTCAGCCTCTCAAAGTGCTGGGATTATAGGTTATCAGCCACTGTGCTCAGTGAGAATTGGGATTTCACACTTTTGAGAATGGCAGGGGAGCAGGAACTTTGTGTTTTTTAAATCTATGATCTTTAAGTTATAGAACAATTTTTGGAATATAGTAGGCATTCAGTAAATATTTATTACTGAAATATGAAAAGAAGTCAAAACTTGGGAAAATAATTACTACACACATCACAAAAACACATAGCTTTGGTCGGGCACAGTGGCTCCCTCCTGTAATCCCAGCACTTTGGGAGACCAATGCAGGTGGATCACCTGAGGTCAGGAGTTTGAGACCACGCTGGCCAATATGGCAAAACCCCGTCTCTACTAAAAATACAAAAGAAAATTAGCTGGATGTGGTGGCGCGTGCCTGTAATCCCAGCTACTTGGGAGGCTGAGGCAGGAGAATTGCTTGAACCTGGGAGGTGGAAGTTGCAGTGAGCCGAGATCATGCCATTGCACTCCAGCCTGGGCGACAGAGCAAGGCTCTGTCTCAAAGAAAAAAACAACAACAAAAACACGTAGCTTTGTTGAAGTGGGAGTGTCAGGTACCATTGAACCAGAACTTTCTACTTACTTTTGCAACATTTTCCAGAGCATATCTTACTTTATGATTTTCTGGATATCACAAAAAAAAAAAATCTGTGCTCTTTAAAAAATGGTATAGGTCAGGCGCAGTGGCTCACACCTGTAATTCCAACACTTTGGGAGGCCAAGGCAGATAGATTGCTTGTGCTCAGGAGTTTGAGACTAGCCTGGGCAACATAATGAGAACCTGTCTCTACAAAAAAGTACAGAAATTAGCTGAGTGTGGTGGCACGCACCTGTAGTCCCAGCTACCTGGGGGGCTGAAAGGGGAGGATTGCTTGAAGATCAAGGCTGCAGTGAGCCGTGTTCACACCACTGCACTGTAGCCTGAGTGACAGAATGAGACCACATCTCTAAAAAAATAAAAATAAAATTTAAAATATTCATTTTAATTTATGCCACTGCTGACTCCATCCTCATAGGTACTGAATATTTGTTTTGAAAAGATTTTTTAGTATGGATATTTCAACCTCATGGTAGAAGAGAAATGAAAACTAAGCTGAAAATATTAGAGAGCTGCATTCTGGGCCCACTTCTGCACCTTCATAGCTGTGTGTAGCCTCTGGATAGTTAAGTGACCTCTGATCTTTAGTTTCCCCATCTTTAAGATGGGATGGTTAGCAAACTGATCTCTTTCCAGCTCTACAAAGCTATAGATTTTTTTTTTCATTTCACAAATAGTAAACATTTATATTTTAAGAAGTTAGATTATAACTATGAGATAATTAGCGTATGAAGAACATTTTATGGCATGTTAAAATTTTTCTTAGTTGACAGGATCTTAAGTTGAGATAGCCACAGACTATTTTCTATTTTCCAAAATATGTAAATAATTGGTAGATTAATTCATTCAGTCATCAAATAAGCATTTTTGAACACCCACTCTATCTATCTATCTATGCCAAGAGTTATTGCTAAGCACACACACAAAATCCCTTATTTGGCAGAATATAAGATATACTCAGATATGTAAGATGCAATCTAATTTTATAAGGAAATTTTGAGAGAAATTAAAAATTTAAGTATGTTTTATTATACAGAGGATAAGAAAAGCTATTTTTATTTATAAATTTATTTGTATAGTATACGAAATAATAAGTTCTGGATATATAGTAGTATTCAAACCTTTAAAAATTAAGCTTTTAAAGCTAAATTACATATCCAAAAAGAAATACATTGGCCGTAGAATACTAGAACCCAGCAGGCAATAAAACACAAATTGCATTTACAAATTAAGTGCCCATACCATACTTATGGGGTTAGAAAAGCAAATACCAGTACTATATTTTGTTGAATACTAATAACTAAAAATCCACACTATAAAACAAATAATAAATGAATTCCAGTAGAGTGTATGCAATCAAAAGCAACAATATTAGTAAAACCTCGTACAAAGGAAACAGTAAAATCCTATAAATGTACGTGAATTCTCTTCCAGGTAACCTGAATATTTGTGAAACTCACCTCTTTGCTGTGATGTATTGGGGATCACACTTTGTCATCAGGGCAATATTGCTATTCTCCTACTATTGTCCATTGAATGCAGATGGCAGATTTGTTAGTTGAATTTTCTATTGCAGTAGCATTGCTTATTTTAAGAATATTTTTAGTAGCTACTAAGTGACTATAAGTTACCACGGCTCACCCCAGACTCAAAGCAAGTTTTTTGTGGGCGGGGGGGGGGGGTTGGGGGTGGAGGTGGGAATTGGGGTGGGGAGTTAAGTGGATACAGTTTATGTGCAGACAAAAAGGAAAAAAAAAAAACAGAAATACTCTTGCCTCCTAATTGACTCACTATGTAAAGATGGAGACAGATTATGTGTCTGCTTCCTACACTGCCAATAATCTTAGGACAGAGCTATATGATTTTTTTTAAAGGCTTGGCAAGGAATTACAGGGTTGGGGTGGAGAGAGGAATTCCCCTTTGAAGGAGGAGGAGGAGGAAAAAGGAAAAAAGGAGGGAGGGAGGGAAGAAGGGAGGGAGGAAGGAAGGAGAAAGAGAAGGGGAATGGGAAGGGGAAAGGGAAAGGAATCCTGTAAAGTATATAGAAGGAGAAAGGGAGAGAGGGAGGGAGGAAGGAAGGAAGGAAGGAAGGAAGGAAGTTCCTGTAAAGTATGTGGAACCCCAAAAAGTGTCTGTTGATTTGGTTCTCCAGAAACCAGGTGCTGAGACAGAGTTCGAAGTGCAAGAGCTTTATGGTAGGTGGGAGGACGAGATAAAGGCTTTGAAAAATAAAAGGGGGAGGGAGCAGGATTGCAGTTTGAGCAGGGAAAGCCTTGGGCTGTGATGTAAATCTGACAACTGTGAAAGGACAGTGGGGGAAGCAGGGTTGGGGAGGTAGAGCCTCAGACTCTGATGCAGGTCTGACAAGTGTACCAACCCCAGGGGGAATTGGGGATTAAAGATTGACTATTAGAGAAGACTTCATTAGGAGGAAATGGCCAGGTCCTAGTGCCCTCACCATCTTCTGTTATTGGCTGGTACTGACCAGGAGGACTGTGGCCCCATCTCAAAAGCTAAGGAGGATGCCAATGGGGTGACAGCTGGCAGCTGTCTACTAATTGCACTCCTTGCAGCTCAAAGGCAAGTTCTTTCTTGAAAGAGTTTGAACAGTGAACTCCGGGGCTACCACAGCGTCTAACATTAACTGTGACATGTTTTACTATTGAAACACAGGAAGCAAATAATCAGTGTATCAATGTCAAAAAATAAGAGAGATTTCATATTTTGAAAATATACTTTGGGAAATATATTATTTTTTAAAGGTTTGTAAGTGTTTATTTTAAAAGAATATTTTTTAAAAGTTCATTTTTTAAATATTTAAATAATACCGAAGTACCCAAATATTCTCCATTTCCAGTTACCACTTGAAAAATCTGGTGTGTATCCTCACAAAGTCTTTTCTTGTAGTACATAAAAAGTGGAACGATATTAAAAGTAATACTGTTTTGCAAGTTGCTTTTTTTATTCAACAAGATAGGATTTTTAGCACACTTCAACACCTTCCACTGCTCTGACCCTCGTGTTTTGTTACAATTATCTAGAAATTTTGTTCCAGATAATTATTATTTTTTCACTTTATATTTCTTCAATTTAACTAATCTTTGTTGACAAATGCATGGATTTCACAGCAACATGGTCACCAATTATTTAAAATTAAGCATGGCTGATTTCTTTTCTCAGCACTATTTTTTATATGTCAAGTCTCCCTAATTTATTTACATTTGTTAGTTGACAGCTAAGATCTCCAGCCTAATCAGATGCTTTAATTTTGCTGCCATCTGTTTTCTTCCTCCTTTTGGCTCAATGCCATCCCTTTTCTTTCACTTGTCACTGACGTGGGCTTCATCAGATTCCCCACAGTGCCTTTCCTGGTTCCATCTGATTTGCTATTGCCTTCAGCATTGTGAAGCTGAGCTTTATTGAGATGTTTTCCTAACCTCCTTCCCTCTCACCCCTGCCTCTCTTAATAGAAAGCCACTCAATTAATACATAATATAATCGGATTTTATTGGTAGCTGAACCCACTGCCGTGGTCAGAAATGGCGAGGTGGTATTTATTTTTAGAAGTAGTGTCTGTGGCCCTGTTGTTTTTCTAACTTATAAAGTTTCACGTGCTTTCTGGTTTCCCTTTTCCAAAAAACAGAATAAGTAGAGTAAGTCCTAATACCTCCGGCTGTGAAGATTCAGCCCAACCTTGCCCCAAGACAAACCAGGGATAGCATTTAGATGACAATCCATAGTCCCAAGGAGAAACTACAGGAGGCTGCTCCAAGAAAGGTGGTCAGCTCCAGGGGATTCTGAGGCTCCGTTTTGTTACTTCACTTGGAAATCTAATGTGTGTAAGTGGAGGACATTAGGATAAAATGGCTGAATTCGCTGAAAAAAACAAAAAAAATAGGTTGGGGAAGAAAAGGAGGAAACTAATATGTAGAGATTTTGTTTTCGAGAATATTTTATCTTATACCAGATCCTCCATGTACATTTTCCAGATGTGTCACAAGAAAATGTATATTTTATTTATTTGTGTATTGTAATATTTAGATCCAGCCTTAAAGTTCCAATTTCCAGGAAGTCCAGTACATATTTCCTTTTTCTCTACTGGACTGAGAAAGGCAAAGAACATGGTGTGTTGAACCATGCTAAATTATACCACAGGGAAGGGACACCTTTGCTCAGCCTTAGCTGATTGCGTCCCTGTGGGAATGAAGGCCCAGTGTTCTTGGATCTTTTGATGATATATATATATATATACACACACACACATTTTTTAGAAGAAGCTTTATACTACTTACATAGAAATAAATGTCTATAATAGCAGATGGTTGAAAACAGTGAAATGATTTTACGCATTTCCGGATTTGGATTGAGGAATAGATAGCAAATCCACCACCGTGGTGTATAGAGAATGAGAGAAAACCCTGTTGCAGTCTCCAATGAGACCAGCTTTGTAAACCACATTAGAGTTGTTGATTACTAAAGGGCCCAGAAGTCAGCAGAAGCATTTTACAGCTCTGCTGAGAGAAGTGTATGTGTCCCTTTGTTAGACCCATGAGACCAGGTCCTGGCTCTTAGGTATATTTGAGATATGTTTTATTCTTTTGACATAGCTTATTTGTCCCTCAGCTTGTCTTAACAAAGTGGAACATTTATGCTCCATGCTGTCACTACTGAAAAGAGGATGAATATAAAAATAAGGAAACTCTTGAGGGTAGCAAATGATGGAAGAAGTGGATACACTCTGGGAAACAGAGCTATGCTATGGAATGCCTGAAAAGAATAAAACTCAAGTATTTTAACACCAACAACAAGTAATTATATTACCACTGAAATAGTGAAGCATGGTTTTTGAAGCAGTAATGTGTGAATTTCCTAAGGGCTACATCAAACCATCCTTAAACCACATGTACAAGGTGAACACTTCCATTTTCAAAGGCATTTTGAAGAAACAATGTGGATCATTCTTTCTCTCATCCTTTCTCTCATCCTTACCCAGTACTTTTACAAAACTAAATTTTTACCCTTCCCAAAAGCTGGTAACTGGAGTGCACAGTTAATCACTTAGTTACTCTCATTGGACATCTCATCTCCTGATTTAAATGCTGTTTTACTGTGTGCAAGTATGGTAAACAGGTAAATGTAATGTTGATTTATTTTGAATAGAATGGTAGTTAGAGGAACTTAGCTCCACAGAAACCCTTTAAATCTACCAAGTTATGTGCAGTGATTGTAAATCTCTGTTAAGTGTAAAACATACCTTATGAATTCACCAGGTTTACCAACACCTCTGTTCCATCACCATCAGTGAAACTGTATCAAGCATCCATAACACTGTAGGAGGCACCATAAGATACTGCAGCACTATCAGTTCTAGAAACAAACGTCTGCCATTGGGGATCCCACAGATGGTTGCATAAACCCTTTTAATTAGCATATTATTGACCCAATAATAGCTTTTCTGAGAGATATGTTTTATATTCCAGTCTGCCCATATGGCACGGATATGCTGCTTAAGGATCACATAATAAAAGTCTTTATGAAAATATGCATAGCATATGTCTAGTATCAGATTTATAGACTGAATAGTTCCTGTGGTTTTCTTTTTCTTTTTCTTTCACCAAATAAGGGAAATGAATAAACTTCTCAAACCTAGGCAATTATTTAAGTTCAACAGAGGTTTTATCTCATTCATGAAAGATTTTCTATCAACAGGTTTAAAATCTTTTAACCTTTGTTTTCAAAATTAGTTATCATTTTCACTCTTGATAAAGGTCTTTCACAAATTTTTCAGTAAGGCATGAACCATCAAAAAAGTACAGTTCTTATCGACAATGCTGGAAGTTCTATAATGAACCCACTACTAAAAGGCAATGAGTAAGAAGCATGCATTGGAAGAACTTAATGTGGTTGGAGTTTGCAGAAAAGATAGGAAACCCAAAGAACAGAGATATTTATAGTTGCATAATTCAGGGCATTCCTCGGAAATTTTTAGACAAATAGAGCAAAGCAAAGTATCTACATTAAACATGGCTAGGTACTTTCCATTTTACAGACTAGCAAGCTTCCATGAGAAGCATATGGAATCTCACATTGTTTCATTTTTATTGCATTGTAGGACATTAAATTTTGATTCAAATGAACCCCATCTTATGAAATTGAGGTATGGTTGGAGAAAAAAAATCAAATTCCAATGTGGATTATTTATAAATAAAGATCCTTCTTCAGATGACTCATGTAAGTTCATTCATTCATAAATACTTTGTTAATTTTAGAAAATTGACATTTGAGTCAAGCTCACCTCCCTCTCTCATATTGAGTTACATGCTGCGGTAGTTACATGGTCTCAGATAAAGATATATTGCTTCATTTGATAACATTAACTCAGCAAAGAGCAACAGCACTCTAAACAAAAACAGGAGGTCTGAGGGAGAATTCAACTCAAAAAGAAGTTTATAAGTAGGATTTCAGAACATACTCACCCACTGCATTTGTGCTATGCCATAGTACTATGCTCAATGCTGATGGAGGTGATTTGTTAATAGCATGAAGCCACTGCCCTCTAACAGCCGTGTTGGGAAGATAAGCACAAATGGATCATGTAATTACCAGTTCAAGACAGAAGGAGTGTAAGTGTCAAATAAGTGATTCCAAAGATAAAACTGGACAAGGTTCAGAGCAGAAGAGATGAATGAAGTCAGCATAGAGGCAGGGGCAGAGCAATGGCTCTAGCAACCGTCTTAGGAGAGAATCCTGTTTTCACCACTTCATAACAACAACATGGTCTTACGTCACAATGTCACTGAGCTCCAACTTCCTTATTTGTAAAATGGAATCAGAATGTGGTCTTTACAAGTTATTATGATGATGAAAAAAGATAATGTATGAAAAGTGCATGATATACAGGAGGCACCCTTACCTGGTAGCTATACTAAGGCTACTGTGATCTATCGGGGCAGGAGTGGAGCAGCCAATCCTCTTGCAAAAGATATGCCTAAACTCAGGCCCAGTGAGAAATTTGGTTAGGGCCTGGCACTTAAAGGCAGGAATTGGTGAGAAGATTGGCCCAATAGAAATTTGTCTTTAAAGTGTGTTAGAGAATTTTAAAGTATATTGTAGTCAGATTACAGAGGGCCTTGAATACCAGGAAGAGAAGTTCAGGCTACATTCTATGGGCAGCTGGGAGTCACTGGAAGATTTTGAGCAAGAAAGTCACCTAATGAAATTGGTATTTTAAGGCTTATTCTGATAGACCTGATAATTGGACATGCAAACTGGATTGGAAATAAGAGAGTAGAGAACAAAGGATGAGAAAGAAAAAAATGAACATTTATTGAACACATATGGTATGTATATGTTTTAGACCGTGGCCTGAGAGCCAAACTCTGATCCCAAATGGGGTTCCCATAAAGGAAGACTGAATCTCTTTTTCTCTTTGATGAAATGGAAAGTGAAAGCCCAGAAGAGCTTTTCAGAATTCTGAAGGCACTAGACTAGAGTAGCCAAACTGCTACCTGGAAAGGGAATATATAGTGCTGGTAGATGGAAAGCTCAGAATTCAAATCCTGTTTAAGGAAATATTTTTGTCGGTATTAAAATACTTTAGGCTAGGCATGGTGACTCACGCCTATAATTCTAACACTTCGAGAGACTGAGGCAGGAGGATCACTTGAGCCAAAAGTTCAAGACTAGCCTGGGCAGCAAAGTGAGATCCACCATCTCTGAAAGAAAAAAAATAATTAGCTGGGCATTGTGGTACATGACTATAGTCCCAGCTACTCAGGAGGCGAAGGTGGGAGGATTGCTTGAGCCCAGGAGATTGAGGCTGCAGTGAGATGTGATCACACCACTGTATTCCACTATGAATGCAGAGCAACACCCTGTCTAAAAAAAAAAAAAACAAAAAACTTTAAATGTCTTCTTTTTTCTGTTAACAACCTGGCATTTTATTTTCCATGTTCTTTCTCCCTATCGTTTTATACTTAGAGTAAAATTCATAATGGACAAGGCTCAGAGGCTTCAGATGTCAGGCATGATTTGTTCATGAAACTCTCCATGCAAGTCTGTTTTAATTAAAAGCAAACTGTTTTACAATGAAAACTGTTTAAAACAAACTCTTCTGTGAACATTTGAACATCTGTAAGGAAATATAAAGGAGCCCAATTATCAATCTGAAGAGTTGTATCCAAGACAATCCAGTTGTCTTTACAATTGAGGGTGGGCCAAAGAAAGGTGATTTCATTTTGGCAGATTTCCTGCTTCATGGAACCCTCCTCAGACTCATGAAAGGATTTGCCAACTCCAGGAGGCTGGAGTTCTATTGGATTCCAGTAAATGCCAGTAAAGAGCTCAGTAAATCAGAAAACATGACTTCTTCTAGACTTGTATTCGTTTTTCTTTTCAGAATTATCTTTCTAACATGCTGTTCTTATTAAGGAAAATTCTGGGAGCATGTGGTATTCCAAGAGTCACTTTGTGTTACCAATTATTATTCAAAAAGTATTACACTTACAGCCTAACATTGGCCAACCCTCTTAGAAGGATCCAGAGCACCACTAATTTTCTTTTCACTGAATGCAGACTTAATAAAAATTTTCATATTCTGGCTTGCAATGAAGTGTCATGTTCCAAGCAGATATCCAAGATCTATATTCCCCAGGGTTTGGTTGAACTGTGACATTATGTTCATTTTTGGATTGTTGTCATGTTTATCAATAGATTTTTTTCCTTGGCCTTGCTTTGCCAGGATGAGTTCTCAGGTCTCATAAATATAACAGATATATGTGGTTTTAAAGAGATTAGACATTTTTCTATGAAAAGACAACTTCAGATCTGAGACAACATAGTGTCCAAAAAGAGTTAAGGTTGGGGGGCTGTAAAAGCATCACTTTTACATGCACCTGTGCTTACAGGATTTGTGTCATATTGGTTGGCCATTTTCATTGGTTACATAACATATTCTAACTTGTCAGACAGTTACTGATTGGCAACACAAATGCTTCTATAATGTACTCAGAATCAAGTTTCCATTTCAAATTATTGCTGAAACTCATTTTTAAGAACCTGTCATGAAATCACTTAAATTCTGTGCTTTATTGGGAAAATACATGCATGTCTTCAGCTTGAGACATAAGATTTTATAGCTTTAAAATTTTGTATTATGAAAAAAATCTGTTTAAAAACTCCATACATTATTTTAATATGCAAATCACAGAAAATGAAAGTCTCTTATGCAACTTCTCTTACTATTTGGAGAATATTTCTCCATAATTTTTCCTATATAATTCCTAACATGCTTGTTCATATAGTCCTTAAAATGGAATCACCATATGCCTAAACTTCTACAACTTGCTTTTCCTGCTATTACATATAAATCTATTTATTCATTTTTGATAGGAATACTATATTCCTTTGGGAAGTGGCCTATAATTTATTTGAACAGTCCTCAGTTGATAGACATTTACATAAGGTGTTAATCTTTATTTACTTTTTAAACTTAAATACAGGGATATTCACTTTTTAAAGTGAACTGCTATGAGTTTTGACAAATGAATGCAGTCATGTAACCGCCACAATTCGGATACAGAACTGCCCATCACCCCAAAAGTTTCCCCTTACTGCTCCTTTGTAATCAACCCTTTCCCCCCAAACCAGCCCTTGGCAATCACTGAGCTGTTTTCTTTTCTTATAATCTCACCTTTTCCAGAATATCACAAAAATGGAATCATGTAGATGTAGATTTTTTAATTATTATTATAATTTAAGTTTTGGGATACATGTGCAGAATGTGCAGTTTTGTTACATAGGTATACATGTGCCATGGTGGTTTGCTGCACCCATCAACCTGTCACCTACATTAGGTATTTCTCCTAATGTTATCCTTTCCCTAGCCCCACACCCCCTGACAGGCCCCGGCGTGTGATGTTCCCCTCCCTATGTCCATATTTTCTCATTGTTCAACTCCCACTTTTGCGTGAGAACATGTGGTATTTGGCTTTCTGTTCTTGTGATAGTTTGCTGAGAATGATGGTTTCCAGCTTCATCCATGTCCCTGCAAAGGACATGAACTTATCCTTTTTTATGGATGCATAGTATTCCAGGGTGTATTTGTGCCACATTTTCTTTATCCGGTCTACTATTGATGGACATTTGCGTTGGTTCCAAATCTTTGCTATTGTGAACAGTGCCACAATAAATATACATGTACATTCATGTCCTTTGCAGGGACATGGATGAAGCTGGAAACCATCATTCTAAGCAAACTATCACAAGGACAGACTACCAAACACTACATGTTGTCACACGTAAGTGGGAATGAGTAATGAGAACACATGGACACAGGGCGGGGACCATCACACACCAGGGCTGGTCAGGGGATTGGGGGCTGGGGGAGGGATAGCATTAGGAGAAATACCTAATGTAAATGACGAGTTGATGGGTGCAGCAAACCAACATGGCACGTGTATACCTATGTAACAAACCTGCACATTGTGCACATGTACCCTAGAACTTAAAGTATAATAATAATAAAATAAATAAAATAAAATAAAATAAAAACAAAAACGATATGGGTGCATGTGCCTTTGTAGTAGAATGATTTATAATCCTTTGGGTATATACCTAGTAATGGGATTGCTGGGTCAATGGTATTTCTAGGTCTAGATCCTTGAGGAATCGCCACACTGTCTTCCACAATGGTGGAACTAATTTACACTCCCAGCAACAGTGTAAAAGCATTCCTATTTCTCCACACCCTCCCCAGTATCTGTTGTTTCCTGACTTTTTAATGATCGCCATTCTAGCTGGCGTGAGATGGTATCTCATTGTGGTTTTGATTTGCATTTCTCTAATGACCAGTGATGATAAGCATTTTTTCATATGTCTGTTGGCTGCATAAATGTCTTCTTTTGAGAAGTGTCTGTTCATATCCTTCGCCCACTTTTTGATGGGGTTGTTTGTTTTTTTGTTGTAAATTTGTTGAAGTTCTTTGTAGATTCTGGATATTAGCCCTTTGTCAGATGGATAGATTGCAGAAATTTTCTCCCATTGTGTAGGTTACCTGTTCACTCTGATGATAGTTTCTTTTGCTGTGCAGAAGCTCTTTAGTTTAATGAGATCCCATTTGTCAATTTTGGCTTTTGTTGCCATTGCTTTTGGTGTTTTAGACATGAAGTCTTTGCCCATGCCTATGTCCTGAGTGGTATTGCCCAGGTTTTCTCCTAGGATTTTTATGGTCCTAGGTCTTATGTTTAGGTCTTTGATCCATCTTGAGTTAATTTTTGCTTAAGGTTTAAGGAAGGGATCCAGTTTTAGTTTTCTGCATATGGCTGGCCAGTTTTTCCCAACACCATTTATTAAATAGGGAATCTTTTTGCCATTGCTTTTTTGTGTCAGGTTTGTCAAAGATCAGATGGTTGTAGATGTGTGGTGTTATTTCTGAGGCTCTGTTCTGTTCCATTGGTCTATATCTCTGTTTTGGTACCAGTACCATGCTGTTTTGGTTACTGTGGCCTTGCAGTCTAGTTTGAAGTCAGGTAGCGTGATGCCTCCAGGTTTGTTCTTCTTGCCCAGAATTGTCTTGGCTATGTGGCCTCTTTTTTGGTTCCATATGAAGTTTAAAATAGTTTTTTCCAATTCTGTGAAGAAAGTCAGTGGAGGCTTGATGGGGATAGCATTGAATGTATAAATTACTTTGGGCAGTATGGCCATTTTCACAATACTGATTCTTCCTATCCATGAGCATGGAATGTTCTTACATTTGTTTGTGTCCTCTTTTATTTCGTTGAGCAGTGGTTTGTAGTTCTCCTTGAAGAGGTCCTTCACATCCCTTGTAAGTTGGATTCCTAGGTATTTTATTCCCTTTGTAGCAATTGGGAATGGGAGTTCACTCATAATTTGGCTCTCTGTTTGTCTGTTATTGGTGTATAGGAATGCTTGTGATCTTTGCACATTGATTTTGTATCCTGAAACATTGCTGAAGTTGCTTATCAACTTAAGGAGATCTTGGACTGAGATGATGGGGTTTTCTAAATATACAATCATGTCATCTGCAAACAGAGACAATTTGACTTCCTCTCTTCCTATTTGAATACTCTTTATTTCATTCTCTTGCCTGATTGCCCTGGCCAGAATTTCCAACACTGTGTTGAATAGGAGTGGTTAGAGTGGGCATCCTTGTTTTGTGCTGGTTTTCAAAGGGAATGCTTCCAGTTTTTGCCCATTCAGTATGATATTGGTTGTGGGTTTGTCATAAATAGCTCTTAGTATTTTGAGATACATCCCATCAATACCTAGTTTATTGAGAGTTTTTGGCATGAAGGGGTGTTGAATTTTGTTGAAGGCCTTTTCTGCATATCTATTGAGATAATCATATAGTGATTGTGTGATTGGTTATGGTTCTGTTTATGTGATGGATTACGTTTATTGATTTGCATATGTTGAATCAGTCTTGCATCCCAGGGATGATGCCAACTTGATCATGGTGGATAAGCTTTTTGATGTGCTGCTGGGTTTAGTTTGCCAGTATTTTATTGAGGATTTTCGCATCGATGTTCATCAGGGATATTGGCCTGAAATTTTCTTTTTTTGTTGTGTCTCTGCCAGGTTTTGGTATCAGGATGATTCTGGCCTCATAAAATGAGTTAGGGAGGATTCCCTCTATTTCTGTTGCTTGGAATAGTTTCAGAAAGAATGGTACCAGCTCCTCTTTGTACCTCTGGTAGGATTCGGCTATGAATCTGTCTGGTCCTGGACTTTTTTTGGTTGGGTGGCTGTTATTGCCTCAATTTCAGAACTTGTTATGCTTTATTCAGGGATTCGATTTCTTCCTGGTTTAGACTTGGGAGGGTGTTGTGTCCAGGAATTTATCCATTTTTTCTAGATTTTCTAGTTTATTTGCATAGAAGTGTTTATAGTATTTTCTGATGGTAGTTTGTATTTCTGTGGGATCAGTGGTGATATCCCCTATATCTTTTTTTATTGCATCTATTTGATTCTTCTCTCTTTTCTTCTTTATTATTCTGGCTAGTGGTCTATCTATTTTGTTGTTCTTTTGAAAAAGCTAGCTCCTGGATTCATTGATTTTTTGAAGGATTTTTCGTGTCTCTATCTCCTTCAGTTCTGCTCTGATCTGAGTTATTTCTTGTCTTCTGCTAGCTTTTGAATTTGTTTGCTCTTGCTTCTCTAGTTCTTTTAATTTTGATGTTAGGATGTCAATTTTAGATTTTTCCTCCTTTCTCTTGTGGGCATTTGGTGCTATACATTTCCCTCTACACATTGCTTTAAATGTGTCCTAGAGATTCTGGTATGTTGTGTCTTCTTTCTCAGTGGTTTCAAAGAACATCTTTATTTCTGCCTTCATTTCGTTATTTACCCAGTAGTCATTCAGAAGCAGGTTGCTAAGTTTCCATGTAGTTAGGCAGTTTTGAGTGAGTTTCTTAATTCTGATTTCTAATTTGATTGCACTGTGGTCTGAGAGACTGTTTGTTCTGATTTCCATTCTTTTGCATTTCCTGAGGAGTGTTTCACTTTCAATTATGTGGTCAATTTTAGAATATGTGCAATGAGGTGCTGAGAAGAGTATATATTCTGTTGATTTGGGGTGGAGAGTTCTGTAGATGTCTATTAGGTCTGCTTGGTCCAGAACTGAGTCCAAGTCCTGAATATCCTTGTTAATTTTCTGTCTCATTGATCTGTCTAATATTGACAAGGGTTTGTTAAAGTCTCCTACTATTATTGTGTGGGAGTCTAAGTCTCTTTGTAGGCCTAATAACTTGCTTTATGAATCTGGGTGCTTGTGTATTGGGTGCATATATATTAAGGATAGTTCACTCTTCTTGCTGCATTGATCCCTTTACCGTTATGTAATACCCTTCTTTGTCTCTTTTGATCTTTGTTGGTTTAAAGTCAGTCTGTTTTATCAGAGATTAGGATTGCAACCCCTGTTTTTTGTTTTTTGTTTGTTTTTGTTTTTGTTTTGCTTTACATTTGCTTGGTAAATATTCCTCCATCCCTTTATTTTGAGCTTATGTGTGTCTTTGCAGGTGAGATGGGTCTCCTGAATACAGCACACTGATGGGTCTTGACTCTTTATCCAATTTGCTAGTCGATGTCTTTTAATTGGGGGCATTTAGCCTATTTACCTTTAAGGTTAATATTGTTATGTGTGAATTTGATCCTGTCAGTATGATGCTAGCTGGTTATTTTGTCCATTACTTGATGCATTTTCTTCATAGTGTCAATGGTCTTTACAATTTGGTATGTTTTTGCAGTGGCTGGTACCGATTGTTCCCTTCCATGTTTAGTGCTTCCTTCAGGAGCTCTTGTAAGGCATGCCTGGTGGTGACAAAATCTCTCAGCTTTTGCTTATCTGTAAAGGATTTTATTTCTCCTTCACTTATGAAGCTTAATTTGGCTGGATATGAAATTCTGGGTTGAAAATTCTTTTCTTTAAGAATGTTGAATATTGGCCCCCACTCTCTTCTGGCTTGTAGAGTTTCTGCCAAGAGATCCACTGTTACTCTGATGGGCTTCCCTTTGTGGGTAACCCGACCTTTCTGCCTGGCTGCCCTTAACATTTTTTCCTTCATTTCAACCTTGGTGAATCTGATGATTGCATGTCTTGGAGTTGCTCTTCTCTAGGAGTATCTTTGTGGTGTTCTCTGTATTTCCTGAATTTGAATGTTGGCCTGTCTTGCTAGGTTGGGGAAGTTCTCCTGGATGATATCCTGAAGAGTATGTTTTCCACCTTGGTTCCATTCTCCTCGTCACTTTCAGGTATACCAATTAAACATAGATTTGGTCTTTTCACCTAGTCCCATAGTTCTTAGAGGCTTTGTTCATTCCTTTTCATTCTTTTTTTCTCTAATCTTGTCTTAACTGTTTATTTCATTAAGTTGATCTTCAATCATTGATATCCTTTCTTCCGTTTGATCAATTTGGCTATTGAAACTTGTGTATGGTTCATGAAGTTCTCGTGCTGTGTTTTTCATCTACATCAGGTCATTTATGTTCTTCTCTAAACTGGTTATTCTAGTGGGCAGTTCGTCTAAACTTTTGTCTTTGTCATGGTTCTTAGCTTCCTTACATTGGGTTAGAACATGCTCCTTTAGCTAAGAGGAGTTTGTTATTACCCACATTCTGAAGCCTATTTCTGTCAGTTTGTCAAACTTATTCTACGTCAAGTTTTGTTCCCTTGCTGGCAAGGAGTTGTGATCCTTTAGAGGAGAAGAGGCCTTTTAGAGGAGAAGAGGCCTTCTGGTTTTTGGAATTTTCATCCTTTTTGCACTGGTTTCTCCCCATCTTTGTGGATTTAGCTATCTTTGGTATTTGATGTTGGTAACCTTCAGATGGGGTCTTTGAGTGGATGTGCTCTTCCTTTCTGCTTGTTAGTTTCCCTTCTAACAAGCCCTTCTGCTGCCAGTCTGCTGGAGTTTGTTGGAGGTCCATTCCTGACCCTGTTTGCCTGGGTATCACCAGTGGAGGCTGCAGAACAGCAAAGATTGCTGACTTTCCTCTGGAAGCTTCATCCCACAGGGGCACCTACCAGATGCCAGCCAGAGCTCTCCTGGATGTAGCCTTTTAAATATAGCTTCTTTCACTTTGCATAATGCATTTGTTATGTGTGTCAAGAGTTTAATTATTTTTATAGAAAAGAAGTCTTCTGCTGTGTGGGAGTACCAATGTATTTATTCATTAGCCAGGTGAATTGAATTATTTCCAGTTTTTGAAATTATCAATAATGCCATTATAAATATGCATGTATTGGCTTTTATATGTCCATCAACTTTAATTTCACTTGGGTGAATGTTCAAGATTGGAATTACAGGGTCATATAGGTAAGTATGTGTTTATCTTCATAAAAACTGCTAGATTGGCCGGGTGTGGTGGCTCACACCTGTGATCTCAGCACTTTGGGAGGCTGAGGCAGGGAGATCACCTGAGGTCAGGAGTTCGAGACCAGCCTGGCTAACATGGTGAAACTCCGTCTCTACTAAAAATGCAAAATTAGTTGGGCATGGTGGCATGCGTCTGTAGTCGCAGGTACCCGGGAGGCTGATGCAGGAGAATCGCTGGAACCCAGGAGGCAGAGGTTGCAGTGAGCTGAGATCGCGCCACTGCACTCCAGCCTGGGTGACAGAATGAGACTCTGTCTCAAAAAAAAAAAAGGCTAGATTTTTTTCCAAAGTGTCTGTACCATTTTGCATTCTCATGTGCAATATAAGAAGGTTCCAGTTCTGCATATCCTTACCAGCACTTAGTATTGTCAGGATTTCCTTTTTTGTTTCTGTTTTTTGAACCATTCCAGTAGGTTTGTAGCTACCACTCATTGTGGTTTTTATTTTCATTTCCCTAATGACTAATGATACTGAGTATCTTTTCATGTGCTTATTTGCCATTCATATATCTTCTTAGGTAAAGTATCAGTTCAAATATTTTCCCATTTTTTCATTGGGTTGTTTCCTATATTGAATTTTGAGAGTTCTTTATGTTTTCTAGATATAATTCCTTTAACAGATATTATTTTGCAAATATTTTCTCCTAGACTGTGTTTTTCATTTTGTTCGCTCAACTGTGTCTTTAATAGATCAGAAGTTTTAAATTTTTATTATATTCAATTTACCAATTTAAAAGGGATTATGATTTTGGTGTCATGTCTAAGAAATCTAAGAAATCTTTGCCTAACCTAAAACCACAAGGAGTCTCTTGTATGATTTCTTCTAGAAGTTTTATAATTTTACCTTTAAATTCAGATCTATGATCTATTTAGAATTAATTTTCCTATAAGGTACAAAGTGTTAGTTGAGGTTCATTTTTTGGATTACAGATGGTAGTTGCAGTACCATTTATTGAAAAGATTATTTTTCCCCATTGAACTGCCTTTGCACATTTATCAAAATCAGTTGATCATATATGTGTGGATATGTTTCTAAACACTGTATTCTGTTCCAGAGTTAAGAATTTTAAAGACCTACCATAGTGCTTCTAAATTTACCCAAGAAATGAAGTTCCCAAACCCCTTTAGACCATGTTGTTGTTTATAGCTTAATGAAGTCAAAATGAACACATCTTTTAGTTAAATTCAAGTTATAGAAACTCGAATTGTTTAAGGCACAGGTCTTCAAGGTGGAGTGCATGTACAATATGATCTAAAGAAAGAAAAGAAAGAAAATATTAGAGCTTCTATCTTGCTTTCTGGGCCTCTGACCACCTGTTTACCAGAAGGCCTTGCCTCATTCCCCTCTTGCCTCTTGGAGCAGTTTAGTAGAAAGTGGAACTCACCAGGGTTGGACGGGGTAGAAGAACAAAGTTAAGGAAAAGCAATTTTTGCACACCTTTGTTTAAATTTTTTTTTTCGTAAGATTTTTCCAAAGATGAAGATTGGCATAAACTTTTCCAGATTCTTCCTAAAAGGGAAAGTGTGAAATTACAGAATAATTTCCTCTTAAATACACACACATACCACACATCACAAGAAAAATTTTACAGCTCGATATTTGTTTAAGCCAAAAAGAATAGAATTATTTTTGTTACTAAAAGCTTGCCTTCTTTGTACTGGAATGGAGTACTAGAAACTGCCATCTTTTTCGTTTCAACCAGCAAGATTTCAAAGCAAGCTATAAAATATGTGTAACATGCGTTTGTCAATGAAATGGTTCAGAAAATAACCTGCTTGCCTACTTGTCTCTCACCTCCAGTGTGCCAGCTTACTATGCACTGGTCCTACTTAACCTTCAAAAGTCCTGAGAACATTTCATCAAGTAACTGATTCAGCTTTGTGGTAGAATTGAGAAAAAAACTTAGTTTGGCAAGCTTGAAAAGAGCCTGGTAGTCACTCCCCCTTTATACTTAACCCATAAAATACTTGACCAGGGAAAACTTAAAACCCCGGGGAAGAGCTTTCTTCCTCTTCTTTTTTTCTTCTTACTCTCTCCCTCTATCCTTCCCTCTCTCCCTTTTCTTCCATCTCTATTGAATAAGAAGCATTCCATCTCTATTGAATAAGAAGCACTCTATTGAATAAGAAGCACTCTATTGAATAAGTAGCATTGAGCCATAATATGAGGAAATCACCGAAAAAATAAGACATAGTTCCTCCTTGATTGTGTTGAACAGAGAACATATATCCATGGGAGAGAGAAGGAGTACTATAGTATGATTCACAAAGAATTAGCCTACAAATAATTTTACCTAGTTTTTCCAAGGTATGTTTATATTTGTTATCAATAAAATAAAATATTGGCAGTATTTTGTCTAATTTGACAACAAAAAGAATTTAAAGAATAAAACTTTAAGCATTTCTCTCATATTTTTCTTTTTCTCTTTTATTTATTTATTTATTTATTTTTTGAGACAGGGTCTTGCTCTGTCACCCAGGCTGGAGTACAGTGGCGCAATCTCTGCTCACTGCAACCTCCGCCTCCCAGGTTCAAGTGATTCTCATGCCTCAGCCTCCTAAGTAGCTGGGACTACAGGAGCCTGCCACCACGCCCAGCTAATTTTTGTATTTTTAGTAGAGACAAGGTTTCACCATATTGTCCAGGCTGGTCTCAAACTCCTGACCTCAAGTGATCAGGCTGCCTCGGCCTCCCAAAGTGCTGGGATTACAGGCATGAGCCACCATGCCCGCCCACATATATTTTTCTTAAAACTTTAATATTGCTACCATAGTCTATCCCATAAAGAAAAAAAAAATAAAATCTTAATTAGTACAAAAATGTACTTACTTTACTTTCTTTCTTTATTGTTTTTCTTTATGTATTTATTTAGAGATGGGGTCTCACTCTGTCACCCAGGCTGGAATGCAGTGGTTTGAATGCAGCTCACTGCAGCCTCAGCCTCCTGGGCTCAAGCGATCCTCCCACCTCAGCCTCCCGAGTAGCTGGGACTACAGGTGGGTGCCACCACACCTGGCAAATTTTTGTATTTTTTGTAAAGGCAGGGTTTTGCCATGTTGGCCAGGCTGGTCTCGAACTCCTGGTCCCAAGTGATCCGCCTGCCTTGGCCTCCCAACATGCTGGAATTACAGGCATGAGCCACCGCTACCAGCCTACTTTTTATTAAATATATGTATATTAATTGTTCATACTCTTCTGTAGATCACTCCCAGACTTCCAGGTGAAGAACTTAAAGAATTGCCAAAGTAACAAATGCAAAGAGTAGGTGGAGTTATAGACTCTTGGGGCTGGGAGAGATTTCTCTAATCACCCTATCCAAGGACGTTGGAAAACCAACACTGAGCAGGTCAGCCCACTTTACCTACATCACTGCGCAGGACACTTCAGAGCTGGACCAGTTCTTTCCTGAAGGTGCATCAGACTGTGGCCAAAAAAAAAAAAGAAGTGTGTGGGGCTGGGTAACTGAGCAGACCTCATGAAGGAGGGTGGACAAACAAGGCCTGGAAGGATGGGAAGAACAGGGTAAGCTGAGAGGATGTGTTTGCAGAACTCTGGAGTTTAGAACCCTTCAGGGAAAAAAGCCCATGGTTCTGGATGAGGCTAGCTCAACAAAAGACAGGTCTGTTCACTGATAATGTGGTCAATTAGGAACTTAAGGAGATTGTTACCTTGGTGTATATTAACTCTATCAGGTCACTAGGGTGACAGGCAATTCATTGCTGTTTCAAAACAGTAATTTGTACACATATCATTTGGCCAGAGAAGTTATACACTTTCACTAGCAGGGAAAAAACTGAAAGAGTTTAGTAACCATTGTCAACTTTGGAATTTGTCATTCTCCATTTCTTGCCTTTTCCTTTTAAGAAAAAATGATGGTTTGAATTTAAAAGTTTGCATTTTATGTTTTTTCTGCTTGCCCTGCACTGTATCCTATTAGAGTGACCTTCAAGTAATGGCAGTACTACTACTCTAGTTGTCTAGAAGTTATGGAGTATTTCAGACACCCAAAAGGATCTGGCTCCTAGAGTGATTGCCTAAAACGCTACATGATGATAAGCCAGTATGGATTTGCAGGGTTCTCACTGTAATTTTATCCACATGTCCCTAGCTGGCAAGATTAATTCAGCCCTGAAAATGCTAATCTTCAAACATGGCTCTGATATCCTTGTTTCCCATTTAGTGCATCATTTAAAAACTGGCCTTGTGGCTATGTTGCTGTAGCAGGACTGCACTAGGAAATTGGAGGCAGCATTCTTATCTCATGTTAAGTCATCTGTTTAGCCAACAAATACCTATAGAATGTCAACCATGTACCAGGCATTGTGCTAGGCGTCGGAAGCACAGTGATAACTCCTGCCCTGGTGGAACTTAATTAAGTTATGCCTCTAATTAGCAGTGGGCTCTGGGCAAGTTTTCCTTTCTAAATGCAGGACTTGGACTGGATATTCTTGAAATGTCTTTTACAATGGGAATATTCTACTCCTGAAAGCAGCGAGTTTCCTAGAATCTCTGAGTGGAACTGAGGGGCAATTTAAACAGTGTGGAAGAAACTCTGTAATCACAGTTTAACAAAAAGAATTTTAGTTTTTTCTGTGTCTTATTTT
Source organism: Homo sapiens (assembly GCF_000001405.40). Classification (NCBI taxonomy): domain Eukaryota; kingdom Metazoa; phylum Chordata; class Mammalia; order Primates; family Hominidae; genus Homo; species Homo sapiens. Next base: position 53,026,094 of record NC_000004.12, on the reverse strand, counting down.
GTTGTTGTTGTTGTTTTTCTGGTGGTGATAGCTTACTTTTCTGGAAAATTGTATGAAATTTTTCCTGAGAAGGAGAAAGAAAAAAAAAATGAAAAACCGTAGTCATTTACATATCCATGTTCATGAAAGTACATAAGAACATAATTCAGTCTAAGTAAAAAGATTTCTTGAAACTTTTAACATATGAAATTATCCCTGTGGAAATCAAGTATGTTAGTTTTATACATGTATTTAACAGAGGTTACATTTTGACAAACTATTATTTAAAAATCCAGTCCATAAGATCCATGAGGTGACTCCAGTTAAATAAATGTTGTGTGTGTGCTGTGGTGCACAGCAGCAGGCCACAGGGGCCTCGTCCTCCAGGAGCTCACAATGTGGTAGTTTTTCCCGCATCAATTGAATAGCTTTTTCAAAATCTCTTTTTTTAACTCAAATTTTTAGCATTTATAATGGAAATATTCAGCTCTTGGATAGTCGGTAGATCACAACAGAACATGCTGAGATGGCATAAGAGTGAAAAATTAGCATAAGAGTCCTACTTGGCAGTGAAAAATTGTGCTTTGATAAACTGATAGAGATTGAGAAATAACTATCTGCCTACTGTGTGATCTCTAAATTGTACTTACTAGGCATTCTCCATCAGCAGCATGGAGAATATATGTTTTCTTTGATGTGTTTTTTGGTTTGGAAGTATCTATGTTGTTTGGCATCAATTAAACTAAAAGATGTTCTCATAGATTAACAAGAATGTTTATTTTAATGTTGATTTTCTAATTTCATTGTAAGAAGGATATCCCTATCTGTGCTTCATTCATGATAACTTGGAAATAAAGATATTTTTATTTGTATAAGTGTGATTTGAGAGTTTGAAAAACTGAATGTGGTATTATATGACCAAGTATAGATTTCTGTTTCAGATGTGGCCACCCAGAAGGGCTAAGCCACCTTCCCCTCTATTTCTTACCCCCTTCTTCTGTTCATTCCATTCCTTTTTTTCGTAACTATAGTAATGGAAGCTTTCAGCAGAGCCACACAGAGGGGCCGTGGAGATGCCCACAGGTTGGATTAATCACATGTGCCCTGTTTATCTGTGAATAGATAAGGTAGAGTATAACCAGTGGGACAAATGCAGTGGATACTCACAGAGCCTAAGCTAATATTCTAGGGGGAGTCAAGAGGGGTTTAGAAGCTGTGTCAATGTCTTCAGGTTACCAAGGACTGCTTTCTTCAAAATGCTTGGGCCCTGCGATAATCTGAGCCAATGTGTGATGATTGAGGTGGTAACAGGACCAGAGTTAAAGGGACTCTGGAACCCCTTCAGAGTAACGTCATCCCATGGGTTAGCTGAAAACCTTATTTGGAGTGGCTGAAGGCAAAAAAAAAAAAAGGCCTGAGACATAAACACCTTTCAATAAAAGTACTATCCCTAATGATTGCTGAAAAAAACATGGGAATATTTTATTTTTATTTTTTAGAATTTTGGCAGAAAGTAGTGGTCTCAATTTGGCACTGGATGGCCAGTCTTCAAAACAAGTGAAACCAAATATCTAGAAAGAACCAATAGTGTCTTAGCCTACCATTTATTCATGCAACTATTCATTCAACTATTTATAGCTTGCCTACTTTATGTCACTTCCCCTCAATCTTCTTTTCATCTCTACAACCATTTCTTCAATATCTTCCTCCAAGTTGATTATGCCATCTTAAAAACAGGGCTTTAAATCTCATCTCTCAACCTATTACCTGGGACAAGCTGGATGAAAAGCCTTTGGTGTTCAGTGTTTGTTAGCCAGTTTGAGTTAAATAAGAAAAGATTGAGCCAGCCACCACTTCTTTGGATTTTTTCTGGGGCCAAATGTTAGCCTAGAATCCTTCTTTTTGGGGAGGTAAGTGAATCTTCAAGTCTTCAGGTTTTCTTGTGATGGCTAGCACTTGGTGTCAGGGTTTTAGAAGCGCAGCCACAAGAATTTAATGAAAGCAGACTTCTTGAAACCAGCAGGTTTCCATTGGTTGGTTGTTTCTAGATGCCCAAGAATAAGGCTGCTGCTGACTGTGGAGTTTGTGTTCCAAGCCAGCCTCAGATTCATTTGAATTACAGTGTCTCTAGAACTCTGGCTTGTCATCAGTAGGGCTTCCCTCCACCACCACCCCCAATCTCCCACATTCTCAATGTCGAGATGAAGTTTTCCCTCAAATGATTAACTGCACATGGTAAGAGTATGTCATCCAGTGGTGACAGAGCTCATACTGAACAGAGCTACTGTCCATCTTCAGGTTTCAGTCTAGAAACCTCTGAGACTAGCACTTGCAGTTGCATTTATTAATACTATGCCTCATTCCAAAAGACGTCCAAAGCAGTTTGCAGAGAAACAGACTACAAAAACAGTGATAATACCAGGGCAAAAGAGAATAGAAAACGTGAAGCTAAAGGTATGATAAAGAAAATCATGGACTTTAATTCATGAAATAAAATTCATATGTCCTATATAGATGAGATTGATCTAGATTTGACACAGCTTCCTAGCAGCCAAAGAAAAGTGAGAACTAAGATTAGTTAGAATTTGGGATTGTGAGGAGAGGAAGGGGTCTAATATCACAGCAATCTGCCCACCCAGACACCACTCTGTGAGTAGGGGCTAAGCCTCCTGAATTCTTGGTACCTCCTACGGCCATACCAATATTTTTAGGGCCAGGTTCACATGGGTTCATGATTCCTTTTTCCAAAGCGTACCTTTGGAAACTGATATCCAAGTTTTCCAAAGTGCAGTTTTGGAATAGAGAATTCATTGAATTGGAGTCACAACCCATTGCAGATGTCAACTCCTCATCTTAGCAATATTCATCTTTGGGGGAGCAAATTCAAATCAGAATGAAGGAATGAGATGTAGCTGCAAAATTAAATGTAATATCACAGGAAAGGACTTTTCCTCCCTGGAGTCTAGTTTTACATTTAGACCCACGTACCCATGAGTCTAAGTATTTCCTAAACTCTCTATGCACAAAGGTCTCAAGAAGATAACAACAACTCATGATCACCATAAATTAAATCAATTGCCTGTGATGCACTAAAGAGGTTTAATGTGGCTCTTTTAGCCTTTTGGATAGTTTTCAAAATGCCTGTAGAAGCACTGCTTTATAGATTTACCTTGGCGCCCCATTCATTCATTTATACAATAAATAATTCTCACACTCTTACTATGTGCCAGGCACTGTGCCAAGCACTAGGGATAAAGCAATGAATAAAAATGTCAGTCTCCACACCCCTACAGTTATAATTATTATTTTGTTATTGTTACTTAACATTAAGAAAAAAACTTAACTCTTGTTGCATTTTCTTCTAGCCAACCAACCAGCCTCTTAAGTATTATCTCATTTCTATTTTGATCTCTAAATTACTCTGTGAGGTAGTCTGGCAGGAATTAATCCCCTCTTTAGAGATCAGGAGAAAGTTTAAAACTTGCCAAGGCCACGCAGAGCAGGGATCCAAAACCAGTTCTCCCAACTCTAAGGCCTAAACTTTCTCTCTTAGACTATTCTCCCAATTAGGCATTTTCCCTTCATTTTCTGACCTCCAATTTGCTAGATGGAAAAGGATAAGCAGCTCTTTATGATACTATAAATACAGATATACAGATTTCTCAGAAAACCAAGCAAGCAAAAAGGAATAATTGGAACACACGTTATTTTTAGACTGCTGCCTGATTTAATGTGAGCCTTCAATGACCTTAGAGGCCCTAGATGGGGGATCAGGCATATTTTCAGGGCTGACTTATAGGTGGAGGGGAATAGAAAGATACTGTGTTCTTATTCTTTGTCACTATCAATTTAAAAGTAAATTAAGTCCCCCAGTAAGAGAAAATAACATTTTTCCATGTTTGTTCCTTTTTACATGCATCTCTCAATAGTTAACATTTGACATCCTTTTGCAGTCCAGCCTCCTTTCCCAACTTGCCAGGGATAATATTTTCCCTATTCCCAAAGCCTTGAAGAACAAGAAATTATAGTGGAAGTGTTTCTGACAACAACACAAATCACCTGACAACATCCCCATTGGCATTTACCATCATGCTCTATGATACATGGACCTGTGACCCCCTCCTCATTTTTCACACCAGGATGCTGGCATCCAGTCATTGGGGTAGAACTGGCTCAGTAATGTTTTCCATCTGCTGGCTTGGCACCAGTCATCATAGAGTGTCACCTGGGTTCTGTCTTACAGTTTCCAGGGCCAAGGTTAGGGATGCTACAGAAGAACAACTACATATTCTTCTGTCGGCACTGTGAACAAAACAAGATTTTGCTGAAGTATCTAAAATAAATTTACTGGAGGAAAAAAAGTCTAGTCAAAAAGTTCAGAAATGCTTTTTTCTACCATCTCTCTTCCTTTCTTCTCTCCCACATCTTCAAATCCTGATAGATCTCGAATGTCACCTTCTCTAAGGAGCTTTTCCCAACACCCTCACCCTTGACTTGCCGCTGCGCCCCTGGAGAACTTAATGCATACCGCATTGCATTGCCATTATTTATTTGTATTTTCCTCTCTCCCACTAGACAGTAAACTCTTCAAAGGAGAGTAGCCACTGTATCTTTTAAAGTTCATAACATACAGTATGTTTCTGTTGAGGAAATGATTTGCAAGTTTAGAAAAAATTAGTAATCTCTGTTAGTTTTAAACTAAACCTACAGGAATAAATTATGTTGAAAGTTGCTATTATTAAAAATGAAGTACTTTAAAATGTTTTTCTTCTATAAAATGTTAGAAATAGGAAGTTTATTGTTTTGGGTTTCAAGTTATCCTTTTAAAGATACATTTTTAAAAACAATTGCAATTTTGTGTTGTTGAAACTCACAGGACATGTAAAATTATTCAGGTCATTTAGATTTGACCTCAGACATGTGGCAACTCTGTCATGAATTAAAAGGCCCAATAAGTTTGTGCTTATCATTCTAAAATGGGTTTCTGCTTTACTTGAAAATTTCACATTATTAGTATATTGTCATCTAAAAGATGTACATGCTTAGTCAAGGTAGAGCTCATTTCTAAAAGAATGTAACACTTTTAAAATATCTACCACTTCGATGATGGCTTGCACAGTTTAGGGTTACATGATGAGGTGGCCACAGGAGCAATTCTGGAAGAAGGAATGTGGGGCAAAAATTTCACTTGAACAGAAGCCAAAACCACCCACCCTAGCATTAAGACCCTTCACACCAAATTTTCATCAAAGGGCAGGAACAGGTAGTCATGATTTGCTCTCATTTAAACACAGCCTAGGCACCCTAGCTCCATCTTGTTTAATCCATGGTTCCTAGGACTATATATGGGAAGTCTTTATCTGCCCTGTGTGGCGGTGGTGTATTTCATTTGTACCCTCGGTCAGTCACATGATCCTTCCTATTTGCAGGGGAGGCTGGGAAACGTGGGCTACTGTGTACCCAGGAAGGAAAGGACTGTGCTGAACAGCTATCTAGTCTCTGAGATCTGAAAGCATCTCACAGGATAACTTGTTTCAGGCATAGGGTCATGGGAGTCGATGAGGGTATACCAACACCAGAGCTATTTGAATGATTAGGATTTAGTGACTGACTGGATGGGGATGTAGAAAGACAGATGATAAGACTGACAGTTTCTTAACCTTTCCCTATCTTTGTCCTTTTGAGGCTCTCTGAAAATTATTTCTAAAAAACAACTGGACAAGGTTCTGGATAGTTGTCTGTTGCAAAGTTGTTCTGAAACAGTAACCGATTAACTCACAAGATGTGTGTAAACTGGCTTTCCACATCCACTCTAGATCATGTGAATTTTCAGAGGGACCATAGTTTGATTTGAAAAGGCATCATCTAATTAATGTGAATTAACATTAGCAAGTACAGTACTGTTACAGACACATTAAAGGCTTTACAGAGAAGAAAAGTCATGAAATGACATGCTAATTTAGTATGTGGGCACCGGAAGAGCTATTACCTATTCAAAAATAGTTGTAAAAGAAAAGAATCAGCCAAGACAAGCTGGTTGCTAATGGTTTTAGTGTGGGAGGAGAAAACTGCATTGCAATTCTTGGCTCTGAGTTAGGGTCAGGAAGATCAGTAGCCCAGCGTTGACCTTTGTGTTTGGAATCTTTCATATTGACTCACCAGACGCTTGTAATTTGGTGAGCCAGATAACAGAAATGTAGACAAGGTCTCTGTGCCTGAACTTTAAACCTCCGAGTAGCTTGTCCTTTATGATAATAATTAGCATTGCTTGGGATCTAAAGCAGAGTAATCACCTAAGACCTACCATATTAATCTAAATTAACTCAGTAAGTTACCACCAGAGAACCCACTGGGAAAATGAAGGTGGGAAGCTGAGAAGCTCAGCTGCATAACTTTATATATTGTTTGTTTGTAAGTCTGTTTGGAGGTGATTTTTTTAAGTGATATGTCTCACAGAAGGAAAGAATTTCAACAACGTTGATACAATCACACATTTACAAGTGTCAGGGTTGTCCAACCCCTTTGAATCCAAGAGGAACTTTTACTCCTTATTTCTTCTCCTGATGTTGAAGTAGTAAGTGTTCTTTTATAATCAGGCCAATGGTATTATTTTAAATTAAGTAATATCTATTTATGGTAGAAAAGTATGAAGATAAACATTTTAAATAGAATTTATTCTCACCATCTAGTCACTGTAAATATTTTGATAAACTTATTTCAATTCATAAGCATATACATATAAGTATCTATCTATCTATACACCTACATAAACAGGGCTTTAAATACAAGTTAATCTTTATATGAAAGGTACTTCCCAAATTATTCATTTTCAAAAGTTTGTTTTTAATGTTGTATTATAAGATTTACTATTTTTTATTTAAGCATTTTCCTATTTTTGTACATTTCAGCTGTTTCCAGCTTTTGAACATCCTTGTGCATAAATCTTTGTCCTTATCTTTGATTACTTCCTTAGGAGAAAGTCTTAGAAATGGAATTACTAGGTCAAAGGTTATAATCCTTTTTAAGGCTCCTAATATCTATTGAACACATTGCACCCTGGGAAATTTGCTGCAGTTCATTCCTATCATCTGGGTATGAGAGGACCCATCTGACCAAAATCATTCCAACACTATTATTCTTTACTTATCAAGTAGAAATTGGACATGTTAGGGCCTCTATAGCTTTACGGGCTGCTTTGCTTCCTAACTGGCCATCTTGAGTATACACTGTGAGAGGCTATCACAACAAACCTTATTATGGCTATCCTTAGTCTAAAGGTGAACAAGAGCGTACACACCATCATTGATGCATCCTGCATGAACACATGCACTGTCTTGTTCTTAATGAGCAAGGTCAGGCTGGCGTAAGTTTTGTTATATTTAGATGTCCTAAGCATCCTTTGGGAGGGTTGTGTTTGGTCTTCAGGGTTGATATGCTGGGTCTCTTTCCCAGAAATGTCTGGCCTAGCAATAAAGGAAACTCCAAGCGTGAAAATTGCACTTCATGGGCCCAGTGGAGTTTTCCTGCTGACATAGAATTGATTGACTAAATATAAATCACTCTGACTTGAGTGATTCTGTCCACTCAGGATGAATTGGAGAGAAATCACCAGAAGGAAATTGGCCTCTGAAGTGTGAGACATTGGATTATTGCCGTCACAAGCAATGCTTGTCAGGAACATTGCATTTTTGCCTTATTTCGGATATCATGTTATTTGGAGCAATATTGGATTTGCCGTAAGATTTAGATCTGTCTTTTTCTGGGTGTACATGTTCTATCAATTCCTTTTCCATTTTAGTAATCTGTGAATAATAGATTTATGATAGTGATGGTTTATAATGCTTGGTTTATTCTGTAACAATATCAAATTTTCATCAACTTTTTCTTAACTGCTCAACAATGTCACAGAAATCAATTAAATGATTAAATAAATATGAGTGTCAGGCCCTATCATGAGCCCTGGGGTTGAAACAGTAAATAAAACCAACAAAGCTCTAATGTAAGCCATCATGGAGCTTACCTTCTGGTATGGGAAGACAACAAACAAACGCATAGTATGTCACATGCTGATGATAGCTCTGGAGAAAAACAGAGTTAAGGAAAGAGAGCAGGATGGATACAGAGTGGTTTAGCAGTGTGCTGTTCTATATAGGATGGTCAAGAGAAGCCCTACTTTAAGGAGCCATTTGTATAGACCTACAGAGAACTGGGCTGTGAGCCGTTTGGATACTTTGGGGAATGACCTACCAGGTAGACAGAATAGCAAATGCAAAGGCCCTGAAGTGGTGGCTTGCTGGGTTTCTTCAAGGAACAATACCCAGGAGGGTGGAATGAGCAAGTGGGAGGAGAAGGAGAGGTGGCAGAGCTCAGTGCAGGTAGGGCCTAGTTTGCCTTCATGGGGATTTTGGCTCTGCATGAGAAGTGTGTCACAGAGGATTTTGGGCAGACCCAACCCAGTGGTCTTTATACTACAACAAATTGGTCATTATTTTTCCCAAACATTAATTTTAAAAGAACTTGATCTTACTAATGTGGGATATTTTAAAGTCCATATTCTCAGGGAATCTAGATGGAAATTGAAACTTAAAAGATAAAACATAGTTGGGTCAAATACTTTAAGATGTTTTCCTTAGGTTTATAAAACCTGTATTGCACCTACTATTTCATCTGTCATCTTTACTACAGATATAAAACAGATAGCAGCAGCATCAGAACTTTGGGTGAGTTACCTCACTATTTCACACAGTAAGTTTTCATTTAACTTGTTTTTATTCATCTTCTCTCTCCTTGTTTTTCATATGTGATTTGAATGTTTCGCACGTTTATTTCTAGTGGGTGAAGAAATATGTGGTACCATTGCATAACTACCTCCACCCCTGGATAATTGTCCTCCTTATTTTTAGGAAGCAGAAAATAGCCTATTGTGTTATAATTAGCCACCGGTGCCCACCCAAATATGATTACTATGGCAAGAACTTTTGCTTCTTTTTGTGTGTGTGTGTGTGTGTGAGACGGAGTCTCGCTCTGTTGCCCAGGCTGGAGTGCAGTGTTGCAATCTCAGCTCACTGCAACCTCTGCCTCCTGGGTTCAAGCAATTCTCCTGCCTCAGCCTCCCAAGTAGCTGCGATTATAGGTGTGCACCACCACGCCTGGCTAATTTTTTGTATTTTTAGTAGAAACGGGGTTTCACTGTGTTAGCCAGGATGGTCTCGAACTCCTGACCTTGTGATCCGCCTGCCTTGGCCTCCCAAAGTGCTGGGATTACAGGTATAAGCCACCGCACCTGGCCAGATCTTGATCATTTTTAAATGTCCTGAAATACTTGGGAAATCTTGAAAGATTCATATTTCTTCAAGATCTCTAAGCAGTTTTTAAAAAAATCCCTACAAGCTCAGTTAAAACTAAATGTTCTAAACAGTGAGAAGTATAAATTTTCTTTCACCTGTCTTCTAATTAGAGCCTCTTACTCATCTGTAGCACGAGTCATTTATTTTGTCTAGTACAAAGAATATTTCGAATACTCATGACTAAAGAGCTCAGGAGTTCTAGCTAAAGAAGAATCTTGAAGCATTGGAGTTTTGAAAATCTGCATAAAGATTTTGAAGATTTTTTAAAGATTCATATTATAACAGTATACCGTTGGTCTAATTTTTCTTAATCTACTAAAAACGAAATAGCACAGGTCAGATGTGACTTGCTTGCTTTCTGCTCCTGTACAATCCAGGAGTGTTAATCAAAAAGCAAAATTTGTGACATCAGTTTTATTTCCATGGCTACTGATTGTAATATTACAAACATGAGATTACTGGCTAGTTCATCATGAAGGTTAAAGAAGATTCCTCCTTGGATAGGATCTCCAAAACCAACACCAAGGGGAATATTATCAGAGCTGCTTCCAGCAGCGTGTCCTTTCAAAAATGTTCTCATTATTCTGAGAGCTTTGTTTTATTTTGTGAGGGTTTTTATCATTTGTTGTTGGTGGTTAATATTTTAATTTTATGTGCTTGTTTGTTTTATTTATTCCTCCACCCCAGGTGACCGTGTAGGAAAATGGTTATTTTAGATGTTAGAAGCCCCTCTGTTAAGAAGCAGTTTCTGCCTTCGTTTAATTCTTCTTCCACAAATAAGATTTATTTTGGAACTTCAGTCAAAAACATCTGTACTTTGTACAGGACAAACATCTGCCTTCCTACAAGAGCTGCTGGCCTTCCTGATGTTAGATAAATGCATTTTGTTCTTTGAAAGCCCCTCATAGAGAAGAGACTGTACAATAAGAGAAGCCCACTCATTCTTGAATCCAGAGCGCCTCGTTGTGGCTCAAACATGTTACTACAGAAGACCGTTTATCAATTTGCTATTTCTCTTCTCCCCAAACTTAATCAGTTTTAAAGGTAGAATATATTTTAATAAATATATTATTTGACCATGCCATATGGTCAAAGCTTCCAGGAACACATAGATATGTGTTACCAACTTGGAAGATAAACTGGGGTTGGGTACACTCAAGTTATTTTTCTAATAGTGATGGAAGACGTGTGCTGATAAGTTTTCAAAGTCTTATCTGAACCGCCTGATGACTGACAACGTGCGTTTGAGAGATTTTGCTTCTCCTGGGAAGCTTGCCCTGATTCTCCTGCTGCTTCTTCCAAAGGTTCGTTTTGTTTTTTGGGTTTTGTTTTTGTTTTTTTGCATATTTTCCTGTACTCCTTACTAAAAATTCTTCAGGGCAGAGCTGCTGTCTTACCTTTGTATTCTCAATGCACAGCACAGTGCCTGGCAAATAGCAGGTCCCCAGTAACACTAGATGAATGACAGGTGTTTTAGGACCAACTGTGGTGGATCAGAAGAATAAAATCCATAATCCTGGCCTGTGTCCTGACCATCCAAGTATATGGTTAGTCTTTATTACTGTGTTTTTTTGTATTTACTCTGTTAAAATTACCTTAAATATAGTGAGCTTTGCTTAATGAGAAACTGATGTAGCAAATAGCAGACCCTGTAATACAGCTGGTCATTTTAACACAGTGCCTTTTCTCCTCCTGACTCACTGACTTTTGGTTTGTTTTGCTAAATCATTACCTTGTAATGTCTAGTTTTTATTCAAAACAACTGCTACTAAGTACTACACCAGTAAAACGTTCTAGTGGATATTATAAATTCAAAAATATTTCTATGTACCCTTATAACAGGGAATGCTGAGTTAATGCGTTTTTCACAAAATAGAGATTCTCTAACCATTTTTTGGTTGTCCCCTTACCGTCTGTACCAAAGCAAGCTATGTAGGACACTGTTTTTTTCAAAAGGTGCATTTAAGTATGTTTTAAGAATTGAGGTATATCCCACCAAGCTCGTGTATTTATTCAAGAAGCATTTATCTCCTGTTATATGCTTGGCATTGTGCTGGAGTTCTGGAGGTGGCTAAGACAGTCCTTCCTGGAGCTCACGGGGGAGCCCAAGGAGCCCTAATATCATGTGATCTGTGCTATAACAAGGACTATAAACACAGAGGGCTGAGGCAGCACTTGGAGAGGGTTGTGCCTATGAGGTTCTTGATAAATGCTGAATAAGCTGAATTCAGGGCCTTCTCAAGGTGAGTGAATCACCTTTGTGTATTGCAAAGGAAAACTAAGAATAGTGTCTTGGATGACAGGGAAGAATAACTGTACAAATAAATGTTACATACCACACTTAAAAATGTCAACTTGGACAAGGCAAGTAAGGAACACATGGATTTTAGGTGTGGCCAGTGAAAATCAGAGACTCTGACTATAATCCCTTTCTAACCTCCCCTTCAGTGCGTAACTAACACTGTTTTCACAAAAACTCTGAAACTTTCTTTTCCAGGCTTTTATACAAGTTGTTTCTTTTGCCTGGAACAATCACTGCCACTCCATCTCCATACCAACTCCTTTCACCCTGGAGGAAGCCTCCTCTGTCTCATAGCACTCTGCACTTCCACATCATAGCGCCTACCATACCATAATGTAAACAGGTCCACCCATTTACCTCCCTGCATCCCCTGCACATGGCAAAGGGTGTATGTCTGTTTTTCTCCGGGACCCAACACATGCTCAGCACCTCAGGCTTAATAAAGATGAGTTAACTCAAATTAGTTAATTTAATTCCAAGTTGCTCTCTCATATAGCATCTCTGTATGGGACTTCAAAATACCAGATATTTTTTAGTTGACCCTTTTTATTTTATACTGAAGCCTTTTCATAAGATGGGAGGACTATAAAATCCCTCCCCTGCACGGAATCCAAGCAATAATACCTTTCCTTCAGTGGTAAACATGTGAAGCTTCTTGGAATTTAAAAAACTATTTTTTAATAAGGAGATATACAGTCTGGGATCTGCCCTTGAGCCTGATTTCTCATCTATAAATGAGGAGATGGGCCTAATGATCTCAGAGGACGTTCCAGCAAAAGTTATTCTCAGAAGCCATATAATAAATGTTATAAAACTACCTTATTACTGCCAACATTTCACATAATATTAAGATTTTGAAGAGTACTCATGAGTAGTTTTGACAGAAATTGTAGAGACTATCTCCCCACCAACCTCTAGAACATAACAGCTAAATGATTTTCGTTGACTAATTGAATGAATGAGGAAAAAAAGCCACATGGCAAAATCCCAAGTAATAAAAAAGGAAATATTCTCACAGTTGAAGGAATTTTCAAGAAGGAAAGGGAGAATTGTCTGCAAGGGTACAAGGTGACATTTATAGTGAAAGGAATTATTTAAGTTCTTCCATTATTTATTTACACAGGAAAGGGCCCATGAATTTACAGTGAAAAACTCTTCTAATAAGGGAATTAAGGCTATGAAACTAACATAGCTGTATTTACCAGTACTTGATAAATGTCATCAGCTAATGATTTGATGAGATATCTTTGTAACATTTAGTCACAAGGAGTCCTGGGAAAGTACTGTAGGTGTAAAGGAAGAATGGCCTATTCTAAGCAGATTTTGTTTCCTTGTCTCTATTAGATGGCTGTTTTTCTGGAGCTTCTAACAGTTTTCAAACACAGAGTGCAAATGTGTTTGTTGTCAGTGAGGCCGCCATTTGGAGTTGGTGCAGGAGCTCTGCAGCTCCTTTTCTATGTAACAGTGGAAGTGTGGTGGAGTTCAGTCTAGCTAGGGCCCCTTCCTGTCATAAATAAGATTACTTTCATTTCACTTGTGGAGTGTGCTATTCCTCAGAGTAATGAATTTCCTCTGTGCCTTTGAGCATATAAACATGGTTTTCATTAGCTTTCTCTCTCTTAAAAAAAAACACACACACACACACACACACAGAAAGGAGGGGAGAGGGAGAGGGAGGTAAAAGAAAGAATCTGAGCAAAATTAATAAGATGTCAATTAACTCCATAAATGCAGATGCCTTTTTTGCCGACTGGCTAGAACATGCTGATGAGCAGTACCAGAAAAGCACTGGTTCATCTCTCCTGAAATGCTAAGAAAATGAAATGGGGTAGAGAAAGGTAAAAATTTTATCCTACATGAACAAAGGAATGAAAGAAAAATAAAGAGAGAAAAGAATATTCTTTTTTGAATCTTGCTGTTAGGAGAACTATTTCAAACAGGCCATGAGAGTGGCCCCTCGGACCAAATAGCCAGCCCTGGGTTCTTCTGGAATTATGGGCACTTCACAGAGGACCAACCTATTTGACCAGGATCACAGTGCAGCCTCTGCCTCCACTTCCCTGCCTTTTGTGTGTGTGTGTGTGTGTGTGAGAGAGAGAGAGAGAGAGAGAAAGAGAGAGAGAGATTTTATGCTAATAAGGTATCCCAGCCTTTCCCTATTTCAAATTTACCCCTCTGTGACTTGTAAGCCATGCAATTCGTAGGGCTAAATATGCAGTTGTTCGATTTCACGGTTTGGAATCTCTTGTCAAGGGGTGAGTCATTATAACACGGCTGGGCTTTTCTCATTGTTGATGGTGCATACTTGAACCTGAAAACTATTTAGGATCCATTGACCCTTTGACTTCTGCCAGGATCTTTCTTGCTGTTGTTTTTGGAAATTTGTGGGGCAGGGAGTAGGGGGATGGAGTCCTCTCAAATTAACCCATAGAAGGAGTTAAGCTATTAAAAAAAAAAAAAAAAAAGCCTAAAACCTGGTTTTTCAAAATTACTTATTCTCAATGAAAAATCCCCAGATTTGTGTTCCCAGAACCTTTTCCTCTCCCCACAATCAATGTCGGTTTCAGCCTCCAATTCATAGTATATTATGTACTTGTTTATCCTCTAGAGAGGAAGAAATAATAATGTTATGAAGGCATCAAGGAATTAAATTCCAGGCCACAGGTTGTCACTGACAATTCACTGCAGACCAAACTTGTAACCCAGATAAAGAAGCTTGAAGCGTTTCACAGTGAGGTGTCTTCCAGCTTTGACCTCCTGGATAGGTGTTCTTGTTACAGTTTAGAAGTGCAGCTGGTTTCTATTTGAAATGAGAAGAATGGAGTTATTTAAGGAGCCAGTGCCTCTCATAGGTGAAATCGGCTTTGCTGAAATGTACACAACACACTACAAGGAACCTTAAAAACAAACTTCCATTTCACTTAGCTGCAGCACAGGAAATTGTTTCTGGCTTGTTTTTGTTGTGAACAGAGAGAACACTGCATATTAGAAATTCCCTGTAGTTGTTTAATATTTGCTCAGTAGTGTCCTGGTTCCTAATCAAGTCCTTCTTCTCACTAAATCCTGTCAACTCTGTCACTGTTTTGATTGGAAGCATGAATTGTAACACTGAAAAATCTCTCAGGACAGTAAACCTCTGCAGCTGTGGAAGGCTGGAGCTATTTACTGGTATTATTAAAGGAACCTGAATGACTTCTTTGGGGGGGAAAAAAAAGCAAAGATGCAGTGAAATTCATAAGGTGCACAGAGATTTAGGATGAAGGTTTTATTATGAGCACAGCCTCATAATACTATCCTCATAGAAAGAATACAGAATAGTAACAATTGTTTCATGAGTTGGCAAACATAATATTCTGATGTCTGCCTTTTTTAGGGGGAAAATAAAGTCCAAATGTAAAATATGAAATCAGACATAGCTAGTGCTTTGGAACAGTGTTTGAACTGGATGCTTTTTCAAGGTACGCTATAGAAACAAATGTCACCTTTATTTCCTGAAGGCATTTTGAAGAGTTTGCCGTTGGTCTTTTAAGGCATGAATTTTCTGGAACAAAAGAGGTGCAGAAATTTTAAATTGTCACCATTCTAAGGACATAACTGATTACACTACCTGCTGCTATGTATTTGGGATCTGAGGAACGTCCTGAGAGTGTAAAGACATATGTTGGAGAGGCTGGACCGCGCCCCCCAGCCCGGCCCCAAAATGGGAAAAGAAGCAAAAGGAATGAAAACTTTCACTTGAGAGAGGTGACCAATACCATACCTAAGATGTTTCTCTTCCAAAATGTTTCTTTGTTCACTTATTCATCCTTTATTCAATGATTTATTCGTTTCAGAAAAGTTTATTGAGTATCTACTGTGAGCCCAGAACTGTGCCAGGTACTGGGAGGTCTAGTTTAAAGGCAGCTTGCCCACAAGGACAGGGATTTCCGCCAAGAATGTTCTGTCCTCATTGCTATAGTGTAAGAAGCAGCTGGATTCCCAAGTCAGCCTTGACATTCAGCAGAACTTAGCGTGTCTGCCTCTAAAAGCACAAACCTGTTTGCTAGACTGTTCTTGTCATTGCCAATGTATTTACTATTGTGTAAAAGTCACGTTTTGAATATAAATTTTTGTCGTATCTTGAAGAAGCAGTACAAAGCCCTAAGAAACAGTTCATAGAAAATAGTTTTAAGTAATTCGAAGAAAGTACCTGTAAATGTAGAGTAATTGCGAAGCTGTCAGGAATAAACAAGATCTTGTAAAGCTA
This sequence comes from Homo sapiens, assembly GCF_000001405.40. Classification (NCBI taxonomy): domain Eukaryota; kingdom Metazoa; phylum Chordata; class Mammalia; order Primates; family Hominidae; genus Homo; species Homo sapiens. The sequence goes on along the minus strand of NC_000004.12, from coordinate 53,010,220 downwards.
TAGAAATGTGTTGAATATGTTTTCTTTGAGGCCAGAGCAAGATAATAACTCGGGAAGAAACTTCTAAAATATCAACTCAGCAAAACAAATGCAAGACTTTTGAGGACTCAGTTATCATGTGGGAGGCTGGATGCTGTGGAGGATATGAGGTAGAATAAGATGGTCTCTAATCTAATCTCAGAGAGGAAATGAAACAAGCCCTTGACTTAGAAGGTGATGTGCTCCAAGCTCTCAGTGCAGCCCGAGAAAGTATAGTGAGCACAGAGCTCCGGTAGGCCAGCAGGCCAGTGAAATGCAAGGGGTTTTGGGAAAGCTACAGGAAACCAGACTGAAGGTGTTTACAGGGCCATCCATGTTCCCACCTGGAATGTGTGTGCTGCTTCCAAACTTGTTCCTCCAGAAAGATAGCTTCAAATTGGACAGGGTTCTGAGAAATGCAATTAAAATGATAAAGGGAAGCAGGGGGTGATAGTGGGAGAGCTCAGATGCCATAATAGTGAAAAAACAAGAAGGTTAGGATCCTTCAGTCTGTAGAAATGGAGGTTGAGACTATGTGTGTCTATAAATGGAGGTTATATATAAGGTCAGCACTAAGTCTCAGAATTACGAGAACGAAGGGAAAGCCATAATCATTTGTGAAGACTTTGACTCCAGTTTCTTCTTTTGTAATCCAGATTCCAGAATATGTTCAGCGGCACATCTGTCCTACAAGGTGCTTGCTAAAAAAAGGTATTCTTTAGCCAAGTAAGTTTGAAAATCTCTGCATACCATGTGTTCTTCCAGTAGATTCTCCCTTTACATTTGATATTAAAAGATCTCAAAAGGTTGTTCTTAAGGAAAACTTATTTAACTTTGTGGTTCTCAACCAGTATTTACCAAACTCATTTGACCATGTAATCCTTTGTTTATTTAGTGCCTATGAGGACTTTGGAAAATGCTTCTGGGAAGATAGGACTCTAAGATTATTAAGGTCCCTGGAAGGAAGTTAATCCATGACAGAGGAAGCGCTACCAACACTGTGAAATTTATTACTTCTAGAGCCAATCAATACTGGACGAAAATAATAAAGGGGCTGATAGTGAGAGAGGACTAATAGTTTGCAAGTAGTAGGAATTTACAGTCATTTATGGAAGATGGCAAGTTCGTCAAAGGTAGTTGGGAGGTGTGGCTGACCATCCAAAGGAAAGCCATTAGAGTCCCCACAGTGCTTTTAGAGGGGTTGTTAAGACCCAGATCTCCACATCAGGCTTTAGATTGTTCTGTCAGGATCACACATCTCTTCTGCACCATCAAAAGAGAAAAGTACATAGAAGAAACTCATTTAAGTTTTGGCTGAATCAAGCAGATCGTTCTGCATGATAGTGAGATTATAGACAATTGGAAAGTACTTCTATTGAACTTTGAGGCCAGTCACATTCTATTAAGTTTCAGTTCATGCCCATTAAAATAATAGCAGCTGGATTCTATAGCTTTTCTCTGAAAACCTGGCTAAGCATTCAAGTTCAACAGTTTTGTAGATTTGTGCTTTTTTTTCTCTAGAAAGCTTTCATTATTTTGAAGAGCGTTTTATACATGCACCTCTCCATTCCCTGACCCTGGCTGACTTTTTACCCTTTCTCTTCCCCACCTCACTGAGCAAGTTTACATAGCTACAGTGTCCTTCCAACATTGTAAAGAGTTTTGTTGTTGTTGTTATTTATTGGACGTTAGGGAGAGCAAATGAATATGATAAGTTTAAAAACTAAGTCTTAGAATAGTTTTCTTTCTCTCAAGCACATTTTAGTTTCTTCTCCTTTTGCTTCATCTTTCCCATTGTGCTCATTATTCTGCCTTCTCCATGCTTCTCCATGATGCTCTGTGCCAGGGTGGGGAGGGAGAGGGGAAGGGGGGGTGTCATTCTACATGGACTGCACCAGTAGGCTCTCTTGCCCTATGGTTTCTGGATGGGATTGGCTAATGCAGAGGCATCAGCTGTAGGTTTTAAGAGGAGAATGAGGCCACCCTCTCCATGGAGCTGTTTTCTCTGTATTCTAGTGCTTCCTGCATGGGCTCCTTGGGCCTACGCATGACCCTGGACTACTAGCCCTCCACTCGTTAGTTTCCTTTAACCTTGCCCACATGTTTGTACATAGTCCTTTTATTCAACTCTCCTCAAATTACCTAGTTTGAGTGAGTTATCTGTTTCCTGCAGAGACTTTGACTGATGTACCCACCTTCCTGTAACCCTCTCCTTTTTGCTCTCCAGCCAGGAACATCATTCATTAGAGCCCAGCTCATGTTCATCTTCTTAAGGAAGCCTCTCTGTTCAGCATGAAGCTCTTCTTGAGATCTCCTAGCTCTTACAGTCTGCCACACTCATAAGCACCTAAAAATGCTCTCTCATGTACTGACTTAAATGCACTAAGACCAATGCTCCTCATGCTTATAAATAATGTTTCATGGATATGTAGGAAGGATGGCTAGTGAGTAGAGGTTGCCAATTGGCAGCCTGACTTTAGGCAGACAATTAGCAGTTATCAAACTTTGATAGAGTACTTCCAGGTGCTGTTAAGCCACACTTAGAGTTGGATACTATTATTACCTCCATTTTACAGGTACAGATGCTGACACATAGAGAAGTGAGGTAGATTGCCCCAGAACATACCTATAATAAGTGCTTGAGCTAGGATTTGAACCTAGACAGTCTAGCTCCAGAATCCATGCTCTTAACTCTGTACTAAGCTACCTCTCACAGTGCTTTTAAATTTTCAAAGCAACAATTATCAGTAACAAGTCTATCCTTCCTCCCTCCCTCCCTCCCTCCCTCCCTCCCTCCCTTCCTTCCTTCCTTCCTTCTTTCCTTCCTTTCCTTCTTTCTCTCTTTCTTTTCTCTCTCTCTCTCTCTCCCTCTCTCTCTCTCTCTCTCTCTCTCTCTCCCTCTCCCTCTCTCCCTCTCTCTCCTCTCAACAAGGTCTTACTCTGTTGCCAAGGCTGCAGTGCAGTGGCACAATCATGGCTCACTGTAACCTTAAACTCCCGGGCTCAAGCAATCCTCCCCTCAGCCTTCTGAGTGGCTGGGACTACAGGCACGTACCACCATGCCCAGCTGATTTTTAATTTTTTTTTAGAGACAGGGTCTCATTACGTTGCCCAGGTTGGTCTCAAACTCCAGACCTCAGGCAGTCCTCCCACTTCGGCCTCCCAAAGTGCTAGGATTATAGGCGTGAGCCACCGTGCCCAGCCCATATTTCATTTTAAAACCTGCATTTCTAGTGTCTCTTGAAAAAATGGAAGATCTGGCTGTTGGGATCCATAGGCCACAGCAACAGTTGGCCAGAGCAAGCAGGAGCTGCCCTGTTCAGGTGGGGTCCATGCCCTTCACTTGTGAGGGCCTCTACCCAGCCTGTTCCTGAATCCATGCTCCTTCCTGACTTCCAGAGGCCTTGAGTCTGGGATCTCTGCATGAAAATGAGTTTTACATGTGGTCTTTGGAAATCACTTGCATGCCTTTAGTCATTTCCCACATGAACTTCTGTTTCCCCAGCTAGATTAGGTTTAGGGAGGACAGTCTATATTTTAAGCTTGCCTCAAAACCTAAAACAGAACAGGTTATACTCAATAAAAAACCTGTGAATTTGAAGAAAACAACCTGCTTCAGTTAACTAAGTAAGCTATTAATAACTTAGGTAACTCAGCAAGGACAGGAGAGGCATGTTTATTCTTGGACTGGAGTTTATCCCTTAAAGCAGTTTGCTTCTAAAGCCAAACAAGTAAAATCTCTGGGTATTCTTGAAGATAGCTGCTATTGGCAATATTGCCCCTATTTTTGATGAAAGGCGAATATCTACTTCACCTCCAGGCCCAATGGTGTGAAGTTTGTAGGAGAGAAAACAACCACTGCTTCAGAGAGCTATGGTAGAGGGGAGAGCCAATTTTAGGTGGAGCAAGGTGAAAGGAAGTTTCAAAGAAGTTGAGAACATAGAGGCTTTTGCTGGTGATGGACATGAGTCCAGAAGGCACAGTGATTGGGGGCTGGGCAAGGGGAAATGGAGGGAGAGCAGGAATTTTCAGAGCCCATCTTGGGAACAGGAGTGATGAGGAATGACTGGGTCCCTCTGGTGACAGATGTACAAAGGGATGCATGACATGCTTTTGATGGTCCTGATGGTTCCCAAAGCAGATTGCAGTCATGAGGCAGTGAGGGTTGAAGGAGCGTCAGGAGTCGGGGAGGGAGAGGTTTGGCCAGGAACACACACAGTGCTGGGTCCCCCTCCTTCCTCTTTTCTCCTGGAGTGTGGAGTGGAGTGCATAACACTCAGTAGGGCTTATTAAAGGGCAAGTTCTCCAGTTAGTACAATGAAGTATGTGGCAGAAAACCCTGTTGGTGAATGTCGGCTTTACTTTTGTGAATGCACACTCAAGGTAGAAGGTTTCAGTAGAATCTAGATGTTATTCTAAAGCACAACTATGAAGCATGCTTCAGTCAGGATAAGAGCATATAATCCTTTTTTTAAATGTAATACTCTTTGTGTCTCTCTGATTGAATGTTTTATTGTTCCATCTTATTATAGCTTGACCCTTCTTTAAGGGGCCAAAGGACTTCAGGAAATAGATGCAAATTTAAGAAAATGAATCATCTTTCCCAAAACAGGAGTCTGTTTTAATGGAATAATCAGCCTTACTTATCGATGAAGGAACATGAAGATCTTATAGTGCTTACAGCTGTCTCTTTAATTTAATGTATGAGGAGAGGGAAACCTCACAAACTTCTCCTTATGAAAAAGTGGAAGTGGTTGAGGGTGCAGAATTGGCCAGAACTTGGGGCTCTTGTTCTTTGCTGAGCAGGGTCAAATGCCTGACCTCCGGGAGGCAAGCCAGGGGCTTTCCTATCAGCAGAGATCAGCAGTGGTGGGTTACTGCTGTTTACTCTCCTTGCAACTTTATGGAAAAGTACAGAATTAGCAGCTCTCTCCAACATCTATTACCTTGGTCTCATGGACTTGGGGAGTGGAGTCATGACCAAAGTTAAGAGTAGAAATCCTGGCCGGGCACAGTGGCTCACACCTGTAATCCCAACACTTTGAGGGGGCCAAAGACGAGTGGATCACTTGAGGTCAGGAGTTCGAGACCAGCCTGGCTAACATAGTGAAACCCCGTCTCTACTAAAAATACAAAAATTATCCGGATGTGGTGGCACATGCCTGTAGTCCCAGCTACTGGGGAGGCTGAGGCAGGAGAATTACTAAACCCAGGAGGCAGAGGTGGAAGTGAGCCAAGATCACGCCACTGGTGTCACTTCAGCCTGAGCGACAGAGCGAGACTCTGTCTTAAAATAAAGAATAGAAATTTCTGTCTGTCCTGAGAGCAGTGAGGTTTCATGGGTGCTGGGGGAATGGATACTTTACCCCTAAAAATACCCCCAACCATAAGCAGTTTCCCTGACTGTCTTCCTTACTTCCAGTGGTGCACCATCTGTCTTCAGGGTGTCAGGGTGGGGATTCACCACAGGAAGTTTCTAGAATGCCTCCGACCGTATTTGCAAGTGTTGAACCCTCTCACCACCTAACCTCCATTGGCCCATCTGTCCCCAGCCACACTTGGCACATAATCAATGCTTTCAAATTCTAACTCTACCACTTACTACTTAGCTGTGTGACCTTGGGCAAGCTACTTAACATCTACGTGCCTTAGTTCCTTCCTCTGTCAAAAGGAATCATAATAGTACCTATCTTGTAGGGTCATTGTAGGAATTAAATGTAGTAAATGCCGGGCATGTGTAAGGGCTATCTGAATGTTAGCTATGGGACTTATTCTGATTACAATGGCAGTGGGTGTCTGGCCAGCCACCAGATCACCTTTATGCAAGATAATTACCTTTCTATTTCTCTGGTAAGCAGACATGGGTAATTGAAGTTGACCTACCATGTCCTCCGTGTGGCCCACATTTACGTTCCTTTCCATGCTCTCCAATCTTCTGGTTTTCCTGTAGCTGAGATACCCACTGGATTGGGCAGCTCTAGACTACAGCTATTCTGAATCAGGCCTCAGAGGTCTCCATCACTGACCACATATCGTGTGCATGTTCTTATTCAGTTTCCTTTTGTGGCTAAGGAATGGACACCTAAGTACTGCTTCTTTTTATAGAAGGCTCTGACTAGCATATTTGCTGATTAAAAGGAAGGCCTCACAGAGCATTCATTTTGAAGAGCATAGTAATACTTAAGAACCAGGACTATTTCAGACATTTATTGCAAACTGTTTATTTCCTAAAATAAGGAGGGCATGCTTTTTGTTTACATCCTCCTAATGAGAATTCCTCAGGGGTTTGAAAACTGTTATTGTGCCCTTTTCGTCTTCCCCTACATTTCAGCCTACCCATCCAAGAAGCATCTGACCAGTGCTATCATGAAGGTTGTGATTTAACTTTGAAAGGAATCCTTTTCTACTGTCCTCCTTAGAGTTGTAGCAAGCTGCCTTCATTGACCAAATGTACATCATAACTTATCATAGTTCAAATCCTATCACCTGTTTCTGTCTCCTCTGGGAGATATTCCTTGACCCCATCCCATTAAGTTCTTCTCCCTCTGTGCAATTTCTGTACAGGGACACAACTTTATTGTTGTCCTTATCACTCTACTCTAACATTTAATGACAGTTTAATACTGCTTTCTATGTGCCAGGCACAGTGGTAGATTCTAAAAATCTAACTGCAAATAAAACTTGAAGACAGTGGTATCTCGTAGAACATTCTGTGAGGATGGAAATGTCCTATATCTGCATTACCCAGTATGATAGCTGCTACCCATAGATGGCTATTGAGCACTTGAAATGTGGCTAGTGCAACAGAGGAACCAAATGTGTAATTTTATTACTTCATATGTACATGTAAATAGCTACATGTGGCTACTGATTACTGTATTGAACAGCACAGCTCTAAAACGTAAGTCTGATGAGGACAGAGATCCGTGTCTTTTGTTTATCACTCTACTCCCAGGGCCAAGAACAGTGCCTGCCATATGGCATGAATGAAAGAAAGAAAAGAAGGACGAAAGGAAGGGAGAGAGGGAAAAGAGAGAGATGGGTGATCTGGTTTGGATCTGTGTCCCCACCCAAACCTCATGTTGAATTGTAATCCCGTGTTGGTGGTGGGGCCCAATGGGAGGGGACTGGATCATGGGGGCAGAGTTCTTGTGAATGGGTTAGCACCATCCCCTCAGTGCTGTTCTGCTGATAGTGAGCGAGTGAATTGTCATGAGATCTGGTTATTTAAAAGTGTGTAGCACCTCCCACCTCTCTCTCTTCTTCCTACTCCCACCATGTAAGATATCTGCTCCCGTTTTGCCTTCCGCCATGAGTAAAAGCTCCCTGAGGTCTCCCTAGAAGCAGATTCCACCATGCTTCCTGTACAGCCTGTGGAACCATGAGCCAATTAAACCTCTTTTCCTTATAAATTGTCCAGGCTCAGATATTCCTTTATAGCAGTGTGAGAACAGACTGGTACAACAGGTCTCTGACCTTGTAGAGCTTAAATGTAGTAGAGACCCATTTGTTTATATATTTGCTTATAGATCTTTAAGTTCCAGAAGACAGGGATTGTCTTTTCTTTGCCCATATCCTTATACCCATTGCCTAAAACTGTATCAAGGCTCATAGGAGGGGCTCAAGAAATGTTAGTTGAGTTGAAACCAATGCTGAATAAATGCAAGATTGGTAGTGGTGGGGATAGTAATCCTAGTAGTGGTTGTTGTTAATAGGAAGAAAACTTACCCTTCCCCAGTGATATTAAGCAAGGCTGCTGTTGTTCATAGTAGGAAGAAAGATACCCCACCCAGTGCTGTATATCAGACAAGCAATGTTGGTGCCGTCTGGTGGTGGTATCCTCTCCAGGCCTTCTAAGTCTATCAAGCAAATCTGCCTTCTCTGACATATCCTCACCTCTTGCTCCCTGTTTGGCTTGGAAATCCAGCTACTTACCACTAAAATCCTTTATAAAGAGAAAGGGAGATAGTCATGATTATTTATTATGCCACCTTTAAGCCCTGTCCCCATCATCCCCTTATTCGTGTGTTTCTCACAAGGGGCCTCTCTTGGTGCCTTTCTCTGCTCTGATGCTTCCTTTTTGAACCGTATCATTCTGACCTTCCTCTTCCCTTCTCCTTGACAACCATGACCAAGCTGTCAGATTATTACAGGACATCCAATAATTATTGAATAGTTATTTATTATTCAGTAAACCACAAGATCACTTAATAGCAAATAGTGGAAAAAATGTTGGCTTTGTACGTGGACACCTTGGATTCAAGTCTTAGCTTTACAGCTTACTACTTAGATTAATTTGGGCCAATTATGTAAACTCTCAAACCCTCAGTGTCCTCATCTGTAAAATGGCATAATAATGCATCTCTTATAAATTTACTCTGAGGATTAAGTGAGACATTGTAGGTAAAGTATCTAGCACAATGCTTGGTGTGCAATAAATGTAAGCTTTCTTCTCTCCTTAAATATACCAACATATACATATTCCCAAACATATACATAGGAATTTAACGTCAATTTTGAGTGTTCAAGTTTTAATCACACTTCACCGTTTTGTATTGTCCTATACACCTATTTCACTGTTAAAAGATTAAACTACTAAAATAATAATCTTACTATCTACCTTTCATGTGGAAAACTAGTTTGTTTTAGTTTATTAATAAAGCTAAGCATTGTCGCCATGCAACATAGTTGGAAATTCCTTTTACAAGTAATAAAAAGCCATGTTTTTGTATTTTTTAAATTACAAATCAAGCAAACCACCTAATCAAGCCAAATAAACAAAGAGAAACAAAATACTGGAAAAACAGTTCGGTAAAAGGCAAATCAGTAACGCTAAAAGGGAAGTACTGTACCTCCAATGTAAATTCTTCAGTGTAATTAGGGTTAATTCCCGTGCTGCTGTGTGCTCTCCTGACTGTCCTGGTAGAAAGAACAACAATTTACAAACGTAAATTCTCACTGTAGAACCTCCCTTTGTGGGAGACATCTTCAGTTCTCTGGAGCCACTGTATGCTCCCTCCCCAAAGACAACATGAGCACTAAACAGCCCTTCAGCAAACTTAGTTCTAAGGAGGTAGCTGCACTGTGCTACATAACTGCAGTTAGCTTTGATTACTGTATTGCAAAGTTATATTTGAGAAGTATCAAAATTGCTAGTGTTGTTTTACAAAGAAAGCAGCCAGTGTCATAGTGTTTACTCTAATCTAATTCATTGTTCTTGATTAATGACTTCTATGCTAGAAGAATGCTAGATCCTTCTAGAGCAGGGGTCCCCAAACCCCCGGGTCATGGACTGGTATAGGCCTGTGGCCTCTTAGGAACCAGGCCGTATACCAGGAAGTGAGTGGTAGGCAAAGACCCTTTTTCACCGCCTGAGCTCTGCCTCCTGTCAATCAACAAGCACATGTTGAGTTGTTGCTATGTTAGTGTAACAGGTCCTCAACAACAAGTGCCCTTCCCATGAGGGACTCTTGCTTCTCTCTGCTGGTACAAATCTACCAAACCTGTTCAAAGGATACCCACAGCGAGGACCAGGGGCAGTAGGCTGGCCTGGAAGATAGGCCAAGACTCTGGGTAACGTGATGCTTGGCGCTATGGCCTGGGAACTTTGGAACTCAGGACTCAGCTTATGGATCCCCTGGCTCCTCTGTACACAATCTGGCTGGATTTCTTACCTTTCCTCCAGTAGAATAGGTGCAAAGTCAGATGCCTCATGGAGCCACACAGATAGTATAAACATGAATGGTGGGTGGTTGGAGACTGTGTCCCATCTAAAGGGAGCAGCTCCAGCCACTTGTTGCTGAGTTGGAATGTGGGCCGAATTTTGTAGTATCTAGTTTTTCTAGAGAAGCTGAAAGTCTCTATTTGTATGTGAAATCTTTTGATTTTTAGATATAGAGAGCAAAATCTGTTTGGGGCCTCCAACAGAATTCAGGTGTCTACCATCACCTGGCCACCTAATGGGCGTTCCAGGTACGAGGCTTTTCTGGCCTTTCTCAACCTGTGCTCTCCTCAGACTGGATACCAAAGGGAGCAAAGGCAGTACCCTGTGAAAGCACTTGAGTTTGCAGTCCCTGCCTCCCGCAACATCCCATTATCCAGTCCCACCATTTAGTGAGCATCTGCTATGCCCCAGGCACTGTGCCTGAGGGCTTGCTGGACAGGAGTGCAAAGATTAAGAAAATACAGTCCCTGAGGAGCTCCCTGGCTTGTGTGGAACACACAGGTAAATAAATAGACCACAGGAGAAATGCCAACCAGAGGAGGCTGCCCAGTGTCCCAGCAGCTCAGCGACTGCCATCCTTCCCATTGCACAGAACAGCCCAGGAGGATCAGAGAGGACAACAAGGAAGTCGTCTCTGACACCTCTTTAGACTCTCACAGTGGCCTGACCTTGAACCGTGATGATCATAATGCAACAGATGGTGTTCTCTTTTGGTGATTTCAAAGAAGTCGTGGTTTACCCAAAAACAACATTATAGAAGAAGCAGGCAAAAAGTGTAAAGCTCATAGTCAAATGGACGAGAATGTCAAACAGTATTTAATAGGGGTTGGCAGGGGAAACATGACCCTTCGCACATTTTACCTTGATGTCCCTGCCCTCCACACATACCAGGTCCTGTCAGACACACAGTCAGCTGAGTTGAATGTGAAATATCGTAGTCCAATTTGTTTTTACAAATTTTTCATCAAGGCAAAAACCAAAACAAAGAAAAATAAATGCCCCTCTCATGTTGATACCTCCCACAGTTCCCTCTGATTTGTGTCACCTCCTTCCTGCCCCCAACCATTTTCGTAACACACTACCTCTGGGCAAGAGGAACAGAATTGCAATCTGATGAGAGTTATTAAATGGAATACAAATGAATTCATTCACAGTCTACTAATTTTGAGTAGATTCATGGTCATTCACACTGGTATTGGACTGAAGTCTCTTTTGTCCTGTGAAATTAGGGAGTCAAAGCAATTGATTGGTGTAAAGAAGGTTTTAGGGTATAGGCAATCAGGGTGCTAATTATATGTAGTCCTTGTCAATCTGTTAAAGCAGGTGCCCAGGGATTTTACTCGCCAACACTCTTGAAGGCTCATCTTATGTTCTTGAAAGTAATAATCATTCAATTCTTTAAAAGTCAACTCCATGTATTAACCCTTATTGCTAATTCAAAATGCCCTGAAATTAAATTTCAGAGGAAATAGTAGGAAGCATACATTTGGCTGGATTTACAGAAAAGGATAAGGTGGATTTTGCCCCAGATGAGGGTTTATTTTCATGGAACTTTGTTCTCCAACCCTATAGCTCAGGGACTGTTGGAATGGATCATAACACCCCAAAATGTGTTTTAGTCTAAACAGTGTGTTAATGGCATACCATGTCATTATTGTTAATATTATTATTATTATTGATTATTACTCAAAAGTATTTCCTTTAGTATTTTGAAGCATCACTCTTGTTTTTCATTTTTGCAGAGTCAGGAGTAAATGCGCAGTCCATTTGTGACTCTGTCGTTCTTGCCAGCTGTGGTTGAGCATCAGTCTTCTTTTTGGGTGATCTTACCAGGAAGGAGTTCCTCCTGACTACAAAGAAGTGTGGCTCCACACCTACAGTTGTTTCTCCAGCTGGGGCTAAAGGGGCTGGCACTAGCAAAGTTGAGATAGTTCTTTTGAAATTAACTTTCCCTTTCATTTTCATGAATGTGGAAATAATACATTCATATATATGAACAAGAAGGATTTAATCTCTTATCATTGACATACTCTGACGGCTGAATATGCAGTTGGCCATGGTACCTAAAAGTTTCTCAGGATGCAAAGCACTCATTCTTCTTTGAAGTAAAACCAGCCTTGCTTCCATTTCTTGTTGTTTGGTACTTACAGTATTTTCTATCTCCTGCGAGGTCAGTGGCTATGTCTGTCTGACCTCACACTTCAGCCTTGCAGTGCCTGGCACATAGTAGGACTTTACTGAGTATCTGATGGATGATTGCTAAGATTTTACCCCTTCAGTGTTACATGTTTTTTTCATTATCCCAGGCCTTGCCAATGACTGCAGCTTTCCTTGTGCACTCATCTCAGTTTCACCACTAACTAGCAGGGTGACCTAGCCTAGAGAAATAATCTCTCTGGATCCTAACTTAACCATCTGTAAAATGAAGGGGTTGGGTTTCATCCACTCAAAAGTCCCTTGCATTTATACCAATATTCTACCAGGTATTTGAAAGAATTAGATCATCTAATGAGGAAGAATATAAGGAAAATAATGTTACTACTCTTGATTAGTAGTCAGAACAAGCTAGACTATCTTAACTTTTAATTGTGTGTCTCTTGAGAAGATATTTTTAGCACCATGCCAAATCCCAGAGTCCAAGGGCTGCCAGGGATATAGGCATAGAAGACCCTCTGGGCAAAGACAGACTCCTCATCAAATAGTTGGGGTTTGGCCCTAATTCCTTATCTGACTGTCTAGGTTGGTGAGGGGGTTACACCATATAGAAGCCTCTGGGTCTGTTTTTGCCTAAAGTCTATTTTCTCTGAGGTGAAGGAACCTGTTTTCCCCAGGCCTAAGCCCTGAGGTTGGCCTTTTTGATGCTTTACCATTCCCCAGGCCAGCAATAAAATGAAAAAGCAATCTTAGAAAGCCTTTCTCTGAACACTAGACCACACCTAATGGCCTTATCCACTCCAGAGCTCCCATCCCCTGGTTCTACTCCAAAGTGGGCCCCCCACAAGTAGGAGGCTTGTCTTTCTGCACGTGCTCCTGGGAAGGATGAGAAGACACACTACAATAGGCTTTTTCGCCTTTCTATTCCTGCCACGGAAAGTTCCAGTTGCCCCTAACACCAGGGCCCTCCTGTGTTTTCCTGAGAGCTCTTTGATCCCTTGATCCAAGTGCAGAGGGCCTTTCTTTTGGGGCTTGAGTGGGAGGAGGGAAACCTCAAGCTCCCTTCAAAAGCTACACATGGAGCCAACAATAACAACTCATTGGACATAGCAGGAGCCTAAGGGAAAAGTTCTGAAGTGGGCGCAGAGGGGTTCAGTCCTAAAGATTTCCAGGACTGTGGCATGGAGAGGTACCCTCAGTCTGGGGGAATAAGGTCATGGTTACCTGAGCCAAACCTAGTCAATAGCTGGCCTGGAGTCATGCATGCCCCTGAAGCAAGATAAGGGTTAAACGTTTGGAATGTGCCTGATGGCACTGCTGTTCTGAGTATTCTATTTTGTTTTTTATTCTGAGTATTTTAGATGCACACATGCAACCAAGTGCTCATTCTGAGTTTTGAAAGAAGACTTGATTTTGCTTCCAGTGAGTGGTGTTTCCAATAGAAGCACTGGAATGCAGCCTTATCTTTTCCTTCTCTTGGGTTGATCCTTTGTCCTGGCTGCTGACCTTGCTCCTTCCTCACACAAGGAGATTTTCTTGGTTGGGAAAAGTAACAGATGCAGACAGCCTAATTTGTTCTTGGCAAGAGCCACAATCTGCATTGCTGTGAGGGTCAGGAGAATCATAAATCATTCACAGAGTTCTGGTTTTCTGAGATGAGATGGGCCAGATTAGTTAGAATTTCATTTTGTTCTCCCTCTTCTCACCCCAAGCCGCATATACTCCTATAGCTGCTTATCCACAACACCAGCATCTTCCTTTTTATTTCTCAGAAGGGGAAGGGAGGGAATGTTCTCTCCAAATGAACATGAAACACATTGAGTTGGTATGTGATGATGCCATGACGCAGTGACTGGGACAACTTGAAAGCTGAAACATAAAACAGCTTTTAAAAAGGGAAAATAACACCAATGTGTTTCCAATGTGCCCTGCACAGGAAACAGGGCTGGAGGCTCCAGTGACGGTCAGGCGACTCCACTCCAGCTGGAGGATTTTTATCATTGCTCTGTTATCGTCTGCACATTACAGTCGCCAAGACCTCCTTGCTCAAGCTCTGGGAGGCAGTGGGGTCCTTATGGCTAGAGAGACTTGGAAAGGCATGACCTTGTGCATCCCCCTGTCTCTTTCAGCATGTAGGATTTCAAGTAAGTCTGGTCCCTGACTGACTCAGGGGGTGTAAATGTGTGAGGAAAAAACTTCCATAATCGAGGTGACTTTTTGTTTAGGCTTTATTCTCTTTGAACTAGAGATTGAGGAAGAAAGTGACTCAAAAGGCAGTACCAAGATTTCAGTCATTTGTTTAATGTTGAATAGGCAGAGAGTGACACTCTGGATAGATCTGGCATTGACTGAGAGCCCTGTTTTACTGCCATCAGCAGGACCAGTCTTCCTCTTTGCCACCACTGAGGATCCACAAGCTAATATGGGACTCTTGTTCTTTACTGGATTTTAGACCAGGAGGTAATAGGGCACCCTCAGACCTCATATGTGGGACATAACACAGCAGTGGAATGCATGTGGAATACCACGATGACCCACTTATAACCACCGTGCTATTTAGAATTTTCAACCCCTCCCCCTCTCCTTTTCCTTCTGCCACTCTTTCTTTGCCCCTTTCCTTGTGATGGTGTCAGGAAAGGTTTTAGTTCCTCAAAGTAGGCATTACTTCCACAGCAGTCTTCAACAAAGGTTTATTGTGAAAGACATGAAAGGAGATTGAAAGCTTTTGGATTATCCATAATCTTTATTTCTCTTACCCAGACCAGGCATGATGCTACATGCTGGTCAAACGGAAGTGACTCAGTTCTTGCTCTTAAGAAACTGAATCTAGAAGAGAAGACACAAGTAAACACAATAGTTGCTCTAGGGCAAGGGTCCCCAATTCCTGGGCCACGGACTGACACTGGTCCACGGCCTGTTAGGAACCAGGCTGCACAGCAGGAGGTGAGCAGTGGGCAAGGGAGCATTACCGCCTGAGCTCCACCTCCTGTCAGATCAGCAGCAGCGTTAGATTCTCTTGGGAGTGCGAACCCTATTGTGAACTGCCTATGGGAGGGATCTAGGTTCCGCGCTCCTTGTGAGAATCTAATGCCTGATGATCTTTTACTGTCTCCCATCACTCCCAGATGGGACCATCTAGTTGCAGTAAAAGAAGCTCAGGGCTTCCACTGATTCTACATTATGGTAAGTTATATAGTTATTTCCTTATATATTAAAATGTAATAATAATAGAAATAAAGTACACAGTAAATGTAATGCACTTGAATTATCCTGAAACCATCCCCATGCCACCCCCCTGATTCATGGAAAAATTGTCTTCCACAAAACTGATCCCTGCTGCTCTGTGGTATCAGTTTGCTTTCTTTCCTACATAGCCATTATTTGTAAGTAAATTAATGTCCTCTCCAGCAACAGATGTTGGTTGCTATCATTAACATAGTAGGTGTTTGCAAGGCTTTTTTTTTATGACGATGATGATGGTAATGATGATAAATATAGTGTATGATATTATGCAGATGTAGATACTCTCATTTTTTTCCTGTTGTTAATGAGGGAATGTTTTTGCATTGCAAACAGTGAGGACAGAAACTATGTCAGTGTCTGTCTAAATTGCTGCGTGGAGTCTCACAACAGACAGGACTTTAATCGCCAACAGTGTGGTATATCTGTCGAGTGGAGTAGAGGAAGGGCTAGAGCCCTGGAGTTCAAGTGTAATCCCCACACCACCTGAGAGTCCAAGGGAGCATGAGGCTATTTGATACCTTGGTTTACTCATCTCTAAAACAAGGTCCCTGTGTCAAATGGGCCAGATGATCTCCAGATCTCTCACTGACCAGTGGGGCTTGCCGTCCACCCTCTATTTGACAGGTGAGGGCACCGATGGCACTGACTTGGGCAATGTTTAATTGACTTGCTCAAGGTCAAGATCAGCAGAGCTAGAAGTAGAATCCAGTTCTCTGGCACCAAGTCCCGTGCTCTTTCCACTTCCCCGCTCATAATTTCAGGGTGGTCCGAGGCAGTATAAGAGGCTAGTGAAATGTTAGAGTTTTGAAGAAAACTGAAGTAGTAAGGCAGTGTTAAGAAAAACAGGGAATCCTCTAGGTTTGGTCAGAGTTCATCCAGGACTTGCCCAGAATGCTTGAGCTCCCTCAGGAACACCTGGCTGTGATCCACAGCCCTCCAGGTGTCTTTTCATTTCTCCCCCAACCATTCAGAGGAACTGCTGGCCTGAGGATGCCCCAGGAACAGCCCCACTCCTGGCCTGTGGGGAGTTACCCCTGAACAGGAGCAGCTCCAAACCCAGCTGTCTAGAGCGGGACCAGCCTCAGGGCTGGGAGGAGGGCTGGGGCCCAAGCAATGCGGTCTGCGCTTTGTTTCCCTTGCCGTGGCACTGCCAAGACCTGCAGTACACGCCCCCAGTCATCGTTTTGACAACCCCAATATCTCCCACACTTCCCTCTGTCTCCAGAGCCTTTTTCTGAGGCTATTTATTACTAAGTACAGAACAGTCTATAAATAATTTTCATGTCAAAAGAAAAGTACCTGTGCTAGAGAGTTACAATGATTCCAATTAATTTTATGACCATTTTTATCATTGGAGTTTGGAAACTTGGAGTGGAAATCCAGCAATATTGCCAACTTTTGCCTGGTATGAGTGGAGTGGCATTTTTATTTCACCCTGTATGCCAGCCCCTTGCCACTGTCTTCGTTTCTTCAGTTTTCTTGAAGCAGTCATTTTGAAGAGATAAACAATGTATGTAAAAAATTACATGGAACCTGCAAACACACTTGAGACTAAAATGCGGAGCTGCTTCTAGATATGCATCCTAGTGAGCCACTGAAAGTACTTTGATGATTTAGTTGCCGCACATAAATAAAATATTCAATTAAATTAAAAAACATACTTTTTTTATTTTTTTATTTTTTTAGTATTTATTGATCATTCTTGGGTGTTTCTCCGAGAGGGGGATTTGGCAGGGTCACAGGACAATAGTGGAGGGAAGGTCAGCAGATAAACAAGTGAACAAGGGTCTCTGGTTTTCCTAGGCAGAGGACCCTGCGGCCTTCCGCAGTGTTTGTGTCCCTGGGTACTTGAGATTAGGGAGTGGTGATGACTCTTAACGAGCATGCTGCCTTCAAGCATCTGTTTAACAAAGCACATCTTGCACCGCCCTTAATCCATTTAACCCTGAGTGGACACAGCACATGTTTCAGAGAGCAGGGGGTTGGGGGTAAGGTTATAGATTAACAGCATCCCAAGGCAGAAGAATTTTTCTTAGTACAGAACAAAATGGAGTCTCCTACGTCTACTTCCCTCTGCACAGACACAGCAACAATCTGATTTCTCTATCTTTTCCCCACATTTCCCCCTTTTCTATTCGACAAAACCGCCATCGTCATCATGGCCCGTTCTCAATGAGCTGTTGGGTACACCTCCCAGACGGGGTGACTGCTGGGCAGAGGGGCTCCTCACTTCCCAGACGGGGCAGCCGGGCAGAGGCATCCCCCACCTCCCTCCCGGACGGGGCGGCTGCCTGGCGGAGGGGGGGCTTCACTTCACACATGGGGCGGCTGCCGGGCGGAGGGGCTCTTCACTTCTCAGACGGGGCGGCCGGGCGGAGACGCTCCTCACCTCCCAGATGGGGTGGCGGCCAGGCAGAGGCACTCCTCACATCCCAGAAGGGGTGGCGGGGCAGAGGCACTCCCCACATCTCAGACGATGGGCGGCCGGGCAGAGACGCTCCTCACTTCCTAGAGGGGATGGCGGCCGGGAAGAGGTGCTCCTCACTTGCCAGACTGGGTGGCCGGGCAGAGGGGCTCCTCACATCCCAGACGATGGGCGGCCATGCAGAGACGCTCCTCACTTCCCAGACGGGGTGGCGGCCCGGCAGAGGCTGCAATCTCGGCACTTTGGGAGGCCAAGGCAGGCGGCTGGGAGGTGGAGGTTGTAGCGAGCCGAGATCACGCCACTGCACTCCAGCCTGGGCAACATTGAGCACTGAGTGAGGGAGACTCCGTCTGCAATCCCGGCACCTCAGGAGGCCGAGGCTGGCAGATCACTCGCGGTTAGGAGCTGGAGACCAGCCCGGCCAACACAGCGAAACCCCGTCTCCACCAAAAAAATAGGAAAACCAGTCAGGCGTGGTGGCGCGCTCCTGCAATCCCAGGCACTCGACAGGCTGAGGCAGGAGAATCAGGCAGGGAGGTTGCAGTGAGCTGAGATGGTGGCAGTACAGTCCAGCTTCGGCTCGGCATCAGAGGGAGACCGTGGGGAGAGGGAGACTGCGGGGAGAGGGAGACCGTGGGGAGAGGGAGACTGTGGGGAGAGGGAGAGGGAGAGGCAAAAACATACTTAAGAAAAATATACGCACACATTTTAAGGCTGCTTGGGGAAATGTATCCACTATAAAGACATGTACATTTTTTAAGTTTTTACCCTACCTCATTCCAAAAGGATTCAAGATCACTTTGGGACAGATACTGGCAGATAAAACAATCTGAACTCAAAATGTAATGGCAGAATGGCTTCCTTACTACACAGGCCTCCCATTTCCACAGCTACAGCTACAGCTACAGCTACACCCCCAGTTTCAGAACCAATACTCTTCTTAGCCAGAGAGAATTCAAACCACTTCCCTCATTTGGGAGTTGGGTGGAGCAATGTCAAGTCATCTTGAGGATGTTCTGCTCAGATGTGGTGCATTAGTAACCAGGCCCTTAATCCAACTCCTCTCCCTGAGCCTTCAGTGAACTTTGTCTCTGGGTGCCAGTCTTGTCCCCCAAGGCCAAGCCCATCCTCAAAACCTGTGTAATTTCCTTGATCCTCCAGATTTGGGAACCTTCCATCCTCCCCCTAGCCCAGTTGGTAGTAGGGGTTCTCCCCTGAACCCCAATCCCTCCTCCTAAGGTGGAAGGGCAAAAATGTGGACTTCGAAATCAACATATCTGGGAGTGACTCTACAGTGTACCTTTTTACTGTCATTAAAACTTTGACAACTTACTTCAATTTTCTTTAGATAGGAGGAATAATAATACCAATCTCAGAGATTTTGGTGAGGATGAAATGAGGTAACACAAAGTGCTTCAGACAGGGTATCATATTTAGTGCATGTCAATATTGTTATTACCTCTCCCCAAGCATACTGAACACCAACCATCTATCTCCCATGTCTCACCATATTAACCTGAAAACAAGCTTCCCTGCAGGCCAGATCTACTCAGCCCCCTTTCTGCCTGCAGAATACCCTCTAGTACCTCTTAGTGGACTTCCTTCCCTCTCCCTGTCCTACTCTCTACTCCTCATCACAGAATCTGATTTTGCACACTGAAGGGCCTGCCTCACATTGTCCACCTACAGCCAGGTGTGTTCCACATCCAGGTGGGTCAGTCCAGACTTTCCCACATTCTCCACCACCACCTCAGCCCAGGGTCTGATGGAAGTGAAGATAAAACTGATGCGTAAGAGTTACAAGAGTGGACAGTTTCTTTATCATTACTGCATTTCTCTTTTGTTGGAAAGACCAATCCTTTAAATGTTTCATGACTTTTACCCTTATTTTTTTTTCTTTATTCTAAAACTAGTAGCTACCATGATGAACAAGATAGACACAGTACCTGCCTTCAATTTGTGTATGCTTTAGTAAGAGAATACTATACTGGACAGTATATTACACATTTGACATTCCAAGTCTCAAAATACCCAGTTTTAACTTTGTACTTTACATGATTCTTCCACTTGGGAAAGTTGCTTAAACCATCTGCACGTCATTTTCTTCATCTGAAAAATGGGAATAATGCTAGCCTCCACCTATGGCTTTGCAAGCAGCCTCAGCTCTCCCCATTGGCTGGTCTCCTTAATGTAGTACACAAATGGTACAGCTATAGGAAGATCCCTGAATTAGATAATTCACTTTAAATACTTAAAAAGTAACACTGAAAGGCTGACACATTGTAAATTTCTAGCAATAACATTATTAATTGTAATAGTGGAATGAGACTAATGAGAACACATTGGGAAGACAGATTAATATCATTCAGAGCCTTATATATTTTGCAGCAGCTTTGTCTCATTAGAAACATGTTTTCAGTCGATATTAAATGTAAGAAAACAGCTTTCTTCTTATCACCAGCTCATTCTTCAGAAGCCACTGAATCATGTGAGATGTCTCTTTCATTTTTGACCCCTGCTTCAGCACTCCTTCTAAAAAGATAGTAAATGAGCATGTTACATTTGCTGCTGCAGTTAACTACTGTCTGTGAGATGCAGCAAGAGATTATCTGAGAGCATGTGCGTAAATGATAGATTGCCTCGAGCCTATTTATACATGCAGCAGTAATGAGGAAAAGTTGAAGGAGGCATGAAGGATGGGAGGGAGGGAAGGAGAGAGATGATGCCAGAATGTGCAGAGTGTAGACAGAGGAAGAGAGTCAAAGAAGGAAAAATAAAGAGAGGTGAACAGCAGGACTAGAAACATGTAAGCAGAGATGGTGGGAGGGGGCATCAGTAGGTAAAAGGAAAGAAGGGAACAGAGAAAACTCATTAGCAACCAACAGAAAAGGCAGAATTTTGAGAAAACAAAATGCATCAGGCAGATTGGGAAGAAAGTAGAATGAAAGAAATGAAAACAGGAATCAAGGTGAATAGAATCCAATGCCACAGTGGGAAACATACATTATTAGATGATGTCGATTTTATGTAAACAAGGGAGCAAAGGTTTTGTCTGATAGAAATTTCTGAACTCCTTTGAAGTCACTACCATAAGCATTCCACAGGCATTCTATTCCTTCTTTGCATTGTATTTAAAATGGGCACACTAGGGAAAATTACAGAGTGTCTTTATCATAAGTTGAACTCCTAAGCTATCACATTTCAAATACTGAAACACTATCATATAATATTAAAGGAAATTATAGTATGAATAGAGACAAAACTGAAGTTATTCTGTTAATAAGACTATTTCCATCATCTTTCCTTAGGATGCTTTATCCATAGTGGCATGTTGGTCTTATAACATCCCTTTAGGAGAAATTGATGGGCATAGCATGGTTTTTATTTCACCAAACATGGTTAAAGGACTAATAAGATAATCCACAAATTAGTCACAGAACTAGGGACATCATCCAAGTTTCTTGTTCCATTTGTACAATGATTGCCCACTCTGTTCATCCTACAGAAACAAATGAACCAGGGATTAAACACACCCAGGTGGGAGTCTGGACTCCCTGATGTTATAACTTTATAAACTGGAGCAACTCTGATGTTCTTTGTTAGGTTTCTCTTTCTATAAAATGGAGATACTGCCACTTTTTTCCCCCAGGATTATTATAACTATTAGGGATAAAATATATAAAGTGTTTGAAACAGGTAGATAGTCGACACATTGTAGCAATTATCATTTTCATGCAACAGCAAATAGTCATACATATCTTTACAGTAAAAAAGAAGTATTAATATCATTGTATTCATCAAAAAGGTGGGGGAGACAGCAAGATTAAATTAGAGCAGGAAAGGAAAATAATGGAAAAGCTTGCTAGAGTGGTTGTATCCTATAGTAAAATGGAAATGTATTCCTGTATTGCCTCTGAGTCAGTGTACCTCAGTGAAAACAAGTACAGAAATGAAATAAATTCAACTGCAGCCTCATGAAGTACTATTAAAATGGAGGTTTGGCGTCCCTCAGAAAATGTCTTCATCTGTACCTGATGGTTGAGGTAACGAATTAAGGGGGATCCAGACTATAAAAAGAAGAGTCTCGAAGGTTGAAGCCTGATTTTTTGACATTCGAAAACCTAAGAATCAGCAGCGGTCATTCTCCCTCAGACTTCATCACTCAAACTTAAAGCCTTTCTGGAGCCCAAGGACACAGAGACCTCTAAGCTGTGTAACCAGGACATTGGACAAATGTGGTTCGTAAGATTAGGTCCTAAAGCAACATTATTTTGTTTTTCACTGTTTCTTTAAATTATTCAATGGGATCCAGTTCTTCCCCTACCCCAGGATGAATATTTGGGTGAGGCCATAACTTTTCTGTTCATCCTTAAGGAATACAAACAGTCTTAATTTGCTAATTTGTAAGTCCAACTCCATGTCATAGTCAAAACTCGGAGTGTGATTTACAGTTAACGCATTTTCTCTCTCCCAGCTTCTGTGTGCTGCAGTTGATGACGGGAGGTGTGTCTGGCTCCTTCTCTCTCCCTCACATAAGGTTTCTCCTTCTCCTCCCACAGCTGATGAATTGTAGGTTCTGACCTCTGCAAGGTTAGAGTTTAGGGAAGCACTGGAAAGTCCTTACTTGTCTGACACTGTAATGAGCTGGTGTCACACTCTCTGATCTTCGCAGACGTTTCAACCTGGCACTTTCTCTTCATATGCACTTTGGTAGGATCTTCTGAGACACCCATTGCTTGTGCTGTCTCACTTGCAGTTCCTCCACATGGGGGAAATGACACCCTAGCTATTACAGTGGATCAGTTTGATGAGAGGGAATTGCATTGCGGCGTTTTATGTGTTGTTTTATTTTTGTGGATAGCAGAATAGTTGTGTGTACCATTGCCATCTCAGTTAACAATGTAAAAAGCACAAAAATAAGTCAAGTAAATGAAAAAAATCAAGATAAATGAATCTGAACAGAGATACTACTGCTTGGAGTTAGTTCAGTGAAGAACTTATCACATATTCTGATTTACAAGAGGCTCTGATGATAATGGCACATTGCCAGTCCTCTACTCTCCCCTTTCTTTGGTGAAATGGCTCACCTTTCCATGAACTCTGTTTAAAGAGACACTCCAGAGGAGTCTGTACTCTGGAGACATCAAGGAAAAGGAGATGAAAAGGAGAGCAAGATCTAGAAAAGCATTGTTTTGAGGCGGAAAGTTTGTGAAGAAAGGAATGGCCATTTGAAAATGAAAGTTTACTCATTTATATTTTAGAAAAACAAATGATATTAAATAACTACAACAAAAGAAGAAAGGGAGTGACACATAGGTCATTTATTTTAAAAATCTTTTCAGGCCGGGTGCGGTGGCTCAACCCTGTAATCCCAGCACTTTGGGAGGCCGAGGCGGGCGGATCACGAGGACAGGAGATCGTGACCACGGTGAAACCCCGTCTCTACTAAAAATACAAAAAATTAGCTGGGCGCAGTGGCCGGCACCTGTAGTCCCAGCTGTTCAGGAGGCTAAGGCAGGAGAATGGCGTGAACCTGGGAGGCGGAGCTGCAGTGAGCCAAGATTGCACCACTGCACTCCAGCCTGGGCGACGGAGCGAGACTCCGTCTCAAAAAAATAATAAAAAAAATCCTTTCAAACTACTGTTATTTTGCAACTAAAAATTATAGAACATTATGTATCAAGCTCTAAATTCTCACCAGGGCTGAGCCACATGAAACTCCCATTTTATAGATAAAAATGTTCAAATATTGTCAGTATCATATGGCTTAGAATCTTAACCTCATTTACCACAACTACTGAATTCTTTCTTGTAGTCTAGAAATTTAAAAACTTAAATTAGGTACTTTAAGAATCCCATGCCGAGCGCAGTGGCTCACACCTGTAATCCCAGCACTTTGTGAGGCCGAGGCGGGTGGATCACGAGGTCAGGAGATCGAGACCATCCTGTCTAACATGGTGAAACCTCATCTCCACTAAAAATACAAAAATTTTAGCCGAGCGTGGTGGTGGGCGCCTGTAGTCCCAGCTACTCGGGAGGCTGAGGCAGGAGAATGGCGTGAACCCGGGAGGCGGAGCTTGCAGTGAGCCAAGATCGCACCACTGCACTCCAGCCTGGGTAACAGAGTGAGACTCCGTCTCAAAAAAAAAAAAAAAAAAAAAAAAATTTCATGAAGATCCTAAGCTTGAGATGAAGGTAGTGTCTTTCTTCTCTCTTCATCCCCTGTAACACCCAGCCCACAACAGTTGCTGAGAGAATACTTATTGACTTCTATCACAAGCTCAGAGTAATTTTGAACTTGCACCGTCATTATTAGCCACAAACGTTGCAGAATTAGATTCTTATCATTGAGCTTTCCCTTAATACCCAAAGTGGAGGATACAAGTTTTAAAATCTTACATATACTCGATGACTATTAAAAAAAAAACTTTACCCTTTTTTCCCCTCTAAATTGCTCAGGGAACGGGCAGAGGGAAGAAAGGTGGGGAGGTAATTCTCACGGGGCAAAGAGGCTCAGCTCTGGAGGGAAGAGGTGGAAGCCAGCCTCCAGCCCCAGGCACCTACCAAAGCCAGGGAGCCGGTTAACATGAGATCTGCTTGACTGCGACGTCACAGGGGGACAGGTGCAAAAACAGAATATGTAAAGGAATTGTATGCTAATTCTGTCCTCTCAGTGTCTTCGAAGAAATTATTTCCTGGCGATTTGTTCAGCACTTAAAAAAAAATGTCCATATACCCGCACCTCACCAATCTACCCATTCTCTTTGGTGTTTTTCTTATCTGATTGGAAATTTCCTAGTACATGTAGGGCTTTGTTCTAAGAATAGGTGAACACAGCTGGAATTGCAGTGTCATCTGTTGCATATTTGGAGAGACTTTCAAAAAAACTTGACCTTAACCTGCTAACTTCAACCCAGAATTCCAGACAGATATTTGGACCTTCTAAAATCATAAACATTTGATATTTATATTCCTGGACTAATTTTTTAAGCAAAAAATTTGCATCTGGCCTTTTGCAATCTTCCAAAGGAAGTTTTTCAGATACGTCTGGGGGTGTGATTTCTTAATAGAATAAAACTGCCATGGTTTTATAATATGCTGCTATATGGTGCTAGAAACCTCTCCAAAACACCCTCAAATTTATCAACACCAAAATCCCCAAAGATACAAAGATGATATTAGCATTTTATTATAAATGCATTTGGGATCCTCAATAACTTGAAAGCCTTCTATTTTAGCATTAGAATGAAACATAATGCTAATTAATAAATAAGGAGCTAAGCATGGTGCCAAATGAAATAAATATTTACTGGAAATAACCAAAATGACTTCACTGCAGCAGAAAGGTCCTAAAACTGTACTCAGAAGAATGCTGGCTGTTTCTGTGTTTTCACTAACACATGCTGAATACCATGTCCCACTCTTCATACCTGGGAGGGAGCAGGGCAAGGATGACCCTTACTGCGAAGGAGCAGTCACACAGTCAAACAGTATTAAATAAGTATTTTATGATCAATACCCTTAAAACCCCAAGAGAAATTTTAAAACTTAAATTGTCTGAAGCTTAGCTGTACAGCTCCCAATTAAATGAGCGAACTGTGTTTTTAAATACCCATGTCCTACTCAAAATTCCCCATAGCTTTTCTTTTAAAAGCTATAAAATGTGTTACTGGTGACAGAATTCAGCTTAATAAGTTTCAGTAGGTTTTGATAGTTCATTCACACTTTAGCTTATAAAAAGTGTAGGCAAGTAAGCAAAATCATTTTTCCTGTCTCCTGCATTATTGGAAAAGGTACAGAATCCAGCTGCATTTCATTAAAGTTGTTTTGGAAAGTTGAAGACAGCCCATGAGGAAAAGAGGACTCAAAATTAAATACTTGGAACCTGAGGTTAAACATTGCACATGGCTTTATGTGCCTCTCTCCCCTTATATTTGGATGACAAATGACTTCAGGCCTCTGCCGACCTAAGGATTTGTCGTTGATGATTCAACAAGAAGAACTACTTAGACTTGTTTAGGATTCATGGTGAACAGGCAGTTTCCCATTCATTCTATTATATAATGGTCACTCTTAGGTCACATATACACCAAAGGGGCCCTGGCTTCAGAGGAACTTAAACCTTTGTAAGCTCTTTTATGAGTCTAGTCCTATTGGAAAGCATTTGATTCCACTGTCAGTCACCTTGTGACTCTTTTGTTTCCCTGATAAATAATTAAAAGTGGGTTGGATCCTCATAGCAGTGTTGATAGAACACCCTTGACAATGATGGCTTTGTGGCACAGTGTTGAGGTCTTTATTTTATAGAGCAGCAGAAAAAGTTCCTATTAAAGACAACACTCAAATTCTTCACTTTGTTATGTCAGTGATTTTAATATTGTAAATGTTCAACTTCAACCCTTTTGTTTCACTATGAATATATCCAATATAGCCTCCAGAGTTTTACAAAAGGTGCCCTTGGAGTAACTCACCCACTGGGGTTATATTTACCACCCTAGTGGCTTCCTGTTTGGGAACCTGGCAGGGGCAATGAGTAGGCTTGAGATGCTTTTTGAACAATCCACCATTCTCTTACATTCTCCTTCATGTACACAGGTACTCCAACTGCTTTGCAGAGAAGTGGTAAACTAATAACCCTATTTACTCAGTCAAAAACTATGTGGGAGTCAATATTTGGGGTGAGGCTTTCTCTTCAGAAAAGAAATGTTTGGCAAAACAGCCTAAATTCTCCAGGATAGAAGAGATTGATGGAGCATCTATCTTAAGAAGGGTGTAGGCAAGGATACTAGGTTAACTCCTAAAACAAATATAAATGTTTCTTTTCCATATTCCAGGTAATGAAACCAACACGAGAAAGGAGAGGGTTTGTCACTCTAGTTCCTCTTGATTCTTTCCAGCAGAGGGCACCATTTTCATTATCTAGATGGGTTTCACAGTTTTAGACATGGGAATTGTTAGGTTCTATAAATTAGAATAGGCAAATTACTGAAGAGGGCCTGGAAACTGAGCTCTCAGCTCCTGGAACTGGGAACAGACCACTTTATTCTGTAGATAAAGAAAAATAGCACTTGTCTAGAAAATGTAGGCTGTTCAAGCAGTTTATTTATTTATTTTTTATTTAAGTATATTGTAAGACCCACTACAACAAGCAGCTTAATTTAGATCTTGGTATTTGAGATAAATCCCCACTAAACTAAGGTAAATACATCTCCTTTGAACATTTGTGCATACATATATACACACGCAATTACAGCTTTTAAATTATTTTGACTGCTTTAAAATGTGGCTTTCCTTCTCTTGGAAACACTTAACACAAGAGTCATAAATATCACCACAATTCTCTGCTGTACTGTGATGTTTAGTTGTATCCGTCCTTAAAATCTTATTCTATGGGTGTTGGAAATGACAAATATATACATTGAACGCTGAATTTGGTTTTATCAGATCTGGTACTCTCATGTGGCTAGGCAAAGAGTTATCGTGCCCCTCTGTTCCTTTATTTGTGCACTTTGTAGATTATGTTATCTGGCAAGCATCCAGGTCTATTGTGAAGGCACTGAAACAATACCTTGTATAGGTTGAACCATAACACTGTCAAAAGCCAGCACAACAAACCAAGGGACCAAGTAGTTCACATTGGAACTCAATAAAAATAACCTCTCTGAGAGGTTAGAGAATCATGATTGTAAATAATGCCCACTGGAAATCCATGAGAATGGATTTTCTGAAAATATTTACTGCTCCAGGTGGATTATTATTTTGACTACTTATGGCATGTACATCTCCCAAAATAAATTGGGATGAAGTATAGATAAAGGTTTTTATTTCTTCCCCAGTGGATTGCTACATGTGCAAACTTAAAGGTCTGCTGAGTAATTATGGACACTAGAGAGCAGTAGAGGAGTGTCTGAGCACATAGCTGGTAGAAAATCAACATGCTTCAAAACAGTATCAGGCATATTCTCTTAAGGTGATATTCAGTTTCCACTGACAGTGGAAGACAATTTGAACTATCTTATAAATGAATCAATTTTTAGAGATTGGATAAATAACATCCAAACAATAAGCTATCAATAGGAATGCTAGTATTTATACTGATAAGTAGTTTATTATAAGTCAAAACTGCTTACTTTGGAGTAGAAAAATTTGGTAACAAATTCTGCATAAGATTTAGGTCATCAGTAATAGCTGTAATTCAAAGCAGATCTCTGACTACTTATGTAGAAGAGTCATCAAAATCAGTGTGATTTCAATGAATGCCTATTTATACCCAACATTCAAGACATCTGCATCAATTTACCAATAAATGTGTCTACCATTCATTATGCAGTCAAACTAGCCCGTGTACAAACTACATCACAATTCTGATCTGTTTCCCCTTGGCCATAGTAACTCTACTCGGGTGATGGAGAGAGTTACAGTGAAAATAACCACCACCATTATGCTTATGCTGTGACAGACACCATGCAGTGCAGCCTCCATTGTATGGCTTCCACTTCTAGCCTCCCATAACCACATGTCCAAAGTCAGAATCTTGGTTCCTTGTTCTTATATCTTTCCAGCTTATAAACAGTACCATTATCCACCCACACCAGAAACATAAGAGTCATCCTTGATCCATTCCTCTTCCTTACTGTCCGTAAGTCCTCTTGATTCTAATTCTAAAATACATCTCAAATCCATTTCCTTCTTTCCAGTTCCACTGTCACATTCTCACCTGGGCCCCCATCATCACATGTCTGCACACTGTAAGAACCTCCAGCTGGTCTTTCTCCTCCCAACAGTAGTAGTGTATTTATATTTGATAACACAGACCAGATCCTAGCATTTCCCTGTGTGACATCCTTCAACTGCTGCCCATTCATCTTGGAATATAATGTAAACCCCTGGTAGTGGCTCTCTAAGCCCTGACCGTCTCTCCTGGCTCACCCTGTACCCCTTCCAAATTCTTTTTGACTCGGGGCCTTCCTGTGTGGTGTTGCCCCTGCCTGAAAGCTGTGTGATTTCAGGAAGTCACTTAACCTTCTGGGCCTTGATTTTCTCCTCTAAAATAAGGACCTTGATCCTTTCTAGCAATGACCTTCCTGTTTTCTTAGAAAAAAAAATAGCAGTTCTCTTGAATTTATCTTCTAATAACCCTCTACTCAGCACTGACCCTGACATAATATGAAAGGTTAGCCACAGGCCCATTGGAAAATATTTTCCAAGTATAGTATAGAACTATAAAATGCTTTGAAACTGAGACATACATGTTAACCAGCAATGTTTTCAATTAATAGAGGGATGTGTATACCCTGTGAGAATGCTTAAAGCCTAAAATTAAAGCAGGGCAGGAGACTTCATCTTTCTTAGAAAGCAAATTTACTGTTCTCTCACTAGTTTCTGTCTGAATTTACCAGCTCCATGTGAGTTTGTATGTTCATTGGCATTCTAACCATCCTTTATTATAAGTGCATTTTCAAGGTTTATACTATTCTCATCAGCAGCACACTCTTGTCAAGTTTTTAATTTCAGATTGTCAGACATCCAAACTAGAATTGTTCCATTGCCTATAGCAGATAATAAATAATTAGATGCTCTTAAATCAGTGGACCGCAGAAAATGAAGGTGAATTTTTAAAATTCAGTTTATTTATAAACTGAGCCAACCCCATGCCAGTTCAATCCAGTTCTGTGCATTTTGCTGAGTGTCTTCCAGATGCCAGGCACTACACCAATATAGGCTATGTAATAAGCAAATGCTGGGCCCAGCTCTCTAAGAACTCACAGTCCAGCAGGAAGATCTATATGCAAAAATATCATGTCAGAAACCTGGTGAAGTAATAGAAGAAGGCGCTGTGTGCTTTGGGGTAACAAAGTGCTTCTGTCACCATGGAGGGATCAGACAAAGTGTCATGAGTAAATAATATTTACCTGTCAAAGAAGAAAACAGTGTCCCAGGAAGAGGATTCTGGTATGCAGAGAAACCAGAAGTGCATCAGCAGTGTCCTTTGGGGAAACAACTGAAATACAAAAGTGTCTGTGGCCAGAGACAAAGCTGGAAAGAGATGCAGGCACCAAGTCATGAAGGACTTTGTATGTCTCGTATTCTCTCCAAAAAATTTGAGCTGTATCCTGAAATACTAATAATAACAACATGAGCTAACTTGGGGGCCTCACTAAAACCACTTTACATGATCTAACTCATATAATGCTCAACAGCTGATGAGGTTTCAGCCCAGGTAAGCCACTGTTTGAGTCATGCTCTGAACTACGGTTATTCCACCTCCAAGTGAAAAGGAGCCATAGAAATTGTATGACCTTGGGCAAATTACTCAACACTGAACCTTCTTCCATCATCTGTAAACCAGGAATAATCATAGTGCCTGCCTCATAGAATTGCTGTAAGAACTAAACAAATTAACAAATGTAAAATGCTTGGGTAGCATTGTGCATGGCATGTGGCATGTAACTGCCGTTATTATTATCATCTTCAACATTATCATTTCCATTAATTTTTAAGATTTTAAGAAATGGAACACCATTACCATGTTTGCATTAAAAGATGACTAAGAGGGCAAATGAAGGAAGGCAGGTGGCAAGGCCATTATATTGCCAACCCCAAGGGGCACCATTCACTTTGTAGTCAGTGTAAATGACACAGTGCCCCCTTGGACCTGTGCTGTGCAATGGCTCTGAGCAGAACAAGACAAGAGGTAATCCAGAGGTGATGAGAACCTAAATGAGGGGAACAGAGAAGAAACTGGTGACAGATATTGGGGAACAAGAGATCTCATGGGTAAGGACAATAAAGAGGGACTTGATTAACTGCTAGGTTTCTGGCCTGGGTAGGTGTGCAGAGGGGAAATAAGAGGGGTGGGGAATCAACTCGGATTATTTTATGTCTCTGGATATGTGTCTCTAACTGCTTTCCAAAGGGAAAATAAACATGATTTCAGATTAGTGATTTTGTCCTATTAAGTGTGTTTCATCCTTTTATGAGTGTAAATAATTGGGATTTACTGAGTTAATCCCAATTAACTCAAACTGTGTTCCTAATAACATAGCCCAGTGCAGTTCAGTGCCAGGATAAATGTCAGAATCCTATGTTGATTTTGTGTTATTGCAGTCTTCTGTTTGGCAAGACTGACCTTGTTATTTCTGAATTAATGATTTCAATCACCCAAGACACCTTTTCAGTGAAATACGGTACATAAAAATGGAGTCTCCTAATAGTTGTGAAAAAGCACTTCATTTTATTAATATATATATATTTGAAATACTCATCACAGGGCATGTAAGTGTGAACTTTTAATGACACAGAAGAAAAAATATTTGTATATGGATCTTTTTGTAAAGACAAGCTCAGAGCACCCTCAAATAGAAGAGAGAGAAAAGAGTGGGTTGTGTCATTGCATCAGCCCCTAGAAAACCTGCACCGCTGGTGTATTATTCACACCCATCTGTAGAGGTCTCTTAGGAGTCTTGGGAGTCCCTTGGGAAAAGCCTCCTGGGAACAGGCAGTTAGAGTATGGCAGGATCATTTTCTTAGCCTGTTTTGGGTCCAATTATGTATTTTCTATTTTATCTTGCTCTTAACTACTCCCCCCCCCAAAAAAAGGCCTGGTGTGTTGGCTCATGCTTGTAATCCCAACACCTTGGGAGGCTGAAGAGAGAGGGTCACTTGAAGCCAGGAGTTCAAGACCCCTGGACAAGATAGCAAGACCCCATCTCTACAAAACAACAATAACAAACCCAGTCCAACAGGTTACACTGGCTAAACACATTTTTCTTAGGGATTTAATTTTTTTCCCTGCTTTACCTTATATGTGATACTTATCAAATATGCCACATTTTTAGTATTGCTTCACTCTTAGGGGGCCAGAGTTGTGAATGCCTTGATTCTATATTCTGGGGCTTGCTCTGTAAAGCATACATTTTACCTAAGATCAATGTCACAGGTAAGTTTATCTACTGTTCCTTTCTTTTTTTTTTCTTCATTTTTTAAAGCAAAACATGCCTCTTTATTTTTCCAAAACAACTAATCACAATGAACATCCAATATTTAGGAAATCAATCTAAAAACAAACCTTAAGGAAATAAACCATCTGTATTATTTTATAATAACAGTAATAACTACTATTTGCTGAGTCCTAATCATTGCCAAGTGCTGCATACTTCACATGTATTACTGAAATGTAATAGTCACAACAACCCTGAAAGATACATTACTTCAATTTTATAGATGAGGAGGTTGGGCTAAGATATACATAATTCAGGCCTTACTAGCAGATGCTAATTAGAATGCTTGTTGGAAATGCCTAGGGGGTCATCAGAGAGTAGCATCAAACACTGGGAGAACAGGGCCAGCATCCTGCAGAATTCTGTTTAGACCTGCGAGCACAGTCCCTTGCTCTGGGAGTGACTTTCTGTGTTCACAGCTTCTCTGTTGGGCCTGCTGTCCTCCAAGCTCCAGATTCTGTATCTTCCTCACTTATGATGACTGTTTGCTTACCCTGCTGCCCTCTCCACAATTCTCCTTTCATTCCATGCTTCACCTTCTCCACAAGTAATTAACAAGCACTTTCTACATGCCAGCAACTGCTCCAAGGACTGGAGATACAGCAGTGAACAAAACAGTCTATTTTGTTTAAATCTCTGTTCTGTGGAGCTGTTGGGCACAGACAGAAAATAAACAAGTAATAAAATCACCCTGAATCTTACCCTTTCAATCTCATACTTGACTCCAGGCTTCTAACCAAACACCTGTCAAAAACGTGGATGGGCTCTTTTCTCATCTGCCGTAGACGAAGTCTGTGGCATAGATGAAGTCTCTTCATCCTTCTTAGGCTGTAGGAATTCATTGAAAGAAGAGCCCTGGCCTCTGTGTTCCTTACTCATATACCTGAAAAATGAGCAAGGCTGTAGGAACTGCTAGCTCCTCTGTAACAATTTTCCTCTTTATTATATGTTCATATTCCTGATAACTAGAGCACGAGAGAATCTAGCCAGCCATTCAGTCTTTGTTCCTGAATACTGTCTGCCACAGATACTTCCATTTTTAACTGAATAGAATAATCTAGAAGGAAACGTAATACCCTCTTTTTTAGTCATTCCTTGCCAGATGCCTGTATCTTTCTTCTGGCCTATAGTCTGACCCCTTGAGCTCAGAGGATCCCAAGGGGCTACTGTAGCCAGTCTCTGATAATACTGTTTTGTCCCTCTTCCCATGAAGTTCTTGCCTACAGGAAAGGAGTATGACTGCCAGCCCTGACCCCCTTGACCTTAGAGTGGAATGAGGTAGAACCTTAATATTCTTAGAAAGGATGTCCTAAGCTCTTAGCAATTGTTCAGATTTAGAAATGGTGCTGTAACACATAATTTCTCCCATAAAGTGCAGTCAAGTGTAAGTGACCTCTTCAGAACCTTAATGATTCTATATTAAACAAAAACAATTGAATTTCTTATAAAAATCATCAGTTATGTACAACTTCTTAATATTCTCTCCACCTCCAGTGACAGTACAAGGAGTCAACTCTCCCGTGGGAGCAATTGTTCAAAGTAGAATTTGCCACCTCAAGGAAGTTAGAGTGATACGGGTAACAATAATAACAGGAATATGAGCTGGCCTGACACAGAGCTCACTATGTGTCAGGCTCCATGCTGACAGCTTTACATGTATGACTCTTTAAATCCTCCAACAGCCTTACAAAGTAAGTGCTATTATTGTCCTCATTTTTCAGATGAGAAAACTGAAGTAGAGAGAGGTAAAATAACTTGCCTAACATTATCCAGCTAGTAAATGGTGGAACCAGGACTCCTATCAAGGCTGCCTGTCCTCAGAGCCAGTGCCAAAATCTCAACTCTGTCATCCTTCTCAATATGAGTGAATAAAAAAGCTGTGATGAGGTGTGCTGCTGAGGGCTTACTCACCTTTGAATGGGGCTGCCACACTTGTTATCCACAGTGGAACATTCAAATCAATGCCTCAGTGAAGTGGCAGATTGTCCCATGTCATAGGTGTTTGGGTCACTGGGAACATCCGCTCCTTCAGTGTCAGGGTCGGCTGGCATTCTGACTTCACCAAGCCTACCTGTGGCTATAGTTCATCCAGCCTAGTATTTCTAGTTTGGGCTGCTGCTCCCCTTCCTCTCCACCAGAATTTTTACTATTTCAGGAGGAGGTGAATCCCTGTGAGGTAGATTTCTGATTTTGGAGATGATACTTGTGATTAAAGAGAAAGCTTGATAGGAGGAGAGCCAGAATTTTCCATGACTTTAAAAGAGGAAATAATTTTCTGCTTCACTCTGGAAGACAAGGGAAATGCCTCCCCTAACAATTCCCTTTATCAAAGTAACATTTCACCTGCCAGGTAGGTATTACTTCATTTGAATACAATAGCAGCCTTCAGCAGCAGTAGCTAAAATTTACTCCTATCACTTTCTTTTTACAAAGCCTTCAAATTTGTACACGAATAGAATCTTAGAAACAACCAATTTTTTTTATATATACTTTAAGTTTTAGGGTACATGTACACAACATGCAGGTTAGTTACATATGCATACACGTGCCATGTTGGTGTGCTGCCCCCATTAACTCGTCATTTAACATTAGGTATATCTCCTAATACTATCCCTCCCCCCTCCCCCCACCCCACAACAGGCCCCAGTGTGTGATGTTCCGCTTCCTGTGTCCATGTGTTCTCATTGTTCAATTCCCACCTATGAGTGAGAACATGTGGTGTTTGGTTTTTTGTCCTTGCGATAGTTTGCTGAGAATGATGGTTTCCAGCTTCATCCGTGTCCCTACAAAGAACGTGAACTCATCCTTTTTTATGGCTGCGTAATATTCCATGGTGTATATGTGCCACATTTTCTTAATACAGTCTATCATTGTTGGACATTTGAGTTGGTTCCAAGTCTTTGCTATTGTGAATAGTGCCACAATAAATATTCGTGTGCATGTGTCTTTATAGCAGCATGATTTATAATCCTTTGGGTATATACCCAGTAATGGGATGGCTGGGTCAAATGGTATTTCTACTTCTGGATCCCTGAGGAATTGCCACACTGACTTCCACAATGGTTGAACTAGTTTACCGTCCCACCAACAGTGTGTAAAAGTGTTCCTATTTCTCCACATCCTCTCCAGCACCTGTTGTTTCCTGACTTTTTAATGATCACCATTCTAACTGGTGTGAGATGGTATCTCATTGTGGTTTTGATTTGCAATTCTCTGCTGGTCAGTGATGATGAGCATTTTTTCATGTGTCTGTTGGCTGCATAAATGTCTTCCTTTGAGAAGTGTCTGTTCATATCCTTCGCCTACTTTTTGATGGGGTTGTTTGTTTTTTTCTTATAAATTTGTTTGAGTTCATTGTAGATTCTGGATATTAGCCCATGGTCAGATGAGTAGGTTGCAAAAATTTTCTCCCATTCTGTAGGTTGCCTGTTCACTCTAGTGGTAGTTTCTTTTGCTGTGCAGAAGCTCTTTAGTTTAATAAGATCCCATTTGTCAATTTTGGCTTTTGTTGCCATTGCTTTTGGTGTTTTAGACATGAAGTCCTTGCCCATGCCTATGTCCTGAATGGTATTGCCTAGGTTTTCTTCTAGGGTTTTTATGGTTTTAGGTCTAACATTTAAGTCTTTAATTCATCTTGAATTAATTTTTGTATAAGGTGTAAGGAAGGGATCTAGTTTCAGCTCTCTACATATGGCCAGCCAGTTTTCCCAGCACCATTTATTAAATAGGGAATCGTTTCCCCATTTCTTGTTTTTGTCAGGTTTGTCAAAGATCAGATGGTTGTAGATATGCGGCATTATTTCTGAGGGCTCTGTTCTGTTCCATTGGTCTATATCTCTGTTTTGGTACCAGTACCATGCTGTTTTGGTTACTGTAGCCTTGTAGTATAGTTTGAAGTCAGGTAGTGTGATGCCTCCAGCTTTGTTCTTTTGGCTTAGGGTTGACTTGGCAATGCAGGCTCTTTTTTGGTTCCATATGAACTTTAAAGTAGTTTTTTCCAATTCTGTGAAGAAAGTCATTGGTAGCTTGATGGGGATGACATTGAATCTATAAATTACCTTGGGCAGTATGGCCATTTTCATGATATTGATTCTTCCTACCCATGAGCATGGACTGTTCTTCCATTTGTTTGTATCCTCTTTTATTTCCTTGAGCAGTGGTTTGTAGTTCTCCTTGAAGAGGTCCTTCATGTCCCTTGTAAGTTGGATTCTAGGTATTTTATTCTCTTTGAAGCAATTGTGAATGGGAGTTCACTCATGATTTGGCTCTCTGTTTGTCTGTTATTGGTGTATAAGAATGCTTGTGATTTTTGCACATTGATTTTGTATCCTGAGACTTTGCTGAAGTTGCTTATCAGCTGAAGGAGATTTTGGGCTGAGACGATGGGGTTTTCTAGATATACAATCATGTCATCTGCAAACAGGGACAATTTGACTCCCTCTTTTCCTAATTGAATGCCCTTTATTTCCTTCTCCTTCCTGATTGCCCTGGCCAGAACTTCCAACACTATGTTGAATAGGAGTGGTGAGAGAGGGCATCCCTGTCTTGTGCCCGTTTTCAAAGGGAATGCTTCCAGTTTTTGCCTATTCAGTATGATATTGGCTGTGGGTTTGTCATAGATAGCTCTTACTATTTTGAGATATGTCCCATCAATACCTAATTTATTGAGAGTTTTTAGCATGAAGGGTTGTTGAATTTTGTCAAAGGACTTTTTCTGCATCTATTGAGATAACCATATGGTTTTTGTTCTTGGTTCTGTTTATATGCTGGATTACATTTATTGATTTGCCTATGATGAAGCAGCCTTGCATCCCATGGATGAAGCCCACTTGATCATCGTGGATAAGCTTTTTGATGTGCTGCTGGATTTGGTTTGCCAGTATTTTATTGGGGATTTTTGCATCGATGTTCATCAGGGATATTGGTCTAAAATTCTCTTTTTTGTTGTGTCTCTGCCAGGCTTTGGTATCAGGATGATGCTGGCCTCATAAAATGAGTGAGGGAGGATTCCCTCTTTTTCTGTTGATTGGAATAGTTTCAGAAGGAATGGTACCAGCTCCTCCTTGTACCTCTGGTAGAATTCAACTGTGAATCCTTCTGGTCCTGGAGTTTTTTTGGTTGGTAAGCTATTAATTATTGCCTCAATTTCAGAGCCTGTTATTGGTCTATTCAGAGATTCAACTTCTTCCTGGTTTAGTCTTGGGAGGGTGTATGTGTCGAGGAATTTATCCATGTCTTCTAGATTTTCTAGTTTATTTGCATAGAGTTGTTTATAGTATTCTCTGATGGTAGTTTGTATTTCTATGGGATCGGTAGTGATATCCCCTTTATCATTTTTTATTGTGTCTATTTGATTCTTCTCTCTTTTCTTCTTTATTAGTATTGCTAGCGGTCTATCAATTTTGTTGATCTTTTCAAAAAACCAGCTCCTGGATTCATTGATTTTTTTGAAGGGTTTTTTGTGTCTCTATTTCCTTCAGTTCTGCTCTGATCTTAGTTATTTCTTGCCTTCTGCTAGCTTTTGAATGTGTTTGCTCTTGCTTCTCTAGTTCTTTTAATTGTGATGTTAGGGTGTCAATTTTAGATCTTTCCTGTTTTCTCTTGTGGGCATTTAGTGCTATAAATTTCCCTCTACACACTGCTTTGAATGTGTCCCAGAGATTCCGGTATGTTGTGTCTTTGTTCTCATTGGTTCCAAAGAACATCTTTATTTCTGCCTTCATTTTGTTATGTACCCAGTAGTCATTCAGGAGCAGGTTGTTCAGCTTCCATGTAGTTGAGCAGTTTTGAGTGAGTTTCTTAATCCTGAGTTCTAGTTTGATTGCACTGTGGTCTCAGAGACAGTTTGTTATAATTTCTGTTCTTTTACATTTGCTGAGGAGTGTTCTACTTCCAACTATGTGGTCAATTTTGGAATAGGTGTGGTGTGGTGCTGAAAAGAATGTATATTCTGTTGATTTGGGGTGGAGAGTTCTGTAGGTGTCTATTAGGTCTGCTTGGTGCAGAGCTGAGTTCAATTCTTGGATATCCTTGTTAATTTTCTGTCTTGTTGATCTGTCTAATGTTGACAGTGGGGTGTTAAAGTCTCCCACTATTATTGTGTGGGAGTCTAAGTCTCTTTGTAGGTCTCTAAGGACTCGCTTTATGAATCTGGGTGCTCCTGTATTGGGTGCATATATATTTAGGATAGTGAGCTCTTCTTGTTGCATTGATCCCTTTACCATTATGTAATGGCCTTCTTTGTCTCTTTTGATCTTTGTTGCTTTAAAGTCTGTTTTATCCGAGACTAGGATTGCAACCCTTGCCTTTTTTTGTTTTCCATTTGCTTGGTAGATCTTCCTCCATCCCTTTATTTTGAGCCTATGTGTGTCTCTGCACATGAGATGGGTTTCCTGAATACAGCACACTGATGGGTCTTGACTCTTTATCCGATTTGCCAGTCTGTGCCTTTTAATTGGAGCATTTAGCCCATTTGCATTTAAGGTTAGTATTGTTATATGTGAATTTGATCCTGTCATTATGATGTTAGCTGGTTATTTTGCTTGTTAATTGATGCAGTTTCTTCCTAGCCTCGATGGTCTTTACAATTTGGCATGTTTTTGCAGTGGCTGGTACCAGTTATTCCTTTCCATGTTCAGTGCTTCCTTCAGGAGCTCTTTTAGGGCAGGCCTGGTGGTGACAAAATCTCTCAGCATTTGCTTGTCTATAAAGGATTTTATTTCTCCTTCACTTATGAAGCTTAGTTTGGCTGGATATGAAATTCTGGGTTGAAAATTCTTTTCTTTAAGAATGTTGAATATTGGCCCCCACTCTCTTCTGGCTTGTAGAGTTTCTGCGGAGAGATCTGCTGTTAGTCTGATGGGCTTCCCTTTGTGGGTAACCCGACCTTTCTCTCTGGCTGCCCTGAACATTTTTTCCTTCATTTCAACTTTGGTGAATCTGACAATTATGTGTCTTGGAGTTGCTCTTCTCAAGGAGTATCTTTGTGGCGTTCCCTGTATTTCCTGAATTTGAATGTTGGCCTGCCTTGCTAGATTGGAGAAGTTCTCCTGGATAATATCCTGCAGAGTGTTTTCCAACTTGGTTCCATTCTCCCTGTCACTTTCAGGTACACCAATCAGATGTAGATTTGGTCTTTTCACATAGTCCCATATTTCTTGGAGGCTTTGTTCATTTCTTTCTATTCTTTTTTCTCTAATCTTCTCTTCTCGCTTCATTTCATTCATTTGATTTTCCATCACTGATACCCTTTCTTCCAGTTGATCGAATCAGCTACGAGGCTTGTGCATTCGTCATGTAGTTCTCGTGCCATGGTTTTCAGCTCCGTCAGGTCCTTTAAGGACTTCTCTGCATTGGTTATTCTAGTTAGCCATTTGTCTAATTTTTTTTCAAGGTTTTTAGCTTCTTTGCCATGGGTTCAAACTTCCTCCTTTTGCTCGGAGTAGTTTGATCTTGTGAAGCCTTCTTCTCTCAGCTCGTCAAAGTCATTCTCCATCCAGCTTTGTTCCATTGCTGGTGAGGAGCTGGGTTCCTTTGGAGGAGGAGAGGTGCTCTGATTTTTCGAGTTTCTGGTTTTTCTGCTCTAGTTTTTCCCCATCTTTGTGGATTTATCTACCTTTGGTCTTTGATGATGGTGACGTACAGATAGGGTTTTGGTGTGGATGTCCTTTCTGTTTGTTAGTTTTCCTTCTAACAGTCAGGACCCTCAGCTGCAGGTCTTTTGGAGTTTGCTGGAGTTCCACTCTAGACCCTGTTTGCCTTGGTATCAGCAGCAGAGGCTGCACAACAGCGGATATTGGTGAGCAGCAAATGTTGCTGCCTGATCGTTCCTCTGGAAGTTTCGTCTCAGAGGAGTACCCGGCCGTGTGAGGTGTCAGTCTGCCCCTACTGGGGGATGCCTCCCAGTTAGGCTACTCGGGGGTCAGGGACCCACTTAAGGAGGCAGTCTGTCTGTTCTCATATTTCCGGCTGCGTGCTGGGAGAACCACTACTCTCTTCAAAGCTGTCAGACAGGGACATTTAAGTCTGCAGAGGACTCTGCTGCCTTTTGTTTGGCTACTCCCTGCCCCCAGGGGTGGAGTCTACAGAGGCAGGCAGGCCTCCTTGAGCTTCAGTGGGCTTTACCCAGTTCCAGCTTCCTGGCAGCTTTGTTTACCTACTCAAGCCTCAGCAATGGTGGGTGCCCCTCCCCGAGCCTCGCTGCCACCTTGCAGTTTGATCTCAGACTGCTGTGCTAGCAATGAGCCAGGCTCCATGGGCATAGGACCCTCTGAGCCATGCACAGGATATAATCTCCTGGTGTGCTGTTTGCTAAGACTGTAGGAAAAGTGCAGTATTAGGGTGGGAGTGACCCGATTTTCCAGGTGCTGTCTGTCACCCCTTTCTTTGACTAGGAAAGGGAATTCCCTGACCCCTTGCACTTACCGGGTGAGGCGATGCCTCGCCCTGCTTTGGCTCACACTGGGTATGCTGCACCCACTGTCCAGCACCCACTTTCCAACACTCCCCAGTGAGATGAGCCCGGTACCTCAGTTGGAAATGAAGAAATCACCTGTCTTCTGTGTCGCTCACGCTGGGAGCTGTAGACTGGAGTTGTTCCTATTCAGCCATCTTGGCTCCACGCCCCAATTGTTTTCTTTTATACTCCTTGAGATTTTTACCCTCTTTAAACATTTTTATAAGTGAAAAAAATGCAACTGTATTGAAGAAAACTGCCCATTTTCAAAAAACTAACAGTGATTTTCATTTTTGCATGTTGTCTTCCAGTTCAGCCTCACACTATTAATGTTTTCCATAATGGTCCTTGCAGGTCATCTTAGGCAGTAGAGGCTAGGTTTTGCTCCAGTTAACATAATCCCCAAATCTCAGGGGCTAAACACAACTCAAATTCATATCTCACTCCCTCTGCATCACTGCCTCAGGTTTGCAGAAGGCTCTGCTTATCATAGTCACTCCTCCTCAGGCCCAAGGGGTCAGACCTCATCAGGACACACACTTCCACAATCACTGAGGCAGAGGAAGGAGAAACAGCAAATTACAAACAGCCTCTTAAGAGTCCTGTCTGGAAGTAACACCCATCACCCCAGCTTCCTTTCCACCAGCCAACACAAATCACATGGCCAAGCCAACTTCCAGGGACTGAACTGTTCATCTACTGTGTGCCTGGAAGAACAAGAGATGGAATGTTTGAGAGGGGCCCTTATGAGTTCCATAAGTATATTCTATTCTGTCATGAACTCTAATTTCCTAAACCATTTTCCTACCAATGGATATTTGGGCCAAGAGCAATGATTTATATTTATGTATGATTTAAAAACATGTTGTTAAAAATTATTCAATGATACTTACTAAAGCACAGTAAGGAAGACTTTATTCAGAACCATAAAGGTAGCTATACAGACCACCACAATAGGGTCTTGCAGTCAGGAAAAAGATTGAGCTCAACTCCAAACACATCATAAGCAAGTGGGAATTTATAGCCAAGGAAGAGTGTGGGAGTCAGTGGATGGAAAATTACTAAGGGGAGACATCACGGGTGAGGGAGAGTCTGGCTAAACCCACCTAACAGGATTCTTGCCAAAGACAGGCCAGGGTGATTGGACATCACCTGGGGAATGGTGGAGGGTGAGAAACCTAATCAGATGTCAAGGATGATCAGATATTGAGGATAGCGGTTCTTGCTAAACTGATGTAGCAGAATTCTTTGCCAAAACTGGATTTTACAAGAAAGTGAACATATGGGCCTAGCAGAGGATTCAGAAGCCTAACTGGCGTTTGGCCAAGCAGAGAATCTTTGTCATATATTTGAATGTGTTTTATGGCCCCATCCCCAGGTAATATTTGGCTGCCCCCACATGAGATCCCTTGAGCACAACACACACATATACATACATGCACACACACCAGCACCCAGACACACACACAGTTGGTTGCCGATCCCCACACCAACAGCATCCCCCTCATACCTGTCCAATTCTGTCTTGCAGTGATAGAAGTATAAATCAGAGATTTTTGTCACACCCACTTCCCTGTGGCTAGGTTCTTGACAACCTCTGTGTAATCTTCCCTTCTTGCAGTAAAGAATTCATAATAGTATCTGTCGTCCATGTCAGCCAACCACGGCTACATAAATGCTGAACACACATACATGCATGCACACACACACCCATACACCCGATCACCTATTTGCCCCACGGCCACAGATTGGAAGACCAGATATAAACAAAGCCCAGCCATGAAACAGAACCAAGTATGCCTGCATGTTCTGACTTGCTCCCATTTGAACTCAAGGTGTCATTTTAAGTACCTTATCTCCTCCCTGATGCAGCCTCTGACTTTGTGCCTTTTAGTAAGAATATCTTTTGTGCACAGCATTTAAAATGTCAAACAACAATGCTCTCTGCGTAGTTGAGCAACAGCAACCTATAGTGTTAGCCCTAGCACAGTGCCTGGCACACAGTAGCCCCGGTCTAAATGAGAGCAGAGATGACTTTAGAAATGGAATGAGCAAACATTGATGGCTGTGATTCCCCTGCAAGGGTGGTGGCATTTCCCAGCCATGAAATGGCCTCTATTAATACAGGCCAAAGGACTGTTGTGGCTTTTGAATTGAATTATTATGTGTTGCCAGCCTTCCAGATGATAAAATAAAATGTTAGTGGGATGCTAGAGCCATCTTCCTTGTAGTTGTAGAATTAAATTTAACAAAAATATTAATAACTGAGAGGACCCCGGCTGAAGTTATATTGGAACTGGGAAACAAGTCAACACTGATGGGAATGACATAGGGAGGGGAAAAAGGAAGAGACAGAATTGTGCAGAGCAGGGCATGAGACACAGGCTCCAGAGCCCAGAGGGTAGACAAAGGGTCTCACAAGCTCAGGCATGGCTCAGAAAACACTGGTACCACCAGACCCAAACCAGCAAACAGGGCAATGGGGAGAGATTCCAAAAGGAATCAGCACCAGCTGTAGTCTCATGAGGAAATATGTGCATTTGTGGTCTTATCAGGAGTACAGAGAACTGGACCACTTCTCCCATGGAAGGAACACCAGGACTGGCAGGAACTGAGAGACATTACAGGACATTTGGGACTGCCTAGATTCCAATTCTCAGACTGCCATTTGTTTACTGTATTCCTTTGGCAAGTTATGCTTGAGTTTCCTCATCTGTAAAATGGGATTAATATTAGTACCTACTTCATGGGGATGTTGTGAAAATTAAGCAAAATAACATGTATAGAGTTACTTAGGGACAACAAGGACTGCCATGTAGTAAGTGATTTGAAAATGTAAGATCTAGGAGGGGTTCTCGGGTCCCAGAGGCAAAATGGGATTTAGGGCAAGGTCCCAGAACTAGAGGCAAGCTGGGGTTCCATGTGGAAGCTGGCCAACCCCAGGGTAGAGAACCAGAAGTAAGAGTGAGACCATGGTAGAAAGATCAAGAATGTGCAGCAACATGCCCTTGAGGTTGTTTAAAGATGCAGATGATGGACAATATGGGTGAACCTAGAAGACATTATGCTAACTGAAGTAAGCCAAAAATAAAAGGACAAATATTGTATGATTCTACTTATATGAAGCATCTCCAGTAGTCAAATTCATAGAGACAGAAAGTAAAATGGATGGTGTTTGCCAGGTCCTGGAGGGAAGGAAGAGTGTGGTTACAGTTTAATGGGTCAAGAATTCAGCCTTGCAAAAGAAAAGGAGTTCCAGAGATGGATGGTGGTGTTGGCTGCACAATGTGAATGTTGTTAATGCCACTGAACTGTACACTTAAAATGGCTACAATGGTAAATTTTATGTTATATACATGAGCTTTACACAATTTTTTTTAAAAACAAAGGAAGTCTGTATAAAGTTTATACTTTAGTTAAGAAAATGTATCAATATTGGTTCACTAATAGTAAAAAAAAGTACCAGACTTATGTAAGATGTCGATAATAAGAGAAACTGGCTTCAGATAGCAATAAATTATATAAGAAATCTTTATACTATTGTCACTTTTTTTATAAATCTAAAACTGTCCTACCAAACAAATGAAGTATATTTTTAAAAACTAGATGCAGAAGATGGGAAGAACCAGATAAAGAGCTGCTTGGTTGAGTAAGAGCTCCCTTGGTTGAGTAAGGGGTGGTTGAGATTTGGGGAGAGATTGT
Organism: Homo sapiens; assembly: GCF_000001405.40. Lineage (NCBI taxonomy): Eukaryota > Metazoa > Chordata > Mammalia > Primates > Hominidae > Homo > Homo sapiens. The sequence goes on along the minus strand of NC_000004.12, from coordinate 52,966,499 downwards.
TATGAGCCTGAAAACAGAGATTAAAAAGGTGATGTGGAAGGTAATGTGGGAAGGAGGAAAGGGATTTAAAGAATCCGAGGAATCACAAGATTGACCACAGCAGCAGATGAGCAGATGACCGTGGGCACTGCCTGGGAAAGGACTCAGGTCATCAAGTGACCTGTGCTTACGTTGATCTACTTTGCACATGCACAGGAGAATGTCATAAAAAACACACGTATAATCAGTTGAGAGTATTTCAAATTCCAGATATGGAAGATTACTAAACATGCATCCTTGGTATGTTTCCTTAAAGCACAACAAAATCCTGGCATTTACGAACAAAAAGAATGGTGCAGGGCATGAGGCATGGGCCCATCACCAGATGGCCTGGTGTGTCTCCATAAATGAGGGCACTTCAACATGTCAAGACTGGGCTGTCAAGGGTTGATCCTATAAATCAGATGTCGTTTTCATAGGATCGTGCCATTTTTAATTCTTGTCCCAAGAAAGTCTTTATCAATCAGATCCAAGTTTAGCACATTTTTAGCACCCATGAAGTCTGTATTTGGCATGTTTACCCATGTTGTTTGAATTACAATAACTGGTAGCATTATTAGCATAGAGTATTATTTGCAGACACCAGAGTCAAGTTTTTTGAGTAATAAATAATAGAAAAGAGACCACAACCATGATCTTCCTATTATGACTATGAAAGAATGAATTGTGAGCTCCTAGGCTCCTTCTATAACAACTGTCAAGCCAAATGAAACCAAGTCATGGCAGGTTTTGGTCACATGTATGGTACTGAGCTGTTTTCCTAAAGGCCAGACCCAGCCAGGCTTGCTGGCTACAGCAGGAGGTGCTAGAGGAGGCATGGAACATCAGAAGTGGGCAACGCACAGCCTCCATGGGTGCTCTGCTCCACACCCTCTGGGAGCTGAAATGTCAGCAATATTGGCATCATTTTGAATACTGCACAGTGCTGTGGAAATTGGGCATGCACAGATTCTGACCAATAAACATGAGAAGAATAAGGAAGTTACGGGACACCACTCTGTGGGTAGAATGAACACTAGCATGGCAGGGGCAGAATAAAAGAAGCATGTGCTCAGCCGCTGGGGGAAATGGGCATTGGTTAGGGGTGCCAGAGGAACTGAGGGCTCTGGGCTGAGGCTGGAAACCAGTAAATAGTGTCTGTGGCATGAAGTGAGGAATCAAAGAAATCCAATAATATGCCATGAAAGATGTCACTCTTAGGCCCATCATTTTTTGCGGGGGGGCTTTTATAGTCTACCTAATTTATTGGGGTGTTTTCAATATGGCTCCTAGAAAAGGAAATATGTGCAACAGAATGCAGAAATAACACGAAATCTGACATTTTCCAGCCTGGCCTCCACCTATCATGATGGTTACGGCATGTAGACGGTGTTCAATACATGCTGTCTGAGTGAATGATCATTATGAAATAGATGGCAACAGCACTGTGTGTGTGTGTGTGTGTGTTTGTGTTTTGTTTTATTCATTTAGTCACCACCATACATTTTGCCTTTCAGATTAGGAATCATGTAATTAATGTCATTTCTGCGAGGCTTTTTCCATTGCAAGATGGGATCTGAACTGATACCATTGTCTAAATTACTCACTAAATTAACATAGTGTTATTTTATCTCAGATGCTTATCTTAGAGCATCCAATTTTATGCTGGCTCACCCTTAGGAGTACTCAAGTGAGGGCTGGACAACAAACTGCACTTGATGGGTGTTTGAGACCAAAAGATTCAAGGATCGCTTCTGAGTCCTTGTGTATGTGTGTGTGTGTGTGTGTGTGTCCCTCACATTTCGCAAGGTCAATATTACTTTGGCAATCTGAGGTGGATTGTAGTAGTTGACTATATTGTCTTGACATTGCAAACCCACTTTGTTTACCTGGAACCATTAATTCAGTGAAATCAAAATTCAAGACACTTAGCCTGCAACTCCTAGAATGTTCCTGGAAACATGGATGGAGATTACTTCAGTGCTGACAGGGCCGTTGGAAAAGACATTGGTTTTGGGAATATGTGAACCCCCTTTTGGTATAGTAAAATATCCTTTTCCTATTTTGGAAAAGTTGGACCTGTTGGCTAAAGCAATTAGCAGTTACTACTGATGACTTAACACTGGATTGGATTCAACCTGTGATATATGCATGTTTACCCTTCTGCCAAGCTGCTGTGCCTCCAACCAGCCCAGAACTTAAGCAACTAACAATAGGCAGAAATATTCCTGACCTAGTTTTTGTATCTTTACATGATGCATAGATAAAAATAATTTCTCTGTACTAATTAGCTTTAAAATCTTGGAACACAACCACTTGGAGGCTTTCCATTTCTAAAATTGGTGCCCAGAACATTGCTAAGTGGCCTGCTTCAGGAAAAGATGTGTTGGTCTTAATTAATCCATTATTGAGCTTTTCAATGGAAATAATTGAATACAATCTTTATATTATTCTTTTTCCCAATTAATGACAAGAGAAAAATGTAATTTGGCAAGGACAAATGTATGACTAGTCCTTCATTCTCATGTGTAATTTTTCTTAGGCATCTCTTGATTTTCAGGTATTTGATTAACTATTCAGATAATGACACAATATGGAACTTTTAATGTTGCGCAGCCATTGCTTCTTGTCCAACTTATGAAACCAAAAGGCAACATTTTATCCTCCCCTCACCTCTGTTTTTACCAATAGTGTATCTTTTGGAGTGTGAAACTGAGGCTGAGAGAAAGATGTAGGCTGTTGCTCACCAAATTTACAGAAGAGAATCCTGTCTCAAAGGAGCTATTTTTCCCCATTCCTGAGGAAAAATAAATAATCATGGCTAGAAAAGGGGAATTTGAGTTCATTTGATGGAGAGACTTTTGCAGACAGTTGAGTGTGTAACTGTACCTTATATACTCATATTTGAAGTAGTTCAATTTAAGATAAGGAACAGGGCAGGGTGGTTAGATTTAAAAACAAAACATCAAGTTAAAAATATTCTTTACAGACATTGGTACTCTCAGAAAGATACATTGCCTTTTCGAACCCGACTCCAAGATATGGGAAAGAGAAGACAGTCCAAGGACCTTACAGCAAATTCTTAATGCAAAAGAATGAAGTATATGTGAACATTTTTAAAGCAGTAGGGTGAGTGACCCCAGGATTCTCACTTCTCCTCCAACCTTACGTTGCATCAGGAGAAAACAACAGAGAGAAAGATTTTATTTTTTTAACCCTAAATGGTCCCCATAGTAATCTCACTAATAATTGATCAGGGCATTCTGAAAATAAGTTGCAAACTTGGGAAGATACAGTTTTTTTCAATAGAGGATAATTAAAATGCCTTCATAGAAATGGAGTACTTCTGGAGACTTCGACTTGGTAAAACTTGTGTTTGTTTAGTAATTCTTGATTTAAACAAAGCCAGGTTTATGTGTGTTGCGCTGGGGGAGGAGAAATAAGGAAACCAATGAGCTTATATACAAGTAAGTCACTTTTGTGTGGATTTGTGAGGCCTTGGCCCTTCTTTCTATTCCCTCTCCTTTTGGGATCTCATCCAAGCTAAAAACTTCAGCTGTGTCATCCACAGAGATAATTAATTTGGAAAAGAAAGATTCACAATGACCATGATAGTAAAATATTGGATAAGCTGTCTTGGGAAAAAGGGATTCGACTTCATTTCAAAGAAAGTCAGATTCCATCATCTGGGAGAGCCAGTCTGGGGCTAAGGCAGGTTTCCTACTGCTGATTAAAGCAGACGGACAGGGAGGCAAGAAGTTACAACTTTTGTCTACTTTCTTAGCCTGTTTCAGTAATGCTGCCCCCCTCTAAACTATTTTCATCATAGCATTAACACAATGCTCATTTTAACATATTATTTCAAAAAGAAAAAAATAGGAAGACAATCATATTTTGAGAATGTGGCCAAGGAGAATGACCTCTGCCACCCCATTCCCAGCCCAGCTATGCTTCTTCTTAAATGTGCTACCTTCAGGAGAAAATACTACAACCTACAGACGACATTTATAGGGAAGACTATTTCAACTCAATAAAGGGTATCGTTTTTTGTTAAAGCTATCTGGCAGCAAAGTTGGTGGCCTCAAGAGTTTGTAAGGTACCAGGAGTAAAATGTGTTCAGGTTGAAGGCCCAACTAACAGACTTTCTGGAAAGGAGATTTCTGCTTTGAGTTGGAGCTTCTGTGAAGTACCCTCTGAAGCTGCTTAGAACAGAGAGCTCCCTTCAGTGCCAAATCTGCATTTGCAACCTTGACCTACTTCCTGGAATCAGAGAGCCATAGAATTGGCTGGGACCTCAAAGCTTGTCTTGTCCAACCCATATGCAGGGAGATTAAAGAATTACCATGGCCACCTTTAAGCTCCAGTCACATTCCTTCAAAAGTCTTAGGTGAGAATCATCCCCACTCCACCAGTAATTTCCATCAGTGGAACCACTATCCTCTCAATTCAGAGGTGCAGGGACTCAACATCTTCTCTTCTCTTTGCCTGTCACAAGCAGTCACCAACGTGGGGTCAGTTCTTTCACAATGTCATTCCAAGCCTCCCTTTTCCATTCCTATCGTCACCACTGTAGTATTGCCTTCAGACTGTCTATAACTGCCTTCTGCTTATCCCAGATTCCAGTCTCACCACTTCTAAGCCATGACTGTCACCAGCTATTACCATCTACACAGAATCTGCAGGCTGAAAGTAACCTAAGAGCTCATCTTGCCCTCCTTCCTGTCTTGTGCATGAACTCTTACTAAAATGTTACCTCTGTCATCAGTATTTTCTCACCCATAAGTCGTCAGTGGCATCTCTTGCTAATAAGATATAAAGTTCTTATTCCATTGCTTTGCATTCATGCCTCCCCTCCCATCCTCTGCCAAGTCTGGCCACACCTCACTGTTTCAGCTGCTCAACATCAACCAGGGAGGCTGGTTTTCCCACTATTCCATGAACACCCTGACATTTCTCCTTCCAACTTACAAATGACAGCTAATCAACTCAAGCTAGCTTTTAAAAAGCGGATTAAAATAAACAGCTGATATGAAATAAAAGGCCAGGGATAGGTCTGGTTTCCTCAATCTTTGTCCTCAGGAGTCTGCCTCTGTCTTGGCTCTGCCTCTCTCAGTGTTGGCCTTATTCTTAGTTCATCCCTCTCTGGGTAGTAGCAAAATGGCCGCCAGTAGCTTCGGGATTACATCCTCTGAACAAGCAGCCCCCCAAAAAGGAGAACTTCCCTTTCCCATGGTTCCAGCAAAAGTCTCAAGATCATGTCTCAGACTGATCTGGATTATGGGCCATGCTGAGCCCTCACCGTGGCCAGATGGACAGAGTGCTTTGGTGAGCAAGGTAAAGTTCTGAATCACGGGAGCTGAGGGTAAAGGGTAAAGAAAATCAATATGCCAGAATCAAAAGAAGTGGGAGTGGAGACTGCAGTCATTCTCTGTGCCCAGAATGATCTGCCAACCCTCCTCAGCCTCTCCTGCAAGGTCCCGCTCAGGTCCCACTTCCCCCAGGAGGCCATTTTGTAGCCAGACTACTCACAATGACCATGAACTCCTACGATACTCACTTCCTGGAGCATTCCTAGTCTCTAAAATTAGGCGCTAAGGTCCTTAAAGGCAGAGACCACATCTTACACATCTTTGCATCTTTGTTTTCCTCATAGCAACTGGAACTGTACTTTGCATAGTTGATGTATAATAAATTTTTGTTGTTGTGAGTGACTTTTGGTACTATTAGCACATGTGTGGTGTGTGTGTGTGTGTTGTGTGTGTGTGTGTGTGTCAGAGAAAGAAATGAGGTGCGTGGAAAAGAAGATGTGCTTTGGCCAGGCACGGTGGCTCACGCCTGTAATCCCAACACTTTGGGAGGCTGAGACAGGCGGATCACCTGAGGTCGGGAGTTTGAGACCAGCCTGACCAACGTGGAGAAACCCCATCTGTACTAAAAAATACAAAATTAGCTGGGCATGGTGGTGTATGCCTATAATCCTAGCTACTCGGGAGGCTGAGGCAGGAGAATCACTTGAACCCGGGAGGCGGAGGTTGTGGTGAGCCAAGATCGCGCCATTGCACTCCAGCCTGGGCAACAAGAGCGAAACTCTGTCTCAAAAAAAAAAAAAAAAAGAAGAAGAAGATGTGCCTCTCTGCGGAAACATCAGCAGGCAGCCCATGGGCCTGGTGGCCGCATGACTAATACCAGTAATTGGCCATCTTGGTAGCCAGAGTTGAGGCCTCAGGTGAGGAGGTTTTGCATCCTTACCTGTTGGGCAGTAAAATCATGAAATTATAAGGTACTGGGTGTGGGTTATTTTGTCACTCTAACCTCACTTTCAGCAGGAAGGGACAAACATAAATAGGCCAAAAGGTAAGTTGGGGGAAAGACTGAAGATAATAGGGTGAGAGGGACATTTTTAGGGGAAAATAGGAACATAAATTCAGAGAAAAAATTAAGACCGTGGACAAGGTGACAAAACTTACTTATTCTCAGTAAAAATGAAGCCTATTTTCTCTCACATTGTTCACTTACAGCCTAATTTTACCTGTTTTCTTCTGTATAGGTGATTCAAGTGTGTGTGTGTGTGTGTGTGTGTGTGTTTCAATTTGGAGTCTCTCTCTTCCTCCCTGCCTCCCTCCCTCATGTACTGTCAGTGTTCTGTGATCCAGTGACCCTTTCCTCAGTAACTAGTTCCATATGTTTATTCACATCTATTTGCAAAACAACTTTAAGAAAATTATTTTAGCTAAGGCCATGTCATCTTGTTTTTGCATTCCTCTTAAATGAGCGGAATTCATTTGGCATGGTTTAAACATTTTAGAGGAGGAGGAATGTGCCTGTGTCGTATACGAAGCAAGAGCTTGTGTCATATAAAGTTGATCTAAAGAAGATGTTCTGGATATTTGGGGGTTAACTTTGGGCCCCATTGAAAGAGAATGGCTTGCATTCTTGAAGAGTCTCTAACAAAAGGAAACCATGGGCCATTTAATAATACAGCCCAGATGAGATTTAGGAATCATGTACACGGGGTTCTCAGACTTTAATATGCTTAAGAATCACCTGGGGTTCTTGTTCAGCAGATAGATTCCTGGGCCTTATCCCCAGAGATTCTGATTTTGTACATTTGCAATGGAGCCCAAGTAAGCACCCCAGGTGATTCTGGGTAGAGCAGCCCATACATCCCTCTTTGAGGAGCACTGACCCAGCCCAACCTCCTATTATCAAGCAGAAAGAAACTGCAGCCAATACTTGCAGTGACCTGTTGAACATCACACAGCCATTACAGATTGAGACTAGAACCGAAGCCTCTTGACACCCTGTCCAGAGCTTTGCCTGTCTGCCTGTCTTGTAAGAGGCATCATAGCATAGTGGTTAAACATATGGACTCAAGAGTCAGACTTTCTGGATTCAAATGCCAACGTGACCACCTCTGAACCATGAGGCACTCTGCAAATTACTTTTCCTCTCTAAGCCTTAGTTTCTTAATCAGTGAGGTAGGTGTAATAATACCAATTGTCAAGAGTTATTGGGAGGATTACACATGATAATACACATAAAGCACTCTGCATAATGCCTAATACATAATGAGTTCAGGTTAATATTTAAATGTGATTATCAGTGATTATCAGCTTATTGTTCTCATTTATGGTAAATTATCTCCATGTTTGAAACGTATTTACCTGTAGAGCTTTCCAAAAAGTGTAAGAGCCATTTGAGATGGAATGGCAAGGCATCTCTGGGGAACAGGAGAGGTGTACAGAGACACCTGTCCTCTGCTCTAGCCACACGTTTCCTCCCGTATTTCTGGCCATGGGTGGCTGATGTGGGACTCAACTACTCCCAAGTTAGAGTCGCTCCTCCGAGAGCTGTTCCTTTCTCCTTGTGCCTATGGTGGCTGTGAGATCTGTAGACATGGGGATGTTGGATCTGACGGTAAGCCGATGAACGTCACTTGTTGAGGGTGGGGGTGAAACCGTAATGAAAGGCCAGTCATGACAACATAAAAAATGTCACCATGTTATGGAATGTTACTGCTGAAAGGAACGTCAGAAAACATCTTGTCCGGCACTCTCCCTTCCTCCATTAATAAGTGAGGAAAGTACCTGATTTGAGACAGAGCTGGGATAAGAGCCCAGTTAATTCTTTCCTTCCCAGAAATAAACAAACACATGGAGCCTGCCTTATAGTATTAACAAAAGGGCCTCACAACTCAGTCAGATTTTAATATGTAAGCACAAGTTCATAACCTTGCAATAAAGACTGGAATCAAATGTTTACGCATGAGTGTATTTTCTAATTGGACTTAAAGTGTCTTTGTTTTTGCTTCCCACCTTGGGGAATAAGAATAACCCTGCTTAATCTAAAGGAACAATTTTGATACAATAAGAGAAAATGAACGTTTTTTCCTTTGTGTCTGACTATTTCTCCTGTACAAAGAACTTGTGTTCCAAGAAGTGCCTGGAGATGGCAGTTGGGATCATAATCACATTTACTGTTCAATTACACAAGGAGCCCGTATGTTAGGGTTAATGACACTCTCTTAAAAACAGCAACGACCAGCCCATTAATAAAGAGCAGCCCTTGCTGAGTCCCGCTTGAGGTGGTTAACTTAGATTTATATTAACAAATGAAAAATGTAAGTATAACCTCGGTCTGATGTAAACACATACCTCTATCAGCGTTAGTTTTTCATCTAAACCTGGGGTGCCTGGCCCAGCACTTAGAGCTACATGTTGAAGTCTTGCCTCTCTGGACAAAATCAAACAAGGGTTTAATCAAAGAAGTCAGGCACAAGGGGAGTACTTTTTCTGACATCTCCACGAGTAACCTCCCTCTCTTTTTCTCTGGTTGTGGGACCTGGTGTGCATCTGCCATTGTGAGGCCACAAAAGAGACAGGAACAAAGCCTTGTAAACGCACTTGGTGAGTGATGGCTATTGGAGCCGGTTAGTATGTTGGCCTCCGCCTTTGTGAGGGGTCACCCGGGATTTGTGAAAGTCCATAAACTGCCACGTCAGGAAGAACCACTGCTATTCGCAGCAACTGATAGCTGGCAGCAGCTGCCAACATTTTTTTTTAACTCAGGCCACATACCGCTCCTATCCCGCTGATTCTTTAAATGCTCCCCTCAGAGTGGCAGATGGTGACAGTTCTCCAGATGTTGCAGCTTTCATGTTCATCTGATGTTTATACAGTGTGCCAGGGTTATTTATTAAATAGAAGCACACACCCAGCACTTGCAGACCCAGGTGCATGCTTTGTAGACTGTCTGGCAGAACAGCTCTGCAGGGCTCAGGTGGAAATACTGCAACCAGACTGCGTTCTTTTTTTTTTCCAACCCTTATGTTTACAACCCCACTCCTTCTGCATGTCAGCAACATTTGCATTTGAAGCCCAGGGTGGTTTCTGGAATTGTGGGGTGTCTCTGATCCCCTTGCCCTCCTCTCTTGTGTGCCTTCAGCCTCCCAAGCCACATGAGTTCCCCAAAGCATTGAAGACCTGAGTTATGAAGGCATGTTTCATTCTGACCACAAATCGAATTTTGCCAGGATTTCAGCAACTCCAGCCCTGCTGTCTCATCCCTGTTTCTTTTCCCCTGCTGCTCACCCGGGGCAGCTCCCACCATACTGCAGAGGCTTGGGGGCCCAGGACTGGAAGATCCTTATCTGGTGGACATCTGTGCTGTTGCCTGCTGGGCACCCAGCCCTCCTTCTGAGAATCCTTCATGGGCAGCTACTCTTCCTCTTCCTCCACTTGATGTTAATGGGAACTGTCTTTTATAGTGCTTCACCTTTTTGCCCACAGGACTGGGCCATTTGGCTTTCTTGTCTAGGACTTTACTAACTGGAATGGAAGGAAGAGCATTCCTTCTTAATCATGAAGCTGGGAAGAGGTGCTCATGAGAGCAGCTGGCAGCCATGTTTTTATACTGCAAGGAAGGCACCAATCTGCAGGAGAATTAAACTGAGCCTTAGAGAGAAGAGACAAGAGACAGAAAGGGCCTGGTGGGTTCCAAGTCCTCGTTGCACTGTCCCAGGACCCTGGTGGCCACCTGCCCTTCCCTCAGCCTGGTTACTTGAGCCAGTACATTTTCCTCTTTTCCTTAAGATAATTTAAGCTGGATTTCTGTCACTTGCCATAAAAAGCCCTATCTAACATAGTCCCCTTGACCTCTGTCATGAAGCCACCTTGCTTTCCTCTGGTTCCTCAGCCACCGCTCCCCTTCCAGGCTCCAAGGGGAAGGAGGTTTGCCTTCTAAGTATGATGGGGAGGCAGGTAGGATGTAGGGGAGATGGCTGCTGCTCCAGGGATGACCATTCTGTGAGCTCCAGCAGTAGTCTTGGGCTTCTTCCAGATTTAGAGCTCTGGCTGTGGAGAAATTCATTCCAAGGCTCCTTGTGTTGCATCTCAGAGACCTCAAGCTGGGAGGGAGAGTGGGACCCCCATAGCTTTCTCTTCACCAACAAATCTGAAGTCCCACAGTGAAGCCTCCATGGTGTTGCTGACCACAGCAATAGGTATCTCAGCCTACTGTGGGACACCAGGTTAATGTAAGGGATTATCTTCTGTCCTTAGGAAGTATTCCCACAGCCAAGTAGCTGCCTTTCCTTCAATTAGAGCATGCTAACTTGGGCACGCAATGGATATTTTTCTCAGCCCCAAATCATTATTACTGACCACTGTCTTTGTCCCAAAGTCATCATGGAAAAGCTATTTTCTTTTATTTCTCTATGTATAAATACATTATTTTTTCTGTTCCACATTGCTGAGGTAGAATCTGCTGCTGGGGTCTTTTTATGAATGTCCTATCAGGTTGTGTTAACACAAAGCCAATTTTCAGAGGTATTTAAAGTAAGGCTAAGAGCAGAGGCTCTGGTGTTCAACTGCTTGGTTGGACTTCTAGATCTGTTACTTACCAGTGGTGTTCCCTGAAACAAATCACTTAACCCCTCTGTGCCTCAGTTCCCACGCATGAAAACTGACGCTAGGCACAGCACCTATTTTATAGAGCCATTGTGAGAAGTTAAATGTTATAGAAGACATGAAGGGCTTACCAGAGGGTCTACCACATTAGTACTCATTTAATAAATATTAGCAATAATAATCATTGTTTCACATGGAGGCTGTGAGATCTGTTTCTTATATTATAGTCTTTCTCTTTCTTCTGGGAAATGGGACTCAGCAAAATTAGTAGCAAGAAGACCAAAGGTGTGCTGGAAGAGAAAGATGCTGGGATGACCTCTTGCTCTTAGCACTGAACAGAAAACAGTTCTGAAAACCCACTGCCCTAAGCTCTCCTGTCCAATGCAAGCATAAAGGGAGCATCCTGGAACCCCAGCTGCCCACTGTGGACAGCTGAGCCCCTGTCTGCTCTCTATTTCCTCCTAAACAGGGCTGCCCTTGTGGGAGAGAGGACAAAGGTGAAGCTCGAAGGTGGGAGGAAAGTAGCCACCAGATGGAGTGAGGAAAGTCTCAAGAATGGGGTACTGTGTGGGAGACGGCTTGACGTCAGGAGCAGGAGGGGTGGGTGGAGGTTCTCTTTTGTGGATCAAAAGGACAGGGAGGAAAAGCAACAGATGAAAGAGGAGTGTGTACTCGTACAGATAGGAGCCACTTCTTGAGGGAGGACAGAGCCTCTTCCATGTCTCTTTTATGGCCTGGAAGAATCCCTCCTCTTCCCACTTTTTAGTCAGATGTGTACATCTGCAAAACCGCCAGCTCTTTGAGCTAATGTTTGTGCTAAAGGACATGATTAGATCCTGGACTTAATTTATGCATTTCTTTGATTCTGATGCAGCTGTGTAAGCCATGGTTATTTTATTTACTTTTCTCTGGACTCACCCTTTATGATTTTTCCTAGACTGCTTGTTCCTTTCTCTTGCTGCTTTTCTGAGCTTTTGATCTGTTTGCCCATGTGGATTAGGTGGCGGAATATGAAATTCCTGCTTTTCAGCCATTTTTGACCTACCAAAACAGCAATTTCATTTGGCCCAACTGAATATTTTCAAGTTAAGATTACAACTGTGAATTCCCAAGGGAGCTGGATTGTAGCCACCCGCCCGACTTCCTCACCTTCCAGTGGCATTCCATCTTTGGAACTGAGTGCCTGTAATCTTCTATCATCTTCCTCACCTTCCACAGATTTGAGGAAGATGGGAAGATGAGGCTAAAGACATACTTGATAGAAGAATACAGGCACTCAGACTGGCCTGGTATGGGGCCTGCTTCCCACCCATCAAGCCCGGTCCTCCACAGGCAGGTGAGAGACCAAAGACTTGGGGACAACCTGCCACTGAAGAGGAGGTTGTGGTGACAGAAAGCAAGTTTACTGTCAAGAATGGAAAATGGATGTGGGAGCAGCTCATGCTTAGATGGCAGCCCTCTATGCCAGGCACTGCTCCCTGTGCTGCCTGTGAATGTCACAGCAACCCCATGCCATGAGTACTTGGAATGTCCCCATCTGCCATGAGGGAGCAGAGGCACAGAAAGGTAAGGCAGCTCACCCACAGTTACATAGCTAGTAGGTGGCAGAACCAGGATTTGAACCCAGGCAGCCTGGCCCAGGAGTCCATGGTCTCAGCCACTCCACTATAAAATGGTGTTTGACCAAACAAGAATCAACAAGTGCCCATCTGTCCTTTATTGTACACTGCTAATCTTATTATTTATCAAATATTCCTGCCCAGCCTTTTCATTTCAGTGCTGTCCTGGCATTGTTGTTGGCTTGGATGAAGTAGTTTTTCTGGATAAACTCTAATGTAAGTCCCTTGGTAATTATCTTCTTGATGATTAATTCTCCTGGGATTTTACCACCATCCTCTGCACACTTGTGCAGCCCTTGACACTTGACAAAGCAGTTTCAGGTTCATCTTCTCATTCATTCCTCACAATCCCTGTCTCCTGAATAAGGAAACTGAATTCACAGGGCGCTGCTAAAGAAATGCTTTGACTCCCCTTGACACCACCTTCAGGGGCTGCATGACTTTAGAGAGCGATCTAACCTCCCTGAGCTTGTTTCTTTATTCCTAGATCGGGAATATTCATAGCTGGCAGGGTTGGTGTCCAGCGCTGTCTGTGAACTTGTCTATCTTGTAGACATAGTAGAGGTCCCTTCCCTTTTTGGTCTACTTGAGGCTGGCTATCCCATGTTAGTCCAAATCACAGTCATTGGCATAAACTGACACCAGGTCTATAGGTTATAAAGCAAACTAACCTAGTTACACATTCTTTACTCTATAGTTGGAAACTACTGTAGTTAAATGGCTGCTTTTAGAGTGTTTCATTTGCCATGTGGAGGCAGTGATAGTAACTCTCCCAAGGACTCACTGTGAGGACTGAGGAAGGTAATGCACCGAGTAGTACCAGGCACTCTGTAAATACTCAGATAATGGAGCCATCTAGGTGTTGTAGTTGTTGTTACTGTTATTCGTTTGTTTATACTTTTCCAAGGAGCCTTCATATTCACCCTACCCAGCAGAAAAAGTTGCTGGGCCTATGGGACATTTTAAAGTTATAAACTTTTCTGCTATCTGTGGCTACTAAAAAGATACTTTTACTAGATTTCAAGATGTTAGCATTCATTTTATCACTGGTTCCCTTCTGTTTGGTGACTTTCCCAGGGAATGGTTCAGTCACATGAAGATTTCTATTTTTATCTGGGAAAAGGTGGGGGAGAAGGTAAGTGACATTTAGGGAATGAAAGGATCATCATTTTTCTAATGGACCTGTTTCCAACATGTGTCCCCTTATCTCTAACAGATTGTAATGCTGTAAACCTTTCTGTTCCACACTAAATCATGAGATATGTATCAGGAAAGAAAGGGGCCTTCAGCAATCCATGCTGGGGTCACCTAGATGTTGCCCATATGTGATTACTGCCTATTTCAAAAGAAATTAAAATTTTAAAATTAACTATTGCAGTAATAATGGAAACATTTTAAAGCTTATGTTTACTATTTGTGGGAGAGAAGATAAACTTTTTTCTGGAGTAAAATTAAACGGGCCTTGTTGAACTTACTTGCTTTCTCTCTCAGGAGCTGTCAGCCTTTCTAAGGTGCCAAGTCTGAAGCTATTCATTCCCTTGGAGCAGACCGCAGGGGCCTGCAGAGAGGAGGGCAGCTGCCTTTAGATTGTCCCCCAGAAAGATGCCTGATGGTGGTGTGTTACTGTCTGGGCCTCACGTGGGACCATTTGGGGCAGAGGTGTGAGAGGGGATGGGGGTGTGAGAGGGGATGGGGGTGTGAGAGGGGATGGGGCTGTGAGAGGGGATGGGGAGGTGAGAGGGGATATGGTAGGGAGTGGCTTTGGGCTACTACTCAGACAGACGAACAGAGAGAAAGTAGAAGTGTGGCTTTCCTGCTTTCCTCCTGTCTTCTGCCTCTAGTCCAGGCTTCTCTTACCAACCTGGCATCTGAGCTCATCTCTAGGTACTGTCTCCGTGTACAGATATCACTCTGTGGCCTGCCACTCCATCATCTCTTCGTTCTTAAGATACTGATCACCTAGGGGTAGAGCGCCTTCTCCTCTGCACAGTGTTGAAATGCATTTTTGTAATCCAGCTCCCTTTTTTAATCCTCCATCGCCATTAAGTTTTGCTGCAGTAACAAATTAACCCAAAAAGTTCAAGGACTTAATTCAATTAAGACCTTATTTCTTGCTGATTTTACATGTTCAATATGGCTCAGTGAGGTTTGTGTTTCACATACTTTCTCAAAGATCCAGGCTGATGGAGGCTCAGACAGCTCAAAGCTGCACCATCTTGAGGTCTCCACAGAAACTATGGTGGGGAAAGAAGAGCTGAGCTGGAGGGTCTCGTGTAAGCTTTTGGAGTATCACTTCTTACAGACTCTTGACAAGAACTAATCACATGACTTCTCCTAACTGCTAGGGGGCTGGAAAATTAGGTGGATCCTACAGATAGTCAGTATGCAGATGATGCTTCTGCCACAACACATCCCCCCAAATTTTCAATATAATTGAGTCGATTACAGCTTTCCAATCGTAAGTTAGTCTTTCTAAGGGTACTGGTTGGCTAGATTGGAGTTGTCAGTTTTCAAAGATTTCCCAGTCTCAGGTTAACAAGCCTTCTTCTGTGCTCTTAGACAATGTAGTATGCATGTTGGTTATAGACCTTACCATGTTGCATTAGATTTAGTCGTCAGTGTTTCTGTTTCTGCCTCTCTATGCTTCTCCGTGTCTTAGCCAAACTTCTAAATCTTGAGGGCAGGAAATAGGTGTTTGGAGTTTTTTAAAGAAAAACATTGCTAATACTCAGCAGAATGGCTGGCTCTTTGGTGAGTCAGGGAGGAAGGAAGGGAGGGAGAGAATTAATGAATGAATGAATCAATCAATCAAAGCCACCTCTTAGAGTATGTTAGTCCCAAACTAAACACATCTATTATGGGTTGATTTTACCAGTGTAGTGGGCATCAGTCTCAGGATAAATGTTCGGGTGTATAACAAATGCAACTTTAAATGTTTTTCTCTAATTCCTTTAATTTACATGTTGTGCTCCCATTCCACTAAGTGGGGGAACGGAATTGCTGTCTGGTAATTCCAGGTCCCCCATCACCTTTTTCCAGGGCCATGTCTAATCTGGAGGCCAAGACTGTAAGGAGCTGGTATCTGTTCCCGAATGCTGTCTGTCCTGAAGGCATCTCCATGACACATTTTGTCTCATTGAGCCTCCACTGTCAGTCCACAAGGTCCTGGTGGGCGCCCCCTAGTTCCTGTTTGAAAGGCTTCTGGGGTCTAGTTCACTATATCCCCAAGTCTCTTTAAACTCCATTAGGTCAAGAGAAGCCTTCTTCAGCCATTGAGGAAGGGAGCCCAGGGCACCTTGAGAGTCCATTCTGGGTTTCACCTACAGTCATGCCACATGAGCCACGGGCAGTGCAGGGCCATGGAAAACTCTATGACCTTGTCTGACATGTCACACAGCCATTTCTGCTCTAGGTATTTTGCTTTCCTGTATTTCATTCAAAGGGTAAAACATAGATTCCCTTTGTTCTGTAAACCTACAAACATGTCTGAGCATTCTCTCTCTCTCCCCCAGGGCTTTGCTGCAGAGATGGCTAGGGGGCAGGGCCCCTTTTCTCAGGAATGTAGAACATTTACTTATTCTTTGTTTTCCCATTAGCTCTCCTCTCCTTCCACCCCAACTGCATTCAACACCACCCAACTCCCAACGAAGGGACATATTTCCAGTCTTGGGGACAAGAAGTCTAACTTTGCCTCTTTCAATTTTTCGAGTATCCACAAGCATTACAAACTCAATACCTAAATGACTGAAATGTGTTATAAGGTCAGAAAAATGTGATTTTATGCGTGTATGTAAAACCCATTAATATTTTGAAATATTTTGTTGCCATGCTAGTGCCACTCTCTGGGCAGTCTTCTTTTGTCCTCAGATTTAATTGAGGGCATCTACAGCTTGTCTCATACCCCATCCACAAGTGTCTGCTGCACTGTTGTGTGTACAGATGTGTTTGTTGGTGCCATCGGTCCACCCCTTCTGCCTAGAGTAGACCTGCAGGTAGGTTTGTACAGCACATTTGAGAGGCCTGACATAAAGCCAGGCTTCACATGGCTAGCCCAAGACCCTGTCACCAGAGGCTGCACTTCTTTCTGGATTCTGCACCAAGGTTCAAAAACATCTTGTGCACTCTCACAATTTGGTGTTACAGGCCTGGCTTACTTAAGCCCTAAATAAAAGGATGGAAAATTGTTCTTTCATTGTTTTCCTGGAGCATTAGGTCTGGCCCTTGTGGTTCACCCTTCTGTCCCTGCATGTCCTCAGAAGGGGGAAACGTTGAGACTTCAGCGTGGTCACAAGAGACTGCAGTGCTGAGAGCGGAGCCAGTGGACCAGGAGGAACTGATTTCTCTGTGCCTCTCAGTAACACTGTAGGAAAAACTCTCCTGTCCGTGGGAACCCTGAGGCAAGACAGCTCATGTAGGAAAGAGTTCAAGAGAGAACACCTGTTGGTTAAGTCAAAAATGAAAATAATGGACCTCAGACATCAAAAGGGAAAGTGGCTGCTTTCAGAAACAGCTGAAGCTACAAATGGCTGTGGGAGATGAATGCAATGCATCCATAAAGAACAGGCCTGTGCAGTCCCTGAGCTCCTAGGCTGTACACCCCAACCACACTTCCATAATGTACACATTGGAAAAGATGCCATTGTTAAAATATGGACTTATAAGTCGAAGTATTCATGTAAAATATTTGTGAAATATTTATGTAAAAAATGCTCAGACATGTTTGTAGGTTTATAGAACAAAGGGAGTCTATGTTTTACCCTTTGAATGAAATGTAAAATATGTGTGTGTGCATGTGTATAGTAAACTGATGTCCTGAGAATATTTGAGTGTCCTATAGAACTTATGGTGAGAACATGGAGCACTGGTGAGGTCACCTGGCTTTGTCTCAGGTCCCTCAGAGAGTTGGTGGCTCAGCAACATCTATCCAGTCCAGTCTTGGGGCTGCCTGTCCTATGCTTCTCCTCCAGAAGGCTTTTTGCTCAGAATTTTAACTCCCTATGATGATGCAGGAGTCTTCTTAAGCCACCTCTTAAGATGCCTGCTTTTAATTAATTTGTATTAAAAGAGCCTGTGTAGGGAGAAGAAAATAGAAGGCGGGATGTGGGAGAAAGAGAATATACATTACAACCCTGGAAATAGATGCAGAAAAATAATCAATCCGCCCATCGTTTTAAATCTAGCCTGTCCACCCCCATGAAGACTACACACTGTCAGGAAAAGGAGAGGATCCAGCGTGTTCTTCTGTTGGTTGCTTATGCTGATGGCTGCATCCTCCAGAGTTAACAAATCATATATATAAGTAGGAGTTGGAAATTAGCACAATATTTCCATATGTGAACCACTGGTTGCAGTAAAGAGACTTGGCATGTCCCCACTAGGAACAGAATATTAGCACTGACTTACATTTGTTTAGTTCTGTACAGATTAAATTGCATTTTCACTAGCTCATTGGCATCTTCAAGATAACCTGAAGGTCACTGTAGTTATCTCCCTTTACAGAAGCAGAAACTGAGGCTGAGAGTTCAAGAATCTGTCCAAAGTTGCTAGCTCGTGAGTCCAGGCCCTTTGACTGAAATCACTTGTTTCTTCTATGGTGCCGCAGCTGCATCATCATTACTTCCCGGTCTTTGGGGGCTCATGGATGTTTGTCAGAGTGCTGGGAAAGCTGTGGCTCTGCTGATTAAGAGCCATGTGCCAGGGGGACAAAAGAGGGAAGAGAAAGCGCATTAACAGAGCACTTGCTGTGTTCCAGGCATGTAATAGCCTTTATCTCGTTTAATCCCTCTATTTTATTTACAACACTACACTCTCCCACCTCAGGGTTCCAGCCTCTGCTGTATCCCATATGGATTTGGGTAGTATCACACCTTTAAATTTGTGTCATTCTCTCTTCCCTGATCCTGTGTAAAGAATTTTTTGTACGTGATTTTTTGTGATTCACATGATTTCTTCTAGGATTTGCCTGCTTTTTTTTTTTTTTTTTTTTTGGCCTATTTTTCTACTTGGTTGTTTGTATTTTTCCAATTGATTTTCTTATTGATTTCTTTGTTTACTTATGTAATCCTTTGTTGGTTTTATGTTACAAATACCTTATACTAGCTTAAGGCTTAGCTTTTCACTCTGTTCATGGTATCTTTCAATTTTTTTTTTTTAATTTTAAAGTTTTGGCCTTTTCACATTTAGTACACCTGTATTTTTTTTCCATGAAATTTGTAATCTAGGGATGAAATTTTATATCGTTTTTTTGCGAACACCATTTGCTAAGTAGTTCATCCTTGCCCCTACTGAATTTCAGTGCCATCTTGGTAGTATATCAAGTTTCCATATGTGCATGGAACTGTTTGTGGGCCCTCTGCTTTGTTTCATTCATCTAAATGTGTCTATCCCTGTGCCAATACCACCCTGTCTTAATTACTATATATGTATAATGAGTCTGTTCTTCTTCAAATTTTTCATGGTTATTCTTAACCATATGCTCTCGCATAGGTGTCTTAGAATCAATTTGTAAAATTATACATACACACTTCACTTTGTGATTTTCATTGAAATTGTACTGAATTGCTAGATCAATTTGTAGAGAATTGGTATTTTTACAATACTAATGCCTGATGGAACCTGAGTTTCAACTGCCATAAGCCTATGAAGGCCGGAGCTCGCTCTAAATAATGAAATGACTTCTGGCTTCTGTCTGTCAGTTTCCCCGTGAATGGAAAGCCCTTTCCGAATGGCCATCCTTCAACAAATCTTGAGTTCATCATGACAGATATTTTTCTTGATGGTGAGCTGAAGGGAGAAATGATTATTGTAGTGCAGTTTGCCAAGACTTTTTTCTAGCTGAGTGATCAAATATATGTAATTAGGGAGAAGAAAGCCTGTAAGAACAGTGCAGGAGCCAACTCAGCTCTGACAGCTGAGTCCCTGAGATGGCCTGAATGAAAGCGCTCACATGCACCAGGGCACAGTGAGCAGCCTGCATGGGCTGGAAACTGTCAGCAGGACAGAGATGCAAAAATAGAATAGGACAGTGCCATCGAGCCTGCTGAGGTTGACATGCCCAACCAATTTCATTCCAAAGATTATTACCCTTTTCTTCTGATGTCTACTTTCCTGATCCTCCCAGCTTTCCAACCATAAGTACCTAAGACTCAAAGAAAAACAATCCCTGAGTCCTGAATAGTAATAATGCTAATCCTTTGTTCTAGGAGGTTCCAATCCTGGTAAATGAGGATTTTTAAAAGATGAGAGCCTATTTCTTTTAACTCTTAAGATTTTCTAGAAATTAAAATAAGTGGCTTTATTATGGTAAACTACAGAAACATAATTAATATTT
Organism: Homo sapiens; assembly: GCF_000001405.40. Classification (NCBI taxonomy): domain Eukaryota; kingdom Metazoa; phylum Chordata; class Mammalia; order Primates; family Hominidae; genus Homo; species Homo sapiens. Next base: position 52,946,625 of record NC_000004.12, on the reverse strand, counting down.
TTGGTTAAGGAGATGAAAACATAGTGATTGTTTATGACCCTAATCTTAGTTGTTATGATGATAAGTCATTTTTATTCCTAATTACAGAAAAATTCTTGAGAACTCTGATACTCCTTTCTCTTTGCTTAAGAAGGAACTCTGAATTTTAGGTATTTTCATCAAATTTTTTTTTTAGAAGTAAAGGGCAAATATTCCTAACATTTTTAGAGTAAGAATACTTTGGTAATTTTGAAACATGCCATTTCCTATCCTTCTGAAAGTACTCTATATATTTATTTTTTAAATGGAAAATTTTAGAATCTTTTCCTATGAGATCTTAAGGATCTTTTTGGCATACTGAGATAAACCTATGATGTTCACGGCTGATAATCACAGCTTTAGAAAATGCATTTTATACCAAGAAGGAAAACATAGCTGGCAAACCATCAGAACTAACTGTGGTATTAAAAATGCAGATCCCTAGTACCATGCCAAGAGATTCATTAGACACCTGTGATAATTTTCTATGCTTTTGAAGCAAGAGTCTTATTGTCTCAATTTTTTGCAAATAACCTATTTCATTTTTCCATGATAGTAACTTATTCCAAATGCACGTGGTTTTATTTTCTCCTAAAACTAAAAAAGTTAAAAGATTATTTTAAAAGGATGCAGCATTTGCTTTTTAAAATCAGTTAATTTAGGGAAAAGAAAAGAATATAACCCCCCAAAATGTTCGATGTATAAATCCCAAACTCATTATTCCTTCTTGAAAAAAGAGAAAGGAATGTTAAAATTCTCATGAGTCTTTCTGTAACTGAAAGGTTAGAGAAAGAAAAAGAGAATTGAATTTAAAGTCAGTAAAATAATAATCCCATTTGAAACTTACGTTATTTTTCATGGCTTGGAAAGTATGTCCAGGAATATCTGATAACTGAAGCCGCTGAGAAGGCAGTGTCCTAGTGGGAGCTGTAACTGTCTGCTGATAAGGAATCCTTTCCCTTTGGTTTTGTTTATTGGTAGTGGTGATGTTTTTTGAATTTGAGTCTTGCCCTTGACATTAGCAGAAGTACAACTCATTTTTCCATGGATGAACACTAAGTATTAATGTAAAAAGAAACATCTGTAAAAAGGTCAGTGTTAACATCCTCATACTCATTGCCATGACAAGGATATGGAATTATTTTACCAGACTAAGTTAAAATATATGTGTTGAGGGGGAGAGGATTTGGGGAGAGAAAATCTTAAGTGTGGGCTGGGGATATAAAAACAAGGCATTCCAACCAGATTTTCTGGGCTGTGCCTTTAGTTCTCTAAAGAAAAATAATTTAAATATATAATTAAATAAGATTCATAATGCTTATAGCATACGAATGTGATCTCGAATGAAATTTAAACAATAGAGATAAAAGCACAAGTCCCTCTTGAGATCTCTTTTTCTAATTTCACCCCTTTCCATATGTAACCCCTTTCATCAGTTTTGATGTAGTCTTCTACATTCTTTTGTAAGTATTCACATACAAATTTATCTGCAAAGAAATGCTTAGAAGTATATAGAGCTTTTTAAAGCATTATGACATAATATTCTGCATATTGTTCCACAGCTTGCTTCTTCCACTTAATATGTCTTAGTTATTTTCAGATAACTCTATAGAGCTTTTTTAGTGACTGCATATTACTCCATATTATTAATTTAGTCTTTACTTATTGATACAGGAGTTGGTCAAGAAATATCTGCAGCTAGGTGGACATGGAAGGTTTGATTATCTCTGAGTAGCTCAAAGACATTTAATGACTCCAGGGAGGGGACTTCAGAAGGAGGCCACCTTCTCCTTCCACCAGTTAACCTGGAGGTTACTTCACCTACCTATAGCTCTCCTCAGAGGGATGTCTCTGATCAAGCATTAGGCAACAGTGGCCAGGCACTTTAGTGAAATATATTTAAAACTAAATTCAAAAGTTGAAGTAGAGTATCTATTATGTTAAACATGTGAAAAGAGAGACCAGGCAGTTTTGTCCTTGAGAGCAAAATTTAGATGATAAATTTGTCATTAGAACAACAGACATAGGTAATTCAATCTTTTAAATAAAAGAGTCATGACATCTATCTCTTTACAGTGTTGCATAGTTCTCTAGCATGGACCCTAAAGAACTGAATAATATAGTTAGCTATTATCTTTTTCTGTCTTATGGTCTCTTCCTTTAGTGGTTTTAACCCTACTTGTCATGGTTCTTCTCTTAAGTCCCAGATATTTGGGCATAAGAAGGAACTTAACATTTCTAAGACATGATTGTTATAAAAGCAATATAATTTCAATGTCTTCTCCCACAACCAGAGACATTTTGGTATAGAACTCAATAACATTTCTGCAGTATGGAAATCTTTTGACAAATGAGATAAACAGTAATACATAATTTGTATGAATAAAGAAACAAGAGAATTCTCAGTCTTAGTCCACAATGACATAAAATAAATATTGAGAGGTCATATGATATAATTATATTAATCCAGATACAACTAAAAGAGACAGAATGTGTTTAAAATTACAAGTGTTATCTATCATTCAATAAGGCCCATTAAGAATATTTTTAGTGCTCATTATCCTTGTCAGTTTCTAAGGGTTTATCTGCTAAATAATTGTTTGTACTTTTAACATTTTGACATCCTGGAGCTCTTGTAGTTAGGCTTTCATTTCATGTGATTGTTTGATAAACAAATGTTTTCAATGGGCTAAAAATAAAGCTATACCATGTGTCTGAATTCAGCCCTCCCACATGGTTCTATTTTAGGCACATTGAAGGGTTGGGAGAAGAAGAAGGAAGCCAAGATGGGTGATACAGAGCCATTGCATGGTGAGCTCAGGGTCTCTCCTCATGTCAGCCTAATATGCTAGGGTTTGGTTTGAATGTGTCCCCTCCAAAATTCAAGTGTTGCCAATAAGATAGTATTAAGGGGTGGGGTCTTTAAGATGTGATTAGACCAACAAAGCTCCTCCCCTATGAATGAGGATTAAGTGCCCTTATAAAGGGGCTCTATGGAGGGGGTTGGTTTTCTCTTGCCCTTCCTGTTAGGGATAAGGGAAATTCACAAAGTTAGGATATGGGCACAAGTTACTCACTGCATGGTGAGTGCTTGAAGGCCAGATTAATACTATGTATCAATTAAAGAGAAGCTACACCTGGTTCCGCCCTGTGAAGATGCAGCAAGAAGGCCCTCACCTGGCACTTTGACACTGACTTTCCAACATCCATAAATTTACTGTGAGGAAGTAAATTTATGTTCTTTATTAATTACCCAGTCTGAAATATTCTGTTATAGCAGCACAGAACAAACTAAAACATATACCTAGCATAAGCTTAATGCCTATCTTTAACAGGGTTTTTGTTTTGTTTTGTTTTGTTTTGTTTTGTTTTGTTTTGTTTTGTTTAAGGCATGAGTTACTGACAGTTTCTTTAATATGGGATGTTTGGAATTCAGCACATTCCGTAAGGCATACTCTTGACACTAGTGCCAGAGAAGCTGGGGGCTGCAGCTGGCCTTCTTGTGTCAGGCATACCATCTTGAATCACTGGGCTACTCCCATACCTTTGTTTTGTTTAAATTATTTTTTACCATTTTAGGAGATTTTATTTAGTAGTATCAAGGTAAAGTCAAATTCAGATAGTACCAAATTCCCTTGTGCTTAATGACTTTTTTTTTTTTTGCTTTTACTTTCCATGGCAGATTTATATAGGTCATATCCTTAGCTATCTATAAGCTTTCCTATATAGGCAAATCCCATTTTGATGAGGAATATTCTCATATCAAAATGCTCAGAATATTTCCAAGGCCAAGCCACTGCTAGCCCACTTGTTTTGAGTTATATTAAGTGGAGTGAAATACTTTCTCCCTGGACCTTAGTCCCTCTCCCTTCTGTACTTCTCCTCCTGAGATGTCATTCATTGAGAGTGCTACGTAAAGGTAACTTTAACAAAGTTGCCTTTCTCTCAGTGTCAGGCACTGTTTCAAGGGCTTTCCATATAGTAACTCATTTATTCCCCCAACAACCCTATGAAGGAGGTACTTTTATCACCCATATTGAATTTATGAAGCCCAGAGAAGTCAGGTAATTTGCTCAGGCCCCCACAACTAATGAATGGCAGAACAGGACTCATAACAGTCTCCCTGGCTCCCTGGCCCTTGCTCCTAACAGCCACATGATTCTACCTCTCCTAAGTTAGCACTTCCAGCTAAGATAGTCACATCTGTCCAGATCAGCTCCCAGTTCCTCTAGCATGACATTGGTGCTGGAATCAGAACTCTCAGCTTCTTTCAAACTAGCACACACTTTCCAGCTTCTCCATTATGTCCCACAACCCACTCTCCCCCTTGTCCCTTGGCTAAAAACTAAAAAGCTAATCTTTTGCCAAATATTCTGTAGCTTCTGCCTGCTGTTTTCCTTTTTCTTTGACAACCAACTTTCTACCATCTAGAGTCAAGATTTTAGTTCTTTTCCTCCACTTTCTGTATACTCCAATCCTACCACACATAGACACTAGAAAAATCTTTCCTCTCGTATACCATTTTCATCAAACTCTTGGCCCTGTGAAAGAATCAGCAGTAGCTTCTCTTTAATTAGTATAAACAGGTTGAACATCCCAAACCTAAATTCAATATGCTCCAAAATCTGAAACATTTTGAGCTCTGGCATGATACTCAAAGGAAATGCTCATTGGAGCATTTCAGATTTCAGAGTTTCAGATTAAGGATGCTCAACCAGTAAGTATCATGCAAACATTCCAAAACCCAAATCAAAACATCTTAAATCTGAAACACTTCTGGTCCGAAGCATTTTGGATAAAGGATACTCAACCTGTAGTATTCACATGGCCTCTTAGCATGCACTGTGCAGTGGGTAACTTGTGCCCACATCCTAACTTTGTAAATTTCCCTCATCCCTATCAGGGCAGGCCCTCTGTTTAAGCTAGGCAGTCTGTTTCAGATGGAGCCATTCATTCAACAAGCATTTGGCATGTGCCTTCTGTGTGCCAGATAAGTGAACCGGAGTGAGTGTCTGGCTTCCCAATACTCGCTGTCCAATGATGAAGACAGTTAGGTTTAACACAGTGGGGTAATAATTCAACATTGTATTTCTGGGATCTTCTTAAGACTACCAAGGGAGCATCTCAGCTTCTGGGCAAGGAGTCCAAGAAGTTGAGTGTTTAGTTTTCCAGCCTCTGTTATATAGAAAGACCCACCAAAAGAAGCAGAAATAAATGTCAGAAAAGCTATCACCCTCTCTGCCATGCACGGCTTTGTTTATATTTTGAGTACTTATTACGTTCTAACATTTACTTACATATCTATTTGTTCATTATCTGTCTCCTCAGCTAGAATATAAGAGCCATGAAACAGGTATGTATGTTGTCTTGTTCACCATTACATCCCCTAGAAACTATATGCTGCATAGTAGGTATTCAATTAATATGTGCTTAATTAATTTTGTCAGCTGAAAAGATCTTTCTGGAACTGTGTTGAAAAGGGGTGTGAGGCTACCTTCTCTTCTGCAGGAAAAAAAAAAATGCCAGGATTTAGCATGGTTTTTTATGGCTTGGATAGAGGGTCTCAGAACTTAGGCTGTAAAACTGCTATCTAGGACCGGGGGAATCAAGGGAGGTGTCATGGGAAAGGGGACATCTGAGCTGATATATCAGAGAGAAGGAGAGTTTACCAGGCACAGGATCAGAAGGGCATTTCTAACAGTGGAAAGAGCGTGCCCAAGGGTCTTAACCAGTCCTCCCCTAAAGAACATGCTCATTCCTACTCCCACAGGGTGGTGTCTACTCTTTCTACCTTAAAATGCTCGTCCCTTCCGCACTTTCTATCAGTTTGTGTCTTCTCCTATAAGTGCTTAGTCCTACAACAAGAAGTCCCTTTGCGCATTACCACAAAACAGATTGTTCCCTGGCCGAGCCCTCAGAAAAATCAGTTTAATAGGGACACAGGGGTACTCTTCTGAAATCCGAACTTACGAGCAGTGGTTCATGTTTCCTGTCATTTCAGCTACATTCCTCTTTCTAGCTGCAATTGGAATCCCCAGATTACAAGAGTCCTCCCAGGTCATCTTCTAATCTACCTTATGCATTAACCCTTCTATAGTTAGATTGTCAAACTGCCCAGATACGGACTGTGTCTTTAATTTCTAATGTGGGACTTACTTGTCTCTCTAGTTCACATGGTCCTACATTGTGACCTAGCAGCCCCTACTCTGACATTTCCACTCAGGAGAGCCATTTATTTCTTAATTTCCATGTGGGAGGGATCTCCCTGTGAAACTGAGAATGCAGATCTATTAATACATGCTGAGTGTAGTCGGAACAAGCCCCAGCCATTCTGGGGTCCTTGGCTGGGTTTTAAAGGGGCTCAGGCCTCTTGATGCTTTACAGCACCTGAGGTTCCTCAGGCACCTTTCCACCCCAACGGCTGTTCATTCTATCAGGCAACCAATCAACATTTATTGAGTAGCTCGCAGGTCAGGCATAGTAAAGTTCTGATAAATGTGACCAAGAGTCGTAGCCCAGCAGGGAAGACTAGCAAGCAAATTGCCCTTCTGTCCTCCTGAGTTGGGGGTGCCAGCTGCCCTAGAGGGAATGTAGGCTCCCTGCTTGGGTTTGAATTCCTAAGCCAGCTGGGCTGGGGACTGCTGTTAACAGCAGAGCAGAGCTTCTCTTGGTTTTCACAGGTGACTTTGATGTCACCAGCCAGTGGCAGCATGCCACCAGAGTTATGTGTGCCAAGGTGAAACATATGGCATATTCTTACCAAATGTGTGCAAATCTGGACAGGAAGAGATGATGACGTTCATGGTGCTTCTTTATTTGGCCATTATTCCTCATTTATTTCCTAGCTTTCCTTTCTCTGCTTTTTTTTTTTCATTTTTTCTTTCTTCCATTCCTTTGAGTGTACTCTTAAGTCCAAACCCATCCTTACCCTAGTCAAATGGCTCTTATCACACCATAATGAAATTACCACTTTACTTGTCTGTTGCCCACACTAGATTGTCAGCTCATCAACAGAACTGTCTTGTTCACTCTGAGATTCGTAGCACAATGCCTGACACATAGTAAGCATCTTATCCCTTTTGGAGAATGACTCAGTGACTGAATGCCTTTCCCTCCTAGTGTTCCTATGTTTGGCCCTTAGAGTAATCTAGTTGCATATGCTTTTTATAGACAACATAGTATAATCACAAGATTCAGACAAGCCTGGATTGGAATCTCATCTCTGTCACTTACTAGCAATTCTGAACATCAGTTTCCATAGAAATAAAGTGGAAATAATACCTACTTCTCAGTATTGCCAATACCAAGAAGATTAGGTGTGATAACCTGTAAATATTTAAAATATCATAATGGCCAATTAATGTTTGTTTCTATTTTCTTTCTAATTGGCTGCATAGATTCTTTATTCATTTTCTTTTTCACCTAGACTGTGGAGGGTTGGCATTTGTATCTGTTAGGTTGTGCTAATAACAAACAACCCCACAATCTCAGTAGTTTAAAACAATGGCTGGTTTCTTGACTGTGCTATGGGTCCACCTCAGATCTATGAGGGTTCTGCCAGACATCCAGAAGTCCCCTGGCTTCCATGATCACTGAGGCAGGTAAAAGGGGGAGTGGTAAATTAGACACTGGCTTTTAAAGGCTTCAGCTCAGAAGTGGCACATGTCCCTGCCACTCATGTTTTACTGCCCAATCCCTACCTCATTCAGAGAAGAGTAAAATCCTACCACACACGGAAGAGGAGAACTGGTATATTGCTGAACACCGATGACGAGTCCAGCAATATTTAAGATGAGTTGACTTTGAAACACAATGAAACCTTATTCATTTAGGTTACTTTAATCTAGATTGAGAGTGAAGATTGTTGAACAAAAGAGTAAAATCAATAAAATTACAATGGCAACTGCTTAGCCTGCTTAAGAGAATAAAAAATTATTTTAAGGACATTAAGTGTTAGTTATTAGCTATAGGGCACTTGAGTTGGAATCTAATTTTAAGGGTTCATCACAACAAGCAGTACAGACCTCTGCTTGTTAGTATATTACAGATTAGCCCTAGTATCAATATGTATTTACAGGTAATAAAAGTGCAGTTTCTAAGTAACTCGTAGGTTTGTCATAATTTAAACTGATCTTTCTCCTAGCCATTTATTTAAATTTGGACTATTTTACTGTGTTTGTACTATACTTTTTATCATAGTCATTTCAGTGTTTATTGATTTCCTGCAATAGTAAAAACATAACATTTAGGAGTCTGGGCTCTGGGCTCAGACTGCCTGGGTTCAAATAATGGTTCTGCCATTGACTGGCTGCTTGGCCTTAGGCAAGTTACTCAACCTCTCTGTTATTTTTCTCATCTGTGAAATGGGGATAATGCTAGTACCTACTTCATAGAACAGCTCTGAGGAGTAAATGAACTAATACATATAAAGTACTTAGAACAGTACTTGGCACATAGTAAGTGCTCAATAAATGTTAACTATTTTCATCATTTTTAGACACAGTGGAGAAATGCAGAGGAAGTGTGATGCAGGCAGAAGTTTTTATGTTTTGTTTGCTGTTCTAACCCATGTTTAGGACAGTGTCACATGGCAGGCACTTAGTAAATATTTGTTGAGTCAATGTATGAATCAATGTATGAGCACTACCTTTGTGAAATTTAAACATCGGCTTAATTCTTGATTCCTTTATTGGAATAATAAGAAAATTTCCTTTTCTTAAAGCTACCTTAACCAACCTTGAATTTTCAGGATCCAGAATGAACCAGTAAGTAACCTCACTGGTCAAGGATTTTCATTTTTTCCTTCACTTGCCAGCTCACTTTCAATCAAATCCAGCAGAGGTGCCCATGTCGAGCTTCTGAGATTGGCACTCTCCTCCCTCCTCTTCACACCCTCAGTTGGTGACTCTGGCATTACAATATTGAGCCTCTCACAACAGAGGCTGGTGACAATGAAGCCATGCTATAGCTTCCTCCTATAGCAATTTGGATGATTATTGTGTTTCAGAATGTGGCTTTCTGTCCCACTGAATTTCATCATGTTCTTACTGTCGGGAAGGGATGGAGGAGACATTGAAAATGGTCATGTGAAGTGCAGAGCTTGTGTGCTCTCTACAGGAGCCCCTTGCAGATGGTCTGCTTCTCTCCTGGTGCCCCCACGTAAGTCCACTTATCAGCCTAAGAAGGAGTTCAGGCTTGTGAATGTGCCTTCCTTTCCAGCCTTCATCCATGTGCATGCTCTTGTCTCTCTTGCTCCTTCGTCTGTGATTCTGTACTTGCCCCCAAATGATCTGGCCCTCTCTGCCTCTCTCACCTGTTCTGCATTCCCTACCCCTCAGCCAGCCACTTGGCCCCCTTGCTCTTCTAGAACTTAAGCACATTCCTGCCTCAGAGCCTTTGCACTTGCTGCCCTTCTGTCCAGAAAGTTTTTCCCCAGGTATCTGTAGTGTTTGCCTACTCACTTCGAAAAGTGTCTGCTAAAATGCAAACTCCTCCAAGAGGCCCTTTTTGGCCACATGTAAAATATCCCCTACCTCCATTTTTCTTGTAAGCACTTACCTCTAATATCACATGATTTATTTACATGTATATGTCTATTTCTCACCATTGAAGTGTAGACTCCATGAGCACAGACACTATACCTTCAGTGCCTAGCGGTAGTCAGCACTCAATAAATATTTATTGAAAGAAAGGAAGATCAGCTTACAGCTAATAAATACATGAGTTGATTTAAAGTCAACTTACAGGAGAAGACTGAGTAAATAATGGAGTAGACAGTACAAAGAAGTTGCAGAAGCGAAGGTGATAAATGAGTGATTGAAGTTTGGGAAACATGGATCTAGCAGATACAATGTCTATGAGCTGAAGGAGGTGGAGGAGTGGAGAGGAGAGTGCTCTGGAGTTGGCTTCTAGAGTCAGGCTTTGAAGGAGAAGAGCAGATAAGTCAGAGCTAGAGGGGCCAGCCTGACGTTGGAAGTCTAAATGGTGTTCACCAAGGCTTGAGGAGAGAACTGAAAACTGAGTTGGCAGACAGACTTGATGGGTGCTCAGGAGAAGTGAAGAGGTATTTTAGAGTCTTATTACTAAGACACTCATTGACTTAGAAAGGCTATAAATCAGTACTGTGGCTGACCTTGTAAATTACAAAAATATATGTACCTGACCCCATATTTCAATGGCAGAGACAATATATCAGGTTTTTTCCCCTCTGCTGTTAACCTTGTTCAGACATATGGAAATCCTGAAGACTGCATTGACTGATGAAAAATGAAATGGAGGCTATGGTTTTTTCCAGGCATCAAGGACAGGAGGATGAGTTTAAGCGGGTGGAGCTATGGCACCCAGTAATGTTTATTTAGGGAAAGTTAATCCAGGTACCCAGCAATAAATTACATCACTACCCAGGAGTCGGCCTTCCTCCCCACCAGCCAAAATGAGCAGTCATTTAGACAGCCATGAAAAAGGAAAGGAAGTCTGGGTGCGGTGGCTCACACCTGTAATCCCAGCACTTTGGGAGGATGAGGCAGGCGGATCATCTGAGGTCGGGAGTTTGAGACCAGCCTGAACAGCATGGAGAAACCCTGTCTCTACTAAAAATACAAAATTAGCTGGGCGTGGTGGTGCATGCCTGTAATGCCAGCTACTCGGGAGGCTGAGGCAGGAGAATTGCTTGAACCCGGGAGGCGGAGGTTGTGGTGAGCCGAGATCATGCCATTGCACTCCAGCCTGGGCAACAAGAGGGAAACTCTGTCTCAAAAAATAAAAGAAAAGAAAAAGAAAAGGATGAGATAGATATGTGTTGCTTCTCAGAAGTGGAATTTGTTTTGCATTGGGCAGGTCTATGAAAACCTACCCCAAAGTCTGAGGAAGCTGAGATGCCAAAGAAAGAGGCTGACATATCCAATTTCTTAGAAAGAAACATTTAATAGGGACTTTAAATGTTTAACAGAAGCCACGTCTGTGTATCAGACAGCGGTGAGACACAATGGTGGATCCCCATGCCATTAACTCCCAGACCCAGGGTTTACATACCGTAGGGGAGGGCTGGTTCAGAAGGTATATGTAGAACAATCAAAGTATTACAACATCAAGGATGTTTGACCTAAGGGCAGGATTTACAGTGAGTATGTGCTCTTACACAAGCAACAATCGATAAACTGGAAATCTTAGAGGTCTTCCTAGAACAGGTGTTGATCAGGAGCCAACATGGTAGATTAGCTTTCAAGGTGGAATTGCTTCAGCCTCCACACAGAATTTTGTTGTTGTTGTTGTTAATTAAACACTTAAATTATATGCTTATTTAAAAATCAAAACAGAAGCATGTAAAGTGGAAAATAGAAATCTCCCATAATTCCTGACACAACAACACTTAACAGGCAATTGTTTCATTCAGCAACTATTTATTGAGCTCCTTCCATATGCCAAGCACAAGCACTGTTTTGGGAAGTTCCAATTCATTGTAATTAAAGATCTTTGTTCCCGCTGGGCTTACATTCTACTGCTGTGCAATGCAACACAGTAACCACTAGCCACATGTGGCTATTTAGATTTAGTAAAGTTAAATACAATTTAAAATTGAGATCCCCTGTCACACTGGCCACATTTCAAGTGCTCAGTGGCCATAAGTAGCTAGCGGCTACTGTATAGGACCACACAGGTATAGACTATTTTCATCATTGCAGACAGTTCTATGGGACAATAATGTCCATTCATACTCTTCAGCAACCAACTCTTGTCGCTTAATCTAGCGTGGTCATCTTCTTTTATCAATAAATCAAACACATTGATTTGTATCCTCCTATTAATGGATATTTAATTCCAGTTTTTCACTATTATAAATAATATTGCCATGAACTTCCTTGGAACTTATATCCTTGTGCATTTCTCCAACCTTTTTTAACATAAATTTTGCAAAGTGCAATCAGATAATACAGGTGATGTGCTGAAAACCCAGTAAGAGCTCAGTACATGCTGACTATGACTATGTGAAGCTTTGCAGAAGGCCCTGGAGGTGCATTTCTAGGAGCTGCAATTCCTAGAGGCTTCCTGCCTAAATTGGGCCCCAAGGCTTTTCACAACAAACAAACCAGACAGCCACAGCCTGCCTCTGGAAATGTAGAGCCCTGAAGCCACAGCCAACAATTTCCATAAAAATTTTTTCCAGAATAATTATGTGTTTTGAATCTAGCCACATGTTACATTTATTGACCACCTCCTGGATGCTTGACCCTACATGAGATGCCAAACTGGTTGCAGGCCTGAGACCTGTCTCTTTTTATGAGCTCACAGTGAAACCATTGTGGCAACTTGGGGGGCAACACATGGCTGTTCATTAAGGCTGGTCCTGAACAATTTGCACATTTTTTTTCCCACTGGGAGAGAGGCAAGCACTTGATGCAGTAATGAAGGAGGTTGTATGCTAGTGTGGGAAAAGAGAACTTAAATGTTACCAACTTGGTCCATCTAGGTTGATCATTTTTTCTTTCATTTTTTTCGGTCTTAGTCCACTTTGTGTTGCTATAGCAGAATATCACAGACTAGGTAAATTATAAACAATAGAAGTGTATGGTTCTGAAGACTGGAAATTCCATTTATGGTTCTGGAGACTGGAAATTCCAAAGGCATGTCACCAACATCTGGCAAGACCATCCCACAGCAGGAGAAAGCAAGCACACAAGACAGAGACACTTAGCTTCAGACTTGCTTTATGACAACCTATTCCCATGATAATTAACCCACTCCGAGGGCTCCTCCCTCATGACCCATGAGACCCCACCTCCCAATGTTGTTGCATTGGAAATTAAGTTTCTAACACATGAACTTTTGGGGGACACATTCAAGTCAAAGCAGGGCCCAAAAGAAATTCTAACTACTTTAGAGTTTTTATTTCTAAACTAACTCTCAAATCCCTTGCTGTTTCTGGGAAATGAGAAGCTAAGACCTTCTCAGCTGTCCAGTGCATATTCTGCCTTCAGATCATGGAGCCGGCTGTAGTTCACCAGTTCTTTAACTCTCCCCATCCCCATCCTGCAGAAGGAAAGAGCTACACTCTGAGCCCAAGCCCCACTCTCTCAAACCCATCCTACATGAACATGGTGGACATAGTAACTATGAAAACAGCTGTGGGCTTGAAATTGTCCCTGCACAGAAACAAGTGAAAGCCTAGAAGCCCTAAAGCTTTGTGATAACTCAGTTTTGTTAAGAGTTTAAATCTCCCTGTAGACAATGTGATTCATCTTAGTTATCTCTGCCAAAGGCTGAAGGAAATGAGTGAGCATCTCCATGGGGGCCTAAGTCTGGACTGGGGTCGGGCCGGGTAAGAAGCACCTAGAAGGCTGCAGACAGCAGCCTCTGTACCCCAGCAGGAAGTCTAGCCCTGTTCTCGGGGTCAGGGAAACAGAGAGAGCTGCTGCTTCCTGTCCTACTTCTTCCAGATCCTAACCCTGCTTGCAATGCTACTTGAATGTGCTTTGAGCCTAAGTGAGTTTCAAGAGGGAGACATCTTTCTGTAAGCTTCCCTGATTTTTCTGCATTTGTTTTGGAATCCACCTTCAAGGCCCAGCCTTGCCTCAGAAAGGGATGAGAAGAAGGGGAATATTTCTACTCTTCTCCTCCTCACCACGGCCCACTGGCAACCCTCTCTGGACTGTGTCCCAACTCTGAATCAAGCATGCCTAACCTACACACTAATTCATGCTGCCTCCAAAAGAAAATAGAGAAAAGTGATAGATAAGGGGCCTCATTTAGTGGGAGCTTAAATTTCAGGCATAGTGATGCTGGCTCGGTTCAATGGAGATTTACAACAACAGGTGCAGTGGAACCTTAGATTGGGGCAGAGAGTGATTTGTGTGTGTGTTGGGGGAGGGGAGAAAGTGGGGGCCTCATTTGATCTGTCTGCTACTGGAAGAAAAATAAACTCAAATTGCCCTTCTCTTCTTCTAAGAAACAAAGGGATGAAAGGAACTTTAGGCCACTAAGCTTCTTTTATTCTTGCCTCTTTCTCAAATAGATCAGAAAATAATCCCATATTATTAACCACCTTGCCTTCCCCAAAAATATGAAAAAAAAGACACTACTATTCCCCCGATACTTACAGAATCCTATAATACGGTCAGTGAGTCTGGACCTCAAAAAGCATAATGGAAAAAAAAGATTTTTAAAGAACTCTTCCAAGTGACAGTGAGAACAAGAGGTGGGGAAGGCAGATAGTAACTTGAAAGGCTTTTAAGTATGCCATGACTTGGTCTTCTGATTCCATCCTTTTCTACAAATGGACAATTAGCTGTGACAGAGGTTTGTGTAATTAGCAGACAAGTTAAACTCTGAATGAAGTATTCTTTGTAACCCAATAAGAAAAGCATTTTCCAGAGACGCATCACAGCCAGAAGTGTCACCATATGACTCCCACACTGTACTCCAATTTTATTGGCATTTCTAAAATAAAGTATAACGTTATCTCTTTAAACAAATCACCATGTGAGGTGGGCCTTTGGCACTATTTTTTAAACCAGCAACCAGACTGGTCTTGGGCTAAGATTCAGAAAAGAGCAGAAATAGTGTACCTGATGTCATCCTTCACAGCTTCCTTCTTGGCCTGCACCTCCAGGAAGCCTTCCAGGTGGTCTTCTTTGGGGAGCCCTGGGGCCTCTGCTGCAGCTGCATCAGGTAGAATCCCCGTCCCACACATACAGCCACATATCTTCGTGATGAAATACAGGGGGAGACAGCGTGGAGGATAAGAAGGTACGGGACTTGTTGCAGGAAGTGGCACATCAGATATGCTTCCTGGAGGGCAGGAGGGATCAGCCTCCATCAGGTCTCTAAAGGACCATCCACAGAAGATGCATCTGGGCTTCCATGTCACTCTCTCTGAGATGCTGGACTGGCCCATTCATTCTGAAACTATACACTGGGGAAATACTATTTCCTGCTAAAATCAAATTATGGCAGTCTTTTCCCAATTCAAAGAAAAATAAAGTAAGCAGATTAAAATTTCCTCACTGTAAGTTTTCATCTGTCCTGTGTTTTCTTAACTTTGTTGCTGCTTCATCTTTTGCAGCACCCTGCACTCCCCACCCGGAGGCGGAGGGGGGTGGTGGGAAACAAGAAGTAAGCAAATATTAACAGGAAAACTGCCAGCTGTGCTTAACTCATGGGCATGTTGTGATAACTCTTTTGTGTACCTTGTTTTCTCCTAGTTCAGAAGACGAAAGCAGTTGGTAATAACGTCATAGTGTTCTTCTATCAGGTGCAGCATAGCTCCCCAGGCTCTACCACCCAACAGCTTTTGAAAACAACCAGATCCAAGTAGTCTCTCAAGTCAGCTCTGAGAGTCCAGCAAACCATTTTGAGCTATTCAGAACCACCAGAAATGTCAACACACTTTGAAAGGGGACTTATTATAGTGAAAATGGCAAGTTTGTAATTCAGTAGAATTAATTCAATGGAATAAAAACAATCCACCTTTTAGGAAGCACTTCTAGTGAGATATGCCTGTTTGAGAACTTGGCTGTGATTCCTAGTAGGAGCCTGTGTGCTGCCTTCCTTGGGAATGGGAAGATTTGTGAACCTGAGCCTGGCGTAAGTGGCTGTATACAGGCATTTCCCCCACTTACAGTAGGTTTAATTGCTGGAAAAAGGTCCCAAAGTCGAAACGCTGTGAGAGATCTGATTTTCCCATGGTGACAGCCGATAATAGAACATTAGGGTAACTGATCAAAAATCTGATGCCTACCTTTTTAAAGAAATAACCTCAAACATTGTATTTCAGTTACTCTGAATGCTGAACTTCAGAATCTCTTTGTCTACAGTGTATTTAGTTTGATTTAATAGACAACTTAATGACCAATATATGAAATTGTATGAATTACTGTGATACAGTATCATGATATTTTTATAGTTCTCCACACTTCCCTTATTTAACACATAAAACCTTAAGATAAACTGTTAGTTTACAGTTACGGCAGTCAGAAGAGAGCCATTTTAGAGAGATTTTTCGCTTAGGCAGCTTAGAGAAAATTTTTAGAAATAGTTGGGGTTATTTCGTTGTTTTCGTGATGATCTAGGATCGTCTATTTTTCTACCTCCTTGATGGTTCCCATTTGTCAATTTTTGCTTTCGTTGTAATTGCTTTTGATATTTTTGTCATGAAATCTTTGCCCATGCCTATGTCCTGAATGGTATTGCCTAGATTTTCTCCTAGTGTTTCTCCTAGTTTTAGGTTTTACATTTAAGTATTTAATCCATCTTGAGTTAATTTTCATATAAGGCATAAGGAAGGGTTCCAGTTTCAATTTTCTGCATATGGCTAGCCAGTTTTCCCAGCACCACTTATTAAATAGGGAATCCTTTCCCTATTGCTTGTTTTTGACAGGTTTGTCAAATTTGGATCAGATGGTTGTAGATGTGTGGTCTTATTTCTGAGATCTCTATTCTGTTCCATTGGTCTATGTGTCTGTCTTTGTACCAGTACCATGCTGTTTTGGTTACTGTAGTCTTGTAGTATAGTTTGAAGTCAGGTAGTGTGATGCCTCCAGCTTTGTTCTTTTGCTTAGTATCGTCTTGGCTATACAGGCTCTTTTTTGTTTCCATATGAATTTTAAAGTAGTTTCTTCTAATTCTGTGAAGAATGTCAATGGTGGTTTAATGGAAATAGCTGAATCTATAAATTACTTTGGAATATATGGCCATTTTTACAATATTGATTCTATCCATGAGCATGGAATGTTTTTCCATTTGTTTGTGTCCTCTCTTATCTCCTTAAGCAGTGGTTTGCAGTTCTCCCTGAAGAGGTCCAGCGCATCCCTTGTAAGTTGGATTCCTAGGTATTTTATTCTTTTTGTAGCAATGCTTCCTGGAGCAGTACAGATGTTCAGGATCAAAGGGCTGCTTGTCCCAGTGCCTGCATCCCTAACAGGATTCCCGCTTTCTGGGCCTCTCTGGCAACTTTGCACCCTGCCAGGCAAACTTGCCTTTAAGACTGTGCAAGTTCTGAAGTGTATTCCTGATGGTTTTCCTTCCTTCAGGCTTCCCACCACGTGATTTCTCACAAAAAGCCTCAGAATTCTAGCTGGGCAGCCACTTGCAACCATGTCACATTCTCTCCTGAATGTACAAGTCTTTCCATGTCCATCACACATCCCAAACCTGCCTAATAATAATAGTTGTCAGCTGACATTTTTTCCTCTAATCAGCTGTTTTAAAAAGCTGAATTTGCTGGAGGCTTTAGAAAGTAGTGCAACTGGTTTTTGTTTTGTTATATTTTTAAGATAATAGCTGATACATATAAAAATTACATGATCTGTGTGGTATTAAACATACTTATATAATAAACACCCATGAATCCACCACCCTATCCTGGCACTTTGCTTACCTACCTCCAGATGAATCTGCCTTCCTCACCCATCCTTCTCTTTAAAACAGAGAAGGAGAATAATAAACACAAACTTCAGAGTTTTTGTCATATATGTGTGTATACCTAAACCACGTATAGTTTAGTTTTGCTTGTTAAATAGACAAGCAGAATTTATCAGCCAATTGAGGTTGGTCTTCTCAAGTAGCCTTTTTGGAAGTTTATCCACTTACCCATGTAGGCTGCAATTGCTCAAAACCATCTGGGAGCTCTTTGTTTGAAATTTCATGCAGAAACAGTTTATCAGCCGCTCAAGAAAATCAGTGCTGCTGCTTTATGTCATTTTTTTGGTCTGATTTAACTATTTTTTTCTATAACCTCTCTATTTTCCCCATTCACCTATTTAAAAACTATGTAGTGAGTGTCTTCTGTGAGCTAAGCACTGTGCTAGGCATGCAAGGCGAGTCCAGAGTCTCTGCTCCCACTGGAGCATGTCCTCACGCCTCCTCTCACCTGTCTTCCTTTGTCATTTGAGCAATAACTATAGGCTGCAGACTGCAATAACAATAGGAGCAATAACTATAGGCTGAGAGACTCCAAGACACCAAGCAGGATTCAGTGCACCAACAGTCATGGGATCAGCATAGTCGGGGAGCCAGAAGGGAGACTTCTGGGAGGACTTCAAGAAGGAGTCCCCACTTCGTGCATGCCTATTTGTCTTTGGCCTTTTGTGACCTCACCTAGATAGTTATAGCTCTAATTTTGTTAGTCTGCCTTCCTCACTAATCCAGGCATCTTTATATCATTACCTCCACACCTGCTGAGGTGTCCTGCTGTGTGATACATAGCTCAAGAACTCTAATATGAAAGGGGAAATTGTCCCTATAAAACCTGATGTCTGACAACCTAGATTATAATTTTCTTGAGACAGAATCTCACTCTGTCACCCAGGCTAGAGGACAGTGGTGATCATAGCTCACTGTAGCCTTGAACTCCTGGGCTGAAGTGATCCTCCCACCTCAGCCTCCCAAGCAGCTGAGACTACAGGTATGCACCACCACACTGGCTATTTTTTTAAATTTTTTTGTAGAGACAGAGTCTTGCTATGTTGCCCAGGCTGGTCTCAAACTCCTAGCCTCAAGTGATCCTCCCACCTCGGTCTCCCAAAGTTCTGAGATTACAGGCATGAACCACTGCACCTAGCCTATAATTTTTTTATGTTAGAACTTAAACTCACATTAGGTTATTAAACATGAAATTGATGACAGATACAAGTGCCTGGGTAGTATAAATATAAAACCTCAGAAATATGTGCTTATATATTGTTTTGATTTATGTAAAATATAGTAATACATCTAATAAATATGTGTATATATAATAGATATAATTTATGTATTCTAAACCAGCCTCCACCTGACCCAGTCACCGGAATCACTCACACTTCACAATCCTTTTATAAAATAGGACTAATGCCAAAACCCTGACCAATCACAGTTCTAAGGCTATTTCCATGTCCTGTGCACACCTGCTCTTCCCAGCTGAGTTGTGTGTTTCTGAAAGTCAACTGTGTTTCTTCTCAAACCTGTGTGTGCCAGTTGTACTTGTTACTAAGTTGCAAGATTTAATTAAATGTTCTCACATACTGATGAAGTATGAACTCAAAAAGAAAATTGTCTCAGTGAAAACCAAATTGGATGTTTTTGAAAGACTCAGTAAAAATGGGTCATTAATAAAAATGCTTTTGAATTAGGTGTGAACAAGGCAAATGTAAAAGATTGAAGAAAACAATTTAAAATCTAGAAGAATTCTGTCCTCAGATTGTGCTGCAGGTGTCTTTAACTTCTGGTTCCACTTTAAATGGGATTGCATGTGGTATGTCGGAAATCTTACATGGTAAATAATGTTTTTTAAAAAAGAACTCTAATCAGCAGACAATACTAAAAAAAAAAAAATTACCTTAGTCTGTCATCAAAGGATTAGTGAATGAAAACACATTTATATTTTAATTTAAAGATTACATATATGAATATGTACTTATACATATGGAGGTGTGGATAGAATAATTTAGAAATGTTTGTAAGAGAGAGATTGATTTTCCATGATCCTCCTCTTTTAATGACTTTTCCAATCACACATCAGTCCAAGCTTATTTGGAAAGAGGGCTTCTATTGTTGTTTATTTGCCTTATGCACTTCCCGGGACTGTCCTACTCAAGAGGGGTTTTATACAGTCAGCGTCACTAGAAAATTTCAGATATCATGCCACTTGCTAAGGTTTATTTGATTTTTACTTCATTTAGTTTTGTTTTCATTTGCCAAATATTTATTGAAAGCCATGAGAAAAGACTCCATTTTAAAAACAATCATTTGAAAAGAGAGAAAAGGCGTTGTCAGACTGCTGGATGGATGGGGGAGGTCATGACCCCCAGTGCTCTGCCCTCTCTGGCTGTGTCACACCCCCAAGCCAACCCTTTCTCTAACTGCCCCAGGAGCCCATGGAGGTGGCCCCTGCTGCGTTGGGGCTTGCTGATAGGCAGGCAGGCAGGAGTGCAAACTAGAAAGTGGGCCTGAGGTTCTCAAACTCAGGCCAGTAGAAAAATGAGACCAGTCTTAGACCAGATGAGAAAATAGCCTCTTGACCAGGGTTAAAGTATATTTTTTGACCCTAGCTTTTCCCAAACAGATGTGAGGGGCCTGAGTGGCCTTTAGAACTGTGCAGATAATGATATCAGTAAATAGGGAGACTTTTCAAATCCTACTCTAGCTACGCCCTCCTACTCCCAGCTTATCAAGCCACACGTGCATGATTTTTGCTTGACCTGCATAAATGCATATGTGTACAGGTGCGCACGCGTGCGTGTGTGTGTCTGTGTGTGTATTTGTGTGTTTGAAGGCCTCAGGTAAGGGCTACTTCAGCTCGAATCCAGACTGAAGCACCCTTCTGATGAAAGATGTTTTATTTTCCTAAATACCTAAGTAATGAACCCAAACTTATGGAAACCAGGTTCTTATGAAAAGGTGGCCCAAGCACCAGCAAGCTTCAAGACTGTTTCCTGAGAGAACCAAACAGAAGAGAACTAGGTAGACTGGAGTAAGGAGTAGAGCTTCATTTCAGCCATCCCAGAAGGATCATTAAGCTGTTCTGTTTTCTCTGCATTTTAATTATGTTGGGGCTGGAAATGGACCCACACTGTGCTCCCTGCGGTGTACAGAGCCATGGAAACCATTCCTCTCACTCTGCTGAAGGAAAGGGGCTTCAGTAAATGGAGAAGAGTGAGGGGGGAATAGAGGAAGTGTAGGTGCTGACACAGGAGCCCTATTTTGTTGATCTGAGGGGTAACTAGACCCCTGCCCAGGAGGTCCTCAAGCCCTCTAGAGAAAGAAATTACAGAGGCATGAGTCATCCCCCGGTTATGGAAGAACATAGGGCACCCTAGGGGTTTGAGGGCCTCCCCTATCAAGAAGTGGGCAACTGAAGTACACAGACTGTGCTTGGCTAAAGGTTACAATCAGCTTCTGGTTTATTATCTGTTTAACTAAGTGGATTAAATGAGAATTGACTGGAATTGGACACTTAAACTTTCCTTACAAAAGGCCGTTATCTCATAAGCTGGCTTAATGGAACAGCCTGTCAGGGGCTTATTAGAAGTAACTGAATACAGCACCTTACAGAGCAGAGATTCAAAGGAGGCTGTGCAACCAGGCCCGGGATGCCTCACACCTTGTATGGCCAAAAAAGAAGGATCTAAGGTCTAGCTACAAACCACACTGTTAGCATCTAACCTAGAGACAGGCCCAGGTCTTCCCAAAAAGAAAGCTACTTGCAACTCCCTCCATTTTAGCATCTCTTTGGTTTAAATGTGAATTAAGTGTTTTGTTGATCATGTATATATATATATATATGTATATATATATATATGGCTTTAGCAGATATGAAATAGCACATATAGTACATATATATATAAAATAGCACATATAGCATACATATATATATATATACACATGTGGCCTTAGCAGATATGAAAGACAGCAGAATGTAGTGTTTAACAGGACCAACTTTGGAGTTAGACTGTAAGGGTTTGAATCTTAGCTTTACCATGTACTGATTGAGTGAGTTTGTGTTACTTAACTTCTCTGTGGCTCAGTTTCTCCATCTGCAAAATGAGAATGATAATAGTACCTAGCACATTAGGTGTCTGTGGAGATTAAATGAGCTATTATGTATAAACTTCTTAGAATAGTTTCTAGCATAGTGTGAGCAACTGGCGCTTATATACTACTATTATCACGGAAAATAATTCACCCCATTTAACAGCTTTTGTATCCATATTCCATCTTATCTATCAATTCAGCATATATTTGGAATGAGCTGCATTCACAGATGAGATGTGGAATTGTGGGAGGCAGCATACATGGAGAAGTTCAGGTCTGCAATCGGGGATATTTGAACCCTGGCTCTGCTGGGAATAGTGATGTGATCTTGCATACGTCATTTATCCTGACTGATCCATATTTCTAAAGGGTGTGTGTGTGTGTAACTTTCATTATAGGGTTTGGGAAAATAAATGTAAATCCTTCTTTTGGTGAGGATTGATGTGATTATGAAAAATGCTTAAAGACTGATAAAAATGAATCACCTTTGGCCCAGTATCCCTAAAACGTATATATCATAGAACTTTGAGGATGACAGACAAATTGGAGAGGGTTAATGGTTTGGATAGAAATTGCCCATGTACAGTTGGCTTGAAAAATAGACATAATCGACTATTTTTCAGCAAGATTGACTATATTTGTGAATTTAGGACTTTGCATTTTCCGTCCAGCAGTTTCTTTAACAGTCTTATTTTTCTGTTGGGTTCATTTGAGTTCAATTTACCAGTAGTAACCTGTAAACACTTAATATCAGACAACCTGCTCCACAGTAGAACTAAATCCCTGCAATTACACAGCCTATGATTAATTAATGTCAATGTATAATCCATAACTTTCATGTATAATCTAGGATTTTAAGTAAATACTGTATAATCTAGTAGATGATTCTATTCCACCCAGCCTAATGAATGAATATCATACTTCTCATATTCCAAAAAATTGCAAGAGACCATATGGAAAATGGATGACTCTTTCTGTTCTATAGAAAACGAATTACTTTAAATAAAAAAATTAGTCTATTTAGCTGGATTGACTTTTAGAGGAACTGAAAGACTTTGCATGATATTAGAACTAGTAACTTTTTTTCTCCTTGTTTTTGTGCCTTTTTAAATTTGAAAAAGTAGTACATAGTACTCAACTCCTAGATATAATTGATTCAGTTTCTCACATCTTAAATGGCTGAGCCTAGGGGTTGAAGGAAAGAAGCCACATGTTGAGTGAGAAGCCATAACCTCCCAGGGTTTCTTCTGGCTGGTGATTGTCTAAAGCACAAGCCAGTGTATTTCAACTGAAGTGTGATGCCAACAGCAAACACGCTGTGATACCAATCCATGCTCTGTACCTGTGGCTCTAAACTTGCCTTGGTTATGAACTCTTTTAGAATCAAGAGGGAATTATAGACATGCTCCCCATAAAACTACACATTTTCTTCTTTCCTCAAAGCTTGGCATAGAATTCCAGGAAGTTCCCACGAACTTCCTGAATCCCTTCATTCTTCCCCTACCCCCCAATCCCCTGCAGTCTATGAATCCCATGTGTGTAGGGTCCACTGTTGTGAGGAGGCATTTTCTCACTGAGCTTGACCACACATTTATTTATTTATTTATTTATTTATTTATTTATTTATTTGAGATGCAGTCTCACTGTGTCACCCATGCTGGAGTGCTGTGGCACGATCTCAGCTCACTGCAACCTCCAACTCCCGGGCTCAAGCAATTCTCATTCCTCAGCCTCCCAAGTAGCTCGGATTATACGCGGCCTGCCACCATGCCCAGCTAATTTTAGCATTTTTTGTAGAGACAGGGTTTCACCATGTTGGCCAGGCTGGTCTCGAACTCCTGACCTCAAGTGATCCACCTGCCCCTGCCTTCCAAAGTGCTGGGATTACAGGTGTGAGCCACCATGTCCAGCCTGATTTTTTTTCATGGCAATGGGTTGGACATTTCTGGAAACCAGGAGATGAAGACTAATCAGAGGCTTTTGCCCATCCTTTAAGAGTTATTACACACAATGTCACACAGTGACTGAGAATACAAGCTGAGCTTCTCACATGCCACCTCGCTGTGTCTGATGCAGCTGGATTCTTTTGGATGCTTCTGGGTATGTTAGATTCATTCCATTTTAGTTTAAGCTTGTTTGAATCTACCTCTACTCCCTAAAAACTATTTCTTTTCAACACGTGTATCCTCACTTTACATCTACTAGGATAGCTATAATTAAGAAGATAGCTAATAATAAGCATTGGTTAGGATGTAGAGAAATTGAAACCCTCTTACACTGTTGGTGGGAATGTAAAATAGTGCAATCAGTTTGGAAAACAGCTTAGCACTTCCTCAAAAGGTTAAACACAAAGTTACCATATGACCAGCTGTTCTAGTCGTAGGTATATACCTAAGAGAAATGAAAATGTATGTCCACACAAAAACATGTACATGTAAAACTAGCAGCATTACTCATGATAACCAAAAGGCAAAAACAACCCAAATGTCCATTAACCGATAAGTCGATATATAAAATATACTATTTCCACATTTCATATACATGAATATTCTATATACAATGAAATATTAGTAAGCAATAAGAAATGAAGTATTAATGCTACAACTTGGATGAACCCTGAAAACATTACAATAAGTGAAAGAAGCCAGTCACAAAAGACTACATATTCTGTCATTCTGTTTGTATGAAATGTCCAGAATAGGTAAATCCACAGAGACAAAGCACATTAGGGATTGCCAGGGGCTGGAGGGGGCAGAAATCGGGGGTGACTGCTAACAGGTATGGGATTTCTTGTTGGGGTGACACAGTGTTATAAAATTGTGGTGGTGATGATGGTTGTTAAACTCAGAATATGCTAAAAACTTTGAATTTTATACTTTAAATGGGTAACCATATAGTATATGAATTATATCTCAACAAAGCCGTTACTAAAAACATAAAGCCAGACCTGTCTTCAAATCACTACTATCTTGAGACAAGGATGTGGGTGCGAATACTGAATTTGGAAAGATATCCCAAAGCACAGTCAGGAGGTAGGGAGGTGAGACGGGGGAGGAAGGAAAGCCACTAATGGGGGTATTAATGGGTGAGTTGATGTTGTGGGCAGTGGGTGCTTCATCCTTCTGGGGCCCCTCAGAAAGGCTGTGCAGACCACAACTCAGAATTATTCCTCCACGGGAAGAGAAAATGGGATTATTTCTATGAGTGTTGACTCCCCAGCACTCCCAGCCTGCCCCATACACAAGCCAAACATGCTTCTACATCAGAGAAAGCCCTTAGACAAGAAGAGGCAGAGGCAGAGAGAGACAGACAGACAGACTAACTGCCTGACATGCAGGTACTGAGGTAGGAAGCAGTCGGAATACACAGAAACTTTACCACTCTCGCAGGGGACACCCAGGGTGACCGAGTGGGTATGGGCAGGGCCTTGGCAATCCTTGACACAGGGGTGTTACTTAACCTGCACCTCAGTCCCCTTATACTTAAAATGGTGGAGACAATAGTTCCTGCCTCATACGGATGATGTGACGATTAATGAGTTAATGTAGCTGATGTATTTGGGAGAGGTAAGAAGACATATTTTTAATCTTTTCCTATTTTTTTTTAACTTATCCATGATCATGTCTCCTCTGAATGAGCTTCTAACAAAACAGAGAATACGTTCTTCTGAGTTTGAAAAAGAAACAGAAGGTTGCAGAAAACCGTCTTCTTGTTAAGTCCCCCTGTGTTTGATCAGCTTTGAATGGCAGCCCTCTGAAATGTGCCACGTGCTTTGTTAGTGCATTAGACAGGATCTTTCTCATTCTTGCTGTCCTGCTTTATGGAAACTATTGGTGGGATTCAAGCAAGTGAGTTTGATCATAACAGTCTCTCGTATTTTCCTTTGTGTCTCCTCATATTTTCCCAAAGTCGTGTTCCGAGGATTATGGGCCCTAGGAGCTTGCTTTCTGTGAAATGTCTGCAGTCTAGGGATGGAAGCCAGTGGCTGAAATCCCAGGCAATTTTGAGTTCCACTTCTGTCAAAGGCATTTATACTCAATTTGCTTCATTGCTCATGGACGATTGAAACAGCCCAGTTGGTAAACAGCCAGAGGAAAACAGGGTAAAAAATAACAATAATAATAATAATAATAAAGAAAAAAAAAAACCTCCCAACTACATTACATCGAGCTCAAGCTGTCATGATGAAAACTTAAAGATTTACTCACTCAAGAAAATATCTCTGGATTTTTTCAGACTGGGACTCTTCAATTAATCTGACATTTCACAAATCCAAAATTGCCGTGGATGAACTCTTTACTTCACTTCGGGATATTGCTGGAGCTCGGAGTCTCCTGAAACAGTTTAAGTCTGTATATGTTCCTGGAAATCATACCCACCAGGCAAGTATATACGTTTTAAAGTAACCTTCTAATCTGTTGTACTTCTAGGATTCAGAGTCTATAGAAGAAAAGGTTCCCTTTTAACCTTCCTAAAACCAAAGGTTTGTTCTAGATGATCTCCAAGTTCTCTTTTAGTTCAGAGTTTTGGGTCCCACGGAATCTGAAAGCCTCTCAATTCATTTATGCCCCAGGCTTGATATGGTGGGATGAGCACTGAGTTGGGAGTCAGCCATGGCTTTCTAACTGTGGGTTTGTCGCAGACTGATTCTATAGCCTTCTGCAAGTCCCTTCTCTCCTCTGGGAGCCAATGACTACAGGTACCAAATGAGGGGCTGGCCTTAGAGGATTCCCAAGTTTCTGGATCTAACCAGTCCGTAAACATTTTGAATGAGCAGAATAATGAAAACACCTGATAATGTTACGACAAGGGAAAAAGTTTGTGATGAAAATATGTGTTATTTAAAATTCCTCCACTGCTTTCAAAGGAGGGCAGGAGGACCTAAGAAGAATGTTTTTTGACCATTGAGTAAAGAGATGGTATCAAGATTAAGGTATAATTGCTGTGTAAAAACTCAGAGGGGGAAAGTACATAGAAAGACCCAAAGGGAAGCTTAAGGAATAAAGAAAGGTTAGAGCCACTGAGGCTGGGGAGTCTTTGTTGGACAAGGTAGGAGACAGAACTAAGGTTCCTGGTGGCCAAAGATGAGCTCTCAGGGAAGAACAAATGTTTCTGTTGGAAAAGATGACTAAGTTTAACTGTGGGGAATCTTATTTATTTCTCCATAAAACCTTTAGTAAAATAAACTCTATTTGTTAAGGCTTTTTGGAGAGCTGAATGTGCTGTTAGTGGGGAGGAGTTCAGCTTCAGGGTGCTGACTCTTTAAGGGAGACTTGAGCTAATGTTACCCACTGCAGCTAGCACAATCCAGATTCTTCCTCCAGTATCCTGTATTTGTTTGGGAGCTGATACCTGAAGAGCACTTCTACATTGGATTTTTCCTTTGATTGCCACAAGTTATGCCAGGGAGGCATTATTATTCCAAGATCCGGGAAGGCCAAGTGACGTGCCACAGGCATGCAGATGGCCAGGGGCAGATGCCAGATCTTTGCTGCCAGCCCAAAACCTCCTCCCTGACTATAATATGGTTCTCATAGAGATTCTAGAAGTGTTGATTGGTGGTGCTGATGATCATCTGAAATCACCTACCAAGATACTGAAGACCTTAGAAACTGTCACTCTTCTTAGAAACATAAAGATTTTCATCCTTTACTCAAAGATCTGAGAATGCCACGGCGACAAAATACAGATAAAATCACTCAGGTATTCATACGTAGTTTTGTCATTTTAAAAAATCAGCAATCTTAAATACTATAATGTGGACTAGTTCCAAAAGACATGCTAGAACTAGTGATATATGATGACATTGAGACCAAAAATGTCAAGAAGCAAGTGGCTGGTGTAGTTGGCAAAGAGAAAATAAACCACTAAATGAATGAGGTCTTTCCCATTTTATGTCATCCGGGTGACTGATTTGGCCAACTTCACGTAAACATGTATTAGCTATATATCTTGCACGTGATAAGGACAATAAGTTTCTTAGACCTTATCTCCCTGCTGCCAACACTGTCATTTCTCCAGCCCTCAGAACCCTGTCTTGCAGCCATGGCCTTTGGAAAATGGAGTTTCCCTTTGTCGCATATGTCCCCCCTTACAATAGTCAATAACATCAGCACACTCCCAACAATCCTAAGTGTCAGTGAGTGGGAAGTGGAGTGGAGGTAGGGTAATGTGTGTACATTGGGGGGATTAAATAAATAATGATACAGACACATGGTGAAATGCTGTGCAACCATTACAATGAATGGAATAGACCTAGATATGCTGAGCAGGGTGTGTGTTTGAATCCTTGGCCCAAGGTCCGCTTCTTGGGGAGCTCAACTGAAACAGAGGTCCATGATCAATTGGGTGGCAGTGAGGGGACATGTAGGTCATTCTGTAAAGCATTATTCTATTTTTGTAAAAATAGAATAAAATAAATATTTCATAGGTATGTATACTTAATGTCTTTAAAATTTAGGAAAAATTTATAATGGTTACCTTATGGTGGATGGGTAGGATTGGATGGATAAGGAGAAACACTGATTTCTTGCTTTATTTTTACATATTCTATACATGTGACACTTTTTAATGGGATTATGGGTAATTTTTACCTCTGGGTTTTTCAGTGTTTTTCAAATTTAAAATATTTTTAAATTACAGATGTAAGCCTTGTGACAACAGGGATTTTTATGGGTTTTGTTCACTGCCGTATCCCCAGTACCTAGAGTGGCATCTGTCACATAGTGGATGCTTAGTAAATATTTGTTAGGTACATCTTAAGTACAATACATATATATTTATTACAGATCAGGAGATTTATTTGGACACAAAATATGCATGCATAGGAAAGTACAAGTGTCCAGACTAGACTCAGAGTCCAGCTGCGTGTCTGGTTTAGAAAAATAGTCCTTGGCTAAACAATATTCTGTTCATCTCATCTACCAATTTGGTCCTCAGCCCTGTGACTCCAGAAGAAATCTATGCTTTCTACCCAGCTCCATGCTGTCTCCAGACAGAATCTGATTGAGATGTCCTGGGCTCCCTGGTCACGTGGGAGAGTGCTAGCTGGCCTGGCCCTGGGTTCCTGTTCCCGGTCTGACCTATGCTGCATATTAGGATCTAGGCCTTGGGCCCCCACTGGCCCCACCTTCCCTCCCAGTGGTCCTCCGTCCTGCTGTGATGCGCATGCACTAAGTCTCAGAGCCACTCCTGCTTCCCTTGCTAGGACTAGAGGCACCTCTTATTTTAATCTTTACCCATTAACCCGTTAGGAAAAGGTGTCAATCACAATTCAGATGCAGAAAGTAGACACCATCTAGTCACTTTAAGGAGAAGGTGTCCCAACTGCGTTACATCGAGCATATAAAATCTCTAGAGGGGTCAGAGGAGTGGGATCTGGACTAGACCTCCAGAAATAAATCCCAGAACATTACCACAGGCCTGGCCCTCCAGGGCAGCCAGGACCTTTTCACAGCCTGGAGAGTGGGGGCAATGGGGATCAAGAGGCAACCACAGAAGCTCTTGACTTAAAGAACATCTCACCAAGGCTGGAGACAGCACCTGTCTTTGATCACCATGGTATCTGCATGGGCTAACTCAGTGTTTGCCACCTAGTGGGTGGGTAGATGGATGGCTAGATGGATCCTAGACTGTGCATGTTATCTAGAATGGCATTTCTTACATTTTTAATTCTTAGTGAGAGAGAACTTAGCACAGAGGATAACAGAACAGATTTTCAAGCCATAGCATCGGGGTTCATAGCCCAACTGTCCCCTCTACTAACTGTGTGACCTTGGGCAAGCAACTTCACGTCTCTGTGCCTGGTTCCTACTCTGTAAGAAGGAGCTAATAATAGTTGCTCTCTCATAAAAATGCTCTAATGATTTGGTGAATTAATACGTATAAAACTCTTAGAACATGCTGAGTGCAGTGGTTCACACCTGTAATCCCAGCTACTGGGGAGGCTGAGGTGAAAGAATAACTTAAGGCTAGGAGTTCAAGACCAGCCTGGGAAACACAGCAAGACTCCATCTCTAAAAAAATTCTTAAATTTAAAAAAATTAGGTGGGTGTGGTGGCAGGCACCTGTAATCCCAGCTACTAGGGAGGCTAAGACAACAGGGTCACTTAAACCCAGGAGTTCTAGGCTGCAGTGAGCTATTATTTTGCTACTGTACTCTAGCCTGGGCAAGAGTGATACCCCTTCTCAAAAACAAAAAACAAAAAACTTCTTAGAATAGTATCTGACACCTAGACAGCACTATGTAAGCATTTGCTGTCACAGCCATTGTAACAGTAAAGAACAAAAGAGGCCTTCCTTTGTCTTCTTTTGCAACATTTTATCTTTTCCTTTGTTAGGACATGGGCTACACAGAAAGGGTGTCTTTCAAAAGCTGAGTGTCCTGTTAGCTGTGTATGGCAGAAGGTTGATTGCTGACACCCATTTGTTTTAAAAGGTTGTGTTTGTTGCTCGCTTCTGTTGACTGGAAACCTAAGCCCCCAACTGTGCCTGTGCAGAAAGTGTTTTTTCTGTTTTGTTTTGTTTTGTTTTTGAGACAGAGTCTCACTCTGTCGCAGAAGCTGGAGTGCAGTGGCGCAATCTCGGCTCACTGCAACCTCTGCCTCCCAGGTTCAAGCGATTCTCATGCCTCAGCCTCCCAAATAGCTGGGACTACAGGCGCGCGCCATCATGCCCAGCTACATTGTTTTTGTATTTTTAGTAGAGACAGGGTTTCGCCATGTTGGCGAGGCTGGTCTTGAACTCCTGACCTCAGGTGATCTGCCCACCTCGGCCTCCCAAAATGCTGGGATTACAGGCATGAGCTACTGCGCCCGGCCGCAGAAAGTCTTCTTACCCTTCCGTTTCTTACTGCAAATGCTCAGTTTAGTGAGAAGCTTAATCTCCCCACTAAATGCCACAGTGTCTGATGTGATGCCATTCCTCAACTGTGACACCAGGAGGATATTAGGCAGATGTCTCAGGGCAGGGAGCTTATACGGGGCTTTCAGACAAAATACTGTATGGCTCTCGCATGGCTTGCCTTGGCATGCATCTTGAAGAGCAGGGCTGAGCTGCAAAAAACCTTCCACAGACACATACTGTACTTTGTGCCTCTGGCATGTTGAACAAGAGCATTTTGAACCAGCAGTGCCTGAGGAGGCTTGATTCATCTTGTGCCCAGTGAAATGTGGCTCTCTGAACAGGCTTTAGGCCTGGCCTCTTTTGTCAACAGTGCCCAGCCCTGGCCTCCAGTTGTTCTTTTCCAAGTGCTAAGTTCTATTGCTCCTCCTGATTCTTTCTAACAGAACTGCTAGCATCTTTTCTGAAGGAATCAGCATGGGGTAGGACTAAATTGAGGGCCAGGAAACTTGGCTCTGTCCTGAGTCTACTTCTAATTGGCTGTGTGAACTCAAGCAAACATGTTAATGTGTTTGGGCTTCACCTTCCTCATATTGAATTGAAGGGGCTATACTCAAATTTTTAAAAACTAATCTGCTTCTGGATTGAAGCCTGGGTGGGTGGATGGATGGATGGATGGATGAACAGACAGACAAATGAACCATTTTTAAATCTACAAATAAATTGTTTCCTTTAAGAAGATGAAAGGAGAAAAAACAGTCATCTTATAGCAAAAAATAAAAATAAATGAGCCATGGATTAGTCAAAGCCATGAGCAATTTTGAACAGATGTTTTTCTGTGCTGTCTTGGGTTGAAACAAAATGAATACCCTCCCAGTAAGCCTGGTTTTTCTGAGAGGCTGGTTGTTCAGAGTCAATTTTGCAGAAAAGGGAGAAGCAGACATCTTCACTATCAGAACTGAGCCCCCAGCTATGCCAACAGTAACAGCAAAAACAAGGTCAGCAGCCCCAGCTGATGGAGATGTGACTGTGGCCACAACTGGGTTTTCTTGGAAACTGCTATCCTAAGTCATTTTTAAGGTGCACCAAATTCAAGATGTTGTAGTTACACTGGTTTCTCAAGATTGTATCTGACTTACTATATATTATGTCAGGAACTGCTGCTATACTCACTGCTTTTCCTGAAGAGCTAACATTCAAGTCAACAAAAGAATCTTCCAGACCCACCACACAGTATGTTCACCCCAAAAGAATAACCAGAGACATTGACACAGTATTTTAGTTATCATATTTTACTTAAATGTGGTATTTTTTTAAGGATTCATTTCTTGAAACTTCAGCTATTCCATGTGTATCAGCCATCAAGGGGTCTCTTTAAGCTCTACCAAGCTATCAGGCCAGCCTCATGAGGCTCTCATACAGGGCCACGATATGACCTTCATGGGCCCCTTTTTTTGTAAAAATAAAAAATAGTAAAAAGCATATGGTACAATTGCACTGGTGTAAAAATAAATATATCAATATTACATATGAAAACATCACTTTCACCTTAAAGTATTTTTTCTTCTGATTTAAAAAAATGTATTTTCATGGGCCCTCAAAAGGAATGTGGGCCCAAGGCACTGTATGTTTGTATCTAACAAATAAGTCAGCTCTGTGGTCATGGCTCCCACTTGACACAAGTGTGCCCGAGACAGGAAAGTAGCTCCCCATCAGGGGAGCATAAGGCATTTTTCTTCCTTGGAGTAGTCCCTATGACCATCCATGAAGCTTGAAGCAGTCCACGCAGCTACTGAGGAGCTACTTGGACTGGTTTCAAGGTGACAGCTCAGGAGTGAGAGAGCTAGATTCACATGGGATGAATACACCAGTCCCCTGGCTTAAAAACCTCATATCCTGTAGGAGCTAATTCCTCTGTAAGAACTCCACAGACATAGCTTCCAGCACTCCTCCAAGGGACAAGTCCAGTTATTATTCAAGAATCATTATACTCAGAGAAGCCCAAAGCTCTGGCTTTCTATCAAATTTTTATAGTTCTTTCAGTTTAATGCAGTTTACCAACCAGCGGTCATTTTTGTCATAAGCAATCTTGCCTGGCTGCATAGTTTGACATTCTTCCTTTATCAGGTTTCCAGGGAAACAGAGATAAAAAGTTAACCAAAGGTTAAATTCTTATGCAGAAGGGAAAAGGGTTTAATAATCTTTTACCTACAACCTGCAGCTTGCCAGTTGTTAAGGAAATATTTACATTAATGTTCCAATCAAAACTTAACAGTGTGTCTATGGCAGAGACCATCCTGTGTATTCCCAAAACTCCATTGCCTTTTCTTCTGTAGCAAACAGTTAGACTCCTTTTTCCAGGTTCCTTTGTAGAATTGTGACTAGTTATGGCCAATGAACTGCGGTGGAAGTGATACATATCACTTTAGGGCTGGACCCATAAAGTCTCTGGAAATCCTTCATACTCTCTCTCTCATTCATCATCTGCTGATGAGAGGTAAAGTCTTCAGTGTAGGATTCTAATGCTCTAGGGAATGGTGTAGCACAGTGGTGCCCACCTTTTTGTCACCAGGGACCTCTTTTGTGGAAGGCACCAGGCGGTGCAGGGTGGGGCGGTGTGGTTTCAGGATGATTCAAGCACATTGCATTTATTGTGCACTTTAATTTCTATTATTACATTGTGATATATAATGAAATAATTATATAACTCACCATAATATGGAATCAGTGGGAGAGGTAAGCTTGTTTTCCTGAAACTAGACAGTCCTGTCTACGGGTGATGGGAGACAGAGACAGTGACAGGCCATCAGACATTAGATTTTCATAAGGAGCATGCAACCTAGAACCCTCACATGCGCAGTTCACAATAGGGTTTGTGATCCTAGGAGAATCTAAAGCCATCACTGATCTGACAGGAGGCGGAACTCAGGCGGTAATGCAAGTGGTGGGAAGCAACTGTAAATACTGATGAAGCTTCACTCATTCACTCACTGCTCACCTCCTGCTGTGTGGCCCGGTTCCTAACAGGCCACGAACCAGTAGCGGTCCATGGCCTGGGGTTGGGGATCCCTGGTGTAGCAGGAACCTGGGTCCCTGAATGATTGGGCAGGGCACAGATCTCCTATTGCCAGCCCACATTGGATATCCAGAGATATAAGGAATAAATAAATGACCAGCAAGAAAAGGAAAGAACAAATTTTTCTGAGTTTTTAATTCCTCTCCCAATCTCCCAAAAAGGTGAACTGGCAGAGAGTGTTTGATTAGGAAAACTAAATTACTATGGTTTACCCTCTTAATATGGAGACAAACTATATGGCTAATCTCTCCTCTGGCCCTTCCTAGCATGCGAGAGAATCTTTGAGTAGGGCACCAGAGAAATCACATCTGTCTCCACTATCACCACCTTCTACAGGGTCCTTTGCTGAGAAGTGAGTCATTCCTGGCTGAGTAGAAAATTTCATGCAAGTCAGAGGGTTCCCATCTAAGAAGTCATTGCCAAGCAGTTCATTCTAACCAGATTTCAGTGACATGATTTAGGGCACAAAATGGTCCAAACTAAGAGGCTGAGAGACAGAAACCAAAGGTTCTCCTCATTAAAACTTAACTGGAAATTTTTTTTATTAAGAAGGCACAAGTACTGTTTCGTGCCTGAGAAAGTCTTTACCAAATTGTGCTCTCTGAATACACAATGTAATCCAGTTGTTCTGTACTTAGTTCTTTCAGTAGAAAATTTAGAGGGTTTTTTTTTTCCCCATATTCCCATTCAAGTAGGAAAACCTATCAACTTCTCTATGAATTAATATTTACATCGTTTACTATGCTTTTGGTTACAATTAAAAATAGATAAAGAAAAAAGTTCTAAAAAGCTTAAACAAGAAAGGTAATTTTTTTCTGCCTTTCTAGCCCCTGATTCTTGCCCCTCTCCTTTTTTCCCATTTTATGTCTTTTTTAAAAATCTTAATGCTTTTAGATAAAATATTAAACCAGAGTGTCCCTCTCATCCTCTACTGCATTGTTTTAGTGGAATAAATGTATTTTAGAATAAATTTTTATAATGTTCATTATCTCATCTTTTCTGTTAATATCTGTACCTGTTTTTGTCAGTGTTCAAGATTTGTCATGTTTTGTTTTGTTTGTAGACTTACTCAGCTTCTGTTACTATTATAGCATTATGCATACTGATTGTTTACTAAATAAAATGCCACTTTGAGCTTGAAAAAAAAAGAAAGGTAATTTATTAAATCCTATGACTTAAAAGTCTAGAGGAGGGGCAGCTTCAAGTGGTGAGAGGCCATCGCCAGGGTGATGGTGGCAGGAATTGCAAATAAACAGGAGAAGCAAGTTCCTGCCTGTTCTTCCTGCCTTCTGGTCTCCCTCGAGTGCCCCCTATCGGCAGAGTCTAACAGACCTAGCTGGCAAAGCACAGAAGTGGTTTTCAGAGTCTCAGCCCAGCATCACAGAACTGAGTCTAGAAGAGAGGGTTTGGAATTGAGAGACAATAGCTTGATAACTATCACATTTTCATAGAAAATGTTATTTCAAAATTGTTGTTATATGAAAAGATAATCAGAGAGAATGCAACCAAAAAATGTAAGAAATGAATATCAAAGAGGTAGGTCAGGCAATTAATAAAAGCATTTATGTTCTTTTCCTGGATTATGTGATGTGTTTGCTGTTACTTTTCTGTATTTTAAATCATAGTTTCTTTTCTCCTGCTATATAAATGTGCACCTACATACCTTAAAAAAATAAAAAACAAAAAAGATTTCCAACATTCCCAGTGTAGCACAGAACAATCACAAAGTCTCAAGAATGAAGAGGTTGAGAAAACAGCACTTCTAAAATCTCTGCTCACTACCCCCAAGGAGAACCCAGCTCAGTGAGCATTTTCTCCTGGATGTTTCATTCCCCAAAATTTAGTCAAAAGTGGAGCAAGGGAAAGAGTGAGAGTGATCCTAGTGTCCCTACTTACCCCAATCCCTCCATAACTCCTGCTTTCCCCTGTCTCCCAGTCTACACTGGGTCACAGGACCCCTGAGAACAAATCCTATCACCCCAGATACACTGTGCCTTGCACAGAGGAGGTACAGAATATAGTGTTTTTGCTTAATTACAGAGCCACCTTTGTGCTGTGTATGATCTCTTTTTCAGAATCACTACTCTTCCTTTTTGTACAGGACATCTTATGGAGAATGACAATCTATTTTTTTTTTTTATGGGTTAAGGGGTTGCATTAGTCCGTTCTCATGCTGCTAATAAAGACATTCCCGAGACTGAGTAATTTATAAAGAAAAGAGGTTTAATTGACTCACAGTTCCACAGGGCTTGGGAGGCCTCAGGAAACTTACAATCATGGCAGAAGGGGAAGCAAACGTGCTCTTCTTCACAGCAGCATCAGGGATAAGTGCTGAGCAAAAGGGGGAAAAGCTGCTTGTAAAACCATCGGATCTCATAAGAACTCTCCCACTGTCATGAGAACAGCATGAGTGTAACCGCCCCCATGACTAAACTACCTCCCACCAGGTCCCTCCTGCTGCATGTGGGGATTATGGGAGCTACAATTCAAGATGAGATTTGGGTAGGGACACAGCCAAACCATATCAGGGGTATATTTTCTTCTCTCTTAAATATGACAGCCTATGTGTATTTCTCTGTGATTCTGCTAATGAGTTTTAATAGACTAATAAAATAAATAACTGTAAGCTTCTGGAAGGAGGAAATGTCCTTTTATATCTTTATGTTCCCTTCATGCTTTCTATCAGAATTTCATTCAGTTACAAGTAACAGAGATCTGAAAAACAGTGGCTTAAACATACAAGGTTTTATAGTGACATGTAAAGTAGGTACTAATTTAGCCTGTCCATGTTATGGTGATAGTGGCTCTATAAGTCATCACTTACCAAGGTTTCTCCAGCTCTCTGCTTCACCATCTCTAAGGAATGTCCTGTCTTCCAAGATGGCTGCTGGAGCTCCAGGCTTCACTTCTACATTCCAGCCAGCAGAGAAGAGGAAAAGAGAAAAGCATATCCTTCCATTTTAAAAAGGAGACTTCTGAAATTCTCACATTACTCTATTTACATCTCATTGCCCAAACCTTAATTACATGGCTATAGTCAGCTGCAAGGAAGGCTGGAGAATGTAGTCTTTTAGCCAGCTGGTAATGTGCATGGCTGAAGATTGAAGTCTATTACCAAGGAAGAGGTCAATTATTATTTGATGATAGTGCCGATAAGGTATCAGATTATTGGCCAAAGGACTTCTTGTGGAGGAGCTTTAAAGAGATTGAAGTTTAAGCGAGTCAATGTCCAGAAAGGCTAAGGTGATAGAAGAGCATTCAGAACAGTTTACTCAGGGAAGAGTATTTGCAGGATTTGCAGGATTCAGATTCCATGGCCCTTTTTTTACATTTAAAATAATATTTATTAAATTATCTTACGATTCTGGAAGTAGACCTCTTAATTTTGGAAAATCTGGAAAAATAAAATAAATGTCTCCTACTTCCTGAACCTAGAGATAACCCTAAATAACATTTTGGTGTGCTTTACCCCAATCTCTTTTTCATGCATAAATAATTTATTAATTTTTAACAATTGAGATCATTCTTGCCGTTTGTAGTGGTGCTTTAAACTGTGCTGTAAATAAATAAATAAATAAACAATACAATGAAAAGTCTTCCTCTCACCTTTCTCCCTTGCTTGGTCCGCCACCCCATAATCATTGCTGCTGATAGTTACTATGTTTCACACCGGAGCTTATTTTTGCATATTTCAGCAATTTAAACTTCCGTATTCCCCCTGCCACTTTTTACACAAATGCTAACCCATCATACACAGTATCCTCACCTTGCTTTTTTCATTCACACACTATTCTGTACCTTGTTTCTGCCACACAAGCACAGAGCTTTCTTATTCTCTTTCATGGCATTCCTCCCTGTGGATGCACCCCATTTATTAAACAGCTCCCTACTGATGGCACTTGGGTGGTTTCTAATCTTGGTACTACAAACAATAAACAGCCTTTTTGGATCTCATTTGCATACATGAGCATATGCAAAGAATAAATGACTAGGAGTGTGATTGCTATGTTGAATGCATCTGTAATATTGATAGGTATTACCGAATTGCTCTCTGCATTGATGGTAACAATTAACCCTCCCACCAGCAATGTATAAGAGGGCCTGTTACCCCATGGCCTCATCAAAAGAGTGTATTTTCAAACTTTTGGAGTGTCAATAGTCTGATTTAAAAAAAAATTCCATCTTGGCATAGCTTTAATTGCAATTTCTTTATGAGCAAGGTGGATCCATAGTTTTCAAAATATTTCTGTCTGACCGGTGTTTCTGTTCATTGCCTTGCCCTTCCTGATCATGTAACCATGAGATCTCTGGACAAACAATGGTCTGTTTGACTAATAAGCATAAAAAGGTTGGTATCCCCAAGTGAGAAGATGCTAGTTTTCCCTGCATCTTATCCCTGGGAAAGATGCCAACTATATTCCTGCTGAATGGTTATTTATGATTTTAATGGTTTATACCTTGCTTTATTTCTAAGCTATTTAAAACAAGAAAATTGGAAAGGGAAAATTTGAGTAAAAAAAAATGACTGGAAGAAAAGCAAGATGAAGCCAGGAATGAGGTCAGTACACTAAATATCCTTGACAGTTGCTACAGACAAGTCACATATTTGGCCAATCAGAGAGAGAAAGAGTTTAATACAGGATATGCCTCAACTGTGCCCTGTTAGAAACTGGCTTTACTGAAGCTATAATAGATCAGAGAGTGCATTGAGGGAAGATATTCCTTCCTCCTTTGCCCTTCATGCCCCAGACTTCGTGCCATATCTGACTGGAGGATTGGGAGGAAGGTGGTCCACCAAGCGAGAAAAGAAAACGGGAAGAACTTGGCAGCAAGAACTAAGGAAAGAGGTGGTGAAAAACAGCTCAGAAAGCGCAGGGTCAATAAGGCGGCTGGCTCCCCATATAACCTAAACATGGACGGGTTATTCAGGTTACAGAAAAGGAAGGCATTTAGCAGAATTTATCAAACTGTAGAAGTTGTTGCAAACTAACATCTCCCTAATTCTACTGAAATTCTTATGATACCATGTAGTCTGCTTTCTGACCTTTGTCAGATTCCTTTATGTCATCTTAGCTTCTTTTCCTGGCCAAGTCATACTTGGGAATTGAGCTCTGTAGAAGGAAGAGGGATTGCTTTAAGCTTGGTTATTGACAGCACATTGTAAATAACATTGGAGTTCCTAGCAGAGGAGAGCATAATGCTAAGAATGTTCAGGAAAAACTGGAGACCATCTTCATGTCTTCATGTCTGTATCAAACAACAGTACTTTGTTTCTCAGTATACATAAAATTGTCACTTTAAATAGAAAAATTAGTCATAGTATGATTATAGCTCTGGTAAGATATATTTGCTTGTAGAAGGGAGCATGAGAAGCAGAAAAGCATGCTAAAGCATTGGGGTGAAAGTTTATTTAAAAGCCCAATGTTGTTATATTGTCTTTTCTGTGACACACACACACACACACACACACACACACACACATATAGGCATTGCTCAGTATCAAAATAAACTTGCTTTGCTTTCTTCATTGCAGATAAAGCTGTCCTCTCTCCAGACAAACCAAACAATCCCTTTACTCATAGTATTTTGTCTTTCCAGGCATCTTATAAGCCATTGTTGAAGCAAGTTGTGGAGGAAATATTTCATCCCGAGAGGCCAGATTCCGTTGATATTGAACACATGTCTTCAGGCCTCACTGATCTCCTTAAAACTGGATTTAGCATGTTCATGAAGGTAAAGTAACCATGGAGAGGTAATCCTGAGTGTAGAAATGTTCTCTTTGCTGGGCATGAAAATGCTGGCACCCTGTTAACCCTAGCCAGCACCATACAGATAACATTTGGTATTTTGGCTCTTCTAAAATCAAGGGCAATCTTTATCTTTTGATTATAAGCAGCCTGACCTGTTAGCGTCATACAGCTTCTTCTGACCTGAGCACTGTGGTCTTTTCTGGTCAGCACATGTGGTCTAAGGTGGAGGACACAATCTCTCTGGGACAGCACTATTGAAAACTCTCCTCCTTGCAGCCTATGTTTTCACTTAAAATGAATCCACATAGCACACACCGGTCTTAGTGACAGCCCTTTGCTCTTAATTCTAGAACTGATTATGTAGGATGATGAGCGGCTCTGCTCAGTCCTATGGCTAGCATCACCTCAAAACCCACTTGGAAATGACTTTTGGACTGGCAGACTCCTAGGCGACAAGTGTCAGAATTTATCTGGCTGATATCTGGGGTGGGTCAAAATAACTGAACAACCCTTGAAGTGGGGATGAAAGGAGGAAAAAGTACACAAATGTGATCTATTTTTAACCTACTGTAGAGTTTCTAAATCTAAAAAGATTTCAATAAGATTACAGGCTGACCTCTCAGTCCATGCCAGGATTTCACTTGTAATAACTCTTGGAAGTAACAGAATGTTTTGCCAGCATCAAAGCATCTTTGAAATCATGAATTAATCTACCTAAGAGATCTGGCCTTTCAGAGTTCAATAAATGCATATTCCAGGAAAACTGTTCCACTCCAAAACCCAGAGGACAGACGCCAGACAATCAGACTCTAAACCAAGCAGTAAGCCTGCTGGAGCGGACCTGCAGGTCTCCTTCCTGCTGTTCCCAATTTTCAGCAACTTCTGTTGCAGTGCCTGGTTGGTGCATTTTCCTTCTATATTTTTTAATAAAGCAGTGTAATCAGCCTCTCCAAAGTGTTTAGGGACTTCTGAGTTGGTATAAGTAGGCCCAGAATTGGCCAGTGTCTCCCTATCCTGAGTAGCCCTTCATGGTGGCTAGTTGGTACAGAAACTTCCAGACTAGACACGGTTTCCAACCTTTTCCACTTGAGCATTCTTTTCTTTCATTCACAGGCATGGCTTTACCCTGAAGAGAGACTAAAATATCAAGTGTGGACTTTCAGAGCCTGGTTAGTAAGGTCTGAGGATGGCCCAAATGCCAATATGCCCTCTCCCAGACAGGCTGCTGTGTCTGTGGTGCAGTCAGACCCTGTACAGGGGGGTCTGGCCAAGGGTACAAATGAAGGCTCCACCCCACCTGCCCTTGGAGAGTTGCAGTGTAGGTGACAGGAGGCCCTAACTCTGCTCTTTGTCCAAAGATGTTCCACAGAAATAACTGTTTCTTAGCCAAAGGGATCTTTGATCAAATATGTTCCAGAAACACTGGCTTAAATAACAAATTTGATTGTTTCTTTACAGTCCAACATCACAGTGCCTTTAATACACTAATGGACTTTACAATCCTTCCTGAGGAGAATATGGAATATATTATAGAACAGAGTCGTGTTGTGTAAGGAATATCCACCTGCATTTTCTGTCACTGTTTGATGAAACAAGAGTGTCACTTGTTGTTGTTGTTGATCATGTTTATTTTGGAGTTTATTTTTTAATGACCCTTTCAAATTCTGCAGAGTGTTTTCTACATCTCTTCCTGCTCCACTGTCCTCAAGCAGGTTCCACCTAGGAAGATGTTTAGAATCGTCCTGGGCAGCACTGGGCTGTTGTGTTTCTCTCCATTTCAAACCCCCAGTGTTAGGGCTCGTGACAAAATGCTCTGCCAGCTTAAGACTGATCTCAAAGGGAGGTTTCCAAGTAATGGATTTAAGAAAAAGGAATTTATGTTCTCCCAGCAGCTGTCAGGATCCATTCCTCAGCCTTTAGCTGTGAGGCCTCAGTTCTCAGTTGCCAGGGCATCTCATCTATCTACAGGGGGTGGGGGAGAGTTCTGGTGGGCTGGCAACAAAGCCCTGTCCACTCCAGCCCCCAAAGGAGAGCCATTTTGTTTGGTTTCTAAATGGGCCTTCTCCGTGGCTGAACCCTCCTACAATTCCACACAGTAGAGCAAAGAGTTACCTCTGGCGTATGTGTTGGGGTTTGAACAAAATTGGAATGAACTTAAAGAGGAACACCCAGTAGGGCTTTGAGACACTGACTGTAATTTCCCAAAGAGCTACTTCTTTGAGATAGAGGTGAGGCCATCAAGAGAAGATGTCTACCACTCTGCTTTAAGGCTCTCCAGAAGAGGAGGATGCAAAATGCAGATGGAGTCTAACATGGTTATAACCATTTACCAGCCTTCTTCGTGTTGTTTTCCATCACCTCTTACTATCCAAAGTTATACAGAGAACCTGTGATCAGTGTGTATCACGGTTCAGCCAAGTTCTTACCATTCATTCTGATATTGATCCTCATGACAGCCTTAGAATGTAGGTCCTATCATTATCCCTGTTTACCAGTGAGGAAACTGAGGCCCAGAAATGTTAAGCAGTAGATGTGAACCTCCAGAAGGCTGGGATTGGGTCTTACTCTCCTCTGTTCTCAGGCGTTTTCCTAAGAGCACACAGGAAATAGTGACACCAGAATTTGTCCCAAGGTCACTCTTATTCCAAAGCCTAGCTCTTAACCACATTTCTTGGCTCCAGGAGGCTGCCAGGCATTTTCTTGGAAGTTAAGTATTCATATACTCATATGTTATTCTTTCTGGTTTCCTTCATGGTTACTCATTAGCACAAATGCTCTGCCTTTCCAGTATCTATCCAGCTCATGAATAAAATCTATGCCTGGGCTGGTCATCAAGACAGCCAGTGTGAGTGAACTCCCTCGAGGTCATCTGCTGCTACCTCATCTGTGTCTCTGCGACTTGGCCCTGGGACTCATTGGCAGCGCTCCCCAGGAGAATAAATGTGTGCATTAGAGTTGAGTTGCGTGTACACATTGCATCTTCATTGTGTATTAGCTACCAACAGTTATTGCTCATTTCTTTCTTGTCGCTTGCTGCTCTGCTCTGTTCCTCTGGAATCTGCTCCCTCCTCCACTTCTCACTGAAGACCCACCAGTGCTGAG
This sequence comes from Homo sapiens, assembly GCF_000001405.40. Taxonomy (NCBI): domain Eukaryota; kingdom Metazoa; phylum Chordata; class Mammalia; order Primates; family Hominidae; genus Homo; species Homo sapiens. Next base: position 52,904,337 of record NC_000004.12, on the reverse strand, counting down.
CCAGAAAGACACAAAAAGGCAAAGCCTGGTGAATAAAGTTATCAATGCGGAATCCTTCCTGTGCTCAGGGTGCTGCCGTACAAATGGGATAATTCTAGAACTTGAAAGGCTCTAGCTGAGCCGCTCATCCATCTCTGTCCTGTTCCTGAACTCATAGATGGTTTCGTGATGATGTTGGCTCAGGGACACCCGGAAGCAGGGTCTATAGACTGTGCGGGGATGAGGGCAGATTGAGAGGCTGGTGAGAGATGTGCTGGGAAAGAGAGCCAGCAGTTATTCCCGTGGGGTGTGGAGTGTGTGCCCTCACAGCGGGTGATGAAAAGAATACAGGAGAGTGTTGTCCAGGCCCCATGTGGCTTCTTCAGGGCTCTATACATTTTGTTCATACTTTTGTAGCTGCACTCATACACTGTTTTGTAACTATACATATTAGGTACCTTTCTCCAGACTAATGTTTTTCTTCATGCTAGCGTTTTTCTAACTGCACAACTTGATTCACTGCACATTAGTGGGTCAAGATATCAATTTAATGGTTTTAATCAGCATGTTTTTAAATGAAAAAGAATAGAACAGATTAGATCAGAGTTCACTGCATCTAGCAAGGTAAAATAACACAACCCAGTTGCACATAGATACACACGCATGATTTAAATGTTTTCTTATTTATCAAAAGAATGTGAGAGCTATCACTGTGAGAATCAGAAAGCTGATCTGGGTCTTATTCTTTTCTGCATCCTCAGCGGTCGGCACCTGTATAGGCCTTACAAACAACAGAGGCTCACCAAAAGTTGGGAGAGTGGTTAGGCTGGACCTGTTTTAGTCCTTATTCAGAATGCAGCACAGCTTCAAGTCACTGGTTCCTCTTTCCAACTACTGCCCTTAAGCCAAAAGCTTCTATCTCAGTTTCACAGGGGATGCAAGGTAGCAGCCCCATCACTGAACTCCAGTGACCCTCAAAGGAGGCCCTGACCCTCCTTTCCAGCAGCTACTAAGCAAGGCAAAGCTGGTCATTATTTCATCTGTAGGTAACCCCAAAGAAGCAGCAGCCCACTCGCTCTTGCCTCGCCCACCATGCATTGATGTGCACAAGGGGAAGGAAGCCTGCCTCTACCTCTGTCAAAGAAATCTGATGCTCTCTTCTCCTTTCCACGCTGACAGTGTGCAAGTCTGTTTCTTCCAACTTCTTTGTTTCTCTAGAGAACAGAACAGAAATAAAGGGGTGTATTTTGTAGACTGAGAAATTCAAGGAATCGAGAGGAAAAATGTGACCTCACAGAGTGGTCACATAGGAGGATGAGTGACACAAAGGGAGATTTGAGGCTCTTTCCTATTTAACATCTTTATTTTTTAAGTTAGATTTTATAAATGATAGACAGCTGTCTCTTTTCATGCATTCCTTCCTCATGACGTCTACTATAAGCTATGCTAATAGCAATCACTTCATTCTACTGTGTTTGTTTACAAGAGCCAACAGAAAGTAGTGGTAACACATCTGGAGTCACACTACCTTGGTTAGAACCCAAGCTCCACCGTTTACTAACTATGTGACCTTGGGCACATCTTTGTGCCTAAGTGTCATCATCTATAGATCGGGGATGATAATAGCATCTACTTTGGGGGGCTATTATGAGAATTAAATCAATGAATGCATATAAAGCACTCAGAACAGTGTCTGGCGCGTAGTAAGTACTACGTAAGTATTTGCTATTATTATTTTTATGGATTTGTATCCCTGCCACACTGTGATGTCTGAAAAGAGCCACCTTGAATACCCTTGTATGCCTGTACATAGCCAGTGCTCAAGCATTTGGGGCACAAAGCCTAATTGTTGGGTGAATAAGTGAATTAAATAGAAGAGAATAGATACACTGCCCCCCAAAGAAGAAGTCACAAACATTTCATATTTCACTACTGATTTGCTCTTGTCAGAAAGACATAGAGTGCTGAGTGCTCTTCTTTTGCTGTGCCTGTGGGAAGCCATGTTTATAAGGCAGTGACGTGTTTTTCCAGACTCCCCTTTTTCTTCTCCACTGTGAGTAACTTGTTGAGCTCCTCAGTCTTGGGAGATATAGACTGTCCTTCTGGGGCAAACTGTAGGGAGCCAGTGAAATTCTGGACACATGCCATGACAAGCTGTTTCACAGGAATGGAGGTCAGCAGGGCTAGACCCTGGCCAACACAGAGGCAGAAGCCCCAAGCTACTCAGGCCCCCAACTCTCCCAGGAGCACTTCAGCAGTGCAGTCTCCACGTATGGGGAATGAGCAAGAGCTGTGCTCTGCAAAGGTTTGCTGCTGCTCCTTGGGCAGCCTCAGCACTGCAGGGAAATGGAGACCTCCATTCCAGGTACTTGGAAATGGCTCACAGAACTCAATCTTATTTATGTACATTTTTGCAGGCAGCGAAAGTTAAGAAAAATACCTGTGTATGTAAGATTATCTGCATCAAACAAATCCTCTGCGATAGGAAAGTCAGGGTAGCTGGATTTTGCCTTTACTAGAGTCAGAATTTCATTTGCATCATATTGCAACTGGTTGAACTTACTTTCTTTGCAGCATTTAGCATGCATTCCTGTTGAAATCAGATTGTCCAGAGAAGCCTTTCATCTCCACCTGTTCTGCTTATCTATTGCTACATAACAAGTCATCCCAAATCATTGATTTAAAATAATATTGATCATTCATTTTACTCATGAATCTGCACTCTGGTTAGAGCTCAGTAGGGAAGGATTCACCTCCAAGATGGCTCATTCATATAGTCAGAAAGTAGATGCTGAGTGGCAGCTGGCAGTGAGGGGCCTCAGTTTCTTTCCATGTGGCCATTCTCATGTGGCCAAGCTTTCTTGCAATATGGCAGCTGCATTCCAAGGGCCAGCATCCTAGGAGACAGCCAGGATTCAGATGTATTGTATTTTATGGCCTAGCCTTAAGTGCCACATAACATCACTTCCACAGCACTGTGCTCTATTTGTCAGGGCCATCAAAAATGCCCACCCAGGTTAAAGTGGAGGGGACCTGCACTCTTCCTCTTGAAAGTGGATCAAGAGCCGGGGGTGGAGCCAAGATGGCCAAATAGGAACAGCTCCAGTCTACAGCTCCCAGCGTGAGTGATGCAGAAGATGGGTGGTTTCTGCATTTCCAACTGAGGTACCGGGTTCATCTCACGAGGGAATGCCGGACAGCGGGTGCAGGACACTGGGTGCAGTGCACCGTGCATGAGCCAAAGCAGGTCGAGGCATCGCCTCACCTGGGAAGTGCAAGGGGTCAGGGAGTTTCCTTTCCTAGTCAAAGAAAGGGGTGACAGACAGCACCTGGAAAATCGGGTCACTCCCACCCTAATACTGTGCTCTTCCAATGGGCTTAACAAACGGCACACCAGGAGATTATATCCCACACCTGGCTCAGAGGGTCCTGCGCCCGCGGAGCCTCTCCCTCATTGCTAGCACAGCAGACTGAGATCAAACTGCAAGGCGGCAGCGAGGCTGGGGGAGGGGTGCCCGCCATTGCTCAGGCCTCAGTAGGTAAACAAAGCGACAGGGAAGCTCGAACTGGGAGGAGCCCACCACAGCTCAAGGAGGCCTGCCTGCCTCTGTAGGCTCCACCTCTGGGGGCAGGGCACAGACAAACAAAAGACAGCAATAACCTCTGCAGTCTTAAATGTCCCTGTCTGACAGCTTTGAAGAGAGTAGTGGTTCTCCCAGCACGCAGCTTGAGATCTGAGAACCGGCAGAATGCCTCCTCAAGTGGGTCCCTGACCCCCGAGTAGCCTAACTGGGAGGCACCTCCCAGTAGGGGCAGACTGACACCTCACACGGCCGGGTACTCCTCTGAGACAAAACTTTCAGAGGAACGATCAGGCAGCAGCATTTGCGGTTCACCAATATCCACTGTTCTGCAGCCACCGCTGCTCATACCCAGGCAAACAGTGGACCTCCAGTAAGCTCCAATAGACCTGCAGCTGACAGTCCTGACTGTTAGAAGGAAAACTAACAAACAGAAAGGACATCCACACCAAAAACCCATCTGTACGTCACCATCATCAAAGACCAAAGGTAGATAAAACCACAAAGATGGGGAAAAAACAGAGCAGAAAAACCAGAAACTCGAAAAATCAGAGCGCCTCTCCTCCTCCAAAGGAACGCAGCTCCTCACCAGCAACGGAACAAAACTGGACGGAGAATGACTTTGACGAGTTGAGAGAGGAAGGCTGCAGAAGATCAAACTACTCCGAGCTAAAGGAGGAAGTTCAAACCCATGGCAAAGCAGTTAAAAACTTTGAAAAAAAATTAGACAAATGTATAACTACAATAACCAATGCAGAGAAGTCCTTAAAGGACCTGATGGAGCTGACAACCACGGCACGAGAACTACGTGACGAATGCACAAGCCTAAGTAACCGATGCGATCAACTGGAAAAAAGGGTATCAGCGATGGAAGATGAAATGAATGAAATGAAGCATGAAGAGAAGTTTAGAGAAAAAAGAATAAAAAGAAATGAACAAAGCCTCCAAGAAATATGGGACTATATGAAAAGACCAAATCTACGTCTAACTGATGTACCTGAAAGTGACGGGAAGAATGGAACCAAGTTGGAAAACACTCTGCAGGATATTATCCAGGAGAACTTCCCCAATCTAGCAAGGCAGGCCAACATTCAAATTCAGGAAATACAGGGAACGCCACAAAGATACTCCTCGAGAAGAGCAACTCCAAGACACATAATTGTCAGATTCACCAAAGTTGAAATGAAGGAAAAAATGTTCAGGGCAGCCAGAGAGAAAGGTCGGGTTACCCACAAAGGGAAGCCCATCAGACTAACAGCAGATCTCTCCGCAGAAACTCCACAAGCCAGAAGAGAGTGGGGGCCAGTATTCAACATTCTTAAAGAAAAGAATTTTCAACCCAGAATTTCATATCCAGCCAAACTAAGCTTCATAAGTGAAGGAGAAATAAAATCCTTTACAGACAAACAAATGCTGAGAGATTTTGTCACCACCAGGCCTGCCCTAAAAGAGCTCCTGAAAGAAGCACTAAACATGGAAAGGAACAACCGGTACCAGCCACTGCAAAAACATGCCAAATTGTAAAGACTATCGAGGCTAGGAAGAAACTGCATCAACTAAAGAGCAAAATAACCAGCTAACATCATAATGACAGGATCAAATTCACACATTACAATACTAACCTTAAATGTAAATGGGCTACATGCTCCAATTAAAAGGTACAGACTGGCAAATCGGATAAAGAGTCAAGACCCATCAGTGTGCTGTATTCAGGAAACCCATCTCACATGCAGAGACACACATAGGCTCAAAATAAAGCGATGGAGGAAGATCTACCAAGCAAATGGAAAACAAAAAAAGGCAAGGGTTGCAATCCTAGTCTTGGATAAAACAGACTCTAAAGCAACAAAGATCAAAAGAGACAAGGCCATTACATAGTGGTAAAGGGATCAATGCAACAAGAAGTGCTAACTATCCTAAATATATATGCACCCAATACAGGAGCACCCAGATTCATAAAGCAAGTCCTTAGAGACCTACAAAGAGACTTAGACTCCCACACAATAATAGTGGGAGACTTTAACACCCCACTGTCAACATTAGACAGATCAACAAGACAGAAAATTCACAAGGATATCCAGGAATTGAACTCAGCTCTGCACCAAGCAGACCTAATAGACACCTACAGAACTCTCCACCCCAAATCAACAGAATATGCATTCTTTTCAGCACCGCACCACACCTATTCCAAAATTGACCACATAGTTGGAAGTAGAACACTCCTCAGCAAATGTAAAAGAACAGAAATTATAACAAACTGTCCCTCAGACCACAGTGCAATCAAACTAGAACTCAGGATTAAGAAACTCACTCAAAACCGCTCAGCTACATGGAAACTGAACAACCTGCTGGTGAATAACTACTGGGTGCATAACGAAATGAAGGCAGAAATAAAGATGTTCTTTGAAACCAATGAGAACAAAGACACAACATACCGGAATCTCTGGGACACATTCAAAGCAGTGTGTAGAGGAAAATTTATAGCACTAAATGCCCACAAGAGATAGCAGGAAAGATCTAAAATTGACACCCTAACATCACAATTAAAAGAACTAGAGAAGCAAGAGCAAACACATTCAAAAGCTAGCAGAAGGCAAGAAATAACTAAGATCAGAGCAGAACTGAAGGAAATAGAGACACAAAAAACCCTTCAAAAAATCAATGAATCCAGGAGCTGGTTTTTTGAAAAGATCAACAATGATAGACTGCTAGCAAAACTAATAAAGAAGAAAAGAGAGAAGAATCAAATAGACGCAATAACAAATGACAAAGGGGATATCACCACCAATCCCACAGAAATACAAACTACCATCAGAGAATACTATAAACACCTCTGCGCAAATAAACTACAAAATCTAGAAGAAATAGATAAATTCCTCGACACATACACTCTCCCAAGACTAAACCAGGAAGAAGTTGAATCTCTGAATAGACCAATAACAGGCTGTGAAATTGAGGCAATAATTAATAGCTTACCAACCAAAAAAAGTCCAGGACCAGATGGATTCGCAGTTGAATTCTACCAGAGGTACAAGGAGGAGCTGGTACCATTCCTTCTGAAACTATTCCAGTCAATAGAAAAAGAGGGAATCCTCCCTAACTCATTTTATGAGGCCAGCAGCATCCTGACACCAAAGCCTGGCAGACACAACAAAAAAAGAGAATTTTAGACCAATGTCCTTGATGAACATTGATGCAAAAATCCTCAATAAAATACTAGCAAACCAAATCCAGCAACACATCAAAAAGCTTATCCACCATGATCAACTGGGCTTCATCCCTGGGATGCAAGGCTGGTTCAACATATGAAAATCAATAAACTTAATCCAGCCTATAAACAGAACCAAAGACAAAAACCACATGATTTTCTCAATAGATGCAGAAAAGTCCTTTGACAAAATTCAACAACACTTCACACTAAAAGCTCTCAATAAATTAGGTATTGATGGGACGTTTCTCAAAATAATAAGAGCTATCTATGACAAACCCACAGCCAATATCATACTGAATGGGCAAAAACTGGAAGCATTCCCTTTGAAAACTGGCACAAGACAGGGATGCCCTCTCTCACCACTCCTGTTCAACATAGTGTTGGAAGTTCTGGCCAGGGCAATCAGGCAGGAGAAGGAAATAAAGGGTATTCAATTAGGAAAAGAGGAAGTCAAATTGTCCCTGTTTGCAGATGACATGATTGTATATCTAGAAAACCCCATCGTCTCAGCCCAAAATCTCCTTCAGCTGATAAGTAACTTCAGCAAAGTCTCAGGATACAAAATCAATGTGCAAAAATGACAAGCATTCTTATACACCAATAACAGACAGAGAGCCAAATCATGAGTGAACTCCCATTCACAATTGCTTCAAAGAGAATAAAATACGAGGAATCCAACTTACAAGGGACGTTTAGGACCTCTTCAAGGAGAACTACAAACCACTGCTCAGTGAAATAAAAGAGGATACAAACAAATGGAAGAACAGTCCATGCTCATGGATAAGAAGAATCAATATCGTGAAAATGGCCATGCTGCCCAAGGTAATTTATAGATTCAATGTCATCCCCATCAAGCTACCAATGACTTTCTTCACAGAATTGGAAAAAACTACTTTAAAGTTCATATGGAACCAAAAAAGAGCCCACATCGCCAAGTCAATCCTAAGCCAAAAGAACAAAGCTGGAGGCATCATGCTACCTGACTTCAAACTATACTACAAGGCTACAGTAACCAAAACAGCGTGGTACTGGTACCAAAACAGAGATATAGACCAATGGAACAGAACAGAGCCCTCAGAAATAATGCCGCATATCTACAACTATCTGATCTTTGACAAACCTGACAAAAACAAGCAATGGGGAAAGGATCCCTATTTAATAAATGGTGCTGGGAAAACTGGCTAGCCATATGTAGAAAGCTGAAACTGGATCCCTTCCTTACACCTTATACAAAAATTAATTCAAGATGGATTAAAGACTTAAATGTTAGACCTAAAACCATAAAAACTTAGAAGAAAACCTAGGCAATACCATTCAGGACATAGGCATGGGCAAGGACTTCATGTCTAAAACACCAAAAGCAATGGCAACAAAAGCCAAAATTGACAAATGGGATCTCATTAAACTAAAGAGCTTCTGCACAGCAAAAGAAACTACCATCAGAGTGAACAGGCAACCTACAGAATGGGAGAAAATTTTTGCAATCTACTCATCTGACAAAGGGCTAATATCCAGAATCTACAATGAACTCCAACAAATTTACAAGAAAAAAACAAACAACCCCATCAAAAAGTGGGCCAAGCATATGAACAAACACTTCTCAAAAGAAGACATTTATGCAGCCAAAAAACACATGAAAAAATGCTCATCACCACTGGCCATCAGAGAAATGCAAATCAAAACCACAGTGAGATATCATCTCACACCAGTTAGAATGGCGATCATTTAAAAGTCAGGAAACAACAGGTGCTAGAGAGGATGTGGAGAAATAGGAACACTTTTACACACTGTAAACTAGTGCAACCACTGTGGAAATCGGTGTGACGATTCCTCAGGCATCTAGAACTAGAAATACCATTTGACCCAGCCATCCCATTACTAGGTATATACCCAAAGGATTAGAAATCATGCTGCTATAAAGACACATGCACACGTGTGTTTATTGCGGCACTATTCACAATAGCAAAGACTTGGAACCAACCCAAATGTCCAACAATGATAGACTGGATTAAGCAAATGTGGCACATATACACCATGGAATACTATGCAGCCATAAAAAAGGATGAGTTCATGTCCTTTGTAGGGACATGGATGAAGCTGGAAACCATCATTCTCAGCAAAGTATCACAAAGGCAAAAAACCAAACACCGCATGTTCTCACTCATAGGTGGGAATTGAACAATGAGAACACAAGGACACAGGAAGGGGAACATCACACACTGGGGACTGTTGTGGGGTAGGGGTAGGGGAGAGGGATAGCATTAGGAGATATACCTAATGCTAAATGATGAGTTAATGGGTGCAGCACACCCACATGGCACACGTATACTTATGTAACAAACCTGTACGTTGTGCACATGTATCCTAAAACTTAAAGTATAAAAAAAAAAGGTGGATCAAGAGCATGAGGAGCAGAAAATACTGTCATGGGCACTTTTGGAAAATACAATCTGTACCCCACCTAAATATGTTTGGCTGTCCAGCTAGGCAAGGCAGTGTTTGGCTAATCCTAGGAGTTTTCCCTCCAATCTAGAGGATGGAAAAGTCACTCATGCTTCTATGCTGGTTTCAAAATAAGTGAGCCCAGAAAGGCTTTGTTAGTGAAAGACCTGTTTGCTATTCTTCCATAATGTTTTTTAACAATATAACATTTTTAAAAATACTTCCGGATAAGAAACTGAGCTAGGGAACTTTCCTCTCCCAAGTTTGCTCCATCAAGTCCCATAAAGTAAGCCAGATGAGCTGGGGAGAAGAGCAGGTATACCCACTAGATCATTTTCCAGCAGTTCTGAGAAAGTGTTTGAAGTAACTTGATGTACTTCTCAACCAGAGGATAGACTTGCGGTTAGCCACACAAAGCTGTCAGCTTCAAAGGGCAGTGTGTGAAGCCCACTAGGGAGTGGTTCTAGCAAACTAGGGAGAAACAGCTTTGGCAGAACCTGACATTCTTCAAACAGCCTTTTCTCTAAAATCCTTGTGCATGGAATACCTTGAGCTCCTTAGAGGAAAGCTTGATAATGATCTAACAAATAAATCAAGACATACCTTACCCCTCTCCCTACAACATTAATTTAATTTAAAACTAGCATGTCTAATAGGCAGCACTTTTAAAGTGCATTTCTGGAATTTGTGGTTTGGATCTCAGTCTCCTGAAAATAATTTATTTTCTATCTACTCCATATGTTTGGACCTCAGCTTGTTTTGACTAAAGGACATGATTTGTCAAGATGCTTTCTCTGCTAAAATTGACATGAGAAGGGTGGGTTTTTATCTAATGAAACTGCATGAGGCCCTTTTACCTCCTTTTATGTGTGCTTTTTAAGAAGTTCTTTTTTTGTTCTTTCATTTCTTATGTGGCCATGCTTAATTGGAAAACAATTTTAAAACTATGAAAAAGACTCACAGAAAGCCCAGTGCTTACCTCTGGGTCCCTTGTTTGAGTGGATATGAGTCCCCCATTGCCTTAAGTGGCAACAAAAAGAGGACCACAAAGAGAACTAGAGCAAGGTAGTTTCAAAGCTCAGGTAGGCTTTGAAAAGCTGCTGGTGGTGAGGGGGTAAGTTAAAAGTCTTTCCATTGGAAGTAAGATGCCAACAAATTGCAATAACTTAAAGAAAGGAAAATTTATTATGAGGCCCATGGGATGTCCTGGGGAGCCCAAGGACAGCAATGAGAGAGGCCTCAGTAAGGATTGAGACTAAGAACTGGAAAGCCATCAGGAAACCAGGCAGTTCTGTGAGACCCATTCTGCCCTGCATGAGAACAGCGCCCTGCATTTTGTAGATGCTCAATAAATAGTATAAATGAATGGTTGAGTAGCTATTGCCACAGCTTTGACTGAACCTTATCTATCTTAGGTCAAGCCTGAATTCCCAGGGAAGGGCCTCTAGTTGGCCCACCCTGGGTCAGGGGGCCATTCCAGGACCAATCAACTGTGGCTGAAGGACAGGGTCACATTGTAACTGCATGGATGCTAGGAGCCTTTCCTATGACCATGTGGGCAGGGGAGATTGTTGGCTTGTGGATTGGACAGATACCTGCAGAGGAATATACAGCAGGGGTAAAGGATGCTTTGGAATGCAGAGCAAAAATGATGGGCTGTCAGTAAAGACTGATGTCAGGTCCTTGGATGGTGAGAGCTGAACATGCCTTGGAGGTCATCTAGTCCCATTCCACATTGTTCATATAAGAAAAACAAGACAGGGTGCAGTAGTGCTCCTGTAATTCCGGCTGCTGGGGAGGCTGAGGCAGGAGGATCGCTTGAGCCCAGGAGTTTGAAACTAGCTTGGGCAACATAGCAAGATGAAAGAAAGAAAGAGAGAGAGAGAGAGAAAGAAGGGAAAGAAAAGAAAGAAAGGGAGAGGAGAGGAGAGAAGAAAAAGCAAGATTCAGAGGGTTGAACTATTGGATTAGGTCCATTGGACTTAAGGGCATTTCCGACAAGAGGAAAATATCTCAGTGTTCACGTTTGTTGATTAAATGAGTACAAGTCCTGGAATTCCTCTTTGCAACACTATTTGAAACCATTGTTTATATTTTCTTTTTCTTAATCATACTCCATGCTATGAAATAGGGTTCAGTATTTGCATAACATTAGCTAAACATGATCCATAAGTTCAAGTGAGATAGATTTTGGTATGAACTGTAAAGCAAAAACACAAACTTGATTTTGGCAGTCTGCGTATTGCATCTGACAGTGTGCAGTGATGGAGAGGCTCTTTTGTATGCTAGTCATTGTTGCGGTTAAGGAAGATATAGAGACAAACCAGGTTCCCTACCTGCCAAAGCACAGCTATATCATGTAGCTTACAGTTTGTTAAGGAGATGGATAAGAAAATTGAGGATTGCAGAGAGGAGAGATAAGTGGTGTGGTGGATGGGATGTGAGGACACAGAGGAGTAGCTCAGTCAGGGAGTCAGAGAAAGCTTCCCAGGGGAGTTGGATTTTGCCAGACCAGCAGGAGTTAGGAACTCCAAAGTAATGAAATGCCATCATATATTGAGGTGAGTGAAGGCAATTCCAAATGGCTGGAGCTAAGGGTGACCTGCAGGGAGTAGAAGAATAGGAAGACAGAGATAAGCAGACACTAGATCCCAGAGGGCTGGAGTTTTGACATTTGACCAGAAACACTGAAGTGCCATTGGATGTTTGCTAGGAATATATAACCAGTTTACATTTTATGAAGTTCACCCTGGCAGCAGTGCACAAGACAGAAACAAGAGCAGACTGGCTTGGGGAGGGAAGGTGAGAAGATGAAAGTCTAAGGTCAAGTAGGGCCAAGGGGACAAGGGGGCAGGGATGAAGTCTGGTGGATTCCACCGGACGGGGATTGAGGGGATGCAGCCGTAAATGAGTGGAGGCTGTCTAGGGCCATTTGCTTAGTTTGGAGTGACTGAATGGACAGTGTTAACATTGTTTCTATTGGGAAGCAGAACTGGAAAAGAAGAAAACTTGCACTTCAGACTTGTTGAATTTAGGAGCCTGAGAGACAGCCTTATAGCTCAGCAGAGCTTGGGCCAGTGGTAGCAATCTGGGGACACTGGCATGTGTGAGGCATTGAACTATGGACAGGGCCAGGGCCACCAAGGGAGGATGTTTGGGAGAAGATCAGGGGCCAGAGGCCAGAGCAGTCAGGAACACAGCTTGTCATGGAGCAAGTTGAGCAAGAGGAGCCCTCCAAGGAGGGAGAGAAGCTAAGAGGGCTTAGAAAGTGGAGGGCAGGGGGGACATTTCAGGAAAAAGGAAGTCATCAACTGCAGCAGATGAGAGGTCAAGCTGAATAGCCGACAGGCTCTAGCAGCATGGAAACCTTTTGCAATGGGATTAAGTGTAAGTAAAAGTAAGTCCCACAAGGCTCTGGTGATTGGCTGATATTTCTAAAGAACTAAAAATACAGAGTTTTCAGAGATGAATGCTAATAAAAATGCTTTTCGTTTGAAGAATTTGTTGGGAAAAGGCGGTATGTGGAATGAAAGGTAGAACGGTTACTGCTCTGCAGTGAGATGGTCTTTGATTTCAACCTCAACCCTACAGCTTACTAGTTCAGCCGCTTTGGACAAATTATTTCACCTCGTTAAGCCTCTGTGTCTCTGTGTGAAATGGGGCTTCTGCCTGCTTCATAGATTCTAAGGCTTGCATAAAGTGATGCTTGTCACTTACCCTCCCCCACCTGATTTTCCTCCATAGCACTCACCACCTTCCTTACTTACCCACTGACTTACTGATTTTATTGACTGTCACTCTCCCTCCACTAAAACATAAGCTCTGTGACAGCAGGGGTTCTTTTCTCTTTGGTTCACTGATGAATCTCTGATGCTTAGAATGGTGTCTGGCCCCACAGTAGTTGGTCAATAAATATTTGTTGAATGGATGAATAAATGAATGAAACATGAGATGTGAAGTGTTCGGAGGGAGTGGCAGTGCTGTTACTAATTCTTGGTGGGAGAAAAGCCATTACCAAGGCCCAACTTCAGTGTCAACCTGGGTGCTTCCTAGGCTTAGTACCCCTTAAGGCCAAAGCTCCTATTGAACTGTCTTCCTTCTACAAGGCCCTGCCCATAGCTGGAGAATGACCTGCCCCTTGCCTGTTGTAGGGACAAATGAGTCACAAATAAAGAGAAACTGAGTGGAGGAGCACCATGTGGAGGAGGAATCAGGATCCCAAACTCTTAGAGGGCGCCTAGAAACTGGAAGCAGCAGCAGAAACCCTTCTTTTGACAACCCCAGTGATAGACGACAATCAACACATCAAAGAGCTCTCTCAGGGGCGCACACCTCAAAAGGGGTCTCAGCAACCTCTGCTGCAAAGGTTGGGATGGAATAGTGGAAGGAAACTGTCTTCTCTCACCAGAACTGATGTCTTAAAATCACAGCCAGCAAAGATTTAGAAAATGAAAGAAAGAACAGTGACTCGGACTTGCTTTATTAATCTGTGCATTTGCAATTGCAGTAGTTATGCTTCAGTCTTTCATCTTCAAAGTGCCTTATACCATGAACTAACATGCAAACATGCAAACAGGACTCAGTCATGTATGGCTGATTATAAGGAATGTGTTATTCTGATGGAAAAGGCTGAAAAGACTCCACTTCCCAACAGTCTGTTGACTTGAACGGCTCCACAAGAAAAGTCTGGTATCAAAACATGAATCTAAACAGAAACCAAAATAGCAAACACCAACATGCATTAATTGGACCCATTTATTTGTACCAAAACCAACATTCCCCCACTCCTTAGCCCCAGGGTATTGTTCTTTGTTGTTGCAGTTTGTTTCTTTTTTTCCCTTTTCATCTGTCAATACATCCTTCCAAGATTCTCCCAATGTACTTTGGATTCCAGACTCTCTTATAGAAAGCATATGTCTTTGGGAACATATTGCACCACGTTCAAGTTCTGGAGCCAATTTATTTCTGTCCCAGGATTAACTGAGAAACAACAATTGTTTGTAGGGCTGGAAGGAAGGTCTGGGTTACTTACTCAGCCAGAAGAACTATGCATAAAGCAAAGGGAGAGTTTCTAAGAAAAGAAGGGCCTTTCCTGTTAACCTGTGGATATGATTCATTCCTTCATATGACTATTTCATTCATGCAACATTTACTGAAAGCTTACCAGGTGCTAAGTACTAAGCACAAACAGGCCAAAACCCACTGGTGTGGTCCACACCATGTCCATAGGTTACAGGCTTTTCTTACTGATATGGAAAATCCCCAAGGTGTATGGTTGAGTAAGTATAAGGTAGAGTGTTAGAGTTCAAGATGATGATTGCCTGTGGGGAGGTAGTGACAGGAGTAGGTTATGAGAGGGTCTCTTCAGGGTGCTGGTTTTCTGTTTCTTGGTCTGGGTACTGGTTACACTGGTTTGTTTACTTTAAAATTAATGGAGCAGCACACTGGTGATATGCATACACTCAGTAAATTATCATATGTTTAACAGATATTCCAAAAAATAAACACCAGGTGTTCAGGTATGGCACAAGCCACTGTGAATGGTTCCAGCAAATAATGTGTGTGGAGGAGATGAAAATAGAGTCATAAACCAGAGCCAAGTTGTAAAAGCCTTATATGCTGAAATACAGAGTTCGAACTTTATCCTAAGAGCTATGAGACTCTATGCAGATAATCTGAGTGTGTGATGGAGCTGAGAGGTGTTTTAAGAGTGTGGCCTCTGGCGTTTTGCTCCTGGATCCATTACTGTGCATGAACCTCAATCTCTGCATTTGCAAAATACACTAATAATTGTGTTTGCTTTCTAAGGATATTTTGAGAATTAAATAAGATAATACACAAAAATAGTTAGTACAATGTTTGCTATTTTCAATAATAAATATTTGTATTTTAGAAAACATACTTGGCAGAAATGAGGAGAATGGATGGGGTATGGCCAAACTGCGGATGGGGAGACAAACTTGAAGGCTATAGCAGCGATCTAATGTGGAAGTAATCAAGGAGATGTTGATAACCTTAAGTAGGTAGAATGAATAGAACGTCATCTGGGAGATGAAAGAGACAGCAAAGTCTAAGATGTCTCTCATGTGCCTGGCTCAGGTGACTTTGAAGGTGGTGATGCTGTTAGAAATTCAAGAGAAGGAAGGGTTTTGGGGAAAAGATCATGGATCACATTTGAAACCTGTTGAGTTCAGAAATCCCAGGAGGTGTCGTCTGCAGGAGCTGGGTGGTGATGTCCACAGGAGCTCAATAGAGATGACTGAGCAAAAGACATAGGTTTGAGAGGTACATAAAAGATATTGAAGGCACATGAGAAGATGAGGTCCTTCAGGGATGTTGCATTGAGTGCAAAGGGCAAGGAACCAAGGATGGAGCTGTAAGTAACAACATTTAAATGGGCAGACCAAGAAAGGGAACCTATTAAGAAATCTGAGAAGAAATAATTAGAAGGGTAGAAGGAACTACCTAGAGAAAGTACTGTCATGGTACCTAAGAAGGGTGTCATCAGCTGTGACATGCCATAGAAATGTCAGGTTAGATGATGACAAAGGAGTGTCCATTGACTCCTACAATATGATAGCCATTGGTGACTCCGATGAGAGCAATTCCAGGGTACAGTAGGACAAAAGCAGCATTGCTATGGTGTCTGGTATGCAGATTGGAAGAAAGCAGTTGACAAATTGGTCGGGGGAAACAGAGGTGCAGAGCAGGATGCGGACTTGAGTCTTTTTCTAAAGATGAGAGTGTTTTGAAACTTTTTCCAGTATTCACCACCACCTATTTTGAGGTCATTAGATAGTCCCCCAGTCCTCTCTCTTCTCTCTGTCCTTCCTTTCCTCCTGCCTGCCTGCCTTTGCATTCTGAATTTCCTCTTCAGAAGCCAAGGAATAACTTACATAACTTGGAATACTTAATGCATCATCCTTTCAAGTGCTTTTAGAATAAGATGTTGATTGGGAGGCCGAGGCGGGTGGATCATGAGGTCAGGAGATCGAGACCATCCTGGCTAACAAGGTGAAACCCCGTCTCTACTAAAAATACAAAAAATTAGCCGGGCGCGGTGGCGGGCGCCTGTAGTCCCAGCTACTCGGGAGGCTGAGGCAGGAGAATGGCGTGAACCCGGGAAGCGGAGCTTGCAGTGAGCCGAGATCGCACCACTGCAGTCCGCAGTCCGGCCTGGGCGACAGAGCGAGACTCCGTCTCAAAAAAAAAAAAAAAAAAAAAAAAAGAATAAGATGTTGAGACGTGGGTATAATCAGGCAAGGGAGCCAGAGAGTTCAGCTGAGAAAGGAGTTGGGGGATGGTAAGAGAAAGGGCTTCCTCTTGACCTGCTCCTCCCCCAGGCACTCCTCGGGACTGCCTGTGACCCACAGATGCGTTGTGTTGGGCAAGAACACTTACTACCTTCATTCCCTCTCTCCTTGCTGGAGGTGAAGCCTGTTGCCCACCTTCTGGCTTTGGTGGCCACGCAGGCAGCTGGCAGACTTTTTCCTGCAAGGACTCCATGCATGCTCCATTCTGGCTGGGCCTCCCTGTCCCGCTCCACCCTTCTGGTGACTGATTTTCTCTGGAACTTGACTCACACTATTTCTCCTGCCCACTCCATCAAACCAACTGTGGCTTCCAGATTCAGCTCAAAACATACTGTCTTCAGGAATCCCTTCTTGTCCCCTCAGTGTCTCCATCACTGAGTCTAGTTATTGGTCGTTTTGCATTTCCTGAGTGGTTACTTTGAGTTATTCTCATTTTAGTATATAAGAATATTTTTGCCTCGTTGATGAAATCATAAGGAATCAGGAGGAATTCTCCACAGCATCTAGTGTAGGTTCCATGCAACATGGACCCTCAGCTCAGGCTAGCTTGAAGAAGTTAAGGGCTGTAAGTCGGTACTGTACTGTAAGCACCTTGAGGATGGGCCCTGTTCTCTTTCATCTTTGTATACCCTCTGCGTCCACCTACCTAAAGCTTTAACTATTTATTAATTCCACTAACATTTATTGAGCACCTATTATGTAGAAGAAATTGTACTAGGTAAGGTGGGAATAGCATAAACCAGGAGGATGAGGCTCTTGCCTCATGGAGTTTATGTTCCAGTAGAGAAGATGGCCAACAAGTAAACAAATAAATAAACAAACAAATAGAGTAGCCACAGGCTGCTGTAGATGCTTTGAAGGAAATATACAGAGCCATGCAACAAAGAAGGGGGCACATTTATGCTGAGACCTGAAGATTAACAAGGAAGAAAGAAGTTGTCCCTCAGCCTTCTCTTGTTTTTAGTAGCTCCTGCTCCTTTAACTTTTCTTTCAATGAAATCTTTATTGAAAGAGACATAATAAGGTACTGTGTTATACATTTTCCTGGTCAATGAGTTCACAGACCACTGGGACATCTGGTAGCTAAGAAGTCATCATCTCTCTAAGGGCTGTTTATCACACCTGCATAATGGAGGTAGTGATGCAGGATTTTTCTCACCCACTTTGCCAACCAGGGTCCTCCACAGCCAGCAATGCCCCACTCCCAGGCCTTGCTAGGCCCTGGGCCTGCCACAGGAGATGCCCCACCTACTCGGCCCACTGGGCCATACCTGGCTTGTGCACTGGCTTAGCCTGTGGCTAGGCAGGCATGCCCCAGCTCACCCATGTTATAGCTCATACCCACATTTGGTGGTTCCTGAGTTCTTGTCCCATGCCCAAGAAGAAAGAGGTCACACTGACAATTGAAAAGTGAGGAGCGTGGAGAAGAATTTTATTGAACAACAGAACAGCTCTCAGCAGAGAGGGGATGCAAGGGTGGTCCCCCAACCGAAGTCAGGTGGTTTTTCTCTGTGTGTGACTGAGTCCAGGGCTTTTATGGGCTCAGAATGGGGAGTGCATGCTGATTGGTTTGCAAGTAAGCAAAAAAAAGGCTAAAACAAAGTCACCGCTCAAAGATGGACATGACAGTGTAAACAAACAATTAGGGAAGGGTAGGTATATGTAAAATAGGTGAAGGGTAGGGATCAATCAGAGGAAAACACACCAAATGGGAAGACAAGTTCTCAATCCGGTCCATGGATTTACCCGGGACTTGTAGCTAGGTTTTAAACTGTCATCAGGTTTCACCAGGGACCCACCCCTGTCTGCCTAGGATTTGTCTGCCTCCTGCCACTATCAGTAGTAGTCCTGAGGTTTCTACAGAGGGACAATGAAGATGGTACCCAGCTGCATTGTGCCTGCATCACTGCCATCCATCTGATATTGCTGGTGTTTTGTTTTGCAGGTGAGCCGGCCTCATCCTAGTGACTACCCCCTCCTGATCCTCTTTGTGGTAGGTGGGGTCACAGTCTCTGAAGTGAAAATGGTCAAAGATCTTGTGGCATCGTTGAAGCCAGGAACCCAGGTACTGAGTCCTCCATGCTTTGAACAAGAGCTCAGAAGTAGGGGTGTGAAGGGTGGGTGAGGGCCCTCCACCTATGGGTCCCAGTGCCCCTCTCCTAGCCTGCCTGCCCATCACCCTCTTGGCTTTGTTCCCTCCCTCCTGCTACCGCCTGTTTCACAATGTCTTCCTGCAGCCAGAACCAGCCCGACATGCCCTGGAGTTCCTTTGTTCTCAGTGGTGGAGGACTGGGTCATTTTGATAAAGTCTATCATGACAGGTTAAATGCTATGACACCAAGCCAATGAGCCTTAAATGGAAACTCTGTTCTTTGCAAAATAATCTGGGGCAGGGTGGAGTCCGGTGGGGTGAAGGGAGGGAGGAGAGCTCTTCTTTTCTAGCTCTGGGCTTCTGGGGCTAAGGTACTGTTATCCCTATTCTTGATTCCTTAGGGGCCTATATTCTCTGGTGTCCAATCAGTGTTGAATCACTCAGGAGTTTTCACTGCTTTCTAGGCTCCAGATATGGAGGGATAACTCCAGGAACCACCTCCCAACTGTGGCAATTAGAGGGCGGGGCCAGAGGAGTGTGGGAAGGATCACTGTCCAGACAATGACTAGTGTTGTAGCTTTCTTCTCTATACCTCCTGTCAGGCCCCATCCCATCCCCTAAACAAGAAAACTGGCTCTGTGGCCCAGTGGTGAAGAACATAGACGTTTCTATTTTATGGGCCCAAGTTCCAATCCTGCCTCTGCCTTTGACTAATCAGGTGATCTGGGAGGGAAAAGCCCTCAGTTTCCTCATTTAGGAAATGTGCCAGGGTGGCTGTGAATCTTAAATCAGAAGAGGCTTGAGAATATGCTTCTTAGCACTGTGCCTGGCTCAGAACGCTCAGTCAATGATGGCTGCAGTTATTCCCGGCCGTTTTTGAGCAGTCACCACACTGCTGTGCTGGAGGGTTTGAGGCTCACAGCATGATGCAGCAGGAGCCCAAGGAGAGAGGCTTCTGGAAGAGGAGAACCCCTGCTTCTGGAAGTTCTCCTGTGACTGGGGATGCACAGCCTGTTAAATCAGTAAGATGTAAAACCCTTGCCTTAGTGTGTTCCCCAAAACAGCCCCTGAGCCAGGGATGAGAGAGCAGGTAGTTTACTTGGCAGATGATCCCAAGAAGCAGAAGTGAAGTGAAGAACTCAGAAAAAAAAAGACAGTGAAGAAGAAAAGCCACAAAACGACACACTGCCAAGCTGGGTATGCTCTGGGCGCGGTCCACTGGTGGCCCCTGAGGAGGTGGTGTTACATGACTCAGAATTGTCATGCCAGAGGTCAGAGAGCCTGGGGATGTCTTCCCTTCCACTCTCATCCTCCCAGGTTGAGACTTGACTCTGGGGGTGTTATCTTCCCAGTGCTCTGGGGTTACAGCTTTGTGCCACCTCCTACCTCCACCCACTACTGTACATATCCACACAGCCAGCTCCAGGAGCTGCATCCTTCCCTTTTGTGACATCCTCCCTGTTGCTCCAGGCTCTTTCCACATATCTACCCACATCCCCATCTATACTGGGCAATGCAGCTCTGGACTTCTCCCTGACTACTTCATATTTGCTGGCCTAGTCTCCTCAATCAAATACAAATTCCTTGAGGACAAAGGCTGGGGCTTTCCAGGCTGGAGCACATGGCAGTGGCTCAGTAACCCTTGTAGTTTGAGGGGTTTATTGACTCCAAGAGAACTGGCCTGGTAGGAACAGTCTGTGTTGTTGGAGTGGCTGAGCTACCAGGTTAAGCCAAGAAGGTCTGGTCCCTGCTGGTCTCCAGACACCCAACGGAGGAATGGGACCTGGGTACCTAGAGAGCTACAGCAGACTCTTGAGCAGGGGAGTGGCCAGTTTTTGACTATGACCATTCTTCTGTTACTATCACCTGTTATGGTCATAGCTGATGAGATTTCTGATAAATTTGTAAATTCTGTTTCATTTAACACCCTCCCTGCCAGCAGTGATAAGGTTCTGTTTAATGAATGATTGCCTTTTTGAGCAAGACCTCTTTTCTTTTTTCATCAGAAACCACACTTCTTGCTGCCCCTAACGTGGTGAACCAAATTCTTAGCTCTTCAGAACAGTGATGCATTGTAATAGCCTGACAGACATGTTAATCCCTACTCTAAAAGGATAAAATGCAGACGTTTTCAAAGTCCTGTGACCTGAGTTTGACAACAGAGCCCCGGAATCTACAGTGACTTTGCTGCAATCTGACCCTGTGCTCAGTCATCTGCAGAGAGAGCTTCTCAAAGAATTTTGAGCTTAAGGATCAGCCTTGACTGCTACTTGCCCTTTGTGCAAAAAGCTCCCCTGAAGAGTTAGCAGGCCCTAGGAAGATTCCTCAGGCAGCAGGGGAAACAGAAAAGGCATTCTTTATCATGAAGTCCTTCATCTCCACATTTTTGAAAGGAGGTGAATTACCTGGATGTTTGCAGAGTGACACATGCTGTGGCGGGTCTCCCTTTCTTAGACCTTGACAGACACACAGCTGCCCTGGCCCTACAGCAAACTCTGCCGATCTGAGACATGACCAGCTTCCTGCTTTTTAGAGTGCAGCGGAAATCATGCCTTGCTGCCCTAGCAACACACGAAGTGGGATGCGTGCTAGTTCCATTGTCTGCTCAGACTCAGACTTCTGTTCGAGAACACATGTGACCTAATTGAAGGGGATAGGTTCTATGGAATCTATACCCAATAGACTGTCTAAGACCTTTGGGCAAGCAAGGGAGTAACCCTCACTTGATCATTGGTGTAAACAGCAATAATAGACATAGCTAGTGCTTCCATTCTGGCTTTACTATCCAGCCTTTACTTGACCATCTCCCAGGATGAGGATTTGTCCCCTCCCACTGCAGCCTATTTGAGGCTTGGAGGGTGTATTAGTCAGGGTTCTCTAGAGGGACAAAACTAATAGGATAAATGTAGATATAAAGGGGAGTTTATTAAGGACTATTGACTGACACAGTCACAAGGTGAGGTCTCACAATAGGCCGTCTGCAAGCTAAGGAGCAAGGAAGCCAGTCTGAGTCCAAAAGCTGAAGAACTTGCAGTTCAATGTTCAAGGGCAGGAAGCATCCAGCATATGAGAAAGATGTAGGCTGGGAGACTAAGCCAGTCTAGTCTTTCCACGTTCTTCTGCCTGCGTTTATTCTGGCTGTCCTGGCAGCTGATTAGATTATGCCCACCCAGATTGAGGGTGGGTCTGCCTTTCCCAGTCCACTGACTCAAATGTTAATCTCCTTTGGCAACACCTTCACAGACATACCCAGGAACAATACTTTGCATCCTTCAATCTAATCAAGTTGACACTCAATTAACCGTCATGGAGGGCTTCATTCTTGGTTCTAATATCTCCTCTAGATGAAGCCCAAATCTGCCTCTTTGGCATTGTCACTCACCAGTGCTGGTTCTAGCTCTTGTGCCACATAGAATTTAAAAGAAAATGAGATTCATCCCTCTTCCCCACGACAATTCTGCAGACATATGAAGATAGCTCCCATGTCCTCCCCCAGGTCTTCTCTTCTCCAAACTGAATATCATCAGTTCCTGTAGCCACCCCACTCTTACCCTGTGAAATGGACCTGAATCCCCTGACGATGTTGCAGCTCTCCTCAACCCCAGTTTTTCTCCCTGTCTCGCACTTGATTGGAACCAAAAGCCAAACCTTGGTGTGGACTGATCAGCTCAGAGAAAATTAGGGTCACCTCCTCCTCCTCTCTACCATGGCCTACAAAGCTCACATGATCTCACCCCTGCCTACGTCTGGGGCTTCTTTTCCTACCACTCTTCTCCTTGCATATGCCCCTCCAGCCTCAGGACTTTGCATTTCTCAACTATTGTATTCTCAGCACCACAAACAGAGTCTGCCACTTAGTGGATATTCATGAATGTTAATTGAATGTCCAATACTGAACATTAGAGACTCTACGTGTACCATTCCAACATAACAGAAAAGCAGCTTTTCTGGAAAAGACCACAAAAACCACACCAACCTATTGACTGACACATTATAGACAATTAAAACCACTTTGTCTTTTGTATCTATTGCTATTATTCCAAATCTTCCCTGTTCTACTGCTGTGTGGGTGCTCTTTGGAACCACGTACAGGAACTTGCAATCATTCCTATTAAGCTGGATTAACTAATGATTCAGCAGGCATTTATTGACTATCTAAAAAGCAAAAACATGATCTGCTCTGTGCCAGGCATTGTCTTTTATGCTAAGGACAGAACAGTGACCAAGCTAGAGACATTCCTACTTTTATGGAACTTCCATTCTACTGGGTAGTAACTGACAATAAACATGGAAGCACCACCTCATGACAAGTGGACAACAGACATAGATGGGTGCTAGTGTAGAAAAACCAGGAGGAAGAGCTTCCTTTAGATAGCACAGACTCCCATGGAGAAGGCTTTGGAGCTGAGATTTAAAAAGCATTCGGGGATCAGCTGTTCAAAGGAAATGAATAGAATCCATTCACAGCACCTCCAGAAATGAACTGTCTTTCACAAAAAGTGGCAAGAATAGCATGAAACATAGGAAACCAGAAACCACATGCCCACCTGCTAGCCTCTGAAGACTGCTCTGCTCTAAAAGGGACATGTTTTCTCCACTCTCCTGCCTGTGGCTGTTGGGAGATGTGCTGATGAGAGAAAATGGGTGCATTGGAGAAGGTCCTTTTTCCTATCTACAGAAAAGGGATCAAGAGGGCAACCTCCCCCATCCCAAACTGCCACAAACACCAAGTGGGAGATTCCAGGTTTCTCCTGCTCTGATCCGCATGTGCCCAACACCAGCCTCTCTCCTCACTCACTTGATGCCTACTGTGGGACTCCATGGCCAGACAGCTCTGCCTGGCTGAACTTTGCAGCTGGATGGTAGCCGAGAGGCTAGCAGAAGCCTGTGATTGTAAGAAGAAAATAACAGGGAGGGAATCTCTGAGGAAATACAGGGAACGGCCAGCTCAGGAAAAAGGGGAAGGCCAGTGGGAAAGTTGACCCCCATCCACTGCTTTCGTAGCAAGGCACGTGCTTGCCGCACCCACACTTTCCTGTAGTTCTACATTTACAGAGTTCAATACTTTTTTTTCTTTTTTTCTTTTTCTTTTTTTTTTTTTTTGAGACAGGGTCTCACTCTGTCACCCAGGCCGGAGGGCAGTGGCATGATCTCAGCTCATAGCAACCTCCACCTCCCACGTTCAAGTGATTCTCCTTCCTCAGCCTCCCGAGTAGCTAGGATTACAGGCGCCCACCACCACTCCTGGTTAATTTTTTGTATTTTTAGTAGAGACGGGGTTTTACAGTGTTGGCCAGGCTGGTCTTGAACTCCTACCTCAAGTGATCCACCCGCCTTGCCCTCCCAAAGTGCTGGGATTACAGGAGTGAGCCACCATGCCCAACCCAGAGTTGAATATTTAGTGAAGACACAATAATTAAAAAAAAAAAAAATAGTTTTGCACACAACTTAAGAGGTTCAAGGATCCCTCATCCTGGCTCCAAAACCTGCCTCCAGGTTATTCTAAAATTGATGGGAAGCCCCAGGGAGACAACAGCGAAAAGATCTGAATCACACTTCAGATCTTCTGAGAGCCTTATAAGCACAGCACAGTGGCTCTGAGGCAGCGGTAGTCAGGTCAGATGTTTCCAGGTTTTTCAGTAAGGCTAATCCACTGTGCCACTGGCTTAATGATACAAACCTTCTGGGTTTAACACAGGTGTGTGTGTATGTGTGCGTGTGCCTATACAGCATGAATACAATATATGCTCCAAAAGCTGCCTATCGAATGAATATGCATGTTGGTGCCTGTGCATATGTGGGTCACTTTGGGGAAGAATCTCCCAAATGTAAAAGAAAAGGAGAGAGAAAAATGTACCCCTTGCTCCTTTTGATACTGAGTGTTAGAAATCAGGGGGATATGGAATGTAAATCCTGGACTTCCCTGCTTCCTCTGTGTTCAGCAGAAATAGAACAGGAAGATGCTGGCACCTACAAATTACAGCCATGGTCTGGAGCAACGGAAAGCCCAGAGGGCTGGGTCACTCCTAAGGGCTGGGCTGCCCATGTGGAGTTCAGGGCAGGCCTGAGAACAAAGACCGAACATCCCCCTTCCAGCTGGAGTAGATATCAAGTGTGGGCTGAAGGCTGCTGGAGGGACTTGGTTCCCTGGCTGATGTCCTCCACCCCATCTCACAGTCAGTCGATATATTTTTTTGATGTCAAGTTATCTGCTTTGACACAGAGGCTTGCTGTTGGTGAATGAGCTGCATCTTCAAACATTCCTTGATAGAACTGCCTGCAGTTGGCAACACATGTGACACCTAAGTCATAACTGCCCTGCAGTTGCAGTGTCGTTCAGGCTCTTCAAAAACAATTTTTTGTTTTCATTAAAAACCCCATTTCTCATATTTAAGTGTGAAATTTATTTTTAATCAGCAAAGATTCTCTCCCCACTGGCTGTTTTTGTGGAAGGTATTCTGGTGGGTAGATGGTGCAGGGCAGGTATGGTGGCTGGGCCAAGCTCTGAGCACTGCGGGGTGCTCTTGAGTGTCCTGGATGCCTCTGGCTTGAGAAGGAGGCTGACCACTGCCACCAGCCCTCTTGGCTATTAGCAGGTGAAAGTGGGGTGGCTAGGAGTTGATGGGTCGGAGTAAAGTCAGCTGACTCTTTAGCCCTGAATGACACTCAGGCCTGTGTTGAGAAGGAAGAACAAAAACAACCCCCAAAAAGGAACAGGAGGAAAGAGAGGGAGGGGAAGGAGACGGAGGAGAAGAAGAGATGGCAGGGACCCTGAAAAGGGGAAAGGGAGAGGAAGCAGGGAAGACCAGGTTTAGGTTCTATGTACCTCTGATTTCTAATACTGAGAATCAAAAGAAGCATTTTAGAAAATGCAGAGAAAAGTAGACGTATGATGGGCAAGCATTGAGCATCACCCATGGGAATTTTCTTCAGTGCCCTTGGTTGCCTGAGAAAAGACCAGTTCTCTGAAAGGAATTCTCTAGTGCTTAATTTGTCCACTATCACATGTTTGATGATTATGTTTTTTAAAAATTAAATGTCATATCTGATCAGCCAATTTCAAACTCTTCTATTTTCTTTTTCATTTTTGAGCATCTTTGTTCCTGTTTAGGGCCCACTTTTTAGAATTTTAGGGTGATCTTAGCCAAATAATGTAGAAATGTTCTAGTAAAATGTGCTTTAAAAATTCTGAAAATTCAAAAAAGTAGCCAATACCAAAAGATGCCTAAGATGCAAACATACTTAAAGAGCACCAACTATTATATTTCATGCTCTATGTGAAATGTCAGCAGTATGATCCTGCTTGCTCTTCAAAATAGGAATTAGAGACAAGTAGGTTTTTCATCGAATGGAGAGGAAACACATTTACCTGGAGCTGTCTGAGCATCTTCTACTAGAGCTGCCCTGAGTGAAAACTTCCCAGTGACCGTGGCTACACTCCCTGCCTCCTTCACTGCTGTATGGTTTTTGTTCACTCAATCAGGCACTAACTGACTCAATCAAAGACCTGCTATGTGTCAGGCACTGTGCTAAGAAACAATGAAAAGACTCAGTTAAGTTGACAGGGAATACCGTGAGATACCAACAGCCAGGGGGACACACTCAGGCTTGCGGGAGGGGTGGTCTGGGAAGGCTTTCTGTGGGGAGTGATGCCTGAGCTGATTGTTGAAGGGCAATGGAGGAGGGGTCTTTGGGCAGAGTGGGGAGCTCCTCTCCCAGACAAAGAAGCATCCCCAAAGTGCCAGGTGTGAAATTGCGAGGAGTTAGGGAGGCTGGAATGTGGGACTGATTTGGGGGTGTGGAGGCAAGGGCCGGATGTGGAGTGCTGGCAGCATTCAGGTTCTGAAGTCCTGTGATGCTCTCCGGGAGGGCTGGGCTTACCAGAGGGCAGTGATGAAGCTGCAGGGATTTTAAGCCTGTGAGTAATGCGATCAGATTCACACTTGGGGTCACTGGCTCTGGCAACTCCACCTTCCCTGCATCCGCCCCATAACTACTGTGAGCTGGGTGGAAGGATGCAGCCGGGGATGCACATAATGAGGACAGTGACGGTGACAAAGGCAGTCATGGCAGCTGCCATTCTAAGCCCCTCTAGAGCCTGTCATTGTGTCAGATATTTTACGAAGATGTTCACATTGATCCTCACATAATCATGTGGGGTGGGTATCATTCCCACTTTACAGATGAAGAAATTGAGGCTCAGTGTGGTTAAGCAACTTCTCCAGGGTCATTCATCTAGCAAGTGGCCCAGCCAGGGTCCAGCGCAGACTGGACCCTCCTAAACCTGTGCTCTTAACCACTGTACTATCCCAAAGCCTCCTGTCCTCAGTCCTGCAGTCTCCCCTCCACAAAGGCCCCCTAACCTACTGCTTGAGAAGCCCCTGTTTTCCATCTGTTTCTTTTCACCCCTCCACAGAGCAGGCCCCAGACAGCCTCTGGCTGAGCCCTCATGAAGCTGTAGGCTGATTACTGTTAAACACCTGCTTGTTCAGATGTGAGGGCTGGCCTTACTGTTCCAGCTCAGTGGCGGTAGCCAAATCCATGGTCTCTGTCAACCATGGCTGGAAGCCCAGCACACTACCCGAGAGTGACAGATTCTTTGGGCTCAGTTATTGCTGCTCTGGAAGTCAACACTTTTAGCCTTTTCACTCCAAGTTCCTCAAACCTGCTGAGAAGACTTAGCACCCATGGGGATGGAGACGTACCCTAGCCCTCAGGCCCACCCTCACCCCAGCCAGAGAGGAATCCACCGTCTTTGCTTTAGAATTAAAGACCCCAAGGGCTAGCAGTGTGCTGGAGACCACCAAGTCACAGCAGGAGGAGAGGGCCCTTTGCATGAACGACTGCTGGCCTCTACCACCTCCGAAGAACCTACTTCCAAGGAGCCCAGTGTTTGTCTTTAGGTGTACATTTAAAAAGATTTCTGAAGAAGGGCTTCTTTTTTTTTTTTTTTTTTTTTTTTTCGAGACAGAGACAGAGTTTCGCTCTGTTACCCAGGCTGGAGAGCAGTGGCACAATCTTGGCTCACTGCAACTTCCACCTCCAGGGTTCAAGCTATTCTCCTGCCTCAGCCTCCCAAGTAGCTGGGACTGCAGGCATGCACCGCCACGCGCACCTAATTTTTGTATTTTTAGTAGAGATGGGGTTTCACCATGTTGCCCAGGCTCATCTTGAACTCCTGACCTCAGGTGATCCACCCAAATCGGCCTCCCAAAGTGCTGGGATTACAGGAGTGAGCCACCGCACCCAGTTCGAAAAAGGGCTTCTTAATTGTGGTCTGTGAATTCCTAGGAGTTCATGAACCATCCCTAAAACTATAACACAAAATCTTGTATGAATGTCTGTGTATTTTTCTAGAAAGTTCTTAGCTTTCATAAGATTCAAAAGGAGATCTAGGACCAAATCACAAAACCACAATAATACAGCAGCTCACAGTTGCTGAGCACTTCCTGTGCTCCACATACACGATCTTATGTAATCCTTGCCATACTGCCTCAAGCTTGGCACTGTTATTTTCCTTCTGAGAGAGATGAGGTGAGCAAGGCTGTAAGTTGTGACTTTCTGGAGGCATCTGGCCAGTCAGTGTGGAGCTGGGATCTCCTCAGGGTCTGCTGATGGCACTCGCCTGGAAGCCGCCAGGCTCAATTACCTACTAGGTTTGGTGAGGAAGACCTGAAAGACGTAGAGACCCTCTCGGGAGACACACATTCAAACGGTGTCTAAATCATGCATGCAGATGATAGAGAAGGCCAATCTTCACCCACTGTCCTCAAAGGCTCCTTGCATGATTTTCAAGGAAAATCGTGAAACACAGATTTCAGTGAATTTGTTTCTGCCAAAAATATGACTTGGCTGACATTAACTATATATATATATATATATATATATATATATATATATATATATATATATATATAGTTAAAGATAATCCTCTTTCAAGAAGTAACATAGATGCTTCCAAAGACTAAGTTTTTTAAACAGAAAACTTTCTCATAAGGTTGTTGAAAAATTCTTTCTTTAACAACAAGAAATACTTCCTTCTCTCTTCCTCTTCTACTTTTTCTCTTCATTGGAGTATAGACTTTTTGTTTTCCATCAATGAGCTCGTGGACTTGGGGTTGGTTAATTCACTAATTTAATTATACCTGGGACAATTTTGGGAGTGGGCAAGGAGGATAGTAAAGTGTGTGGGCCCACTTGCACCACTCCAAAGGAGCGTAGCCATGTAGTCATGCTGTGGGCCTTGGAATCCCCTTCCAAGGGATGTGGGCTGTGGAATTCAGGCTCTAGGACAGCTTTTCCCATAGTCACCTCTTCTTCTAGGGTGCATACAATACTGCTTGTGCAAAACCTAACCAGGCCCTTGCAAAGCACATCACGCCCCCAGCCCAGACCCAGGGAATAGGCTCTCCCACCTTTGCAGAGATAAATCTGTCCTGGAATAAAATCCAGACTGAGGGAAGCAGAAAGGGTCACCATGAAAGAAGCCAGAGGAGCCCAAAGGTGCATGTGGAGTAAGGGAGTAAAGGGCCCAGAGCCCTTGATGACAGGGAAGGGAGGCACGGGGGCACTGGGGCCAGCCTGTCTGCGCTGGGATCCTGACTCAGCCGCTGACTGTATGTGTGTCCTTGTACAAGTTGCTGAGCCTTTCTGTACTTTATTTTCTTCATCTACAAAGCAGGAAAAATAAACGTATCTATTTCATAAGCTCAATATCAGGATCAAATGGATATTCAATGAGATAATCCTCAGAACCTGGCACATCATAGAAATTAACAAGTATTAGTTATCACTATCATTCCCATCATCGTTATGAGTTGAAATGTGTCCCCTTTAAAATGTCTTGCAGTCCTAACCTCCCCACTGGTATCTGTGAATATGACCTTACTGGAAATAGGATCTTTGCAGATGATCAAGTTAAAATAGGGTCTTTAGTGTGGGCTCTAATCCAGTGTGACTGTATGTATATAAGAAGGGGAAATTTGGACACAGCAACAGACATGCATAGGGAGAGACAATGTGAAGGCACAAGGTAGCTAGGAGAAAGGCATGGAACAGATTCCCTCGCAGCCCTTAGAAGGTGCCAACCCTGCCAACACCTTGATCTTGGACTTCTAGGCTCCAGAACTATGAGACAGTAAGTTTCCATTGTTTAAGCCACCCAGTTTGTGGTACTAGGAAACTAACAATCACCATCATCACTAACAACATCCACCTCCTGGATGTGCCTTCTCATGCTCCCTGGAGGAGCAAAGGCTCCCTGAAATGGGGAGAAACCTTGATATTGACGTCAAATTACTGCATTACAAAGCAAGAATATGATCCAGTTCAATTTAGCAGCAAGGTAGTGGCTGGGCTCTGCCTGTCAAATGTACCTAGTGCCAGTCTCAGCCATCCTGAGTGCCCCATTGGCTAAAGGTTCAGTAGACACAGCCCGGCTGTCCCACAGGCCATCTGTCCCAGACTGTGCCCCCCTCCTTCCAGGCAGGGCACTAGCGCCAGGTGCCATTCAGCTGGCTGCCTTCTACTTTTCCTTCCTAGAACTTCACTTCATGCCCTCCCCCAAAGACATTTGTTGCATTCTATTTCTCATCATCCAATACCCTGAGATTGGCCCCCCTAATTCCCTGCGGTGTGTTTGCCCTCTCCTGTTGTTAGGTAATCGTGCTGTCCACACGACTCCTGAAGCCACTTAACATTCCTGAGCTGTTATTTGCAACTGACCGACTGCATCCAGACCTTGGCTTCTGAGCATCCGCTAAGAAGATAAGACCTACTCAAGCTGGAAATGCCGATGCAATTTTCTGCCACCACTCCAAATACTCCTCCACAACCAGCGTCCCTGTCACTAATTGCGAGAATGATGGAATTCTGCCTGAAGGGTCTTGATACCTACTCAGTGAGGTACTTTGCTTGGATTGCTGTGATTCTTAAAAAAAAAAAAAAAAAGTTTTTTTATTTTCCTGAAGGCGACAGTCTGTCTTTTGGCGAGTCCAATTAGTGATCGTTTCCATTTATCCTTAACCCTCTGTTTGTGATCTTCCTGATTCCACCTACAAGTTCATTAGTTCTAAATAAAAGCCTGTTGGCAAGTGTTGGTAGATTACAACTCTTTTTATTTGAAGTTGCTCGAGAAGTTAGACATGCTTTAGAATTATGAGTGTGGGGAAAATTTGATGTTCCTTAGGATTATATAACTGAGGAGGGAACATTGCAAATAGGGTCTGAGGCTTTGTTTCTCTCTTGCTCTGAAACATTTCTGAAAAGGCAAGGAAGGGAGGGGTAGTGTCTGGGGCAGTGCTGGTAGCCTGCATGTGTTGTAAATCATCCTGCCATAACAAAGGACTGCATTGTTCTAGCTGGCCCACTGGGCAGGTCTGCCAGGCTACTTGGAACTGTAGTGGGAAGGTGGTTGATTGGAGGGTTATCTGTATATAAAAGGTTTTCTCCCCTCCAAAGAAAGACTCCAGTACAAGATACCTGGTCCCAGGGAGTCTAAATTGTAACAGCAACCCCTGTGGACTTTGTGGGTATGAGTTTTGATTGAAATATAAAGCTTTCTTTTCTGTAAGTTTAAGTTTTCCATCTGACCATAGCAGAAAAACCTAGACCCACCTAGTGAAACTTTGTAAGAACTCCAGGGCAAAAACGAACCACTTGCAACCCACATGTTTGTAGGTGTATGGTCGATGGAAGTTTCTGGCATCCATGTTGGTAATAAAGAGATAAAACTGAAAAGGTTTTTATTGTGGATTACACAGGTGGAGGAAATAACATGTAAACCAAAACACTCACATGTCTCTGATTTTAGTTCTCTATAAAACACTGTCATTTTTGAAAGAACCATGAAGTTGGAGATTATTTTAAGATGTAATCAAAGCAGGATTTTTGTGGACACAGACACTCTTTTCTTGCCCAGGTATGTTTTCCACATAATATCAGTTCTTTCATGAAATAGAGGAGACCGCAGGTGCCTTTTTCATTCTACTAATCTTAAAGTGTTGAATTTGAATAAGGAAGTTAATGGTAGCCATCCGTAAGAAATGTTAAAGAGGAGACGACTTTTCTAAAATAAAAAATTGGAAAGTAACCTGTTACGTGACTCAAATCTGTACTCCTTCATTCATTCCTAAAGATTGATGACTGAGCACCTGCCATGTTCCAGGCACTGTGCTAGGTTCTGGGCCACTGTGATGAAAGAACAAGATGCGTCCCTGACTCTCTGGCACTCAGAATGAGTAGCTGGCGCTTCTCTGATGGTCTGGCCCGACGTGAGCATCTACTGAAGGTGAAGTTGTAAACCGCATGTCTATATGCAAAGGAAACTTTCTGGAAATACATATATAATGGTACTTCTGGGAAGGAATATCGAATGGGAGAGCTAAGAGAAGGGAGAGTCTCACCCTCAGTATACTTTTGTATTATTTTATTTTTTTTTACAGCAAATGTGTATTTGTGTATTACTTTTGTGACTTTAATCGGCCATAGCAGAAAACTGTATTTTTACAAATTAATTTTTTATTTTAAGAAATATTAAACTTTGGAAGGCTGAGGCAGGTGGATCACCTGAAGTCGGGAGTTCTAGACCAGCCTGACCAACGTGGAAAAACCCTGTCTCTACTAAAAAAATTACAAACTTAGTCGAGTGTGGTGGTGCATGCCCGTAATCCCAGGTAGGGAGGCTGAAGCAAGAGAATCACTTGAACCTGGGAGGCAGAGGCTGCAGTGGGCCGAGATCGCACCACTGCACTCTGGCCTGGGCAACAAGAGTGAAACTCCATTTCAAAAAAAAAAAAAAAAAATTCAGAAGCCTCTAATCTGAAATGATGAAAGGAGGAAGGTATTGATTGTAAATGTTATTCAGCAGTTCTTTT
Organism: Homo sapiens; assembly: GCF_000001405.40. Lineage (NCBI taxonomy): Eukaryota > Metazoa > Chordata > Mammalia > Primates > Hominidae > Homo > Homo sapiens. The sequence continues at coordinate 52,871,845 of NC_000004.12, read as the reverse complement.
GTCTTGAAAATGCTCCCCATACTGTAATTAGTATGGTCAGGGGCAGTCTGTGAATGGTGGGAGAAGTGTCAGAAGTTTGGCTTATGGTCATCTTTTTCTTCTCTGGAGGCTGGCTTGAGGAGCTGAGCCAGGCCGGTGGTCAGGTGGTGGAAGGCTTTGGAGGAAAGGTGAGCTGGAAGAATTTCTTCGTAACCAGAGTTTGGGTGAAGATGAAGCAGGAGGCACAGGACGTTCACTGCTCCTTGATTAACAAGCAGGAACACAATAGACATTTGGTATAAATCCTGCAAAGGGCCTCCAACAAATAAGGAAAAAGAGGGGGGCTTGGGGGAAGGAGGACTGTGGCCATGGCAGAGCCTCCCGGAAACTCCCTGCTGCTGCCAGGCTCGTGGGCACACTTCTCAGCATGGGAGAGGCTGGAGGAGAAGCAAGTCATGCCCTCCACCCCCGGAAGGAGCAGCAGGCAGAAAAGGGCTCTGAAGGCTTCTCTGGGCCTAAGTCCCAGTTCTGCCACTCCAAGCACTGTGGATCTCTCCAAGCCTCAGTGTCTGCATCTGTAAGAAACGATAACTATGGCACCTGCCTCATGGGGGGGTTGCTGTGGAGCCATCCCTAACACAGTGGCCAGCATGTGAATCTCAAGGAATGTGGGTTTTCACACTGAGGACGCCAAGGAAGTTACCTCTCAAAACTATAAAACGTCAACAGGAGAATAATACTAAATGAAGAGGAAATTTGGAGGCATTCATGGGGTCTACAAGGAGATGAGAAAATGGAGGAGGAATAACAACTCGGTCCAACATAGGTCCAAGACAGCATAGCCCAGAGGTCAAGAGCCCAATCCGATGGCTGGATTCCAATCCCACCTCTTCCACTTCGTAGTCCACCTCTCCTGGTCTTCGCTGACCATGCAGTTGTGTAACAATAGGACCTGCCACATTAGGTTGGGGGAGAATTAAAAGAGTTAATATGTGTGATGCATTTGGAACATGGCACATGGTGGGCTCATACAGAGCACATAAGAATTTATTGGTAATAAATGTCTGATGATTGCTCATGCAGGGCCATATGTCTGTGATAGAACTTTCTCTATCACTAATGCTAGCCACGAAGTCAGGCAGAATCTGAGATGGACTTACTGATTTCCCATTTCAACCCCTCCAAATGTATCCATTCGAAAGGGATCCAGCAGCTGTCAACCACCTGATGGTGACTTAAAAGGCTGAGCTGAGTGATAAGACTGGTTTCCCCTGTCTGGGGCCTGGGTCTGAGTGTTTATCACCTAAACAAGCACTTACAAATCCAAACCTTCTGCCAGCGACCTCACTGGCCACACTCCTTATAAACATAATTGATAGAAGTGTAAATACTTTGTAGCAGTTGACTCCTGCCTTTGTAAACCCTCTTCTGGAGTCTACCTCAGGGCAGACATAGCGGGCATGGGCACGGCCAAGTGGTTGGAAGCACTCCAGGCTACATCAGCCAAGAGTTGTCCCTAGCAGGCCGGGCCCTATGCAGATGGCTCTGTTTATGCCACCCCTCCATTACAATGGGATCCCAATAACAAAGAATTCCATCAAACTACCCCCAAGACCACTATTATTTATTTTACCCTGGTTACCAGAAACAGAATCTCAACAACACAGAATCCAGTATTACAAATGTCTGCTGTCCAGCCCAAGAAACATCAAGAGACTCCATCTCTGTCTTAAAAGGAATTTAAAAAGACAAAACCAGACGATGGAGGGTTTGCAAACTATTTGAGAGGGAAAGCTTGGAGGGTGGTGGCTGGGATCTTGCCACAGTCAGTAATAACCCTAATCCCATTCTCATTGCAAATTCAGGAGAGTAGTGAGGATAGTAAGAACTTTCTGGAACCATCTCTCTTTAGACTTGAAAGGGAATCTGTGCAACACCAGTTTTCCTGGTTATTATAACCAGACAAGCTCTCTAATTCATCCTGGGCCACTCCCCAAGGGACCTGTCATGAGTTATCCACAGAGACAGCTGGACAGTGCCCATTTCCCCTGGGTGCAGAGGTAGCACCAGAGATTATCAGGGGCTCATTTTTGAGGGATGTGCCTACAAACTTGTTCATTTGCCCAGAAAACACATTTGTTTTCTCCCTCTTGGAGTGTAAGATGAATGTCAAAATCTCATTTTCCACCAAAGCGAGGGGCTCACCATAAATACACCCATGGCTCCTAAACCTGGGGTTAGGAGCTGGCTGGGCAGGCAAACCCGGATCTGCGGCGCCTGGTGAGTGCTGGAGCCGGGAACAGCCAGGAAGACTTTGAGGGTTGAGCCCTCTCTGCACACCACGCAGCGCCAGGCAGGCTGCAGAGTGTTGCGAATGTTTTTGATTTGAGGCAAGGGAGGAAACTCAAAAGCCAGACATCGTGACAGAAGTGGATTTGGTTCTGAGACAGCCGGACTGCACGCCCCTCCCCCTCCCAGCCTGGACGTCTTTATGACTGAGCAGGGCTGGAGGCCAGTGAGCAGCTGGCTGATGGCAACAGCAGATGTGGTTGGCAGCCAGGGGGGCCTGGAGCCCGGCAGAATCCAGGAGCCCACAGTAGCAAAGGGGAGATGAGAACAGCAGGACAGGAGACCTGGCCAGGGGAGGGAAGAGGAGGGCTCCGAGGTGGGGCTCTGCTGAGCCATCAGCCCAGGGCTTAGGCAGTGGCATCAGACGGACCTGGGATGGAGTTCTGGATCCGCCCCTTAGGGCCTGGGCCAGCCAATTCTTCTCAGCCTCCCTTTTGCTTTTCTGAAGAGGAGACTAAAGATGGATTGTAGAGCTATCACAGCAAACATCAGTTATTTCAAAAACCCTCCTATGGGGTCTGGCACACAGATTTTCCATAAATAGAAATAATAATTGTTATAACCGATGTGGCCCTAAGCAGGTAAATTTCATCTCTCTGTGCCTCAGTTTCTTTATCTTTAAAATAGAAGCAATATTACTACCCTTCCTTACAGGATTCTTCAAAAGATGAACGGGGATAACGTAGAATCTGGCGTGTTTTAAATGTTCAGTAAATTCGAACTCCTTCCCTTTCTCTGCTCCCCGGTACCCCAGATGCATACACATCCCTGCCTTCCCTTTCCAAGGTGGCAAAGGAGGTTTTCCCCTTCCTAGGTGGAGAGAGTCGTTTCTCAGGGCCAGGTGGTGGTAGATCATAAATTTTAAAACAAAACAAAACAAAAACATTAATTGAAGAGTTAACCAACAAGGAAAGAGATGAGCAAAAGTAATACCACATAAAGCTAGATTTATTAGAAGAGAGAAAAATGTGTTCCAGAACTATAAATAGACAAGTCCGCCTGAGAGAGTGGACAGAATGGGGACTTGGGTGGTTTCCAGCTGCGACTCTGTCTCTGTCCCTCTGTGTGTGTCTCTCTCTGTCTCTCTCTCCCCACTCTCTCTCTCCTAGAGTGGCCTTGCACAAGCCACTTTATCCCTCTGGGTGCGCCAGAGCTCTGAGCTCCCTTCCAGCCTGTCTAAGGTGCAGTAGGAGGCACTGAGTCCAGTACAGGGGTGAGGAAGTAAGGGGCAATCGCTAGCTGCGGGGCCAGGAAGGGAGAAGGTGGAGCTCACAGCTCAGCAAGGGAGCAGACAAGGGCTGCCAGAGCCCTGCAGCCTGGAAGCTGGTGGGAAGAAAAGGGGGCGGTGGCGCGGCAGTGGTCACTGAAGTGCAGCACTGCTCAGTGCCTCGGGAGCATAAAGCCACCTGCAGGAAAACTCTTATTTAATTCCAGAATGTGGGGAAGGGCTCTTCAGTAAATATATAAAGATCAACCTCTCACTCACTGGACATTGTTAACACAACCACATTGGCTGAATAGAAATAAAAGTGAATAGAATCCAGTTGGAGATACTTGTCACTACCCTTGAACTGAGATGTTTTCAGTCCCATGTTAGCGCCGTTTCCCTGCCCACCCCCAACACACACACCCTTCTCAGAGATGAGGTTAGGCTGAAAGCATAGAAAGTTACCTTGCATATTAGGAAGGTTTGAGGCATCACTGGAAACGCTGTCAGCTGTGAGGATCTGTACCCTGTGGGAACACTGATTGGAAATCCTGGCACCACCCCACAGTAGCCCCTCAACTGCTATTCACTGTGGCTCCATCGCCCCACGCATGCCAGAGTGTCTTAGCTATGACATGCTCTAAAAGACTAAGAACAGTAAATATAGTCAGGTGGCATTGGTTCAGCTCCTTTGTGTGAATTTGAAGACATCACTCAAAACTTAGAGCCTGTCTTCCTCATCTGTAAAATGGTGTCAATACCCCACAGTATTCTCCTGGGTTCTCCTGGGCCTTAAATGAGATCAGGTATGTGAAAGCACTACTCAAAGAAATGTCAGCTGTGATTATTTCCCCCTGTAGATGGTGGCTCACTTAGCTTGCAGGAAAGAGCTTCTAGGCCCAAGTGGCATAGATGAGAGAGCTGGCAGCTTTAGCGAGACACGTGTGGCAAAGGTCCATGGGACTGGCTCCTGATTTCACAGCCCCAGATCAATGACTGCAAGCTTCTACAGTGAGAATAAAGTGAATCTCCTGAAAGCAGCATACCCAAAGAAGAGGTCTGCCAACAAAGCATGTGTAAAGAAGCAGTCATCTCAGTGTCCAAGAAAGAATACGCTCGAGGCTGTGCTGACTATGTGGAGCCAGACATCTGTCTTAGGTATACCTGGAAGACCACAAAGTTAGTGAATAGAAGATCAGCTACTCTTGAATATAAAGCAGCAAATTGCAGTTTACAATGCTACAGGCTGTGGCCTTTGACAAGTTACTGATCTTGTTCTATAAGCCTGTTTCCTCATCTGTATTATGGGGATAATACTAGAATGCACCTCCTTGGATTGCTGTGATCCTTGAGAGATAACCCCTGAAAGGCACAATGCCAGATTCAATGTGCCCAATAATCACAGGATACTAGGTCATACTTTGTCTAAACGGCAGAAAGTTAACGTTTCAATAGAGACGAAGTTAGACATCTGCTCTTTTTCAAATGCGATTTATTGTACATAAAATAAATTAATTACAGTTTAAGCCAAAGCATGAGTGGCTTTTTAAAGTGCATCTGTGGAGGGGATGTGGCAGGTAGCCCCTGTTCACTTGCTGTAAGATAAGTGTTTTAGTATTTCAGCCACCCTTAGGCACAACTCAGCCAGGCCTAGGAAGCAACCCAACGTCATTGCCATGAACCATTTACACAAGTCACACCAAAATCAACTGACACATTTTTTTCCTGATGGAACAGTTAAAAAAACAAAAAACTATACAGTCAAAGTCTGGGGTTGAAGAGCGTGAAGTTCACAGCTCCTCCACACACGCCCAACTGAGCATGCTCATCCTGTGAGGGGGAACCAGAGCCTTCCTGTAAACCATGAGAGCTTACCAATGTCTGGTATACAAAATATTCTGGCCCATAAACTCAACCTGTTTTTGAGGGGTAGGGGATTTTCCATCTTGTACATAAAGAAAGAAATCTGGGTATCCTTCAGGTTAGAAAGGCATTCTGTAAGAATAGTGTTCCAGAGTTACAAATCATACTGGTAAGAGAAAAGCAATTCTTCCTCTTGGGGAAAAAGAGGAAAAGAAAGAAGAAAAGAGAAAAAAGAAAAAAGGGGGAAAAAAGAAAGCCTATCAATGCTTAATCTGTTCTTTCATTCCCACTGTAAATCACATCAATACATTTGGTGAAACTGCAACGGACCACCATTTACAAGGTAGTTGAATGCAGAAACCGAAACGATTATGCCCCCTCCCCACTCTAAAGGAAAAGACACAGAGTACATTTCACATATTCAGAGAGTGGCTCAGTGGGCTCTTTCAAGCCTCATCAATCCTGTCCCCCTGCTCAGAACAACACTTCCTTTTCTGTAGCAGTTCCACAGGCCCTCTTGGCCCTTCTGCTCCAGCCCTTTCTGGAACCAGGAATCATTGCCAATATTCAACGTTCCTGCACTAGGAGAACCTCAGGCCCTCTTCCTGGGAAGACCAAACCCCCTTGAGTGCTCCTCCTGCTTCAGACGGAGGTGACAGTCCTCACTTTGGCAGAGAGGGCTTGCTTAAACCTCCTCTTCAGGTCCTGCATGTTGGGTGACTTGGGCCTGGGAATGAGGGAGGTTCTTCGCTTCTCGGGTGTACTGCTAGGCTGCTGTTTGTGACTGACCTCTTTACAGAGGACGTGGAAGGCGCTGTAGACATCATTATAATTTTCACTGACAGACACTTCATAGAATGAGCAGCCTAGCATGCTGGCTAGCTGCAGTCCAAGCTGAGGGTCAACCTGTTTGATGTGCAACAGGTCAGCTTTGTTGGCCACGACCACCACAGGCAGCCGGGTGCCCAGGTGTAGCTGCTGCACGTGCTGGTGGAGCTGGCTGATGAGTTCATAGCTCTTGTAGTCAGTGATGGAGAAAACGATCACCACAGCATCTGCCCAGCGAATGCACCTATTCAGCTGTTCACTGCAGCTCAGGCTGTTCTCATGGACCTGAAAGAGAGGAGTGATGGCAAGGTGAATGCTGGCCAGTTGTACAAAGAGCCTGGGCTTGGGTAGATTTCAAATTCAAAAGAGCCCTTCATAGTAGTGCCAGGTTGAGGGCCATAAACAACTTATATCCCACACACTTCAGCTTTCTTGACAATATGTTGATCCAGCTGCACAGAGTGGGAATAAATAACAGTGCAGCTTACCACACTCAAGTGGAAAATTGACCTGCAGAGAACTCCATGCAGAGCGACTTTGTAGTTGCACAAAATGGGAAATTAACTGGCTAGACAGTAAGTCTGGGGAAGTAAAGATAGGAGCTGGAAGCATTTAAACCTGGATAACTGCCCAGTTCAGGAGGCGGGGGGAAAAACCCTAGCATGGCGCTTTTGTCTATAGAGCAACTTTCCAGTACAAAAGCGATTCCAAGTATTTGCAGACTATACCCAGAAGCTTGGTTTTTCATGCCAAAGACACACATATTAAAACTGGACTTTTAAACCACAGCAAGGAAAACACCAATTCCAACTGCATTCGGTTTGGGCTTTCCGGCTGTGTTGAATCCTTCTAAAGGAAGATTTCTGCCCCCTAGCCAAATCTCCCAAACTAAACCATGCTAAGATCGACCAACAGCCAGATACAATTGAATTGTCAGACATGTAAAAGTCTAGATGTGACTCCCCAAATTTCTCTGATCCTGCAGCATGAGGAACTTTGAGAAGAAGTGAGTGATTCCACAGCCAAGTAGGTTCCCCTTTCACCCAGAGTCTCAGAGCTTCTCACCTGAATACCTGGAGTGTCTTGAACCTGAAGAGCCAGGGTTTCACCTTCTATCTGAACTTGTCTAGTATAGAGATTACCTATGAAGGCAAATAAAAGAGATTATGTTCTTCCTTCTTGTACAACTTTTAAAACATTGTGAGTTTTAAGCTAGAAAAAAAATGCACAATGCATAAATGCACACAAAACAGCGATAGTTTATTTCTATTTGGTGGGCTTACTTCAGATTTTTTTTAAAAAACAACAGCAATTTTAACCCTATGTTAGATTTATTAAAACCAGGGCAAAGTTTGCAAGTTTTTGAAAACTTATTTATCTAGTTTTAAACAAAGTTTCCATTTTTAGAGTACTCCCTTGATGCAAATTATCTTGCTCAGCCTATGTGAGGTTTCTGTTTTCTTGAGTACTTGATTCATTCTTTGACTGTAACTTTGTATTTTGGCCGTTAGATATAATGGCTTGCTAGACAAATACTGTTAGTAAACACACAGCCAATGTTATCAGTTGGAATAAAAATGTGATATAATTATAATCAACTCTACATCAAATCAGAAGGCTGCCATGTCTTATCTTGGGATAGCTTATACAGCTCATTTCAAATAATCCCCTATAGGTACTCATATGGTCTACAGAGTTAAGCAATTTGCTAACAGAGCATAGGCAGAAAGCTCTTAAGCCTCCCCAGTGGCTATTCTTAATCATAAGGATTGAAAAATGTGTCCTCTCATTTATTCGGGAATTCTCCTCCTAAAATTCTACCATCCAGTTGTTTGTCTTTGTTAAGAAGGAGGAACTTTAGGTTTACAACTGCTCTCCTTTGGCCTTTGCTTTAAAAGGTCACCTCTGAAAGGCAGCCAGCAGAGAAGGAGAGGGGTGGGGGAAGGAGCTAGGGACTCCTTTTTTTTTTTTTTACGACTTTTGCAGGAGTGTTTTGAAGGGAGAGGTTCTTGACTACAAAGGGTGCTTCCAACTGGGGTCACTATAGTTAAAACATACCAAGGGGAATACTTTCAGGCACTTGATAAAATGATGAATGGGCTTGGAATGGAATGAGGCCAGATGGTAGTTATGGGAGGGGGGCGCCATGGAGGGCTGGGGACTGGGGAAAGTTTTAAGTGGCGGGATCCTCAGGCTCGGACTGTCACTGAAAGAACCTCCCTGGGAAGCGCTGGAAAATGGGAACCGCAGTCCTCCTGCAATGGGACAGAATTTTTCTCAAATGCATTGTCTCACCTGCATTTCTTTCATAGTCACCGATGAATCGTTTGGTGAGGAACCGGACCACCAGTGCTGCACGTCAGAAAAAAGAACGTCAAAGTGTTAACCTTGGAAGTTAGATTGTTCTCCACCCCACCCCCTGCCTGGAAAACAGTTCTCCCAAAGAAAGCCATAGATGGCCACCAAGTGAAATTCCTACCCTGTAGCTCCTTGACCCTTCTTTCCAGACAAAAAGGAGGGGGCTAGAAGGCATCGTGAATTATGGCTCTGTGCAGCTGGAAGGCTCACTGGGCCCACCCCCTCCTCTGAGCCCGGCTGAGCCACACCTAAGCCTTCCAGTAGACCCATGTCTTCCTAACCTTCAAGACCTCCCAGGGGGGCTAGCTTCACTAACTCCCCTTTCTGTGCCAGGCATTGCCAGAGGCTCAAACACCCCAAAGTTCTGATGGCGGCGGTGCCGGTGGTCCCCAGAAAGCTGCCTGGCCATTCTTGATCCTTGTTTCCCCCGTCTGTGGAAGCAGGCGGGTGGCGTAGACAACGGCTAAGCCCACTCCCAAGGGGCAGCGGCTCCCTGCGCGGGGACGGAGAGCGGTCGGGCTGCAGCTCCCACCGCTCCCCACGCCTTGTTCAGCCTCAACTCCCGTCAGGGGTCGTCCAAGACCAGACCCAGGGCTAAGCGCGACGACTCACCGGTCTTGCCCACGCCGCTGGCGCCCACCACGGCGATCTTGACCAGGCGGCGGCCGGCGGCGCCCACACAGCAGTCGGAGGCCGCGGCGTTGCCCGGCGCGGGGTACTCGGCGATGGTGCACATGTTCTGAATGAGGCGCATCGCCTCGGCTGCGGCGCACCGCGCGGGAAGGGACTGAGGGACTGGAGAATGCTAGCGCTGCGCGGGAGCGGGCGGGAGGACCCGACTGCGGGGCTCCGCGGTAAGAAATAACAACAATAAATAAGTGCAGGTACGGGCGGGGTGGGGCCGAGCGCCGAGGTTCCGCAGGGCTCAGGCTCCAGACCCAGACTGCACTCGCGCGGCGCGCCGGCTGTTTTCTCCGCGGCCGGCCCCGCCCCCTCTCCCCACAGCCAATCCCGGGGCGCCCTACACGAGGCCCCGCCCCCGGCGCCGCTCCGCGCGCGCGACGCCCCCGGAGGCGCCTGGAGTCAGTGCGGAGCCCCGTGAGGCGCGGGGAGAAGAGGCAGCGGGCGGAGGGGAGCAGCGGGTGGTCCGAGGCGGCGCAGCCCAGGGTGGGCGCCTGGTAGGTCCTGCCGCGCGAGCATGGGGCAGCTGCTGTGGCTGCGGGGCCAGGAAGAGAGCGCAGCCTCCACAGAGCCATTCCGGACCGCTGCCTCCGCCGGCTCCACAGCCCACGCGCGCACTCGCTGCAGCCCCAACCTAGGGCGTCTGCTCTGGGCGGGCCGGGAGCGGTGTTTGCTCCCCGGCTTAGTGCCGCCCGCCCTGATTTGGAGCGATTGCACTGGCTTGGGTACATCCCAGCTCATAGATTCAGCTACAGTTGGCAATCATCCGCAAAGACTCCAGCCTAAGACCTTTAGACCCCCGTAAAATGTGACATTTGAAGCAAAAATATCATCCACGTTTTATCCTAGACCCACGTTCTCTGGCTCTTGTCGACGGCGCAAGCTAACGCAAACACACATGGTCGGACGCATGCACAGCACGCCTAGAAGCGGATCAAGAAGTAATTATAGAACAAGCTTTCCAGCGCCTCACTCAGTCACACCTCCTTCAAGAGCTGTGAAATGGAAAGAAAACAGTTACTCCAGCTGCGACGTCTGAAGGGGCCCCGCACTTCGTCCCTGGTCATAAGACACCGCAAGAGTTTAGTTAAGTGGCTTGATACCAAGGAAGAGGTGGGCCCTGCACTCCTAAAATCCCAAGCTCCGGCCCCTTACAGTCTCATCTGAGAAACACATCTTCAACGGCAGGCCAAATTCCTCCTGCGAGCAACATTCTGTAGCTGCAGCTGATGGCAAGATGTCACCAGCGGCTGATGGCAAAATGTCACCAGAGTCGCGGGTTAACCACCCCATCCGCTATCCAAGGCCCTCTCCCCGCTACCCTTTCAACCTTGTCCCAGAGGCTTTTATGTTGGGGTATGGCAACAAACTCTGTGGCTTTGTGTACCCACCCACATTAAAGGCTAAAATGTGAAATAAACCAGTGCCCTTATCCGCACATGTCAGTCATCTAATTTGACCCCCTCTTCCAGCCAGAACTTAATTGACCAGGTATTTGACAGAATTTTATGATCCTCAGCCAGTTCAGACTCTGAGATGAACCTCTTGTCTACAGAGGTTTAGGTGTTTGCAGGAATGCAAGGAGAAATAGAAAGGTAATCTCAAGGTAGCAAGTTTTCTAGGATGGGCCACGTAATTAGAAAGACACACAACCTTACAATAAACATAATAAAAGGCTGACTTCTAGGGAGATCACTAGAACGAAACAGCCATTTGAGTCAGAAAGAAAAAGCATTTCCAATATGCACCATGTCTTTCTGCATGGTTTAAATCAGACTTGAATGTCACTTCTATAAAATCAAACTTTGCAAGACTGTAATTACAGGTAACCATGTACTTTTAAAATCTTTCCCCTCCAAAAAGCCTGCTATTCTATCATGCTTACATGGTAAAATAATGATGTAGGCTAAAGTACTAGTTTAACATACACACACACACACACACACACACACACACACAGAGACATGACAAAAGCTGTCAAGGGGAATTTTGCTTTGAATCATTTAGTTTCTTGGGCTTGATTTTCATTACCATAAGCCCATACAAAACCCGTGATTTTTCTGTCTGCAACGCAAAGGCTTGATTTGGTGTTCTTATTTTAGATCTAAATGATCTGGCTATGCTTTAAAGAACACAGAAAAGAGAGAAGCAAGAGAAAGATGTAAAAAAGAAAAGAGAGCTATTCAAATTCCAAATACCTAGCATATAGCCCATCTCCACTCCACCTACCTCTCCTTCTGGGACATTCATAGAGTTAAAAAGAGGAAGGAGGCAAGGCAGGAGAAGTGACGATACATAATGAGCGCTTGTTTCATTCTAGGTTGTACACAGGGGTTTTGCATTTAAAAATCTCATTTTACCTTCATAACAGTCCTATGAGGTAGGTATTACCATTACTTCTAGTTGCCGTTATCTATTGCTGCTTAGTAAACCACCCCAAACTTTAGTGGCTCGCAGTTCTGTGTGTTGACTAGGCTTAGCTGGGGAGTGCTTACCTAGGGTCTCTCATGTTGTTGCAGTCAGATGGCAGCTGGGGCTGCTATCATCTGAAGGCTCAACTAGGCTGGACATCCAAGATGGTATCTTCGTTCATATGTCTGTGTGTCAGCTGGAATGGGCAGAACAGCTGGGACTAGCTCAGGCTCTCTCACAACATGGTGACGGGCTTCCCTTTGAGTGAGCATTCTAAGAAACCAAGTAGAAGCTGCTAGTCTCTTAAGACCTACACTTGGAAATTGGCACCGCATCACTTCTGCTCTGTTCTATTGGTCAAGTGTCACAGAGCCCACCCAGATTAAAGATCAAGGGGCAGGAACATCGATCCTATCTTTAAGTGGGAATGGTGTCAAAGAATGTGTGGCCATCTGTAATTCACTACGCTTCCATTTTACAAGTGAGAAAGCAAAGTCTCGGGTTAAAAAACTCTTCCAAAGTTACATATCCTGCAAGGGACAGAGCCTTTTCTTTTTTTTTTTTTTTTTTTTTTTTTTTGTCAAGCTAAAAGAGATGAGGATGGGGAATTGAAACATGAGGAGGGGTTTGGGAAGAAAAGAAAGAAGTATTTTGCCAAGGTTCAATTTTACCTCAGCATCTGGAGTTTCTAGCACTTCCTTTGATCTTAAGAGGTTTAGCCCAGACAATTCAGTCCCTGGAAGCCCTTAGAATGCCAGAATATGAATTCAATAAATATTTATTGGATGTCTGGGCTATGTGTATACCAGACATTATGCTAGGTATTGAGTCTACAGTGGCAAATAAGAAATGCAACCTTTGCCATCCCTGCAGCTACATTTAGCATGAGAGACTGAAGTGAATGAGCAATTTCAATACAGTGTGAGAAAACACTTTGATAGGGAAAATTCAGGAATTACAGAAGCACAAACTAGGACTAAAAACCTGGGTTGTGGCAGTCAAGGAGGGGGTGGTGAAGGAGTTGAGAAGTTTGTGTGTTGTGTACAGTGTGCATGTATGTGTGTGCATGTACATGGGAGTATGGAGCAGGGAGTTAGGAGGGGGCAAGATGGGTTAGTTCGCAAGAGAATAGCACTTGCCAATAGGTGCTCAGTAAATAGTTGTGGATTATAAATGAAAGCATAAGTGAATATAGCAAAGGCCTCACATTGAGAAAATGAATTAAAGGAACGGAGGATAGTTCCTGATGGGTGAACAGAGAGAAAAGCCCTGGTGATTTCTGTGGAGGAGCCCTCATATTGATAAGAAAAGCTCCAGAAGTTGCCTTGGTGCTCCCTTCTTCCATGGGAACATGCCCGCATGGAAGCCAAATGAGCTGCTCCTCTGCCCACATCACCAGGAGTTGCTCCCAAATCAGCCCTCTCTGAACATCCAGGCCTTGAGCAAGAACCAGACTTTATTTTTTCTTGAGACTTTTGTCAACTCTGCTTGTTTAGATCCAGTAAACAGACACTCTTTAGTGGTTTTAAGCAGAAGACGATTTAATACAGGAAATTACCTGCTTTCAATGTCTTTGGAAGGGCTGGAGTAGCAGGCTCTAGGCTGGACCTGCAGAAATGGCTCCCAGAGCAGCACTGCAGAACTGGCCCACGCAGGAAGCTGCTGCCTCTTCCATAATCAGGGGAACACAGTGGCTGCCTCTGTTATTCTCTCTCAAAACTCACAAAGCTAGAGACCAGACATTGGAAAGTTGCTGCACAGAAGCCCAATATCTCAATTGTGCATGGCAGCAGAAAGCAATCAAGCAGCAGAAAGAATCTTTCCTCCTTGCTTCTGCCTTTCAAATCTCTGAGCACATCTAATTAATGAAATTCATTTTATCTATTACTCTAGCTGCAAGGGAGTCTAGGAAATGTCATGTTTACCTTTCTAGTCCTGGCAGTACATGAAGACACACTGGAAACAGATAGACAGGAACTCAGTGTGAATTCACCATTTCTTCCACTCTTCTCTAGCAGCCCAAACAACACAAAGGCCCAGAAAAGGACAGATCATGTCCCAGTAGACATTTAACTTTCAGTTATAAAAGGGTATAATGAGGTTCTTTTTGAATTGATTGCTTTGAGACCATATTCAAGACCACTGTTGTCGTTGCTTTTATGTAGTATGTATTGACACCTATGTTAGGCTGTTCTTACATTACTCTAAAGAAATACCTGAGACTGGGTAATTTATAAAGAAAAAGGTGAAAAAAGAAAAGAAAAGAAAAGAAAAAGGTTTACTTGGCTCATGGTTCCACAGGCTTTACAGGAAACAGTGCTGGCATCTGCTTGGCTTCCAGGGAGATCTCAGGAAGCTTACAATCATGGCAGAAGGTGAGTGGGGAGCAGGCACATCACATGGCAAAAGCAGGAGCCACAGAGAGAGAGAAAGCAGGGGGGGAGGTGCCAGCCAAAGCAAGAGATCACTTATCACCAAGGCAATGGCCCAAACCATTCATAATGGATCTGCCCTATTGATCCAAACACCTCCCACAATACTCCCACCTTCAATACTGGGGAATACGATTCAACATGAGATTTGAGTGAGATATCCAAGCCATATCAACACCTATCTCCACTCTTTTGGACTGTTTTCCTGTAGTCTGGCTACAAAGAACGTCTGTTGACCTCCCTTGCTCAGAATCATTTTCCATTCTTTTAATAAGAGCACTCCCAATTTTCCTTTAGAAACCTCCCCTGCCCCACTTTCATATTGCCCAGGTGGTGGTGGTATGATGATCCCAATCCCTAATTCTGCGGAAGAAGGGGCGTCCACCACAGGGACTCCTTCACGGCTGGGCCAATTAAATCCATCCCTGAGAGTTTTGCTAGGAAAGAGCTGCTTCATTCGCGCTGGTGTCAACTGGCTGGTAGAAAGTGAGCCTGGAGCTCCATCTTGGCTACCTCGTGGAAAGTCAGCTGAGGATGAAGCCAACCCGGAAGAAAAGACAATTGAGAGGCAGAGACAGCCAGGACCCTGATAGCACCTTTTCCCACCCTACATTCAACCATGCCTGAAAATGCAGACTTACCCCAAGTTACAGGAGTCAATACAGTCCCTGTTTAGATTCAGCTGGTTTGTGCTGCATCTCTGTCATTGGACTGCACAAGCCCTCCCACATCCTGTTTGCACAGAGTCATGGGCTCCACACAAGCCATGCTGAGGTTGACTCCCTAGCATCAGCAATGTTCCTCATTCAGAACTCTGAAACTCAGCCATTCATTCTCAGTAGAAGTCACAGATATCAGGCTGTTACATCCTTTTTATTTCATCTCTGTGGATACCCTAGCAGTGCTATCCTGCAATCTCTAGAAATTAACATAAGGATATTAGTACATCCAGACAATGGAATATTATTTAGCACTAAAAAGAAATGAGCTATCAAGCTATGAAAAGACAGGAAAGAACTTTAAGTGTGTATCACTAAGTGAGAAAAGCCAATGTGAGAAGGCTACATACTGTCTAATTCCAAGTATATGACATTCTGGAAAAGGTAAGACTGTGGTAAAAGGATCAGTGGTTGCCGGGAAATCTGGGGAGGGAGGGGTGAACAGGCAGGGCACAGAGGATTTTTAGGGCAGTGAAAATACTCTGTATGATACAACAATGGTGAATACTTGTCATACATTTATCCAACCCCATAGAATGTATAGCAAGAGTGAACTCTCACGTAGAGTCATGTAGAGTGGTCTTTGAGTGATGGTGACATGTAAATGTAGATCCATGGACTGTAACAAATGCACCATTCTGGTGTGGGATGTTGATAATGGAGAGATTGGTGGGGAGAGGGCTAATCTTTGCACCTTTTGCTCAGTTTTGCTGTGAACTTTAAACTGCTCTAAAAAATAAAATGCTTATTTTTTAAAAAATGAGATTACTGGGCATCTAATCCAACTCCTCCTCTGAGATTGTCCAACCTAGTCTAGGATGCTTCCTGTGACGGGAACTTCCTACCATCCACAGCAGCACATTTCTACCAAGCTGATCTCTTCTCTCCTATAACATCCTTCCAGAAAAACAGACTGGCATGCTCACCAGCTTTCCAAATACCTGGTTCATTGCTCCTTCGCCTTCCACTGCAGCTTAGAAAGGACTGGGAAGGAAGAAGAGGAAAGGTGGATGCCTGTGACATAGGATTGTAAAGAAATAGCAAACCCAGGAGGAGAGGCTTCTGCATCTGTGTTGGGGATGACAGTTTTTAATATTCAGTTTTAAAAATTAAAGAGAACTGTGGCTCAGAAACATCCTCTGAATTAAAGAGGAGAGGAAATTCATTTTGAGCTGCTTATTTTCTAAGAGATCTCTGAGTATGGAAATAGGAACAGGACAGATATAACTTAGCATAACAGAGAGTTTGTATCTAGTGACTCTATGTGATGTGTTAGATATCTTGCAGTCCGTGCATCCCCACAACAGAAGGCTGTGCTGATACCCAATATATGCTCAACGATTGTTTTGTTTTTAACTGTCAACTTTCCTTCTGGGTAAGTCTAGACTAAAGACAGCCAGAATCACTAGATTTAAAAGGTAAAGTAGGAAAGAAGGCAAATTGGAACTCAAATAAAATACACACACACACACACACACACACACACACACACACACACCCCTCTTGCCATTGGGAAGATCACCTCCTGACTAGAACACTTTAACTCTGAGAAAAGTAAGAAAGATATTTAAGTTCCAAGAAGGGGAGGATGGGCCTCAAAGGGGCCTTCCCTCCCCCTCCCACATACCTTGGTTGGTTTCCATGGCAGCAAAACGGCCCACATGTCCCCCTTTCCACACCAGGGAGGAAAGAAGAACTAGTATTATATTCCCCTGCTATTCAGTAAGATTTTATCTTCCTTATTCTGGAAGGCTTCTTCCACCCTCTTTCTCTATTTCAATGTAATATATTAAAGAAAGATAAAATAAAAGGTTAAATTAGTTCTTTTTCATTTAAGTTAAAATCTGAGATTTTCTTCTCCTCTCAATGATTTGAATCTTAATAGCCTCAGTCATTTTTATGGGAACATAGAACACCTATTTGATAAGCAATCTCATGACAATAGGTCAGAATAAATTCAAATATTAAATAGTCCATGAAACAACTGGTAAATATCCACTGTTTTAATTGGAAATAGGAAAAGTCTCAGTGCCCATTTTCACAAAGCCTTTGGAACATTGAATGACCCTACAAACGGACATTACTACATTATTAATAAAGCCATTGATAGAAGTTCCCTCAGTTAAATGTAAGGTCTAATAATATTGCAAATAGACAGTGGCAATGTTCTTTGGGATCATTCTCTTCTCCAGTGGGAAGAATCTTACAAGAATATCCCTCTGCCTCTTCTCCTTCTAACTCGTTATTTGTTCAGAAGATAAAAGAGCAAAAGAAATGAGCATTGGCCTTGGCCTCACAGGACCGAGTACTCTTGGGATACTTGACAAGATTTTGTGATCAGAAGATATGCACAAGCAGGAAAAGTTCAGAAAGATTCAGACGAATGGGCCAATTGTTTAACAGACCTCTTTGGGTTCAAATTCTTAAGTAGATTAGACATACCTCATATTTGCCTCTAACTGCCCCTAGAGTGCAGAAAGGGCTACCTAAGGACATTTTAGGCGTCCTTGTTTGTCTTCGCATAGAAGGCAGTATCCTCTCCCCAAAGCATCAGCTCCTTAGCATAATGTACTAAGACCTAAAGGAAATCAAAGCTTTTCAAAAATATCCATCCATGATATGGGGAAAGAACAAGCTTCATATCCCCCCATACCTCAAGTCACCTGGAAAGTGAGAATTTAAGTCTTGTCTGGGGCCACACTGGTTCTCATTGCTTTATCGGGCTCAAAAATCAGGGTAACCATCAAATACTTTCTAAACTCTAATTAGTGACACCGTCTCCAGCCATTCAATAGTGTCTAAAATATCACAAGTCACAGTATGAACGATCGAAGTTGAGCCCCAAGTTAGCAGAGGTATTTAAGTTACATAGTTGATGAAAATGCAAATGGAGACTGATCATCTCTTAAACAAGTATGAAATTCAGTCACCACCAAGGAACTTTTCTTTTTTTTTTGAGATGAAGCCTTGCTGTGTCACCCAGGCTGGAGTGCAATGGTGTGATCTTGGCTCGCTGCAACCTCCGCCTCCTGAGTTCAAGCAATTCTCCTGACTCAGCCTCCCGAGTAGCTGGGACTACAGGCAAGTGCCATCACGCCCGGCTAATTTTTGTATTTTTTAGTAGAGACAGGGTTTCACCGTGTTGGCCAGGCTGGTCTTGAACTCCTGACCTCAGGTGATCCACCTGCCTCAGCCTCCCAAAGTGCTGGGATTACAGGCGTGAGCTACCGTGCCTGGCCAAGAAACATTTTTACTGTAACAGTAGTCTGTGAACACTTAGGATTTTCACCAAGATATATGCATTGTTAATGCTTTTTCCTTCTAATTAAAAAAGAAAATGGATAACAGATGAGGAAAATTTGATGTGATGGTTTTTAGGAAATGCACAAATGACTCATGCACTCACTTGATTTGACAAGGGTACTGGTTTCTATATAAAGAAACAACTTAGGCCCAAAATAGAAGTTGTGCACAGCAGATTGTAACTGATAGAGGAACTGCACATTCCAAGCATCAGTAGTGTGAAGGCTGGTATGCTGGGACATCTCTGCTG
Source organism: Homo sapiens (assembly GCF_000001405.40). Lineage (NCBI taxonomy): Eukaryota > Metazoa > Chordata > Mammalia > Primates > Hominidae > Homo > Homo sapiens. The sequence continues at coordinate 52,853,464 of NC_000004.12, read as the reverse complement.
AGAATGTTGTGTGAAGTCCATAATTAATTATTATTAATTCAGCTGGAATGTAAAGCTATCTGCTCCAAAGTGTTGCAAGATAGAAAAGCTCTAGTGTCATTTGAGATGATTTTAACTAACTCTAAAAGCAAAAAACAACAACAACAAAATATTGTTTTGCAAAGTATGTGTACCCCCATGCTAACTGGGAAATATATTCAGCTCAATGACAAGTAAACTACAACAGGTTTTGTGCCGTACAATATGTTGAATGCCCAACAAAATTTGTCATATAAAATAGCCTGGTAAATTATAAAAGTTTAATACTTTGATATGTTCATAATGAAAGTGAAACAAAGAGCTCTTTTTCCAGCCTGGATTGTCCTTTAATTAGTGGTTGGGAGGTAGCACTTTCATAAACTTGTCAAATCTTCTCCCAAATTCCTCATTACCTGGACTTAGATGAGGAGATAGGCAGAAAGACCACGCTGAAGCCTTTCTTATATTCATTTGCCAAAATACACAGTACAGCCAAGAGCCAAGGCATTCCTCTGCTCTCTATCCCCAGGCAAGAGATGGAATGATTCCTCTTGGACAAGCTTGCACACTGTGTTATCAACTTCAGACCTACTGTGATTTTAGGGCAGAAGACAGCAGCCTTGCCTGCCAAGCCCCACAACCTTGTAGAGAACAATATCCAGACTGTAGTCCTGTCCAGCGCAGGCTCCAGAAGTTTCTCAGCAAACCAGTGAAGCAATACGACCCTTAGCAGCTCTTCCCCCACCACTATGAAATAGTTCGACCCATAAGGAGAGCCCTTTGAAGTAATGACCGACCTCCCTCTCTCTTCCTCCATCCTTTCTCTCCAGTTCACATGCAGGCCCAGCGCTGCCTGGAGGCTTGGTTCAAGCTTGTATTTTTCGCCATTTGACATGCTGCATTATTTGGTGGGCTGTTTATTGTCCAACTCTCCACACTAGAGTGTAAGCTCTGTAAGGGTAGAGATTTTGTTTTGCTCACTGCTCTATCCCCAGAACCTAGAGTGCTTAACACACAGCACATGCTAGCACTTAATGGGTATTTGTAAATGAATGAATGAATGAATCTGTGCATTTTGTATGCAATGAGAAAGGAGGCAGTGGGAAGAGCCTGAGGAAGCTGGAATTGTGGAAGTGGATGGGGGAGCCGGGGCTGGAGTGGGGAGGGAGTGATGGGGATGAGATCACAGAAGCAGAGGCTGGCTTTGGAGATGAGGCAAGCTCTCAGGATGCTCCAGATGTAGGCTTAATCTTGGCTCACTTTTCCACTGGCACCAGTGGAAAGATGAAAGGGAAGGGCTTGAAGGGTGAGGTGACTGTGAAGAGGAGAGGATGGAGAGGGTGAGAGGATGCTGCTGTGGCCCACTCAGGTCTCAAGGAAGTAGAATTTAGGTCATTGGCCCAGAACAGAGTGAGAGGCAAGACTAGGAATGGCAGGCTGGTGGTGGGGAAGTCAGAGGGAGAGCAGGACAGGCAGGCGACATCCACTGAAAATGCTTTGGCAAGAGCCAAAGGACCAGCTGAAAAGAGAAAACAGGAGTTTGGAGGGTGTGATTTGGGCAGCAGCATTCTCTATGGGGAAGGAGAGGCAAAGCGGGGTGGGGAGGCATCTCAGAGAGCCAAGAAAGTGAGTTTATCTGGAATTTTGGTGAATGGCTGATTCTGGAATCCAAGTGGGAAGTGAATCAGGGATGTCCATCAGGAGCCTATAATGGTGAATAATTCTGGAGCCTTCCTGTAGGCCAGGCACTGTGCTGCACACCAAGTGTCTAGTGGCACAGCATCTCATACCAAGAGTGGCTGTGAAAGGACACATGTATTTGACTGTACAAGGGCAAGGACTGTGCGATTTTTTTCTACTTCTTTATTCTCTGCACCTAGCATGTGGCTGGTATATATTAAGCACTCAGTAAATAGTTGCTGAATAAAATTAATGAGCAAGAGCAGGTTCTATGCAAGAACTGGCAGATACGGTTTTCTTTCTCTTTTTTTTTCTTTCTTTCTTTCTTTTTTTTTTTTTTTTTTTGATGGAGTCTTACCCTATCGCCCAGGCTGGAGTGCAGTGGTGTGATCTCGGCTCACTACAACCTCTGTCTCCCGGGTTCAAGCAATTCTTCTGCCTCAGCCTCCTGAGTAGCTGGGACTACAGGCGCCTGCCACCACACCTGGCTAATTTTTTGTATTTTTAGTAGAGACAGGATTTCACTGTGTTAGCCAGGATGGTCTCAATCTCCTGACCTCATGATCTGCCCATCTCAGCCTCCCAAAGTGCTGGGATTACTGGCATGAGCCACCGCACCCAGCTGCAGATACGGTTTTCTATTGTTTGCTGTCTCATGTGGATCTTCTCCTGGACCTTAGGGACTTATACCCCTTTCCCTACAATGAATTAAGTATGTACCATGTCCCAGGCACTGTTACTTAAGGAACTTACACCCCTTTCCCTAATATGAATTAAGCACATACCATGTCCCAGGCACTGTTCTGAGTGCTCCATATGTATTGGCTCTTTTAATTGTCACGACACACCCATGAGACAAGGCCAGTACTGTTGGCAGCTGTTTACAGACATAGAATTCACACCCAGGAAAGTTAGGCAGTTTGCTCAAGATGACACCTTTAGAAAGTGGGAAAGGCAAAATTTGAACCCAGACAGCCTGGCTCCAGAGACCCACAACTCTAAATCTGCTGCCCATTTCTCAGTAGGCTCTACTGTCTAGTTACCCAGGGCAAAGTCCCCTTTATTCTCAGCCTTTATCTCCCCTCTTTATCTTTTCTGTGACTCACAGGTAGAGGAGGTTTGTATTTGGAATGGAATATGTGAAATTCTAAGATGAAGAGAGAGCAGAAGACCAGAGTCCGAAGAATGTGTGTGCATATGTGCTTGCGTGTGTGTGTGTGTGTGTGTGTGTGTATTGTGATAGGGGCTGTAGTTGCTAAAAATGGCTTCTCATATATTTCCCCCTAGAGCTGCATGGATCAGAGCTACAGAACAGTGATTTGACCATGATGTTACCTCTGCCAATGTAGAGTCAGAGCACAGAAACTTTAGGACTGGCTCCCCAGAAAAGCAAACGCCCTACCAAGACTTTCAGCCTCTTCCCCATGGAAAAGGGGGGAAGAGCATCACTTATTGAATTTAACTTAAGCATTCGATCAAACACCTCTTCATTTTACCCAGAAGTTCCAAGGCCTGAAAAAGAAGCCCCTCAAAATTGAATCTGTGGAGTAGAATTTAATTTAACTCCAATCATAAGCAAAGGCTCTGCAAGGTGCTTAAGAAAGGAAAAGTGGCATTTGTCTATTTCTTGATGTTTTGCTTTTTCTACCTTCTGTCCTATTACATAATGCTAGCCCCATTCACAAAAGGAATAATGCTTCAAAACAGGGCCAGCATTAAATGACGAGGAGCACATTTGCTGAACACTAGTGGCTGTTGACAAATGCCACAGCTCCACTTGAGTTTATATTGATCAACAGAACCTTTGATTATTTTGTATGCCCTACCAATCTGACAACTATGTATACGTAACAGCCTCCAGCAGAGGTCTCAAAGAAAGGATTCTACTTCCATCTTGGACAGAAAGTTCATTCTACTTCCTCAGCAAACATGCTTACATTCAATTGTCCTCATTAACATGATGCTGAAAAGTTGAAAAGCTGATATTGTTTCAAATGTTAAAATAATGAAATTTTCCCAGGAAAGATACCTCAAAAATACTAAGTGTTTAACTATGATGCAGGTCAGTCAAGTTTATTTGTTTAAATCATCATGTGCATGTGAGTTCAACGTGAAGGTCACTGAAAGACTTTGGCATGATCCCTGCATTGAAGGAATTTATAGTCTGCTGAGAAAGCAAGATCCACACAGGAAAGAGGGAACGATATATTATAATCTATAAAAATAATGTCCAATAGTATCTAAGGAGAAAGTGGAAGATGAATAAGTGCTGGAGTGGCTGTAGGAAGCTTCTTGGAGGAGCTGGAGGAATTGGGCAGAAATTTGAAGGATGGATGAGATTTGGATAAGAGGGTACATTTGAGGGGGAATGGAAGTGGCCTTGTGGAGGAAGCGGAAGAGGCTGCACTGATCAACGAAATTGTATTAGGGTGGAATGGGAACTCAGATTGAATGAGTAAGATGTTACCAGATTGTGGAAGGACTTGGAAGCTGAAAGGCAGGACATTTAGGCTTTAGTCTTGATACTTGCTAGTACCCAAACTGAGTGGGGGACCCCAGGCTTCCCCACTCTCACAGTAGCCCGCTACCCCTGCTAGAGCCTATTGGCAGGAGAGGTGCACTCCAGAACCTGCCAAAACGAAAGCATTTGAAACATTGTGACTATGGCTACTGTCAAAAATAGGCCACAACTTAAGTCAATCATTGAACTATGGTCCCTTTCTTACCTTTGTTTTTCTGTGAAAATCAAGCTATAACCACTCCCCCTAGTGCCTTCACGTTCCAGGGGCAGAAGTCGCATGCGGAATGAAGAAGAGTAAAGGAGAGATGGGGTGAGGGGGTGAAGGCCAACCCTAGGGAGCCACGAACCTGCAGGAGCATGGTGAGAGCCATGAGATAAAAAATTGGCTGCTTGAGGCTGGACACGGTGACTCATACCTTTAATCCCAGCACTTTGGGAGGCTGAGGGGGACAGATCGCTTGAGCTCAGGAGTTTGAGACCAACCAGCCTGGGCGACATAGTAAAGCCCTGTCTCTACCAAAAATAAAAAAAATTAGCCAGGCATGGTGGCATGCACCTGTGTTCCCAGCTACTCCGGAGGCTGAAGTAAGGAGATTGCTTGAGCTCAGAATGCAGAGGTTGCAGTGCGCCGAGAACACACCACAGCACTCCAGGCTGGGTGACAGAGCAAGACCCGGTTTCCAAAAAAAAAAAAGAAAAAATAAATAAAAAATAATTGGGCCCTTAAGCAGAACTTGTTCAGAAGCTAGAATAACCAGTCAAATCACCTAAGTGGAAAGCAGGTAGACGTGGGAACAGAATTAATTACGAGGCTGATGTCATCTAGTTAATATTTACAAAGTGCCAACTGTATGTCAGATGCATGTTAGGAAAAGGCAAGCTAGAACTTAGTGAAAAGGAGAACCTTCAACGCCCAAGGAAAGAAGTCAAAGCATGTCCAGCCAGGGTCTCATTCATTCATTCATTCATTCATCTATCTATCAACAAAATATGTTGAGTGCAGTCATTCAGTTACCCAATCACAGGGGGCCCCACATATACGGTTTTGTATATAAAGGGCATTGCTAGAGTGCCATGTAGAGTAAATACGAACAGTGTTTTTGGAGCTATGCATCAGGATGGCCCAGATTGCATGCCTACTACATGCCCCAGGCACTGTTGTAGATGCAGATGAATGTAGGTTCAGGGATGAGTCCAAGAACAGGAAGCAGCCAACCAATCAAAGTTGGAAGTTCAAAGAGCACAGAAAGGAGAGCAACAGATGTGTGCACAAGGCCCCAAAACAAATCCTGCCAGACACCAGGGCCTGGGCCAGCTCTTTCTGCCCACCCATTCTAGTCCTCACATTTAGAATAGGTTCAAGGAGAGCTGAAGGCAGCTTTTCCCATAGAAAGAGAGGTGAAAATGAAAGTGCATTTAAAGACAGATGCTAGATTGATAAAGTATCCTCTACAAAGCCCCTGGGTGAGTTGCCTTCCTTTGGTGATGAAAGGTCAGACCTTTAGGAGACAGGCTGGACATCTGAAATGGCTGGAAATAGAATTCTCAAGCCTGTGCTATGGAATAGATGGATAAATGGCTTTCTTTCTTCCCTCTGGGAGGTTAATAGTGGGGAATAATTTCTAATCTGTGATCACACCTTTCTCTCTACTTACTTGAGTGAGAAAGGTGAAGTCAGTAAAAATTTATGGACTGTCTTGTCCTAATTTCTGCAAAACTTTGACTTTTCCTTCTCATTGGCTGCATGATTTACTGAATATGCATTAATAGTCACAAGCCTGGCACAAGAATGCTTTGAGGAAGTCAATACTAATGTCACATTGGTGGCTTATCTGGTATTAAGCTGGCCATAATGTTACAACAGATGTCTAATTGCTTAAAAATATGAAATTTCTGTAGAAAAGCAGAGTCAGCAATGACCCCCTTCTCATAACTGTCTCCCACTCAAACTTAAATCTCTCGATCTTTGGGTTATTGTTACAGATAGTGTCAGACAAGGTGTCATCCTTTGATGCTAAAAACTAATTCGTGATGCCTTTAGCTAAGAAAGAAGGACCTGTCTCAGTTAAGTAGCAGAAGAGTAACAACGCTGGCTGGAATGGTTTTCATTTTATCATGTAGATTAATAGATTTATAGGGAGGATGGGAAAAGAATCTTTGCAAATTAGTCAGGATACTCCTTGGAAAAAAAATAGCAGAACCCCAATTTAAGCTGTCTTAAGGATCAAAATAAAATGTATAGGCTTTTTAAATGGGAAAATCTAAAGGTGGATTCGGTAGGTTTAGGCATGGCTGGATTTTATAGTCTCCCACAATCTCCACAGGTCCATAGGTCTCAGGCCTGCTTCTCATCTCTTGCTTGTCTTTATTCTTAAGCAGTCTCTGGCCAGGCAGTTGTCCTTGGAAGCTCCAAGCTTATATCAACCTTACAGCTAGCAGCTCCCAGCTGAAAGAAAAGACCTGACTCCTGGCAAAAGTTCCAGAGTTGAGCCTGAGTTGGCTGGCTTTGGTCACAGGTCCACTCCAGAACCAAGTGTCCTGGCCAAGAGGATAGAAATTGCTGATTGGCCAAGCCTAGACCACATGCCCAGCCCTGGAGCAGAGAAGTTGAGGTCGGCCACACTGAACCACTTGGATTAGGAATGGGAACAGGATGGTTATTAATGAGAAATGAATGCCAGACAGGTAAAAGAGCAGAGCTCCAATTTACGCTCCCCTCCATGTGTAAATAAACAATCTCTTCTGGGATCTTAATTGATTTGTATGGGGCCCTGGCTCACATTTTGAAATAGAAGGGGCCCTGCACAGACCAGGCTATGCTGCCCTGGTGCCCTCCGGAAGCTTTCTGCTTCTCTTGCTCACATTTAGTGTGTCTCTCTGGGATACAGAAAAATAGAATTCAGAAAGCATTTCTAAAAAGGGTTTTCATCCCCAGTGGTTGGCCCACATGCACTGGAGGATCAAAACTTCATGGGGAGGAAGAAGGTGGGGAAGGTGGAAATCCACACCTCCACATCTGAGTTCCAGCTCTGCCACCAGCTTCCCATGTGATCTTAGGTTAGTTCTAACTTTTCTGAAGTTCGAGCCTCTTGCCAAGATGGGAATTACCATATACTTCCCACCTCGGTGACTGTGGTGAGGATGTGAAAACTTTCAAGAAAGGACTTGACGGATTAGTAGTACTAATAATAATGGCTACAGTTTACTGAGCCCCTACTATGTGCCAGGCAATACACAGATTATTCATTCATATCACTTACATTTTAGAGTTAAGAAAAATGAGTCCTAGAGAGACTAGAGAGTTTAGCCACAGTTGCCTGGCTGGAAAACAGTAGCACTAGGATTTGAACCCAGGTCTTTTTAGCTCCAAAGCCTGCCTTCCCTCCACAACGCTAAACAGCCTCTGTGGCAGACCCTGTAGGTGGCCTCCAGGAGCCAGCCCCTTCCCCAGCCATCCTTTCTTCCTAACCAATTCTTTTTGGTTTTCTCATTCTGTTTTGTTCTGGTCAGAAATGTGCTCAGCCCTAAAGAATGCATCATGATTGGTCTAAGCCCACCATAGCTATCCCATTTCCCATTGTTAGATATTTCCTTTTCCAGCATGCCTCACCACAGAAGTGGCCAATGAGATGTAAGAGGAATTCTTATGAAGGAGCTTTTGAAAATCATCTTCTAGCTAGATAAAAAGAAATAGCTCCACAGTGGTATATGTGACAAATGCAGTGTCCCTGGTGTGTTTGGTGTTTGCCTCTCCCAGCACCTCATACCTGGTAAGCACGCACTATTGTTCAAAATAGCTCATAGGGCTTCCTTTGGTCATCTCCCAGCTCATCCCCAATGAGGAGCTTCTGCAACTCACTGATTTCTACACAACAGCAGCAGATACATGCATCGCCATGACCCTTCCCAGCGGGCATTTATGACATGAAGGAGCTGACCAAGACACAGGTGCCAAAGCTTAACTTTTTAATTTTTGAAAGACAGTATTGCTTTGTCACCCAGGCTGGAGTGCAGTGGTGCAATCACGGCTCACTCAACCTCCCAGGCTCAAGCAATCCTCCCACTTCAGCCTCCCAAGTAGCTGAGACTACAGGCACATGCCACCACACCCAGTAATTTTTTTTTAATTTTAGTAGACACAAGGTCTCACTATGTTGCCCAGGCTGGTCTCAAAATCCTGGGCTCAAGCAATCCTCCTGCCTTGGCCTCCCAAAATGCTGGTATTACAGGCCTGAGCCACTGCACCTGACCAAAACTTACTTATTTATTTTATGAACCAAGCCGATGCTTCATAAAACCATCCTTTCATTCTACAAGACAACCATGCACTATTCATTACAATTCCCAGGAATCTCAGACCTAAGAGTGATGCTTAACTGGATCCATATTCCTCATCTTGAATATTCTGGTATGACTCGTTCACACCTTCATTGCTAGGCCTTTAGCTAAGCCTTTGTTCTTTTATCATTGCTTAGTGTATAGTTTCATTGCCTCTGTTTTTTTAGAAACCAATCTCAATTCCCATCATAAATGAGTAGTTGAGGGAGTGAAAAGAAACTATCTACACATCCTGAAGAAAGGAATATAAACATAAACCACACACTCATGTTTTGGTTGTGAATTGAGTCTGATCAATTTAATAAAGTGTTGATTAAGGTTAAGACTTAGAGTTAGGAAGTCAAAAGGCTTGGAATAGCTATCTCCTTCTTAGCTTAGCTGAAAAACATTCCCTCACTTAGGACAACAGTGCCTGTGAGGGCCCCACACTTTGATGAGGCAGGGAACCTTCAGGAGAAAGAATGTACTAAATACAGGAAACCACCTTGCTGCCATGAATGAGTCTTAGGGAATAAGACTATTTGTGGCAGACAGGATTACCTGTCTAATCCAACAGCCAATCCCAACTCCTGGGCCTTTACAGATTCTGTTACAGAAGCAAAGAAAGGTAAATTCTCATTTCCCAATCTCTATCATAGTGAGGACAATTATAACACAGTCCTGGCCAATGAAATAGAGGAAGTGGAAGTTTGTTGACAGTTTCAGGAAAACATTTAGCTCTGATGCAGCTGGCACTGCCCCTGGCACTGCCCCTTTCAGGAGGAAGTCAGAATGTGGATGCTGAAGCCGGAAGGAGGGTGGATGCGAATGGGGAGAGAGTGCGGAAGTTCTCCCCTGACTGTTTCATCCTCTCAGTGAAGCAGAAAGCAAGGGCAGCAGCTGAGATGGTGATGGGGAAGGAGGTGTTGTGGAGTTGAGGAAGGAGGAAAAAGTGTGAAACAGTCACAGGGTGGGGTAGAAGGACGTAAATAAACGAGGGATACATGGTAGGATTATTGGGCAAACTCAAGACCGACTTGAGATTGGTGGTCAGGAACATAAAATGAGACTAGCCAGCATGGCTGAGTATTTTTCTCAGGTCTTGTCATTTGGCCTGCATGCAGGCACAGAATAGGATTTGACTAGATTGTGTTCTGCCAGGATAATAAACGAAGAGAGAGAGGTAAAGAGGCTGAGGGTCTTTGCAAAGAAGTGACTCTAGACATGGATAGTGGACACTCAGCTGGAGAAATGAGGAAAGGAGGGAGATGAGGGCAGTAAACTTAATGGGACCTTCTACCCACTAGGGCCAAAGAATGGTTTCTGTTGAGCAACTAGAGGAAGCCAGCTAGGGGAGTAGAAGATGTGGGGCATGAGGGATGTTTGAAACTGAGATTAAGGAGGAGATGCAGCTTTAGTCACATCTGGATTATGATAAAGATGCAGTGTCTGGAGTAGAAAATGAAGGTCAAAGAGATTATGCTCTCCCACTTCCTTGAATTTAGATAACAGACCTAAGGCCTGAAAACGCAAAAGTGTTATCCTCCCATCTCCCACAAAACTGACCGGTTTGAGCCATTCATTGGAAGCTTTTCTCCATGTAGCAGACAATAGGATCCCCCAGAGTTTCCAAACCTCTCTCCTTCCCTCCTATCCCTATTAGCAAACTCCAAGCTGGAGCCATGTTCAAGAGGAACTCAGCAGCAGACAGAGAAGCAAGACAGGGCCTTGGGGGAGGAGGGTTGGAAGGAGGGGGTGTGGTGGGAATGGCAGCTTAGTCTCAAAACAAGAGGAAGACTTAGTAGTTAGTGGTCGCAAGAGCAGGGAAGCCTGGCTCTCCTGCTCTGGGGCTGAGAACCCCTCTCCTTTGTTTAGCCTGGAGAAAGCCCCCAGTTTGAGGCGGAAGTGAAAGCTGTAAAGGTTAGAGCACAAAGGGCTGAGAGGCAAGCAGGACATTGTGTTTACAGAGTCAGGATTTCCCAGCTGGAAAGGTCTTTACAGTGCATCAGTTAAGGTTAGATGCAGCAGCTTGGAACCGAAGTCTTAGAGGAGCACTCTCAGGCTGCAGGCTGCCCCTGGTAGACAGTCACAAAAGCTGCACAATGTTGTCAGGGTCCTGGCTTCATTTTCCTGCCCACCACCTTACCTGTGGCCCCCTTTCTAGTGATGTTATTTGGGGCAAGTTGCTTAATCTTTCTGAGACTCAGTTTCCTCATCTGAAGAAGAAGAGTAATTGCAATACCCATTTCACAAGGATAATGAGCAGATTAATTAAAATAATACCTGAAAAGTTCTTTGCAACAGTGTCAATACAGCAAGCCTTGGCTGTTTTTATTTGTTTTGTTCAGGACTTGTACAATGCCAGGCATATAGTTGGAGCTCAATAAATATTTGTGAATTAGTTATTATCATTATTATTGTTGCCACAAAGGACCCACAAGCGACATCAAGAGCCCACTCCATTTACATAGCACCTAGGAAGAGCCTAATTTAACCCAACTTTATTTCTGGACAACCAGTTGCCCAAGCTGGAAGGGACCTGGGGTGCAATTGTCAAAAGGCAGCTGATGGACAGCCCAGCCCACGTCGGACCGGTGGAGCCCAGGACTGCCCCAAATGCTGTGCCTCCGCCAGACCAGACGCTGCTAATGGCTTTTGTTCGTCTGCCAATTCTACTGCCCATCCTCCTCTGGGAAGAAAGAGCAGACCGGACAGAGTCCTTCAGAGGCCGACGCATGCCAGAGGCTGGGAGACTTGGAAGGGGAGTGAGGAGACAGTCAGTGGGGAAGACAGTCACTGGGGAAGACAGTTCTCAGGGATTCCGCAAGGCCCTGGAGGTGTTTCTGTCTTTGTACCGTTGGTTGCCTCTGCGCAGGCAGCCTTGCTTCATATCACCTGCACTTCCTTGCTTCTAGAGGGATTGTGGCAAGAAAGCTCGCAGAAGTCAAAACAAGCCTGGTGATATGAAAACCATATGAAAACTTGGCAGGGTCCCATTTCAGACTAATGGGCCTGCCAGACATCACCGAGCCCACAGACACTGGCCCTTTGTGAGGTCGGGGACTGGCTCCCTCACTCCCATTCTACTAAGACAGAATTAAAAAGGAAACAAGCAAGGCAGCCAGTCTCTTTTCTCTCATCCACGTGCTTCCAAGGGCTTAGAAACAGAGTAACGTCAGGTACTTTGAGTGATGAACACAGGATGTTGTTACGGGCCAGGCCCATTCACAGTGCTTTTCAGTCCTCACTTGATCTTCATGGTAGACCTTAGTCCCATTTCAAAAATGAGGTCGCTGAGGTTTCTGGGGCTCCCATAGCCCAGGTTCCACATAAAAAATGATGGAGCAGCCCAGCCAGCTGGGGTTCAGATGCAGACCCATCTGGCCAAAAACCTTGACCTTTGATTGTTACAGAGCTACCTCCCAGATGACCTTTTGATTATTTCAGACAAATTTACCAACATTCAAAATTTTGCTTCAGGGCTTAGCTTTCAGAAAAAAAAAAAAGATGTTTCCTGTTCTAGAAAGAAATCGAGACATAACATTTTTTTTTCATGACTTGTTATTGAATCTTTGGACAATACTGTAACATGCCAATTGTTATTTATACCTGAAATTCCTGTATTTCAAAGCCTGTTGGGTGTGGAGGGAGACTATTTTCCAGAGCCATCATTATTGCAGTACTAAAATTAAGTGCTCTTTTAAAGCAACTTAAAAAAATCAAAAACTGAGATAAGTGGCTGTGCAAGTATAATGACTTGTTCTTTGACTTCCCAAAGACTGGAAAAACAAGGTCGGTATGCAAATACACCTGCAGATTATAATCTGTATGTAATTTACAATTATATACACATCGATTCTATATCTTCGTGACATGGCTTCTGAAAAATAATCTGAAGATATTTTAAAGACATTTTAAAACTTGATAAACTTTTGTAAGTCTGGCAAGACCCAGGTGCTCTGAATTCCTCTCTTATGGATAGTACGGGCAGTAGGCTGGAAATTGAACCCTCTGCTAGAAGCTGCCCGGTCACTTCTGTAAATAACTTTGGCCCTGATCATTTTAGAAGACACGAGGATCTGTATCAACGCCCTCATGAAGAGACTCATGAAGGCCTCTCCCACTTAGCTGCAATGAAGGAAAGGAAGGGGGAAGGGCCAGAGTGATCAAAGGAAAGGGAGTGAAAAACCCCCTAATTGCCCATCGGCAGGGGTCTGGCTAAATGAATCACTCCACGTGCACATCCAGATGAAGGGGGTGTTGTACAGCTGGTGAGAAGATTGGCTGAATCTGTAGGGACTGATAAGGAACAATCTTTTTATTGTAAATATGTTTTATTTACAGCACATTTTTTTCAATGTAAATTTTTTAAAATGCAGGCCAGGGTATAATATTTACTGTTGTTGTTTTAAATTGGGAGTTATCTGTATCTATCTTTTTTCTCCATTTGTTTATCTATTTCAGTAGCTATATCTATAAATAAATATACTTTGAATATCTCTAGAGTGATACATAATAAACTGGTGACAGTGGTTGTTTTTGGGGAGGAAAATGAGGGGCCTGTAGATCAGAGGTAAAAAGAACATTTACTTTTCACTGGATACCCATTTATAATGTTTGAATTTTAAAACTTAAAAAATATCTTTATTATAGCTAACACTGGTTTAGCACATATTACATACCCGGTATTGCTTCACATTAATAACTTCACATTTATAGACTCATTTAATCCTCAACACACCTAAGAGGTAGGAACTATTAGGATGACCATTCTGTAGATGAGAAAACTGAGGTGCAGAGCTTATACTTCTAGCATCTGAACCGAAGTAGAGAGGTTCCAAAAATCCAATACCATATGCATGTACTGCTTTTAAAGAATGAAGTCACTATTTTTTCTCAATGTGGAAGGGAGTACTTGCAGCCACCCTCGACCCTGAGGGTGGCACCATCCCTGGCTCAGTGATTGCCAGTGTGGTCCCCAGTGATGCCAAGTAAGAAGTGGTTTGGGTGGGATTTTGTGGGAAGGTGAGGGTGGTCCATCCCTTAACCCAGTGCCCTGTTCCCCAGCTACTTGATGAAGAAGCTGGGAATTTCATTCTCCGACAGCCTTTGATCCTCATTATCTTATTGCTAAGTTTTAAACAATGTACTCTATATAAATTAGCTTTAAGCCTCCATTATGTGATTTTGCTATCCTTGTTAGATATGGGTAGCATACCAAGGAGGAGAAATCAAATGATAGCTTCTCCAGATCTCTAATGGATGGATAGAAATTGAAACCGGTCACCACAGTTTTCTTACCAAATTAAAGAAGCACGTTGTGTTCTCTAAATGAGTTCAAGCTACAGTGAGAATAGCTTTCTCTCCAAAGTCACGGTAACCCTGAATCAAGTTTGGCTCATGGGCCATCTGGCAGCAAACACCACAGTACTCTACTTATATTCAAAGCTGTACTAATTGCCTTGTTAACAGAGCTCCTCTCATGAGAATGAAATTTAACCAGAGGAATATCAAAGCGCGATTTCAAGAGAATTGCATTGGTCCAGGAACTGATAGCATTTCCAGCAACCAAGTCTCAGAAGGCCCACGGAGCAAATAAAGAACATTTTAACGGTATTGTCAGGAGGATACAACTTGTCGAGGCAGATTTGCAAACAGGAAAGGGGGCAGAGACCGTTCTTGTCTAGACATCTGATTAGTGGGAAATTGTAGGATTATGAAGAGTGTGGATTTTTCTGGCTGACATTTCTGAGGAGGTCAGGCTTTCTGCACAAAGAGGTAAATGAGAGAAACATTTGTATCTGGTAGAAAATGCTGACTGGTCCTTATCCTCCCTTGGGCTCCAGAAGCAATTCCAGACCAAGAAAAGAGATTACTAGATTGAAACCTGCTGCCACTGCTTGGCACAATGGGCAGTTGCCTGGGAGGGTTTGGGCTTGAAGACAGAGGAGAACCGCAGCTGGAGGACACAGCTCCAGACATGTCTCTCCACTCCTGCCCCTGCTTCACGCCCTTTGATCTCCAGTCCCAATTTGCTTTCTGATCATGCTGCTAGCTGATCCCCTGGACTTGAGACCTCTGTTCTGCTTAAATAACAGCCCATCTTTTGTCCCCTCACCTCTGCCCCCACCCCTTCTCACCTGCCCCAGGGCACTTCAGAAACCTCAGTACTTTCAGGGTGGAAGTTACGGGGTGGGCAGACAAATAATTTCTGCATGGTGGCCATGAAGCCAGATGAAACTGGGAGTAGGTGTGGAATGATCCCATGGGCTCGGGCAATGGGTGGGACTGTGGAGGTAATGGGTGGGTTCCAAAAGGAAATGGGCTGAGAATCAGGAGACTTGAGGTTTTAGGATAGGTTTCTCATCTCAAAGGTGGAAAAATTAATAAAACTAGTGCTGCTCCGATCCCACCTGAGTTCTTTCTGCTCAGTGCTATTAGCCATTACTGCCTGCAGCCCTGGGCCACATTCTTTTGCCATGACCTAAGACAGGCAATGTCTGTGAGAAAGCCACAGCCCAGCTCCACGACAGGAACAGACATTGCAGCGAATGCAGTCATTGGGGTTAAAAAATACAGAGAGCAATTATATCAGTCTAGTCCCACTAGGAAAACAGAAACCACTCTGTATTTAAAACAGGGAATTGATTCAAGGGAATTTGTCACACTGGTGAGGGAAGAGACAAGCAGCCAAATGGGATGATGAGACCACCTGAAATAGGCAACAGAAGGAAGCTGCGGCTACCCCACAGCTTAAGGGACAAAGCGAGGAGATGGTGTAATCAGAGCCAAGGCAGGAGTCCCAGAAAGAAACCACAACCAAAGGACAGCCACCTCACCAGCAGCTGGGGCTGCTGGGGAGCAATGGGGAGGACACCATCCAACACAAGTAAGAAAAGGGAACAGAAGCATCTTGGCTTTTCTCCTTCTGCCCTGTCCTCCAGTCTCCAGTCAGACTGCCTCCAGTCAGTGCCTCTGCCTGGCTGAACCAAGCAGGAATTGCGCTGTCATGGAGCCTGGGAAACAGCCAGGGCATGGGCAAGTTGGGGCAAGTGAGACAGAGTAAGTGAGTTGGAGATTCTGTAGAATACTCTCCCAGCATCTGCTGCTTTTCCCTCTGCAACAACCAGAACTAAACCGCAAAACAAAATATTTGTGCCATTATTAGTTGAATGTCTTCTTCCCCTTGCCCTAGCCCTGCAAACTCAGCTCCATGAGGACAGGGATGGAGTCAGCTTTATTCCTTGTTATATCCCCAGCATCTAGCACAGTAAGAGGTCCTTGGTGGCTTCATTTACAATGTTGGTTACAAATAACTGAGTGAATGAATTGTTGTGTACTGTCCATCTTGCAAACAATTGATTCTTAGAGTAGGCTTGTGGGATTTTAGATATAGTGGAAGTAGCACTTAGACTCACCACAAGCTCTGAAAGGACTAGATCACCCAGCCCCTGGGATGGCACTCCTGAGAGCTCAACTGCATTCAACTTCAGCAAAAGATCTTAGAATGTAAATAGATGTAACTCCATTACCAGGAGTTACTGGTACTTAATACTACTCAATAACTATCACATTTTATAAACTGTAAAATGATGCTTTAATGTTAGAGATTATAGTAAAAAGTATTACTCTTTGCATGGGTAAGCCCACATTCTATATCTGCTTAAAATGGCAGTGAAGAATTTTAGAGTTTTTCCTTTTTAAGACCTGTTAACACTGGGGCACAGATAGAATTTCCAGGTGAGAATTTAAGCCATTTGGTCACAGGAAGAAAGAATGAAGGATAAGATGAGAAATTGTGTAGAGATAAATATTCAAATTGAGAAAAGAAAAGGCAGCATGGAGGAGCTTATACATTTCAGGAAAAGAGGAGCAAAGGTTGTGCAAGGAATGGAATGACCTAGAAACCACAGTTGCAGTGGATGCTGAGAGCTGTGTGATCAGAAATCAGTGAGAAGTGAATAAAGCAAATGCCAGTTAGGGCAAAAGCACCATTGAAACTTGACGGAAAGAGTTTTATTAAACCAGAAGGTGACTAACAAGTTGATGACCCTAACGAACAACCACAACAATAATAACTAACATCTGTTTATTGCTGACAATGTGCCATGTAGCCAGCTAATCCACCAATTCTCTGGACAACCATGTAAAGTAGATACTATTATTTTCCCATTTCACTTGCAGGAAACTAGAAGATATCTCTGTGTGTGTGTGTATGTGCGCACGCGCGTGCGTGCATGTGTGTGTCTGTGTGTGATTTTGTTTTGGTTTTGTAACATCTGCTCCCCATTCCTAACCATGCTCTGGATTCTTTTTGAGGAAAGTAGTAACTGGTTTCTAAGATGGCCACTGAACTTCACTTTCTGATATTCACGCTCTTGACAGTCCCCACCCACAATGAATGGGGCTGATCTGTGTAATCAAAAAGAGATTGTAGAAAGAGTGGTATATGTCATAAAAGACAAGGTTGCATCCACCTTGCTCTTTTGGATCACTCACCCTGGGAACTAGCTGCTGTGTTATGGGGAACTCAAGAAGTCCCACAGAGAGGCCCAAGCGCTGAGAAACTGAGGCCTCCTGCCAACAGCCAGCGCCAGCTTGCTAGCCATGTGAGGGAGACACCTATGAAGCAGAACTTCTGCCCCCAGTCCAGCTCTCAGATGGCTGCAGCCACCCACTGACAGTTTGACTACCACCTCATGAGGGCCCCCAATCCAAAATTCCCTGGCAAAGCCACTCCTGCATTCCCACACACAAACTGTGTGAGATAATAAGTGTTTGTTGTTTTCTTAGGTTGCCGAGTTTTGGAGTAATTTGTTATGTAGCAACAGATTAAAAAATATGGTGTTATTTTCTTTTCATATATATAATTTTTATTTTTAATTTTTGTGGGTACAGAGTAGGTGTATGTATTTGTGGGGTACATGAGATGTTTTGAAACAGGCATGCAATGTGAAATAATCATGGAGAATGGGGTATCCATCCCCTCAAGGATTTATCCTTTGAATGCAATCCAATTATATTATTTTAGTATTTTATTTTATTTTATTTATTTTATTTTATTTTATTTTATTTTATTTTATTTTATTTTATTTTATTTTATTTATTTTATTTTATTTTATTTTATTGAGATGGAATCCTACTTTGTCACCCAGGCTGGAGTGCAGTGGCGTGATCTTGGCTCACTCCAGCCTCTGCCTCTCGGGTTCCAGCGATTCTGCTGCCTCAGCCTCCTGGGTAGCTGGGATTACAAGCACGTGCCACCACAGCCAGCTAATTTTTATATTTTGAGTAGAGACAGGATTTCAATATGTTGGCCAGGCTGGTCTTGAACTCCTGACATCAGGTGATCTGCCCACCTCGGCCTCCCAAAGTGCTAGGATTATAGGCTTGAGCCACTATGCCCAGCCTCTCTTAGTTATTTTTAAATGTAAAATTAAATTATCATTGTCTATAGTCACCCTGTTGTGCTATCAAATACTAGGCCTTATTCATTCATTCTAACTATTTTTTGTACCCATTAAAGGAGTTATTTTCTTCATTTGATCCAAAGAGGAGGTGCATGACCTGAGCTAGACCAAGCCCACCCTTTCCTGTTAGAATTTCAGCAGAGTAAGAATGGCTGGGGCTTATTCATCCTGATGAGACTTTTTCTGTTAAAGACTTTTCCTTATTGATCTTGCCTCCTAGTTCTCTAGAATACCTTCACACCTGCCTATTTTGGAGCTGGTCCTCCTGGCTTTCACTCGCGTCCGTGTGAAGAGACCACCAAACAGGCTTTGTGCGAGCAATAAAGCTGTTTATTTCACCTGGGTGCAGGTGGGCTGAGTCCGAAAAGTGAAGGGAGATAGGGGTGGGGCCGTTTTATAGGATTTGGGTAGGTAAAGGAAAAAGGAGGGTTGTTCTCTGGCAGGCAGGAGTGGGGTGCTCAGCAGGGGAGCTTTTGAGACAGGATGAGCCAGGAGAAGGAATTTCACAAGATAATGCCATCAGTTAAGGCAGGAACAGGCCATTTTCATTTCTTTTGTGATGGAATGTCATCAGTTAAGGCAGGAACCAGCCACCTGGATGTGTACGTGCAGGTCACAGGGGATATGATGGCTTAGCTTGGGCTCAGAGGCCTGACACTGGCTTCCCATTAATTCTGCAAGCACCGAATATCCTTCAATGCATTTCCTTTTGCTTCAGTTAAGCACAAGCAGTGGAGTGAGAAAACTGGGTTCAAATCCCAGTTCCACCACTGACTGCAGTCTTGGACAAGTTGCTTGAGCTCTCTGTACTTCCATTGCTTCCTCTTTGACAAGTGTGTATAATAATAAGACATACGGGTATGTGGCTCACAGGGTTATCAGAAGGATCAATAAGTTAGTACTTAGCAAGCACTCAGAATATGGCCTATCACATAAAGAGCAGCAGGAAGCATTTGCTGTTATTGAAACCAATGAATACTACTCACCAGAACAGCCCAGGGAAGCACTGAGGTCGCTGACTAGTCAAGAGTGCAGAACCTCCAAGATTTGAGCCCCGCCTGGATTGCCTGATTTCACGTCTCTAGACCTTTAATCACTCCTAGGTAATAGCAGCACAGCTTGGCTGGAGCACAGTGCTAAGATATCCTCTTGTAATTATGCCAAAATTCACTTTTAACATGAGTCAGGCAGTGGCTCTCAGCTTGCTTTAGCAGGGTTATACCCAATCCACCCCCACACCAAAAAGGGAGCTTCTCCCCTTGTCTGTGGTCATTCCCATCTCTATCACACATTCTGATCTCTCACTCCAACTGTGAAGAACAGCCACTGGCTGTCTTCTACCTCTTACCTTTCCTCATCTACCTAGTTTTCATACCACACCTGGATGCTGATGAATAGATTTCTCTTGCTTACCTTGTTATTTTACTGGGAGTGGATGGGCAGATTGAATGAGGAAAGTAGTCCAAAGAGGAGCTGACAGGTGCCTTTGGACAAACAAGCAAGTGATATAGGTTACTGGGAAGTCACCCAAGATAGGGCAGAGTAGACCACTGCAATCCAAAGCCACCTTAATAGGCCAGAGAAAATGCATGAGAAAGTGGGAAGAGTGTGTGGGCAACAGAATTAAGAGTCCAGGCCCCCCGCCTGATTAACAAGAGCAGGATTTTTGTAAGTTCCAAGATTCACAGGGATATAAGGACTCATTCCTTCTTTCCACATATATTTACTGAGCATCTACTATGTACCAGGTACTGTGCTAGGTACTGAGGATGCGTCAGTGAACAAAGCAAAGTGACTGTCCTCACAGAGTGGCATTGCAGTGATAGAGATGGATAAAGTTAAATATATAGTTTGTTAGGTGATCACTAAGAAGAAAAGAATAACAGAAATGTCTTAGAAACAGAGCCTGAGACAGGGATTCAGGGCAGCTGATTTAGTTTTTAGGGTGTTTGTTTGTTTGTTTTGTTCTTGTTTTTGTTTTTGTTTTTTGAGACAGAGTTTCACTCTTGTCGCCCAGGCTGGAGTGCTATGGCACAATCTCAGCTCACTGCAACCCCCGCCTCTGGATTCAGGTGATTCTCCTGCCTCAGCCTCCCAAGTAGCTGGGACTAGAGGCGCCTGCCACCATGCCAGGCTAATTTTTTTTTTTTTGTATTTTTAGTAGAGACGGGGTTTCACCATGTTTGCCAGGCTGGTTTCAAACTCCTGACCTCAGGTGATCTGCCTGTCTCAGCCTCCCAAAGTGCTGGGGTTACAGGCATGAATCACCATACCCAGCCCTGATTTAGTTTTGAGGGAGAGCTCTCAGATGAAAAAGAGTGAAGGAAGGAATCAAGGAGTGAATGGGAAAAAAGCCAAACAAGATGTGGTCTTAGGTCTGATCCACAGGGACTCTGGAATATTCACATAACACTGCAGAATTCTCCCCCTTCCCCTTAAGGTGAAGGAAGCGGCCTTTTGTGTTCCGGTATCTTTCCATCACTGGCTGCAGGCTGCCCTAGCGTGGGTGCAGAAGGGAATGTGATTTCCCATCAAGGCAGTACCTGTTAGTTGAGTGAAATTCTCCAGGGAAGCAGGACATCTGGGAGTCTTTGGCAGCTGATCTTCACAGCAGCTCAGGGTGGGTGCACTGGGAGGAAAAGATTCTGGATGGAGCAACTGCCATGTCTACCTCAGGAGGAGGGGTTACAACATACCAGTAGGAGGTAACATTTTACATCGGATGGACAGGGGACCTCACTGAGAAGGTGGCTTCAAGAAATGCCTAAAGGAAGTGAGAGCACCCATTGTGTGGCCAATGGGGAGAAGTTGTGTGTTGAGAGGTGGGGGTTGTCCGTAGGCAGGAATGGCAGGTGCAAAGTCTCTGATGTGGCAGTGGTCTTGGCATGCTAAAGAAAAAGCAAGGAGGCTGGAGTGGAGGAATGAGAGACAGGCAAAGAAGACGCAGTGTGCAATGTAATGAAGAAGAAGGCAAGAAAAGCATATGACACTTGTAAATCAGAACCTGGACTGTACATTCCTTCTGAGAGTTAAGAAGCCACTGGAAGATTCTGAGCAGAGGGTTGACATGATTGCACTTTTATCTAGCAGGTTTATTCTTGGCTCCCATGTTGACAGTAGACCAAAGAGGCCAAGAGTGGAAGTGGGAGGCCAATTATAAGGTTATTGAAATAATCCAAGTGAGAGAAGTTAGCACTTGGACCAAGGTAGTGGTGGTGAAGGGTGATCAAATTCTGGAAATATTTTGATAGGTGAGCCAAGAAGAGTTTTTTTGAGAGTCTGAATGTCGGGTTTGAAAGAAAGAGAAAAGTCGAGAATGGTTCCAAGTTTTCGGACCTGACGTCTAAGAAGACAGTTTTCATCTACTGAGATGGGAAAGCTGGAACTGAGCTATCTTCAAGGGATTGATTAGAAGTAGTTTTAGACATGCTGAGTTCGAGATGTCCATTGGACATCCAAGAGAAAATGCCAAGTAGATACTTTAATAAAAATGTGGAAGTCCTAAGTGAAAAGATGTCACTCAAAAATATGAGATCATATAGGGAGTGAGTAAAGATTTTTTAAAAAGAGAGAAAAGAGATCCAAAAATATTTGTCCAGTGAAGCATGGCTGGGCTTGAGGCACCCCGCCAGCCATAGGGGTGTCTTCCCAATGACCTACGCGAGGTCCACTTTTGTGTCCCCAGAGCACTCACCTATGATGGGGTCACAGGGTGTGTCATAATTCCCAGAAGCCCCACCCTTGGAGCATCAGATTATATTTCAGAATCATAAATATAGAGATATTTAAATAATACCTGTATCAAAACCCTACATTTTCAAGAAAGATCAAGTAGAGGGTGATAGTTGATAGTAGGTTTTGTAAATGAGTCACCACAGACGTGCTAACAGTCAAGCTCCACATACATCCTTCTTGTGCATTTCAAACAGAATCCTGTTTATAAAAATAAGACACCAGCTTTTTATCAGTGCACCTGTTGTTTAAAAGTTCTCCTGTCCCCGGATTTAAATACTCAATGGTCATCTTCTCAGACCACCCCCAGGGAATGACATTTGCTAAGTTGCCCATCAAGGCCCTCCTTGCCTGTGAGGAAGACAAAGACAGAGCAGAGAGGAAGAAAGTGAGCTTTCTCTGCTTCTGGGATCATGTTCCCCAACCCTAGGTGTGACTCCAGCCTGTCACCGAAGCCTGGTCATGTGCAGATGGAGATGCACTATCCCAAGAAGACACTAAAGAGAAGTGCCCTTGCAAAAATGACTCTGTATAGTATTCCATCATATCTATCTGTCTGTCTATCTATCTATCTATCTATCTATCTATCTATCTATCTATCTATCTATCTGTCTATCTATCCCACAATTTCTTTATTCACTCATGGTGGTTGATGGGCATTTGGGCTGGTTCCATATTTTTGCAATCACGAATTTTGCTGCTATAAACATGCATGTTTATAGCATGTGGCCAAATACCACCTGTTTCCCAAAAACCTATGGAAATAAAATTTTTTTAAAAAAGAATAAAAGTTAAAATTTTAAAAATTACTCTGATCTGGAAACTTTTCCTAAGCACCTGGGCTATGGTAGCAAAAACACTGGACTGAGGGCCCTCCCCATCTAAGTTCTGCCATGAGTCAGCGAGGTAATTTTGGGTGATGTTTAATTTACTTGTTCTTCATCCCCTCATCTATAAAATGCAGATTTGAATGCCGCATAAGGTTGTTCTGAAGATTAAAAGAATTGAAATGTGTAAAGTACAAAGAAGGATATTTGTCATAAAATAAGTTATTATATTTTATGTTATGGTAATAATATCACTGTTAGTTACTATTATTATTATTAATTATTATTATTGAATGGACTCTGTGCCAACAAGCTTTGTGACCTCAGGCAAGTCAGCTCACCTTTCAAAGCCCTGCCTTTTGAGGCACTCTTGCTTCCCATGGAAGTCAGTGAATAGCCCTCCATTCCAGGCTCCAGGATGGGGCACAACCCCACCAGTGCACATTCAGGAAGTCATATGTATGGGAAATACAATGGTACCATCAGAAGGGGGATGACTGCCATGGGAAAGGTCTGCCATTGCACCTCCTACACTCTGCCTTTTCCCACTGGAAGAACAATGTCTCTTCCACTTCCCCACTGTTCTCCCTTGCACCCTGGATCCCTGGAAGAGCTGTACAAAGTGCTCTGAACATCCTAGACTAGTGTTGTCTGTGTCTACAGTTTCAAGAATACTACCACATTTCATCGACTTTATTCCAGGAAACAGATTCCATAATCAATGAAAAGGCCCAAACTTCTGAGAAAGAGTTTTTCTTGTTACAACATTTGTAGAGTCTTGCTTATGTTTGAATCCCCCTACTGATCACTGTTTTGGCAAGACTGGGTGCATCTTGCCAAGTTGGAAGGGAATTGTTCACGGGTTG
Organism: Homo sapiens; assembly: GCF_000001405.40. Classification (NCBI taxonomy): domain Eukaryota; kingdom Metazoa; phylum Chordata; class Mammalia; order Primates; family Hominidae; genus Homo; species Homo sapiens. The sequence continues at coordinate 52,830,033 of NC_000004.12, read as the reverse complement.
CTCATGGGAGACATCAGGTGCCTGGGGCTTTGCCAATGTGGGAAGAGAAAAAGGAGAAAGGAAGAGGAAGGGGAGTCCTTGGCTAGTGGCCAGGATCAGAATGAACTTAACTGAGGCATGTAGGACCCCAGGGCAAGCTAATCATTTGGCCCCTGACTCAATTAGAAATTGGATTTAGTTGCTAGCATCAGAAACCTGAGTGTGGTACCTTCAGGAAGAGGCTTATTCCTCTCCTACATAAAAGAAATCTAGAGGGTTTCTGTAGTGGCTCTATAAACTCAAAAGGGACTGAGGTTCCTTTTAGCTTTCTGGTCCACCAACCTAGTTCATTGCTTTCCTTCTTGAAGGTTGTCTCGTGATCCAGTATAGCTGCTAGTAGCTCCAGCCATTACATTCACATTCCAGGCAGCATGAAGGAGGAACCAAGGAAGGGCAAAAAAAGTATTCACATCCTCTACATTTTATAAAGCCTTCCCAGCAGTCCTATACAAAAATTCTGCTTACATCTCCGTGGTGAGAGCTCAGACGCACAAGCACACCTAGATACAGAGGAGACTGTGCTACGTGAGGAGACACTGACAGTGATTTGAGGGAAATAGGAAGAATGGGGAGTATTCGTAGCAGCTCAGCTTCCATTTTATTGTCCCCAACAACTCTGCTCTGGCCCCCAACTTGCATACCTGCCTAGCAAAAAAGGAAGCACTTTGTAAGTCACCATATTTACTACCCCTTGTTACTCAAATACTCCCCAGAAAATGTCAGAACATTTTTTCCAGACATATTATACTATATTCTCCTAGAGAGAAATTCTAGTAAATAGAGTTGGTTCCACGTTGGCACATTTCCAAGGATGCTTTAGCTTCACAGCAATGTTTAAACTCCCTTCAAAGACTGGTGGTTCAGGTACAGAAAGAGAAATGTCACATGTTCTCACTCATATGTGAAAGCTAAAAATGTGGATCTCATGAGCAGAATGATCATTACCGGAGGTTGTGAAGGGTGAAGAGGGGAATGAAGCAAGCATGGTTAATAGGTACAAACATACAGTTAGACAGAAGGAATAAGTTCTAGTGTTGGGTAGCACAGTAGGGTGACTATAGTTAACAATGATTTATTGCATATTTCAAAATAGCTAGGAGATGTGAAATGTTTCCAACACAAAGAAATGATAAAAGTTTCAGATGACAGTGTTCTCACTCATAGGTGGGAATTGAACAATGAGAACACTTGGACACAGGGTGGGGAGCATCACACTCTGGGGCCTGTCGTGGGGTGGGAGGAGGGGGGAGGGATAGCATTAGGAGAAATACCTAAGGTAAATGATGAGTTAATGGGTGCAGCACACCAGCATGGCACATGTATACATATGTAACAAACCTGCACATTGTGCACATGTACCCTAGAACTTAAAGTATAACAACAACAAAAAAAAGTTTGAGATGACGGATATCCTAATTACCTGACCTGATTGTTACACATTGTATGCATGTATCAAAATATTACATGTATCCCATAAACATGTACAATTATTATGCATCAATAAAAAAAGAAACCATAGATTTTTCAACACTTTCAAGTTTCCAGCCCTTTAATAATAGGTCTGCACAAAGTTAGCCCTCATCTGAATTCTTCCATTTTCAGATAAGGAGAAGTTTCACAATTTTAGAATATTAACAGTCTAAGGTATCTTGGAAACCCCACCTAGTCACTCAGTTATCAATAATAACTTATATCGCATACATAAATTATCATTATTATTATTGCTGGTAATAAGGTAAATAAATTTGGAAGAAAAAAGATTTGTGGCCTGTGAAGTTACCTGGCTGATGCACTCATAAGTCTGACACTGACTAGCAGACCTAGAGTCTAATTTGTTTTTTTTATTTTTTATTTTTATTTTTATTGTTTTAGATGGAGTCTTGCTCCATTGCCAGGCTGTAGTGCAGTGGCACAATGTCTGCTCACTGCAACCTCGGCCTCCCGAGTTCAAGCAGTTCTCCTGTCTCAGCCTCCCGAGTAGCTGGGATTACAGGCATGCACCATCACACCTAGCTAATTTTTGTATTTTTAGTAGAGATGGGGTTTCACCGTGTTGACCAGGATGGTCTTGATCTGCTGACCTCGTGATTGCTTGCCTCAGCCCCCCAAAGTGTTGGGATTACAGGCATGGGCCACTGCACCTGGCAGATTCTAGTTCTTGCAATGGTACTGTCTGTCTGGATCCTTTATGCATTCAACAAATATTTGTCAAACATCTGTATTAGTCAGGTTTCTCCAGGAAGACAGAACCAATAGTATAAATATATAGATATCTGAGATGAGCTTTTAAAACATTTATTTATTTATTTATTATCTGTCTTAGAGGTAGGATCTCCCTATGTTGCCCAGGTGGGTCTTGAACTACTGGGTTCAAGCAATCTGCCCACCTTGGCCTCTCAAAATGTTGGCCTTACAGGTGTGAGCCACTGCATCCAGTCCATTTTTATTTATTTAGAGACTGGTCTCACTCTGCTGCCCAGGCTGGAGTGCAGTGGCACAATCATAGCTCACTGCAGCCTTGAACTCCTGGGCTCAAGCAGTCCTCCCACCTCAGCCTCCCGAGAGGCTATGGCTACAGGAATGTACCACCACACCCAACTAATTTTTAAATTTTTTCTAGAGATGGAGTTCCCTTTGTTGCCCTGGCTGGTCTCAAACTCCTGGCCCCAAGTGATCCTCCTGCCTTGGCATCCCAAAGTGTTGGGATTACAGGCATGAGTCACTGCGCTCGGCTAAGAGGGAATTTATTCGGGGAATTGGCTCACGTAATTATAGAGGCTGAGAAGCTCCATAACAGGCCATCTGTAAGCTGAAGACCCTGGATACTGGATGCTGGGAAGCTGAGCTTATGGCTCAGCTCAAGTTTGAAGGCCTCAGAACCAGGGAAGTAGATGGTGTAATTCTCAGTTTGAGGCTAAGGGAATGAGAACTCAGGGGTTCACTGATGTAAGTCCTAGAGTCCAAAGGCTGGAGAGCCTGGAGTTTTTGTCCAAGAACAGGAGAAGAAGAGTGTATCCCAGCTCCAGCAGATGGATAGACACATTTGCCTTGTCTCTGTTTTTGTTCTTTCTGGGTCCCCAGACAATTGGATGGTGCCCACCTCACTGAGAGCAAATCTTCCCCACTCAGTCCGCTCAGACTGTCATGTTAATCTCCTCTGGAAACATCCCCAAGGACACACCCAAAATTATGCTTTATCAAGTTTGTAGATATTCCTTAATTCAGTCAAGTTGATGTCTACAATAACCATCACAACATCTAACCTACCCAAGGCATTACATAGGACATTGTGACCCCAAGAACCAACACAAGCAATGACACTGCCCTCATGGTGCTCACAGTCCAGTGGGGGTCATAGACAATTCACATGCATGGTGTAGGGTGCTGAGGGGTGGAGTGTGAGGCTCCCCAGTACCTCACTGGTAGATCTTTGACCTCCAAGTTGGGAGCTGAAGGTCAAGTAGAAGTTATTCTGATTGTGAATAACAATGAAGTCACAAGATTAGAGGACAAAAGATCATCTGGTCACAGTGCAGAGAATGAATTGGGGAGGGGCAGGTGTAGAGGCAGGGAGACCAGGGAGGAGGCTGTTATTTTGCTTTACCCAGGAGAACAGAGGAGAGGCCGAGGCAGTGTGGGTGGAGAGAAGGGAGTGTGCCCAAGAGCTGTTGTGGAGGTGGCATCAAGAGAAGTTAGTAACTGGCTAATCAGGATGATCTGATCAAGATGGCAGGAGGGGTTTAAACATGATGATGATATGTCACAGAGCTGGATAATACAGGGTGACAGGCCAGGACCTGGGACCACACTATCCATGGAGGCCAGTGACCCAAAGCCTACCCGTCTTCCTGCACCATGAGGAGCCCAACAAGTGGCACTCCAGTCTGCACAGCCAAGCTCCGCCAATGCCCCATCCACACTAAGAACTGCCCCTGCAGCAGATGGCACCCTCCAGAGGACAAACCAGTGCCAGAGGCCTGCATAGGCCCTGTAAGAAGCCTGGAGCTGTTTGGGCAGGGAATTCTGGGGTCCTGGAGCATAAACATAGTTGAGGGGTTGGTGTGGAAGGTGATGGGATGTTCCTGTGGAAAGGGGCACAGCCAGAAGAGAAAAGAATGGGGGCCTCAATGTCCCCCATTCTGGGCAGGGTCCCAGAAACCCAGGCTAAGGGCAGTACTGCAGGGAGAAAGCCAGATAGGGAAAGACACTGAGCTTAGTTCTGGACAGGCTGTGTTTGAAAGACCTGTGGACATGCCCAGAAGGTAGTCAGAGATTGTCATTCTGGAGCTCAGGAAAGTATGTCTCATCACATTCCCTGCACTCAGTGTCACCCGTATAAAGCAGGACACTCCTGGGCTGTGTGATGTGGTGTTGAGGTCTTCCTTCCTGCTCCAGCACTCTCTGCACCATAAACCCGCTCCCCCCACCTCACTGCCTGGCCACGTGGGAACCAAGCATGGGGAAGCCTGTCCCAGAGGCCCACCCTAGCCCTATCCACCAAATTCTTGTGATCAGTTTAACTACACAACAAAATTCAGATCAGAGTGAGGATTAGCCGAGGTAGTTTGTGAACAGTGCTTTGAACTTCACAGATGAAAGCCTCCTGACTTCCCCCGTTCACACAAAGATAGCCCAAGGTATTAAACGTGACGTAAACACATTGCCACCCCCTGGCTTCTCCACCCGATGCTAGGAGACTTTGCAGCTGGCTGGGTGATCAGTCAGCGTCCCAAATTGCCTTCCCCTGTGGCATTCCACTCAGGTCTCCCAGAGGGGGGAAATGGATTCTGTCCTCAGCCCACTGCTCCTGGAATTGCAAGCATTCGGTGAGGCTGGCCCCCACCCCTGGCTTCTCCAGGGCTCCTGCATGCAGAGCAGTGCTGCAGAGGACCATGGTACATGGACTTCCCCTCCACTATCCATCTCAGAGTGCACAGCTCAGGGCCAGAGACGAGGGGCAGAGCCAGGAGGGAGGCAGAGCAGCCCTCAGCATGGCCTGGCCTGCTGCTCGAGGTTATTGTTCCCAGATGGAGATTGTCAAACCCTGTCAGCCTCAGATACACACTGAGAGTGCTATATCCGCATTCCTGGAATGTGTGGCGGCCCCAGCTTCACCTTCTACAGCCTTTGATTCAATAACATGTCAAGTCCCTTCAGCCTCACCAGAGCTAAAACTTTCTCATCCACTCACTGCCTCTGCACACAGGCATTGTGGCTGTCTAAATATTTAAGCTGGGCCAAGGGGAGGTATATTTAGTCTGGATTGATTACGCTAGTTGTTTAAGCCAACTGGATCTCACCTGCTCATGTCAGTTTCATGATGAGCTCTGGAAGCCAAAGGCTGTTGGCTGTGCTTGTTGGGCCTTAGAACTGAGTATCATGACTGCTGTCCCAGGGGTTGGCTGCCTACAGGGCCAGGGGGAAGGAGCATGGCAATTTGGCTGGTTGCTCTTTAGTGTATGGCGTGGCTGCCGGCACCACAAAAGGCCTTAGCCAGAGACTTCTGGGGGTATCCTGGTGCCCTTCATTCTCCACTCGGCACACCCGGGCCATCACACAGACCCCTCCACACCAGTCCTGGCATTGCCTGCTAGCATTGTGATGCTGCTCCCGCCTGGTAGACCCTTTCTACAATGAGTCTATTCCCTTTGACTGATCTGAAAGAAATTGAATCTGCGAGTCATGAGGGTAATTGTGGGGACAGATGAGGATACCTGGGCCCAGGGATGAAAAGCAGTTTGCTTAGGATCACACAGCAGTTGGTGATGCAGCTGTATCTATAATTCTGGACCTTCGACTTTCCAGCTATCATGGGTCACATTGTGTCTTCTAAAAAGGCACGTTGAAATCCTAACTCCTGGTACTTGTGAATATGACCTTATTTGGAAATAAGGTATTTGCAGATGCAATCAAGTTGCAATGTGGTCATTAGAGCAGACCCTAACCCAATATGATTGGTTTCCTTATAATAAGAGGGAAATTTGGACACAGACATACACAGAGGGAAGACAGCCCATATGAAGAAGGAGGCAGACATTAGGGCTATGCAGCCAGAAGCCAGGGAACACCTGGATGAAGCCTCCATGAACTGGAAGAGGCAAGGAGGGATCCTCCCCTAGAGGCTTTGGAGGGAGTGTGGCCCTGCCCACCATCTTGATTTTAGACTTCTAACGTCCAGAACTGTGAGAGAAGGAATTTCTGGTGTTTTATGCCACCCAGTTTGTGGCATTTTGTTACAGCAGTCCTAGAAAACTCATACCATCCAATAGTGTCTCTGATACAAGAACTGGGTGAAATTCTAGAAAATGCGGTTCCTTGGAAGTGATGAGAGACAGCTCATTGTGGTTTCAGATTCAAGAGTACCTAGCAGGTCATGTTTAATATGTGAGTCATCTCTGAGGAGAACTTGATGTTCTGTGTTTCCTGTTACCTGAGAAAAGCTCTCCATCAAGGCCCAGTGATATGGACTCCTTCTCTCCTCCTAAAGTTTAATTTGTGGATTAATGTGAAATCATCCTTCTGATGATTTCATGTATGTGGCCTTCCCATCTGAGGTATTTCAACACACTTACCAAATACCGTGACCCTTAGGAGTGGCCTCTGGGGTTAGGAATTCCTGCTTTGCATCTGCCCTTTAACCTCCCCTAGTCCGAATGCCTTCATTAAACTGAGTCATTTAGTTTTGTGAATTCAGAAAAAATGAAAAGAGCTGGCATAGAAAACACTAGGGCTCTAGCTTTGGACTGACTGTGGGCTGTGGGTTTGGTCAAATAGGGCTTTGCAATTGACCTCAATGTTTATCCCAATTCTCAAGGCACAGAGATTATGAGCTGGCAATTTTCCGAGAATCCATTAGTCAACTCCTTGAGTCTGTGATGATGTTTCTTACAAGGCAATTAGCAGGTTTTTTCGTCCAGGGAGAGGTGTGTTCATGCCCTGACACCCAGCAATGCCAGTCCAAGAGAACCCTCATGCCTGTGGCCTTCTGCCAGCCTCACACATCAGCTGAGGTTGGCTCCCCAAACCCTAGGTCTCCTGGTTGTATCACTTTGGGAATAACCATACAAATAAATATGTTCCATTTTTGTGACTCACTGCCCCTCGCTGAAGCTTCTTGTTTACTATGGAAGAGCTAAGAATCTAAATGCATCAAGAGACAGCTCTCTCCACCCCGCAAGACATGAGTTGCACTAAGTGGAAGCATACTTTCTCTGTCTTCCCAAACCAATGGGTGGAATCAATTTAAAACCTCATAGTCATGCAATCCATGTGCAGAAACTCCCCTGCATGTTTTAATGTTCCTACCAAAAAGAACATAATGTTCTTGCCTGTATTTTAAGATAGCATTGCACTGCAAGGGCAATAGGTTTAAACAACTTCTCACTGGCTACACCAATTATAGTATAGTCATACACGGCACCCTGTGTAGCCACAGAGAGTCATGCTTGGGAAGCAAATTTTGTGATGTGGGAAAATGTTTATGGTCTGTTATTTTTTTTTTTTTTTAATTTTTTTTTTTATTATACTCTAAGTTTTAGGGTACATGTGCACATTGTGCAGGTTAGTTACATATGTATACATGTGCCATGCTGGTGCGCTGCACCCACTAACGTGTCATCTAGCATTAGGTATATCTCCCAGTGCTATCCCTCCCCCCTCCCCCGACCCCACCACAGTCCCCAGAGTGTGATATTCCCCTTCCTGTGTCCATGTGATCTCATTGTTCAATTCCCACCTATGAGTGAGAATATGCGGTGTTTGGTTTTTTGTTCTTGCGATAGTTTACTGAGAATGATGGTTTCCAATTTCATCCATGTCCCTACAAAGGACATGAACTCATCATTTTTTATGGCTGCATAGTATTCCATGGTGTATATGTGCCACATTTTCTTAATCCAGTCTATCATTGTTGGACATTTGGGTTGGTTCCAAGTCTTTGCTATTGTGAATAGTGCCGCAATAAACATACGTGTGCATGTGTCTTTATAGCAGCATGATTTATAGTCATTTGGGTATATACCCAGTAATGGGATGGCTGGGTCAAATGGTATTTCTAGTTCTAGATCCCTGAGGAATCGCCACACTGACTTCCACAATGGTTGAACTAGTTTACAGTCCCACCAACAGTGTAAAAGTGTTCCTATTTCTCCACATCCTCTCCAGCACCTGTTGTTTCCTGACTTTTTAATGATTGCCATTCTAACTGGTGTGAGATGATATCTCATAGTGGTTTTGATTTGCATTTCTCTGATGGCCAGTGATGATGAGCATTTCTTCATGTTTTTTTTGGCTGCATAAATGTCTTCTTTTGAGAAGTGTCTGTTCATGTCCTTCGCCCACTTTTTGATGGGGTTGTTTGTTTTTTTCTTGTAAATTTGTTTGAGTTCATTGTAGATTCTGGATATTAGCCCTTTGTCAGATGAGTAGGTTGCGAAAATTTTCTCCCATGTTGTAGGTTGCCTGTTCACTCTGATGGTAGTTTCTTTTGCTGTGCAGAAGCTCTTTAGTTTAATTAGATCCCATTTGTCAATTTTGGCTTTTGTTGCCATTGCTTTTGGTGTTTTGGACATGAAGTCCTTGCCCACGCCTATGTCCTCAATGGTAATGCCTAGGTTTTCTTCTAGGGTTTTTATGGTTTTAGGTCTAACGTTTAAATCTTTAATCCATCTTGAATTGATTTTTGTATAAGGTGTAAGGAAGGGATCCAGTTTCAGCTTTCTACATATGGCTAGCCAGTTTTCCCAGCACCATTTATTAAATAGGGAATCCTTTCCCCATTGCTTGTTTTTCTCAGGTTTGTCAAAGATCAGATAGTTGTAGATATGTGGCATTATTTCTGAGGGCTCTGTTCTGTTCCATTGATCTATATCTCTGTTTTGGTACCAGTACCATGCTGTTTTGGTTACTGTAGCCTTGTAGTATAGTTTGAAGTCAGGTAGTGTGATGCCTCCAGCTTTGTTCTTTTGGCTTAGGATTGACTTGGTGATGCGGGCTCTTTTTTGGTTCCATATGAACTTTAAAGTAGTTTTTTCCAATTCTGTGAAGAAAGTCATTGGTAGCTTGATGGGGATGGCATTGAATCTGTAAATTACCTTGGGCAGTATGGCTATTTTCACGATATTGATTCTTCCTACCCATGAGCATGGAATGTTCTTCCATTTGTTTGTGTCCTCTTTTATTTCCTTGAGCAGTGGTTTGTAGTTCTCCTTGAAGAGGTCCTTCACATCCCTTGTAAGTTGGATTCCTAGGTATTTTATTCTCTTTGAAGCAATTGTGAATGGGAGTTCACTCATGATTTGGCTCTCTGTTTGTCTGTTGTTGGTGTATAAGAATGCTTGTGATTTTCGTACATTGATTTTGTATCCTGAGACTTTGCTGAAGTTGCTTAACAGCTTAAGGAGATTTTGGGCTGAGACGATGGGGTTTTCTAGATAAACAATCATGTCGTCTGCAAACAGGGACAATTTGACTTCCTCTTTTCCTAATTGAATACCCTTTATTTCCTTCTCCTGCCTGATTGCCCTGGCCAGAACTTCCAACACTATGTTGAATAGGAGCGGTGAGAGAGGGCATCGCTGTCTTGTGCCAGTTTTCAAAGGGAATGCTTCCAGTTTTTGCCCATTCAGTATGATATTGGCTGTGGGTTTGTCATAGATAGCTCTTATTATTTTGAAATACGTCCCATCAATACCTAATTTATTGAGAGTTTTTAGCATGAAGGGTTGTTGAATTTTGTCAAAGGACTTTTTCTGCATCTATTGAGATAATCATGTGGTTTTTGTCTTTGGCTCTGTTTATATGCTGGATTACATTTATTGATTTGCGTATATTGAACCAGCCTTGCATCCCAGGGATGAAGCCCACTTGATCATGGTGGATAAGCTTTTTGATGTGCTGCTAGATTCGGTTTGCCAGTATTTTATTGAGGATTTTTGCATCAATGTTCATCAAGGATATTGGTCTAAAATTCTCTTTTTTGGTTGTGTCTCTGCCCGGCTTTGGTATCAGAATGATGCTGGCCTCATAAAATGAGTTAGGGAGGATTCCCTCTTTTTCTATTGATTGGAATAGTTTCAGAAGGAATGGTACCAGTTCCTCCTTGTACCTCTGGTAGAATTCGGCTGTGAATCCATCTGGTCCTGGACTCTTTTTGGTTGGTAAACTATTGATTATTGCCACAATTTCAGAGTCTGTTATTGGTCTATTCAGAGATTCAACTTCTTCCTGGTTTAGTCTTGGGAGAGTGTATGTGTCGAGGAATGTATCCATTTCTTCTAGATTTTCTAGTTTATTTGCGTAGAGGTGTTTGTAGTATTCTCTGATGTTAGTCTGTATTTCTGTGGGATCGGTGGTGATATCCCCTTTATCATTTTTTATTGTGTCTATTTGATTCTTCTCTCTTTTTTTCTTTATTAGTCTTGCTAGCGGTCTATCAATTTTGTTGATCCTTTCAAAAAACCAGCTCCTGGATTCATTGATTTTTTGAAGGGTTTTTTGTGTCTCTATTTCCTTCAGTTCTGCTCTGATTTTAGTTATTTCTTGCCTTCTGCTAGCTTTGGAATGTGTTTGCTCTTGCTTTTCTAGTTCTTTTAATTGTGATGTTAGGGTGTCAATTTTGGATCTTTCCTGCTTTCTCTTGTAGGCATTTAGTGCTATAAATTTCCCTCTACACACTGCTTTGAATGCGTCCCAGAGATTCTGGTATGTGGTGTCTTTGTTCTCGTTGGTTTCAAAGAACATCTTTATTTCTGCCTTCATTTCGTTATGTACCCAGTAGTCATTCAGGAGCAGGTTGTTCAGTTTCCATGTAGTTGATCGGCTTTGAGTGAGATTCTTAATCCTGAGTTCTAGTTTGATTGCACTGTGGTCTGAGAGATAGTTTGTTATAATTTCTGTTCTTTTACATTTGCTGAGGAGAGCTTTACTTCCAACTATGTGGTCAATTTTGGAATAGGTGTGGTGTGGTGCTGAAAAAAATGTATATTCTGTTGATTTGGGGTGGAGAGTTCTGTAGATGTCTATTAGGTCTGCTTGGTGCAGAGCTGAGTTCAATTCCTGGGTATCCTTGTTGACTTTCTGTCTCGTTGATCTGTCTAATGTTGACAGTGGGGTGTTAAAGTCTCCCATTATTAATGTGTGGGAGTCTAAGTCTCTTTGTAGGTCACTCAGGACTTGCTTTATGAATCTGGGTGCTCCTGTGTTGGATGCATAAATATTTAGGATAGTTAGCTCCTCTTGTTGAATTGATCCCTTTACCATTATGTAATGGCCTTCTTTGTCTCTTTTGATCTTTGTTGGTTTAAAGTCTGTTTTATCAGAGACTAGGATTGCAACCCCTGCCTTTTTTTGTTTTCCATTGGCTTGGTAGATCTTCCTCCATCCTTTTATTTTGAGCCTATGTGTGTCTCTGCACGTGAGATGGGTTTCCTGAATACAGCACACTGATGGGTCTTGACTCTTTATCCAACTTGCCAGTCTGTGTCTTTTAATTGCAGAATTTAGTCCATTTATATTTAAAGTTAATATTGTTATGTGTGAATTTGATCCTGTCATTATGATGTTAGCTGGTTATTTTGCTCATTAGTTGATGCAGTTTCTTCCTAGACTCGATGGTCTTTACATTTTGGCATGATTTTGCAGCGGCTGGTACCGGTTGTTCCTTTCCATGTTTAGCGCTTCCTTCAGGAGCTCTTTTAGGGCAGGCCTGGTGGTGACAAAATCTCTCAGCATTTGCTTGTCTATAAAGTATTTTATTTCTCCTTCACTTATGAAGCTTAGCTTGGCTGGATATGAAATTCTGGGTTGAAAATTCTTTTCTTTAAGAATGTTGAATATTGGCCCCCACTCTCTTCTGGCTTGTAGGTTTCTGCCGAGAGATCTGCTGTTAGTCTGATGGTCTTTCCTTTGAGGGTAACCCGACCTTTCTCTCTGGCTGCCCTTAACATTTTTTCCTTCATTTCAACTTTGGTGAATCTGACAATTATGTGTCTTGGAGTTGCTCTTCTCCAGGAGTATCTTTGTGCCGTTCTCTGTATTTCCTGAATCTGAACGTTGGCCTGCCTTGCTAGATTGGGGAAGTTCTCCTGGATAATATCCTGCAGAGTGTTTTCCAACTTGGTTCCATTCTCCACATCACTTTCAGGTACACCAATCAGACGTAGATTTGGTCTTTTCACATAGTCCCATATTTCTTGGAGGCTTTGCTCATTTCTTTTTATTCTTTTTTCTCTAAACTTCCCTTCTCGCTTCATTTCATTCATTTCATCTTCCATTGCTGATACCCTTTCTTCCAGTTGATCGCATCGGCTCCTGAGGCTTCTGCATTCTTCACGTAGTTCTCGAGCCTTGGTTTTCAGCTCCATCAGCTCCTTTAAGCACTTCTCTGTATTGGTTATTCTAGTTATACATTCTTCTAAATTTTTTTCAAAGTTTTCAACTTCTTTGCCTTTGGTTTGAATGTCCTCCCATAGCTCAGAGTAATTTGATCGTCTGAAGCCTTCTTCTCTCAGCTTGTCAAAATCATTCTCCATCCAGCTTTGTTCTGTTGCTGGTGAGGAACTGCGTTCCTTTGGAGGAGGAGAGGCGCTCTGCGTTTTAGAGTTTCCAGTTTTTCTGTTCTGTTTTTTCCCCATCTTTGTGGTTTTATCTACTTTTGGTCTTTGATGATGGTGATGTACAGATGGGTTTTCGGTGTAGATGTCCTTTCTGGTTGTTAGTTTTCCTTCTAACAGACAGGACCCTCAGCTGCAGGTCTGTTGGAATACCCTGCCGTGTGAGGTGTCAGTGTGCCCCTGCTGGGGGGTGCCTCCCAGTTAGGCTGCTCGGGGGTCAGGGGTCAGGGACCCACTTGAGGAGGCAGTCTGCCCGTTCTCAGATCTCCAGCTGCGTGCTGGGAGAACCACTGCTCTCTTCAAAGCTGTCAGACAGGGACACTTAAGTCTGCAGAGGTTACTGCTGTCTTTTTGTTTGTCTGTGCCCTGCCCCCAGAGGTGGAGCCTACAGAGGCAGGCAGGCCTCCTTGAGCTGTAGTGGGCTCCACCCAGTTCGAGCTTCCCGGCTGCTTTGTTTACCTAAGCAAGCCTGGGCAATGGCGGGCGCCCCTCCCCCAGCCTCGTTGCCGCCTTGCAGTTTGATCTCAGACTGCTGTGCTGGCAATCAGCGAGATTCCGTGGGCGTAGGACCCTCTGAGCCAGGTGTGGGATATAGTCTCGTGGTGCGCCGTTTCTTAAGCCGGTCTGAAAAGCGCAATATTCGGGTGGGAGTGACCCGATTTTCCAGGTGCGTCCGTCACCCCTTTCTTTGACTCGGAAAGGGAACTCCCTGACCCCTTGCGCTTCCCAGGTGAGGCAATGCCTCGCCCTGCTTCGGCTCGCGCACGGTGCGTGCACACACTGGCCTGCGCCCACTGTCTGGCACTCCCTAGTGAGATGAACCCGGTACCTCAGATGGAAATGCAGAAATCACCCGTCTTCTGCGTCGCTCACGCTGGGAGCTGTAGACCGGAGCTGTTCCTATTCGGCCATCTTGGCTCCACTCTCTATGGTCTGTTATTAAGTGAAAAAAAAAAAGCTGCTTACAAAACAGAATGTATAGCATGGAACTGATTATACAAAAATTATGCCTATATCCATAAACAATCTGGAAGGCTCTACTTCAAAATGTAAACACTGGTGGAATATTCAGGGCCATGAGTGTACAATGGCCCAGTTTGTGCAGGATGCGGGGGTACCACTTGAGACAATAAGTGGTGGCTGGCATCTTGGCACAGGTTGTGCCTGCTGGAAAGGTCCATCTTTTTCTAATCATACAATGGCATCTTATAGGCTGGTGGGGACTGCAGGTGATTTTCATTTTTATTCTATGTGCTTTCTCATGTTTTCCAAAACTTCTTCAATGAGTAGGTCCTACTTCTGTATTAACTTTAAAAAATGATACATAGTATAACTTTTTTTTTTTTTTTTTTTTTTTTTTTTGAGACAGGGTCTTACTCTGGTCGCCCAGGCTGGAGTGCAGTGGCAAAATCTCAGCTCACTGCAGCTTCGACCTCCTGGGCTCAGGTGATCCTCCCACCTCAGCCTCCCAAATAGCTGGTGCACACCACTACTCTCCCAGCTAAATGTTTTGTATTTTTAGTAGAGATGGGGGTTCACCATGTTGCACAGGCTGGTCTTGAACTCCTGGGCTCAAGTGATCCACCCATCTTGGCTTCCCAAAGTGCTGGGATTACAAGTGTGAGCCACCATGCTCAGCCCCAATTTTTAAGAGATAGATAATTGGTGGAAATTTAAACATGATGGAATATTTGATGATATTAAGGAATTATTTTTAAGTGTGGAAATGGTATTGTGGTTATATTTTTAAAAGTCATTAGTTTCTAGGGATGCATACTGAAAGGTATATAGGTAAAATGATAAAATGTCTGGGGTTGGCCTGGAAATAATATGGGAGGTAGTTAAGTGGGTGGGAGTATAGCATGAGAAAGAAAAGTTGCAAATTAACCATTGTTGAAGCTGGGTGCTAGATGCATGGGAGTTTTTAATTCTATTTTATTGATTTTTGGATAGATAGCAAATTGCCGTAATACAAAGCTAAAATCAAAACAGAAAATTGGTTTAGATCATTGTATTAGTCAGGGTTCCCCAGAGAAACAGATCATATACATATATATATAAATAAGTCACAGGGGGTGATTGATTTTAAGGAAATGGTTCACATGATTATGGAGGCGGGGCCCACAAGCTGGAAAGCCAGGAAGAGCCGGTATTGCAGTTCAAGTCTGATAGCTGCCTGCCACAGAATTCCCTCTACTGCAAAGATTGATAAGCAGCAAGTCTTGTCCCCACTGTGACAAAAAAAGAGGGAAAAGGATTAATTTACAGCGGGAAGAATTGAATTTAGCTGCATGGGAAAACTAAGTGCAGTTGACCCCTGAACAACACAGATTTGAACTATGTACGTCCACATATACATAGGTTTTTTTTCAACCAAACATGGACCAAAAATATAGTACTGGCAAGACATGAAAGCTGTGTATATGGAGGGCTGCCTTTTGGCACTCATGGGTTCCACAGCACTGACTGAAGGACTTGAGTATATGCAGATTTTGGTATATGCAGTGGTCCTAAAACCAATCCCCCATGTATACTGAAGGGACGATTGTACCAGTAAGAGAATGTTCAATACCCAGAGAGATGCTGTATTAGCTAGGATGCTTTCAGCTGTGAGTAAAAAAAAAAAAAAAAAAAAAAAAATTAATGCTGGTTTAAACTATACGGACATTCGTCAATTAGTTAACAGGTAGTCAACAGACGGGAAGTCTCAGCGTTGGTTCAGCAACCAATGATGATATCAAGAAGCCAAGTGCTTTTCAATCTCTGTTTCTTTCCTCCTTTTTATTTTTGAGTAGATTGTTTTCTTTAGTTTTTTAAACTGTAAACCCATTACCTTATGGTTGCAAAATGGCTAAAGAGCTCCAAACATCACAATCTTACGTGTCCACAACCAAAGGCAGGGCGCAGAAGGAGCAAAACAAGAGAGAGCTCTTCTTCCTTCCTTCTTTCCTTCCCAACAAGGAAAACTCTTGGTCAGAAGCCTCTCAGCAGACTTACCTTCGTATCTATTGGCATCTTGTTGGTATTTGATTGCATGGCTGCCTCTAGCACCAAAGGAGACTGGGAAGATGAGCACCTGGTTCTTTCAGGCTCTTTGGGAAGAAAGACAAAGTCTGGGAGTGGCTGCTGTGCAACCCACAAACAGTGGTTGCCATGCTGCCACGGTTATGAAAAAGAGTTTTGGTATATCTTTCCTCATTATTAAAATAATTTTTGCTAATTCTAGAAAAATTGAAAAATACAGGAAGTTACCTATAACTACAAGACCCAAAGAAATCCACTGACATTTTGGTGTCTGAGGACATCAAAATCTTCTTTATTGGGTACATGAAGCCAAGTGGAGACAGAGGAAAGAGGATCTAACCCAGGCGTTGAAGGTCTTGTAGACTTGTGAGTCAAAGTAAAAGGCCCTTCCTTGACTTTAACACTCTTCTCAGGAACATAGAGAGAGGATTGAGATTGAATTTATCTGTTACACATTGTGGCAAGACAAACCACCCCAAAACTTAGTGGCTTAAACAACAACCATTTCTTATTGTTCACGACTGTGTGGGTCAGGAGGTTGTGCCAGGCTCAGCATAAAGACTGTTTTACATGGTGTTTGCTGGTTCACTCACACAGCTGTGTCCAGCTGGCATTTCATTAGGCTGGAGATCCAAGACAGCCTCACTCATCTATCTCGGGCTGCGGTGCTGGCTTTCAACTGAGACGCCTCAGTTTTTCTTCCCTTGACCTCTCTGGATTCATTTTGTCTCATCTTCCAGGGCCTTCCTTTTCAGATGTTTTTCCCTCCAGCAGAAGAGCCTTGAGTTCTTTACATGATGGCTGCTTTTCCTAAGTGAAAACAGAAACTAAAAGCTTCTTGGCTGGGTGTGGTGGCTCATGCTTATAATCCCAGCACTTTGGGAGGCCAAGGTGGGCAGATCACTTGAGGTCAGGAGTTCGAGACCAGCCTGGACAATATGGTGAAACCCCATCTCTACTAAAAATACAAAAATTAGCTGGGCATGATGGAAGGCACCTGCGATCCCGGCTACTTGGGAGACTGAGGCACAAGAATCACATGAACCTGGGAGGAGGTTGTTGTAGTGAGCCAAGATCGCGCCACTGCACTCCAGCCTGGGCAACAGAGCGAGACTCTGTCTCAAACAAAAAACAAAAAACAAACAAACAAAAAAACTAACTAAAAGCTTCTTGAGGCCAGGCCTTGACAGTCCAAGAACATCATTTCCACCCCGTTTTAATCAGCTGATGCAAGTCACAAAGGGCAGCCCAGATTTAAGGGGAAAGGAATAGGCCCTTCCTCTTGATGGAGGAGAGGCTAAGGGCATGCTGGATGGGAGAGACTGTTGTAAGCATCTCTGAAACCATCTACCACATATGGCAATAGGTCTGCCCAGGATTAGAGAAGTTAAAACACGTGGACACACACACAAACACGTCCTTATAGCAAATCCACTAAAATTCTAAACTGAAAACTGTTTCACCTTTGGCAGCTATCTGAATGCATCAGCAGTGACATTCTGTATTTCAAATGACAGCTTTCAAATTTGTTAAGGAATCTGTCAATCATTCATGAGAGTATAATAGTTAATAGCACTAACCCCAGAGCTAGAATGCCTGGATTTAATTCCAGCTCCATTACATTTAGCCCTTTGACATGGGACAAGTTATTTACCTTTGTCCTGTTTGTAAACTGGGAGTGGTGAGGATTAAATGAGTGGATATATAAGAAATACTCAGAGCAGTGCCTGGCACAGAGCAAACACAATGTATATGTTTATATTGTTATATCCATTCACAGCAATAGTAGGGTTTCTTTTCTGTGATGTTACCAAATCTGTGTTTTACAGAGTAGCAGGTATATTTTCTCACTTTGGATTTTATTTATTTATTTATTTATTTTGAGACATAGTCTTGCTCTGTTGCCCAGGCTAGAATCCAGTGGTGCAATCTCGGCTCACTGCAACCTCCACCTCCTGCACTCAAGCAATTCCTCCCACTTCAGTCTCCTGAGTAGCTGGGTCTAGAGGTGTGTGCAACCACACCCAGCTAATTTTTGTATTTTTTGTAGTGATGGGGTTTCACCATGTTGCCCAGGCAGGTCTCAAACTCCTGAGCTCAAGCGATCCACTCGCCTCAACCTCCCAAAGTGCTGGGATTACAGGTGTGAGCCACCATGTCTGGCCTTAACCTGGAGTTTAAACAACAAATAATCAATGTCTCCTCTTGCTAGACCCCTCAGGAGCATCCAACACAGTCTACCGTTCTCTCTTTTTTGTTGACTCCTGCTCTTCTTTTGGCCTTCATAGGCTGCACTCTCCTGGTTTTCCTCCTGCAGCTCTGACTCATTCTCCAGTTTCTTGCTGCTCCTCCTCCTATACCCAGTCTCCAGATATTGGAGGTGCTGGGCCCTCTTCTCTCCTCATTTTAAACTTTCTTCTAGATGCGTGTATCCATTCCCACATATCAATATCATCTAATATGCTAAAAATCCTAAATGTGTGTCTTAGCTAGAACTCTCTGCTGAGCTCCCAAATCCTGTAACAACTGCCTCATGGACATCTCTACTTGGACATCACACGGATATCACAAACTTCACATCTGTCAACTGAGCTTCTTCTACCAACCCCCACACCTTAGCACCTCTCCCTCCCCCAGTCTTCCCCATCTCAATAAACTTCCATATGCTCTGCAGCTAAGGCCAGAAACATGGGGGTCATTCTTATTCCTAACTCCTCCCTCCAACTCCTTCACCAGTCCTGCGAAATCTGTTAGACCAAATCATATGAAATTTTCATCTTTGTAGAAAAAAAAAAAGCCAGCTGGGCATGGTGGCTCATACCTCTAATCCCAGCACTTTGGGAGGCTGAGGTGGGTCAGGAGTTCGAGACCAGCCTGGCCAACATGGCAAAACCCCTTCTCTACTAAAAATACAAAAATTAGCTGGGTGTGGTGTCACGCGCCTGTACTTCCAGCTATTAGGGAGGTTGAGGCAGGAGAATCGCTTGAACCAGGGAGGTGGAGGTTGCAGTGAGCCAAGATAGAGCCACTACACTCCAGCCTGGGTGACAGAGAGAGACTCCATCTCAAAAAAAAAAAAAAAAAAAAAAGGCCAAATATGGACAATTTACAGTGTTCAAACTAACACTTTATTTTTCCTTTTTTTGAGACAGAATCTCACTCTGTTACCCAGGCTGGAGAGCAATGGTACGATCTCGGCTTACTGCAACCTCTGCCTCCCTGGTTCAAGTGATCCTCCTGCCTCAGCCTCCCAAGTAGCTGCGTAGCTGGGATTACAGGTGCCTGCCACCACATCCAGCTAATTTTTTTTTTTTTTTTTTTTGAGACGGAGTCTTGCTCTTTCACCCAGGCTGGAGTGCAGTGGCTCTATCTCGGCTCACTGCAAGCTCTGCCTCCCAGGTTCATGCCATTCTCCTGCCTCAGCCTCCTGAGTAGCTGGGACTACAGGTGCCCGCCACCGCACCCAGCTAATTTTTTGTATTTTTAGCAGAGACGGGTTTTCACCGTGTTAGCCAGGATGGTCTCGATCTCCTGACCTCGTGATCTGCCTGCCTCGGCCTCCCAAAGTGCTGGGATTACAGGCATGAGCCACTGCGCCCGGCCCCACCTAATTTTTTTTTATATGTTTAGTAGAGACGAGGTTTCATCATGTTGGCCAGGCTTGTCTCTAACTCTTGGTCTCACGTGATCTGCCCACCTCAGCCTCCCAAAGTGCTGGTATTACAGGTGTGAGCCACTGCGCCCCATCCTCAAACTAATGCTTTCAAAACACCTCTCAAATCTGTTCACTTTTCTCATCTTCACTGACATGTCACCAATAAGTCCACCATAGACCTCTGTCAAGACTTTCCAACCACTTACCTTACTTTCTCACAAGGCCAGTTTTCATACATTGACAATGCAAATTTTTGACAGCTTGCATTGAATCATGTCACTCCCTTGCATAAAAGCCCTTGGGTGTCTTCTTCGGCCCCATCTCATGCCACCCCTCCCCATCCACACAGGCAATTCGTCTCTTATATTTCCATTTCTCATATTCCCTCAGCACTTTTCCAGCTGAGGTCTGATGTGTAGCCCACCCCTGCCTGGAGCCCTCTCCCCATCAGTCTTTCTCTGGCTTGTTCCTGCTCAACTGCTCTGACCCCTCCTCAGGAACACCTTCCTTGATCCCCATCCCAACTTAAAGCAGGCCTCCCTTTTGGTCTTTCCTAGGATGATAATCTATTATTTCCTCTTTTCTCCCCTTTCCCGTTCCCTTTTTAAAAAGTTTGTATTGTACGTATTTAAGGTATACATGATGCTTTTATATACATACACAAAGTGAAATGATGACTACAGTCAAGCAAACTAACACATCCATCACCTCACCTAGTTACTTTTTTACACTGTTGTTTCTCTCATAGCACTTTTCACAGGTTGTTATTATGTACTTATTAGTATTTGTCTAAAGCCTATTTCCCTTGCTTCAGTGTAATCTCCATGGGTATAGAACAAGATGGGTTCTTTTTTGATTACTGTTGTGTACTTAGAATCTCAGATATAGAAGGGGCTCAGTAAATATTTGGTGAATGAATAAATGAGTTCAAAGGCTGTCAAGACACTGCTATTTCTGGGGATTCGTGTTCCCAGGTAGATCTCCCAGGCCACATTTCTCCATGTGATTCACCAATTCTTTTTTTCCCAGTATGTTTTCTTTCCTTTTTACTCCCGATTGTTCCTCTAAATTAAAGGGGAGATTGCCTTTTTGCTAAATTTTCTTCTTTTTTTTTTTGAGACGGAGTCTCGCTCTGTTGCGCATGCTGGAGTGCAGTGGGGCGATCTCAGCTCTGCCTCCTGGGTTCAAGCAATTCTCCAGCCTCAGCCTCCCAAGTAGCTGGGATTACAGGCACATGCCACCACGCCCAGCTAATTTAATTTTTTCTCTTTAAAATGTAATGGACTGAAAGGATCTAACTTTTTAGATCTATTCCACTGAAGACTAACTTTATAGTTTTAAGTTTTACATTTAGATTTATGATTCTTTTTAACTTTTTTGTAAGCTGTGAGGGTTAGGTTAAAGTTATTTTCTTTTTCTTTCTTTTTTTCTCTCTCCTTTCTTTCCTTTTTTTCTCTCTCTCTTTCTCTGTCTTTCTCTCTCTTTCTTTTCTTTCTTTCTTTCTTTTTCTTCATATAGATGTTCACTTGTCCAAACCACATTTGTTGAAAGGCTATTCTTTCTCCTTTGACTTGCCTTTGTGAAAGATCAGTTAGATATATTTGTGTGGGTCTAATTCTAAACTCTCATTTCTTTTCTATTGAACTATGTGTCTCTCTTTGCTAGTACTCACAATTGTTTCACTGCTTTGATGACTATAGCTTTGGAGTAAGTATTAAAATTGGATAGTATGATTTCTCTAAACTTTTTCTTCTTTGTCGGAATTGTTTTGGTTATCTTACTTTTTTGCCTCCCCATATAAAATTTAGCATCAGCTTCTCTCTATCTTTTTAATAATTGTTACAATTTTGATTGAAATGACATTAAATCTGTACATCAACTGGAGACAACTGACATCTTTACTATGTTGAGTCTTCCAATCCATGAGTATGATATGTCTCTCCATTTATTTAGGTCTTCTTTGATTTATTTTTAATCTGTGTTTTGTAGTGATCATCATACATGTCTTATGATGTTAGATTTATACCTAAGTGTTTTATTTTGGGAGTAACTATTGTCGATGGTATTTTTTTAAAGTTTTGATTTCCAATTGTTCATTGCTAATATAAAGAAATAGAGTTGACTTTTGTGTGTTTATTTTGCATCCTGCAAACTAGCCAAACTCACTTATTAGTTCTTGGATTTTGTTGTTGCTGTTATCAGAATCTTTGAACTTTCTTTTTTTTTTTTTTTTTTGAGACGGAGTCTCGCTCTGTCGCCCAGGCTGGAGTGCAGTGGCGCGATCTCGGCTCACTGCAAGCTCCGCCTCCCGGGTTCACGCCATTCTCCTGCCTCAGCCTCCCGAGTAGCTGGGACTACAGGCGCCCGCTACCACGCCCGGCTAAATTTTTGTATTTTTAGTAGAGACGGGGTTTCACCGTGTTAGCCAGGATGGTCTCGATCTCCTGACCTCGTGATCCGCCAGCCTGGGCCTCCCAAAGTGCTGGGATTACAGGCGTGAGCCACCGCGCCCGGCCGAACTTTCTTTTTTTTAAAAAAAATTTTACTTAAAGTTCTGGGATACATGTGCTTAATGTGCAGGTTTGTTACATAGGCTTACGTGTGCCATGGTGGTTTGCTGAACCTATCAACCCATCATCTAGGTTTTAAGGTCTGCATGCATTAGGTATTTGTCCTAATGCTTGCCCTCCCCTTTACCCCCACACCCAGATAGGCCCCAGTGTGTGATGTTCCCCTCCCTATGTCCATGTGTTCTCATTGTTCAGCTCCCACTTATGAGTAAAAACATGCAGTGTTTGGTTTTCCGTTCCTGTGTTAGTTTGCTGAGGATGATGGTTTCCAGCTTCATCCATGTCCCTGCAAAAGACATGAACTCAACCTTGTTTATGGCTGCATGGTATCATGGTGTATATGTGCCACATTTTCTTTATCCAGTATATCATTGATAGACATTTGGGTTGGTTCCAAGTCTTTGCTATTGTAAATAGTGCTGCAGTAAACATGTGTGTGCATGTGTCTTTATAGTAGAGTGATTTATAACCCTTTGGGTATATACCTAGTAATGGGATTGCTGGGTCAAATGGTATTTCTGGTTCTATATCTTTGAGGAATCACCACACTGTCTTCCACAATGAATGAACTAATATACACTCCCACCAACAATGTAAAAGTCTTCCTATTTCTCTGCATCCTCACCAGCATCTGTTGTTTCCAGACTTCTTAATGATTGCCATTGTAACTGACATGAGATGGTATCTCATTGTGGTTTTGATTTGCATTTCTCTAATGACAACTGATAATGACAAGCTTTTTTTAATATGTTTGTTGGCCACATAAATGTCTTCTTTTGAGAAGTGTCTGTTCATATCCTTTGCCCACTTTTTGATGTGGTTGTTTGTTTTTTTCTTGTAAATTTGTTTAAGTTCTTTGTAGATTCTGGATATTAGCCCTTTGTCAGATGGGTAGATTGTACAAATTTTCTCCCATTCTGTACATTGCCTGTTCACTCTGATGATAGTTGCTTTTGCTGTGCAGAAGCTCTTTAGTTTAATTAGATCCCATTTGTCAATTTTGGCTTTTGTTGCAATTGCTTTTGGTGTTTTAGTCATGAAGTCTTTTCTCATGCCTATGTCCTCAATGGTATTGCCTAGGTTTTCTTTTAGGGTTTTTATAGTTTTAGGTTTTACATTTAAGTGTTTAATTCATCTTGAGTTAATTTTTGTATAAGGTGTAAGGAAGGGATCCAGTTTCAGTTTTCTGCATATGGCTAGCCAGTTCCCAGTGCCGTTTATTAAATAGGGAATCCAGTCCCCATTGCTTGTTTTTGTCAGGTTTGTCGAAGATCAGATGGTTGTAGATGTGTGGTGTTATTTCTGAGGCCTCTGTTCTGTTCCATTGGTCTATATCTCTGTTTTGGTACCAGTACCATGCTGTTTTGGTTACTGTAGCCTTGTAGTATAGTTAGAAGTCAGGCAGCGTGATGCCTCCAGCTTTGTTCTTTTTGCTTAGGATTGACTTGGCTATATGGGCTCTTTTTTGGTTCCATATGAAATTTAAAGTAGTTTTTTCTTATTCTGTGAAGAAAGTCAATAGTAGCTTGATGGGAATAACATTGAATCGATAAATTACTTTAGGCAGTATGGCCATTTTCATCATATTGATTTTTCCTATCCATGAGCATGGAGTGTTTTTCCATTTGTTTGTTTCCTCTCTTATTTCCTTGAGCAGTGGTTTGTAGTTCTCCTTGAAGAGGTACTTCAAGTCCCTTGTAAGTTGTGTTCTTAGGTATTTTATTTCTTTGTAGCAATTATGAATGGGAGTTCTCTCATAATTTGGCTCTCTGCTTGTCTGTTATTGGTGTATAGGAATGCTTGTGATTTTTCCACATTGATTTTGTATCCTGATACTTTGCTGAAGTTGTTTATCAGCTTAAAGAGTTTTGGGTCTGAGAGAATGGGTTTTCTAAATATATAATCATGTCGTCTGCAGAGAGAGGCAACTTGACTTCCTCTCTTCCTATTTGAATACCCTTTATTTCTTTCTCTTGCCTGATTGCTCAAGCCAGAACTTCCAATACTATGTTGAATAGGAGTGGTGAGAGAGGGCATCCTTGTCTTGTGCTGGTTTTCAAAAGGAATGCTTCCAGCTTTTGCCCATTCAGTATGATATTGGCTATGGCTTTGTCATAAACAGCTCTTATTATTTTGACATATGTTCCATCAATACCTAGTTTATTGAGTCTTTTTAGCATGAAGGAGTGTTGAATTTTATTGAAGGCCTTTTCTGCATTTATTGAGATAATCATGTGATTTTTGTCATTAGTTCTGTTTATGTGATGGATTATGTTTATTCATTTGTGTATGTTGAACCAGCCTTGCATCCCGGGGATAAAGCTGTCTTGATCATGGTGGATAAGCTTTTTGATGTGCTGCTGGATTCAGTTTACTAGTATTTTATTGAGGATTTTCACATTGATGTTCATCAGTGATATTGGCCTGAAATTTTCTTTTTTTGTTGTGTCTCTGCCAGGTTTGGGAATCAGGATGATGCTGGCCTCATAAAATGAGTTAGGTAGAATCCCTCTTTTTTTATTGTTGGTAATAGTTTCAGAAGGAATGGTTGCAGCTCCTCTCTGTACCTCTGGAAGAATTCAGCTGTGAATCTGTCTGGTCCTGGGTTTTTTTTTTTTTTTTTTTGGTTGGTAGGCTATTAATTACTGTCTCAATTTCCAAAGTTGTTATTGGTCTATTCAGGCATTCAACTTTTTCCTGGTTTAGTCTTGGAAGGGTGTATGTGCCCAGGAATTTATCCATTTCTTCTAGATTTTCTAGTATATTTGCGTAAAGGTGTTTATAGTATTCTCTGATGGTAGTTTGTATTTCTGTGGAATCAGTGGTGCTTCCTCTTTATCATTTTTTATTGGGTCTATTTGATTCTTCTCTCTTTTCTTCTTTATTAGTCTGGCTAGCTGTCTATCTGTTTTGTTAATCTTTTCAAAAAACCAGCTCCTGGATTTATTGATTTTTTGAAAGGTTTTTCATGTCTCTATCTCTTTCAGTTCTGCTCTGATCTTAGTTATTTCTTGTCTTCTGCTAGGTTTTGAATTAGTTTGCTCTTGCTTCCCTAGATTTTTTAATTGTGATGTTAAGGTGTCAATTTTAGATCTTTCCCACTTTCTGATGTGGGCATTTAATGCTATAAATTTCCTTCTAAACACTGCTTTAGCTGTGTCCCAGAGATTCTGGTATGTTGTGTCTTTGTTCTTATTGGTTTCAAAGAACATCTTTATTTCTGCCTTCATTTCATTATTTTCCCAGTAGTCATTCAGGAGCAGGTTGTTCAGTTTCCATGTAGTTGTGCAGTTTTGAGTGAGTTTCTTAATCCTGAGTTTTAATTTGATTGCACTGTGGTTGGAGAGGCTGTTTGTTATTATTTCCATTCTTTTGCATTTGCTGAGGAGTGTTTTACTTCCAATTATGTAGTTAATTTTTAGAATAAGTGCTATGTGGTGCTGAAAAGAATGTATATTCTGTTGATTTAGGGTGGAGAGTTCTGTAGATATCTATTAGGTCCACTTGGTCCAGTGCTGAGTTCAAGTCCTGAATATCCTTGTTAATTTTCTGTCTTGTTGATCTGTCTAATATTGACAGTGGGGTGTCAAAGTCTCCCACTATTATTGTGTGGGAGTCTAAGTCTCTTTGTAGGTCTCTAGGAACTTGCTTTATGAATCTAGATGCTCCTGTATTGGTTGCATATATATTTAGGATAGTTAGCTCTTCTTGTTGCATTGATCCATTTACCATTATGTAATGCCCTTCTTTGTCTTTTTTGATCTTTGTTGGTTTAAAGTCTGTTTTATCAGAGACTAGGATTGCAACCCCTGCTTTTTTTTTCTTTCCATTTGCTTGGTAAATATTCCTCCATCCCTTTATTTTGAGCTTATGTGTGTCTTTGCACATGAAATGGGTCTCCTGAACACAGCACACCTATGGGTCTTAACTCTTCATCCAATTTGCCAGTCTGTGTCTTTTAAATGGAGCATTTAGCCCATTTACATTTAAGGTTAATATTGCTATGTGTGAATTTGATCCTGTCATCATGATGCTAGCTGGTTATTTTGCACATTAGTTGATGTAGTTTCTTCATAGTGTCGTTGGTCTTTATATTTTGGTGTGTTTTTGCAGTGGCTGGTACCAGTTTTTCTTTTCCATATTTACTGTTTCCTACAGGAACTCTTGTAAGGCAGGCCTGGTGGTGACAAAATCCCTCAGAATTTGCTTGTCTGTAAAGGGTTTTATTTCTCCTTCACTTATGAAACTTGGTTTGGCTGGATATGAAGTTCTGGGTTGAAAATTCTTTAAGAATGTTGAGTATTGGCCCCCACTCTCTTCTGGCTTGTAGGGTTTCTGCAGAGAGATTCACCATTAGTGTGATGGGCTTCCCTTTATAGGTAACCTGACATTTCTCTCTGGCTGCCCTTAACATTTTTTCCTTCGTTTCAACCATGGAGAATCTGACAATTATGTGTCTTGGGGTTGCTCTTCTAGAGCAGTAACTTAGTGGTTTTCTCTGTATATCCCGAATTTTAATGTTGGCCTGTCTTGCTAGGTTGGGGAAGTTCTCCTGGATAATATCCTGAAGTGTGTTTTCCAACTTGGTTCCATTCTCCCCATCACTTTCAGGGACCCCAATCAATCGTAGTGTGGTCTTTTCACATAGTCCCATATTTCTTGGAGGCTTTCTTCGTTCCTTTTCAGTCTGTTTTCTCTAATCTTGTCTTCATGCCTCATTTTAGTAAGTTGATCTACGATCTCTGATATCCTTTCTTTCACTTGATTGATTCAGCTGTTGATACTTGTGTATGTTTCACAAAGTTTTTGTGCTGTGTTTTTCATCTCCATCAGGTCATTTATGTTCTTCTCTAAACTGGTTATTCTAGTTAGCAGTTCATGTAACCTTTTGTCAAGGTTCTTAGCTTCCTTGCATTGCATTAGAAGATGCTCCTTTAGCTCAGAGGAGTTTGTTATTACCCACCTTCTGAAGCCTACTTCTGTCAACTTATCAAACTCATTCTCTCTCCAGTTTTGTGCCCTTGCTGGAGAGGGGTTGTGATCATTTGGAGGAGAAGAGGCATTCTGGTTTTTGGAATTTTCAGTCTTTTTGTGCTGGTTTTTCCTCATCTTTGTGGATTTATCTACCTTTGATCTTTGAGATTGATGAACTTTGGATGGAGTTTCTCTGTGGGGGTTCCTTTTGTTGATGTTTATGTTATTGCTTTCTGTTAATTAGTTTTTCTTCTAGCAGTCAGGCCGCTCTTCCGCAGGTCTGCCGCAGTTTACTGGAGGTCCACCCCAGACTCTTTTTGCCTGTGTATCACCACTGGAGGCTGCAGAACAGCAAAGATTGCTGCCTACTCCTTCCTCTGGAAGCTTCATCCCGCAAGGGGCACTGGCCTGATGCCAACTAGACATCTCCTGTATGAGGTGTCTGTCAACTCCTGTTGGGAGGTCTCTCCCAGTCAGGAGGAACGGAGGTCAAGGACCCACCTGAGGAGGCAGTCTATCCCTTAGCAGAGCTTGAGCATTGTGCTGGGAGAACCCTCCTTGTCAGGATTTACTGCTTTCTTCAGAGCTGGCAGGCAGGTATGTTTAAGTCCACTGAAGCTATGCCCACAGCTTCTCCTTCCCCCACGTGCTCTGTCCCAGTGAGGCGGGAGTTATATCTATAAGTTTTATCTATAAGCCCCCTGACTGGGGCTGCTGCCTTTCTTTCAGAGATGCCCTGCCCAGTGAAGAGGGATCTAGAACAGCAGTCTAGCCACAGCCACTTTGCCACGCTGTGTTGAATTCTGCCTAGTCTGAACTTCCAAGCGTTTTGAGCATGGTCAAGGGAAAACCACCTACTCAAGCCTCAGTAATGGTAGAGGCCCCTCCCCCGACCAAGCTTGATCGTCCCAGGTTGGCTTCAGACTGCTGTGCTGGCAGTGAGAATTTCAAGCCCGTGGTTTTTAGCTTGCTGGGCTCTGTGGGAGCGGGACCTGCTGAGTGAGACCACTTGGTTCCCTAGCTTCAGCCCCCTTTCTAGGGGAGTGAACAGTTCTGTTTTGCTGGGGTTCCAGGCACCACTGGGGTTAAAAAAATAAAAATAAGAAAAAAAAATAACCTCCTGCAGCTAGCTCGATGTTTGCCCAAACAGCTGCCCAGTTTGGTGCTTGAAACCCAGGGCCCTGGTGGTAAAGGCACACAAGGGAATCTCCTGGTCTGTGGATTGCAAAAAATGTGGGAGAAGCATAGTATCTGGGCCGGATAGCACAGTTCCTCATGGCCTCCCTTGGCTGGGAAAGGGAGGCTCTCCCACTCCTTGCACTTCCCAGGTGAGGTGACACCCCACCCTGCTTCTGCTTGCCCTCTGTGGGGTGCACCCACTGCCTAACCAGTCCCATTGAGATGAACAGTGTACCTCAGTTGGAAATGCAGAAATCACCCGCCTTCTGCATTCATCTCACTGGCAGCTGCAGACTGAATCTGTTCCTATTTGGCCATCTTGCCAGCAACCCACAGATTCCTTGAACTTTCTATGTAAACAGTCAGGTCATCTGCAAACAGTTTTTTTTTTCCTTTCCAATCTATATGCCTATTTTTTTTCTTACCTTGTTGCACTGGCTAGAAACTTTCAATATGATGATGGACAAGAACATTGAGAATGGAAAACCTTATCTTGTTCCCAATCCTGAAGGGAAAGTGTTCTGTCTTTCACCATTAAGTACATTAAGTATGATGCCAGTTATAGGTTTTTGTAGATATCGTTTATCAGAGTGAGGAAGTTTCCTTCTCTTTCTAGTTTGCTGAGTGTTTATAATTAAAACTAGTAAAATTAGATATCGAAATTTGGATTGGTTTCTATTCCTAGTTTTCTGAATGTTTTTATGAGTGGATGTTGAATTTTGTCAAGTGCTTTTTTTACATCAATTGATATGATCATGTGGTTTTTCTTCTTTAGACTGTTAGTACAATGTAACACATGGTTTGATTTTTGAATATTAAACTAGTATTCTCAAACAGCTGTTTTATTATTATTTTTTATAAATTGCTGGATTAAGTTAACCAATATTTTGTTAAAAATTTTCATGTCTATATTCATGAATAGAATTGATCTATAATTTTCTTTTCTCAAACTGTCTGCTATTTCTGGTTTGGAATCAAGGTATTGATGGCTTCATAAGTTATTTGCAGTGTTCCCACCAAGTTTATCTTTAGATGTAATGAATTTTTCCAAATAGTTCTTTATAAGCCCCAAGTGGCACTTGTTCTTTAACACCAGGGTACAATATAGTACATTCTAGTCCACTTCCCATATGGAGTATTCTAGCTCACTCAACAATAAGTTACTATATGTAATGTACATGAAACATAAATTCATCAATTAGTTAAAAAGTATTCACCACCTATGATGTAGTTAGGCATTACCCTAGGAGCTGTCAGGGATTCAAGAGAAATAAAACTCTGATTCTATCTACAAAGAATTTGCCATCCTCCAAATAATTACAATAAAATTAAATGTACTAGTCCAGAAAGTATCCAACACTGAACAGACTCTGCTTCAGAATCCTACAGGATCTCAGGTTCATGACCACAATATTGATTAGCATTGAACTTTATGGCTCAAGTGCTGTATCTCTTCCCACGTCCTCCCTTGATGCTCTTTCTCAAGCACCAAGAGCTTATTTAATGCTCCCAAGAAGCCTGACAGGTATGTAATTCGGGTCTTTACTATCATTTTCATTTTATCTTTATTTTTTCCTGCTTACAAAAATATTAAAGTTTTTTTATTTTAATTAACAATATATAAAAGTAGAAAATGGAAATGTCCCATTATTTTACCCCCAAAGGTAAGAGATTGACATGTATATTACTCTGATTTGTTGTGTGGTCCTTAAATAAGATGATTTTTTTAACTCTTTACTGTAGCGTGAAATCTAAAACCAGGTATAGCAGGTTGATACAGCAACCCCACAAGTGTCATTTAAATTATAGCTATAGACACAGATTTTTTTATAAAAGTCTATACACATATGATATGGTTTGGATCTGTGTCTCCACCAAATCTCATGTCCAAATGTAATCCCCAGTGTTGGAGGTGGGGCCTTGTGGGAGGTGATTGGATCATGGGGCGGTCCTTCAGGAATGGTTTAGCACCACCTCCTGGTGCTGTTCTCATGATAGTGAGTGAGTTCTGTTAAGATCTGGTTATTTAAAAGCATGCAGCACCTCTGCCCTCTCTCTCTCTTCCTCCTGCGCTGGCCATGTAAGACATGCCTGCTTCCCCTTTGCCTTCTGCTATGTTTGTAAGTTTCCTGAGGCCTCCTCAGAAGCCAAGTAGATACCAGCATTGTGCTGCCTGTACAGCCTGCAGAACTGTGAGCCAATTAAACCTCTTTTCTTTATAACTTACCCAGTCTCTTTTTATAGCAGTATAAGAACAGATACATAATACAACATACATATGTAGTTGTAAAGTATGTTTCAATACCCACATTTTGCAGATGAGGAGATGGTCTCAGAAGATTCATAGACATGCTTAAGCCAAGAAGTGAGGAGCTCAGATTCAAATTCAAGACTGCTTAAAGCCTGAAAAGCAAATATAATAATCCCTCAGGATCTGAAGGGGATTGGTTCCAGGACCCTCAAAGATATCAAAATCTGCAGATGCTCAAGTTCCTTATATAAAATGGCATAGTATTTGCATATAACACATGCACATCTTCCTGTATACTTTAAATCATCTCTAGATTACTTGTAATACTTAATACAATGTAAAACTATGTAAATAGTTGTTACACTATATTTTTTTGTATTATTTGTATTGTTTTATTGTTATTTTCTATTTTTTTCCCCAGAGATTTTGTATCTGCATTTGATTGGATCTCCAGATGCTGAATTCAAGGACACAGAAGGCAGACTGTACTTAATTGAGTAAAGCTCTGGACAGAAGGTGCAGCCTTCTCCTCTCCAGTAGCACAGGATTGCTGACTCCAACCTTAGGGTATGGAGGGAAAGGAAGGCATTTCCTAGGCCACGGTGACTTCATGCTGCTTCTCTCCACAATTTTTCCCAGTGTTTTGCTATCATAGGCACCATGAGTTACTCTGCTGTATTTTCTTCACTCCCATATCCTCTGTGACTACAACAGTGCTGGCACATAGTAGGTGGTCATGTTTATTTTCTATGGCTGTGCTACCAAATTACCGTAAGCTAAATGGCTTAAAACAACACAAATGTATCATCTTACAGTTCTGTAAGGCAGAAGTCCCACATGATCTCACCGGGCTAATATCAGAGTGTCAGCAGGACTGGTTTCCTTTGGAGGCTCTAGGGGAGAATCCATTTTCTTGCCTCTTAGCTCATGTCCATCCTCCATCTTCAAAGTCAGCAACTGATCAGGGCAGGGGGGTCAAGTCCTTCTCACAATGCATTGCTCTGACCCTTCTTCTACAGTTACAACTCCCTCTGACCACAGTCAGGAAGGTTTCTCACTTTTAAGGACTTGCTTTTAAAGACTGGGCCTGCTGGGATACTCCCAGATATCCATTTCAAGGTTCTTAACATAATCACACCTGCAAAGTCCCTTTTGTCATGTAAAATAGAATATTCACAGGTTCCAGGATTAAAATATGAACATTTTGAGGGGGCAATTATCCTTCCTGCCACAGTGTTCAACAAATAATTCTGAATAAATGAATGAATCAACAGAGTGCGGTGGTTATGAACACAGAGCCAGCCACTTTGGCTCAGAGCTTGGATCCACCATTTACTAGTTGCATGACACGCAGGTCAATTGACCTCTCAGATTCTTCATCTAAAAAATGGGGAACATCCTGATGGGCCCTCATAGGATTGTGGAGAAGATGAGATGAGTTGATATGTATGATGTATAAAGCTCTTGAAAAGTGTTTGCTCTGTTACGATGATTTGAAGCTGCAGGTGTATTCATGTTATTCTCAGTATTGCCCAGGTCATTGCATTTTTATTGCACTTCTTGCAAGGTTATGTGATGGAGTAGAAAGAGTGTGGGCTTTGGGGCAAAGAGACTGGCTCTGGGTCCCAACTCAAACACTCACTAGTTATACAACCGTGTTAAATAATACAGTTTCCTGTCTGTGAAGTAAAGGGGAGGAAATCTTCCTTACGTGGCCCTTGTGAGGAATAGCTGAGATGGTGTAGGTGAAGAAGTAACTATGTACAGTATTAGACATACAATAGGTGCTCAGTAATGGTGCTTTTATGATGAATTCTACATGCACTGTTGCACCCAGGGTTTTTTTTTTTTTTTGAGACGGAGTCTCGCTCTGTCGCCCAGGCTAGAGTGCAGTGGCGAGATCTCGGCTCACTGCAAGCTCCGCCTCCCAGATTCATGCCATTCTCCTGCCTCAGCCTCCCGAGTAGCTGGGACTACAGGTGCCTGCTACCACCCCCGGCTAATTTTTTGTATTTTTAGTAGAGACGGGGTTTCACCGTGTTAGCCAGGATGGTCTGGATCTCCTGACCTCGTGACCCACCCGCCTCAGCCTCCCAAAGTGCTGGGATTACAGGCCTGAGCCACCGCGCCTGGCCGCACCCAAGGTTTTACAACACCCTGAGAGGCCCTGCATGCTCTGGCCTCCTCACTTCCCTCATCCCTCTGTCACTCCTCTGTCTGTATCTCCTCCTGTCTTTCTTATTTTCTGTAGCACTTGCCACCTGCTAATATACTAGATTATTTGCTTATGTATAAGATTTATTGTTATTCTTCCTTTCCACTAGAAGAGGGTAAAGAGCATCAGGAGGAGTGTGTGTGTGTGTGTGTAAGAATTTAGTGGGCATCTATTATGTGCCAAGCATTGTTCTAGGTCTAGATTCCTGTGTTATATCAATGCACAAAACAGAAATTCCTACCCTGGTGTGATGTAAGAAAAGAATCTAGATCTAGAATATGCTTGGGACATAATAGATGCTCACTAAATTCTTACTAAATGAATGAATGAATGAATGAATGCCATGTGTTATGTGGAGCCAGTGGCCCAAACAGCTCCTGACATAAAGCAGGAGTCAGTAAGTGTCAGTTGAATCAAATGACATTAAATAGTTGTGAACCTACCCTTAGGAGACCCCTGGGAGTACCTAACTGGGGAGGTGGAGTTGTTCCCTTCCCAAACTAATTTTTCTGGTTTTATTTTATTTTTTCCTCATCAGATTTCCAAATCCTGAGCTGCCTGCTTTAGAAGCAATGATTCTTTGCTGGTGATTCAGTATTAAATGGTTCCTGAGCTGGCTGCACTGAAAGCTGCTCTCCACAAATTAGACAAGGTTACACTCCCACAGAATATATACTGGTCTCTTAATAGGGTGTAATTAATCACACACCAATGAGCAGAATCACCAAAAATTGTTGCCAAAGAGCAACTTAATGCTGGATAATTATAAATCAGAGTGTTTGATGAATCCAAGATGCTGCTAGATGGGACACTAAGGGACCAAGCTGAGGAAACTAAATATTCCATGGAAAAATAAAGATGAGAGAGTCCTCTGCACCTGGCTTCCAGACAGTTGCCACCCCCTTGCCACACCCTACCCAAGGCTCACTCTCATTTGCCCTTTATAAGCTACTTTAGGATGGCATATTTCTTTATTTCCTGAAATAATGGCCTTGAAGACTGAAAAAAAATGATTAGCTGGTGAGAATGTAATTTTTCATGATATTTACTTAATTTTAATTTTTATTTTTAATTAACAAACAATTTTATACATTTATGGGATACAATGTGATGTTATATGTACATACACATTGCAGCATGATTAAGTCAAGCATATCAACATATCCATCACCTCAAATACTTATCATTTCTTTGTAGTCAGAACATTAAAAATCTACTCTTCTAGCAATTTTGAAATATATAATTCATTATTAACTACAGTCATCATGTTGTACAATAGATCACTAGAACTTATTCCTCCTGTTTAACCATCATTTTACTCTCTGCTTCTGTGAGTTTCAGACTTTCTTTAGAGCCCACATGTGAGATCAGGCACTATGTATCTTTCTGTACCTGGCTTATTTCACTTAGCATAATGTCCTCTAGGTTCACCTATATTGTCAAAAATGACAAAATTTCTTCCTTTCTTTTTTCTGTTTCGTTTTGTTTCAGAGATGGGCTTTCACTATGTTGCCCAGGCTGGACTTGAACTTATAAACTCAAGGCATTGTCCTGCTTCAGCCTCTGCTAGAATAGCTGGGACTATAGGTGCACACCACCATGCCCAGCTGAATCTGTTTTTCTCTTTCTCTTCTATTCTCTCCTCTCCTCTCCTCTTCTTTCTTTCTTTTTCTTTCTTTCTTTCTTTCCTTTCTTTCTTTCTTTTCTTTTCTTTCTTCTTTCTTTTTTTGTCTTTCTTTCTTTTCTTTCTCTTTCTTTCTTTCTTTCTTTCTCCCTTCCTTCCTTCCTTCTCCTGCTTCAGCTTCTCCTAGAGTAGCTGGGACTATAGGTGCATGCCACCACATCCAGCTGACTCTTTCCTTCTTTCTTTCTTTCTTTCTTTCTTTCTTTCTTTTTCTCTCTCTCTCTCTCTTTCTTTCTCTCTCTTTCTTCCTTCCTTCCTTCCTTTTTTCTTTCTTTCTTCACTTTCTTTCTTTTCCCTCCCTTCCTTCCTTCTTCTTCTTCTTCCTTCCTTCCTTCCTTCCTTCCTTCCTTCCTTCCTTCCTTCCTTCCTTCCTTCCTTCCTTCTTGTCTTGCTCTGAGGCCCAGGCTGGAATGCAGTGGCATGATCATGACTCACTGTAACCTTGAGCTTCTGGGCTCAAGTGATCTTTCTGCTTCAGCCTCCCAAGTAGCTAGGACTACAGATGCATACCACCATACCTGGCTAAATTAAAAACAAATTTTTTTTCAAGAAACAGTGTCTCACTCTGTTGCCAAGGCTGGTCTCGAACTCCTGGCCTCAAGTGATCCTCCCACCTCAGCCTGTCAAAATGCTGGGATTACAGGTGTGAGCCACCATGACTAGCCTCCTTCTTTTTTAAGGCTGAATAGTGTGTGTATATATACATCACATTTTATTTATTCATCCATCCATGGACATCGGGTTGATTTTGTATCTTGGCAATTTTGAAGAATGCTGCAGTGAACGTGGGAGTATAAAGATCTCTTGGACATACAGATTTCATTTTCTTTGGATATATACCCAGTAGTGAGATTGCCGAATCATATGGTAGTTCTTGCTTTAATCTTTTGGAGGAAGAGAATGTAATTTTGGAGGCTGGGTTTCTATTTGGTTGTTTTGTCTTGTTACAATTTTGGTGTGGTTGTTTTGGCCTTCTGCAAAGTTCACAGCACAAGTGAAATTGTTAAATAAAAGTTTATTGGCCAGGTGTGTTGCTCACACCTGTAACCCCAGCACTTTGGGAGGCCAAGGCAGGTCAATCACTTGAGGTCAGGAGTTTGAGACCAGCCTGCGCAACATGGTGAAACCTTATCTCTACTAAAAATACAAAAATTAGCCGGGTATGGTGGCACACATCTGTAATCCCAGCTACCTGGGAGGCTGAGGCAGGAGAATTGCTTGAACCCCAGAGGGGGAGGTTGCGGTGAGCCAAGATCACACCACTGCACTCTAGCCTGGGCAACAGAGTGAGACTCCTTCTCAAAAAATATATATATATTTATTATTTTTGGTAAAACTGTAAGACATACTTTGAAGGTTGTTTAGAAAATACAAATTAACAAAAAGAAGGACATATTTTAAATTGGTTGTAACTCCACTGCCCAGAGACAGTCACAGCCACTGCTCACCTCTCTATCTTTTGCATTCCATGGACTTCCTTGCCTTCTGCCTGTCTCACTCAGCTATGTGTATGATGATTTAAAGATGGCATGTTGGCCGGGCGTGGTGGCTCATGCCTGTAATCCCAGCACTTTGGGAGGCCGAGGCAGGTGGATCACCTGAGGTCTGGAGTTCGAGACCAGCCTGACCAACATGGAGAAACCCTGTCTCTACTAAAAATACAAAATGAGCTGGGCGTGGTGGCACATGCCTGTAATCCCAGCTACTAGGGAGGCTGAGGCAGGAGAATCAGTTGAACCTGGAGGTGGAGGTTGCAGTGAGCCAAGATCGCACCATTGCACTCCAGCCTCAGCAACAAGACCAAAACTACGTCTCAAAAAAAAAAAAAAACCACTAAAAAAATAAAGATGACATATGCCACAATAAGCAAAGAGGCCAGGGACAACCTGCCAACTGCCCTGGTCTTATCTCCCATGATGCACCCTCAGTTCCCAGACCTACTCTTGCAGAAGTTGTCTTCTTCTTGGTCTAGTCTTGCAAGGATTAAATCACAGGCCTCTGGTAAGGATGTTGTGATACAGGACAGACTTCCACCCTGGAAGACATTCTGATCCTCGGTCTGACTAAGAATTACTGTGGGCCTTTTAGCTTCCAGCAATCAAAGAATGAAAAGAACAAAATCTATTAATTGTTCTTTTGATAAGTATTTACCAACTGCCTATTCTGTGCCAGTGTTCACATTATGTATTGCTGCATAACAAACCACCTCAAAACCAAATGGATTTAAACCAAAATGTATTATTACCGCTCACAAAGTTGTGCTTTGGCTGGGATCAGACAGGAGATTCTCATCTAGAGTCTCAAGATCACAATCAGATGGCATCCGGGGCTGCAGTCATCCAAAGGCTCACCCAAGCGGGACACTCAAAATGGCTCCCTCATATGGCTGGTGCCTCAGTGCCTTCTGGACTTTCTTTTTTCATGTAGTGCTTTGCCCCCCAGGCCTCCCCCACTTCACCTGGGCTTCGTGCAGTATGGTGGCTTCAGTGTACCTGCGCTTCTTACTTGACAACTGGCTTCTAAAGGTAGAAACCGAAGCTGCCAGGCCAAAGTGTTATGACAAGTATGGGCCAGTGAAGGGTCACACCAGGAACAGGTGGAGAGTCACTTCTGCCATATTCTGTGAGTGCATCTGTCACAGGACCTACACAGATTCAAGGAGGTGGAGAAATAGACTGTACTCTTGATGGGAGAGTGGCAATTCTCTGCAGCCTGTCATGAGGGATCCACTCCCACGGCCCAAACACCTCCCAGCAGGTCCCATCTCCAACACTGGGGATCAAATTTCAACATGAGATTTGGGGAGGACAGGTATCCAAACTGAGTCAACTGGTCTCATTGTCAAGAGTCCTGAGTTCTATAGTGTTCCCGCAACACACACATTGCTGTTTTCTGTGTGACCCTGACAATTCACTTAACTTCTCTGGGACTTTAATATCTGATTTGTAAAAGGGAGGCTATCTGGCCCTTCTCATAGAAGTGTTACGACAATTAATGAGGTTATAATAATAAAAGGACTTGGCAGAGGGTGAGAGTGAGTATTCATTTTTAAGGAGGATGTTAATTTTGAGAAATACCCAATCTGTGAGCTATTTAAATATCTAGAAGTACCAAGGAACTAAACATGGCTCCATCTTTCCAGTGTTCATCCTGTAACCCAGTGCTATGGTTTGAATGTGGCCTTCAAAACCCATTTTAAATTTAGTTGTCATTGTGATGGTGTTAAAAGGTGGGACCTCTAAAAGGTGATTAGGTCGTGAGGGCTCTGTCCTCATGTATGGATTAATGCCATTATCACCAGAGCCGATTAGTTGTTGTGGGACAGGGCTCCTGAAAAAAGGATGCATTTGGTCCAATTTTCCCTATCTTGTGTACTCATTTGCCCTTCCACCTTCTGCCATGAGCTAATGTAGCACAAAAGCCCTCACCAGATCCCAGCACCTTGATCTTGGACTTCCTAGCCTCTGGAAATATGTGAGAAATAAATTTCTGTTTATTATAAATTACCCAGTCTATTGTATTCTGTTATTGCAACAGAAAATGGACTAAGACATACAGCAACCAGGAGGAAATCATCAAATAGCCAGAAATGGACTGATGTCATCAGCTTCCTCAGAAATACCAAAGTTAAACTGACCTGCTTTTCGAGATAGTGGTCACGAGCCTTCGGTCGACGGCTCACCTTGCTGAGATAAACAACCAGGATGTAGTTTCCAGGAATCTGGAAGGGTTTACATGCCATATAGGGAGAAGCAGGATTTAGGATGAATCACTCTCTGAAACCTGGATTCAAGGCAAAGAAAGGGACAGAACTAGACTCCATTTGCTCTTGCTCAGAAAAGCTCTCTGCCTAATGATATAGTAAGATTAGCTATTGTTAAATGAATCACTACTGAACTGCTACTAGGCAGGCCCTGGGCTAAACTTTTAAAATAATTATCTCATTCAGCACTCAAAAGTCTAAAGAGGTGGGTACCAATCAGAGTTCCATTTTACAGATGAGGAAATTGAGGACTAAGAGCCTACAGTTATTGTGAGCTGATAGAAGGATTCAGCCCTAGGAGGTCTGGGTCCATGGTCCCTGAAAATAAACCACTAATTATCCTGTCTCCAACTACCTAAAGGCTTAAGGTGCCTCAAGACACAGGTCTTGAAGCCCTACTGTGTGCCAGGCCCTAGATTGAGTGCTGGTATTGGAGAGCCAAGAAGGACACTGTTCTCATCCTCAAGGAGGTCACAGGCTAGTGAGAAGAGAGATAGATGAACAGAGTGAATATCCCAGGTAAATGTGCTGCTGGGTATCCGGAGGGATTGCCGCATGAGCAAAGTCCCATCTATCCTGGAGGCCTTGCCAGGAGCAGTCAATGAAGGCTTCCTGAGGAGGCAACCCCTGAGCCAGGTCCGATGTCTGATCCACCGCCACTTTAATACCAATATGAACAGCATATGTGCTTCATATCCACACAGACATTACTGCTGTATAAGTATGACCTTTTGGTCCATCAGTGTGACTGATCCTCCTAATTTGTTTATGAACGTAACTCCGGTCACCATTGGTAAGAATGGCTAGGTGGGCTTTCTTGAACCTCAGCCCATTTATTTTATGGCTTGGGCATTCATCTCAAGTTCTGGCAGATTTGGAAGCAAAAGGCAGCCTCATATAAGAGTCCAGAGGAGGACAAAGGGCAAGTCCACACCTTCCCCTGCCCCCCATGGTGTGAGCAAAGAGCCCTTCCTTCCCTTCACACTCCCTTGACACCGGCCTCTGTTACCACCTTCGTTCTCCCTGCTTAACCCCACACTTGTTGCTTCCGTGGAGAAGCGTCATGTCACATTTGTGTTCTGTTGGAAAACATGAGGCTTGAATCTGAAAAAATTAAAACATGTGTTCCATTTTCAGTTGCTTTTCTGGGAGTCCTCAGGTGGAGGAATCCATGTGCCTTATCCACCCATCTGAACATTCTTTCTTTTTTTCTCCTCATAGAGGTAGGAAAAATGAAAAGCCTGGAATTCCTGCCCTACTGCAAGTAAGATCCAGAAAAGAGCACAGAGAGGATGGTGGGAGCAGCCGGAGGGGCTGGCCTCCTTGCTTCCTGAGCAGCACAGCTTTTTGGATATGCAGATCCCCTTTAAGGTGTGCACTAGAACATAAGGCCTGGCACGGAATTCCACAAAGGGTGAGATTAAGGCACCAGGCTGGATGTGCGGGTCGGGGAAAGGGTTGGCTTCGAGGACATATTTGATATATGATGGTGAAAACTGCATTTGTCCATACCAGAGATATGGATGGCTGGATGAAGGCCTAGGAGCTAAAGCTCTCTCTTAAGATTGGGAGAAATAAAAGAAGACTAGAGAGAAAGAAAGAACAAATGGGTGGGGTGCAGTGGCTATGCCTATAATCCCAGCACTTCGGAAGGCAGATTGCTTGAGACATGCAGATTGCTTGAATCCAGGAGTTTGAGACCAGCCTGGGCAGCATGGTGAAACCCAGTCTCTACAAAAAATAAAGTAACTAGCTGGGTGTGGTGCACCCTTGTGGTCCCAGCTGCTCAGGAGGCTGTGGCAGGAGGATCACCTGAGCCTGGGAGGTCGAGGCTACAGTGAGCTGTGATCACGCCATTGCACTCCAGCCTGGTTGACAGAGTGAGACCCTGTCTCAAAAATAAATAAATAAATAATGAATGAACAGACAGAGCAAGAGAGAGAGGGAGGACACATAAGAACCAGGGTTTCTAAAATCCGCTTCTGTCAGAAATTCCTGCCCGTACTTAGTAAAGGTCTAACACCTACATTTCATTAAAAATTAAACATTTGTTATTAGGAGTAGAACTCTGATGTGCTTTTGATGATGTCATAAGTAAAAGAATCTGAGTTTTGGTCTGGGCGCAGTGGCTCATGCCTGTAATCTCAGCACTTTGGGAAGCCAAGGCGAGCAGATCACGAGGTCAAGAGATCAAGACCATCCTGGCCAACATGGTGAAACCTGGTCTCTACTAAAAATACAAAAATTAACTGGGCATGGTGTCACGCACCTGTAGTCCCAGCTATTTGGGAGGCTGAGGCAGGACAATGGCTTGAACCCTGGAGGTGGAAGTTGCAGTGAGCCAAGATTGTGCCACTGCACTCCAGCCTGGCGGCAGAGTGAGACTCAGTCTAAAAAAAAAAAAAAAAAAAACAGAATCTGAGTTTTGGAGAACAGTAGAAGAAATTTTAAAACTTAATATTGCTAATTTTGAACTGAATGACCCAGAATAAGTTCAATTTCCTCACGAATAAAAGTGGATATCATAATACCCAAATAGAAAGGTGAAAATGCCAGACACCATGGGCTCCATGCAGGGGCCTCTGAGAGGGCACTGGTGGCCTTCCCTTCCCTATGGCCTCCGAAACCCTGATGTTCTGGCCTGACTGCTCCCTGAAGGTCGTGATCCTAGGAGAGGGATCTCCCAGGCAGACATTTCTTCCCTGCTGAAGGGGTTGCAGGAAGGTGGGCCTGAGATGAGAAGGGCAGAGGTCCCAGCAGCACTGAAAGAGGTTAGGGTATGCTGGGAAAACTAGCCATAGGCAGTGGCCCTTGGGGCTTCCAGCCCTGGCCAGGCATTTTGCTGATCATTACTGGTCCACAGGATTTCTGGATTTCATACATGTTAATTATTCTTCTCCTCTTATTCCCAGTGTTTCAGCTCTGGGATTCTCTGAAAACAATGTGCTTCTCCATTCCTTTATATTCTACATTCCAGGTTTGGAATTCAGGTCTCCAGTCATTGTTTCTGGTTTCGATGTTGATGGCTCCTACATTCTTTCTTCGATAGCTGGCCCCGTCTCTCGGGCTATGCGGACCTAGGCTGGACTCATTCCCTTGAGCAGGCATTTGGCTCATATTCAAGTTCTCAAAACTGAGCCCAGTTTGCTGTAGGAGCTATATGAACAGGTGTGTGTGTGTGTGTGTGTGTGTGGCTGTGCACGTGTGTGCACACTGGTGTGTGTGTGTTCCCCTCCAGTGTGGCACTTTCTGTTAGCTCTTTCATTCTCTTCATAGCCTCTCTGTTAATACATTCATTCCCAATCCTTTGAAACATTTCACCTTTAAACCCACAAGAATGTTAAGATTCTATCTAGGCTTCAGGAATTATATATTTCAAAAGTCACTTCAGTCGCATGACTATTAACCTAGAAACATTAACATTTTTGAATCTTTCAAGTTGCTCTATGAGCGAATTCAAAGGTGTCCTTTTCTTTTCTTTCTTTGTTTAGTAAGTTAACTAATCATTCAGGCATTGATCTTATTTTTGATGTTAAGAAAACCCACAGTACTCACTTGCACCATATAGGTTTCTGACATCTCTCAGAATGACTTGTAATCAGGAAAAAAAAAAGTGATGTTTTCCAAGTAAAGAAGATAATTCTCCAGGAATGGAGTTAAGAGAGATTACATGTAAGTATTGCCTAGGAATGCGTTTAATACAGTAACTTCTTAATGTGATGAAACAGTGTAAATACATTTTATTTGCAATGTCTGAAACAACTTATCAAGGCACTCTGCTATGGAATGAATTACTTCTCTCCTGGTTAAGAGAACCAAGTGCTCCAAAGAGAACTTAACATCATTTTAAGGAATATACCTCCAAAAGAAAGGGAAAGAGAAGCTAAACCTTACTAAAACATTGAAAATCTAGTGTGCTTAAATGAAATGGTTCAATATGTTTTATCCAGATGAGGATATGCAATACAAAAATTTGATATATGGAAAAATTGATATATGGATATATATTGGAAAAAATTGGGTATATGAAATATAGTTGTTGCATTCTAACTTCTTAGGAGCCCTTTGATATTTCACGGATATCTAATCTTTTATTTCAGCTATTCAGGTATGTGTAATTTTGTAATAAATTTTATTAACATATTTTATAAATGGAAAAGCACATTTTAATGTTGAAGCAGAGACTCCTTTTAAAAATAACTTTTTCTCACTCCTGTAATCCCAGCACTTTGGGAGGCCGAGGCAGGCAGATCATGAGGTCGGGAGATCGAGACCATCCTGGCTAACATGGTGAAACCCCGTCTCTACTAAAAATACAAAAAATTAGCCGGGCACGGTGGTGGGCACTTGTAGTCCCAGCTACTCGGGAGGCTGAGGCAGGAGAATGGTGTGAACCCAGGAGGTGGAGCTTGCAGTGAGCGGAGATCACGCCACTGTACTCCAGCCTGGGCGACAGAGTGAGACTCCATCTCAAAAAAATAAATAAATAAAAAATAACTTTTTCTGGCTGGGCATGGTAGCTTATGCCTATAATCCCAGCACTTTGGAAGGCCAAGGCAGGAGGATCTCTTGAAGCCAGAAGTTTGAGACTGACCTGGGCAACAAAGTGAGACCCTATCTCTACAAAAAATTTAAAAATAGCCAGGTGTGGTGGCACACACCTGCAGTCCCAGCTACCCAGGAGGCTGAGGTGGGAGGATTGCTTGAGCCCAGGAGTTTGGAGGCTGCCATGAGCTATGATTATACCACTGCACTCCAGCCTGGGCAACAGAACCAGACTCCATCTTTAAAGTAATAATAATAATAATAATAATTATTATTTTTCTGTAAAAAGCTACACTTAAATTTATTCAGGAGAATATAAAAGGCACCCATAATCACAGTATCAGGAGAACCATTATTAATATTTTGGTGTCCTCCTTCCAGTTATTTTTTATGCATAAATTTTTTAAATTAGGAGATCATGACATGTACGCAGTTTTATATCCTGGTTTCTTGTTATTCTTTTGTTTCTGCTTACCACATGGTATGAAGGTTTTTCCATGTCATTACATTCTTTTAAAGTGTTGTATCATTGGCTACGTAGTTTTCCATTGTATGAATGTACCTGCTATGAATAAGTTGGGTTCTTCCTGATTTTTTATTTGTTTGGTTGTTTGTTTATTATAACGTTGGTGTGCATAGACTTTTGTGCATATCTGTCAGTAGTTCTCTGCAATAAAATGTATGAACATATCCTTTTTAAAGCTGAGGTCAAATTACCCTCCAGAAAACCTGCACTAATTAATACTCACTCCAGAAATGCATAAGAATAGTGGGGAAGTTGAGCACTCAGCTCTGGGTTTAATCTTGGCTCTGCCTCCTCCAGTGGTGGTGATCTGGGACAAATTACAAAAATTTTCTCTTTTTTAAATGTTTTTT
Organism: Homo sapiens; assembly: GCF_000001405.40. Lineage (NCBI taxonomy): Eukaryota > Metazoa > Chordata > Mammalia > Primates > Hominidae > Homo > Homo sapiens. The sequence continues at coordinate 52,786,647 of NC_000004.12, read as the reverse complement.
TAAAGTTTTTAAAGGCTAGTCTAGTGAAGCAGTGGGAATGGAGAAGGAACAAAGAGTTATGTAACTGGTTGTGATCTATTAGTTGTAAACACCACTGCACTTGGACCAGCGTCATTACAGAAATTTTCTGTGCCTCAGATTCCATCTGAAAAATAGGGTAAATAAAGGTATCTATGCTAGGTGATTGTTTTGAAAATGAAATGAGATAAAGTGCATAGCCTGTCAACGGCACATTGTAGGTGCTCAATAAAAGATAGCTATCATCAGCATCATCATGATCATCATCATCATCATTACCAGGAAAATCTTACCACCTGATTTTTCTACTTATTGATTTAATGCATTTGACAAATATTTATTGAGTGTCCTCTGTATGCCAAGCTCTGTTCTCTCCATCTGTGGTACATCAGTGAACAAAACAGACGAAGATTCTGGCCCTCATGGAACTCACATTCCAGTGTGGGGAGACAGGAGACAAACAATAGAATATGAGCATCAAAATCAAGTAATTGAGCTGGGCATGGTGGTTCATGCCTGTGATCCTAGTGCTTTGGGAGGCCAAGGCAGGAGGATCACTTGAGACCAGGAGTTCAAGGTTGCAGTGAGCTATGATGGAGCATAGCCTGGGTGACAGAGCAAGAGCTCATCTCAAAACACACACACACAGACACACACACACACACACATGGTTATGGTGACACCAGAAAGGATGGAAGTAGTGAAGGTGGCCAAAAGTAGTTGGACACTGGATATGTTTTGAAGGTAGCACCAACAGGATTTCTACAGAGCCAGAATTGGATGTGGGCTGTGAGAAGAATAGGAGTCCAGGATTCACTCCATGGCTTTTGATGTGACCACCTTGGGGACAGAGTTGCCTTTAACTGAGATGGGACATCAGGAGTTGAGCTTGTCTATTAGACATCCAAGTGGAGATATTAATAGATGTACTTCTGGAGTGTGGGAGAAAGGCCTGGAATTTTGAAATAAATTCAGGAGTTATTGTCGTCAGCATGGTGTTTTAAAGCTATATACCCTACTTCATTCAGGTTGCTGTTACAAAATACCTGATAATATGACTAAACAAGAGAAATTTATTTCTCACAGTTCTGGAAGCTGGGAAGTCCAAGATCAAGGTGCCAGCAGATTCAGGGTCTGGTGAGAACCCACTTTCTTCATGGACAGATGTCTTCTCGCTCTGTCCTCACATGGCAGAAGGGGCCAGGCAGCATTCTGGGGCCTCTTTTTAAAGGGCACTGATCCCATTAGTGAGAGCTTTGGTCCTATGATGCCCCACGTAATACCACTGAATTGATTATTACTATTTTTTTTTTGAGATGGAGTCTCACTCTGTCGCCAAGGCTGGAGTGCAGTGGTGCAATCTCGGCTCACTGCAACCTCTGCCTCCTGGGTTCAAGCGATTCTCCAACCTCAGCCTCCTGAGTAGCTGGGATTACAGGCACACACCACCACGCCCAGCTAATTTTTGTATTTTTAGTAGAGATGGGGTTTCACCATGTTGGTCAGGCTGGTCTCGAACTTCTGACCTTGTGATCCGCCTGCCTCAGCTTCCTGAAGTGCTGGGATTACAGGTGTGAGCCATTGCGCCTAGCCGATGATCACATTTTTAACATTTAAATTTGAGGGGGATAGAAACATTCAGAATATACCATAAGACTAAGTAAAGTCTCCAATAAAATGTATTTAGATCAAACGAAGAAAAGTTCTGATGTTTATACTCTCAGATACTCCAGCTACGTTGTGTGGGCCAGGTGCAGTGGTTCACACCTGTAATCTCAGTACTTTGGGAGCCCGAAGTAGGAGGATCACTTGAAGCCAAGAGTTCGAGGCCAGTCTGGATAACAAAACGAGACTCCCTCTCTACAAAAAAATAAAAAACTTAGCTGGGAGTTGGTGTGCTCCTGTAGTCCCAGTTACTAGGGAGGCTGAGGCGGGAGGATTGCTTGAACCTAGGAGTTCAAAGCTGCAGTGAGCTATGACTGCACTACTGCACTCCACCCTGGATGACAAAGTTTGTTTTACAGTTTGTTCTATAAAAACAAAATATAAAATAAGGTTGGAGAGAAAGGAAGAAATAGCAAAGGAGACTGAGAAGAAGCAAGCACTAATGTAGGCAGAAAACTAGAAGGGTCTGGTGTCCTGGAAACCAAGTGAAACAGAAAGAAGATCAGAAGGGTTTTTTGTCTTTTCGATAGTTTGCTGAGAATGATGGTTTTTCCAGCTTCATCCATGTCCCTACAGAGGACATGAATTCATCCTTTTTTATGGCTGCATAGCATTCCATGGTGTATATGTGCCACATTTTCTTAATCCAGTCTATCATTGTTGGACATTTGGGTTGGTTCCAAGTCTTTGCTATCGTGAATAGTGCCACAATAAACATACGTGTGCATGTGTCTTTATAGCAGCATGATTTCTAATCCTTTGGGTATATACCCAGTAATGGGATGGCTGGGTCAAATGATATTTCTAGTTCTAGATCCCTGAGGAATCGCCACACTGACTTCCACAATGGTTGAACTAGTTTATAGTCCCACCAACAGTGTAAAAGTGTCCCTATTTCTCCACATCCTCTCCAGCACCTGTTGTTTCCTGACTTTTTAATGATCGCCATTCTAACTGGTGTAAGACGGTATCTCATTGTGGTTTTGATTTGCATTTCTCTGATGGCCAGTGATGATAAGGATTTTTTCATGTGTCTTTTGGCTGCATAAATGTCTTGTTTTGAGAAGTGTCTGTTCACAGCCTTTGCCCACTTTTTGATGGGGTTGTTTTTTTCTTGTAAATTTGTTTGAGTTCATTGTAGATTCTGGATATTAGCCCTTTGGACAAAAAACCAAACACCGCATGTTCTCACTCATAGGTGGGAATTGAACAATGAGAACACATGAACACAGGAAGGGGAACATCACACACCGGGGCCTGTTGTGGGGTGGGGGGAGCGGGGAGGGATAACATTTGGGATATACCTAATGTTAAATGATGAGTTACTGGATGCAGTGCACCAACATGGCACATGTATACATATGTAACTAACATGCACGTAGTGCCCATGTACCCTAAAACTTAAAGTATAATAAAAAAAAAAAAAAGGAGTGACCCAAAGTATCAAATGCTACTAAGGGATCAAGTTAAAAGGAGGGTTGAGAACTGATGGGTGGATCCAGCAGCCTCAGCCAAGGAGGGCAGATTTGATGGAATGGGTAGAACTAAAAACTGGGTAAGAGCGGGTTTAAGAGAAAGTGAGGGGACGAAGCTTAGAGACAGTGAGTACAGACACATCTGGAAAGCTTTTCACTCTCAAACAAGTATGACAGTAGCTAGCTGGGGAAGTATTCGTCAAAGGAAAGTGCAGTGTGTGCCCATGCCTGCGTGCCTGTGCATGTTGAAGAACAGGAGAAACAAGAGCATGTGTGTCTGCAGATGGGAATGATCCTGAAGAAGAAGAGGAAACATTCCAATGTAGGAGAAAGAAGAACTGTTGGAACAATGTCTTGGGTAGGCAAGAGGGAAAGGGGTCTAGTGCAAAGTGGAAGGATTGGTTTCAGATAGGAACACAGGAAATTCATCCATATGAAGATGTAGCTTCAGATGCTGATAAGTGGACAGATGTGGTAAAGGCAGTCTGTGAACATTCTCTTTATTGGCAGATTTTCTTGTGTACTTACTGGGTGCTCAGGACTAGGATGCCCATTAGGTCATTACAACAGGTTCTCCACATCTTTGGTGTGCCTTTGCCTCTCTAGGACAGTAATAACTCAGGACTATTTGCAGGACTTACTAGATTTCATGTGACAGGGAAATGGTGACCCATAGACGGCTGAAGGGATAAGCGGCTTTTCCCAGACCTCCTTGAATATGTGGGCCTTTCCTGGGGTCAAGAATTTGAAGCAGTTACTCTATCATCCATTACTAAGCATAGGTAGAATCTTGTGCTAAAAATAAGTATGCTAAAAATAGAAAGTCCAGTACTTATCTGAGTTTTGTCAACTAAACTGCCAATGCCTACATCTACATATTTGGAAACATTTGTACAAACACTAAGATATTTAGAAACACCAGAAACCTTGACATCATTTGCCATTTTTTCAGCTTGATAGCACTTATCTAGATATTTTGGTTTTGTGTGGACATAGCCAGGAAGCGGGAATGATCCATTTGAAACAAAACCTCTGTCCACAAAGATCTATCTCTGTCGTCATACAGACACTAAAAGCAAACAACGCAGTAATCACTGAACCATGAGAAATAAAAATGATAATTTTACCTTGATCTTGCCCATGAAATATTCCCCTGTATTTATAGCTAAACTCTCACCAAATATTTATTTTGTGCTTTAATTCTCATTCCAAGTAATTAAACTATTCTGGTTTCTTCTGTTGAAGTAATTACAGGTTTTTCTTTCATCTTCTTTTTCATTTTTGATGAAACCTTAAACCTATTAAAACCCATCTACAATGTGGCTGTCATATACTCTTCAGGGTTCTCATGCAGCCTCACGGTGAAGTCAGCTTCATGTTCAATGCCTTTGGATTATGTTACTGCAATTCATTATGAGTTGTTGGATAAGATGCTGCAGCATAACTCCCTGGAAATTAAACCCAAGGCACCATTCAGCTTTTCTAAAACCCTGTGATTCTTTTTTTTTCTTTGAGATGGAGTCTTGCTCTGTCGCCCAGGCTGGAGTGCAGTGGCGTGATCTTGGCTCACTGCAAGCTCCGCCTCCCCAGCTCATGCCATTCTCCTGCCTCAGCCTCCCAAGTAGCTGGGACTACAGGTGCCCGCCACCACGCCTGGCTAATTTTTTGTATTTTTAGTAGAGATGGGGTTTCACCGTGTTAGCCAGGATGGTCTCGATCTCCTGACCTCGTGATCTGCCCGCCTGGGCCTCCCAAAGTGCTGGGATTACAGGCCTGTGATTCTTTTGTAGCTAATTAGGTATTACATTAAGCTTCATCCATGCAAGGTACCATGACAGAGGACAGGAAAATCTTTTATTCATTCTTCTTTATGCCCTTAAGAGCACTTTGCAATCTGTCGACCCATGTTCACACGTACTTATTATGTGAAGAATGCCATTCAACTCAAGAAAAAGCAAAATTTTGGGTAACAAGTTCCCAAATTTTTGACACTGATTTGTCCCTCTGGTGCAGTAATAACTGAAGGATATTTAGATGGCTTTCTATGCATGGTCAGCTTTCATGTAAAAAGAAATGTTGAGAGGCAGCTAGTCAATCTGCCAGCCTTTTTTATTCCTTCCTTCATAGATCCCTCTAGTTTTCATTAAACGATGCGAGTTTTGAGAGTTAAAAACCAGTAAGGAGACTCCTTGCTGTAACTACAACTTTGAATCCCAAAAATGTTGTTTATCATTATTTTTAAAATCACACATGTATAAAAAGAAGAAAATTAAAAGTGTAATTGTCAGTATGTATTACTCATATTAGGTAGGGTAACGTTAGCTGCTATAACAAATAACCCCCAAATTTCCATGACATAGCACAACAGTCTATTTCTTGCTCATGTAATAGTTCAGGTAACAGTTTATTTCTTGCTCATGTAACAGTTCAGGTGGGTAACCAAACTGAACAGTTCAGTTCTGTAATTGAACAGTTGAGTTCAGACAGTGGCTGTTCCTCCACATTGTCATTTAGGAACCTAGGATCTTTTCAAGTTGAGGGTCTAATAGCTTCTGTTTCCTTGGAATCCTCTGCACCCAGCTAACAGAGGGTGGAGGGAAGCATAAAAAAGCCCCACCCCGGAAGTAATACATCACTTTTGCTCACATTGCATTGGTGAGAATTAGCCATATGTTCTGATCTGAATGCAAAGGAGGCTGGGAAATGTAGTCCCTGATTGGACATCTGTGTCCAAGTGATAACTCCAAACTAAGGAAGAGGGAAACATGAGTTTCAGCCAGCCATCTCTGCCATGCTTGAGTTATGTCAGTACATTAAAAATACATATTCTATAGTCCCTCCTACTGTTAACATTTTGGAATATAGCTAATAAATGGCATCATACTGTACATGTTATTTTATTAACTGAATTTTATTCATAAACAGTATATTGAATAACATATGTCACATATATTTTTAATGTACATCATTTGTGTGAACAGTGTGGCTGCAAATAGTAGCTGGGGCATTTCTCCAGTGTGTGTCTTTGTTAGACACTATCAAAGACAAGGAACAGCATGGGCTGGCAGAGTGTAATGGCGTGAGTCAGGCTTTGGGCTGAAGCAAATCTGGGCTCAAGTCCCAGCCCTTAACATTTGCTAGCTTGTAAAGATGTAGCAGTTCTTTCCTTAACCTATGAAATGAAGACACGAATTTTAGTTCTTTAGTTCTTCTTTTCTGTAAAATGGGGATAGTAGCTTATTTAAATGAAGTTGCTGTGAGGCTAAGTAAAATAATTTATGTAAGGAACTCGAATACTACCAAGATGAATAATACTTTATTTTTTTAAATGTTGTAAGTGACTTTTATTTTAAAAAAAACTTACAGTGTTGGCATTGTGGCCTAGGTAGACAAAATGTAAAGTGAATTATAGCTTGCATAAAGGTAACCTAGGGACATTGTTTTGGTTTTTGGTTTTTTTTAGGGACAAGGTCTCATTATATTACCCAGGCTGGACTTGAACTCCTGGGCTCAAGAGATCCTCCTCACTCAGCCTTCCAAGTAGCTTGGACTATAGGCATATCCCACTGTGCCCCAACCTGGGGATCTTGATGCTGATTCAGTAGGTTTCAGATTGGGCCCAGGAATCTGAATTCTTAGCAATTCTCCAGGGTAATTCTGTTGCATATTATCCTAGGGACCACAACTAGGAAACCCTGTTCTATAGCTTCTATTTAGACAGCCAAATAGAGGCCAAAAGATTGAGAAAAGCAAGAGAGCAAATCAAGAGAGATTAATAAATGACCCCCCAGATTCATAAGGAAGAAAGAGATAAAAGGAACATCTAATGCAGTGTTTCAAGAGGCATGTCAGGTGTGAGAAATTCTCATCATATGCAATCATTCCAAGCATTGAAGAAATTCTGCATTGCTGTCTCCTGTCCACTAAATGTCAGTAGTGTCTACAATTATTGTCAAAATGAAAAATGTCCCATATTTTTCCAAATATCTTATGGGAATAGAACTACCCATGATTGAGAATCACTGATCTAGCCCCAAAGCTTCACCTTTTCTGATAAGGAAGGTAAGGCCCAGAGAGGTGGAGTGACTTGCTTATGGGCACATGCCACTTGGTGGTGGGGCTGGGAGCAGAATCCAAGTATTCAGCTCCAAGTTGAGGGCTTGTTTCCACCATATGGTCATATCAGCTTAGAATATTTTTTACTGCAAGTAGTAGAGAATCCAATTCAATATCACTTACCTGGAAATTGATCGATTTACCTCACTGAAAGTCCTGAAGTAGAACCTGCTTCAAAAGTATTAAATCCAGTGCCTATGACTCCATGTGCTTGTGACTTGACTGGCTTTGCTGTCCTCTGTGTCAGCATCATCTTCAAGCATGTGCTGATGGTTACAGCAGTGTCGGGCCTTGGATCTGAACAGCAATAGCCAAGCAAAGGGAGAAAGGGTCGCTTTCAGAAACTTTCCAAGGAAGTGAGAAGTAACTTTCCTAGAAGGTCCAGAAAACTGCTTCTTGAGTCTAAGTAGCCCACCTTGGGTCATGTAGCCATTCATGTACCAAATTCTTGCCAGAAATGTGAGATAACACTTAGATCATCCCAAGAGCTGGGAAGAGGTGAATAACGTAGTTTGGACACTTGTCCCTGCCCAGATCTCACGTTGAATTGTAATCCCCAATGCTGGAGGTGGGAGGCCTGGTGGGAGGTGTTTGGGTCATGGGGGCAGATCCCTCATGGCTTGGTGCTGTCTTCACAATAGTGAGTCTCACGAGATCTGGTCATTAAAAGTGTGTGGCGGCCAGGCGTGGTGGCTCACACCTGTAATTCCAGCACTTTGGGAGGCCAAGGTGGGCGGATCACCTGAGGTCAGGAGTTCGAGACCAGCCTGGCTAACATGGTGAAACCTTGTGTCTACTAAAAATACAAAAAGTTAGCTCGGGATGTTGTGGCAGGAGAATCACTTGAACCCAGGAGGCAGAGGTTGCAGTGAGCCGAGATCGCGCCATTGCACTCCAGTTTGGGCAACAAGAGCGAAACTCCATCTCAAAAAAACAAAAAAAAATGTGTGGCACCTCTGCTCTCACTCTCTCTTGACCTGTTCTAGCCATGTGTTGTGCCTGCTCCCACTTCACCCTCTGCCATAAGTAAAAGCATTCTGAGGTCTCCCCCAGAAGCAGATGTCAGTGCTATGCTACCTGTACAGCCTCTGCAGGTTAACCTCTACCTCTTTTCTTATAAATTATCCAGTCTCAGATATTTCTTTATAGCAATGCAAGTACAGACTAACACAGTCAGCTTTCCCTGCACTGTGTTGACAGGGGTGGGTGAATATCTGAAAAATATCAAGTTTCTATCAGAAGAATGGACGCTCCTGCTGTTGGTTAGGCCCCCATCAGTGTTAACAATAATCATCTTGCATACTTTGCCACTTATACTCTTTTTTTTTCTTTTTTCTTTTTTTTGAGACGGAGTTTCACTCTTTTTGCCCGGGCTGGAGTGCAATGGGGCAATCTCGGCTTATCGCAACCTCTGCCTCCCAGGTTCAAGCAATTCTCCTGCCTCAGCCTCCTGAGTAGCTGAGATTACAAGCATGCACCACCATGCCTGGCTAATTTTTTGTATTTTTAGTAGAGACGGGGTTTCTCCATGTTGGTTAGGCTGCATTTATACTCTTAAATAGTTCTCCAGTTATTCAGTCTGCAACTGTGATGCCACATTCTTTGGGATTTCCAAGGACTAGGCAATATACATAACAAACAAACAGAAATGAAGTGTGCTTTTTTGTCATATCAAAAAATATATGGTTGCATACCTGATATATATAATTTAGAGCTAGATTTGGCTGCATATAACAGAAGACCCAAGAAACAGTGGTTTAAAAGACAAAAATTTCTTTTCTTATACATGTAAAAAGGCCATAGGAAAACAGGCCCAGCTGATAGGGTGACTCCACAATTATTAAGTATTCAGAATTCTTGTGTTTTGTTCTTCCACCATCCTCAAAATTTGGCTCTTTACTCTGTGGTCCAAGTTTGCTGCTCAGCTCCAAACACTATGCCTACATTTCAACCAACAGAAAGATGGGAAGACCTAAAGAAGGGTGGATACTCCTTTGAAAGACATTTCCTGGAAGGACCACATACAACTTCCACGTAGATCCCATTGCTGAAACTTACTCATGTGCCTACACCTAGCTGTAAGGGAAGCTAGAAAATGTAATCCTTATTCTGCATCACTGATACAACCTAAACATTGGGAATTTTATTAGTAAGGAAGAAAGGGGAAAAGGATATTGGGGGTAGTTAGGAAACAATGCCACAATGAAATACAAGTTCTGAAGATCTCCATGACCTCTGATAAAATATATTTCAAGAATTACTGAACAGCCTGGCATGGTGGCTCATGCCTGTAATCCTAGCACTTTGGGAGAGCAAGGTGGGAGGATTGCTTGAGCGCAGGAAGTTGAGGCTGCAGTGACCTGTGATCTTACCATTGCACTCCAGCCTAGGGAACAAAGCAAGACCCTATCTCAATAACAATAACAACAAGAAGATTTTTTCAACAATACTCAATGCATAGTACATGGAGTTCTTGAGCCTCACTGTAAAGTCTAGCACAAATGAAAGATGAAAAGTGCCAACCAAGGAGAAGCCAATCTATGCTCAGCTCCTTAAAAATGAACCTGGGGCTCATATTGCTGAATTAAACATTAAGCATATTTAAGGAAAAAAGTCAAGAAATCAGGTCATTAAAAGGTAATTATAGTCATTGATTGTATTTTGGAAGAACAGTAAAGAAATCCAATTAATATCCCACAGCAATAATTCCCCATCATCTCAGCAGGGCTCCTATTGCTTGCATTCTAACACTGCCTTAGAACCTGGTGGTCCTATTCTAAGTCCTGATGCTCCTCCCTTTCTCAGAAGCCTTATTTTCTCTTTCCTACCTTCTTTTTTACTCTGTCATTCATACCCATTCTCTTGTTCTCTCTTTCTTCTCTCTCTCTCTCTCTTTCTCTCTCTCTCCCTTTCTCTCTCTCTCTCCCTTTCTCTCTCTTTCTCTGTTTCTGAGATGGGTCCTACCATGTTGCCCAGGCTGGACTTGAACTCCTGGGCTCAAGGGATCCTCCTGCTTCAGTCTCCTAAGTAGCTAGGTCTTGGCCTGGGCATCATTCTCTCTACTTTGGATCCCAAATTCCCAAAAATCAGCAAGCCAAGACAGGACTTGGAGTTGGGAACGGGGAGAAGGTGGCCAGACAAAGGCAAGACAAGGGCAGGAGAAGGAAACAGGGAATGGGTGGGAACAATCCCATTTTGTGAAATTCTGTCTGTGACAATCTCTCCTGAGTCATATGGTAATTAGGGACATTTGTCCATACAGAAACCCCCAGTCTTCTCCCAGAGGAGATCTCCACAGTCCTCTCTGAATTAATGAAGATGCTGCGCAGAGGCACTCTCCTAGGGCATGGGTACTTTCTCTGCACTGAGATGAGGATCTTTGCCCAGAGAGTAATTATGGGACAGCTGGAAGCCACTAGAGATGATGCTAACCACCTATGAATATCTATCTGCTCTTCAGGAATAAGTCAAGAATACATTTTTATAACAAATTAATTCCAAAAAATGAAAACAAAGTTAGGAACTTAGTGTATTGGCAACACACACAAACACACACACACACACACATGCAAAATCAAACAAGTGACCTCTAGTCAAGATTACAGATTAAAAAAAAAAACAGAATCTTGATTCTACTTGAAACAAATAGAAAATTATGAATTACCAAATTACATGAAAAACAAGATCTGAAGAGAACACTTTGTCAGCCAGGGTTCCTTTGCTCAAGCAACAGAAAATGATTTTGGCTTACTTTACAAAATCAGTTACAAAAACTGAAATTTCAGTTATAAAAACTGAAAAAAGCCACAGGGCAAGAAAAGAGTTACCAGCCAATCTCACTTATGCATATATATGCAAATAGCCAAAATACAGTTACCCCAATACGTGGGGATTGGTTCCAGGACCTCCTGCATATACTCAAATTCTTGCATACTCAGGTCCAGCAGTGGGCTCTGCTGAACTCACATATAAGAAAATGTTCTCCATATACACAGGTTACACATCCCACAAATAATGTATTTCCTTTTTTGTTTGTTTTTGTTTTTGAGACCGGTCTCGCTCTGTGCAGGCTGGAGTGCAGTGGCACAATCTCAGCTCACTGCAACCTCCATCTCCTGGGTTCAAGCAATTCTCCTATCTGAGCCTCCTGAGTAGCTGGGATTACAGGCGCCTGCCACCACACCCAGCTAATTTTTGCATTTTTAGTAGAGACAGGTTTCACCATGTTGGCCAGGCTGGTCTCGAACTCCTGACCTCAAGTGATCCACCTACCTTGGCCTCCTAAAGTGCTGGGATTACAGGCGTGAGCCACTGCGCCCAGCCAAATAATGTATTTTCAATACAAGTTTGGTTGAAAAAACTGTACCCAGGTAGTTCAAACTCATTTTATTCAAGGGTCACCTATAAAAGATTTAGCTCATTGAATTTAGCAATGAGTTTTTTAAAACTCTAAAGACAAAATGATGCTATAACTGGAGAGGATATCATATAACTAGACATTGCAGTCCCTAGACACTTGATGCTATTTCTTGGACCATTGCCACATATAGAAAAACAAAACAAAACTCTATACTTCCTTGATTCTTTGCTAATTTGCTCTAGGTTTAAAATACTAGGCAAGAGGCCCTCCTTCACTGAACACATAGCATTTTCCCAGATCCTAGATGTTAGTAGGTAGAGGAACGCATATGTTTGATCATTTCAGCTATTATAATGGAAGACAGGCACTGCCTTTGGCCAAGACTAACTAATGCAACAGAAAATTCTTCAAACAGGAAGGTAGTTTAGATGTTAGACAGCAAAAAATAAATAAACAAACAAAAATCCATCAGAACCAATAAATATTAAAGACATTTAAAAAATCTCAGCTGGTGGGTATAGAAGAAACATATTTCAACATAATAAAAGCCATACATGACAGACTCACAGCTAGTATCATGCTGAATGGGGAAAATCTGAAAGTCTTTCCTCTAAGATCTGGAACACAACAAGGATGCCCACTTTCACCACTGTTATTCAACATAATACTGAAATTTCTAGCTAGAACGATCAGACAAGAGAAAAAAACTGACATTAAGGGAGGTTCCAAGATGGCCAAATAGGAACACCTCCAGTCTGCAGCTCCCAGCGTGAGTGACGCAGAAGACAGGTGATTTCTGCATTTCCAACTGAGGTAGGGGGTTCATCTCACTGGGGCTTGTCGGACAGTGGGTGCAGCCCACTGAGTGTGAGCTGAAGCAGGGTGGGGCATCACCTCACCTGGGAAGCCCAAGGGGTCGGGGAATTCCCTTTCCTAGCCAAGGGAAGCTGTGACAGATGGTACCTGGAAAATAGGGACACTCCCACCCTAATACTGCACTTTTCCAATGGTCTTAGCAAACAGCACACCAGGAGATTATATCCTGTGCCTGGCTTGGAGGGTCCCAGGCCCATGGAGCCTCGCTCGCTGCTAGCACAGCAGTCTGAGATGGAACTGCAAGGTGGCAGTGAGGCTGGGGGAGGGGCGTCCACCATTGCTGTGGCTTGAGTAGGTAAACAAAGCGGCCGGGAAGCTCAAACTGGGTGGAGCCCACCACAGCTCAAGGAGGCGTGCCTGCCTCTATAGACTCCACCTCTGGGGACAGGGCATAGCTGAACAAAAGGCAGCAAAAACTTCTGCAGACTTAAACGTCCCTGTCTGACAGCTTTGAAGAGAGAAGTGGTTCTTCCAGCATGGAGTTTGAGATCTGAGAATGGACAGACTACCTCCTCAAGTGGGTCCCTGACCCCCGAGTAGCCTAACTGGGAGACACCTCCCAGTAGGGGCCGACTGACACCTCATACAGCTGGGTGCCCCTCTGAGACGAAGCTTCCAGAGGAAGGATCAGGCAGCAACATTTGCCGTTCTGCAATATTTGCTGTTCTGCAGCCTCTACTGGTGATGCCCAGGCAAACAGGGTCTGGAGTGGACCTCCAGCAAACTCCAACAGACCTGCAGCTGAGGGTCCTGACTGTTAGAAGGAAAACTAACAAACAGAAAGGACATGCACACGAAAACCCCATCTGTACGTCACCACCATCAAAGACCAAACTTAGATAAAACCACAAAGATGGGGAGAAACCAGAGCAGAAAAGCTGAAAATTCTAAAAATCAGAGCTCCTCTTCTCCTCCAAAGGAATGGAGCCCCTCGCCAGCAACGGAACAAAGCTGGACGGAGAATGAATTTGAAGAGTTGAGAGAAGAAGGCTTCAGACAATCGGTAATAATAAACTTCTCCGAGCTAAAGGAGGATGTTCGAACCCATCGCAAACAAGCTAAAAACCTTGAAAAAAGATTAGATGAATTGCTAACTAGAATAAACTGTATAGAGAAGACCTTAAATGACTGGAAGGGGCTGAAAACCATGGCACGAGAACTACGTGATGCACGCAGGAGCTTCAGTAGCTGATTCGATCAAGTGGAAGAAAGGGTATAGTGATTGAAGGTCAAATGAATGAAATGAAACGAGAAGAGAAGTTTAGAGAAAAAAGAGTAAAAAGAAATGAACAAAGCCTCCAAGAAATATGGGACTATGTGAAAAGACCAAATCTATGTCTGATTGGTGTACCTGAAAGTGACGGGGAGAATGGAACCAAGTTGGAAAACACTTTGCAGGATATTATCCAGGAGAATTTCCCCAATCTAGCAAGGCAGGCCAACATTCAAATTCAGGAAATACAAAGAATGCCACACAGATACACTTCAAGAAGAGCAACTCCAAGACACATAATTGTCAGATAAACCAAAGTTGAAATGAAGGGAAAAATGTTAAGGGCAGCCAGAGAGAACGATCAGGTTACCCACAAAGGGAAACCCACCAGACTAAAAGTGGATCTCTCGGCAGAAAGTACAAGCCAGAAGAGAGTGGGGGCCAATATTCAACATTCTTAAAGAAAAGAATTTTCAACCCAGAATTTCATATCCAGCCAAACTAAGCTTCATAAGTGAAGGAGAAATAAAATACTTTACAGACAATCAAATGCTGAGAGATTTTGTTACCACCAGGCCTGCCTTACAAGAGCTCCTGACAGAAGCACTAAACATGGAAAGGAACAACTGGTACCAGCCACTGCAAAAACATGCCAAATTGTAAAGACCATCAATGCTAGGAAGAAACTGCATCAACTAACAAGCAAAACAACCAGCTAACATCATAATGACAGGATCAAATTCACATATGAATATTAACCTTAAATGTAAATGGGCTAAATGCTCCAATTAAAAGACACAGACTGGCAAATTGGATAAAGAGTCAAGACTCATCAGTGTGCTCTATTCAGGAGACCCATCTCACATGCAGAGACACACATAGGCTCAAAATAAAGGGATGGAGGAAGATCTACCAAGCAAATAGAAAACAAGGAAAAAGCAGGGGTTGCAATCCTAGTCTCTGATAAAACAGACGTTAAACCAACAAAGATCAAAAGAGACAAAGAAGGCCATTACATAATGGTAAAGGGATCAATTCAACAAGAAGAGCTAATTATCCTACATATATATGCACCCAACATAGGAGCACCCAGATTCATAAAGCAAGTCCTTAGAGACCTACAAAGAGACTTAGACTCCCACACAATAATAATGGGAGACTTTAACACCCCACTGTCAACATTAGACAGGTCAACGAGACAGAAAGTTAAGAAGGATACCTAGGAATTGAACTCAGCTCTGCACCAAGCAGACCCAATAGAAATCTACAGAACTCTCTACCCCAAATCAACAGAATATACATTCTTTTCAGCACCACATCACACTTATTCCAAAATTGACAACATAGTTGAAAGTAAAGCTCTCCTCAGCAAATGTAAAAGAACAGAAATTATAACAAACTGTCTCTGAGACCACAGTGCAATCAAACTAGAACTCAGGATTAAGAAACTCACTCAAAACCACTCAACCACATGGAAACTGAACAACCTGCTCCTGAATAACTACTGGGTACATAACAAAATGAAAGCAGAAATAAAGATGTTCTTTGAAACCAATGAGAACAAAGAAACAACATACCAGAATCTCTGGGACACATTTAAAACAGTGTGTAGAGGGAAATTTATAGCACTAAACGCCCACAAGAGAAAGCAGGAAAGATCTAAAATTGACACCCTAACATCACAGTTAAAAGAACTAGAGAAGCAAGAGCAAACACCTTCAAAAGCTAGCAGAAGGCAAGAAATAACTAAGATCAGAGCAGAATGGAAGGAGATAGAGACACAAAAAAACCTTTCAAAGAAATCAGTGAATCCAGGAGCTGGTTATTTGAAAAGATCAATAAAATTGATAGACCTCTAGCAAGACTAATAAAGAAGAAAACAGAGAAGAATCAAATAGATGCAATAAAAAATGTTAAAGGGGATATCACCACCGATCCCACAGAAATACAAACTACCATCAGAGAATACTATAAACACTTCTATGCAAATAAACTAGAAAATCTAGAAGAAATGGAAAAATTCTTGGACATATAACACCCTCCCAAGACTAAACCAGGAAGAAGTTGACTCTCTCAATAGACCAATAACAGGCTCTGAAATTGAGACAATAATTAATAGCCTACCAACCAAAAAAAGTCCAGGCCAGATGGATTCACAGCCAAATTCTACCAGAGGTACAAAGAGGAGCTGGTAGCATTCTTTCTGAAACTATTCCAATCAATAGAAAAAGAAGGAATCCTCCCTAACTCATTTTGTGAGGCCAGCATCATCCTGATACCAAAGCCTGGCAGAGACACACACACACACAAAAGAGAATTTTAGACCAGTATCCCTGATGAACTTTGATGCCGAAATCCTCAATAAAATACTGGCAAACTGAATCCAGCAGCACATCAAAAAGCTTATCCACCACGATCAGGTTGGCTTTATCCCTGGGATGCAAGGCTGGTTCAACATATGTAATCCATCATATAAACAGAACCAAAGACAAAAACCACATGATTGTGTCAATAGATGCAGAAAAGGCCTTTGACAAAATTCAACACCGCTTCATGCTAAAATCTCTCAATAAACTAGATACTGATGGGACATATCTCAAAATAATAAGAGCTATTTATGACAAACCGACAGCCAATATCATACTGAATGGGCAAAAACTGGAATCATTTCCTTTGAAAACTGGCACAAGACAGGGGTGTCCTCTCTCACCACTCCTATTCAATATAGTGTTGGAAGTTCTGCCCAGGGCAATCAGGCAGGAGAAAGAAATAAAGGGTATTCAGTTAGGAAAAGAGGAAGTCAAATTGTCCCTGTTTGCAAATGATATGATTGTATATTTAGAAAACCCCATCATCTCAGCCCAAAATCTCCTTAAGCTGATAAGCAACTTCAGCAGATTCTCAAGATACAAAATCAATGTGCAAAAATTACAAGCATTCCTATACACCAATAACAGACAGAGAGCCAAATCATGAGTGAACTCCCATTCACAATTGCTTCAAAGAGAATAAAATACCTAGGAATCCAACTTACAAGGGACGTGAAGGACCTCTTCAAGGAGAACTACAAACCACTGCTCAAGGAAATAAAAGAGGACACAAAGGGAAGAACATTCCATGATCATGGATAGGAAGAATTGATAATGTGAAAATGGCCATACTGCCCAAGATAATCTATAGATTCAATGTCATCCCCATCAAGCTACCAATGACTTTCTTCACAGAATTGGAAAAAACTACTTTAAAGTTCATATGGAACCAAAAAAGAGCCTGCATTGCCAAGACAATCCTAAGCAAAAAGAACAAAGCTGGAGGCATCACGCTATCTGACTTCAAACTATACTACAAGGCTACAGTAACCAAAACAGCATGGTACTGGTACCAAAACAGAGATATAGACCAATGGAACAGAACAGAGCCCTCACAAATAATACCACACATGGACGACCATCTGAACTTTGACAAACCTGACAAAAACAAGCAATGGGGAAAGGATTCCCTATTTAATAAATGGTGCTGGGAAAACTGGCTAGCCATATGTAGAAAGCTGAAACTGGATCCCTTTCTTACACCTTATACAAAAATTAATTCAAGATGGATTAAAGACTTAAATATTAGACCTAAAACTATAAAAACCCTAGAAGAAAACCTAGGCAATACCATTCAGGACATAGGCATGGGCAAGGACTTCATGTCTAAAACACCAAAAGCAATGGCAACAAAAGCCAAAATCGACAAATGGGATCTAATTAAACTAAGGAGTTTCTGCACAGCAAAGGAAACTACCATCAGAGTGAAAAGGCCACCTACAGAATGGGAAAAAAATTTTACAATCTACCCATCTGACAAAGGACTAATATCCAGAATCTACAAAGAACTTTAACAAATTTACAAGAAAAAAATCAACCCCATCAACAAGTGGGCAAAGGATATGAAGAGACACTTCTCAAAAGAAGACATCTATGCAGCCAACAGACACATGAAAAAATGCTCATCATCACTGGCCATCAGAGAAATGCAAATCAAAACCACAATGAGATACCATCTCACACCAGTTAGAATGGTGATCATTAAAAAGTTGGGAAACAACAGGTGCTGGAAAGGATGTGGAGAAATAGGAACACTTTCACACTGTTGGTGGGACTGTAAACTAGTTCAACCATTGTGGAAGTCAGTGTGGCGATTCCTCCAGGATCTAGAACTAGAAATATCATTTGACCCAGCCATCCCATTACTGGGTATATACCCAAAGGATTAGAAATCATGCTGCTATAAAGACACATGTACACGTATGTTTACTGCAGCACTATTCACGATAGCAAAGACTTGGAACCAACCCAAATGTCCATCAATGATAGACTGGATTAAGAAAATGTGGCACATATACACCATGGAATACTATGCAGCCATATAAAAGGATGAGTTCATGTCCTTTGTGGGGACATGGATGAAGCTGGAAACCATCATTCTCAGCAAACTATCGCAAGGACAAAAAACCAAACATTGCATGTTCTCACTCATAGGTGAGAATTGAACAATGAGAACACTTGGACACAGGTTGGGGAACATCATACACTGGGGCCTGTCGTGGGGTGGGGGGAGGGGGGAGGGATAGCATTAGGAGATATACCTAATGCTAAATGATGAGCTAATGGGTGTAGCACACCAACATGGCACATGTATACATATGTAACAAACTTTCACATTGTGCACGTGTACCCTGGAACTTAAAGTATAATTTAAAAAAAAAAGAGAAAAAACTGAAAGGCATCGAAAATGGAAAGTAAGAAGTCAAATTATCCTTATTTGCAGCTGATATAATCTTATATTTAGAAAAACCTAGACTCCACCAAAAAACTATTAGAATTGATAAACTATTGAGTAAAGTTGCAGGATACAAAATCAACATACAAAAATCAGTATCATTTCTATATGCCAACAGTGAACAATCCTCAAAAAAAAATTAAAAAGTAACCCATTTACAATACCCACAAATAAAATCAAGCACTTAGGCGTTAACCAAAGAAGTGCAAGATCTCTACAATGAAAGCTATAAAGCACTGATGAAAGAAACTGAAGAGGACATACACAGAAAAAAATGAAAAGATATTTCATTTTCATGGATGGAATAATCAGTATTGTTAAAATGTCTGTACTACCCAAAGGAATCTGCAGATTTAATGCAATCCCTATCAAAATACCAATGACATTCTTCACAGAAATAGAAACCTTAAAATTTACTTGGAACCACAAAAGACCGAGAATAGCCAAAGCTACCTTAAGCAAAAAGAACAATTGGAGAAATCACATTACCTGACTTCAAATTGCACTACAGAGATACAGTACCCAAAACAGCAATGGTATGGCCAAAAGCAGACATGTAGACCAGTGGAACAGAATAGACAGCCCAGAAACAAATCTATATACCTACAGTGAACTCATTTTTGACAAAGATGCCAAGAACATACATTTGGGAAAAGACAATCTCTTCGATAATGGTGCTGGGGAAACAGGATATCCACATGTAAAGGAATAAAACTATACCCATACCTCTCATCACATATGAAAACCAAATCAAAATTGATTAAAGACTTAAATATAACACCTCAAACTATCAAGTATTAAATGAAAACATTGGGGAAACTCTCCGGGACATTGGTCTGGGCAAAAAATGTTTGAGTAATATTCCATAAGCACAGACAACCAAAACAAAAATAGGATCACATCAAGTTAAAAAGCTTCTGCACAGCTAGGAAAAAATCAACAAAGTGAAGAGAGAATCCACAGAATGAGAGAAAATATTTGCAGACTACCCACCTGACAAGGGATTAATAATCAGCATATATAAGGAGCTCAAACAACTCTATAGGAAAAAATCTAATAATCTGATTCAAAAAGGGCAAAAGCTCTAAAAAGGCACTTCTCAAAAGAAGACATACAAATGGCAAACTGGCATATTAAAAGGTGCTCAACATTACAATGAGATGTCATCTCACCCCACTTAAAATGGCTTTTATCTAAAAGACAGGCAATAACTAATGCTAGCGATGATTTGGAGAAAAGTAAACCCTCATACGCTGTTTGTGGCAATATAAATTAGTATGGCCATTATGCAGAACAGTTTAGAGGTTCTTCAAGAAACTAAAAATATAGTTACCATATAAAGCAGCAATCCGACTGCTGGGTATATACCCCAAAGAAAGGAAATTAGGATATCAAAGGGATATCTACACTCCCATGTTTGTTGCAGCACTGTTTACAATAGCCAAGATTTGGAATTAATGCAGGTGTCCACCAACAAATGAATGGATAAAGAAAATATGGTACATATACACAATAGAGTACTATTCAGCCGTAAAAAAAAAAAAAAAAAGAATGAGATCCTGTCATTTGCAAAACATAGATCAAATTGGAGGTCATTATGTTAAGTGAAATAAGTCGGGCACAGAAAGACAAACTTCACATGTTCTCACTTATTTGTGGGAGCTAAAAATTAAAACAATTAAAGTCATGGAGACAGAGAGTAGAAAGACAGTTTCCAGAGTCTGGGAAGAGTAGTGGGCAGGATGGGAGAATAGCAGAGGGAGAAATGGGGATGGTTAATGAGTACAAAAAGTAGTTAGAAAGAATGACTAAGACCTAGTATTTGATAGCACAACAGGGTAACTATAGTCAATAATAATTTAATTATACATTTAAAAATTACTAAAAGAGTATAACTGTATTGTTTGTAATACAAAGGACAAATAATGGAGGGATGGATGCCCCATTTACCATAATGCAATTATTACATATTGCACACCCGAATCAAACTATCTCATGAACCCCATGAATACAAACACCGGCTATGTACCCACAAAAATTAAACAACAAGAACAAAAAAACCTCAGCTAGGTGAGGTGGCTCGCACCTGTAATCCCAGCACTTTGGGAGGTTGGAGGGCAGGAGGATTGCTTAAGGCCAGGAGTTCAAGACCAGCCCAATCAACATAGCAAGATCACATCTCTACGAAAAAGAAAAAAAAAATAGCTGACCATGGTGGTGCATCCCCAAGTAGTCCCAGCTACTCAGGAGGCTGAGGTGGGAGGATTGCTTGAGCCCCAGAGGCCAAGGCTACAGTGAGCCTTATACATATATACATTTTTACATGATCAAGTGGTATTTCAATTCAACAAGAGAAATGATTAAGTTATAAATAATGCTAATTCAATTGTCTATGCACTTGTATTAGTTTGTTACAACTGCCTTAACAAAATACCACAAACTGGGTGGCTTACACAACAGGAATTGATTTTCTCATAGTTTTGGAAGCCAGAAGCCCTGAGATCAGGCATTGCCAGGTCTGGTTTTCCCTGAGGCCATTCTCCATGTCTTGTCAATGGGATACTTTCTCACTGTTTCTTCCATGGCCTTTCCTTTTTTTCTTTTTCTTTCTTTCTTTTTTTTTTTTTTTTTAAACAGAGTTTTTTGCTTTTGTCACCCAGGCTGGAGTACAGTGGCGCGATCTTGGCTTACTGCAACCTCTGCCTCCCAGGTTCAAGCAATTCTCCTTCCTCAGCCTCCCAAGTAGCTGGGATTACAATCGTATGCCACCACCCCTGGCTAATTTTTGTATTTTTAGTAGAGATGGGGTTTCACCATGTTGGTCAGGCTGGTGTCAAACTCCTGACCTCCAGTGATCCACTGGCCTCAGTCTCCCAAAGTGCTGGGATTACAGGCATGAGCCCCTGTGCCCGGTTTTCCATGGCCTTCTTAATGTGTGCATGCACATCCCTGGTTTCTCTTCCTCTTCTTATAAGGACCCCAGTCATATTGGATTAGGACCCCACCTAACGACCTCATTTTACCTTAATTGCCTCTTTAAAGGCCCTACCTCCAAATACAGTCACACTGGGAATTAGGTGTTCAATGTAGGAATTTTGCAGAGACACAATTCAGTCCACAACACCACCTAAAGAAGTAATATTCAGGCTTTATCTTACATAATATTAAAACTAAATTCCAGGGTAAATAAAAATGTAAAATAAAAAGTTAAATTATAAAAATGTAAAAGATAATCTGGACTCCATGTATGGTATAATCTAGGGTCACAGATGTTTTTTAACCAAGTCAGGAATCTCATAAACCATGCAGTAAAAATAATAGAAATATTTGACTGTATAAAAATTTTGAACTTTACAGAGTAAAAGATACATTAAACAAAACAAAGTGCGTCAGTGAGAATATAGTGCAGGAAACATGAACCACCCTAGATATTTTAAGAAGTGAAGAGTTTAATACAGGAAATTAGGAGTTTACAAAAGTATCGGAAGGTTACAGAACAAGAACCAGAAGTCAGATGTCTGCCACCGTATGACCCATTTCAAGGACACATCAACAAAATTACAAAGAGACGTCAGAAAGCTATTGCTACTATCACTGCTGCTTCTTCAGTTCTCAAAGTCAGGAAGGGGATGATCAGACACTGGAATGCAGAGTCTGCTTACAAACATTCATAATTCTCTAAACTTGCTTTACAGGAGAAATAGAAGAAGATGGCTTCTGCCTCCCTTCCATCTTCCAGGTCTTGCAAGAATGCATCCCTTTGATGCAACCTAACTCATGCCACATTTCTTGCTGCAGCCTGAGCAAACATAGTGAGACAGGATTTTATTTTATTTATTTTGTTAAGAATATTTTTGAAATTAGCCGGGAGTGATGGCGCATGCCTGTAGTTTTTGCTACTTAGGAGGCTGAGGAGAGAGGATTGCTTGAGCCAGGAACTCAAGGCTACAGTGAGCTATGATTGTACCATTGCACTACAGCCTGGGTGACCCTGTCTCAAATAATAATAATAATAATAAAAGATTCCTAGCTACAGGAGAATCTGTGAATGTGGTCTTTATCTTGCCAGCACCTGTGGTCAAAAGAGTACATAGAAGGGGTTCTATATCAAGGGTTTCTCTACATCAACTGGCAAAATCATGTCCAGCAAACAAAGTTCATTCAAAAGCAACATATTTGGGGGCTGTGAGCTGGGAACTTCCACACTGATGATAGACAAAGACATATAATTTAAAATACATTAGGAGCTATTAAAGATGGATAAGAAACAAGTAAGCAATTGAAAAGAAAAATGGCCAAGGATATCAATAGGCATTTACAGAAAAAGAAACATGAATGGCAATTTTTAAAGAAAATATGTTTAAACTCACTAGTTATCAGAGAAGACCAAAATTCACCAATACTGAGATATTATTTTATACCCATCAGACTGGCAAAAATTTTAAAGAGCAATGACATATATCAGTGGTGGGAATTGGAAAAGGGCGATTGAATAAGGTCAGGATTCAGGTTTAAAAAAGAGAAATTATTCTGTTTTAATTTGTGTTATGGTTGGGCAGAATGTTTATGTTCTCTCAAAATTTATATGTTGAAATTCTCATCCCTAAGGTGATAGCATTAGAAGATCTGGCCTTTGTGAGGTGATTAAGTCGAAAGGGTGGAGCCCTTGTGAATGGGGTGAGCACCCTTGTGAAAGAGGCCCTAGAGATGTCCCTCATCCCTTCTGCTATGCTAAGTTAGAGTGAGAAGGAGGCTGTCATCTGTGAGGAAGCAGCCCTCACGAAACACTGAATCAGCCAGAGTCTTGATCTTGGACTTTTGGCCTCCAGAACTGTGAGAAATAAATTTCTGTTGTTTGTAAGCCACTCAGTCTATGGTATATTATTATAGCAGCTAGAACAGACTAAGGTAATTAGAAAGGAATGGAACACCAGGAATTATAATGTAAAAGACATATTAAATGAAGTGTATATATCAGGTTGCAGTGCAGGAAACATGAACCACCCAACCTGAAATACAAAATAATTTTTAAGCACCTATTATTGAAAGGGCTGGAGCAGTTGGCTCTAAGCTGCGCCTCTGGCAATGGCCGCCAGAAAATCACCGCTGAATTCACCACCAGACACTGCTTTCCTTTCACCTTTTTTTTTTTTTCAAACATGGAAAAGTATAATGAAACATCATTTCTGTAAGATAGTGACATTATGTATGCATGTGTGTGCATATATATGTGCATAAATTACATGTACAATGGCCAGGTGTGGTGGCTCATGCCTGTAATCCCAGCACTTTGGGAGGCCAAAGCAGGCAGATTACCTGAGGTCAGGAGTTGGAGATCAGCCTGGTCAACATGGTAAAACCCCATCTCTACTAAAAATACAAAAATTAGCTGGGCGTGGTGGCAGGCACCTGTAGTCCCAGCTACTCAGGAGGCTGAGGCAGGAGAATTGCTTGAACCCAGGAGGTCGAAGTTGCAGTGAGCCAAGATCGTGCCACTGCACTCCAGCCTGGGTGACAGAGCAAGACTCCACCTCACAAAAAAAAAAAAAAAATTACATGTATAAGAGGAAAATTATGGAAGGAGACATACCAGGCTGTGAATGTGGGTTACCAGCATAAGTGGAAGAGCATGGGTGGAGATGGGGAAGTTTGAATTGCTGTGAATAAAAGAGGAAGAGGGAATGAGAAAGGCGAGGAGAAAGAAAGGGAAAAAAGAAAAAGAAAAACACTAAAAAAGGACCATTGTTTTCAGCATGGGTCCTCAAAGCCACCCTCTGTAACCTGTAATTTAAAAAGCTTCTGTCCAAACTCACCTGTAAAAAAAAAAAGCACCATCATTCAGCTAAGTATGTCATTGTGATTGATTTACATGACAGCAAGTACTAAACCAAACCACTGCTTAAATTATCCAGATGTTCTAGAACCAAATATTTCCCATTCTGGAAAGTAATTTGGCAAAAGCAACAAAACTTTCATATCCAGTGATCCAAAAATTTACACCTATAGAAATATACCCTAAAGAAAAACTGGAGATTTGGGCACAATTTTTGGTTTAAAGATGTTATTTTACTATTAACTACAGTAGCAAACAATAAGGAAAAAAGCAGTCTAAATGGTAAAAATTAATTTTGTAGATCCATGAAATGGAACATCAAGCAACCACTAAAAATCATATTTTTAAAGATATTTAACAGCACAGGAAACTGCTCATGATATAATATTAAGTGAATAATAAAACAAGACAGAAAATATGGATTGCATGTTAGACACACATACACAAACACAAAGACCTTAAGGAGGAGGCCAGGCACAGTGGCTCATGCCTGTAATCCCAGCACTTTGGGAGGCCAAGGTGGGCAGATCACGAGGTCAGGAGATCAAGACCATCCTGGTTAATGCAGTAAAACCCCGTCTCTACTAAAAATACCAAAAAAAAAAAAGAAAAAAAAATTAGCCGGGTGTGGTGGCAGGCACCTGTAGTCCCAGCTACTCGGGAGGCTGAGGCAGGAGAATTGCTTGAACCTAGGAGGTCGAGGTTGCAGTGAGCCAAGATTATGCCACTGTACTCCAACCTGGGTGACAGAGCGAGACTCCATCTAAAAAAAAAAAAAAAAAAAAAAATACGTAAGGAGGAACTACACCAAAATGCTAATGATGATTATTTCTAGGAAGTAAGTTAAAGGCGATTATCATTTTCTTCATTTATTTGTGTTTTTTTTTAAGTTTTCTATAAAGAGTGCATATTTGGGATGAAATGTTCTTTTCCTCACCTGATATGAAGGCATTCTGTCTAACAAATCAGTTGACCCTGTGATCCCCAGCTTGTCAACTCTGTGAGGGCAGATATCTGCTTCACATTGCGTCCCCCACTGCTGAGCACATGTTAGTGGATGAAAGGTTGGGTGGATGGATTTGGTTGTGCTGGTGGGCCAGAAAGGGGTTTCTCTCCTCCATCAATTCCCTATTATTTTCTCTGGAAGTTTAGTGGCACAGTAGGATTTTCTCATAGCTTGGAGGACCATTCAGCTGATTAAAGTATAGGCACTACTTTCACCTCTTTCTGTATCTATTAGGTTATAAATTAAGGAGAGGATAGCATTTGTGAGAAACAGCCAGCAATAACCAGAAATCATCTGTGCATCTGTCAATATAGCATATGGAAAACCACAGGTATATATGTCAACACGTGGGACTGGTCCAAAGGGTCTCTGCCAGGTCTCACCCATGCACTTCGATGAGTCACATTCTAGCACCTTCAGCCTTCTATATCAATCAGGAAAAACAGAAGCCAATATCATACCAGGAGGAGTTGTGCAAGGTAAGACATTTGGACCATTTAGTACATTTAAAACTCATGCCATATCATTTGACACTTCAGAGTAAAAATTTTGTGAAATGACTTTGTTCAAGATCAACATAGCTACCATTTTGAGCATCTACTCATATTAGGCACCTTAAATACGTACTGGAACTGAATTCTAACAATATTATTATGCTCATTTTCTTTATGAAGAACCTGAGATAATGTAAGTTGCTTTAGGACATATAGCTAATAAATGACAGAGCCAGGATTCAAAGCTGAGCCTGTCCAGCTCCAAAACCTCAGGCTCAGTCCCACGCGCTCGGCAGTCGGACGCATCCTGATTCCCTCCCACTCCAACTGTACTAAAGCAAGTTCTTTTGTTGCCACTTTGATGCATTCATTTTCAGCTAAACAAGTTTTTAAATAGACTTCGTTAATGGATGTCAATGCTTCTGTTCTAGAACTATTTTTCCCTTCAAGACACCCGGGAACATTTCAAAGTCACAACTGAGCAATAACAAATTATGTTTTCCTGAACAAATTTCTAATCATAAAATGATTGTGGATGTTAGTGTTTACATCCTGGCTGTGAGCAGTAGTGCAGGAAAACATCAAAGTTTTTTCGGTAACAAAGAATCACCTCTGATCTTCACTTCAAAGACAACCAGGAAAAAAAATTCTTCCCAGCAACATGTGTGAGATTAATGTCAATCAGGCTTTTCCCTCAACTTGTCTATACAAGTACATGCTTTTTAATAATCAGAGCTTGTTAGGAAACCATAAACCTCCTCCAAAATGGCAGTAAAAATACCTACAGCACACACACACAATTTTTTCCTATGCATTATAAACAAATTTTAGTTGATATATTTTTCCCCACTTAACCCTGTTCCCCAAGACTAATTTTAAAAGAGTGCCAATAAGGCCCCATCACAAAGATGTACAAATGCTGTTTCTAAGCCCAGTAACCTAAACACTTAACATTTTCTCTAATGTGTGTAGAACTTTCCTTCCTCCTCAGAGCCCATGTCTACCTATCCATTTTCTCCCAGAAGCACAAAGCCTTCTGGTCTTGTTCTAGGACTTATTCAGGATTCTCAATTTCACCTTTATAAATAGATGCTCTTTGGGACATGGCAACCGGAGGAAGGCAGCTTTGCTCCTGGAACCCTTCCCAGCCTGGTTTGATGCCTCATCTCTGTCCCCCATAGTGCCCAGTGCTACCTTGACCTTATCACTTATTGTACAATCATCACCTGTGAGTTAGGACCATGTTTTGATCATCTTTGTATCCCTAGCACATAGCCCACTACCCAATACACAGTTGGTGCTCCCAAGTACCTGTTGTCTGATTAAGAGCATGAATGGATGTGCAGATCACCCTTCACCCATATGGCTAAAAGCGAGAGTCTTCAGGAGTCTGGGAAGAAAGAGAGAGAACAATTGGGAAACAGGTCAACTAGAGCAAGGATGGGCAGTTGGAATATGTGACATTAGAAGGTCCAAGAAGTCAGGCAGCATATTTAGCAGAAAGGGGCTTATTAAACACGGGCTAAAGGTGAAGTGAATGACAAGATGACAGCCATTATGGGACACAGGCTGGAGCTTCAGACCCCAGAGAGCAGAAAGCTATATCATTTTCTTTGCTGCCTGTCCAGGATGGACTCTAACGTTTTTAACTATTTGCACCTGGAAACCTTGGTTGAGAACCTGTATCTATGTGTGTACATGAGATCCAGGCTAATGTGGTAGTGCCCTCTTTCATGTGATAAATGCTTAAAAGCTTTCTCAGTACTGCACACCCATGGCCTCCATGATGGATCTGTCCCAAAATTAGCTTGGTAAGACTCCCAGGCTGAATCAGTAAGTAACCCACCATGCTACTAGAATCTGATTAAGGGCATTATAGAATATTTTACAGTGATTTTTAAACACTTTTGGGTGGGCACAGAGGCTCATGCCTGTCATCCCAATACTTTGGGAGGCCAAGGGTAGATCACCTGAGGTCAGGAGTTCGAGACCAGCCTGGCCAACATGGTGAAACCCCGTCTCTACTAAAAATACAAAATTAGCCAGCTGTGGTGGCGTATGCCTGTTGTCCCAGCTACTCAGGAGCCTGAGGCAGCAGAATAGCTTGAACCCAGGAAGCAGAGATTGCAGTGAGCCAAGATCTCACCATTGCACTCCAGCCTGGGCAACAAGAGTAAAACTCTGTCTCAAAAATAAATAAATAAAACATTTTCAGTTTATCCCTGAATGTAATAATTCATTCAATCAACAAATATTTGTTAAGTTTCAAATATTTGTTAGCTACTGTGCTATAATAGTAGGAAAGGTCCAATGTAAAAACATGACACTTTTTCCATTCATTCTGCATGTCCACAGCCACTGTCGTCAAGGGTACAGAAGAATGTGAGCAAAAGCAAAAAAACAGAATATTTATTAAGTCCAATTTCATCTGAATATCAGCCTATACGAAGAGGGCAATTTCTCCTGTAAGTTACTGAAATGAGGTGATAGTTGATTTGGGGGAATTTTATGAATAGATGTTGTCTTCATTCTTTACGTAAAATCCATCCTGGAGTCCACATAATGAACATTAATAACAGCTTGGCCAGAAGCACCAAGTATGTAGAATGGGCTCAGTTGCAGAAAACAGAATTCACACTACCCAGGTGCAGTGGCTCACGCCCATAATCCCAGCACTTTGGGAGGCACAGGTGGGAGGATGGCTTGAGTCCAGGAGTTCGATGCCTGGGGAATATAGCAAGACCCCATCTCTACAAAAAAATTCAAAAAGTAGCCAAGCATGGTGGTGCACACCTGTAGTCTCAGCTACTTGGAAGACTAAGTGGGAAGGATCTCCTGAGCCCAGGAGGTCGAGGCTGCAGTGAGTCACGATTGTGCCACTACACTCTAGCCTGGATGACAGGGAAAGACTTCATCTTAAGGAAACAAACAAACAAACAAAAAGACTTCCATAGATATGCATAAAAAATATGCAAAAAAAAATTTTTTTTAATTTACACTAGCTCTTGCAGGTCAGCAATCTCAGAGGCCTGGAGGCAGGGAGAGTCTGCCATTCCCTGTTCAGTTACTTCTTGAAACTCACCAATCAGAGAAAATGCTCCTCCTTCCCTGGGGAAGAGTGAGAGAAGGAGCCGAGGCAAGCCAGGCACATTATTCTACTGCAAATTTCTCCACTTGGAATTTCTGAGTGAGAAGTTGAGCGCTTCCCACTAACCAGTTCAATATTTTGAAGTAGTTGATTTCCTTCCCTGTGATTCCGACCTGGACTCTGTCTTTCAAAAACAAGCACAATCACAATGTGTGTCTCACCCAATTGCTGAAATAAGGACTGAGCTCTCCTACAGTAGTATAGGACAGTAAGAGTCACCTAGGATGGATAAAAGTATCGTTGACTAGCTGGAAATCTGTGTAATCACGAAGTTTAAGAATGTTTCTCATTTCATGTACATCATCAATCCCAGACCCTCAGCATCAATGCTAGGTTTCTTTTTTTTTTGGAGACAGGGTCTCATTCAGTTGCCCAGGCTGGAGTGCAGTGGTATGATCTCAGCTCACTGCAACTTCTGCCTCCCAGGCTCAAAAAGCAATCCTGCCACCTCAGCCTCCTGAGTAGCTGGGACTCCAGGCGTGCACCACCACACGAGGCTAATTTTTTGTATTTTTTGTAGAGATGGGGTTTTGCCATGTTACCCTCGCTTCCTTGTACAACTTGCACTCCAAGTAATGAGCCAGGATCCAGGTGTTCTTACAGGTATGCTGTAAACATCTGATTTTGCCATTCCTCAGGTTCGTAGCTCAGAACACTGAACAAATATTCACCAAGGAACATAGGGTAATTCTTAGGGTCTGCTTGAGTTACTGCTATCTGGTCTCAAACTCCTGAGCTCAAGAGATCTACTCACCTTGGCCTCCCAAAGTGCTGGGATTACAGGCCTGAGCCACCACGCCCAGCCCAGTACGGGGACTGATAGATCTCAGAGTTATCAAGAGTCATTCTAAAGTGTATTACCCTATACAGTGGCACATGACTGTAGTCCCAGCTAGGCTGAAACAGGAGGATTGCTTGAGCCCCATCGTTTTGGATCCCCAGGCTGGCAAGCTGGGAGGGTACAGTCGCCGAGAGGCTAATAAAAAAGATCCGGAGACAGCAGGCAAGACATGGAGTTTTATTCCGGGGGCTTACATACCGGGCATCCAGGAGTGGCATGCTGGACAGGAAAACCACTGCTATTTTGTGAATAACATGTAAGTTATAAAGGTATTTTCGTTTGGCAGCCTCTACTTAGTAGCCTCTACTCCGCTCAAAACAAAGGCCTTCGCTTCCTTGTATGACTTGTGTTCCAAGGAACGAGTCAGGGTCCTGGTGTTCTTACAGGTATGGTGTAAACATCTGATTTAGCCATTCCTGGGGTCCATACCTCAGAACACTGAACAAACATTCACCAAGAAACATAGGGTAATTCGCAGGGTCTGCTCGAGTTACTGCTATCTGGCAAGACATGCCCACCATCCAAGCGCAGGAGTTCAGGGCTGTAGCGTGCTATGATCATGCCTGTGAATAGCCACTGCACTCTAGCCTGGGAAACATAGCAAGGCTCTGTCTCTAAATAAAATAAAATAAAAACTAACAAATTACAAACTTCTCAACAGGCTTGCCATATTAATTCCCATGGACATACCAATTTACTTTTGAAATTATCTTTTCCAGCAAACCAGCCTCGTTCAACATAAGCTTTAATAACATATTTCAGATACTCTTACTAATCTTACCGAAAATAAATAGATTTCCAAAAAAAAAAAAAAGATCTCCATTTATAAGAACACTTTCACTTCCTTCTTTACTGTTTTGTTAGTACTTGAAATATTTATCTTATTCTCCTTTTGTTTAAACTTGGAACTGGAATTTTAAAGTGGAGCTCATAACCTACATATTCCACATTTGAAAGTTTTAGCCTTATTGGAAAAAACCAGCAGATGTTCATTTCTCATGAAAATATGGCAACAAGAATGCATTTGCAGTTACAAAATAGGGAAAGCCATTTGTGGTACTCATTAATCCTGCTACTCCTGTGAAAAAAGCTAAAAACATTGCCTGCATTTTGCAGATTGAAAAAAAGTAACAGGTTCCATCTTGCTCTAGGTATAAGAGCAAAGCCTTTGGTAGAGCCAGAAATAGAACCTCAAGAGATTTGTGTTCCCTTTTTGATACAGAACAGAACTCAACTCAGCAGCCTCATTAAAATCATGCTACAGAAGAAGCTGGTCTGTCTCTTCACTCAATTTTCTTTAATAGAGTTCAATCATTTATTTCAGCTCTACTTTCAACTGAGTGCCTTATGCTAATTAGTCTGACCATACTGTATAAATTATTACTTTAATTTATATAGTGATTTCATAGAATACATTGGATGCTAAGCATAATGGATAATATGTAATCATTTTAAGGAACTTTTTTTAAAGAAAAAGCACTATTTAAAATCCATATCATCAAATCCTACAGGAGAGGAAGCTGTATTATTTAGGTTCAGCAGGTCAACATGCATCTTCCAATATGACTGCCTTAATATAATTCTGTATTTTAAAGCATTCCAAATTAAGACCCACAATTTTTTAAAGAAAAGCACCTTCAAAGTTACAGAAATTGAGAATTCCATGCTGCCATGGAATTCTGTGTCTACCGTCTTGCCATTGCAGCTGTAATTTCAATTTTCTAAATTTGTGTTTGTGCACACATGTGCAACTGTTAGAGTGGCATTTGAGTCACGAGCTACTACACTGATTAGATGTGCTCAGAACTCCTAATATGTTTACTAACCATCTACACTATTGGACTGGGAATAGACTAGATCTCAAAAAAAAAAAAAAGCAATATGTGGATCCTCAAGGGCAAAATGAAGATTTTTTAAAAAATTTTTAGAGGTCAGGTGTGGTGACTCACCCCTGTAATCCCAGCACTTTGGGAGGCTGAGGCGGGTGGATCATGAAGTCAGGAGTTCGAGACCAGCCTGACCAACATGGTGAAACCTTGTCTCTACTAAAAATACAAAAATTATCCAGGCATGGTGATGCGCACCTGTAATCCCAGCTACTCAGGAGGCTGAGGCTGGAGAATCGCTTAAACCCGGGAGGAGGAGGTTGCAGTGAGCAGACATTACAGCACTGCTCTCCAGCCTGGGCAACAGAGCGAGACTCCGTCTCAAAAAAAAAAAAAAAAAAATTTAGAGATGGGATCTTGCTCTGTCACCGAGGCATGCAGTGGTACTATCATAGCTCACTGCCTCTCACCTCAGCGTCCTGAGTAGCTGAGACTACAGGCACATGCCACCACAATAGGCTAATTTTTCTCAGGCTGGTCTTGAACTCCTGGCCTCAAGTGATCCTCCTACATCGGTCTCCCAAACACTGAAATTACTGGTATGTGCCACCACACTCTGCCTAAAATGAGGAATTTAATCTTGCCTATTGGGTACAGTAGCTGGAAAAATTAAATGAGATAATCTATACAGAGCAGTTAAAGGAGTGCAAAGAATGAAATAAGTGTGCAATAATGGTTAGCTATTATTAGCTGTGAACATGCTGGCCTGAACACATGCTGGTCTTGCAAACATCAACTTTTATTGACATGCATTTATACAACACATTATTAATGAGCATCATTTATGGACATTTTAAACATGGTCTACAAAGTCCAGCATGGTCTGGCAGTCACCAGCATCTCCAGCCACATCCCCTCTGTAGCCCAGATTATATCATGCCTTATCCTATATCTCTCTCCACCCCACCTCACCCCTTGGCTTTTTGTGTAGAAAGTCATGGCAGCCTTTCTACATGTCCATGGATACAGTGAGCTCCTTCCTAGAGCACACACACTGTACATCCTCTTTCCTCTACCTATACCCCAAGCTCCACTCTTTTGCTTTATAAAATGATCTTCAATTTTGTGCTTAATCATCCTTCCCTCAAACTGACAGCTAGGTCCCTGACACCACCACTCCAGCTCTTAAGTGGTAATTTTACATTTATACAGGATTCGTGTATCAATGCCTGTTCCATATACTATACTAAAAGTTCCACAAGGGCAAGGTCCTTGATTTGGGGTTTTATTCACTATTTTCTCTCAGGTCTACTACAGTGCTTGACTATGGTAGGTTCTCATTAGTTTTATAAATGAATAAACATAACCCAACAACAAGGCTATTGCTCCCAAGAATTGAGTATATCTTTCATTTTATTTCACAATCACTATTCTCCTCATCTCTGGCCTTACTCAATCTTACAGTGAAAAACATAGACACTGTACTAGGTAAAAGTAGCTTGGGGTAAAATAAAATGTGAATTTAATAGGTAGAGAAAGGGAGAAGGAGAAAAAGTCAAGTTACTTAAACATAGAAATGGGTTGGTGACCAGTGTTATGAATGTAAAAGTGTCTAAAGACATATGCAGAAAGGATTCTTCTAAGAGTATTGCTTTCTTTTGCGTAGTTGAGAATAATGTTATTTCAGTGGATGGATATGTTCATCACACTGTAATGCATGTAAAAACAACGTGTAAAGAAACATCAATAAAAGGACATCTCAAAGAGTGCTACTTGGAAAAAAAAAGAAAAAAGAAAAAGATATGGGGTAGTGAGTCAACATTAGCAAGGGGTAGTATAAACAGTGTTTAAACCCATGTCTTGAGCCAGGCAAAAGAGCAAGTGACAGAGAGAGGACCTCAATGAAGAAAGAGGAGACAAAAAATAATGGCCTGGGGAGAGCTTAGACCCGTGGGGCTGGCAGAGCCCAGACCAGAGGCGTGGGAGCCGCGCTGCTGGTGCTGGGGGTGCTCCAGCCGGCAGAACAGTGGGAAGGGAAAAGCAGTGGGCCCATTTAGAGGTTGAAAGAGGCAGGGACTGAGAAGCTCCAGGGTTTGAGGACCACTCCCCCATCCATACAACAGTTAGTATCCCAACTGCGGACCATATGTCCCACGCCCCAGAGCGATGGCCCTTGTGGTTTTTTTTTTGTTTGTTTGTTTGTTTGTTTGTTTTTGAGACAGAGTTTGGCTCTTGTTGCCCGCTGGAGTGCAATAGCGCAGTCTCGGTTCACCGCAACCTCTGCCTCAAGCGATTTTCCTGCTTCAGCCTCCCAAGTAGCTGGCATTACAGGCATGCGCCACTATAACCGGTTAATTGTGTATTTTTAGTATAGACGGGGTTTCTCCATGTTGGTCAGGCTGGTCTCGAACTCCCGATCTCAGATGATCTGCCCGCCTCGGCCTCCCAAAGTGCTGGGATTACAGGAGTGAGCCACCGCGCCCGGCCGCCCCTTGTCTCTTTAGGTCTCTTCTGCTTTATCAAACATGGACACAAAAAGGGTGCTCCTCAGGCGTACAGGCGCCGCCAACCAGCCACTGCTTCTGGTAAAGAGTCTTTCATCGCATTTAGTCATTTCTACAGTAAAACGTATTTTCCAAAGAGTACAGAACACCAGTCATGATGAGTTTTGTTTCTTTGTTTCTTAGAATCAGGGGTTTCATTCGTCCACAGAGAAAGATGATTTCCTATTTTTGTATTTTCAAGTTGTAACACATGTTTTTTCCCTTAGCTCTTATAACGTTAATATTTTTATATTTCATTATGGGTTTTTATTCTTCATTAAAAATGTCAGTCCAAGGGAGGCCTTTGTTTCGTCCATTTAAGGATTAGAAGATTGCCTGGCACAGAGTACACACCTGATGAAGGCGTGCTGAATACCTAAGTGAATAAAAACGCGGCATAAATAGCAGCTCAGGGCTCTAGGCGGTCGCGTGACTGAGAGCCTAGGCGCCAAGGGGAGGAGAGGGTAATCGCGAAGTCTCCCCAGGGGAGAAACCGAGGGGCTGAGAGAACCAGATCGACGAGGGCCAAGGCCCAGCAGGATGCCTGAAGAAGCCGATTCTCCTGCCCAGGGTACCTGAGGTTCGAAGGATGCTTCGTGCAGGCTCGCCTTGTGTCTCACCCGCCAGACCTAGGAAGCCAGACCTAGGCAGGCAGTGGACACAGGTGGCCAATGGCTGGGCCCGTCCAGCCCCCGTCCTGCCCTCGTCCCGAAGTTTCCTGGGATTGGCTGCCTGCCCCGCGGCCCTCCTCCCAGCCCCGCCCTCGCCCAGAGTCTTCCCTGCGCCGAAAGCGCAGGTATGTTCCTAGTCTTGAGCGGGAGAAAATCACCCAGCTCGGAGCACCTGGCCAGTGGGACCGGTGGGTTCCTGGTGCCTGAATCCGGCTGTCCGCTCTGCGGTGCCCCGCCCCGCCCCAACCCAGGATCTTCCCAGCCCCGCTCCGCCCCAACCCAGGATCTTCCCAGCCCTCGTGTGTCCCCGCTCACTTCAGTTCCCGCCGCGAGCCTTCTTCTTGGTCTTCTGGCCTGGCGGCGATCGTCGGCCAGTTTATCCCTCGGAGTTGCACTGTGAGTGCGTTTCTGCCCTTTGGTCTCCGGCGGGGAGGGCTCCCAGGCAGGGTCTGGGCTCGCCCCGTGTCCCCTCGAGCTTTGCCCGCCCCGAGCTCCTCTGCTGCCCGCGGCCAGAACGGAGGGGTAAAGCAGCCCTCGGCGGCCCAGGGGGCGGACGGCCGTGCCCGTCCCAGGGCCGCGCGAGGCACAGGCGCTGCGTCCTGCGGAGCCGCTGGGAGAATCCCGGGGCAGGTCCCGGCGCGGTAACAAGTTTGCGCTTTGCCTCCCTAGGGCAGACACGCCGCTACTTTGTAGCGGGTTTCGGGCGGGCCACGCGTGCGGCGACAGGAACCCAACCCCGGCCGACCTTGGGCTCCAGGAATTCGTTGTCTACGTCTGCGGAGGTGCGGCAGCCTCAGTTTTAAGCGCAGGTATGTTCCTACCCTTGAGCGGGAGGAAATTACCCAGCCCTGAGCACGTGGCCAGTGGGACCGGAGGGTTCCTGGTGTCTGAATCCTGCTCGCTTAACAGGAAGGCAATAGAGGCTGTGCTCTGAACCTTTCCCTCACGATGATCTTCTGCCTGTTGACCATCCTGGTGTCTTTCCCATGTGGCCCTGTATGGTTGGCATGGTTCCTGTCTTTAGGACTTGTGAGTATAACGCTTTATTTTTTCCTGAGCTTCTCCTATGTCTCCCCTTTGTGAGCACAGTGGCCAAAGAAGTCCATTTGGTCCCATGTCTAATCCATCGCATAACTGCTTGGCCCCCTTTGGTAGCCATGTCTGTTTTAGGTTGTGGGGCATTTGCCCGACAATGAACGTGAGTCAGAGATAAGAGGAGGGTCGCAAGCTGGGTGGAGGAGAGACAGGGAGTCCATTTTTGCCTGCCCATTTAGCAGCTTTCTCAGCCCTACAATTCCATAAAGATACTCTATCAGTTTCCTAAGTGTTGCGCAATGAACAATAATAATTTATGTAGGAAAATAAATAGACTGTAATAGGATAACAATTATATGCCCATTGGTGATGGGAGTATATGCTGAGGTCGAGAATCTATGGGGGGGTAGGGCGCAGTGGCTCACTCCGGTGATCCCATCACTTTGGGAGGCCGAGGTGGGCGGATTGCCTGAGGTCAGGAGTTCGAGACCTACCTGGCCAACATGGTGAAACCCCATCTCTACTAAAAATTCAAAAATTAGCCAGGCGTGGTGGTGCATGCCTGTAATTCCAGCTAGCCGGGAGGCTGAGGCAGGAGAATTGCTTGAACCTGGGATGTAGAGGTTGTGGTGAGCGGAGATCGCACCACTGCACTCCAGCCCGAGCAACAGAGTGAGATTCCATCTCAATTAATAATAATAATAAGAAGAATTCCGTCTCAAATCATCATCATCATCATCTATGGGGTTTCCAAACTGCCAAGGACATGGCAGAGTCCCAGGGTATACCTAGTCAGTGTAAGTAGTGTACGTTTTCTCTTTCACCAGTGTACAAGCTCACTATGTCATAGCTGGTTATTATCTTTCTGAGAATTTTGTTTATAAGAGTTGTCACAGGATAGAGTAAGTCTGTTTTTGTTTGTTTGTTTAAGACAGAGCCTCGCTCTGTTGCCCAGGCTGCCATCTCGGCTCACTGCAACCTCCACCTCCTGGGTTCAAGTGATCCCCCGAGTAGCTGGGAAGACATGCACAAGCCACCACGCTGGCTAATTTTTGTATTTTTTAGTAGAGATGGGATTTCACCATGTTGGCCAGGCTGGTCTCAAACTCCTGACGTCAGGTGATCTGCCCTACCTCGGCCTCCCAAAGTGCTGGGATTACAGGTGTGAGCCACCACACCCGGCCCAGAGTAAGTGTGGATGGCTCAAGGAGTATCTTAAGAGGTCTTCTTGTGGTTTAGAAGCCAACTCTGTGACTGTAAGGCAATCATGTGATGTGGAGTGGGGTTCTCCATCAGGGAGAGGTACAGGTTTAGAGCATTACAGAGTTGCAAGATGAGGAGGGGTTGGTCTGTCAAGTAGAAAGGCACTCTTTTATGGAACTGTAAGAGTTGACACAGAATGGGAAACAAAGGTAAATAAGAGAACCTATTGTAAGGTTAATGGCTTTGTCAATTAGGATGGCAGCTGAGGTCACTACATAGGCATAGGAGCATGCCTGATACCACGGGATCCAACTGACATGAAAAATATGCTATGAGGCCGGGCATGGTGGCTCACACCTATAATACTAGCACTTTGGGATGCCAAGATGAGAGGATCACTTGAGCTTAGAAGTTTGAGACCACCCTGGGCAACATGGCCAGACCTTGTCCCTATTAAAAATAATTTTTTTTAAAAAAGGAAGCCAGGTATGGTGGTGCATGCCTGTAGTCCCAGCTACAGGGGAGACTGAGGTGGGAGGATCTCTTGAGCCCAGGTGTTCGATGCTGCAGTGAGCCATGCTTGCACCACTGCATTCCAGCTTGGGCAACAGAGTGAGACCCTGTTTCTAAGGAAAAAAAAGAAAAAAAAATATGCTATGCAACTTACCTGAGAGGAAGAAAGTTGTCCTAGAATACCTACAGCTATCTCATTGTTTTCACAGCAATATACACGGAAAGGCTTGTCAAAACTGAGTAAATAAAAACAGGTGTGTGGGGTGGTTAATGCTAATTTCAATATCTCAGTGAAGGTTTCTGTGGTTATGCCTGGGAGAGCATGTAGAGGTTAGGCAAAGGCAGCACAACTGGGAATCCATTGGTAGCAACAGCCAGCTGCTAAGTGTGCACACCTGCCTTCGAGATCAGGAGGAACGCAAGTGACGCAAGGCCTTTGCGGGTGAGTTTGAGTAACTTGAGACATTCCATGGCCTAAGTAGGTAACAGTTCAAATGTCCGTACCCATTGAAATCTGGTTCTGGGAGGCATTATGACCAGAGTCAGCCAGTCTTCAGATGTTCTCAGGTGAAAGCAGTCTATACTATTCTGCTGGGCCATTACTGCTTACAGTGTCAAATACCAACACTTGGTTTTTATGCACTGTCAAAGCTAAGGTTAAGTTTGAATGCATCATATGTGATATGCAAAAATATCACAAATGTGCTTAAACTGTAAGGAATTTGTTCAGCTGTGACTCCAGACAGGAGTCTAGCTCCTCCAAAGAGGAGCTTTACATTCTCTTCTCTGGGTTTTATGGAGACTTACTTAACCCTTCTGCTTAATGCACTGTGTCAACCTTAAAAGGGGCACAAGAAAGGGTGATTTAAGATTTTTTTTTTTTACAGGGTTTGCTACTACTCCCTGCACTGCTCCCTGGTCCACAGCTCATGAATCTTAGTTTCTTTTTTGAGATGGAGTTTCCCTCTTGTTGCCCAGGCTGGAGTGCAATGGCACAATCTCAGCTCACTGCAACCTCCACCTCCCAGGTTCATGCCATTCTCCTGCCTCAGCCTCCCGAGTAGCTGGGATTACAGGCATATGCCGCCACGCCTGGCTAATTTTATATTTTTAGTAGAGATGGGATTTCTCCATGTTGGTCAGGCTGGTCTCGACCTCCCAACCTCAGGTGATCCGCCCGCCTTGGCTTCCCAAAGTGTTGGGATTACAGGCATGAGCCACTGTGCCCGGCTGCATCTCAGTTTCTTTAAGTCTGCAATCCCCATTAGAAGCAGCTGTTTTGCTAAGTGAGCCCATGGGTGTCAATTGCCTTTCTGTTAAGAGAGCCAGATTCGGGCCTTGGTGACAAATGCACCAAGGAACCCTCCAGTCCCACTGGTCATGCGCTTGTGGCCTGGGTCATTTCATTTCACTCAAGGCCAGGGATGTATATGTTAACCTCCATGGGAAAGAAGAGGCAGGGCAGGGTGAACAGCTTAGGATTGGCTAGTTTGAATAATTTCAATGGATTTCAAATTGTAGAGGTTGTCCCCTAGTTGCATAGCACTTGGCCCTGGGATGATTAAGGCAGACAAATAATTGCTTACATGTGTGTAAGGGCCAGATAGAGGAGGTATGGCTCTGGATTGATTAGTTTGTATATCAAAGACATGCTCCTGGTTGGCCCCTTGTTATCTCTGAGAATTGGCTAGTCCCTAAGAAAGGTAGTCTCTCCTCAGCTGGAAAGGTTTTTTGTTTGTTTGTTTTTGGTTTTGTTTTTTAGACAGAGTCTCACTCTGTCACCCAGCCTGGAGTGCAGTGGCGTGATCTTGGGTCACTGGAATCTCCACCTCCTGGGTTCAAGCGATTCTCCTCCCTCAGTCTCCCGAGTAGCTGGGACCACAGGCGCACACCACCATGCCCAGCTAATTTTTATATTTTTAGTAGAGGTGGGGTTTTGCTGTGTTGGCCAGGCTGTTCTTGAACCCCTGGCCTCAAGTGATCCATCCGTCTCAGCCTCCCAAAGTGCTGGGATTACAGGTGTGTCCCACCGTGCCCGGCCCTCAGCTGGAAAGGTTTTCCAAACGTCAGAACATAATTAGTATACAGAAAATTTTAAGGTATTTACATATGTGTGAATAGGATGATCAAAAGAGCCAAAAAGAGCCAAAAGACAGTTGGCTCTTGGCATCCATAGCATTTCTGATCAAATTATTTCCCAGTGCAGTACTTGTAAATCTCACCAAGACTCTAGAGATGGTAAGCATACTGCAAAGAGTCTTCCAAGACCCACACTGCCTTTTATGGTACTCTAAATGGACTTTATAGATTTGTCTCCAGCCTTAGACTGTTCTCACTGCATGTTTAATGGATGGACTGTGCTATCCAACTAGATGTGCTAAGGCCATAACAGTGGAAAAGAAACTAACAACTGAGATTATTTCTTGTTTTGGCATTCCTTTATGAATTGAATCAGATAAAGGAACTCACTTTACGCAGAATTAAATCAGTTACTTGCAAAACTCTTGGATATTCATTAAAATTGTATACCCCCTACTATACTCAATCCTCAAGGCAAGTGAAACATAAAAATCTAAACATAAAATGAACTCTAGGAAAAAATCTGTCAATAAACTGGACTCAGACGGCCAGAAGCATTACCCTTGGTCCTTATAAAGATCTGGAATACTGACCGGTATGGTGGCTCATGGCTGTAATCCCAATACTTTGGGAGGCTGAGACAGGATGATCAGTTGAGGCCAGGGGTTCCAGACCAGCCTGGGCAACAAAGTGCGACCTCCATCGCTACAAAAAATAAGAAACAAACAAAAAAGGTCTGGAATACTCCAAAT
This sequence comes from Homo sapiens, assembly GCF_000001405.40. Lineage (NCBI taxonomy): Eukaryota > Metazoa > Chordata > Mammalia > Primates > Hominidae > Homo > Homo sapiens. Next base: position 52,746,156 of record NC_000004.12, on the reverse strand, counting down.
AGGAGGACTGACTGCTTTTGAAATAGTTTTTGGCTACTCTGTGCCTACTGGCATCTCTAAAACTTTCATAGATTGAATGTGCATTGTGAGGACTTCAGTGAACAATTCAAAACTGTGACTAATTATATACAATAATTAGTATACTTGGAGCATATTTTCAACAGGTAAAAATGTGTGGCTTTCACTAACAGACCCTGCCATCTTTTCAACCAGGTGATCAAGTATATCTGAAAGTTTTTAGAAGAAAAGATGTGTTGTAACCTCCCTGGAAAAAGAAGAGACCTTATGAAGTACTGCTAACCACCTACATAGTCATCAAAATAAAATTCCTGAATTTGTACAAGCCACAGGAAGCTAGATTGAGATCATTATATGACAACTGGAAGGCCAAGGCTATGGGTTACCTCAAATTGAGGAATTTTGGCACCTACTCACAGGCTCCATGAGCAGATGAAGTAGACAGCTTTACTCAGTATCTCAGACCAAGAACTTCATCTCCATCTCCAACTAGCTGAAACATCTTCCCTCCTCAACCTGGAAAATTCTCTGACTTAGAAATTTAAACAAAACCCTCCCCTTTCATTGAATCTCCATTGTCTGGAGTTTGCTTGTTTTAATCTAGCCTGTTCCTCCACTATGGGCTCCCTTTCAAACTATGCCCTGCTTCAACTAACCCTTACTGCTTTTTTGACAATTCTAGTACAACCTCAGCACCTGCTTGCTCCAGTTTTCCGGACACTATCTATCTTGACTAATCAGTCTAATTGCTGGTTATGTGAACATCTAGATAATGCAGAACAACCCGAACTAGTTTTTGTTCCTGCCAGTGCAAGCACCTGGTGGACCTATTCTGGACAATGGATGTATGAAAGGGTGTGGTATCCACAAGCAGAAGTACAGAATCACTCTACTTCCTCCTATCGTAAAGTGACTTGGCACTGGGAAGCCTCCATGGAAGCTCAAGGTCTATCCTTTGCTCAAGTAAGGTTATTGGAGGGAAATTTTTCTCTTTGCGTAGAAAATAAAAATGGCAGTGGACCCTTCCTAGGTAATATACCTAAACAATACTGTAATCAAATACTATGGTTTGATTCTACAGATGGCACCTTCATGCCCTCTATAGATGTTACAAATGAATCCAGGAACGATGATGATGATACAAGTGTTTGCCTAGGCACTAGACAATGTTCCTGGTTTGCAGGTTGCACAAACCGGACCTGGAACAGCTCAGCTGTTCCCTTGATTGGTCTGCCCAATACCCAAGACTACAAATGGGTAGATCGAAATTCTGGATTGACCTGGTCAGGTAATGACACCTGTCTCTATAGCTGCCAAAACCAAACCAAAGGCCTTCTGTACCAGCTATTTCGCAACCTATTTTGCTCTTATGGCCTGACAGAGGCACATGGGAAATGGAGATGTGCAGATGCCAGCATAACTAATGACAAAGGTCATGATGGACACCGGACCCCCACCTGGTGGCTCACAGGTTCCAATCTGACCTTGTCTGTGAACAACTCTGGCCTCTTTTTTTTGTGCGGCAATGGGGTGTACAAAGGGTTTCCACCTAAATGGTCTGGGCGATGTGGACTTGGGTATCTTGTACCTTCCCTCACCAGATACCTCACCTTAAATGCTAGCCAAATTACAAACCTGAGATCCTTCATTCATAAAGTAACACCGCATAGATGCACCCAAGGAGACACAGACAATCCACCTCTGTATTGCAACCCCAAGGACAATTCAACAATAAGGGCCCTTTTTCCAAGTTTGGGAACTTATGATTTAGAAAAGGCAATTCTAAACATTTCCAAAGCAATGGAACAGGAATTCAGTGCCACTAAGCAGACCTTGGAAGCACACCAATCAAAAGTTAGCAGTTTAGCCTCTGCATCCCGAAAGGATCATGTCTTGGATATACCGACCACCCAACGACAAACGGCTTGTGGAACTGTTGGCAAACAGTGTTGCCTCTATATAAATTATTCGGAAGAAATAAAGTCTAATATACAGCGTCTCCACGAAGCATCCGAGAACCTGAAGAATGTACCGTTACTTGATTGGCAAGGCATATTTGCAAAAGTGGGAGACTGGTTCAGATCATGGGGCTATGTGCTTTTAATTGTTCTTTTCTGCTTATTCATCTTTGTTTTAATCTATGTTCGTGTCTTTCGCAAATCTCGCAGATCCCTTAACTCCCAACCTCTGAACCTAGCCTTATCTCCACAGCAATCAGCACAGCTCCTTGTCAGTGAAACTTCATGTCAAGTTTCAAATAGGGCAATGAAGGGACTAACAACCCATCAATATGACACAAGTCTACTTTGAGAATATCTGAACAAACAGCAGCTGCAGACAAAAAGCCTTAGCTAAACTTTGATGAGTAAAGCAGGTCTTACCGAGAATTCAGCTGCCAAAACCCTCCTCTGAGTGTTCCTCTTATAAGGGCACTTAGCACTAGGACCTCCCAAGGTATTGTAAATAAGCCTTATCAGAACTTTTTGTAGTTTCATTCTGAAGCCTTAAGACACACACCATAAAGCTGATCTGTAAACCCTTACCCCTTGCTGTTCAGAGAGCTACTCTTTGTAGTGTTCTTGCATGCATATATAATAAATGTTTTTTCTATTGATCTGTTAATTTGCAAGCCCCCAAACACTGGAACTAAGTTGGGGGCAGGATAGTTTCTCCCAACAGCACTTTGTAGGCTTCTGGATAGACCAAAGAGTGTGTTTGAATAGATAAGGGAATTTTGTTCCCTTGATTTTGGTTGAAGGTAGAAGAATCCAATGTACACATACACAAAACTATGTCCTTAAATTTGTCTCAAAGAATAAATATTGGGTAGTCATCAGAATTGACTGAAAACTTACTTTAGGGAGAAAGCCACAAATAATTTAGGCTGGTATGATCTGAGCTTTCCTGATTTCCCATGGGCATTTTAGTGGTCTAATGGAATATTAGTCTGATATGCATTTTAGCCATCTTATGAAATGGGCCGCAGGTGGAAGTAGGATGCAGGGAGTGTTGAGGTGGCATCTATTATATCAAATGCTTCACTCTGCCCAGTCCTCTGGTGAGTTCCTTACATGCATCTTTCTAGTTAATCCTCTCGGTGTTCATATTTTACAGATTAATCAACTCAAAGGGTAGATAGCTTGCTAAAGATTATACTATTACTGAAAAATAGCAAGATGCAGAACAGCATACCTAGTATGTTACTCTTTTTTTTTTTTTTTTGAGGCAGAGTCTGGCCCTTTCACCCAGGCTGGAGTGCAGTGGCTCAATCTCGGCTCACTGCAACCTCTGCCCCCTTGGGTTCATGCCATTCTCCTGCCTCCCTCCTGAGTAGCTGGGACTACAGGCGCCTGCCACCACGCCTGACTAATTTTTTGTGTTTTTAGTAGAGACGGGGTTTCACCGTGTTAGCCAGGATGGTCTCAGTCTCCTGACCTCATGACCCGCCCACCTCAACCTCCCAAAGTCCTAGGATTATAGGTGTGAGCCACTGCACCCAGCCTCGTATGTTACTTTTTATTTTAAAAAAGGGGAAATGATATGTATATGTGTATGTATTTGCAAATAAAACAGGAAAAGCCATTCACAATTGAAAGTGATTCACATGTAAGAGGAATGGACTGTGAGATTCTCACCTCCTTTTTAAGGTTGCACATAAACAAATTTATGAACATAGCAGATTGATAATTTATTAACAGAATAATCATTTCAAGTTACATTAAGAAAACATGGATGGCTGGGCACGGTGGCTCACGCCTGTAATCCCAGCACTTTGGGAGGCCAAGGTGGGCAGATCACGAGGTCAAGAGATCAAGACCATCCTGGCCAACATGGTGAAACCCCATCTCTACCAAAAGTACAAAAATTAGCTGGGCATGGTGGCAGGCACCTGTAGTCCCAGCCACTCAGGAGGCTGAGGCAGGAGGATCGCTTGAACCCAGGAAGCGGAGGTTGCGGTGAGCTGAGATCGCACCACTGTATTCCAGCCTGGCAACAGAGTGAGATTCTGTGGCAAAAAAAAAAAAAAAAAAAAAAAAAAGCACAGACTGGGTGTGGTGGCTCATGCCTGTAATTCCAGCACTTTGCGAGGCTGAGGCAGGTGGATCGCTTGAGCCCAGAAGTTGGAAATCAGCCTGGGCAACCTGGTGAAACCCTGTCTCTACAAAAAATTAGCCAGGTGTGGTGGCATGTGCCTATAGTCCGAGCTACCCAGGAGGCTGAGGTGGGAGCATCACTTGAGGCTGGGAGGTCGAGGCTGCTGTGAGCCAAGATTGTGCCACTGCACTCCAGCCTGGGTGATGGGGTGAGCTTCTGTCTCAAAAAGATAAAGAAAAGAAAACTCATACTCTGGAACAATAGAACCCTTATAGATGGGTTTGTTGTTCATAGTAATGTTGATATCAAAAGAAGGTAGGCTGGGTGCAGTGGCTTATGCCTGTAATCCCAGCACTATGGGAAGCCAAGGCAGGCAGATGACCTGAGGTCAGGAGTTGGAGACCAGCCTGACCAACGAGGAGAAACCCCATCTCTACTAAAAAAAAAAAAAAAAAAAAAATACAAAATTAGCCAGGCCTGGTGGTGCATGTCTGTAATCCCAGCTACTCGGGAGGCTGAGGCAAGAGAATCACTTGAACCCACTAGGCGGAGATTGTGGTGAGCCAAGATCATGCCATTGCACTCCAGCCTAGGCAACAAGAGCGAAACTCTGTTTCAAAAAAAAACCCCAAAAAGCACAAAACACACACACACACACACACAAAAGAAGGTAATAAAAACTTTCAGCAATATAGGACACAAGAGAAAGCCTCCTTGAGCTGAAAGATATAGGACTTCCTGTGTTTGTTATGCAATATGCATTGAAACTAGAGAAGCCATTAAAAGAAATGCAACTTTCAGTATTGGGTATTTGTGGTACTTGGTTTTCTTTCTTTCTTTCTTTCTTTCTTTCTTTCTTTCTTTCTTTCTTTCTTTCTTTCTTTCTTTCCTTTCCTTTCCTTTCTTTCTCTCTCTCTCTCTTTCTTTCTTTCCTTACTTTCTTTCTTTCTCTCTCTCTTTCTCTCTTTCTCTCATTCCTTCTTTCTTTCTTTCCTTTTTTTTTGACGGAGTTTCACTCATGTTGCCCAGGCTGGAGTGCAGTGGCACAATCTCAGCTCATCGCAACCTCTGCCTGCTGGGTTCAAGTGATCCTCCTGCCTCAGCCTCCTGAGTAGCAGGGATTACAGGCACGCACCACCATGCCCACCTAATTTTTTGTATTTTTAGTACAGACAGGGTTTCTCCATGCTGGTCAGGCTGGTCTCGAACTCCCAACCTCAGGTGATCCGCCCGCCTTGGCCTCCCAAAGTGCTGGGATTACAGGTGTGAGCCACCGCACCTGGCCTGGTCCTCATTTCACAATGTCAAGTACGAATACAAAGTGAAGAGGAAATATGAAATAAAGGGGCAGTCATTGGAATGTTAGAAAATGTCTTATTAAAAGGATAAAGTTTCATCAAATAGCATGACTGATTATGAGGTGTGTTAAGCTGCACAATATTTGATTAAAGTAAGGTTTGTAGGGCATGACAAGTTATAGAAAATAGTTTCAACATTACTGGTGATGGACACAAAGGTATTTCTGATTTTCAAAACTCATAGGGGAAAAAAATCCTCTTTCCATTGTTATGCATCAGAAGGAACACAAAATAGGTTGGTTGGCAAAAACATTTATTAGCCAGCTCAAAGGTTCACCAGATGTTTCACCTTCCTATTTCCTGATACATTTATTAATTAGAAGCTTACTTAAGGAAAATTGTTATCCAATATTTTTTATCAGTGTGGACTCATGGATATATACATTGTTCTTTGGGTTGTAATCCAGTACTATCATACTGTTGCTCAAAGTGTTGCAGCTTTGGCCTTTGAGAGCTCTTGGAAAATTTGTTCCTGTTTCCTTTTGACATGCCTCTCCCTATGTGTTTTTTGTTTGTTTGGCCTTATTTTTTTTTTTTCAGCACTTCCTTACTCTCCAGCGCTCCAATATGCTGCAAGCTCATCTTTTATTTTTCCTGCCCAGCCCTAGAATCAGTGATTTTTTTTTCCCAAGAAACCATTGTTCCCTGTACTGAAAAATGGTTTTAGAAACCAAGATCTGGGCACAAGATGTGCTCATTGCTACTGCTACTAGGTTATCACTGTGTAGGCCCCCTCAGTGGACACAGCTAGGAAATGTTTGTATGTATACACAGATACCTATACATATATACCTACAGTTTATTGAAATAAACGAGTTTATACTGATATCTCCAACTCTCAGCACCACAGGATTCATTCTAGCCTCACCTTACCCCTTGCTTATTTGTAACTTTTCTGTTGCTGAGAAACCTGTCTCCTATTAGCTAAGATTTATTTGCTTATTTGTTAAACTCTACTATATGTGTAAACTAGTTACATAACATAGTTACATAATTGCTAACCTGTCCCTTTATGAGAAACAAAGTAACCAATTAGAATACAGCGTTTGCTTTTTTGTCTTTGGCTTTGCAGTATTCAGTCAAGACATCGTTTTCAAAAGTTAAATCGTCTCCTCAATTTATATATAGGTATATACACATATGTGTATATATATTCACTTCTTTAAAAGTTAACCCATCATTATTGGCATCTAGAGAATCTACATACAAAGTACAAGCAACAAGAAAATGCTAAATTCACTTAAATCATGAAAAGTAATTGGGCTAGGCTCCTCATACAATTCTAATGATAGTTACACAGATGGACTACTGAAGAACAAATACTTTTTATTCTTTTGATTGTTATCTATGACTTTATACAAGATATATGTTTTTTAATTTCTCCACAGAAAGCTTCAGAAGATGAGTATTTAAATGTAGCCATCTTAACCAGCAATCAGTACTACCACAAGGAATATTTCAGGGGTGGCAACAACCCTGTGATAATCCTGCAGCATGGGTCGATTTGCTTTCAAAACCTAGAGGTGTACAAAGTCAAAGGTGAAGAAAATGTGCATTTGCTGTTAAGAAAATATTATGATATACAGTAATTACAACTGTGAGGGAATATATGCAATAAAAATAATTGTTTGGGAGGAAATGTGGATGATTTTTTTTTCTGTTTTCCAAACGAAAGCCTTAGGACATAACACTTTTTGAGTGAGATCTTTGTGGTGACATAATAATTCTATATCTGAGTTGTGATGGTTCCATGAATTTACACATGACAAAATGACACAGAATGATGTAATATTGGCACACACAGCTCAATGTCAATTTTCTAGTTTTGTTTTTGTGCTATAGTGACTTCCACTTGGGAGAATTTGGGTGAAGGCTACGTGGAATCTCTCTGCACTGTTTTTTTTTAAATATATAATTCAGAGTAAAAAGCTTTAAAAAGTAATAGTATTTTACATCCTCAAATTAAACAGATGTGTAAATATATACATATATAGTTTATGTATGTTAAACCTAGTTGCCTTTTTTAATGAGTTTTTTTTCTGTATTAAACTATCCTTCAGAAAGGTTGAAGCAAATGTACCATGTATAATAGGATATTTAAAATTTCATTTTCATTGGCAGAGTAATTTCACAGGAAATGTATCTTAAGGAAATACTCTGCCCTTTCATACCTTCTGTCTTCCTAATAATTTCTACAAAGATATTCAAAAAACCCTTTTGCCAAATAAATGGTCTATAAACTTCTTAACACATCGTGCAGTGCCAGTCTTAATGGTTGGCCACTCCCTCTTTCCAAACACCTTCCCTGAATCACAGTGTGATGCTTAATTTTTGTGTCAACTTTACTGGGCTACAGAGCACCTAGATATTTGATTAAACAGTATTCTGAGTGTTTCTGTAGAAGTGTTTTGGGACGAAATTAACACTTAAATGGGAATACCGAGTAAAGCAGATTTATCTGCCTAATGTGAGTGGGCCTTATCCAATCAGCTGAAGGCCTAAAGAGAATAAGAGGGCTGACCCTCCCCTGAGGAAGAGAATTCTTCCTGCTTGACTGCCTGTGAATTTGACCTTTCCCCCTTGCCTTCAGCTCTTTCTGGGTCTCAAGCCTACCAGCCCTTAAACAGGAACTACACAATTGGCTCTCTTGAGTCTCCAGCAATGATTCCCAAATCTGTATCTCAAACCTGGATTTCACTACTCAACTCCAAACTCATGTCTCTTTGTACTTATCTGTCATCTCCCCTTGGATGCTGAAGAGGCATCTCAACCTTAGCATGAACAAACTTCACTTTCAGCTCCCTCCCCCAGACTTATTCTTCAGTTTTCCTTATCTCAATGAATAATGACACTATTCCACCCAGTTGCTCATGCCAAAACTCAGGTGGTCTTTCACTATTCCTTTCTTTCCCTTTTTTCCAACACATCCAATCAACCAGCAAGCTCCTTCAACTCAATTTCCACAACACAGTCAGAATAATCTATCAGCATTACCCCACTTTAAACCACCACTTCCTCTAGCCACTTCGGAAACCTACTGTGTTTAATCTTATCCCCCTAAAAATCTATTCTTTGTGCTTTAGGCAAATGCGGACTTTAGAAAACATAACCAGTATCACTTGGCCAGGCGCAGTGGCTCATGCCTGTAATCCCAGCATTTTGGGAGGCCAAGGTGGGCGGATCACTTGAGGTCAGGAGTTGAAGACCAGCCTGGCCAACATGGAGAAACCCCGACTCTACAAAAAAATACAAAAATGAGGGCCAGACATGTGACTCATGCCTGTAATCCCAGCAATTTGGGAGGCCAGGGGGGGTGGATCACAAGGTCAGGAGATCAAGACAATCCTGGCTAACACAGTGAAACCTGTCTCTACTAAAAATACAAAAAATTAGCTGGGTGTGGTGGCACACACCTGTAGTCCCAGCTACTCAGGAGGCTGAGGCAGGAGAATTGTTTGAACCCGTGAGGCGGAGGTTGCAGTGAGCCGAGATCGTGCCACTGCACTCCAGCCTGGGTGACAGAGTGAGACCCAGTCAAAAAAAAAAAGAAAGAAAGAAGAAAAAGAAAGAAAAGAAGAAAACATAACCAGTATCACATAACTTCCTATATGAAAAGTCTTCAAGGGCTTATCATTGAAGAATAGATCCAAACTCTTTACACAGCCCATAAACCCATATATGATCAGATACTTCGATTTCCCATGTTTGTTCTTATCTTGAGACTTTTGTTATAGCTGTTCCTCTGCCTGGAATACTTCCCCTGTGTCCATCTTCACATGGCTTGAGTTATTGTCACTAAGGTCTCAGTTTAAATATTACCTTTGGGAGGCTTCCCAATCTGAAGAAATACTGTAGTCCCTTAATGGCATGGTGCATTACCTGGTATTTTATCTTTCCTCTCTAGAATAAATGAGGGATGCAGGTACTATAGCCATCAGACAGCATAGCATTAAAAGAAAGTAGGAACTTTTGAGTGGGAATAAAATTGGTCCTTTCATAATCTTTATTTTTATCAAGTTGAATGATTTCTTAATTTTCACTTATTCATCCATTCGTTCAAAAAATATTAATTGGCCAGGCACAGTGGCTCATGCCTGTAATCCCAGCATTTTGGAGGCCGAGGTGGGTGGATCACCTGAGGTCAGGAGTTCAAGACCAGCATGGCCAACATGATGAAACCCCGTCTCTACTAAAAATACAAAAATTAGTTGGGTGTGGTGGTGGGTGCCTGTAATCCCAACTACTCGGGAGGCTGAGGTGAGAGAATCGCTTGAACCCTGGAGGAGGTTGCAGTGAGCCGAGATTGCACCATTGCACTCCAGCCTGGGCAACAAGAGTGTAACTCCATCTAAAAAACACACTATATATATATGTGTGTGTGTGTATATATATGTGTGTATATATATGTGTATATATGTGTGTATATGTATGTGTATACATATGTGTATATATGTGTATATATGTGTGTATATATGTGTATATATACGTGTATATATGTGTATATACGTGTATATGTGTATATATGTGTGTATGTATATACATGTGTATATATGTGTATATATGTGTATATGTGTATATATGTGTGTATGTATATACATGTGTATATATGTGTATATATATGTGTATATATATATATGTATAAATTGAGTATTAAGTATTTCCAATGTGCTAGTCATTGTTCTAGGTGTTGGACATATAGCAGTGAACAAGACAGACATTCTGTCAATAGAAACAATTCACAAATTTAAAAATCACACTTTGAAAAGTGCCATAGTGAAAATAAAAACAGTGATATGGTTGAGAGTAGCTGGAAGGCTCCCTGTACAGGCAGCAGAGCACAGCAATTAAATAAAGGTGCTTATAAGCTACTTTCTTGCTGTATACTGAGATTTTTACCCAAATTTGCTGGGATTCAGTTTTCTTGCTATATGATGGGAATGATAATAGAATCTCTCTCATTGGGTTCTTGTGAGAATATTTTGAGTTTTGTATGTAAAGGGTTAGAAAGTGCCTGGCATATAGAAATATATTTTGGTTTTGTTTTAGGTTTGTTGTTGTTTTTAGGCAGGGTCTCACTCTGTCACCTAGTCTGGAGTGTAGTGGCAACCATGGCTCACTCTGATGTCTGCCTCCTGGGATCAAGCAATCCTCCCACCTCAGCCTCCCAAGTAGCTGGGACTACAGATGTGCACCACCATGCCCAGCTAATTTTTGTAGTTTTGTGGGTAGAGACAGGGTTTCACCATGTTGCCCAGTCTAGTCTTCAACTTGTGGGCTTGAATGATCCACCTGCCTCGGCCTCCCAAAGTGCTAGGATTACAGGTGTGAGCCACCATACCCAGCCTCTAGTCTTTGTTTTGTTTTTATTACTTTAAACTGAGGGCTCAGATAAAGCTTCTCAGAGAAAGAACTATGTAGGCTGGAATCTAAAGCATGTGAAGAATCCTGTCTTGTAAAGATGGGGGATTGTGAAGAGCATTCCAGACAAAAGAAACTGCTGGTAGAGGTTGGGCATGGTGGCTCACGCCTGTAATCCCAGCACTTTGGGAGACCAAGGCGGGTGGTTGACCTGAGATCAGGAGTTCAAGACCAGCCTGGCCAACATGGCGAAACCCTGTCTCTACTAAAAATACAAAAAAATTAGCCAGGCATGGTGGTGGGCACCTATAATCCCAGCTACTCGGGAGGCTGAGTCAGGAGAATCGCTTCAACCCCTGGGGCGGAGGTTGCAATGAGCTGAGATGGCCATTTCACTCCAGCCAGGGGGAAAGAAAAAAACTCCATCTTGGGGAAAAAAAAAAAGTGGCTGGGTGCGGTAGCTCACGCCTGTAATCCTAGCACTTTGGGAGGCCGAGGCGGGCAGATCACCTGAAGTCAGGAGTTCGAGACCAGCCTGACCAACATGGAGAAACCCATATCTACTAAAAATTAGCCAGGCATGGTGGTGCATGCCTGTAATCCCAGCTACTCAGGAGGCTAAGGCAGGAGAATCGCTTGAACCTGGGAGGCGGGGGTTGCGGTGAGCCAAGATTGTGCCATTGCACTCCAGCCTGGGCAACAAGAGTGTGAGACCATCTCGAAAGAAAGAAAGAGAGGGAGGGAGGGAGGGAGAGAGAGAGAGAGAGAGGAAAAGAAAAGAAAAGAAAAGAAAAGAAAAGAAAAGAAAAGAAAAGAAAAGAAAAGAAAAGAAAAAAGAAAAGAAACAACTGGTTGAGAGAGAGAGAGAGAAAGGAAAAGAAAAGAAAAGAAACAGCTGGTACAAAGACTCAGGTGGGACATATCAATGGCTGAAGTAGGCTGGCATAAGGTGAGGGATCATGTGAAACCTTATGAACCATGAGTAGGGATTTGGATTTTATTTTAGTGCACTGGGAAGGCAATGGAGAGTATTAAGTGTGAGAGTTGACCCTGCCTTATTAAGTTCTTTAAAAAGGATTACTTGGCTTTCCATGTGGAGTGTGGATTTTTAGGAAGGCAAGGGTAAAAGCAGAGAAACCTATTCGAGTAGGAGCTATTTCAGAAGTTAAAGCAAGACACACCATGTCCAGGATGGAAGTGGAGATGGATAAATTTTTTGGTCATACTTGATTTTTAAATCTTCCTATTCTGTTATTGTGCTTTTGTGTGTTCCATTGTGTAAGTATTTTACAGATACTTAAAATTGTAATATATATTCCAGTCTGTTTCTACCGAGGTCTTCAAAGCAGAAAGAAATTAATTTTTCTTTCATAGTTTGTTTTAAAAGTTGTTTTCTAATGGTTCCCTATTTTTGTAATGTTTAAGGCCTTCAGAGTATTTTTCAAGTTTCTATCCAATTATTCAACTATATTGGCCAACCATGGTGGCTCATGCCTGTAATCCTCGCACTTTGGGAGGCCAAAGTGGGAGGATCACTTAAGGCCAAGAGTTCAAGACCAGCCTGGGCAAGGTAGCAAGACTCTGTCTCTACAAAAAGTAAAAATTTTTAAAAATTTAAAAATTAGTTGGGCACAGTCATATGTGTGTGTGTGTGTATATATGTATATATGCGTGTGTATACATATATGTATACATGTGTGTACATATGTATACATGTGTGTACATGTGTGTACATATGTATACATGTGTGTATATATGTGTGTATATGTATACATATGTGTGTATATGTATACATATGTGTATATATGTATACATATTGTATATGTATACATATGTGTATATGTATATATGTATACATATGTGTATATATGTATATATGTGTATAAATATATACACACATATATATAGTATATAGAAAACTGTGTATGTGTATATACATACATATTGTGTATACATAGGATATATATGTACATCCCCTTCAGTTTTGAAAAACCTTATACAGCCATGTTTCCTCTTGCTTTCTTTAAACTTGGAGTTGTTTCTAGATTCTTAGTTCTTGAAATAGTATTTACTATGCCACTACTGTTTTGTAAGTGCTGCATAATAGGCTGTAAAAGCTGATAACAGCCCTTCTTGTTCAAATATTCTTTTATATTTAAATCCATTTATTTTGCCATGTTAATTTTTATAAATTCCCTTTATACTATATTTAGCATTCTCTGTATTTAACTGGAGTTGTATTGATGTAAAAATCTTATACACATTCATGCAATTTCATATTATATAGGGAGGACAAATATATAAAATATTTAGTCTCAAGCTTCAGACTTGTTTCTTTCGCACCCAGTCATCCACTGTGTATTTATTTTCTGTCTCCTTTCCCACCTATAAACTCACTCTATTCAACAATATGCTATAGCCCTCTACGTAGTCATTTCCTTTCTCAAAAGACTCCTCATAATAAACCTAAAAGCTAACACTGAAATGATGCTATTGTAGCAGGGACTGTTCTAAGCACTGTAGATTTTAAACTCATCTAATCCTTCTAATACTATGCAGTAGGTACTGTTATTTCCCCACTTTATACATAGATGAACTCAGGCACAGAGAGGTTAAATAACTCCCCAAGTTCCCACAGCTACTAAGTGCTGGAAGCCAGGAGTATCCCCTAAGCAGCCTGTTCTACAAGCCACTTTCTGAAGCATTGTCCAATATGGTTTATAATTAAACAAATAAATGTGTACTGCATCTTTTGTTTTAAGTCTTTTAATTTTTGTGGCTGTTATACATTGGATCTCTTATTTTTCAGCTGGTATGACTGGCTATCTAAGGATCCTATATAAGGATTATCTCTTTTTCTTGCCATTAACTATTTGTATACCTTCAGAACTTTTTAAAAGCTGATTATTTTGAATTTTCCAAGCATTTCAATTGTGTCACCTGCAAATAATGATGCTTTTCTTTCTTTCCTATAAAATTACATTAGCATGACATTCCCAAGGCAGTATTTAGTAATTGTATTAGTAAGAGTTAATTTTGTGGCCAGGCATGGTGGCTCATGCCTGTAATCCCAGCACTTTGGGAGGCCGAAGCAGGTGGATCACCTGAGGTCAGGAGTTCAAGACCAGCCTGGCCAACATGGCAAAACCCCATCTCTATAAATATACAAAAATTAGCCAGGTGTAGTGGCAGGCACCTGTAATCCCAGTTACTCAGAAGCCTGAGGCAGGGAGAATTGCTTGAACCCTGGAGGTGGAGGTTGCAGTGAGCTGAGATCACGCCACTGCATTCCAGCCTGGGTGACAGAGCGAGACTCCATCTCAAATAAATAAATAAATAAATAAAAAGTTAATTATCAGTCCTGCAATTAAAATGTGTTTAGAGTTTCATTAGTAGATTAACTTTTTAAAATATATTTGACTATATGCATCCTATTGCTGATAGGAGCAAACATTTCCTTAATAATTTTAGACAGAGCTGAGATTTTCCCCCTTAAGCTTAAATTATATGAGTAACTGCTTTGGTGGAAAGAGCTTGAAAACATGACAATGAATTTAATTCAGCTAAATTGGATTTGTAAGTATGGGAAACCTGAGTGTGGTTTAGAGATTGTAGGGAAAGGAAAAGAGCCTTAGATGAAACAATATTTATGAGGCAATTGTTTAGGGCACTAGTTCTCAAACTTGGCTGCACAGTGGAATCATGAGGTAAGATTTACAAAAGACACTGATGCCTGGGTCCCATTCCCAGGTAATGTCACATAATTTTTCAGGGGTGCAACATAGATACTGGGAACTTTTTAAAACCCCCAGTAATTCTAATGTATGATCAAACTGTATAACCACTTATTTAGTGGAGACTTTAAACCTATTTCCCATATTATGCAAACTCTGGTTAATAGGTTTGTGTAGCCCACTAATAAAATACACCAGCATGTACACCAGTGTTCAAAGAAACATTATTCACAATAGCCAAAAGGAGGAAACAACCCAAATGTCCATCAACAGATGAATGGACAAACAAAATGTGGTCAATACATACAATGGAATATAATTCAGCCTTAAAAAGTAAGAAAATTTTGACACGTTACAACATGGATGAACCTTGAAAACATCATGCTGAGTGAAATGAACCAGACATAAAAGGACAAATACTATATGGTTCCACTTACATAAGTTACCTAGAATAGTCAAATTCATAGAGACAGAAAGTAGAAATAGTGATTCCCAGGGCTGGGGGGGGAGCAGGAAATGGGGAATTATTATTTAACAGGCACAGAGTTCCAGTTTGGGATAATGAAAAAGTTCTGGAAATGGAAGTGGTGGTGGTTGGACAACATTGTGAGTCTATTCAATGCCATGGAAATGTACACTTGAAAATTGTTAAAAAGATAAATTTTGTGTTATGCATATTTTACGAGAAGAAAAAAAAATTTTAATGGAAGTGGGTAGGCTATGAACATCCTTTCCCAACTAGTTAACATTAACTAGAGTGCTAAGGATTATAATACAAGGCATTATAGTAATTGCTTTAATGGAATTTGTTTAGTGGTTATTTTTTCCTCTTACCATCTCCAAGGAAAGCAGGACTTACATTTTGCTAACAATTCTTACCCATTATAAAACTTTCACATGTGTGCAGACAGGTAGAGGCACAAAGCTGAACTCTGCAATGCACTGCTGTACTGCTGTGAGGGTTATTGTGTGTGGAGCCTTTTGAAGCAGAGATTAGAGGTGAGTCTCCTTCACCTCCACACCTTAGATATGCTCCTGCCTGGACTGTACATGTACACACCAAGCAAAACTAAGACATCAAAGTCATTTTTTTATTAAATGAGACATATGTCAAAGAAATATGATTTGTATCTGACTTGATGATGTTTCTGGCGTTCCAAAGGTGAATTGAACTGGAACACCTCTCTTTGGTATCAACGTTCATGAGAAAAATGAGGCCATTTATAAATGGTCTTGAGTAGTAAAAAGTAAGGGATCACAGTGTCGAAGAAAGGCCTTGATTTACTGTAGTCCTAGTGTTCTGCTTTAGCAGAAGATAGGTGAGCTTTCTAGGCTTGGTTTCCACATGCAAAACAATTATACCATAAATTCATGTATGAATGTAGCAAATTAATATTCAGAATGTCTAAAGTCTGAAAGATGTAGCATCCGAGAGATCTCCCACATATGTGTCTGTGGCAAGCAGAAAACTCTAGAGCTGCACCATCTAAAATGGGTTCTGGAAATGTGGCCAGTTCTGCTGAATGTATTAATTTCTTATGGCTGCAATAACAAATTACCACAAACCTGGTGGCTTAAAGCAACATACATTTATTGTTTTACAGTTCTGGAGCCCAGAAGTTTAAAATCAGTTTTGCTAGGCCATCATCAAGGTGACAGCAGGGTCACTCTCCCTCTGGAGGCTCTAGGAGACAATCTCTTTTTTTTGGTTTTGTTTTTTGTTTTTTTACCTTTTCCAGATTCTAGAGTTGCATTTTATGCATTCCTTTTGTTTTGTTTTCAACCTAGTCTTGCAGAAGCATGCATTCCTTGACTGGAGGCCCCTTACTCCAGCTCTGTCTTCAAAGCCTGCAGAATGGCCTCTTGCTTCAGTTGTCACATTGCCTTCTTTTGGCCTGTAGTAAAATCTCCTCCTGTGTCCTTCATGTAATGACACCTTTAATTACATTTAGGGCCCACCCAAATAACCCAGGATAATTTCCCCATCTCAAGATCCTTAGTTTAATTACATCTGCAATGTCCCTTCTGCCATGTGAAGTAATAATCACAGGTTCCTAGAATTAGGATGTGGAGATATTTGGAGGCCGTTATTCAGCCTTTCATACCAAAGAACTAAATTTTTAACTTTATTTTATTGTAGTTAGCCATAGGTCTAGGAGCTACTATATTGAACAGTATAAATATAGAACATTTCCCTCCTCACAGAAAGTCTATCGACACCGCTGTTCTAGAAGACATCTAGAAGCCAGTACCAGATGCTTCATTTTATTGCTATCTTTGGTTTGTTTTTGAGCTGCTCATTAAAAATATTTGTAAGATCTTATTTTTTAGAAATTCAGAGAATATCTTTCCATAGAAGGCCAAGGAAAAACAGTAGTGCTCTTTCAACCATCGAGCAAAGATTTAATGAGTATTTATGATGAAACAGGCACTGAGCTCTAAAAGAAATTTACAATCTACAATGTAATTGGTAAACATTATGATAGCAGGAAGCACTGGTACCATGAGATAAGAGATCTAGCCTGATGAGGTCAGGGAAGGAATTCTGGAGGATATAAAACCTATGTTAAGATGTGGCCAAGCTAAGAAGGCTTAACAAAATAAATAAATAATACACAGGCAGAGGGAAAAAGATACAAAAGATATCACTTATAGGACAGGAAGAAGTGTGCACAGAGGAAAGCAGTGGGGAGAGAGCTTTAGGAGTAGTCCTATATGACTGAAGAATATGCGGGGTTAGAAAGGGGAAGGTAGAAAAGAAGGCAAGGGCCAACTCTTGATAGGCCTAGTATGTCATAATTAGGTGTTTGGACTTTATCCTAACTGTCATTTAGGTTTGAATGCAAATAACAGAGGCCCTAATAGTAGTCATTTAAATAAGAAAATATTCATTTTTGTTCAGACCAGTGCTGATGTGGAGACTGTGCTTCACAGCATCCTCAGGGTCTCAAGTTCCTTCCACTTCATTCCTAGTGTGTGTGTTTCTCAGCCATCGCAAGTGTGAGAGTTTTTCAGCCATCCTAGTGTGTGAGTTTCTCAGCCATCTCTAGTGTGTTAGTTTTCTTCTTTTTATTTATTTTATTTTTTGAGGCAGAGTTTTGCTCTTGTTGCCCAGGCTGGAGTGCAATGGCATGATCTCGGCTCACTGCAACCTCCGCCTCCCAGGTTCAAGCTGTTCTCCTGCCTCAGCCTCCTGAGTAGCTGGGATTACAGACGTTTGCCACCACACCCAGCTAATTTTTTGTATTTTTAGTAGAGATGGGGTTTCACCATGTTGGTCAGGCTGGTCTCAAACTCCTGACATCAGGTGATCCACCCGCCTCAGCCTCCCAAAGTGCTGGGATTACAGGTGCGAGCCACCATGCCCAGCCCTTAGTGTGTTAGTTTTCTAAGGCTGGCATACAATGTACTACAAACTGGTATCTTCAACAGCAGAAATGTATCTTCTCACAGTCCTAGGGGCTAGAATTCTGAGATCAGCTATTAATAGGGTTGGTTCCTCCTAGGGCTGTGAGCACCAATCTGTTCCCTGACTCCTCTCTAGCTTCCAGGGGTTTGCTATGAACCTTTGGCATTCCTTGGCTTGTGGAAGTACCTCTGTCTTCATTTTCATGTTCATATCACATTCTTCCTGTGTTTATCTGTCTGTGTCCATATTTCCCATTTTTATAAGGACACCAGTCAAGTTGGTCATACCCTATTCCGGTACGACCTCATCTTAACTATTTACATCTGAAAGGTCACATTCCAAATAAGATCACATTCTGAGGTACTGGGAGTTAGGACTTCAACCTATGAATCTGAGGGAGGTACAATTCAGACCATAACGTCTAGGATGTGATTCTCATCCCTGTGGCCCAAGGTAGCAGCTAGAGATCCAGCCACCACATTCACATTCAGGGTCTTCTCAAAGGGCCCATTTCTGTAAGGTGAATTCATAGCTTAAATCTCAGCTCCAGCACTTACTATCTACAGGAGTTTGACTCCCCCCCACTCCACAACCTTAGCTTTATCATCTTGAAAATGAAGAAGCAACATTTACCTTTGCAGAGTTGTTATGATCATGAAAAATAACAAATACAAGAGCTTGGACTATAGTAGATGCTCAATGGTAACAGTGATCTGTTATTTGTCATCTATCTGCTCAGGGCCTTGCATAGTGCCTCTCACAGAGTAAGTGCTCCACAAACATTTTGTTGCCCAATGGAGATTTAGATCGTGCCTAAAGCCCTAGGCTACAGAAGGCTGAGGTTGGAGTGAGCTATGATTGCACCACTGCACTCCAGCCTGGGTGGAGTGCAGCGAGATCCAGTCTCTAAAAATAAAAATAAAGCCCTGGGCTAGACTGCAGTCTGGAAATTGATGATAAAATAGCCATCACAGTAGTATAAAACACAAAACATTGGAAAAGAAATAGTTATCAAATACAAACATTATAGGGAGAAATAAATACACACAATTTCTCAAGTAACATCTCAAGGATAAAATAAGTACAATGCATCATTTTACAGTCACAAGTCTACAGTGTCATGGATAGACTAGGACCATATGGCTTGAGGAATCCCTTACAGGAGCCAGATCTGACTCAGACCCCTGATTGCAAGTCTGAAGGCAAGCTCTCTCAAATACAGCTAGTGACAGCCCAGGGCTTTCCTGGAGCAGTAAGAGAATTAAGTGTGACCTTGGATGAGAGCAGGTAACGAACTACAAGTAATGGTAATTCAGCAGGAATCTTTTCCTATGATTTGGGGCTACTATTTTTTGGTGTCTGATCAAAGAAAATGTTTCCCAACTCACTAAGCTCTCCTGCACCTGACATAGTATTTGTATTGCAAAAAGTGCAAGGTTAAAAGAATTGGTGTCGTAACTATAGGAGGCTGTGTTCTGAGTTTTTGAAAAAAGGTTTTACATATATATTTTTGAAGAGCAGCCCGGCATGCAGCTATGAAATGAAGCATCTGGTATTGCCTTCTACATGCTTTCTAGAACAGTGTTATCCAGCAGAACTTTCTGCCAGGATAGAAATGTTCTATATCTGTGCTGTCCAATACAGTAGCCAATAGCCAGGTGGCTATTTAAATTTAAATTTAATTACATTGAAAATTCGGTTCACTGATACACTATTAAGGCTTACGATAAAGCTAAGTAATGAAGTCAGTTTGGCATTGTTGTAAAGGTAGAAAAACCAACTGATAGAACAAAACAGAGTCAGGAGACAGGACCACACATACGTGGTCACTTGACTTACGACAATTGCAAGTGGGAAAATGGATTTTTTGAATAAACATGCTGGATCAATTAGCTATCCACATAGAAACAACAGGCATCTGGACCTACCTCTATGTCCCTATTCACAACAATCAATTCCAAATGGATTGCAGATCTAAATGAGCAAACTAAAACATTAAAGCTTTTGGGGGGCCAGGCGTGGTGGTTCATGCCTGTAATCCCAGCACTTTGGGAGGCTGGGGCAGGTGGATCACAAGATCAGAAGATGGAGACCATCCTGGTCAACATGGTGAAACCATGTTTCTACTAACATACAAAAATTAGCTGGGCATAGTGGTGTGCACCTGTAGTCCCAGCTACTTGGGAGGCTGAGGCAGGGGAATTGCTTGAACCCAGGAGGAGGAGATTGTAGTGAGCCGAGATTGCGCCACTGCACTCCAGCCTGGTGACAGAGAGAGACTCCGTCTCAAAAAAAAAAAAAAAAAAAAAAAAAAAAAAAAAAAAAAAACAGGAGGAAACTTTATAACCTGGAGTAGGCAGAGATTTCTTAAATAAAACCAAAAAACACTAAATGTTAAAACTAATGAATTGAATATTTCAAAATTAAAGTTTTCTTCAAAAGATACCATTAAAAGAATGAAAAGTAACCAAATGGGGGAAAATATTTGTGACATATATACTTGACAAAGGATGAATATTTAGAATTCTAAAAACAAAAACATAATACTGTATACTTAAAAAATTGCTAAGAGGATATATCTTACATTGTGTTATTTTAAATTTATTTTATTTTTTTCAAATTTTATTTTAGACTCAGGGGTACATGTACAGGCTTGTTACCTGGGTATATTGCGCGATGCTGAGGTTTGGGGTACAAATGATCCCTTCAGCCAGGTACTGAGCATCGTACCCAACAGTTTTTCCAACTTTTCTCCCTCTCTTTCCCTCCCCCCATGTTAAGGGTTATTATCAATAATAATAATAAAGAGGTCAGGAGAAAACTTTTGGAGGTGATGGATTAGGTTCATGGCATAGATTGTGCTGATGGTTTTAAGGGTGTACACTTATCTCCAAACTTATGAAGTTGTGTACATTGAATATGTATAGCTTTTTAGCATGCCAATCATACTTCAATAAAGTCATTTTTAAAAATCTTCTTACAATGGATAAACAAGCTGTGATATATTCATCCAATGGAATAGTACTCAGAAATAAGGAGGAATAAGTTATTGACACATGCAACAATATGAATAAATCTCAAACACAGCATGCTGAGTGCAAGAAGCCTTATACAGAAGAACATACTGTATGATTCCAGTTATATGGTCTTCTGAAACAGGCAAATCTAATCTACAGTGAGGAAAAAAATTAGAACATTGGTTGTCCCTGGGAAAGTGGAAATGGTAGGGAGCATGAAGGACTTTCCGGGGTGATAGTATGTTCTATACTTGATAGAAGTTTGGGTTATACAAATGAATGCATTTGTCAAAACTCAGCAAATATATACACTAAAGATTTGTGCATTTCATTTCATGTAAATTTTACATCAAAAGAAACCTGAAGTATTAAATTCTAGTTAATGATATACATGCTGAAATATTAATATTTAAATGGCCAAATATGTATTGCTGTTTGCAATTTACTTTGAAATGCAACAACATTAAGATAGATACAGGTAAATGTAGAAATATCCTAAAGTGAGTGTTATATAATGTTAATGGTAGAATAATCTATGTGGTAAGTTTACAGACGCTATTGTAAAACTCTTTAAACTTTGCTAAATATTTGAAATTTTTCATAATCAAATGTTAGGAAAATACAAATTTAAAAGACACTAAAAATGGGCACAGATTTTAACAGACACTTCATGAAGTTATTTCTTAATAGCCAATAAAGAGATGAAAAGGTGCTCAACTTCATTAATCATCAGGGAGCTGCAAATCAAAATCACCTGAAGCACAATTATCACCCACCAAAATGGCTAAAATGAAAAAAGATGGAAAATACCAAGTGTTGATGAGAATGTGGAACAACTGGAATACTCATATGTTGCTGATAAGTGTAAATTGGCTCAAACACTTTGAAAAACTGTTTTAAAATATTTAATATCTACTAAATTTGAACATGGTATATAACCTATGATCCAATAATTCCATTTGTAGGTATACACCGAACAGAAATGCAATCATCTTTTATCATGTTCATCAGAAGACGTTTATTACAATGTTCATAGCAGCAATATTTTTAATAGTTCCAAAATGTAGACTACTCCAATGCCTATCAACAATTGGTTGAATACATAAATTGTGGTATATTCACAAAATGGACTGCACTGCAGCATTCTCATGAGCAAACTGTGACTATACTCAAAATATGGATGAACCTCATGACCATCATAGTGAGTTAAAGAAACCAGACACAAAAAATCACATGTATATAATGCACAAACACAAGGATACTGCTCTATGCTGTTAGAAGTCAGGCTAGCGGTTACCTTTGGGTGAAAAGGAGTGGTTAGCTACCGGAAGGAAATACTTCTGGTGTACTGTTTCTTTCTTTCTTTCCTTTCTTTCCCTTCTTTTCTTTCCTTTCTTTCTCTTCGTTTCTTTCCCCTCCCTCCGTCCCTCCCTCCCTCCCTCCCTTCCTTCCTTCCTTCCCTCCCTTTCTTCCTTCCCTTTCTCTCTCTCTTTCTTTCTATTTCTTTTTTTCTTTTTTTTAATGTAGTATAGCTCTGTCACCCAGGCTGGAGTGCAGTGGCATGATCTCGCTCACTGCAACCTCCACCTCCCGGGTTCAAGCGATTCCCCTGCCTCAGCCTCCGGAGTAGCTAGGATTACAGACGTGTGCCACCACACCCAGCTAATTTTTGTATTTTTAGTAGAGACAGGGTTTCACCATGTAGGCCAGGCTGGTCTCAAACTCCTGACCTCAAGCGATCTGCCCACCTCGGCCTCCCAAAGTGCTGGGATTACAGGCATGAACCACCACGCCCCGCCATGTTCTGTTTCTTAAATTAGTTGTTGGTGGCAGGACTGTGATTAGTTTGTGAAATTTCAGCCGAATGTGCATTTTTGTGTACTCATCTGTGGTCATGTTATATTTCAATAAAAAGCAGTCTCTGCCAGAACCTACAGGCAATGAGGTGCCACAGAAGGAGTTGACATTTGAGAGGCTTGAGAAGGGTTTAAGAGACACAATCAGATTTGCATTAGGAAGATTAATCTTTGGCTTTGGAGGATGACCGGGAAAGGAGTTGGGAGCTATTTGTAGAACTAATCCAGGCAAGCAATTATGAAGGTCTGAATTAGAGCAAGGGAATAGGAATGAGGACAGGATACAGCTGATATTTAGGAAGTAAACATGACAGGACGTGAGCCGATCACTAAATCCTCCTGCTCATGTTTCCTTGCTTGAAAAATAAGGAATAACAGTACCTACTTCATTGGGACTAGTTTGATGATTTAATGAGGGGGAGTGGTTTTAGATTTATAAAATATATATATGCTTATTGTATACCATACCTAGACATAAGGTATTAATATTAGAAAGCTCTAAGAGAAATATCTTGATTTTGGCATTGTCCCTGCGACGCTGCCTTCTCCCTGCCTAGGATGGATCAGCGTGGGACACAGGGTAGAAGGCAGAGGTACAGAATACCACAGGACATGTCAGAACGTGGGCGTGAAACGGGCCCAAGGGACCACGGGTGAAGGTCTAGGACTCTTCCAGCAGCCTGAGCGCCAGCAGAAGGAACCAAAACTAACCCAGGCGTTTCCTCTCCTCCTCCCCAGCCTTTCGGCCGAGAAGCAGACCGGCGGAACGCGACGGGGATTCAGGCCTAGGGGTGGGCTTGAGGCCGGAAAAATGGCCAATGGAACGAGAGCTTCTCCGTGCTTAGCCAATTGCATGACCCCCCCCCCAGGACCGCCCCCATCCGGTGATTGGCAGACACGTCTCCCAGTGTTGTCGCGGCCTGCTAAGGCTCTCAGAACTCCCGCGAGGGTGCGGGTCTTCCTCCAGCGCTGGGCTACTTGGTCCCGCCCCTCAAGGTATTTCTGCTCCTTGTGTGCCAGGGACCCCGGTAGTCCTGCTCCTGCTCTGGACCTGGAGCCAGGAGGTGGCTGGGAGGTGGGCGCGGTGAGGAGGTCTGAGCAGCCGCAGGCTCTGGGCCGCTTCGCCTCGAATCCGGGACCCGCGGGACCCGCAGGACCCGTAGTGCCTGGGGCCGAGGTGGGCGCGGCCCGGGCTCTCATGCTTTCCCTCACGCGCACCTGCCTTTTCCGCGGGGCCCGGGGCGGCTCCCCTGCCAGTTGGCGGGAGTAACCCGTAGTAGTAAAGCGCGACTGGATTAGGCCCTGTGTATTGAAGGGTTTGCGATCTTGAAAGGAACATTTGCATTAAAAACAGTGGGCAAACTTGTTTGTGGTCCTGTTGGTAACACACTTTTAGGGGGTGCAGTACAGTATGTTACCATACTTGGGGGATTAGCCGCCGTAGTTAAATGGTGGGTTCCTGTTGTTCCCAGCCCATTTCTAGCTAATTTAAAGAGAGTTTAAATAGGATAAGGTCCCGTTTACATCTTCCAGTGCCTAATACAAATATTTTAAGCAGCCCTATCAGCCTCCCCAAAAGGTAAAGGAGATTCCCCCAGTAAAGGCACATGACACTATGTATTGAATTCTTTTTTTTTTTTTTAAGACGGTGTCGCTCTGTCGCCCAGGCTGGAGTGCAGTGGCGCGATCTCGGCTCACTGCAACCTCTACCTCCCGAGTTCAAGCGATCATCCCACCTCAGCCTCCCAAGTAGCTGGGATTACAGGCGCCAGCCACCACGCCCGGCTAATTTTTGTATATTTTGTAGAGACGGGGTTTCACCATGTTGGCCAGGCTGGTCTTGAACTCCTGACCTCAGGTGATCCGCCGGAATCGGCCTCCCAAAGTGCTGGGATTACAGGTGTGAGCTACCACGCCCGGCCTGTATTGATTTCTTGAATTTAGCAAACACCACAAAATTATCTTAAAGTAGCCTGTACTTAATACCATAAGAAAGACCAGCCTGAGTCTGTTTTCCCTGAAAGCAAAGCACTGAAAAAATCGTGCAATCGGGAAGAGAATACAAAATACTGTAGATACCTGAGTCTTCAGTGTACAGCCAAGTGGCAATATACATGTTATTAGGATGTATTTTTAAGTCTTAGGTTCTTTCGGGGTGGGACAGTGCCGACTAATAATTAAAGTATTTCATATATCATTTTCCTATTAATTGGACAAGAAAAAGCTGATTTATTTTCGACCCTTTTGTAGGTGGGAAAATAGCAGGCTAAGATGATATAGCACTGAAATCTTTATCAGCTTCTCCAAAGATTATTTGTACTCATCTGTTGAAATATTTACCAATTTTTCTTTGTGTAGTTTGTGAAATTGCTGGAATAGGTTATGTTTCAGCTGGCTACAACAGAGCTTTTAAGGTTGCCAACTAACTTTCTTAGATGTGAATAGAGTTATTCTTTTGTTGACCTAAAAATTGTTGACTGTTAGAGCAAAGAATTCATATTAAATTTTGTGTAAAGTTAAATATGTCAGTGAGACACCTGAAATAGACTATTTTGGTATATTGCATTTGAACCTCCCTATCAATAGCAATCAAAAAACCATAATTCCAATCTGGCTATTTCTGAATATACAGCCAAGACAAGTGGCAATTAGAACTGTTAAAAGTAGTTTCTGGCTGGGTCCAGTGGCTCACCCCTGTAATCCCAGAACTTTGGGAGGCTGAGGCAGGAGGATCACTTGAGCCCGTGAGTTCAAGACAGGCCTGGGCAACATAGGGAGACCCCCCCACCTCTATAAAAAACAACAATAACAAAATTAGCCAGGTCTGGTGGTACACACCTGTGGTCCCACCTACTCAGGAGGCTGAGGTGGGAGGATCGCTTGAGCCTAGGGTACCAAGGCCGCAGTGAACTATGATTGTTCCACTATACTCCATCCAGCCTGGGTGACAGAGGAAGACCCTGTCACAAAAGAGAAACAAAAAAAAAAAGTAGTTTCCGGTGATGACATATCAAGAGCAAGAATTTTTGACTGGCACAAAAGGTTTAAAGAAGGTAAGGATGATACCCATGGTGATGTGCAAAGCGGTCATCCAGTCACCCACAGAATCCAATTAAATGCTGAGAGCCAGAAATTCGGTTTTCTCAAATAGCCAATTAACTATGAGAAAAATAGCAGAAAAGTTTCATTCTGTAAGAAAACTTGCAGCTGATGAAAGCTTCTAGGAAGATTTTTATCTCCTGCTATTGTGGCTGAAGATCTCATGGAGGCCAAACCAAAATAGGGCTAAGCAGGAGCCTGCAGCTTGGGTGTGTATTCAGGGCATGATCCTGTTTTGTTCATTGGTCTTGGAGAAATTTCAGACTGAAACAAGCTGAGCATCTTCAAAGATTTTTTCACAGGCTTTTGTAGGTTCATGACTTAAACAGCGTGAAACTTGTAGAGCTGGATATGACCAAAAGAAGAGGATGGAACCAGTTTATTAGGAGGAACAAACTGTTATCTCACAGTAAGGAACTAACTGTAGGAGAATTTCTACCTTATTTCTTCAAAGTGAGCTCATCAGGTTACCTGCAGGGTAAGCAGTTAAACCTTCAACAGGGAGCTAGCAATTGTTATTCTGTACGGACACATCTCAAAAGTAGTCTGAGACTGGCCATACTTGGGCAGAAATATTTAACTTGTAATAATGAAACTTCTTTTGGGAGTGGAAGATGGAGCTCAGATGTTGGAAACAGGGATTCGATTAAGAAAGAAAAAGCAATGAAGAATTGTGGGCAGTTTAAGCATTAAATAAAAATATACTGTTCTCGCAGGGTGTGGTGGCTCACACCTGTAATCCCAGCACTTTGGGAGGCCAAGGCGGGCGGATCACGAGGTCAGGAGATTGAGACCATCCTGGCTAACACGGTGAAACCCTGTCACTACTAAAAATACAAAAAATTAGCCAGGCGTGGTGGTGGGCGCCTGTAGTCCCAGCTACTCTAGAGGCTGAGGCAGGACAATGGCGTGAACCTGGGAGGCGGAGCTTGCAGTGAATCGAGATCATGCCACTGCACTCTAGCCTGGGAGACAGAGCAAGACTCCACCTCAAAAAAAAAAAAAAAAAAAAAAAAAAAAAATATATATATATATATATACACACACACACACACACACACACACACTGTTCTCTTTCACTCTTCCCACCCACCAAAACGTGAGGACCTGATTATGTTCAGAATCTCACGATACTTTGTTCTTTAAATAATCTAAATTTCACTTTTAAATGGATTTTTATATATAAACTGTTCATCTCTAGGATTTAGAATAAAGGGCAAATAGGGTTCAGTCTGATCCTTTCATCATGAGAATGAGATTCTATAGTTTGAGAAGTTTCAAAGGGTATTAACAAGTAAACAATATATACAATCTTTTCAAGTGACTGAGTTTTGACCTTCATATGCTATGTTTCAGCTCTACAGCATTCAATAAAGGAAAGCTTGAATTACTTGAATATTCGTGAGCCCACGAATAGCCTCAAGTACATCATGGTCCAGTCAAATGATGGTTTTGCTCAAACACTTTAATAAAAAAGCATTAGTAATTCATGTCAGTTGATATAGATAAGGTATTCTTACACAGAATAGGTGAAAAATGGTTTCACACAGAAGAAATTTTGATACATCTAGAAAATGTAAAGGATTTCAGATAGTATTTTTGTCAATTAACATGTTAGTTTAGGGAGCTAGGTGAACCATGTGTTATTCCATCACATAATAAATTTGAGTTCAATATGAACTTCTCATTAAAAAACTTAGGTTCTTTGCCCCAATTTCCTTCTCAGTCTCTAGTATAGTGCTGTTTAAGTGTAGTATCCCGTAATTCAGAATTAGTATTATTGCAACCTAGTGGCAAGGACTTAAGTCAGAGCCTTGTGGTAGCTGACCCTGGGAAGACTGGTTTCATTAGTCATACTACTTTTCTGGAGTCAGGGTCTTGCTGTTGCCCAGGCTGGAGAGCAGTGAGTCATGTCTCACTGCAGCCTTGAACTTGTGGGCTCAAGCCATCCTCCCTCCTCAGCCTCCCAAGTAGATTAGATGACTGTGCCCAGCTAAGTTTTTGGCTTTTTGTAGAGATGGGGTCTTGCTTTGTTGCTCAGGCTGGTCTCGAACTCCTGGCCTCAAGCGGTCCCCATGCCTCAGCCTCCCAAAGAGCTGGGATTACAGGCTGTGCCTAGCTGATATATATATATATATATTTTTAAAGGACACTAGTACTATTATGTCCTTTTAAGTCCTCTTTTACATCTCATGTTTCATACACCAAAAACACCTAATAGGCTGACAGATGCTCCCTTTGTGCCAAATTTTGAGAACCTTCTCTTGCCGAGATTCAAGTTTACATTTCTTAAAACACAAACCAAAACTGAGGTTTATGAAAACATTATCTCACTTTAGCAGTTTGTATTACCTCCAGGACACTGCTGGCTGAAGCTGTACAGCCCGCAGGGCAAAAATTATAATTAGAATGCTTTTCCTATTGTCTTAATTTGCTTCAGTTATTGAATTTTTAAAATGTGGTGTCTTGTGCTGTATAAATACAAGTGTGCATAAGTGACTTTCCAATAAACCATAAATTGATTCCTTACTTTTCACAATGCTTTATTAGGAGGTATGTGCTGACCCCACATATTTTAGCCACATGCACATGCTCATGTATCTCAAGATTAAAGTCTAAATACATTTTAAATTCATGGTTATACCTTTAAAAAATGACTAATGGGCCGGGCGCGGTGGCTCATGCCTGTAATCCCAGCACTTTGGGAGGCTGAGGCAGGTGCATCACAAGGTCAGGAGATCGAAACCACCCTGGCTAACACGGTGAAAACCCGTCTCTACTAAAAATACAAAAAAGTAGCCGGGCGTGGTGGCGGGCGCCTGTAGTCCCAGCTCTCGGGAGGCTGAGGCAGGAGAACAGCATGAACCCAGGAGGCGGAGCTTGCAGTGAGCCGAGATCGCGCCACTGCACTCCAGCCTGGGCGACAGAGTGAGACTCTCTCAATAAAATAAAATAAAATAAAAAGGACTAATGAATATACATAGGATCTACTCCCAACCACCCACACGGCACTAATAAAAACAAGGGAGGAAGGCTGAGGTGGTGGGGTTCTTGCCCCAGCTATATTTGTGATCTTAGAGGCTGCTGTAACAAATTATAACTTGGTGGCTTAAAACAGCAATTTATTCTCAGTTCTGAAGGCCAGAAGTCAGAAATCAGTTTCACTGAGCCAAATCAAATGATGCTCCTCAGGAGGCTCTGATGGGGAATGTGTTCCTTGGCATCTCCCAGCTCCTGGGGGCTGCCTCACTCTGATCTTCAAGGCCAGCATCTTCCAATCTGCTGTGTGTGGATATCCCTCAGCCTCCCTCTCATGAGGGAACTTGTGATCGCATTTAGGGCCCACTAGGATTATCCAAGGTAATCTCCCCATCCTGAGATCCTTAATCTAATTATATTAATATCTGCAAATAAGGTAACATTTACAGGTTCGAGAGATTAGGCCTGATTATCTCGAGAGGCGGTCATTCAGACTACACTGTCTTTCCAGGTTCTGACAGGTTTTCTCTTCTGAAAAGTTGGTTGATTCATGCAATGTCTACAACAGTACTGCTAATAAAACCCTGCAGTAATGGAAATGTTTTCTGTCTGTGCTGCCCCTAGCCACATGTGGATTTTGAGCCATGGACGTGTTACAGGGCCTCTGCCCAAGTAACTCAAGGGGCAAAGGACCACCACCAGGACTCCGTGGAGTGCTTTGTGAAACCAGTGGTTATTCTTGACAACTATTTGCTAGAGCCTTCAGACTTTTAACACAGTTTTTACACCTTTCATCTTGACAGTACCTAGAAAACCTTGCCATTCTCTTGGCCCACTTCACTGGACCACTGTTCTGACAGAACTTGCTAGGGCCTTTTAAGGCTCTGGGGTTGTTTTCTGTATATTGATGTTCTATGTCTGTGCTGCCCCTAGCCACATGCAGCTATCGAATATCTGAAATGTCAAAACCAACCATATCCACTGATTTTTGTATACTTGCTCACTGATTCTCGTGATACCTAGAATAGTACTTGGCCCATAGTTAATGCTCCATTAAAAGAACATTAGAGCTATTCCAGTATTATGTAAATACTAAGTATCAGTTCCAATTTTAGTAGATGTGCTGCTGAAACACACACAGTACTAAATATCAGTATTGTCATTTTGTTCTTACATTATGACTATACGGTGTTATAAAAATGATTAAATAGTACTACCAACTAATATATCATTTGCTGAGTATTTACTACTTACCAAGTAGTCTGATGTACCACATATAACTCATTTTAATTACTTGTTAATAGAACCTAACACTAAGAGGTTTAAGATCACACACAGAGATTTGAACCTAGGCTCAACATTATGCGGCCCTTAGAAGGGGACTGTAAGCCACTTACCTACAAAAGGTCAAGCACCTGACTAGACCCTCTGTAATATGGTGGGAACTAAGGTGGACTTTACAGAATGGAGAGAAGCAGAGGCAGTTAGGTAAGTTTGCATGCGATGCGCAATGTAGTTCTGATGCTACAGGGCCATTACAGGGTGCTAAAGAAAATCAAGAACACATAGAAGGGCTGATGGTGGTCAGAGAAAAGTTAGGTTAAGAGCAGTAAAGTATAAGGCAATAGGGAGCATTCCAATTAAATTAAAACATTCAGAGCCCCGCAGGCCAGAGCACGTTGCCATTTTACCATAGTTTGAAAATAACCAACTTTCCACTACTACAGACATAAAGTCCTCCGCTCCTTAAGGGCACTTCTCTACAGCTTCACTGCTTCTCCAAACCTTTAAACACAACTATCCTCAGGGCCTTTGCACTAGTTTTCCCTCTGCCTAGAATGCTCTTCCCTCAACTATAGATAAGGCCATGGCATCTCCCTCAGCTCTTTCATGTTGAGTGAGGCCTCCCTTGCCGGCCATGTTAAGTCATCTCCCTTTCCTTACCCCCTTAGCAATTATAGCCAGCTAACACATTAGTTGAATGTATTTTTTGTACTAGTCTGTTCTCACATTGCTATAAAGAACTGAGACTGGGTAATTTATAAAGAAAAGGTTTGTCTCATGGTTCAGCAGGCTGCACAGGGAGCATGGCTGCTGAGGCTTCAGGAAACTTACAATCATGGGGTATGTCTAACAGGAAGCACATGGCCAGAGTAGGAGGAAGGGGAGGTGCCACACTTTTAATCTAAACTCTGCCATTCTTCTGCCTCTGCCTTGAGATAACATGTGCACAATTGCATAACCTTTATTTTTATTAATTTTTCTTTTCAGGCTGGAGCACGGTGACAAGATCATGGCTCAGTGCAGTCTCAACCTCTTGGGCTCAAGCAATCCTTCTGCCTCATTTTTTGTAGAGACGAGGTCTTACTATGTTGCCCAAGATAGTCTTAACTCCTGACCTCAAGTGATCCCCCTGCCTTGGCCTTCCCAAGTGCTGGGATTACAGGCATGAGCCACTGCCCCAGCCACACTACACATCTAAACAACCAGATCTCATGAGAACTCACTATCACAAGGAACAGCAAGAGGGAAATCCACCCTTTTCATCCAATCACGTCCCACCAGGCCCCTCCTCTAACATCGGGATTACAATTCAACATTATCCAAACTTGTGAGCAATTACCTAAATTTATGAGGCTAGACTTTACAATATGGAACATAAAAGTTTAGATAAAAAGGTAAGAACAATGCTATGAATTAAGAATGACTCCAAGATAAATATTAATACTTGCTACATAGACACACACAAAAAAACAGAATATGCTGACAGATACTCCTTCTGTGCCAAATTTTGTGAACCTTCTTAGGCTCAATGCAATGAAATAATATGAAGAGTTTATATTCTTAACAGCTCGACTGTGGTCCTTTCCTAGTTTGGTTGAAATAATTCTTAACTGTTACACCAGGACACCAAATCTCAAGAGACAAGTGACTTTCCAGAAGTCACATTGCCTAAAAGTTATACATGTGAAGCCTCTCATTCAGAGATACTCACAGGTGATGAAACTTGAGTTATCACTAATCCATTTCTTTACCTGTGAAATGGGAGAATAGAATCTGTAAGGTTAGCCGAGAGAAAAGACAAGAGACCCAAGGTCAGGCCAAGTAAGTTTATTAACCTGCCAGGCTTCTCCACCAGTCGGAGGTGGCAGCCCTGAGCTTACAAAATGAGGGGTTTATATGGGGGAGAGAGACCCTGGGGTTGTTAGTCAATTAACTTTACCACATATAATCTCATGACCGGCTTACAATATATTATCTTGTGAAAATAGGAATTTACAAGGGGGTGTAATCCACGTTTCTCATGACCTCCCCCGTGCCACCCAGAGGGCTTCGGTGTAGCAAGTCTGGTGACCTTGCTATAGCGCCTAGATAACGGTTCAGGAATGCAGCTGCAGAGTATTCAGGGTAAGGGTCAGCTGCATTGAGTTAGCGGGGGCGGAGTGGTCCTGGGGCAGCCTGTCCCTAACAGAATCCACCTCCGAGTTGTGACAATTAAATGAAAAGGTTGAAAAGGTGAACATGAAGCACCTGCTACACTGCCCTGTTGCCACCAGCATTGTCACTGCTCTAGCTCCTGTGGCACTGCACGGACACGTGGTTGCTACAAGTTAGTACGCATATTTGGCCTTATTAGAGGCACTTTCCTATTGTAACTGAAGGGATAGTTGGCTTAAGTCAATTGAAATACCAGCAACAGGACATTCCAGCTTCAATGGCTTGTGCCTGTAGTTGTCAACCTATAGAAAGAAAAGTTTTAAAATGACGTTTTAACCAAAGAAAACTGAAATGTATTGCTTGTTCTATAAACTGTAAAGAAAATCACAAAGGCGCTCAAGTTGTAACGAAACTTTTTCTGGTTCAGTTGTGACTCCAGACAGGATCCAAAGAGGAGCTTTCCAGTCTCTTCTCTGGGTTTTATGGAGACTTACTTTACCCTTCTGTGTTAGCCTCTTAAAGCACTGGGTCAACCTTAAAAGGGCACAGGAAAGGGTGCTTTGTGATTTTTTTTCTTTGATTTTTACAGGGTTCACTACTATTTTCCGCGTTGCTCTCAATACCTCGTGGATCTCTGCTTCTCTAAGTCTGAAACCACACTAGAAACACAGCTGTTTTGTTTGGTGAGCCCCTACATGGATGTTTCCTTCCAGTTAAGGGGAGCCGGATTCGGACCTTGGCGACAAACAGACGCCGGGGAACCCTCCGGTCCCACTGGCCACGTGCTCCAGGCTGACTCATTCCTTCCCCCACCCCGCTCAAGGCTAGGAACATACCTGCGCTAAGAACTGAGGCAGCTGCACTTCCGCAGACGTAAGAGACGAACTCCTGGAGCTCAAGGTCGGCTGGGGTTGGGTTCCTGTCCCGCACGCGTGGCCCGCCCGAAACCCGCTACATAGTGGCGCGTCAGCCCTGGGGAAGCAAAGCGCAAAATTGTTACGGTGCCCAGACCTGCGCCGGGAACCTCCGGCTGTTCCGCTGGGCGCGGCGCCTGTGCCTCGCGCAGCCCCGGGACGGGCACCGCCGCCCGCCCCCCGGGCCGCCGAGGGCTGCTCTACCCCTCCGTTCTGGCCGCCGGGAGCAGAGGAGCTCGAGGCGGGCAAAGCTCGTGGGGACACCGGGCGAGCCCAGCCCCTGATCGGACCCACGGGCCGGCCGGGCGCCCTCCCCGCGGGAGACCGAAAGCCGAAGACTGGAGATGCACTCACCGCGCAACTCCAGCTGACAAAGAGGCCTGCGACCTGCGACGGGCGCACAAACCAGAGAGGCGGCGCGGGGCGGGGAGGGAAGCAGGAGGGTCGCGAGGCCCGCAGCCAATCCCGGGAAGACTCTGGGCAAGGGCGGGGCGCGCAGCCGATCCCCTGGAGAGGTCGGGTAGCTCAGCCAATCCCGGGAAGATCCTGAGCGGGGCGGGGTGGAGGGCCGCGGCACGCACAGCCAATCCCGGATGGGGCGGGACGGGCCCGGCCATTGGCTGTCGGTGTCCGGGGCCGGCCTAGGTGTGGCTCATGCAGTAGCACGGGGATAAGCCATGTCTGCGCGCGGAGCATCCTTCTCTGAATTAGATTTTTCAGGCTACCTACCAATCCCCGGCGTTGGTGATTTTGGTGCTCTTGGGCCCTAGACCCTTCCTCGGGTGCCCTTCTGGAGAGGGCATCGAGGTTACTCCAGGGTTGGCCTAAGGCCCTGGGATTCCCTTTCTTAAAGCCACACTAATCCGGTGTGTGTTCATCATCTGTGTCCGCCTAAACCGTAAGCTTAAAGAGAAGCCACGACCATGTCTTGTTCAACAAGCTCACTCCCGTGGCCTCTCCTAAAGCTAGAAGGACTACCTCCTTTCCTCATGCTCCCTCTTTATTCATTTACAGAGTCCAATAAGTAGACCATAATCAGCTGGAGGGTAGGAGTTGGGGAGGTTGAGAAGGCAACCATAGCAATCTCAAGGTAACAGGCTCAAACTTGGCAAACAAATAAGTAGAAGAAAATTGGAGTATATGCTAAAAGGAGAACTTCTATTGCTGTTTCACGTACTTACCATCTGCTAACAAATCTAATCCTCAAAATATATTTAATCATCTCCAAATTATAGATGGGGAAATAATTATGTTATGTAACTTGCCCAAAGTCACAGAGCAGCTAGCCAGTGGTAGATCCAGGATTTGAACTCAAGCAGCCTGAAGGCAGAGCCCCTCAAACAACATGCTACCTAGCCTTTCCCCAGGTGTTGGGGGTGGAGCAGGAAGGGAAACCAAAAAATAGCCTACACTTGGTTAACAGATCAAGACAGGCAGCTCTGGTGGGGTGTGGCTTTGTAAACAGAAAGAACAACTCGTCCAGAGCCCCAAGATAAAACAGGAAAGGGCTTTACCTGTTTAAGGACTCCCAGAAATGGAACTTAAGGAGCAGAGTGGCCTGAGATGAGAATGGCTTGGGGCCAGACCATGCAGGAAACCCTGGAAGAGTTTTTTTGTTTTGTTTTGTTTTTGAGATGGAGTCTCGCTCTGTTGCCCAGACTGGAGTATAGTGGCACGATCTTGGCTCACTGCAGCCTCCACCTCCCAAGTTCAAACTATTCTCGTCTCGGCCTCCCGGGTAGTTGGGATTACAGGCATGCACCACCATGCCTGGTTAATTTTTGTATTTGTGAAAGAGTTTATACTTTGTGCTAAGAATGATGGAAAGCTGTTCAAGTGTTTTGTTTGTTTGTTGTGTGTGTGTGTGTGTGTTTTAACAGGGGAATGATAGGATCTGATGTAGGGTGTGGTTTCGGGTGTGATTAAGGTGGTTTTGGTGGGAAGAAGAAGTTGAGTAAAATTTACCAATAAACCCTAGCACCTAGTCATCATCTTGCAGATATTCATAGGATCTTGTTGAAATTGGAGAGTGAATACCAGTTTGTTGTCCCTTCACCTTTCTCAAGAGTCTTCCAAACATATCTCTAGTTGGAATCTGTTCTTTTTATAGTCCCTTTGGATAGCTGAGAGATATTACCTTTCCTTTAACTATGGCAATGCATGTGGTCAGGCAACATGGGAAAATATAGGAAAAGAGAAGTAAATCTCCTTAGTAAAGAGACTAATGCAGGAATTCAGCAGCAACCTAGCAGGGGCTGGGGGTAGTTGTGCAGAATGTCTTCCCTCCTCCCCAAATCAGGGGATAAAAATGGGAAGGAATTATGAAAGAATTATATTTGTGTTTGATTTAAGAGAAATTCACCTTAATCTGAAGGCTTCACATTTCTGGCCAAATACCTCAATTCAATGAACTTACAAACAGTTCATTCGAAATAGTAAAACTGTTCACTGGGCTTAGAGGAGAAATGTCTATTAAATACAGAGACAATAGAACAAAATAAACTGATTTATAATTGCTTTTGAGTTAGGTTCAAGATAA
The DNA here is from genome assembly GCF_000001405.40 of Homo sapiens. Lineage (NCBI taxonomy): Eukaryota > Metazoa > Chordata > Mammalia > Primates > Hominidae > Homo > Homo sapiens. The sequence continues at coordinate 52,710,342 of NC_000004.12, read as the reverse complement.
TATATATTTGGTACTAAAAATCCTTATAATGCAGTTTAAAGAGAATTGTTTCAATTGGGTTTATTATTAGGCCTAATTTTTTTAGAGAAATTAGTATGTCTAATCAATCCTTCTTTCTTTCTTTTCTTTCTTTCTTTTCTTTCCCTCCCTCCCTCCCTTCCTTCCTTTTCTTTTCTCTCTCTCTCTCTTTCTTGCTCTCTCTCTCGTCTCTCTCCCTCTCCCTTTCTTTTCCCTTTGACAGGGTCTTACTCTATCACTCAGGCTAGAGTGCAGTGGCACAATCATAGCTCACGGGTCAGGCTCCAACTCCTAGGCTTAAGTGATCCTCCCACCTCAGCCTCCCAAAGCATTGGCATTACAGATGTGAGCCACCACGACTGGCCAATCTGTCCAATTTGAGGGAGTTCAGTCTCTCCAAATTTAATCTGTCGGAAGTTGAATAAAGGGACCTAGAAGAATACCCACCAGCCCTCCAGATATTCTCAGCTGGATTTCCCAGAGACACCACAAAATCACTCTTTTGGCCCAGAATTTATTCTCTTCTTCCACCCCTCCACTTCCTTTTTGTGTCCTCTGTCTTGAAGAATAACAATTCCTTAGCCCAGCTGTCCAGGACTTAGCGCAAATGCTTTCCTTTCTCAGTCTCCTCCTCCATTTCTCAGCCTCCTACTTCCTCATCTTCTTCCATGCGGGCAGTTCTTCCTATTGACCACCATGACTCTGCCTCTTCTTTCCAGCCCTTGCTTGTACTTTAGTTCTAGCTCCATCATTTACTTTCAGCATCATCCACTGCAGTAGCCTCCACCTTCATTCAGCTTCCCTGTCTCCAGTGTTCCCTTCCCCATGAATTCTTCCACACTGCTGTCATCTCCATTGGAAATTGTTAAATGGCTCTTTACTGCCACCAGAAACAAAACCAACCTCCACCTATCTACTTCCTCCTCTCACTTCCCACATACCTATTATAATCCAACCATGCTGAACTAATGGCAGTCCCCTGAATGCTGTCCAGCACTCTCCCATACAACTTTCTGCAGTGATGGAAATGTTCTATATCTCTGCTGTCCAGTATGGTAGCCACATGTGGCTATTGAGTACTTGAAATGTGACTAGCACAACACAAGACCTGGATCTTAAACTTCATTTACTTTTAACTAATTTAAATTTAAATAGTCATGCTGGGCCTGGTGGTGGTATGCCTATAATCCCAGCTACGTGGGCAGAAGTCTGAGGTGGGAGGATCCCTTGAGGCCAGAAGTTTGAGGTTGCAGTGTGCTCAGACAGTGCCTGTGAATAGCCACTGCACTCCAGCTGCCGCAATATAGCAAGACTCCATCTCTACAGAAAAAAAAAATTAGCCAAGCATGGCAGAACAGGCCTGTAGTCCCAGCTACTCAGGCAGCTGAGGCAAGAGGATCACTTGAGCTCAGGATTCAAGGCTGCAGTGACCTATGATGGCACTACAGCACTCCAGACTGGGTGACAGAGCAAGACATCTAAGATAAATAAATAGATAAAAATAAAAGTCACATGTGGCTGGTAGATACTACATTGAACTGCACAATAGTTTACATCCTTGCTTCTCAAAGCGTGGTCCATCAGCCTGGGCATTCCCTGGAAACTTGTAGTAATGCATAATCTCAGGCCTCATCCCAGATCTGCTGATTCGGAATCTATATTTCAACAAGATCCCCAGGTGATCTGTATGCACATTAAAGTTTCAAGAGCCACAGCTCTAATAAGCTCTTGCTTCCTTGCCTTTGCATGTGGTGTTCTCTTCGTCTGGGCTGCCTGTCACCTGTTCTTTTTTCCTTAACTCCTACTTATCCCTAGACCTATCTACACTCACAACCTGCTGTTAATATGGTAATCCAGAGGGTAGGGGATGAAGGATATGGGGGAGAGGAGTGAGAGGGAAGGAGAAAATATCTATGATAAAACCACTTGTATCTTGTAATCTTAAATAACTATATGTATGTAGCTATATAATATAAATACATACATACTATGTATATATTTATAGTATAGTATGTATATATGTATAGTATTCTATGTATATACATGTACAAGTATAGTTTGTGTGTGTGTGTGTGTGTGTGTGTGTGAAAATATGGTTACTACAATGTCAGTGGTATTTCTCTCAAGGTGATGGGATTTCATGTGTCTTACTTTCTAAAAATATTTTTGAGGTATCATTCAAATTCTTTACAAAGAGCATGTATTACTGATATAATAATTTTCATTACAGAAAACAAAATAAGGGCTATATTAGCCTTTTGTAAGTAACTTCAAGAACACGATATCGGAATAAAGTATAGCGTTTTACAAAAAAGGAGAGCCCCCACCTTCCACAGTTAGAGACACTCCCTTGTCTACAACACAAGAGCGGGCAGTAGGCATGGCATAGGCAACAACCAACCTGAAAGCAGAAGAATGATCTCTTGTGATGCCTCCACTGCTGTCTCCTGTGTCTACCCTCCCACCCCCACAGCAGACATGGTCCTAGCACCACGACAATCACCTCTTCTCCATCCCCTGCCTGACTCCTAGCTAGGGCTGGAGTCTGAAAAGGGGCCTTAGGTGTACAGAGAAGGTCACCTGGAATCACTAGAAGCATCTGCAGAAGTATATGGATATGTTGGGTGACTCAGATGACATCTCGTTTGGTCCTTAGCATCAAGGTTTTGTTCTATCAAATATTCTATTAAGAACGAATGTTTTCATTTTTTGGCTATTGTATTTCTTTTCTAAATTTTGGCAATTTTTTCTTTACTGAAAAAAAGATGACAATTACCTGAGAGGTTATTTTAAATTCATGGCAAAATGTGTTTTGCTGAGCTATGGGATGCAATTTCTGCAGATCTTAGTGTGCTCAGCTGTGGAAGTCAGTTATAGGGTATAGAGTTCTGGTGGTAGGGTAAGGCCCAAAAAGCCACCAGAATGAATAGAGGAGACAACATAGCCTGGAGCCAAGACATAGTTTATATTCTGCACAGTAACTAATTTGCAAAAATAACAGGATGTTGTGAAATTTGATTAAGCAGCAAGGTGAGGGAGGCATTTTGGGGGGTTAGATCAAATTATTATTATTAAGGGTATTGTACAAGTTCCAATTCAATTCTAAAGATAGAAGGAAATTTATATTCTTTATTTTAAAACAAGTTGGCTTATCTAAATAAGTAACAAACTCAGTGTTTTATTTTATTTATTTATTTATTTATTTATTTATTTATTTATTTTGAGACGTGGTCTTGCTGTGTCGCTAGAGCTGGAGTTCAGTGGCACGATCTGGGCTCACTGCAACCTCTGCCTACCAGGTTCCAGCAATTCTCATGCCTCAGCCTCCTGAGTAGCTGGGATTACAGGCGCCCGCCACCACGCCTGGCTAATTTTTGTATTTTTAGTAGAGACGAGTTTCGCCAAGTTGGCCAAGATGGTCTCAATGTCTTGACTTCGTGATCCACCTGCCTCAGCCTCCCAAAGTGCTGGGATTACAGGCATGAGCCACTGTGCCCGGCCCAAAATTCAGTGTTGCAAATCATCCTTTTGTACATGTATGATCATATTTATAATTCTATATCTATTTATCAATCTACTACTGGCAGCACCCACCTCATGTATTGGCGGCTCCAGAGGTGTCATGTGACTTGGATACCGGAATGGAGCCAGCCTTTGTGAGGTGTGAAAGCTTATACAATTTGGGTGGTCCTTCTTCTTAAAAGAAACAATGCAAAATTTTACAAAAATATGCAACCCCATGGACACATTGTTAGAGCCCCTCTTGGGCCCTAGGTGAGGCCCATGCAAATAAAGAAATTGACACCTAAACTTTACTTCAACAGTTTTAGGGTAAATCTACCTTGGCTGCTCAGATGCTCTAGAAAGGGGAATTGTTGGCTATCCTTTAATACCATCCTTAGCACAGCACAGCTAAGGAGGAAACTCCATGCTTACACAAGGGCTTCTTCCTTAATCATCAGCAACGGCCCAGTTTACTGTACACCTAGTATTTGTGCCAGGCACTGTTCTAAGCTTTTTTTTTTTTTTTTTTTTGCATTGTCTCTTTTGATTCCTCATACTAACACTGAGATATATGTACTAGATGATCTTCATTTTACAGATAGGAAACTGAGACCCAGAGATATTGAATAACTTGCCCAAGAAGAGGTACCCACTGAGTGCTGAAAAACAGGCAGAGGTGGGAATGGGTTGCCAGCTGTTGAATTCCTGGGTCTGTGCTATCTAAGAACAGTAGCAGAAAGAGAGGCCCAAGCCACCAAACTGAGATTCAACAACCTGACCTCTGCTGTGGGGTGAGCTTGTTGAAAGCAGGTAGGACTATAAGTGACCTGATAGGTCACTAGGAGAAAAATCCAGTTTCCAGAACTAGACAGAAGGTCTCAGCCAAATACGGGGAGTTGGGGGTAGGGAAGCTTGCTTCTGAGCCCCAGGAACCTCCACTATATAACATAAGATTGGTTTTAGAGATTCAGAGATGAGGGGTCAATGGGCAGAAAGGTTTCCTGACGTCCACAAACTCAAAATAAAAATTGCCATTTGTACACTCTGAGCAGCCACAAAGCTCTCTGGACAATAAAGCTGCTGAGAAGTCATCTAGGAACAGTTTAATGCCACCTTTCTCCACCCTCTTTGGGATAAATATACATCACATGCTCGTCCTCTTTTTTAGTCTTGCACACAAACACATTAATCCCAATGTCTTCTTCAGACCTGCATTTAAGTCACTTTTTTTCCCCAATGTTGGAAAGCCCTAATAACAAAACTAAACCCCCCTTAGTTCTACCCTCTCTAATTTAATTTCATTTGCGTGGTAAAAAACCAGCATATTTATCGTTGATAAATATCAGAAGAGAGCTTCAGATATCCCTGTATAAAGGGAGAGGGAAGTAGTACATGTTAATAGTGAAATGGAGTTAACCAAGAACTTGAAAACAACTTGTATTTGCAATTTATTTGTGCTTTTTAATTTCTACTTTTTGTATTTATTGATGATTATTTGTGATTTATTATTTATTCATTGCGTTTTGTTTTTGTTTTTGTTTTTGTTTTGAGAAAGAGTCTTTCTCTGTCGCGGAGACTGGAGGGCAGTGGTGCCATCTCGGCTCACTGCAAACTCTGCCTCCTGGGTTTACGCGATCGCCTGCCTCAGCCTCCCAAGTAGCTGGGATTACAGGGAGGAACCCCCACACCCAGCTAATTTTTGTATTTTTAATTGAGACGGGGTTTCACCATATTGGAAAGGCTTGTCTCAAACTCCTGACCTCAAGTGATCCGTCTGCCTCAGCCTCCCAAAGTGCTGAGATTACAGGTGTGAGCCATCGCACCTGGTCATTTATTTATTATTTACAGCCCAGTTTAGTCCAAAAAGGATTTGAGTGTAATTTACACAAATACATTACAATGAGATTTTCAAAGAACAGTGAGAAAGTTGGAGTGCAGGGAAAATATGATTAAAGTCCAGGGCTAGTACACAAAATAAAACCATGGGGAATACTTGCTGGAGGAAGGCCAAAAATTTTGCTCTGAGCTGCCTGGCAGTCAATGTAAAACATCAGAAAATAGAAAAAAAAAATGACACTCAAGAGAAACACAAATATTCCTGAAAGAAATTTCTTCCGTGGGTCTTTATAAAGAGGGTACTATAACCAACCTCCTCAATACCGATAATCTAAAGAGAATAGTTTTTTACTTGGAAAATAGGTGTGTTAAAAAAAGAAAAAAAAAGAAAAAAAATGTTTTTAATCTCTCTAGCTTTTGGGTGTCCAGGATTTTTGATGCCTAGCCAAGATGATTTGCTTGCTTGAACTCAATTAAAACAAAATGTTTTTCAAGTCCCAATTATCATTTGGCAAGAGAGTTATCTGTCATGCAGGTGAAACTTGGGGAAGAAATTGGACTTTTAACTGATTGTGAAGCAGATAGGCTACACTCTGCTGTAATAGTAAAATCAATGGCTAAAAACAGATGGCATGTCCCATAACAAAGATGTGGTAATTTGGGTTAGTTCCCTGGCCAAAGATTCAGCATTTAGTCATAGACATACGTGTGTATGTGTGAGTGTGTGTGTGTGTGTGTGTGTATGTGTGTGTGTTGTCAACTTTAAATAACAAGATTCAAAAAATATTTTTAAGTATAGAATTTATTTGAGCTCAAAGTTTGAGGGTGGCCACCCAGGAGCAAAGATTCAAGTTATCCTGAATATACACTCTGATTAGCAGCCGTTACAAGTGGGTTTATTTTTAATTTTTAGCTTTTTTAAAGACAGGGTCTTTCCCAGGCTGGAGTGCAGTGGCATAATCATGGCTCACTGTAACCTTGAACTCCTGGGCTCAAGTGATCCTCCTACCTTAGCCTCCTGAATGGCCAGGATTACAGGCAAGTGCCACCATGCCCAGCTACTTTTCAAAAATTTTTTGTGGAGATGGGGTCTTCTTAGGCTGGCCAGTCTGGTCTCAAACTTCTGGCCTCAAGCAATCCTGCCTCAGCCTCCCAAAGTGCTGGGATTATGGCCACAGTGGGTTTATTATTATTTTTATTTTTTGGTAGTTCAATGATCCTTATTCTGAAAGTGAATTTTTAAAGGAAAAAAGAAGAGCAGTTCCTAAATTGTAATGTAAACCAATAATTTACATTAAGGTAACACAAGCTACTGATTGATTATACATTGTTCTTTGTGTCACAAATTCCAGGAACATGAAGATAATGGGGGCTGGGAGTGGTGGCTCATACCTGTAATCCCAGAATTTTGGGAGGCTGAGACGGGCAGATCGCCTGAGGTTAGGAGTTCGAGACCAGCCTGGCCAACATGGTAAAATCCCATCTCTACTAAAAATACAAAAATTAGGCTGGGTGCGGTGACTCAAGCCTGTAATTCCAGCAGTTTGGGAGGCTGAGGTGGGCGGATCATGAGGTCAGGAATTCAAGACCAGCCTAGCCAACATGGTGAAACCCCATCTCTATTAAAAATACAAAAAAATTAGCCGGGAGTGTTGGCGCTCACCTGTAATCCCAGTTACTTAGGAGGCTGAGGCGGGAGAATCGCTTGAACCTGGGAGGCGGAGATTGCAGTGGGCCGAGATCACGCCAGGGCACTCCAGTCTGGGTGACAGAGTGAGACTCTGTCTCAAACAAACAAACAAACAAACAAAAAGATAATGGGGGAAGGGGCTAGTCAGGAACAAAATGCCTTTAAACAATTGTCCCTGGGAATGGATGTGGGGAGCAGGGGTAGGACGTGATGAAGTTCCATACTCATGTACCTCTGGGCCAAATAGATTTTTGCATACCTCACATGGCTCAGACTGTTCTGACCTATTTTTTTTCTCATTTCCCCCCTTTTCATCAAGACCTTTCAAAGAAAGCATTGTAGGTGAACTCAAACAGTTTTGGCTTCAGTTATGTTCAGGAGTTTAGTCCCATGTCATCAGGAAAACTCATTCCCAGGTGGTCCTGTTCCACATGGGGGGTGGGAGAAACAGGATACATCTCATGAGGAATTTTAAGAGTCCCCAAAGGCTAATTGGGATGGCATCACAGGGTGGCAAAAATGAGACCTCAGTCAAGTCATTGATTTATATAGCTGCTGTCACTTGTTGAATCATCTCTAGTATTCAGATTACCATGAGTTTAGTTTTCTCAGAAGTAAAACAAGGGATACATAGTAGAAATATAATACACATAAAGATTATAATAAAAAAGAGAATTTGAATGCCAAAATGAAAAAAAGAAAACCCTATTCTATAAAGGAGTCAACTACAAATATTATGAAGAAAATTAAAACCTGGTCCTTCTTCAGAAAATTCTTATAGCCAGGAAATAATTTAGGATTTAGTTCAAATTGTAGAGAAATAATAAAATGTTAAAAACAGTGTTCAGGACTGGTATACAGGAAAAGGTGTGCTATAGTTTTCTTCTGAAACATATTTTTTCCCTCTTCAGCTCCACATTTCTCCTAAAGGTAAATTTTAATAGGACCAATTTACTTGCAAAATAAGTTTTAGTATTATACTTGGCCTGATTATTTGCATAAAACTCAACAAGAATAGTGAATGGCCATATTTTAAGTTGGCTTTCCTGGAACTTCTTTTTTTTTTTTTTTTTGAGACAGAGTCTTGCTCTGTCCCCAGGCTGGAGTGCAGTGGGGCGATCTCAGCTCACTGCAAGCTCCGCCTCCCGGGTTCATGCCATCCTCCTGCCTCAGCCTCCGGAGTAGCTGGGACAGCAGGAGGCCACCTCCACGCCCGGCTAATTTTTTTGTATTTTTAGTAGAGACGGGGTTTCACCGTGTTAGCCAGGATGGTCTCAGTCTCCTGACCTTGTGATCCGCCCGCCTCAGCCTCCCAAAGTGCTGGGATTACAGGCGTGAGCCACCGCACCTGGCCTGCTGGAACATTTTAATAAGGAATTTAAGTTTTTTTTTTTTTTTTTGAGACAGTTTCACTCTTGTTGCCCAGGCTGGAGTGTGATGGCGCAGTCTCGGCTCAGCTCAACCTCTGCCTTCTGGGTTCAAGCGATTCTCCTGCCTCAGCCTCCCAAGTAGCTGGGATTACAGGCGTGCACCACCACGCCTGGCTAATTTTGTATTTTTAGTAGAGGCGGGGTTTCTCCACGTTGGTCAGGCTGGTCTCAAACTCCTGACCTCAGGTGATCTGCCCGCCTGGGCCTCCCAAAGTGCTGGGATTACAAGTGTGAGGCACCATGCCCAGCCACTTAAGATTAAACTTTTAAAAGCTTCTTGAAGTTAGGATACCAAGCCAGGGATTTACCATCAGACTGTGCGTGTAGTACCTGTATGAATTGGGTGAATTCCTCTCTTCTCAAGGTCTCAAAAATATCTTGAGGTTCCCGGATCTTCAGAAAGTGATATTATTCATTTACCACAAGGTCAGAAACAGTGTAGACAAGGTACCTGGCCAGTCTTTCCAACAGCTTTTTAGCAGCTATATAAAATCAGTTTCAATTCCTCAAAGCAGTCTGGTCATATGTAAAACATGCCATTCCCGTCAAGCCTTAGTAAAATTACCAGTTCATCTAACATGTCCTGTTACAAAAGAAAACATATTTTTATTGAACCTATTCAAATAATTATATTTCCATAAAATAGGAATAGTCACCAATAGTTTCCAAATTTTGGAAAAATCAGGTAGACAGAAAGGTAATTGTTTCAATTTTGCTTACAAAAGTATACTTTAGTCAATTGCTGTGAGCTATAAATAACTGAAAAGAAAAATGTTTTCTTGACTCTAGAAAATGAAATATAAAAAGAACCAGGAATGTTTCAAACAAAAAATGTCATAAAAGTAATTTTAGTCCTCTATCAAGTCAGTACCATGTAATAATTCTTATTCTGCCTGATGTTTTGTTAGCAATTTCATGAACACATAAGCTTTTTATTAGAGTTCTGGAAATTTTGACTTGGTCTAATGGTATGATCTCTAAAGTTATCAGAAGCCTGTTCTCAAGGGTACTTGTCAGGGCTCTTTTCACTGAATTTACTTGAAGAAACAAAAAAAGAAGTGAATTCACTTGAAGAAGCAAATATAGACTATAATCTATTATAAACCACTTTTTTAGTAGAATAAAAGTAAAGCAATGATTGTGAATGAAAAAAGACTTAGAATAGCCATGGTTAAAGATGCAATTGAAAATGCAATTCTACTGTTTCTGTGGCATACAACAATTTAACATAATAATTATAAATAGGACTGATAGGCCAAGCACAGTGGTTCACACCTGTAATCCCAGCACATTGGGAAGGCGAGGCGGGCTGATCACCTGAGGTCAAGGGTTCCAGATCAGCCTGGCCAACATGGTGAAACCCAATCTCTACTAAAGATACAAAAAATTAGCCGGCCATAGTGGCGCACACCTGTAATCCCAGCTACTCGAGAAGCTGAGGCAGGAGAATTGCTTGAACCCAGGAGGCGGAGGTTGCAGTGAGCTGAGATCGCGCCATTGCACTCCAGCCTGGGTGACAGGGCAAGATTCCGTCTCAAAAACATACATACCTACATACATACATAAGATATAACATATATCAAGACATATCAGAATTTTAAGAACCTCATATAATTTTGGAACACATATTAATAATACATTTATGCAAATATAACTCGAAAAAGTTAAACACCATTTCTTATTTAACATTGCCTCCTATGAGTTTAACATACCAAATAAGCCTAACATGTCTCTTGAGGATTTTCAGGAGTTCCTGTTTGTTAAGTGCAAGTTAGTTCAGGTCAAAAAGACTTAATTTTAGAATTCAAAATTTAATTTTGGGAAGTATGTCAAATATTAAAGGTTTAGTATTTGATATTAAAATAAGAACAGTTTAAAACATATGATCAAAATAGAATCACAGGTCACTGTAAAAAATAATCATTCATTTACCCAAAATGATAATTAACATATTTCAAAAAGCAAAAACTTTTACTCTGATAGAGAGGAGACCATTTCCAGTCAAGAAAAGAAAAAAAAAGGCAGCATGAGGCAAAGTCTTCCTCTACTTTTTTTTGCAGTTTACTCAAAAGGTAAATAAATATGTTACAATGTCTTATTAATACTATGTGAAATTCTTGTTCGAAGGAGAAAATCAAATTTTACTTTCATATTAGTATATTAATAACAATAAAGCTAATTTTAATAAAGCCTGATAAACAAATTCATCCAATCTAACAGCTTTGGCCACACAAGATGAGATTTCTATAAACATTTTATAACCTCTTAACAATTATCTATTAAAGACCAGATCAATTCTCTAAGAAAACTGTGTTGTTTTACATAGGGTCCTAGACTCTGGTCTTGAATCAATTTGCTCAATTTTTATTTTATTATTTTTTAATGAGAGCACAATACAAAAATTTATTTCAATAATGGTGATAACCTAAAGCCACAGAACAAAATATAAATTACATTTAGAATACTCTATTTAGGATGCTGAATTTCCATTTTATTTAAAAATATTTTTCTTAATAAATTAACATACACAAATTTTGATGCCAAATTCTTCCATGACACTAAACATTTAAGGTGTTGATGAACATGATCTGTGTGCAAGAATATATATATATACTTGTGGATATATTATTCTATAGAAGAGGGAAATTATCCTTTTATATATCAGAGGGTCCCATAGGATTGAAGAAGTTATAGGAAGACTAATATTTTTTTTTTCAGCTATATCTACTGGAATGGGAAGCTAACCTTTTTAAATAATTGAAGATATACAACAGTGAAAAAAGATTCCTTGTAGTGGAGCTGAACTTATGCTCTCTGGAAAAGTAAAATCAGTGTTGAGTTTATCATCTTTTTGTGATCTGAAGATAGTGATGCTAGTTTTGTTGAGTGATTAGACACTTATGACCCTTCTGACTTTTGTTTATTTTTTGTTAGGGCTCAGCAAAATAATTTTTTTTTCCTGTTTTTTAAAATTTTTTATTTTAGGTTTGGGGGTACATGTGCAGGTTTGTTACATAGGTAAATTGCATGTCACAGGGGTTTGGTGTACACATTATTTTGCCACCTAGGTAATAAACATAGTACCCTATAGGTAGTTTTTCAATCCTCACCCCCCTCCCACCCTCCAACATCAAGTAGGCCCCAGTGTCTCTTGTTCCGTGCCTTGCGTCCATATGTACTCAATGTTTAGCTCCCACTTACATGTGAGAACATGTGATATTTGGTTTTCTGTTCCTGCATTAGTTTGCTTAGGATAATGGCCTCTAGCTCCATCCATGTTGCTACAGAGGACATGATCTCATTCTTTTTTATGGATGCATAGTATTCCGTGTGTGTGTGTGTGTGTGTGTGTGTGTGTGTGTGTGTGTGTGTGTATCACATGTTTTTTATACAGTGTACCACTGATGGGCATTTAGGTTGATTCCATGTCTTTGCTATGCTGCCGAGTTGAACATGCACATGCATGTGTCTTTACAGTAGAATGATTTATAATTCCTTTGGGTATATGCCCAGTAATGGAATTGCTGGTCAAATGGTAGTTCTGTTTTAAGTTCTTTGAGAAATTGCCAAACTGCTTTCAGCAGTGAATGAACAAGTCTACATTCCTGCCAGCAGTGCATAAGCATTCCTTTTTCTCTACAACCTCACCAGCATCTTTTTTTTTTTTTTACTTTATTAATAGCCAGTATAACTGGTGTGAGATGGTATCTTATTGTGGTTTTGGTTTGCATTTCTCTAATGATTAATGAAGTTGAGCCATTTTTTTATATGATTGTTGGCAGCATGTCTTTCGAAAAGCATCTGTTAATGACATTTGGCCACTTTTTAGTGGGGTTGTTTTTGCTTGTAAATTTAAGTTCTTTATAGATTCTGGATATAACACCTATGTTGGATGGATAGTTTGCAAATATTTTCTCCCATTGTATAGGTTGTCTGTTTACTCTTTCTTGATAGGTTCTTTTGCTGTGCAGAAACTCTTTAGTTTCATTAGGTTTCATTTATCAATTTTTGTTTTTGTTGCAATTGCTTTTGATGTCTTCATCATGAAATCTTTGCCAGGTCCTAGGTTCAGAATGGTATTTCCTAGGTTATCTTCCAGGGTTTTTATAGTTATGTGTTCTAGATTAAAGTCTTTAATTCATCCTGACTTAATTTTTGTATATGGTGTAAGGAAGGGGTCCAGTTTCAGTCTTTTCCATATGGCTAGCCAGTTACCTCAGCACCACTTATTGAATAGAAAGTCCTTTCTTCATTGCTTGCTTTTGTTGATTTTGTCAAAGACCAGATTATTGTAGGTGTGTGGCATTATTCCTGGGCTCTCTATCCTTGTAGTATAGTTTGAAGTCGGGTAATGTGATGAATACCACTTTTTGTTTTGTTTTGTTTTGTTTTGTTTGTTTTTGCTTAGTATGGCCTTGGCTATTTGAATTCTTTTTTAGTTCCATAAGAAATTTAACATTTTTTTTTCTAATTCTGTGAACAATGTCATTTGTAGTTTGATAGGAATAGCATCGAGTCTATAAATAGCTCTGAGCGGTATAACCATTTTGACAATATTGATTCTTCCTATCCATGAGCATGAAATGTTTTTCCATTTGTTTATGACATCTAGGATTTCTTTGAGCAGTGTTTCATAATTCTTGTTGTAGAGGTCTTTCACCTCCTTGGTTAGATGTATTCCTAGGTGTTTTTGTTTGTTTGTTTGTTTTGTTTTGTTTGCTTTTTGAGACAGAATCTCACTCTGTCACCCAGGCTGAGTGCAGTCTCGCTGTCTCAGCTCACTGCAACCTCCACCTCCCAGGTTCAAGCGATTCTCCTGCCTCATTCTCCCAAGGAGCTGGGATTACAGGTGTGCACTACCATGCCTGGCTAATTTTTGTGTTTTTAATAGAGATGGGGTTTCACCAAGTTGCCCAGGCTGGTCTCGAACTCCTGATTTCAGGTGATCAGCCTACTGTGGCCTCCAAGTGCTGAGATTACAGGCGTGAGCCACCATGCCCAGCCATTCCTAGAAATTTTATTTTTTATGTGGTGATTGTGAATGGGACTGCATTCATTATTTGGCTCCCAGTTTGTGTATGTGAATGCTAATAATTTCTGTACATTGATTTTGTATCCTGAGATTTTGGTAAAGTTGTGTTTTGGGCAGAGACTATCGGGTTTTCTAAGTATGGAATCATATTGTCTACAAACAGAGATAGTTTCACTTTCTCTCTTCCTATTTGGCTGCCTTTTATTTGTTTCTCTTACGTGATTGCTCTGTCTAGGACTTCCAGTACTGTGTTGAATAGGAGTAGTGAGAGAGGGCATCCTTGTCTTGTGCCAGTTGTCAAGGGGAATGCTTCCATATTTTGCCAGTATGATGTTGATTGTGGGTTTTTCATAGAGGACTGCTATTATTTTGAAGTATGTTCCTTCAATGCCTAGTTTGTTGAGGTTTTTTTTCTTTCCCTTTTTTTTTTTTTTTGAGACAGAGTCTTGCTCTGTTGCCTAGGCTGGAGTGCAGTGGCGCGATCTCATTTCACTGCAACCTCCGTTCCCAGGTTCAAGCAATTCTCCGGCCTCAGCCTCCCAAGTAGCTGGGATTACAGGCACACGCCATCATGCCCAGCTAATTTTTATATTTTTAGTAGAGACGTGGTTTCACTATGTTGGTCAGGCTTGTCTTGAACTCCTGACCTCGTGATCTGCCCGCCTCAGCCTCCCAAAGTGGTGGGATTACAGGCGTGAGCCACCCCACCCAGCAACGATTTTTTAACATGAAGGGATGTTGAATTTTGTCAAAAGCCTTTTCTGTATCTCTTGAGATGATCATGGATTTTGTTTTTCTGTTTTTTTATTTGTTTGTTTTGTTTTGTTTTGTTTTTTTGAGACAGAGTCTTGAACTGGGCTGGAGTGCAGTGGCACGATCTCAGCTCACTGCAACCTCTGCTAGTTTTTTGTATTTTTATTAGAGATGGGGTTTCACTATGTTGGCCAGGCTGGCCTCAAACTCCTGACCTTGTGATCTGCCTGCCTCGGCCTCCCAAAGTGTTGGGATTACAGGTGTGAGCCACCATGCTTGGCCTGTTTTTCTGTTGTTTTTGAGATAGGGTCTCACTCTGTTGCCCAGGCTGGAGCATAGTGATGTGATCACAGCTCACCGCAGCCTCAACCTCCCAGTCAGAGAATCCTCCCCTCTCAGCCTGCTGAGTAACTGAGGAAATGATTCTGGGGGATGACTGGGAAATGACTTCTGGGGAAATGATAATAGGCTTGTAGGATTTCTGCTAACAGATGTGCTGTTAGCCTTATGGGGTTCTCTTGGTAGGTGAGCTCCTTCTCTCCAGCTCCAGGTGCATGCCACCATACCCTGCTAACTTTTGTATTTTTTGTAGAGATGGAGTTTCACCATGTTGCCCAGGCTGATCTCAAACCCCTGGGCTCAAGTGGTCCTCCCACCTTGGCCTCCCAAAGTGCTGGGATTACAGGCATAAGCCACTGCACCCAGCCATGGTTTTGTTTTTAGTTCTGTGTATGTGGTGAATAACATTTATTGATTTATGTATGTTGAACCAAGCTTGTATCCTACGGATAAAGCCTACTTGATTGTGGTGGATTAGCTTTCTGAAGTGCAGCTGGATTCAGTTTGCTAGTATTTTGCTGAGTATTTTGGCATCAATGTTCATCAAGGATATTGGCCTGAAATTTCTTTTTATGTGTGTCCCTGCCAGGTTTTGGTATCAGATGATGCTGACCTTATAGAGCGAGTTAGAAATGAGTCTCTCCTCCTCAGTTTTTTGGAATAGTTTCAGTAGAAATAGTGCCAGCTCTTCTTTGTACATCTGGTAGAATTAGGCTGTGAATCCATCTGGTCCTGGCCTTTTTCTGGTTGTTAGCCTTTTAATACTAAATTCACTTTTGGAACTCATTATTGGTCTGTTCAAGGATTCAGTCTCTTTCTAGTTTAACCTTGGGAGATTTTATGTTTCCGGGAATTTATCCATTTCTTCTAGGTTTTCTAGTTTGTATGCATACAGGTGTTTGTAATAGTCTCTGAGGGTATTTTTGTAATTTCTGTGGGTTCAGTGATAACATCCCCTTTGTCAATTCTGATTGTATTTATCTGAGTCTTCTCTCTTTTATTAATTAGTCTAGCTACCAAGCTATCAATCTTATTAATTCTTTCAGATAAGCGCCTGGATTCATGGATCTTTTTATTTTTATTTATTTATTTTTTGCATCTAAATTTCCTTCATTTCATCTCTGATTTTGGTTATTCCTTGTTTTCTCCTAGCTTTGGGGTTAGTATGCTTTTGTTTCTCTTGCTTCTATAGACTTTATGTCAGGTTGTTAATTTGAGAACTAACTTTTGGAAGTGGACATTTACTTACACAAACGTTCCTCTTAACACTGTGTTGGATGTGTCTCAGAGATTCTGGTACATTGTATCTTTGTTCTTACTAGTTTCTAAGAATTTCTTGATGTCAGCTCTAATTTCATTATTTCCCCAAAAGTCATTCAGGAGCAGGTTGTATAATTTTTGTTTAATTGTATGGTTTTGAATGATTTTCTTAGTATTGATTTCTATTTTTATTGAACTGTTGTCTGAGTGCATGGTTGGTATGACTTTGGTATTTTTGTAGTTGCTGAAGGTTGTTTCATGCCCAACTGTGTGGTTGATTTTATAGGATGTGCCATGTACAGATTAGAAGAATATATATTTTGTTGTTTTCAGGTGGAGAGTTCTGTAGATGTCTATTTGGTCCATTTTGTCAAGTGTTAAGGTCCTGAATATATTTGTTAGTTTTCTGCCTCAGTGATCCATCTAATACTGTCAGTTGGGTATTAATGTCTTCCACTATTATTGTGTGGTTATCTAAATCTCTTCAGTTGTCTCTGAGAACTTGCTTTATGTGTCTGGGCAATCCTGTGCTGAGTGAGTATATATTTAAGACAGTTAGATCTTCTTGTGGAATTGAGCCCTTTACCATTATGTAATGCATTCTTTGTCTTTTTCTTATCTTTGTTAGTTTAAAGTCTATTTTGTCTGAAATTAGAATAGCAACCTCTCATTTTTTTTCTGTTTTTCATTTGCTTGGTAGAGTTTTTCTCCATGCCTTTACTTTGAAGGGATGTCATTGGTGTCATTGCATGTGAGATGGGTCTCTTGAAGACAGCATACAATTGGGTTTTGCTTCTTTATCCAGCTTGCCACTCTGTGCCTTTTAATTGGGGTATTTAGCCAGTTTACATTCAAGGTTAGTATTAATGTGTGTGGATTTGGTCCTGTTATCATGTTGTTAGCTGGTTATTATGCAGAGTTGTTTGTGTGGTTGCTTTATAGTGTCACTGGTTTATGTATTTAAATGTGTTTTTTAGCAACTTGTAACAATCTTTCCTTTCCATATTTAGCACACCCTTCAAAATGTCTTGTAAGGCAAGTCTGATGATAAAAAATTCCCTTAGCATTTGCTTGTCTGAAAAGGATCTTATTTCTCCTTCACTTATAAAGCTTAGTTTGGCCACATATGAGATTCTTGGTTGAAAATTCTTTTCTTTGGGAATGCTGAATATAGACCCCCAATCTCTTCTGGCTTGTAGGGTTTCTGCTAACAGGTGTGCTGTTAGTCTTATGGGGTTCTCTTTGTAGGCGACCTGCTCCTTCTCTCCAGCTGCTTTTTTTTCTTTTATTTCAACCATAGAGAATCTGATGGCTATGTGTCTTGGGGATGGTCTTTTTATGTAGTGTTTTGCAGGGGTTCTCTGTATTTTCTGAATTTGAATATTGGCCTCTAGTGAGGTTGGGGACATTTTCATGGATGATATCCTGATTTTTTTTTTTTTTTTGAGATGGTGTTTCACTCTGTTGCCCAGACTGGAGTGCAGTGGCATGATCTTGGCTCACTGCAACCTCTGCCTCCCGGGTTCAAGTAATTCTCCTGCCTCAGCCTCCCAAGTAGCTGGGATTACAGGCATGCACCACCAGGCCCAGCTAATTTTTGTATTTTTAGTAGAGACAAGGTTTCACCATGTTGGCCAGGCTGGTCTCGAACTCCTAACCTCAAGTGATCCACCCACCTCAAGCCTCCCACAGGTGCTGGAATTACAGGCGTGAGCCACCACACCTGGCCCTGAAATATGTTTTTCAAAGTTGCTTGGTTTCCCTCCCTGTTTCTCAGGCACATCAATGAGTTATATATTGGGTCTCTTTACATAATTCTATATTACTCAGAGGTTGTTCCTTCTTGTTTATTGTTTTTCCTCTCTTTTACTCTGATAGAGTTATTTCAGAGGTCTTCAAAGAGGTCTTCAAGCTCTGAGATTCTTTCCTTAGCTTGGTCGGTTCTGCTGTTAATACTTGGGATTGCATTGTGAAATTCTCATAGAATGTTTTACAGCTCTACCAGATAAATTTGGTTCTTTGTTCTAATGGCCATTTTGTCTATAAGTTCCTGTTCAGTTTATTGTAATCCTTAGATTCCTTTGATTAGATTTCAACCTTCTCCTGTATCTCAATAATCTTCATTTCTGTCCAGAATCTGAATTCTATTTCTGTAATTTTGGCCATCTCAGCCTGTTTGGGAACTAGTCCAATCCTTTGGAGGTAACAAGACACTATGGCTTTTTGAGTTGCCAGAGTTTTTGCACTGGTTCTTTCTCATCTTTGTGGGCTAATATTCCTTCAATCTTTGTAGTTGCTGACTTTTAGATAAGTTTTTTTTTCTTTAATTCCATTTTATGTTCTGGGAGATTTAATTGTGGTATAAGGTGGGTTCAATTGACTGGGTTTGTTTCTGGAGGATTTTAGGGAACCAAGGCTCAGCTCAGAACTCCTGGACTGTGTGTTCTAACTCTGGGGTGTTGATTTCAGACCTCTGGCTTTGTTCTGTGGTCCCTGGAAGTTAGGAACCTGCCATGCTGGAAGGGCCAAGTTGTTCCTGAAGCAGTGTTCACAAGAGTCTGATGGGTGGTGCCAGCCACAGAACTTTGTAGGGAAGTGGCAATGGGATCCATCCTTGTTTGCATGTGCCAGCAGTATGGGTAGCATGGCAGGGTGCACACTCATTCTGCAGTGAGGTGCTGGTAGGTTCAGGGGTGCCAACTTCTGTGTGGGTGTTCACAGTGGTGATGGTGGCAGGATAGTGTGGCCAGCCAGGGGTCCCCCCAGTGTCTGTGCATGTGTTTGCTCCAGGGCTGGTGTTAGCACAAGGGTGGGTGCTGGTAGGCATGAAACTCTGTGTACCCTCTGTGCAGCCGGCAGCTGCTGCTGGGGGTGGGGATGGGTCTAGTGGTCTCCCGCACAGTTTTGCACTGGCAGCAATGTTGTCATGGGGACAGGGCACTGGTGGGTACGGGCCTGGCAGTCTCTATGCCCATTAGTGCTCCTATGGCTCAATTTTTAGAAAAATAATTCTAATTTTAGCCAACTTGATCACAAACAAAATTCCTTTCACAAGATGAGTTTTCCACAGATTTTCTAAAATTTGCTTAAGGCGCCAGTTTTGTCCTGTATTTCCTTTTTATATTGGCATCTTACCTTAGGACAAAAATTTACTTTTTTTTCCTATTGTCATTTTGAACACATAAAGTTCCCCCTCATGCAACTCAAAGAAGAGGTTTCCTGGTCATAGGTGGATTCAAAGGTTTTCTGATTGGCAGTTGGTTGGGAGATCTTAATGAAAGACCTGAAATCAGTAGAAGAGAGTATCTGGGCTAAGGTAAGGGGTCGTGCAGACCAAGGATCTTATAATGCAGATGAAGTCTCCAGGTAGCAGGCTTTAAAATAAATAGATTGTGTTTCTTTAAGGTGCCAAACTCTGTTAATTCACTCCTGGATCAGAAAGAAGACCTGGAAAGGGAAAGGGGTTCTTGACAGAAGATATATTTTTTGTACAAGAGATAGCTTTGCAGTGCCATTTCAAAATATGTCAAAAAAATATATTTTGGGAGGTCATGTATGGTGGCTCATGCCTGTACTCCCATTACTTTGGGAGGTTGAGGCAGGTGGATCTCCTGAGCTCAGGAGTTCAAGACCAGCCTGGGCAACATGGCAAAACCCATCTCTACAAAAAAAAAAAAAAAAAAAAAAATTATTCAGGTGTGGTGGAGCATGTCTTTTGGCCCCAGCTACTAGAGAGGCTGGGGTGGGAAGATTGCTTGAGCCTGGAAGGTGGAGGTTGTAGTAAGCCAAGATTGCGCCACTGCACTCCAACCTGGGTGACAGAGTGAGACCCTGTCTCAAAAAAAAAAAAAAAAAAAAAAGAGAAAAGAAAAGAAAAAAGAAATATATTTTGGGGTAAAATACTTCAATTTCTTTCAGGGCCTGCTATCTGTCATGCTGATGTCTTGTTACCACAAAAAGTCTGTTTTGTCAGTCTTAAAGTCTCTGTTTTTATGTTAATACTGGTCAGCTGTGCCTGAATTCCAAATTGCCTTTTCTTTTCTCCTTTCTTTTTTTTCTTTTCTTTTCTTTTCTTTTCTCTCTCTCTCTTTCTCCTTAATATTTCTCCCCCTTTTTTTGTTTTTTTTTGTTTGTTTTTGAGACTGAATCTCGCTCTGTCACCCAGGCTGCAGTGCAGTGGCGTGATCTCGGCTTACTGTAACCTCCGCCTTCTGGGTTCAAGCGATTATAGTGCCTCAGCCTCCTGAGTAGTTGGAATTACAGGTACCCACCACTACGCCCAGCTAATTTTTGTATTTTTAGTAGAGATGGGGTTTCATGTTGGCCAGGCTAGTCTCAAACTCCTGACCCCAGGTGATCTGCCCGCCTCAGCCTCCCAAAGTGCTGGGATTACAGGCATGAGCCACCACACCTGGACCCTTATGTATTTTTCCCCTTATGTATTCTCCTATTCAATCAGGTTTACTTTAGAATGCCCTTAGCCAAGCAGGGGTCCAGCTGGTTGGTGGGGTCTTAGAATTTTATTTTTGGTGTATAGTTTATGCCTGTATTTGTAAATTTAAACCATTTCATAATTTTTAGAAAGATGTTTCCTCAATTTTCTAATTAACAGATTTAGATATAGCTTTTCTATATCATATAAATGACTCAGACATTTTATGATTATCTATTACTTAATTTAACACAACATGACTTTAAGATCAAGTTACTAAAAAGATTTTTGGAACTATGGAGTTCATTTATAAACTTGTATCCTATTTACATTCATGTAATTTATTCATTCTTTTTTTTTTTTTGAGACGGAGTCTCACTCTATTGCCCAGGCTGGAGTACAGTGGCACAATCTCAGCTCACTGCAACCTCCACCTCCCGGGTTCAAGTGATTCTCTTGCCTCAACCTCCCAAGTAGCTGTGATTACAGGCATGTGCCACCATGCCTGGCTAATTTTGTATTTTCAGTAGAGATGGAGTTTCACCATGTTGCCCAGGCTGGTCTCAAACTCCTGATCTCAGGTGATCCACCTGCCTTGGCTTTCCAAAGTGCTGGGATTACAGGCATGAGCCACCACAACTGGCCTAATTTATTCATCTTTAACAATTATGCTTGAATAGTTCATTAAACAAAGCTAGCTATTATCTCAAGCTATTTATTAGTTAATCATTTTTACAGCTTGTGAATGTTAGGTATTTGCCACCTAAGCAGGAACCCTAAAGTTAAATACATGCATAGTTTGTTGATTAGAAGACACAGCTGTTTTCATTAAACCAACAATATTAAACTAGTCTTATTTACTAAGCATTTACCCAAGTCATGTAAACTAAAGGCATTTGAGTTTGTTTCTATTTTTCTGATTAAATATTTAAGTGTTTACTTTTTAAAAGCCAATGATTAGAGCTTTTTCATATATCTTTGTAAGGAAATATCACATACATGACACTTATAAACATATAGACATACACACAGAAGTATATTTTACAGCTTCATAACATCCTTTTTAGGCCAATTATCAAATGGTTTTTCTACCATCTATAAACAATCAAGCTCTAAACAATATTAGCTAGGCAACCCTAAATTTGTACTTTTAAAGACATGACTCTTATGTGAGAATTTTTATTTAAAGACACAGAAGTTAGATGTAAACACCATTATTTGCTGAGACAAAGAAGGGCATAGGTAAAGGCCTATGTTAAGTATCTTAAATAAAGGCAAGATTTGTCATGTAAACTTTAAACTAATGTTTTCCCAAAAGTTTCTAGTGGTTTAGGTACAGTGAGGGAGATGTCCTTACAAATGGAGGTTTCCTTTATAGATGTAGATTTATTTTACAAAAAGTTTCAGTATAGCCAGCTAAGAACATTGTATTTTGGATACCAATCTGGTTAGATAGGTGTTCTTTTCCACTTAATTTGTCTCTTGATTAGATTACTGACTTCAAGGTGGAGCCCTTTAATGAACAAGGCAAACAAAGAAAGCCTTTGCAGTTACCAGGGCCTAATATTTAAATATATGAAAAGCAGGCACAGCTGGAATGCAGCACATCTAGATCTTTAAAAATCAAGGATCTCTGGCCGGGTGTGGTGGCTCACACCTGTAATCCCAACACTTTGGGAGGCCGAGGTAGGCGGATCACAAGGTCAGGAGATCGAGACCTTCCTGGCTAACATGGTGAAGCCCATCTGTACTAAAAATACAAAAAAATAACTGGGTGTGGTGGTACACACCTGTAGTCCCAGCTACTCGGGAGGCTGAGGCAGGAGAATCACTTGAACCCGGGAGACGGAGGTTGCAGTGAGCCAAGATCGTGCCACTGCACTCCAGCCTGGGTGACAGAGTGAGACTCTGTCTCAAAAACAAACAAACAAAAAATCAAGGATCCCACTTTTACAATCCCAGGTCCCCTAATAAAAGGAAATCCCCTGGGACTGGGCCATGCAATGCTTCCACAGTGCCTTTCACCATGAAGACATTCCTTTGTTGCTGGCGGGTGAAATGATGCCGATCAGCCCCTTCTGTGATCAGCCCTTCCCTGTCAGGAGTCTTATCTCTTGGTGGCAAGTGTCCCCACAACCTCCAAATGTTCAAACCCGCCTTTTTACCTAAGTGCACAAAGAAATAAGTAGCACTCTGCATTAACAAGCATTCACTGAGACCATTGTCAGCCACTCCCCAAACTGCAGCTTTTGCAGTGGCTTGTCAGACACTGCATACACTGAAGTCAAGTTCTCTCTCACAGCACAAAGTAATCCTTGGTTCCCCAAAACCAAAGAGATCAGATATTACTATTTTTTTTTTTTTTGAGACAGGGTCTCACTTTGTCACCCAGACTGGAGTGCAGTGGCATGATCTCAGCTCATTGCAACCTCGACTTCCTAGGTTCAAGTGATTCTCATGCCTCAATCGTCCAAGTAGCTGGGATTACAGGCATGCATCACCACGCCTGGCTAATTTTTGCGTTTTTAGTAAAGATGGGGTTTTGCCATGTTGGCCAGGCTGGTCTCTAACTCCTGGCCTCAAGTGATCTACCTGCCTTGAGCTCCTACAGTGCTGCGATTATAGGAATGAGCCACCTGGCCCTGTGAGATCAGATACTACTTTTAACAGCTCTTATAATTTTTAATTATTTACCAATTTAGTTTCCTCTGTGACAATATGAATTGCAATTTATGATTTAAAATGATCAGGTTTTGAACATTTTTTGGAACGTAATAATTCTATTTTATATTCTAATTCTAAATGCATATCCCTCTTCTTGAAAGGAGATGTGAGTATTATACAATCCTTTCTGAAATGTTCAGGCTTTTTTTAGTAGTTGAAAAGTGGTTCATTTGGGTCAGTTTGGGAAATTATTAGGTTGTGTAGGGGTTATAAATTGATTGGACAATTGTTTATTTTTATTTTTATTTTGTAGAAATGGGATTTTGCCATGTCACACAGGCTGATCTTGAACCCCTGGACTCAAGTGATCCACCTACCTTGGCCTCCCAAAGTGCTGGGATTACAAGCATGAGCCCCCACACCTGGTCTGGACAATTGTTTTAGTTGTAAACTCATGACTTATTTACTTTTCCTCTTGATTTAACTTCCCTTTCCTTTTCTTCTTTGGTTATAGTATAGAACATTGGATTGGCAAAATTAACTAGATTATGAGTTTGAGAGGTAGCCCAACCAGGGCATTGTTTATTTATTATAGTTGCCATTTCTTCATCTGATTCATTTATAAAGTTTGAGTTAAGGAGAGTATCATTTTGATGGTTAGCATAACTTTCTTCTGATAGGCCTGAATATTGTTTAAACATTCTTTCAAATTTCCCGTAGTATGACATTATGTGATCAACAGGATTTTTTCAGCGTGTTGTATTTTGTTCCAATCAACCACTTTTTGGAAAACTAAGGGGATAGAGTCAACTAAAGCTTTGACAGTATTGTGAGCACATTTGCTATCGGCTTCAAAAAAATTATGGAAGTCCTTTAAAAGATTTCTCCAGTTTGCCTTTGCTATCCAATCTTTGGCTTTATTTTCTGACACTAAAATGTGAACCTGTTGATATAAATCAGAAATTCCTGGATCATAAGCTCAAATGTTTAATTCAAAACCTCTAGCAAATCCAACAGAGTTCTGAAAAGGATCTGGGAATTCTTTAGTTATCCCTTTAAGTTCTATTTTTACCATAGTTGATAAACCAAGGCAGTTTCTTCTGTACTGGACAGAGGGTGTTCCCAAAATGGAACCAGAACAGCAGGAGAAAGAGGAGGAAGAGGAAGGGGAGGTAAAGTCCAGACAAGGATGTTCCAACAAAAGGGAAGGAAGAGTTGAAAAAGGGGGAGAAATTTCAGCAGTCTTTTTCAATTTAGAAATTGTTTTAGACAATCCTTTGTTTTCCACTTGCAAACAAATGCCTTTACTAGAAACTTATTTAGAAGCTTCTAAAAAAGTTTCTACTTTCCATTGAAAATAGCTCTCCCAGTTATTTTGTTTTATTTTAGAGCTGGGTTTTTCCAATTGAGCATGCAGATAAACTAGTTTAGGTATTTCCAAGGCACCCCATTTTGACCATTGTAACTCAGGGTCATCATCTCAAGTTATGTGAGACCCATATTTTTCTAAATACTTGCATGAAGAGGCAACGTAAGTATTAAACATGAATTCAGCTGGTGTTTCTAGTGGTCGATTTCTTCTTAAAGAGAAAGTCTCATGGTATAGTTTGGATGTTTGCCCCTCCAAATCTCATGTTGAAATGTAATCCCCAATGTTGGAGGTGGGGCCTGGTGAGAGATGTTTGGGTTATCGGGGCAGATCCCTCTTGAATGGCTTGATACCATTCCCATGGTAAAGGGTGAGTTCTTGCTCTGGCAGTTCCCATGAATGCTGGTTGTTTAAAAAAATGTGGCACCTCCCCCGCCCACCTTGCCATGTGATGCGCCTACTCCCCCTTACCTTTCGCCATGATTGTAAGGTTCCTGAGGCCCTCACCAGAAGCAAATGCTGATACCACACTTCCTGTACAACCTGCGGAACCATGCACCAAAATAAATCTCTTTCCTTTATAAATTACCCGGCTTCAGATGTTTCTTTATAGCAACACAAGAATGGACTAACAGAACTTGGTTATCATAGTACTAATGTCTGTAATTTAGACTTTCCTTCTGAAAGACCTACTGGGAGAAATTTTGGTCATTCAAGAAAAAAGTTTAGACTTGTCAACTGAACTGAGCTTCAGAATCTGGCCAGTTTTTCAAATTATAATTTTTTTGCTTCAGCCACAGAGATTTCACTTTCTTTTTTCGGAGGGAAACTGTTTTCTCCCTGACCAAAATTTCAAATACAGAAAAGTTGAAGAACTTTAAGGAGTAATTAGAAACAAACCCTTAACCTCAGAGAAATATGAAAGTCACAAATCTGCAATCAGCAGAATCTCTAGAGAATAACAAATGTACCACCTACCTTAAAGTAGAGCTTCAATTCCAACCCCATTGGGTAGAAATGTGTGTAGCTTGAATCAATTCTGAGTCCTTAACCATCACAGAGGATTTAAACCCACCAAGGGCCTTACCAGAGAACCCTAGTGACTCTGGCAAGGTCAGATGAACAAAGTCATTTGTGCTGATACCAGGGCTGTAGGCAAAACGCTGAGGATCACTGGAGATCTGCTTCAGGTCCCAGCTGGATCACCAAAATGTCAACTTTACAGAATGAGATTCAGAAAATATAATTAAGTAGAGAATTTATTTGAGCTCAGAGCTTGAGGATGGCCTCCTCAAGCTCTGAGCTCAAATAAATTCAAGTTGCCCTGAATATACACTCTGATTAGTGGCAATTACAAGTGGGTTTTAAAAGGAAAAAAGAAGCAGTTTGTAACTTGTTTATCAAGAATTTACATTAAAATAACATAAGCTATTGATTGGCTACAAATAGTTCTTTATGTCACAAATTCTAGGAACATGAAGATAATGGGTGAGGCAGCTAGCTAGTAACAAAATGACTTTAAACAATGATCCCCAAGGCATAGGCACTGGGTCAGGGGATATGACTGAAGTTCCATACTCGTGTCTCTCTGGGCTATAAATTTTGTGTACTTCACATAGCTCAAACTGTCCTGAACTGTATTTCTTTCTTTTCTAAAAAAATTTTATTTTACTTTATTTTAAGTTCTGGGATACATGTGCAGGATATGTTGGCTTGTTACATAAGTAAACGTGTGCCATGATGGTTTGCTGCACTTGTCAATCCATCACCTAGGTATTAAGCCCTGCATGTATTAGCTATTTATCCTAATGCTCTCCACCACCCCACCCCCACAGAGAAGCCCCAGTGTGTGTTGTTCCCCTCCCTGTGTCCATGTGTTCTCATTGTTCAGCTCCCACTTATAAATGAGAACATGCAGTGTTTGTTTTTCTCTTTCTGTGTTAGTTTGCTGAGGATCCATGTCCCTGCAAAGGACATGATCTTGTTCCTTTTTATGGCTGCATAGTATCCCATGGTGTATATGTAACACATTTTCTTTATCCAGTCTATCATTGATGGGCATTTGGGTTGATTCCATGTCTTTGCTATTGTGAATAGTACTGCAATGAACATACATGTGCATGTGTCTTTATAATAGAATGATTTATATTCCTTTGGGTATATACTCAGTAATGGGATTACTTGCTCTAAACTATTTTTCTTTTCTCAGTGCATATGTTTATGTGTGTATGTATATAAACAGTAGTATATTTTTAAGGCAGGTAAATATCTTTAACAAGATTATAAGAGTAAAACTAGGTTCTAGAAGCAATATATCACCATAGGAAGCCCTCCAAAATAAAATGTTGAATCCAACACAAGTTTATTTTGATGCAAAATTAATTCATTACTTAGAATGGATATCAACAGAACACTTAGTAAACAATAATTTCATGCTCTTAGAATTTCAAGTGGCTTAGAATGTCAATTTAAGCGGTCTTTCTTTAAAAAAAAATGACCAAGAAAGTTTAAACCCAATGCCTTACTATTCTGTCCATTAATTTCTCCCAGTTAATAGAAGCATTCAAAATTCATCCCTCTGGCCCTTCCTTGCAGAAGAGCTAAAAAGTAAGAACTAGCTTCTAATATTTGCCCTTCAATCTTACCCTAACACCTTTGGTGTTCAGTAGTACAAGTGCAATTTTTTGAATCACAGCAAAATAAGACAATCAAGAAATCCTGAGTTTGTTTAGTCTTAACTTTTTTATTTTTAGACAGGGTATCACTCTCTCATGCAGGCTGGAGTGCAGTGGTGCACTCATAGCTCAAAGCAGCCTTGATCACAAGAGTGCTCAAGTGATTGTTCTGCCTTAGCCTCCTGAGTAGCTGGGACTACAGGTGCATACCACCATACCTGGCTAATTGTATTAATTTTTGTAGAAACAGGGTTTCACCATGTTGCCCAAGCTGGTCTTGAACTTCTGGGCTATTCTGAACTTTTTATTATGAAGATTTTCAAACATACACAAAAAAAGTTCAATAAGCCCCTATATATTTATCTTCCAGCCAACAATCATTAACCAAAAACATTTACTTTGCATATTTGTCCCATCTAGCACCCCTTTTTGTCAAAGTATTTTTAAAGCAAATCCCAGATATTATGTTATTTCACTCCTGAATATTTTAGTATTCATCTCAAAAGAAAAGTGTGATGCTTAATATTGAATTGAAGGATAGAAAGTATTGATCCTGGGTGTGCTTGTGAGGGTGTTGCCAAACGAGATTAATATTTGAGTCAGCAGACTGGGAGAAGCAGACCCACCCTCAATCTGGGTGGTCACCATCTAATCAGCTGCCTGCACGGCTAGGATAAAAGGAGGCAGAGGAAAGTGGAAGGACTAGACTGGCTAAGTCTTCTGGCCTCCATCATTCTCCCATGCGGGATGCTTCCTGTCCTTGAACATCAGACTCCAAGTTCTTCAGCATTTGGACTCTTGGACCTACACCAGTGGTTTGCCAGGGGCTCTTGAGCCTTCGGCCACAGACCGAAGGCGGCACTACTTTTCAGGTTTTGGGACTCGGACTGCATTCGTTGCTCCTCATCTTGCAAATAGCCTACTGGGGAACTTCACCTTGTGATCGTGTGAGTCAATACTCCTTAATAAATTCCCCTTCATATATACATCTATTCTATTAGTCCTGTCCCTCTAGAGAACCCTAATACAAAATAACAATCATACCTGACAACAAAGCCAGATGATTGCCAAATCCACATTCAAATTCCCCCATTGTCTAAAAATGTCACTTTAAAGTTTACTTGAATTAGGATTCAAACAAAGTCTATTCATTTTATTTAGTTCTTATGCCTCCTTTGTATTTTTTAAGCCTTTTTTAGTCTAGAAAAAATGACCCTTTTTTATGCCTTTAACTTTTTAATAACAGTTTGTGACATATAATTCAGGTGTCATAAAAGTCACCCTTTTAAATGCACAAGTCAGTGGCTTTTAGTATGTTCATAGAGTTATGTGATCACTCACCATGATCTAATTCCAGAACATTTTTATGTTTAACTTTTCCCCATCTCTCTTCCCCTCAGCAACCCTAATTTCTATGTATGGATTTGCCCCATTCTGGATATTTCATGTAAATGAAATCCACACAAGATGTAGCCTTTTGTAACTGTCTTTTTTCACTTAGCGTAATGTTTTCAAGGTCTATGTTGTAGGAGATATCAGTACATCTATTTCATGCCTGAATAATATTGCATTCTATGGGCCCATATTTTGTTTCTCTATTCATGAGTTGATGGATATGCCTTGGACTTTTTTAAGAAAGCAGGTCAGTTTTCCTGCAGAGTTTTCCACATGCCAGATTTCGCTGGTTGCTTTATTCATGGTACCATTAAACTTGTTTCTCTATCCTCTGTTTTTCTTGTAAATGCAAGAGAAACCCCATGAACCTCATGATCTTGGAAACTTGTTTGTCAAACTTTAGTGTGTGAAAGAGTCACCTGACACACTTGCTGAAGGTAAAGAATTCCAGGCCCCATCACAAGTCTGATTTCATAGGCTCAAGAGGGGACCCAAGAATCTACTTTTTTTTTTTTTTTTAAAGATAGGGTCTCACTCTGTTGCCCAGGCTGGAATGCAGTGGCCTGATCATGGCTCACTGCAGCTGTGACCTTCTGGGCTCAAGCAATCCTCCCTCAGCCTCCCAAGTAGCTGGGACTACAAGTGCATGCCACCATACCCAGCTAATTTTGTTTACTTTTTATAGTAACAGGGTCTCCCTATGTTGTCCAGGCTAGTCTCAAACTCATGGGCTCAAGCAATCCTCCCACCTTGGCCTACCAAACTGTTGGGATTACAGATGTGAGCCACCACTGCCTGGCCCATTTTTAACATACCTCTTGATTCTGATGTAGGTATTCCCAGAACACAATGTGGGCAACACTGGCAGGTATCCAAAATTTTTATTTTAATGGCACTTGGCATTTCACAGGAAAGCCACAAAAAGGTTATTGACTAAGACTTTTTTTTTTTTTTTTTTTTGAGACAGATCTCACTCTGTTGCCCAGGCTGGAGTGCAGTGCACATCACAGCTTACTATAGCCTTGACCTCCCAGGCTCAAATGATTCTCTCCTCTCAGCCTCCTGAGTAGCTAGGACTATAGGCATGTGCCACCACGCCCAGCTAATTTTGTTTATATTTTGTAGAGATGAGGTCTTACTATGTTGCCCAGGCTAATGTCGAACTCCTTGACTCAAGCAATGCTCCTACCTTGGCCTCCCCAAAGTGCTGGGATTACAGGCATGAGACCTGCACCCAGCCTTGATGAAGACTTTTTAAAAAGTAAAGTTAGAAATATTACTTACAGAATTACTAAAAACGGCCTAAGCATACTGGCTGATGTCTTCTGGAGTGGAAACAGACATTTGAAAGAATGTTGGACAAGAGAATTGTGTTGTGAATGTTAACTACCCGGGAGTGAGTGAAGTAGCCAATTTAACATTAAAGGCAATGAAAACCAAATGGTCTCTAAGAATTAAATTACTACACACATTTTTACAGTAGTGACTTCAGAATTTACAAATGCAATCAGATTAATTAATTAGAGTAGTTTTCATTCAGGAAATTTAAATTCTGAATCCATTTTCTTCAAGGTGAACAAGAACAAAGTAAGTTATAGATGCAGCATTCTAAGGTAACTATCCTTTTATTCTAGAAATATGTGACAGTGAAGTACAACCATTCTTGTTTCAACATTTTATCATTATTTAAATAGTGCATCTTACAACACCAAAAACTTCTGAGTCTAGACAGCTGTTTTTTTTCCTTATTTAATGCAAAGAGTTTGCTTTCACTTAATAGCTATGTGATGCTTTTTAGGGTCTTTCAATGGTTCTCGAGCAGCCAACAATATAAATGGAGTTCCAGTTACTCCATGCATCTCATTAAGCTTTTAGAGAAGAGAGTAATGCAGTACAGGAAAAAACCACCAGTGCTTTTTTAGGCTTTGACTCAAGGACTTCTTTTCTTTTTTTTTTTTTTTTGAGACGGAGTCTCGCTCTGTCACCCAGGCTGGAGTGCAATTGCGTGATCTCGGCTCACTGCAACCTCCGCCTCCAAGGCTTAAGCAATTTTCTGCCTAAGCCTCCCGAGTAGCTGGGATTTCAGGTGCACGGCACCACACCTGGCTAATTTTTGTATTTTTAGTAGAGGCAGAGTTTCACCATGTTGGCCTGGCTGGTCTCGAACTCCTGACCTCGAGTGATCGGCCCGCCTCAGCCTCCCAAAGTGCTGGAATTACAGGCGTGAGCCACCATGCCTGGCTTTTTTGGGCTTTGAGAAAAATAATAGATTTCAGGATATGAAAACTGAGTTTTGACTTTCTAGAAGGACATTTATAGGGGAGTTATTACCTGAAAGAAATGTTTAATTCCTGAGTAATAAGAACTTCAACTTCTTGCTAAGTCTTCTTGACTTCATTAGCCTGACTTGGAAGAGGCAGGTGCCTAGAGCTAAAGCATATTTTAAAAACTTTTTGTTGTGGAAAATGTCAAGCATACCCAAAAGTAAACAGTATAATAAACCATATACACAGCATCAAGCTTCAGCAGTTAGCAATATTTTGTTAGTCTCATTTCATCTGACCATCTACCCTTACTTTTGCTCAAGTGTTTGCAAAAATACTTGATTCCTCTGAGCATCTCAGAGCTGTCTTTTTACACTCAGTTTCTTTTAATCAGGTTTCAAATAAGACCTATACATAGCATTTAGTTAGTCTCTTTTAGTTTGTAACGACCGTCTTCCCTCATCTGACGAGGGATTTGTTGTAGAAACTGGATTAATTGTCCAAATTTTACACATGACCCACGTTCTGGATTTGTCTTATTACATCATTTTAGTGTAATTTAACTTATTTCTTTTTCTCTCATATTTCCTATAAAGTGACTTGATGAAATTCACATTGACTTTTTTGTACAAGAAAACTTTATACTTCCTGGCGCATCATATCACGAGGTACACATTGTCGTATTTGCCCCATTTTTCTGGGCTTCATCAGTGGGCTCAGGTGGTGTAAATCTGATCCCTTCAGTATAAAGTTAGCCATCACCCAGGCCAGGTGCTGTGGCTCGCGCCTATAATCCCAGCACTTTGGGAGGCTGAGGCGGTTGGATCACCTGAGGTCAGGAGTTTGAGACCAGCCTGGCCAACATGATGAAACCCTGACTCCACTAAGAACACAAAAATTAGCTGGGCATGGTGGCAGGCACCTGTAATCCCAGCTACTCAGGAAGCTGAGGCAGGAGAATTGCTTGAACCCAGGAGGTGGAGGTTACAGTGAGCCGAAATCACACCATTGCACTCCAGCCTGGCTGATGAGTGAAACTCCATCTGAAAAAAAATAAATAAATAAAATAAAGTTAGCCATCACCCTTTAGCCTTGACATCCATTTATGTTCATTCCTTATACAACTTTTTATGTTAGTAATTGTAAAATAGTGATTTAAAAATTTTTAAATCATTCTTTCCGTATTTATTAGCCGGGCTTCTATAAGGATGGACTTTTCCTCATATACTATTTGGTTACTCTGAAAAACAGTTCATATAGCAAAGGCAGGACACATTATTTTTCTTTTCCTTTATTTATCAAATTTCATAGGAAAACAACCTCCAATAATGATGGGACAGGTTTTGTATTATTATGAATTCTAAACACATATTTGACAATGTATTAAATGCATGTTTTAAAAATTGATGCTGGAGATGGAATTATGAAATTTTGCCATCAGCCTTCTGAGACAGTGTTTCTCAAAGTATGGCCACAGACCATGTAAGTCAGAATCCTCTGGAGGTACTGCTTCATATGTAAATTCCTGGTCTCCACCTGGACCTACTAGGTGAGAGTCTTTTGGAGTAGAGCCCTAAAATCTGCATTTCTGGGCCAGGCATGGTGGCTCACGCCTGTAATCCCAGCACTTTGGGAAGCCAAGGTGAGCAGATCACTTGAGGTCAGGAGTTCAAAACCAGCCTGGCCAACATGGTGAAACTCCTTCTCTACTAAAAATACAAAAAATTAGCCAAGCATGGTGGCATGCACCTGTAGTACCAACTACTAGGGAGGCTGAAGCAGGAGAATTGCTTGAACCCAGGAGGCAGAGGTTGCAGTGAGGCCAAGATCACACCACTGCACTCCAGCTTGGGAGACACTCTGTCTCAAAAAAAAAAAAAAAGAAAAGAAAAATAAAAATAATCTTCACTTCTAACACACTTTTCTAGAGATTTCTAAAATGGCTGTGGAATGGATAGCCTTATGGGGCAACCTCATTAGAGCCTGGGAATGTCAGCTGCATAAGACAGGTTGAAAAAAAAACCCACAAAAAAGAGCTTGGGAATAAATGACTGAGTGGATGCACACCTGAGCAGGTGATAATTCAGTGATAATCTGAATTTTTGTGTAAACTCGCTAGATTTCAAGTGTTGGCGCTGATTCAAATTTAAACCAGTGATAGTGAAACCAAATATGTCTGTGAGCCAGCATTGTGGGGCCTTTGATTTAGGGGGTATATTACCTGAATGCCACAGTGAAATAGAAAAGAACGTCTGTTTCCCAGATCAAGGTGAGTGAAAGAGTCTGTAGCTGGTTTGCTGATGCTCTTAACAGAGACTCCAAAATGATACCACACGATCAACTATTGGTGATTCAAGAGAAGGGAGGGTAGATAAATTAGATCCTTCAACAAGAGCCCAACAGACAGGAGTAGTTCTATGCAGTACTGAACTCCCTGTGGTGCTGCATTTTTGTTGAGACAACCTGGATTCTGGCTATCTGTTTTTTGTGTGTTTTTTTGAGACAGAATCTTTCTCTATCACCCAGGCTGGAGTGCAGTGGCACGATCTTGGCTCACTGCAACCTCCACCTCCTGGATGCAAGCGATTCTCATGCCTCAGCCTCCTGAGTAGCTGGGATTATAGGTGCCTGCCACCATGCCTAGCTAATTTTTGTATTTTTAGTAGAGATGGGGTTTCACTATGTTGGCCGGGCTGGTCTTGAACTCCTGACCTCAGGTGACACACCCACCTCGGCCTCCCAAAGTGCTGGGATTACAGGTGTGAGCCACTGTGCCTGGCCTGTCTATTGTTACTGGAACTTAAGAAGCTTTTACCACAGTAAATCCTGTAAAATATAGTTCTATATGTGAACTAATTTCCCCTGTGGATTGCCAGGGACACAATGTTGCTCATATCCATAGCCTCAGATCCTGCACAGCTGCTGTCCACTGGGCCCTTGAGACCCCCACTGCGCAATTTGTGTCATCTCATCAGGTAACACAGCTCCTCTTCCATTAGGACATGGAGTGCCATTTGTATTTGAAATATCAATTAGCACTGTTGCCATATGCTCTATTTTTGAATTGTTCTTCTCCCCTAGGGAATGCACTTTCAATATTTTATTCAAGTCCCCTAATACTTGACATTCTGAGCAAAATATTTGTTTAGTTGATTTTCCATAAAAGTGATTATCCATTTTTATAATTTCATTTGTCTTTATTGAATTTTAAATAGCATTGTTGAATTCACTGGTTCACAGGGGAAACATACAGAGGCTTAAAAGGAGAGTCAGACACGCAGATCTCCTTGTCCATTGAATTTCTTGCAGATTACAGAAAACTGAATTACATCTCTCAGCACTTTTCTGCCCATGTGCAGTACTTGGGAAGAAGGAATGGAAGTTGGGTTCATGGGGCACGACAGAAGTTCCCGATCTCTCTGGCTGGGTTGTTCGCCAGTGGAGCTCTGTGTGATACCAATATCCAATCCATAGAAAGGGAATGAATAAGGGCAGGGTTGGGCAATCCACCAGGGCCCTGCAGGTATCACAATCATATGCAGCCTGTTTTGAGACTTTAAAAAATTGCTGGCAATGTGCAACCATTGTTTTCTCCAGGCAGAAATCTGATCTTGAGGCCATTTGATTAGGGAAGGGGTTATAAACTCAAATGCCTATGGAGGGCAGGGAAGGGAGAATAAAGCAGTGAAGAGGCCTGGACAAGAGACTGTGGTGAACTACTGAGACCTGTCTCCACTCAGGGAGGCCACTCTCTTTCAGCTACACCTGGCCCTTAACAGGAATCTTGACCCTGAATGGCTAAAGCTTTTCATGGTTTAAGAGAAGATGATAATCTGAATTTTTGTGTAAACTTGCTAGATTTCAAGTGTTGGCTCTAATTCAAATTTAAACCAGTGATAGTGAAACCAAATATTTCTGTGAGCTACCATTGTGGGGCCTTTGATTTAGGGGGTATAGTACCTGAATGCCACAGTGAAATAGAAAACAATGTCTATTTTCCAGTTCAAGGTGAGTGAAAGAGTCTGTAGCTGGTTTGCTGATGCTGTTAGCAGAGACTCAAACCATAAACCTTATAGGGACAAATTAGCTTTATTTTGTTACCTAGCAGTTCTGGATGAATGTATTTGATTGGTGCAGAGCCTTGACTTAAAGTCCATGCTCCACTGACAGTTGGCCAGCGGTGACATCTTCCTATAAGAAAGCTATTGCATTATGGAGCTAGCCCCCTCGAGTTCACAGAGGAAAAGAAAGCTAAGTATATACATGGATTGCTTTATAAAACTCTAAGCCTTGACTTGCTGGCAAAGAAAGTAGTGGGAATTTAGATAGACTGCTTTTGTCTTTCTGCAGAGTGATAGCCAGATAACATGTTCTGTTGGGACTGGATTTCAGTGTTGAGTTGTCTCCTAATTAGTCAGGGAGAGAAAGCATGGCTATATAATTACAGCATATGAACATACTGATCTTTTTCACGCTTAGCTAAGTGCATTTACAGAATTAATCTGAACTTTGGCCAATTAAATTGAGTTCAAAGAGAAATTTTAGACTTAAGTATGTTGAATAAAATTCTGGGTAGGGTATAAAAAGCCATGGGTGTATGGACTAGACTTCTAGTTCTGGCTCTGTCTATAACTGGTATGGGTCTTAATCATCTAATCTCTTGGCTTTCATTTGGTTGTATTAGATGAGCCAAGTTGAACTATACAATTATTCTACATTTTACATTTAATTTTTTAAAAGGTGGTTCTCTGTTATTGCTTATAGTTTTTGACTATTCATTTTTCTTTTTTCTTTTTTTTTTTTTTTTATTTGAGACAAGGTCTTGCTCTGTTGCCCAGGCTGCAGTGTGGACTTGACCTCCTGGGCTTAAGGGTGATCCTCCCACCTCAGTCTCCTAAGTGGCAGCTAATTTCAAAAATTGTTTATAGAGATGAGAGTTTAAGGAATGTTTCATATTCTCCTCATACTTAATATTGTCAGGCTTTTTAACTTTAGCAAACTTTAGCCTGGCTATGTTGCCAGGGCTGGTCTCAAACTCCTGGCCTCAAGCAATCCTCCTGCCTCGGACTCCCAAAGTGCTGGGATTACAGACATGAGCCACTGTACCCGGCTGCTCTTCATTTTTCTATCATTCTTTGTTTCAAGGAGATTAAATGAGTCCTTCTGCTTAACAGATGGTTTGGACGGCCCTGTCACATCCTATGTTGTTATTTTTGTATTAGTTGGGACATGGACTGATCATCAACACCATCCTAAAAGGAAATAGGATGATGTGGACTCGTTGCCAAAAATATTTTTATGAGCATTACCAAGTTATAAATGGTTCCCTCTTTTCTGCTATAAAAGGAAACCCAATTGGTTCCTTATTAAAAGACAGTATTTTAAATTAAAACCACAATGAAATACAGCTGTATACTCACCAAAATTGCTAAAGTTAAAAAGCCAGCCAGGTGTGGTGGCTCATGCCTGTAATCCCAACACTTTGGGAGGCAGAGGTGGGTGGATCACCTGAGGTCAGGAGTTCAAGACCAGCCTGGCCAACATGGCAAAACTCTGTCTCTGCTAAAAATACAAAAAAAAATTAGCCAGGCCTGGTGGTGCACACCTGTAATCCCAGCTACTTGGGAGTCTGAGGCAGGAGAATCACTTGAACCTGGGAGCTGGAGGTTGCAGTGAGACGAGACCAAGCCATTGCACTCCAGCCTGGGGTACAAAGTGAGACTCTGTCTTAAAAAGAAAAAAAAAAAAAAGCCTGACAATACTAAGTATGAGGACAATGTGAAACAATCAGAACTCTTGACACTCTGCTAGTGGGAACGTTGATATGATACCTTTAACCTGCTTGGCATTATAAAGTTGAACATATGCACATCCTATGACCCAGCAATTTTACCTAGGTATCTACCAATCAGATATGTGTGCATATGTACACCAAAGGATACACAGAAGAATGTTCATAGTAGCATTTTTGGTAATAGTCTCAAACTAGAAGCAAGCCCAAATCCATCAATGTTGAATTTGTAAATAAACTGTGGCATCTTCATATAATAGAATACTATACAGCAATGAAAACTAATGACTACAGCTTTTCTGAGCAACATGGCTAAATCTCATAAATATAATATTAAGCAAAAGAATCCAGACACGAGAGTATACCCTGCATTATTTTACTATTTATTTATTTATTATTATTATTTGAGACAGAGTCTCACTCTGTCACCAGGGCTGGAATGCAGTGGTGAGATCTTGGCTCACTGCAACCTCCGCCTCCCAGGTTCAAGAGATTCTCCTGCTTCAGCCTTCCAAGTAGCTGGGATTATAGGTGCCCACCAGTACGCCCAGCTAATTTTTTGTTACGGGAAGTCAGGGACCCCAAACAGAGGGACCGGCTGAAGCCATGGCAGAAGAACGTGGATTGTGAAGATTTTATGGACATTTATTAGTTCCCCAAATTAATACTTTTGTAATTTCTTATGCCTGTCTTTATTGCAATCTCTAAACATAAATTGTAAATATTTCATGAACACTTATCACTTCCCCAATCAATACCCTTGTGATTTCCTATGCCTGTCTTTACTTTAATCTCTTAATCCTGTCAGCTGAGGAGGATGTATGTCACCTCAGGACCCTGTAATAATTGCATTAACTGCACAAACTGTGCAGCATGTGTGTTTGAGCAATATGAAATGTGGGCACCTTGAAAAAAGAACAGGATAACAGCAATTGTTCAGGGAATAAGAGAGATAACCTTAAACTCTGACCACTGGTGAGCCAGGCAGAACAGAGCCATATTTCTCTTCTTTCAAAAGCAAAAGGGAGAAATATCGCTGAATTCTTTTTCTCAGCATGGAACATCCCTGAGAAAGAGAATACACACCTGGAGGTATTGGCTTATAAACAGCCCCCCTGGGCGTGGTCTGTCTCTTATGGTTGAGGCTGCAGGGGTGAAATAGACCCCAGTATCCCATAGCGCTCCCAGGCTTATTAGGAAGAGGAAATTCCTACCTAATAAATTTTGGTCAGACCAGTTGATCTCAAAACCCTGTCTCCTGATAAGATGTTATCAATAACAATTGTGCCCGAAACTTCATTAGCAATTTTAATTTCGCCTTGGTCCTGTGGTCCTGTTATCTCGCCGTGCCTCCACTTGCCTTGTCATATTCTATTACCCTGTTAAGTACTTGATGTCTGTCACCCACACCTATTCACACACTCCCTCCCCTTTTGAAAATCCCTAATAAAAACTTGCTGGTTTTTGTGGCTTGTGGGGCATCACGGATCCTACCAACGTGTGATGTCTCCCCCAGATGCCCAGCTTCAAAATTTCTCTCTTTTGTACTCTGTCCTTTTATTTCTCAAGCCAGCTGACGCTTAGGAAAAACAGAAAAGAACCTATGTGATTATTGGGGCAGGTCGCCTGATAATTTTTTATATTTTTAGTAGAGATGGGGTTTCACCATGTTGGCCAGGCTGGTCTCAAACTCCTGACCTTGTGATTAGCCTGCCTTGGCCTCCTGAAGTGCTGGGTTTACAGGCATAAGCCACTGCGCCCAGCCTCTATTATTATTACTTCTGTGATGGAGTCTTGCTCTGTCGCCCAGGCTGGAGTGAAGTGGTGCGATCTCAGCTCACTGTAACTTCTGCCTCCCAGGTTCTCCTGCGTCAGCCTCCTGAGTAGCTGGGATTACAGGTGCCTGCTACCATGCCTGGCTGATTTTTATATTTTTAGTAGAGATGGGGTTTCACCATGTTGGCCAGGCTAGTCTTGAACTCCTGACCTCAGGTGATACACCCGCCTCGGCCTCCCAAAGTGCTGGGATTACAGGCATGAGCCGCTGCGCCCCGCATATATATATATATATATATATATGGGATTTCATTTGCTGCCCAGGCCTGACTCAAACATGGGCTCAAGTGTATCCTCCTCCCCCAGCCTCCCAAGTAGCTGAGATTAAAGGAGCCCACCCTACATGGTTTTAGTTATATAAACATACACAAACAAAAAACCCAAGCAAAAGTAAGCTATGGTGTTAGAAGTCAGAATAGGGGTTACCCATGGGGAAGAGGGGATAGTGATTGGAAGAATCAGAGAAGGGTGGGGGTTTAGTGATGCTGATAATGTTTTGTTCTTTCACCCTGTCTGGTAATTACACAAGTGTATTTCCTTTGTGACAATTTACTTAACATTTATGTACTTTTCTGTATGCATGTTATGATTTAATTAAAAATATTAAAAACATACAGAAATTGTGATGCTTTGTGCTTAGACATAAAAACAATAGCTCTTTAAAAAGTTGTAATAACCTATAGGAATCTACCCTATTTATAAATTGAAACTCCTTACTTTATCAGTGATTTCTGTCAAATGGTCAAAATGACTGTGCTCCTCAAAGATAATTAAGCTATCCTTGTGTTTCCCTTTTTATTTAAAAAGTCCAAATGGCAATGAATACAATGCTGAAAATGGAAACATCTGCAGTGTCACATTTTTCAAAGGTTTCAGTTGAACCAGAATTCCGTTTAAAAAAAAGCACAAGACATTTGTGATCATTTGAATCCATTAGCACCCTTGAGACTTTTGAATCCATTTACCTAATTCATGTAGATCTTGAAAGGCTTAACAATTGAGTAAAGAATTTTGTGCTGGTCAGTTCCTTACAGCCTACCTCTTTTTGGCCACTGGTGACAGTAAGCTATGTCCAGCACTTTCTTAGTGCTTTATGATTATAGAGTACCACAGCCACCGCTAGGAGGATGCTATGCCTGTGGCCCTGCCAGTGTAAACCCTAATCTGGCTGTCTACCTAATTTTCCGAGAAGTGGAAGAGTGAAACCCTCAGTCCTGACTGGGGAAAAACTGTGCAGCAAGGGCATTTAGAACAGTCTTACCTTGTTTTCAATTGGCCACATGGGTTACAGCTTTCTAGGAGGACAGGACCAAAGAGAATTATAGGGTGCTGCCCCTCTGAGAGAAGTCTCATTCAGGGTGCCGCTTCGGAATCCTGACCCTCCCACCAGGTGGTGGTGGGATTGTTAAAGCTGTGGAAGTGACCCATAGTGAGGGGCTGGGAGGACACTGAAGTATAATCTGGTTAGAAAAAACAGCTTTGCCTTTATTGTAAAAAGTGTTTGTGGACATGGAAGGAATGTAAATGTTCCCAAAGAAATCCTGTTCTAAATAAGACCAGGCTACATGTGGAGGCCCAAGCAATTCTATCTTGGGTGCTAATTCACCATGTTAGCTTCTGATTAACCCCAGTTCTGGGAAGGCCTCTGAGATTTCCAATTTATCTATTGTTCCCTGTGTAAGAGTACATACTAACCCTCAGTCCTGCCCTTAGGTCAAATAACCTTGATGTTATAATACTTCAATTGTTCTACAAATCCCTTCTGAGCCACTCCTTTCCCTGTAGTATTTAAGCCCTGGGTCATGGGCGTAATGGTGGGGAATCCACCATATTGCCTCATGCCACCTGAGACACATACAAGGCTAGTGTTCATAAGTATCTATTAAATGTTTCTTTCTAAGAAACCAGATTTCTCAGCCTCTTTCTTCGCCCTCTCAGCTTCCTCGGACTTTGGGGTAGGTTTGCATAGACCTGCCCACTGTGGAACTCTATATTACTTACCTTATCCTGGAGTCTATGCTTAGTATTCTTTCGATCATAACTTCATTCAGCAAATATTTACTGAGCCCTACTACGTGCCTGCCATTCTGGGGGACTGAGCAGTAAACAAGGCGGTGGAACTCCTTGGGGGTAATGAAGAAGATATTTCTGTCTGCGGAGAAGATGGAGGGCATCTCAGATTAATTTCTTCAACCTAATGGAAGGACTTCCCCCTTTCGAAAGCTTCCGGGCTCTTGATCTGCCCCACCCCCACTCCTTCTAATAACTTCCCCCATCAAGCCCCCCTGTTCATGAGCCCCTCACCTTTTGATGACAAACATACTCAAGGTTTCTCACATGAACTATTTTGATAAAAGGAACAAATAAATCAACAAACCTATTTATTCTCTCCTGAAAATAAATAGGTTATTTATTTTCTGAGATCTCTCTATGGCTAAACCTCTCTAAGTCTCATTTCTATGGAAACTTCTTGGCTTCAATTTCCTTACCATGCACTTACCTTCTAAATTCCATCCTCCCATACACTCAAGGGCTCTCAGCTCCATATAATTCAGACCAGAATGTGGAGAAGAGAGAGAACCATCAGGAAAGCAGGGTGGTGAGTATGCTGGTTCTGATCAAGTGAGCCAAGTATTTCAGGTAAAATCATTCATTACCCGCTGAGTATCTGAGAACCACTTGTGCAGGTGCCTAGCACTGTGCTGGGCAGTTTAGGTTTTTAAAGAATTACAAAAAGTGACTTTTGATGAAAACTTACTGAGGAAGATGAGGCTGAGAAGACTTCCTATGGAAGTGAAGTCTGAACTGAGTTTTGAGGAACGAGTCAACTTGAAACAAAAGGAAGATGACCGGAGGAGTTGTGAGCCTATAGGCCTGGAAGTATGAAGTGAGTGCTGTCTTTGGCTTAAAAGTTGGAAGAGGCAGGAAAGGGCCAGATCAGAAGAGGTCTTTGCAGACCAGGCAGAGAATCACCCACTGAAGGCATTTTTGAGGTCTCCAATTGTCTACCACCTATCTCTCATTTCCTTCACAGCCAAACATCTGTAGAGTCTGTCTTTTCATGTGCTTTTCACTGATCAACCCATTCCCATAGGTATTATCTCCCAACCATTCCACCCAGATTGCCCTTGATAGAACTCAAAGAACTCTTTAGTAATAGGCTCTCCTTAGACAATACTCACTGGACTCTGGAAAGTTACTTAAGTTCTCAGCTTCAGCTTTCCCTTCTCTGCAGCGGGTTTTTTTTAAAAACGTCTTTTTTTAGAAATGGAGTCTCATTCTGGTCATCCAGTCATCCAGGCTGGAGTGCAGTGGTATGTTCATAGCTCATTGCAGCCTCTAACTCATGGGCTCAAGCAATCCTTCAGCCTTAGTCTCCCGAGTAGCTAGGACTACAGGTGTGTGCCACCATGCCTGGCTAATTTTTTTATTTTTTAAGAGACAGAGTGTTGCTATGTTGCCCAGGCTGGCCTCAAACTCCTGGCCCCAAGTGGTCCTTGCGATAGGGATTTTAATATTACCTCCTTCATGGGTCATCAAAAGGATTAAATGCATCTTAAAGTCTTGTTCAAGAAGTGACCATTGTTAATATTATTATTTATCTTCCTTGATCACTTGGCTGTATTTGATACATTTGACTATTCCCTCCATCTTGAAATACTCTTTGGCTTTTGGGATGTTGTGTGTTAATTTCAACTTTCTTTTTTAAAAAAATTGATTCATTTAGTTTTAGAGACAGGGTCTCGCTCTGTCACCCAGGTTGGAGTGCAGTGGTGTGATCATAGCTCACTGCAGCCTGAAACTCCTGAGCTCAAGCAATCTTCTGTCCTCAGCCTCCAGAGTAACTAGGTCTCCTGGCATGTGCCACCATGCCTGGCTAATTAAATTTTTTTTTTTTTTTTTTGTAGAGATGGGTATCTCACTATGTTGCCCAGGCTGGTATCGAACTCCTGGCCTCAAGCGATTCTCCTGCCTCAGCCTCCCAAGATGCTGGGATTATAGGTATGAACCACTGTGCCAGGCCAATTTGGCTTTTCTTCTGCCACTTTGGAATTTCTCTTTTGATTTTCATTGGTAACTCTTTATCCACCTGCTCTCTGCATGGTGGAGCTCTTCATGACTACACGCTTGTCTGTATCTCACTTGACACTCTTTGGGCATTTTAATCCATAATTGCATGTCCTCCATTATCTTCTATATATTAATCACTCTTAGATTTATTTCTACAGTGCAGACTTTTCTTCTGAGCCCTACATGTGTATAGTGAAGGGCTTACTTGATATAATGATTCAGGTGTTTCACGGTTATCTCAAAGTCGACATTTCTGAACCAAACTCATTTCTCCCTCATTACCTCACCTGAACCTTCTCCTTCAGCATTCCCAATTGTTAAACAAAACAAAACAAAAAACCCAAAATGACATATCTCTTCATTCCAGTCAGAAATCTCAGAAATCTGGGACTAGCCCTTGTCCTTCATCCCAGTCAATCACAAATTCAGCTGACTACCTCCAAAAAAGGTCTTCAGTATGTCCACCTCTCTTTGTCCACGGCTACTCCCCTAAATTCAGACTATCAACAACTGTGGGACTCTCTCACCACAGATTTCTAACTGGCCTCACCAAGAAAAATGTTGCTATCTTTTAACCCTCTTTCCCCAGAGTGTAGCCAACTAGAGGAATCCATTCTTTCAGTTAATCAAAAGGTATTATCAAATAAAAATCTAATCACGTTCCAACTTAGCTTAAAAATCCTTCAATGGCCTTTTACTTGGCAGTTCACAATATGCCAATTGTTCAAAGGCTTAAACAACTTTTATTATTATTATTTTTTAATAGAGATGGTGTCTCACTATGTCAGCTAGGCTGACCTCGAACTTCTGGGCTCAAGTGATCCTCTCGTCACAGCCTCCCAAGTACATGGGACTATAGGCGTGTACCACCCTACTTGGCTAACTTAGGGAATCTTAACCACCCGTAAATACCCCCATGGTTTTAGATGTAGTTTCCATTGTAGGAATTCTAATTTGATACTCATGCCAAAGTTATCTTATCCTTATACTAATAGCACACAAAAAGTAGCAAAGACATTAATTAACAATGCCAATGTATGCTGCATTAGAAATTGAGTTATGTAAGCGCTGATTCCACCTTCTTTTATCCCAGGATGGCAAGTGCCTCACACAGTGTCTGGCACAGAATATGTCTTTAATAAATATTTATTGGATACATGGTGATTAAAGGGCTGTCAAAAAGTTCTGCACAGAATTGAAATGTAATTCACAGAAATCAATTTGGTAATCAAACTCAAGTCTACAGCCAGAAAAATATTTTTCCATACTAGACAGCCAGTGTTTGCATATCAAGTGAGTGGCAATAGCTCATTTGGCAGTGAGGGGAAAAGAGGAAAGGAATTAATGTGCCAGGCACCGTACTTCAGACTGGATAAGACTTTTTTTTTTTTTTTTTAATGTATAAGACAAGATTCCTTCCCTCTAGAAGCTTCTAGAGCACTTAGAGAGAGGCAATTGTCCAAATATTCAGTATTCAATTTATTGGCTACTCCTATGGACCTCTCCTTCCCCTTCCCCTTCCTTCCTTCCTTCTTTCCCTCCCTCCCTCCCTTCTTTCTTTCTTTTCTTTTTCTTTCTCTCTCCCTCTTTTCTCTTTCTCTTTCCCTCCCTCCCTCCTTCCCTTTTTCCTCTTTCTTTCTTTTATTTCTTTTCTTTCTTTCTTTCTCTCTCTCTCTCCCCCTCTCTCTCTTTCTTTCTTCCTTTCTTTCCCTCCCTCCCTCCTAGGCTCAAGCAATCCACCTGCCTCAGCCTCCCAAAGGGCTGGAATTACAAGTGTGAGCCACCATGCCCAGCCTGACCCTTTTCTTTAAGTGTAAAATGGTGATCAAAAGCAGACCTATTTTTTCATGTCTGATGGGGGATGGGATACAGACATCAAATAATCCCATGTACAATAATAATAGATATCACTTATACA
Source organism: Homo sapiens (assembly GCF_000001405.40). Taxonomy (NCBI): domain Eukaryota; kingdom Metazoa; phylum Chordata; class Mammalia; order Primates; family Hominidae; genus Homo; species Homo sapiens. The sequence goes on along the minus strand of NC_000004.12, from coordinate 52,666,065 downwards.
GTGCCTATTACATGCCAGGCATGTTCTCAGTACTTTACATAAATTAACAAAATCACACTCTGAGGAGGTACTCTTAATATCTTCACCTGATAAGTAAGGAAATTGAGGTATAGAGAGGTTAAGAAACTTGCCCAAGGTCATATAGCTAGTCCAGGCAGGCTGACACCAGGGTCTACGTTTGAACCACCCACTCGACTGCCTTCATGCAGTACTCTATGGCATGAATACATTTACAAATATAAGTGCCATGAAGGGAAGACAGGTGGTGCTATAAGAACATATAACAAGGGCATCCCACCTGTAGCAGGGGACATCTAGAGGTTGAGTGGGTGTCATCTAAGCAAAAAGAGGGAGGAAGACAGAGGTGGACACAAAACTGGTCACAGCTGAAGGGTAAGTATGGAACCATTAGCCACCTGGATGCAGGAATTCATTGATGGACTGGGGAGAGCAGTATGTGTGGGAAGCTATCAGGGAAGGTCTCAGGGAAGAGGCAAATCTGGAGAAGGCAAAGTTTGAACCCTCTAAACTGGTTTAGAGAGGAGTGATATAGTTTGGATATTTGTCTCCCATGCGATCTCCAACACTGGAGGTGGGACCTGGTGGGAGGTGTTTGGGTCATGGGGGTGAATCTTTTTGGAATGGCTTGGTGTCCTTGCCACAGTAATGAATTAATTTTTGCTTTATTAGTTACCACGAGATCTGATTGCCAAAAAAAGAGAAGTCTCCCTCCCCTCTCTCTTGCTCCCTCTCTCGCCATATGACACACCTGCTCTCCCTCCGCCTTCCGCCATGAGTTAAAGCTTCTTGTGGCCTCACCAGAAGCTGAGCAGATGCTGGTGCCATGCTTGTGTAGCCTGCAGAACTGTGCGCCAAATAAATCTCTTTTCTTTATAAATTACCGAGTCTCAGGTATTCCTTTACAGCAATGCAAAATGGATTAAACACAGACAAAGAAGAGAGGAAAAGGAAATATCAAAGATTCAAAATGAGCCTAATGAATTTCAGGGACAGGAAGAGACTGATGTATTAGGATTCTTTCAGTTGTAACTAGTAGACATCCAGTTTGAACTGGCCAAAGAAATGAAGACTATACTGGCTTGAGTTACTAAAAAGCCCAGGATTTAGATCCGGTAGTGAGTGGATAAATGAATTTGTTAGGATCTCTCTCATTTCTCAGCTCCATTTTCCTATGTTGGCTTCATTCTCAGGTAGTGGAAAGATGGCTGCTGTAGATGAATATCTTATCAGCTCAGCAAACTCAGGAAGGGGAGCATTTCTTTCCCAAAAGTACCAGGACTAAGTCTCATTGGCTCAGCTCATATTACACCCTCTTTGCTGAACCAGTCACTCTGGCTGGGTCATAAGGCACTGTCATTGGCCAGGCCTGGATCATGTGCCTTCCTCTGGCTGCACAGGGCTAGGTTAGCCACATCTGAACCCTAGGTCTGAGTGTGGGAGATGGAAAGTTCCCCAAAGTAGAAGCTAGGAGTTGTTACTGAAAGGAGAATGGATGCTGTTGAGGCAAAAACAGAATTCTACCACAAGTCATTGGCTGGAGCAGTGCTCCCAAAACTTTTTGGAGAGTCTGATTTATTAGGTCTGGGAAGGGAACTGAAAGTCTGTACTTCTGACAACCTCCTGGTGACGCCAATGCTGTTAGTCCATGAACCATACTTTGTGTAGCAAGAGACACATCACCTCCCTCAAATTAGTTTAGGCTATTGTATTAGGCCATTCTTACATTGCTGTAAAGAAATATCTGAGACTAAGTAATTTATAAAGAAAAGAGGTTTACTTGGCTTGTGGTTCTGCAGGCTATACAGGCAGCATGGCACTGGCATCTGCTTGGCTTCTGAGGAGGTCTCACAAAGCTTTCAATCATGGTGGAAGGCAAACGGGGAACAGGTGTCTCATATAGCAGAGCAGGAGCAAGAGAGATAGAGAGTGGGGGGAGGTGCCATACACTTTTAAATGACCACATCTCAGGAGAACTCACTCACTATCATGAAAACAGCACCAAGCCATGAGGAATTTGCCTGCATGTTCCAAACACATCATACAAGGAAGGCCCCACCTCCAGCATTGGGGATTACAATTCAACAAGAGATTTGGGCTGGGTCAAATATCTGAACTATACCATTCCACCTCTGGCCTCTCCAAATCTCATGTCCTTCTCACATTGCAAACTACAATCATGCCTTTCCAATAGGCCCCCAAAATCTTAACTCATTCTGGCATTAACTCAAAAGTCCAAAGTCCAAAGCCTCATTGGAGACAAGGGAAGTCACTTTCACCTATAAGCCTGTAAAATCAAAAACAAATTATTTACTTCCAAGATACAATGGGGGTATAGGGATTGGGTAAATGTTTCCATCCCAAAAAGGGGGAAATTGGCCAAAAGAAAGGGTCTACAGGATCCACACAGCTCCAAAACCCAGTAGGGAAGTCACTAAATCTTAAAGTTCCAAAATAATCTTCGACATCATGTTCCACATCCAGGCCACACTGGTACAAGGGGTGGGCTCCCCAGGCCTTGAGCAGTCCTGCCCCTATGGCTTTGCAGGGTAAAGAATCCAAGGCTGCGCTCATGGGCTGCAGTTGAGTGCCTGTGGCTTTTCCAGGTGCAGAATACAAGCTGCTGGTAGATCTATCATCCTTAGGTCTGGAGGGCAGTGGCCCACTTCGTATAGTTCCATTAGGCAGTGCCCCAGCGGTGACCCTGTTGGAGCCTCCAACCCCACATTTCCCCTCTATACTGCCCTAGTAGAGGTTCTTTGTAAGGGCTCCACCCCTGTAACAGGCTTCTGCCTGGACAAACAGACTTTTCCATATGTCCTCTGAAATCTAGGCAGAGGCTGCCAAGAATCCACGATTCTTGCACTTTGTGTGCCTGCAGGCTTAACACCACATGAAAGCTACCAAGGTTTACTGTTTGCATTCTCCAAAGTGGCAGTCCAAGCTGTATGTAGGCCCCTTTGAGCCATGGCAAGAGTGGGAACAGGAGCAGCTAGGATGTGGTGAGCAGTGTCCCAAGGCTGTGCAAGGTACCATGGCCCTGGGCCCAGTCCATGAATCTATTCTCTCCTCCTAAGCTTCTGGGCCTGTGATGGGAGAAGCCACTCTGAAGTTCTTTGAAATGCTTTCAAGGCTTTTTCCCTATTGTCTTGGATAGTAGCACTTGGCTCCCCTTTAATCCTGCAAACATCTCTAGCAAGTAATTGTTCCACAGTCTGCTTGAATTCCTCTACTGAAAAAGCTTTTTTCTTTCTCTGCCACATGGCCAGGCTGCAAATTTTCCAAACTTTTTTTGCTCTGCTTCCCTTTTAAATATAAGTTCTACCTTTTGTCTTTGCTCCCACATCTGAATATAAGTGGCTAGAAGCAGCCACACCACTTCTTGATCACTTTGCTGCTTAGACATTTCTTCTGCCAGATACCCTAAATCATCACTCTCAAGTTCAAACTTCCACAGATTCCTAGGGCATGAACAGAAGGCAGCTAAGCTCTTTGCTAAGGCGTTAACATTGTGTGACCTTTGCTCTAGTTCCCAGTAAGTTCCTAATTTCCATCTGAGGCCTCAGCAGCCTGGACTTCACTGTTCACATCACTATCAGCATTTTGGTTTGAAGTCCAGGCTTCTGAGGTCTCGAATGGAAATAAGGAAATTATTGGGAACTAGAGCAAAGGTCACGCATGTTTTGCCTTAGCAAAGTGCTTGGGTGCATTCTGTTCATGTCCTAGCTATCAGCATTTTGGTCACAACCATTTAACCAGTCCCTAAGAAATTCCAAACTTTCCCTCATCTTTCTGTCTTCTTCTGAGCCCTACAAACTCTTCCAACTTCTGCCTGTCACCAAGTTCCAAAGCTGCTTCCACATTTTCAGGTATCTCTACAGCAATGACTCACTTCTCAGTACCAGTTTTCTGTATTAGGTCATTCTTGCATTGCTATAAAGAAATCCCCAAGACCAGGTAATTTATAAAGCGAAGAGGTTCATGGTACTACAGGCTATACAGGAAGTATGGCACCAACATCTACTTCTGAGGAGTCCTAATGAAGCTTCTAATCATGGCTGAAGGCAAAGGGGGAACAAACATTCATATGGCAGAGTAGGAGCAAGAGAGAGTTGGCGGGGGCGGGGGGGGGGGGAGGTGCCACACCCTTTTAAATGACTAGATCTCGGGAGAACTCACTCATTATTGTTAAGACAGCACCAAGCCATGAGGGATCCTTCCTCATGTTGCAAACACCTTCCACCAGGCTCTGCCTTCTAGCTCTGCCTCCAGAATTGGGGATTCCAATTTAACATGAGATTTGGATGGGGACAGATATCCAAACTATATCAGCCGTGTAGTGCCACCCTCTAACCCATCCTTCCATTTTCTTGCTTTTCCCAGTCCTAACTATACCTGCATATCAGCTTACCTCAAAGTTCTCTCATTAGCTTGTCAATATTTTTAAGATTTTACCTCTTATCATCCCTGAATAATGTTTCCTCAATGAGTGAAGCTAAGATTATGATTATTCTTCTTCAACCCAAGAATTTTCCAATTTAGACCTGTGAATACCACACTTGTGGAAATGTAAAATGTATTTAATCTTTCATAAGTCTGACAAGCTCTGCCATGTTCAACTGATTTGTTGTGTATGTAATTCACTGCCTGAGTTTCAATCTGGATGTCTATATTGAACACTTCAGTTTTAGGATATATACCATTAAAAGGTATGCAAAAGATCCTTTTAACTTGCTGATATAGCACTCAGTAATCAGATGCTGTTCAATTTCCATTATGTCGATGGTGTTTTCAATCCTGTGAACTTTGCAATCCATGCGCCAATGTTGGCAGAAATACTGAACTCTTATTACAAAATTTTCATATCATTTAAAGCTTTAGATTATTGCCTTTATAGTGGAACTTCTGTGAAATTGAGTCCTGAGATCTGAGTTTTAGCCTTGAGGTTGCTCCTGACCTTGAGACATTAATACTCAAATCTTAAAGTTTTCTGGGCCTCCGTGCTGGGATTGGTCATAGTTCAGTTGTTTCCTGTCTTCTCTCTTCTCTTCCTCTCCCAGAGTGCTCAGCCCAGGTTACCACACCAACTTAATCTGTAACATTTCGGTAAGTCATCTGGGCAGGATCCTTGATCCTCTAAGCCTTATGTGACTGATCTGCAAAAAAGGAGATAATAGCATGTACCAGCTGATAGTTATGGTGGCGATTAAAGGAGATCAGGAATGTAAACATTGGGTGCAGTGGTTCACGCCTGTTGTCCCAGCGCTTTGGGAGGCCAAGGTGGGATGATTGCTGGAGCCCAGGAGTTTGGGATGACTCGGGGCTGCCCAGCCTCAGGCTGGGCAACATAGCGAGAACCTGTCTCTTAAAAAACAGAGAGAGAGAGAAGAAAATCAGTCATGACTTACAATGGAAGAAATTATCATCAGGATGTATTTGGAAATAATATTTAGGTTGAAAGACTTAAGCAGGAATATTATTTCTCATGTCCACTGGAAAACACAGTGACATGACTCCCAAAACCTTCAGTCAACAAGTCTGTCTTACTGTTTCCTCCCCAGATTCTAGGGATATTAGCAATCAACGGCTCTCAAATCTTTACTCTTGGTTAGATAAAAGCTATCTTCAACTAATTTTTCTTCTGATTCAATTTGTCATTAAATACACTGATCTAAGAATTTATCACGCATCTCACTTGTACAATTTCTCCTTTGAAAGCATCGAATTGCAACCTTGTATGTGTAACTGTTCCACACATTCAGAAACGGGCCCCTTCAATTCGCGTGGACCTATCTGCTAAGTGGTGCACAGACTCGCGCTCTGAGCCCGCAGCCACGACCTTTAATGCGGGAAATGTGCATGATCCCATACAGCGCCCATCTCAACAACTAGAGGCTGGGTGCACCCGAGAGGGGTATGCCTGCCTTGAAGATATGGAAAAGTTTTGTTTTCGTTCTTTCCACTCCTTGGACAGTCCCTAGTGCTTGCGCGGAACCGGGACGTCTCCTTTGGACCCGCTAATGTCACAAGCCGCCCGAGCGCGCCGCTGCTGGCCTCCGCCCAGACCCGGATTCCTCCCCCTTCCCGGCGCCCTTTCTCGGGCGCCCGGCCCGCAGCTGGCGAGGGCTCTCTGACCGCTCCGGTGTCCTCGCCCCATTTTACTTCTTGGGTCCCCGCCGGTGCCATCTGGTTGGAACCCTCGGGAGGAACTAAAAGTTGGACGTCGCCACCCCTACCCCTCGCCAAAAAATAAACACCGGGGGCTGCCGAGGCCCGCCAGGAGGAAGGCGACGAGGAAAAAGCGAGGACGGAAGGCGGCCCCGGGTTCGCCCCGGCCTGGGCCGCCCGCTTCCCCACCCCGCGCACCGTACCGTCCCCGGCTCCCTGGCTCCCCGACGGCGAGGAGGGCCGCCGCTTCCGCGTCGGGGTCGGCCGGGGGACCTGCGAGGTGCGGCTGCCGCAGCGGCGCGCCCCGGAGCCTGGCCCGGCATTCCAGTCCGAATAGAAAGAGGCAGGGAATCAAATGGAAAAGCAGGAGGCCAGGCCTGGGCGGGCGAGCTGGGAAGGAGGCGGCGCGGCGGGGCCCGGGAACCCAGCCTGGAGCGCTCTGAGCGGCCGGCTCGGACTCACGCGGCGCGCCCGGGCCGCCCCTCCTCCCCGCGCCGCCGGCCGCGGCCCAGGCTCCCTCGCTCCGCCACTCCCCGCCCCTCCGCGCTCCCTCCCCGCCCTCCCCGCGCCGCCGCCTCCTCCTCCCGGCCTCCCTCTCCCAGCCAAACTGAAAGCCGGACCCCAGGCCGCCGCGCTGCCGCCCGGCCTCCCCGCCAGCGCGCCACCATGGGCAGTCCCGGTTTCCCCTTGTAAAGATGGCGGTGAGGGATCGCTGCAACCTTTAGACTAATGACTGTCCGAAACATCGCCTCCATCTGTAATATGGTGAGTGGCCGAGCCGCCTCGGGGTCGCGCCCGACTCGCGGCGAGGCAAAGAAAGGGAAGCCCGAGCTGCACACACGCCCGGTGGCTGGGGCGGCGGGGGCGGCGGGGTCCGCGCCGCCAGAAGTTCCCGGCCCCCGAGCTGGGCGCGCGGCCGCAGCCACCTCAGCGGCCGGGGAGGGTCCCCGAGCCCCCGGCGCCCGTCTCAGCCCCGGGACCTCGGAACCCGCCCGGCGATCCCGGGGCCGCGCTGCTGCGCCCCCCGCCCTCGGGTTGCGGTGGAAGCGGCTTGAGGGAAGGGAAGCGACCGAACCTGAACGTCCCCGGGGAGGGGGTGGGGGATAAGCTGGAGGTGGGGGGCACCCATCCTCTTCTTGCGGTCAAGACAGCCTTATTGGACGTCCAGACTGCCCTCATCTCATTTTGAGTTCAGTCCTTCCGAGGTGTTTAAAATTCACTTTGCAATAGCAATTGTGTATCTGGAGAAATCGGAAATGTAATAAAGCTGTAAAAAAAGTGCAAAATTGTGGCTGGAGAAGTGAACTTCAACCTGGTTTGAAAAAGCACCGTAATTTGCTCCGCATGCCTCAGTTTCCCCATCTGTGAAAAAGGGACAAGGCTCTGTGGCGGTAATATTTGCAGGCCCTAAGGGTGGGGCGGGCTGTGGGCTTGGAGGAGGTCTCCAGGGTTATCCTGCCTGATCCGCTGTAGACCTAGGGGAGGCTGGCGGGCATGGATACAGCCAGGGACATCACTGGGTTCTGATGCAGTCCGAGCCCATGATGCGGTGGTCACTTTAATTTGGGTTTCCCCCATTGCTTTCCCTTTTTCTGTAGGAAGAACCTCCAGCCCTTGGGTCCCCAGGCTGGACCCTGCTGGCGCCTCCACTTGTCAGAGCCTTTGGGGAGCTCAGATTGGAGTAAGGCATTGCTGTCCCTTGCAGGGTGAGATGATGTGTGTTTTGCCTACATTCTTTAGACTGCACCCCGCCTCCCCTCTAGCCCCCTCCCAAGCGGGTCCCCGGAGGCAACACGTGCTCTTACAGTGCCAGTTTGAGGAAAACCTCCCTTGAAGCTAGTAATACTGGCCCCTAAAGGGAATCCAAGGAAGCTTGATGGAGAAGCCCTGGTGTAAGGTGATCTGGCTGCCCTTCCCCCATCACATAGCTTTTTAAATCTTCTGTCCCACATTCTGTTGCAAGATCAACACATGGCAAAGGAGCATTAAGAAGCCTTGTGTTAGCTCAGGGGTGGAATTGAGACCCGCTGGCTTCAGCTTTCAGCACAATGGGACGTGCCACTGTCACGGCCAGCAAAGCAAATGCTGGGGCCTCCCAGAGTGATAGCTGCACAGGTACTGGTTGGTGCCGGGCGAGTTCCATACGGGGAGTGGATCCTAGAGCCTTTCTGTTTTCTCTTTTTTTCCTTTCTCTGCGAGGAGTCAGATTTCCTCTTATTCCTGTGGAGGGGCTGCTTGTGAAGAGGTGATGCCTTCTCAGTTTCTCTCCTACGACCAGTTCCTGAGGGAACTGTGAATCGGGAGCAGCTTGAATACTCTTTTATGTCTGTTGGTGTGGCCGCAGGCCTAAGGATACTACAGGGTAGTGAGGCTCCGACCCAGCCCTTGGTGGTGTTCTTGTCCTGCTTGTGTGTGGTTACACCTCTCTGTGTAGAAGCAGGCTGGAAACTTGAGAGCTAGCATGCCCCTAGAGGAAGCCAGCCCCCAACCTCCCCCCACGCGTCCCCCCACCCACCCTCAGTGCTGCGGGGGCTTTCTGGCACACCTGGGCTGAATGTCACAACGTGTTTCAGTGAAACTCAGTCAGGGAGACAGGGTGTGGGGAGGACCTGAGAGGAGCAGGCCAATACTGCCCTGAGAGTTGACATCTCAGGTGGAGACCTAAAAAGGTACCAAATTTAGGACCATCACCCAGATGAAGTGAGGAACCAGTAATTCATTAAGTAAGGAGTCTGATGTTGTATTTAGACGCCATGTCTAGAGAGTGACAGAGTTTGGGTTCTAATGTCAGACTTCCTGGGTTCAGGTCCTGGTTCTTTTTTTTTTTTTTTTTTTTTTTGACAAGGTCTCACACTGTCACCCAGGCTGGAGTGCAGTGGCATGAACATGGTGGCTCACTGCAGCCTCCACTTCCCAGGCTCAAGTGATTCTCCCACCTCTGCCTTCTGAGTAGCTGGGACTACAGGCACGTGCCACCATGCCTGGCTAATTTTTAAATTTTCCATAGAGACTGGGTCTCCCTATGTTGCCCAGGCTGGTCCCTAATACCTGGGCTCAAGTGGTCCTCCCACCTCAGCCTCCCGAAGCGCCAAATTACTGCCGTGAGCCACCATACCCGGCAGGTCCTGGTTCTAACACATGTTGGCTTTGTGTCCTTGAACAAGTTGTCCGGTCTTAGACTTTCCTTATCTACCAAAAGGTGATGTTAATATTGTTGTATTACTCGGGCACAGGGCCTGGTACATGGCTAGAACTCAGTGAGTGTCATTGTCAACATCATCTTTCTCATTGTTATGTCATCTACCAGGTGTTTAAGGGACAGTGGAGATCATGCCATTTCAGACCTGGTGGAAGCAACCACTAATATAAACACCTCCCATGTATAGGAAGGCTGGAGTGGGAATCCTTAACCCCGCCCCCTGCTCAGGTCAATCCCCCACCCACCGCCCCCACTGTCCCTCCCAGTCTTCCTTCCCAGAGGAGAAGGCTGGGTATGAGGAAACTGCTGTCTTTTCACTGGATCAGACGTAAATATTAACTGGACCTCTCTTTAGATTCTTTGCTCAATAATGAATTGTTTTCAGGTAGGTGTCTTACAGGTCCCTTCTCACTGCTTAGCTCCTCTGTGGGCCTCTTACTGACCCTTCCCGCTCCTAACTTTGGTCCCAGCTGGTTTGAGTAGTTGTAGTAAGAGCAAATGGTGATTGCATTTTTTTCTTAAGCACATCGTTTAACATATTTTGAACAGGCTGATATGTGTTCAGAAAGGATATTAGAAGGTACCATTTTTCTGGGTAACAGGAAAAAACGAAGATCTATCATTGAAAGTGGATTTGTTTCCTCCACCAGATAAGAAAGGACCCAGCAGAGCAGAAATCAAATTTGTAGCAGATACTTCGTGTGATTGAGAACTAAACATCCCCTCTTTTCCCCATACTTCTTGTGCCAGTTTTAGTTATAGGAAACTTGGAAAATATCTTCATTCCTCCACTTACCCACCCACTTGCTGAAGTTTTATTGTTCACTGGAAGTTTAGTACTAGTTTCTATTTGTTTTAATTTTTCTTCCATGTGAATTCCTGCCATGGTAATTCTTGATGAACTTGCTCAGGGCAAGGCAGCTTGGCCACACAGCAGTGTGTGGTTCAGAGATAGTAAAGCTTGTTTGGCTGGTGTGTTGTAATTTTCATAATGCACTAGCTGCTACCAAGCATGAGGAAATGTCTTCTGTTGATAATCCTCTGATTTTTGTCCAGACCAATGGATTTAACTTCCTATATATTTTTATGGCCCTGCAAATGGAAAGTTTTTGTTTTTGGGTTTTTTAAGTTTCCTATTTGAAGAGCTTGAGAAATTTTCTAAAAAGGAAGCATTAGTTAGAAGAAACCAAATGTGACATACCAATGCAAGTTGCTTCAGATCATCTAATCTTATTTCATTTGTTAATAATGCTGTAAGATGTACCTCTGAGAAAATGCTGTGTATCAAATGATTACGAGTTTTGTTCCGATAAATGGCCATCTGTTGAGGACCTGCTATGTTGGTGTTGGCACAGACTATACTCAAGTGCTTAATAAATGAATGAGGTGAGTCCCTGTCCCCAAGGGGCTCAGCTGTTCCTTATCTTGTGGGTGTTAACATTGGTAAAGATGAAACAATTTCAATACAGTGTTATATCAGCACAGATAGAAGTTGAATAAACTCCCAGCAGCTGTACAGTGGAAAGACCGATTAACACAACAGGACATTTCAAAAATACATTCTCGTTTGACCAAAGTTGTATACACATTCTGCTTCTGGCTTTTATTTTATATGAGGACATGATTGTAGTCAATGTGAGTTAGAATTGAAATCTGCACCATTGGGTGTCTCTCCAGTTAAGCATGAATCTAATGGTGCTTTTGGGCAAACTGTTGTATTTCCGGAGACCTTAGTTTTTCTCATCTTGTAAAACTGATTTTCTGTTTTTGGTCATGAAAAACTTCATGGTAGAATTCCTTAGATAAAGGCTTTATGAAAATCTGCACCTCTTAATTGGTTAGCAACCACTTCATTACCTAACTACCTTGTTTAAAACTGTATTGAACTTATGACATGTTAGCATTTTAGCGTCTGTAGAACAGCCTCAGGATAATTTTTGACATCAGTTTGAGTGCCAGATTTTAGTTCTTTTAAATAAATGAGGTAGGCTGGGCATGGTGGCTCACTGGTAATACCAGTACTTTGGGAGGCCGAGGCAAGAGGATTCTTTGAGCCCAGGAATTCAAGATCAGCCTAGGCAACATAGTGAGACCCAATCTCTACCAAAAAGAAACAAACAAAATCATGTAAATAAAAATGTATCATATAAATAAATGAAGTTATCTGGAAATAAAGGGAAAGTAAACATTACAATTTTGAAACAAAACTAGAGTATTTTTATAGTTTTATCTTGATAAGTCAACTACTTACCTAAGGCAAGTATTTTGAGAATGGTTGGAAACAACTTTTTAATTATTAAAAAATATGTCCATCTTGTGATTTGGGGGAACAGATATCTTGCCTTTTCCTCTGTTACTGTTATTCATGCTTTCCATTCTCAAAGATAGTTGGCAATTATAAGTTTAGTTAATATATCAGCTAGGTGTAAAGTCATATGAGGGTCTACTCTGATAGTTGCTGGGATTAGAAAATACAGTCTGAGGTGAGGTGGATTAATGTTTAAAGAAAAGAAATTCTGTTTTTCTGGCCCCACTGGTCTCATATGCAGAGGTTTATATTAGGTCGGGACCTGACAATTAGTTCTGCGGATTTTTCTGTTTTTCTTGGACTCCTCAGAGAAAACAAAGTTGAATGCTGGTATTTAGTTAGAATGAAAGATTATGATACCTTTTCTGTATAACAACTTTATGTGCTTCAGTTCACTCATACCATAAAATCTGTTTATTTATTCTTCACTAAGTGGAATTTTGGTATGTTTGGGTTATAATTGAAAGGCATTTTCAATTTTGATTCTCTTAGCAATTAAGAGAAATTTCTCTAGCTCAGATGTCTTTTTTTTCCCCCTCCTGGTCTTTCTAGTTAGTGTGAATAGATTGGGGTTCCATGATGGTATTAAATTCTGTGGTATCATCAGAAAGGTATTTGGTAACCACCTATCTCTATCTCTAGCTTACCCATGAAGCCACCCAAAGCTAACTAACTGGAAGAGATGTAAAAGATGGTGTCTTTTAGTCTAGTTAACTTTTCTGGTCTAATTATTTTAATGCAGCTTCTTATAACAAACCTTCAGTTGTGGTGGAACCAAATGCTGATCTAAGGGTTTGAAAGGCCTTGGTGGTCTTTAAGAGAAAAGGCCACCCAAAAATCAATCAGCAAAATCTTTTTTTTTTTTTTTTTTTTTTTTGAGATAGAGTTTTGTTCTTGTTGCCCAGGCTGGAGTGCGATGGCTTCACTGCAACCTCTGCCTCCTGGATTCAAGTGATTCTCCTGCCTCAATCTCCTGAGCAGCTGGGATTACAGTTGCCTGCTACCATGCCTGGCTAATTTTGCATTTTTAGTAGAGATAGGGTTTCACCATGTTGGCCAGGCTGGTCTCAAACTCCTGACCTCAGGTGATCCGCCCGCCTCAGCCTCTCAAAGTGCTAGGATTATAGGTGTGAACCACTGTGCCCTGCCACGAAAACATTCTTGAGACGAACTCTGTGTTAGCGAACAACCCTAACAGTAAAGGGTTTTTGGAATATTTCTCTTCTGGGACTATGGCTTGAAGTTTGAGGGATGCTGTAAGTGCTGTACATGGAAGTTTACCCCAATTCTCAGAATGATTCTTTGCAATGGATAGTTTTAAGATCATGGTGATGGGACTCTGTGGTCGCCAAAGCTTCACTTTACCCTCATAGGGCCAACCTTCCTTTTCTTCCTCAAGTTCCAATGTCACTTTTAGAACCCTCAGATACTTTTTAAATTAGCTCAGACTTTGCCTTTTTTTCTGAGTGATGGTGAATTTTAGACATACAGAAATGTGGAATAATAGAGTGAATACTCGTGTACTCCCCACCCAGTGAAGAAATAAAATACTATATATACATTTAAAACCACCTATGAGTCCTTCCTGATCTCATTGCCTCTCCCCACAGAGTGACCACTATTCTGCATTTAGTGTTTATTGTATATTTTTATATTTTTACTAGATTTGTATGCATTCATAAACTAGATATAGTGTATTTTTTCATGTTTTAAACATGCTTTATAATATTAAACATTCCTCTCAGTTTGCTTTTATTGTTTAAATTGTGATTTTGCTATTTATCCATTGAGAGACACATAATCCTAGTTTATTTTAACTGCTGTATAACATTCCATTATATAAATATGCTATGACACATTCATTTTAATGTTGTAAGCAGGTTTACAAATTTGTGAGTGTGCTGTTTTAATGCAATGAACAGTTGTGAACTCATCTCCCTGTGTATAGTATACACAGTTGACAGTTGACAGTTTCTCTGTGGTGTAAACCTGGAAGGGAATTGCTGGGTCAAAGGAATTTGATCGTCTTCTTTAATAAGTTGCCTGATTGCTCTCCAAAGAAGTTATGCCAATTTGCATTCCAACCAAGCAGCGTTTGGGGGTTCCAGTTGCTTCACATGTTTGCAGATATTTGATATTGCTAGACTTGATGTTTTGCCAGTCTGATGGGTGTGACATTGTGCCTTTGTGGTTTAAAATTTGCACTTTTCCTGTTTGCTAGGGGAGGTTGAACATCTTTTCATGTGTTTGTTATGCTGGTTTGTTTTCAACTCAGGGGCCTGAGAACAGTTTTCCAGGTCTTGAAAGTCAGGATTGTAGTTTTGGTTTTGTCTGAAAACAGGGACAATGAAGAAGGGACAGTGAAGAGGAAAATCAAGGAGACCAAAGCAAAAGTCATGAAAGGTAGGGATGGATTGGAAGATGCAGGTGAAAAAAATGATGACAAGATAATCACTGTGGAGGGGTGAAAACTAGTAACAAAAAGATAATAGAGTAGCACTGAGAAGATACCTTGAATTTTGAGAGTAAATTTGGGAGACCTGCCTGTGCCAGCAAGGCCTTGTTCAAGCCACATTTGCTTTGTTTAATTGACATTGGCTTTAGTGAAAATCGTGTCTGGGGCCTGTTCTGGTGAGAACAGCAGCAAAGCTGGACTTGCAGAGTTTTCCTGTTTACCCAGTTGCTTTTTCAAGTTCTTTTAGAAAGGCATTGTGAAACGATGGTCATCTTCCTAAAATACATTTCTCTGTCCTTCAGGTTAGGTACACAGTGCAGGAAAATTTTTATCTGGATCTGCTTGAATATATACTGGTGGAATTACTGTCTTAAATATTTAGAAAGTATTCTCTACACTTCATTTTAATTTTCAGAGTATGATGAGTATTACCTCATTAAACAAAGAAATGTATGGTTTTAGGTTCTTTGGTGTACCAAAGAATGGTTCCCACATGTGCATTCTCTTATTAAAAATTTAGACTCTGGGGTTCAACACCCAGAGAGTTTGATTAAGTAGGTCTTAGTTGGGGCTCTGGAATCTGCCTTTTAAATTAGTGTTCCCTCCTCCTTCTACTCCCTCCACATTCTGTTATAGGTGAGCTGAGGACCATGCTTGGAGAAATATTGCTTCCCTTGGGTAATAACCTCAGCCTCTTAAAAAATATTGCTTAAGAAATTACCTGCCATGTGAAAGTTTTTAAAAAAATGAATGTAAAATTATTTAAGCTAGTAACTTAACTTTTTCTGTTCTTTTTTCTCTTTCTTTCTTTTTTTTTTTTTTTTTTGAGATGGAGTCTCACTCTGTTGCCAGGCTGGAGTACAGTGGCATGATCTCAGCTCACTGCAACCTCTGCTTCCAGGTTCAAGCGATTCTCCTGCCTCAGCCTCCTGAGTAGGGTACTACAGGCACGTGCCCCCTTGCCCAGCTAATTTTGTATTTTTAGTAGAGACAGGGTTTCACCATGTTGCCTGGGATGGTCTTGATCTCTTGACCTCGTGATCCGCCCACCTTGGCCTCCCAAAGTACTGGGATTACAGGCGTGAGCCACTGCACCCGGCCAACTTAACTTTTTCTTGGTATTAAATAGCCAGGTTTTGTATTAGTTTATATATTCAGAACAGAGATTTTCAGCACTGGCTTTATATCATATCACCTGTGAAGCTTTTAAAAGAAATTTTAAAAATAATAATTAAATCACAAAACATTAACATACAAAAAAGCATGAAAAAATAATGTTATATATGTTTACCTACCCTTCAGATTTAACAGATATTAAAATGTAGCCATATTTGGTTACTTTTATTTTTAGACATATTACTGTAAAAACAGCACTAACTCTTTTTAGACTCTTTTACCTTAAAAACAGACACTAACTCAACCCAATCTCTTTCCTTTCTCTTCCTCCCAGAGCAAACCATTTTCCTGAAGTTGATATGGTGTTTACCAAACATGTCTTATACTTTACTTTGTATTTATGAATTCATAAGCAATGGATTGCAACGTTTGTGTGTGGATAAAATCGTGTAGCTTTTTGCAACTGTCTTTCTTTACTCAACAAGTATATTTGAGATTATGTCAACACATAGAGGTCGAGTTTATTCATTCTGACTGCTCTGTAACAGGATTCTTTGACTTAACCATGGTTTACTTATTCATTCTCTTATTTAGGGGCAGTTTGGTAGTTTCTACAATATTCTCTCTGGAAACAGTGTTGCAGCGAATGTTCTTGCTTCTGTCTTCTTTGCTCAGGTGTCTTCATTTCTTTAGGGTATAATCCTGGAAGTCAATATGCTGCTTTTAGGATGCGCCCATCTGCAGCTTTGCTAGGTGTGTCAAATTGCTCTCCAAAGTGGTTCCACCAATTGGAGCTTTATTGACATGCAGTTTCTAGGGTCCCAGTCTCCAGCGTTTCTGACAGTATGTAGATATAGGTAGTCTGGGGTGAATTTTAGGCACCTGCGTGTGTATGTGTGTGTGTGTATTTTAAGTGCCACAGTTGATTCCGATGTGAGCATCCAAGGTTGATAAACCACCATGTTAGACTGACAACTCTATGAGGGCAGGAACTGTATTTATTTGTATTATTCAGTGTTGATTTCCCAGCTGTCAGCACAGTGCCTAGCACATATGTGGTTGGTGCTCAATAAATAAATATTGATAAATGAATGAAGGGATGTAATTTGGTAGAATGGAAGAATTGCCTTGGAGTAAAGCAGTATGCCTCCAATTTTATCATGCATAGGCATTAGCTGGAGGTCTAGTTGAAATGTCAATTTGGATTCAGCACGTCTGGGGCAGGGCGGAGATTTTGCACTTCTAACAAACTCTCTGGTGGTACAGATAATGCTGGTTTCGGGACCATTTTTAGAGCAGCAAGGCTTTGGGAAAAACAAAACAACTTCTATTTTCCATATAGTTGTAAAGTGGAGGAGTTTGGAATTCAGAATCCTGTTTGGTAAATCTCAGATCCTATTTATCTTTTTACAACAAAGGTAGTCAATGAAATACCTTCTTTAAAGCTTTTTGGGGAGCATCAGAAGAGATCCTGCCCATGGAAGCACTGTGTGAGCTATGATGCCTTCATGCTTGTTAGTTTTCATAATTATTCTCACTCTTTTAGTTCATCATTATTTTCCTTCTGTTTGCTCAAAGTGCAAAGCTGTTGGTATTTCAGGATCCAGTGAAATTCTACTTCCATTTTGACCTGCTGTCCACATTTAGTGGGGCACTTTGGGAGGAGTGACATTGGGGAAGGAAGTTGGCAAAAGCAGAGGCCAAATTCACAGCATGGTTTGGTTCTGACTGGGTGCTGTGGTGGTGAGGGGGCCCTGTGGCCCTGTTTCTGTGGTATTGGGAGACACGGGTAGAGAGAGGCCCACAGGACTCTTCTAATCATTGCTGTAGTGGATGACAGGACAACAGGAAACTGTCTAATTGGGTTCCCAAGTCAGATACTTTTCAAAGAGAAAAGAATGCTCAGAGTAATTATAAAATATTAATTGATCTGTAGGTGTAATCTGAGCTATTCAGGGCAAACTAGAGGTAGGTCCCTCTAAGGTTAAGCTACCATAGGACACTCCTATTTAAATGCAGAGTTTCAGTATGCTTCAGGAACTGGGTTTCCCTGCCTCATGAATCAGAGGGTAATGTAGTAATGGAGAGAAGGCAAATACAAATAAATAAATAAAAAATAACATTCAGAACGAATGCATATTGTATGGTTGGCAGTGTAGGGGTGGATAACCTATTATTTCCAAGCTTTTCTTACTCTAGAGAAAAACTGTGGGATGGATCCAGTTGCTTAGGTCAGTGATACTCAAATGTCAGTTTGTCATCATTGTTCATGGTTTTTGCTACATCTGTGTATCACTTGAACTTATTTACTTAGTTTTCCTTAAATCTGTTCACCCTAATTTGACCTTATTCTGAAACATCTGCAAAATGATGGGTTTGATGAGCTAATTTTATGCTTTTCTAATCCTTTTCAAAAACATTATTGCTACACTTAAAACTGTTCATACTGGTGCCACCTAAGAGTAACTCCCCTCCCTCCAGGATTCATGGCCCATAGTTTGGGTGACATTGGCTCAGATAAGAGGTTTTTTGTAGTGGCTCAAATAATCGGCTCTTGGAGGAGCACCATTTGTTGAACTACTTTGTAGATGATGGTCTGGTCGGTGAGCTTCCTTGGGAGGCAAGTGAGCACATGGCTGAGATATGGTTGGACTTTCTACACCACTGTTGATTGGGTATGAGAGCTTGATGTTCTCTACCCTTGTAAAGACATGCTTCTTATCCATAGCCTGTGGGTGATGAGAGAACTTACCTTCCTGGGTCATTGTGGGGCTTAAGCAGAGAGATTGATGTCTAGTGCTTAGCCTGTTGCCTGGGCATTGCATTACCACTTTCTTCCAGTGCCCTTCTTATTTCCATTAGTGAAAGAGTCCACCAAACACTGTAGTAGACAGAGCCCTGAGCTAGGACTCAGAAATCCCAGGCTCTGATTGCTTTCCAGCTTTAGCGGTGTTGGGCAGGTCACTGAGGCCTCTCTGGGTCTATAAAATAAGAACCACTCCTGCTGGTGAGCAGTGGCAAGAAGACGAGCATGTGTGTTATAAACCAGCTATGGTTTTCAGTCAAGGAGAACTAGGGAAGGGCTGCAGGACAAAAGGAGGAAGAAGCTATGATTTCTGACAAAAATGCCATTGGAAGACACATGCTGGTGGTGTGTGGCCAAGCTTTTGTTGTCACTAGTCAAGATACAATGTTTTTCCTTTTCCTGAGAATGAGAGCACATTCTGTAGTAAAAGATATGTTGTCTTTGAATGAGCTTATACCACACTCTTTTGTGTCATTTGGCACACACAGCCTTCCTAACTGAGAAATACATGAAGTAGCTAAGCGCAGTTTCTTTTCTAAATTTTTAAGTAAAGTGTCTGAATAGGTACTATGAGTTTATGTGGCAGAAATTTCAAAATGTGCACAAGGTTGTATGTTGAAAATAGACCCAGTGTCCAATTCTTATCTCTGGCATCTATCAATAGTTATAGTTTCTTATGCTTCCATTTAGAGTTATATGCATATACAAGCAACTGTGTTTATATTTCTCTCTTAGTTTTTAAAAACACAAAGAGTACATAGAGTATACCCTGATCTGTCCTGATCTGCCCCTTGCTGTTTGTGTCTTGTAGGAGGGTCTGTGGGAAGAGCCACCTCATTCTTTTTTTATGGCTGCAGAGTATTCACTTGCTTGAGTCTACTGAATTCACTGAACCAGGCCCTCACTGACTAGCAGGACATGTTGTAGGTAGTTTTCTAGTCTTCGGTTTTTACAAACAAGGCTGTAAGGAACAACTTTGTCCATATGTGGGAGTATATCTGTGGACCGACTTCCTAAAAATGGATTTGCATTTGTAACTGGGATGGATTTTGCCAAATTGCCCTCCATCAGCAATATGTGTGACTCTGGCTGCCTGCAGCCTTGCCAAAGCAGTGTGCTACCCAGAAACCTTTTGATCTTTGCCAGTCAGGGGAAAGATGGTGTCTTAGTATATTTGTAGTTTGCATTTCTCTTATTAGAAGTGAGCTTCAGCAGCTATTCACATATTTAGGAAAATAAACTCAATTTTATTTAAATACCTTGCTGTTGGTAATTATTTTCAGAGTCTGTAGGGAAGGACCAGTTTTATTGTTATTTTCAATCTGTCTCAGACCAATATATTTGTAAAATACAATAAAAAGGAATAACTAGCAAAATGGAATTAAAAAAACCCAAAGAGAAATAAAATGCAAGCCTTAATTTTTTTGTTACTAAACTTGACAGATACAAAATTACTCTATCCATTCATTTTATCTCCATGTTTTTAGTTTCTGGATGTAGCTCACCACAGAGAGTTTTGAGTAAATAACATTGCTGTAAAGAACAACTTACTCATGTTTTTTCTCCCATTGCTACTCTATTTGAGGATGGGAGGAGAGAGCCCAGAATTTTATATTTTACATTTCATAATCAGCACATTTCAGGATGGTTTTGTTACATTAGTGGAAAATATCTCTGATGGTGCAATACTGACCCAGGAGGGACTGGTTCCCGAGGGCCGGGTTGCCGCACAAGTGCATTGAGGCATGTTGACTCCTGCAGTGCTCCCCATGCTGTAAGGTGGGAATGCAGGTGTTGTGATTTTCACTGATGAAGACCTTGAGCTTGGATGAGAAGATGGGAGGATGAAATCACCCTATTAATAAAATTTACAGAGCAGGCCTATATTAGTCCATTCTCACAGTGCTATAAAGAACTACCTGAGACTGGGTAATTTATGAAGAAAAGAGGTTTAATTGACTCACAGTTCCAAAGGCTTAACAGGAAGCATGACTGGGAGGCTTCAGGAAACTTAAAATCATGGCAGAAGGTGTAGGGAAAGCAGGCACATCTTACCATGGTGGAGCAGGAGAGAGCAAGAGAGAAAGGGAAAGTGCCACACACTTTCAAACAACCCGATCTTGTGAGAACTCACTCACTATCATGAGAACAGCGAGGGGAAAGACCGCCCCAATGATCCAATCACCTCCCACCAGGCCCCTAGAATTGTGGGAATTACAATTCTAGATGAGATTTGGGTGGGGACACAGAGCCAAACCATATCAAGGCCTCTTTGACCTAGGATTTTGCAAGGACCCCAGCCTCCTCTGCTGCCTTTCTGGGAACAGATGGGAAGTGTATTTGTGGGTAAAGTAGGAGCTTAGGGGACATGATAATTCAGGCAGCATCTTGGTGGCTTTGTAGAAGGATTGAATTGGAAATGAGGTTCTTGCTTCTAGCTCACTGAGTTCAGTGACATAAGTGGCTATTTCCTTGTCTTCCACCTGCAGCTAGAAAACAGGCATGGTCTCAAGATTCTTTGTTCTGCTTTTGACTTGAAGTTTTAGTTTTGCATGAGGACTTCATTTTGTTATCTCTAAATATATGGAGAATTGTTTTGCCAGCCACAGCTTCTTTCTAGATGTTCTTTAATGCTCCTTGCTAGAATGACTTGGGATGGTCATGTAGTCAAGTATCCCAGGTCAGCTTTCTTCAGTGGCAGATGTTTTGGCTTCTGTGTACAATTATTAAATGAAGTCATGTTGAGGTTTTCTTTTTTTTTTTTTTTTTTTGAGATAGAGTCTGTCTTCACCTCACAGGCTGGAGTGCAGTGGCGCGATCTCGGCTCACTGCAACTTCTGCCTCCCGGGTTCAAGCTATTCTCCTGCCTCAGCCTCCCGAGTACATGGGATTATAGGTGCATGCCACCATGTCCGGCTAATTTTTGTTGTTGTTGTTTTGAGATGGAGTCCCTCTCTGTCACCCAGGCTGGAGTGCAATGGCACGATGTCAGCTCACTGCAACCTCCACCTCCTGGGTTCAAGCAATTCTCCTGCCTCAGCCTCCTTAGTAGCTTGGCTTACAGGCGCGTGCCACCACGCCCGGCTAATTTTTTGTATTTTTAGTAGAGACGGGGTGTCACCATATTGGTTAGGCTGGTCTCAAACTCCTGACCGCGTGATCCACCCACCTCGGCCTCTCAAAGTGCTGGGATTACAGGCGTGAGCCACTGCGCCTGGCCAAGGTTTTTTTCAGAGGTTTTTTTTTTTTTTTTTTTTTAATTCAATATCATGTAAGATAGCGGTCCCCAAACTTTTTGGCACCAGGGACAGGTTTTGTGGAAGACAATTTTTCCACAAACCTGGGCAGAGCTGGGGATGGTTTTGGGATGAACGTTCCACCTCAGATTATCAGGCATTAGACTCTCAGAAGGAGTATGCAACCTAGATCCCTCTGATGCGCAGTTCACAATAGAGTTCACTCTCCTATGAGAATCTAATGCTATTGCTGATCTGACCGGAGGTAGAGCTCAGGTGGTAATGCCTGCTCACCTGCTGTGCCGCTTGGTTCCTAACAGGTCACAGAACTGTACCTGGGGGTTGGGGACTTCTGACATAAGACATAGAAGTGACATGTTGTCATGCTGTGGGATGAAAATGCCCCTTGACTGCCTTCTTGTTCATGATTGCTTTCCCTGTTGAAGCCTGGAGAGGAGTGGGCTGTTGAAACAGGAGCCAGGGTTGTGGAATAATGGTGTTAAGATCATAGGTTCACCACTTACCTCTGCCTCATGCTAACACTTGACCTTGGCAAGTTAGTTAACCTCATTTCCTTCAGCTATGACATGGGGATAATGAGTCCCCATCAGTGATTTATTTGGCAGAGAGAGTCACATTCAGTATTGCTCAGTGGGACAGGGGCTCCGTGGTGATATGTTGCTAACTAAACAGGTCAGGCATTCGTAGCCACTCTGGGTAAGTGCCCGGTGGTTAGGTAATGTGTGACAGCCAGCAGCCAAAGTGGACATACTCAGAGACAGTTCCTGGCTGGCTGCCCAAGCCTTACATCTGTAGCTAAAGAATTACTGAAAATGTGAATGAAAATATCTCCTCTCCTGGCTTGTGGTCCAGAGCTCAGACTCAGGAACCGAATTTACATAGGTTTGAATCCCAGATCTGCTCTTATTGGCTGAGTGAGCTTGGGCAGGTTCCCTACATTTTTTTCATGTGTAGAATGGGGATATTAAGAGTAATCTGCCTTGGGGTGGCAGGCAAGATTAAATGAATATGTAGATGTGAAGTTCTCTGAATGAGTGGCACCTACTGCTAACTTTTCCCCTGCTTCCCAAGTTTATTCAGTGAGCAAATTTATCAAGTGCCTTCTATACAACCAGACATTCTACTAGGTGCTGGCAAATGAATCAGACCTAATTGCTGCCCTTATAAAGCTTATGGCATAGTACAGGGGTTGGTAAGCTTTTCTGTAAATGTCTGGACAGTAAATGCTTTAGACTTTGTGGGCCGTAGTGTCTCTATCACAGCTACGCAATTCTGCTGTTAATATTGTGAAAGTAGTTGCCATAAGTAAATGAATGATCATGGCTGTGTTGCAGTAAAACTTTATTTATGACAACAATTGGTGGGTCATATTCTGCCCATAGGCTGTAATTTGCAGACCTGTGGTCTAGTGGGAAGACAGTTGTTAAATAATTACAATTATGATGTTACAGATTGTGCTAAGGGCTGTGGAGGAACAGACAGGATTCTATGAGTGGGAAGGGTCAGGGAAGGTAGCTTTGAAGAAGTGACATTGAAACCAAATGATGAGGAGAGGCAGCCAGAGGAGGAGATGGAGGGTGCTCCAGGCTGGTCTGTGGGTTCGTATCTTTTAAAGGCATAACAGATATTCTGCAGCTTTCTTTGGATTAAAATAAATAATTTCGTTCCTCTATTTAATTCATCGCCAGTTTTCTCCTCCCCTACCCTCTCCCTGCAATAATCCAAGAGATAAGCTATGTTACCAAGAGATAAGCTACATTAATATATTAACACATTTTGTTCTGCATATGCACTTTCTTTCTCTCCCTTTTCCATTGTTTTTGTTATATTATTGTCAGTATCTATCCAAGTATTTAGTAAAGATTGCACATTATTTCATTATTAGGTGTAGAATGGTTTACTCTCTAGAACTCAAATTTGCTTTTTGGTACGGTTTTCTCTTTTAGCATTTTAAAAGTTGACATTATTTGTTTTTATTCTTTGGCTAGATAAAAGGTCCACAGTCTTTGAAGTGATTTTGAAAAAAAATCTGCTTTCCTCTTAACTACATCTCATGTCTCCTCTGACTCCCAACCTCAATTTTATGTTTTCTCTAAACAAGTTGCCAGTACTCTGTAGAGATTCCATGGAAAAGGACTTGTGTGTTCTCATTCTAGAAAATTTCAAGGGGTGCTTCAGAAGGAAGGGGGTTCTCCCAACAACTTTGTGACCTCTTCGGTTTCTTCAGTTCTTTCAGTTCTGTGGTTCCAAGGAGACTCTGCCTCCCTGAGAGTCAATATTATGTAGTAGTTAGGGGCACACACACTGGAGCCAGATTGTTCAAGTTCAAACCCAATTCCAGTACTTAGTAGCTGTGTGAACTTGAATAGTTCCCTGCCCTCTCAGTTTTCTTATCTTTAAAATAAGGCCAGTAGCAGTGTCTGCCTCATAGAGTTATTATGAAGATGAAAATGAATGAAATACAAGTAAAATCCCTAGAACAGTAACTGTACACAGTCTATGCTATTTATGAGTTCTCTATTATTATTAATTACATCAGAGGCATCGGTAGCCATAATTCCTCTGTAATCACCCTTGAATTCTGTCAGGTGTCTTCTGACTCATCCTGAGATCTTGGGCTGAGTCACTTCATTTTTGCTTCACTTTCTTCATAAGACTATAGGAATGATCTTTGTCATCAGAATTCTGGGGACACTAGTCCTTTTGAAAATAGGTCCTTTATGTGCTTTGTACTTTGAAAGTATAGTTGATAAGTAGAGTAGCCTTTTGAACGATAGATCTACAAATGTGGGTTTAGCAGCAATGTTCACCTCTTCTGTCATCCACTTTAATTTATGGTCTATAATTAATGACTTATTCTCTATGTACTTAGAAATCCTTACATGTTATCTTTGGCCTTTCTTGTGTCCCTTCCTTGTACAAACTTGAAAGAAAGGCTGCATGTCCTAGGATGCAGATAAATGAGGTGCCTTAGAAAGATCTTGGGCAAGTAAGTTTACTTCTCTGGGCCTTCGTTTTTTAATCTGTGGCATGGTCTGGCTCTTCTCCAAGGATGCTTCCTGGTCCCTGTGTTTTTGTTTTAGGCTCTTCCATATTTTGACAGTGTTCTCATTGGTTTTTCCAGACCTTTTAATGCCATTGTTTTGATTATTTCCTCCTTCTGGGCAAGGCCGTCTTCATCCTTTACCCCTCGACCAAGGAAGAAATTCTAACTTGTTTTCCTTGTAAATTGCTTCAAAACATTTCTTTCTTTATCCGTCTTATGCATTTATGAATCATCCTTCCTGGGATTTTGTTATTGTTGTTTGTGTTTTGGTAGCACCCCTTGGCAGTCATAGAATTGCTTTCAGAGGTGCTTTGAGGAGCTAACATTATAGTCTTGTTGGAACTTGTCCCAGCTCAGATGCTATTTTTAATAAAGTTGGCTGCACTGTTTTTCAAAGGTTACTACGTTTTTTACTGATGGAAATAAGAACCCTATGTTTCTTATGCTTCCCGACCCTGTGATTTACCCCCCAAGATCGGTACTTTGTTCACCATCTGGTCATATAACAATTATTTTTCAGTTCCCCTCATTGCCTTTTGTGTCTTGTGCAGGGTGCTAGCAATAGAAGTGCAATCTCTTGGGTTTGTAACATACTTTACAATTTATACAGTGCTGATAACATTCCCAGTTTTGCTTCATTCTCTCTGCTGCCCTGAGGAATAGTCAGGCTGGATATCAACAGCCCAGCCTCTCAGCCAGGAAGTTAAGGCCACAGAGAGGTAAAGTGACTGAAATCAAAGGCATTTCATAGTGGTAAAAAAAAAAAAATGGCCAAATACAGCTCTGAGGTATTTGCCGAGGGCCTTAGGCAACTGGTTTGCAGGACATTTGTTTACTAAACTTTCATTATATTTTTAAAAATTTGTTAATTTTTTTTTTTTTTTTTGAGATGGAGTTTTGCTCTTATTGCTTAGGCTGGAGTGCCGTGGCGTGATCTTGGCTCATTGCAACCTCTGTCTCCCAGGTTCAGGCAATTCCCCTGCCTCAGTCTCCTGAGTAGCTGGGACTACAGGCATGTGCCACCATGCCTGGCTAATTTTGTATTTTTTTTTTAAGTAGAGACAGAGTTTCTCCATGTTGGTCAGGCTGGTCTCGAACTCCCAACCTCAAGTGATCCGCTCACCTTGGCCTCCCAAACTGCTAGGATTACAGCCATAAGCCTGGCCTAAAATTTTAATAAAAAATAATAATTGCTCATAGTAAAAATTTGAAGAGTTAAGAAGATAATAAGAAAAGCCACTTCTTGACCTCCTCTTCTTCTAGGCCTACTCCCTGATGCTGAAGACCACTGTTATAATCTCTCAAGTCTTCTTTCAAAAATTTCCATTAAATGTAGATGTTGAATACAGTGGCCTGGTCTTGTTCACCTTGTGTCCCTCAGATGTAGAATAGAGCCAGGCACGTCGCAGGGCTCAGTGTCTGTTGATGGAATGAACCACATTTACAGTATTGTCCTATGCAACACGTTATTACTCTGTAACATGTTTTTACTTATCATTGTATCTTAGGCAAATTTTCATAGCAGTACCTGTAGGGTAACTTTACTTTTTAAATTAGCTACATGGTATTCCATCATATGAATTACTATAATTATTTACCCAATTCAAGTTACTCCCATTTTTTTTTTCCTGTTAGAAAGCTTGCTGCAGGGATATGACTACTGATTGTCCCCTCAGTATCCATTTTTCAGCCAGGCACAATGGCTCACACCAGTAATCCCAGCACTTTAGGAGGTCAAGGGGAAAGGATTGTTTGAGCCCAGGAATTTCGAGACCAGCCTGGACAACATGGCAAGACCCTGACTCTACCAAAAAAAAAAAAAAAAAAAAAAACCCAGGCATGGTAGCATATGCCTGTAGTACCAGCTACTCATGGGGCTGAGGTGGGAGGATCACTTGAGCCTGAAAGGTTGACGCTGCAGTGAACCCTGTTAGCACCACTGCACTCCAGCCTGGGCGACAGAGTGAGAACCTGTCTGAAAAAAAAAATTCACTTTTCATTTCTAGAGACATTTTACCTGGTCGTGGCTGCCCAGGTAAAGACCACCTTTGCCAAACTCCCTTGCAGCTAGGTGTGGCCATATGACTAGATTAGATTCTAGCTAGCAGGATTGTGAGCAAAAGTAATGTGTGCAGCTTCCAGGAGCATCCTAGAGGAGGATCAGTCCTTTCCCATTTTTTTTTCTGCTTCCCCCTGGCAGAAGGCATTTGGTGGTAGGAGCTAGAGTAGCCATATTGGTTCCAAAGATGGAAACTGGCTCTTGAGGATGACAGTGCAACAAGATAAAAGGACCCCGAGTCCTCAACACTGCAGAGCAGCTGTATCAGGCCCACGCTGCATCCTCTTGCATACTTACATGAGAGAAAAATAAATTTTCATCTTGTTTAATCCACACTTACATTATTTGGGTCTTTTTACAGCCTTTATCTCTTTTTCCACTTCTGTGAAAATATAGTAGAATAAAAAAAGTCAAATTGCAGGGTTGAAGGATATGGTCATTTAAAACTTTGATGCTACTGCTTAATTTATCTTTAAGCAATTATCATCATGATCTCATGAAACATTCCCCATCATGTCTGTGTTCTTTTATTATGCAAACATTTACATTTAACATATTTAAGCCCTAAGTCTGTTAAGGATGCACAAAGATTCACGTTACCAATGAAAAATGCTAGCATGTGAAGTAGGAGTTTGGTTCCAAATGTCAATATCAGTGACATTCTGTATCCATGGAAACCAATTCTTAGAGTATGTGTCTATAAAAGGGAAGGGAGAATGGGGAAGTGGTGAAGGGTACCGCTTATGCCTCACTGAACAGTACATAGGGAGAGCACGAACATATGTTTCCAAATTATCATGCACATGGAAGCTACCCAGACAGCCCTACCCATCCCTGTCCATGCATGCATTCATCCAGCCATCAGTCCATGCAGCAGGTATTGTGGGGCTACTATGTGCTAGCCACTGAGAACGCAGTATTGGGCAGGTCAGACACATTCTTTGCTCCCACGAGTAATATATATATTTTTTTCATAAAAAAAATATATATATAAAATTATATATATTATATATATAATTTAGGGCATTGGACAGATGTTAATAATTATATAAATAATAACTGGAATATATAAGGGAGACATACAGGATGCTATGAGTGGGGAGTAGAGCATGGGGCGGGGTATATTACTTTCCTATTGCTGCTGTAAAAATTACCACAAACTTAGTAGCTTAAAAAGACAAAAATATATTATCTTACAGTTCTGGAGGTCACAAGCCTTAAAATCCAGGTGCAGCAGGGCTGTACACCTTCCAGAGGCTCTAGGGGAGAATCTATTTCCTTGCCTTTTCTAGTTTGTAGAGGCTGCCTGCATCCCTTGGCTCATGGCTCCTTCTTCCCTCTTCAAGGCCAGCAGCATGGCATCTTCAGTCTCTCCGTCTGACCTCTACATCTGTTGTCACGTCCCGTCACTGATTCTGACCTTCTTGCCTCCCTCTCTTGAAGTCACTTGTAATTATACTGTGTCTCCTGGGATAATCCAAGATAATCTCCCCATCTCAAGGTTCTTAATTATTTAATCATATCTGCAAAGTCCCTTTTGCCACATAAGGTAACGTCATCATGGGTTCTAGGGATTAGGGCCTGGACACCTTTGGGAGGGGCAGTATTCTCTCTGTCACAGAGGCTGACTTAACCTAGGGGTGCCAGTGTAGAATTCTCCTGGGAGCTGACCTTTAAGCTGGCCTTGCAGGATGCTGGGACACAGGCGTCTGAAGAAGCAGGGAAGGAGGAGCACTCAGATGGTAAGCAGGGGGCATTTGAGGTACCGGAGAACAGCAGGAGGGCCATTGGAACAGGGGATGAGGGGCAGGAGATGAGGTTGGAAACAGCAGTGAAGGTCACTGGAGGATTTTAAGCAGATTCATATTTTAAAAGAGCACTTTTTGCAGCGTTGACAGTGGGGTTAGAGGTAGGTAAGGTGGGCAGTAGAAGCCATTCAGGATGTGGTTGTAATTCAGATGAGAGATCTGGTAGTCTGGCCTAGCTGGTGGCAGTAGAGTAAAAGAGAAGCACATGAGATTGAGAGATTTAGTGAGGGTGAGGCAATAGGACAGTGATGGATGGGCAGAGAGTGCAGAGGACGATGTCGGCATGACCCATAGGTTTTTGACATGAGCCAAGAAGAGGAGGGTATTGTTCTTTTCTGAGCAGGGAAACACCAGATAAATGAAAAATCTAGTTTTAGTTAAATTGATTTTGAGATCCTGTAAGACAAGTAAGTGGATTTGCCAGTATTCATTCAGCCTGGAGCTCAGAAATGAGGTGTCCAGGCTGCCGAGAAAGAGTTGGAAATGGTTGGCATGTAGCAGCTGATTGAAGCCATGTGAGTGGTTCCTGCCTGGGCCTGGGAGAGGGTGGAGGGCCCCAGACAGCCCTTGGAAAAAGCCAGCCACCTAAAAGTGCCATGGAGTTTGCCAGATTTGAAGCTCAACAGTGATGAAGTGAGGGTAGAGCCCAGAAGGGGCTTTTCGAGGAGTGATTTGGAGATAAGGAAGTAGAGACAAGTCTTAAGATTTTATTAGGAGGCTGGGTGCAGTGGCTCATACCTGTTATCCCAGCACTTTGGGAGGCCAAGGTGGGCAGGTTGCTTGAGTCCAGGAGTTTGAGACTAGCCTGAGCAACATGGAAAACCCTGTCCCTACAAAAAAATACAAAAATTATCTGGGTGTGGGTTATGCACCTGTAAGTCCCAGCTACTTGGAAGGCTGAGGTGGGAGGATCGCTTGAGCCTGGGAGGTCAAGGCTGCAGTGAGCCAAGATCACACCCATGCACTGCAGTCTGGGCAATAGAGTGAGACCCTGTCTCATAAAAAGAAAAAAAAAAAGATTTTATTATGGAACACCTGAGACATTTTGTATTAATTTACTATTATTGCTGTAACAAATTACCATTAACTTAGTGTCTTTTTTTTTTTTTTTTTTTTTTTTGAGACAGAGTCTTACTCTGTCACCCAGGCTGGAGTGCAGTGGCACCATCTTGGCTCACTGCAACCTCTGCCTCCTGGGTTCAAGCAATTCTCCCGCCTCAGCCTCCCAAGTAGCTGGGACTACAGGTGCCTGCTATCATGCCCGGCTAATTTTTGTATTTTTACTAGAGATGGGGTTTCACCATATTGGCCAGGCTGGTCTTGAACTCCTGACCTTGTGATCTGCCTGCCTTGGCCTCCCAAAGTGCTAGGATTACAGACGTGAGCCACCGCGCCTGGCCAACTTAGTGTCTTAAATAATATACATTTATGATCTTACAGTTCTGGAGGTCAGAAGTCTGAAATGGGTCTCACCGGGCTAAAATCAAGGTGGTACCAGGCTGTGTTCTTCTGGGAGGCTGTAAGGAGACCCATTTCCTTGCCTTTCCTGGTTTCCAAAGGCTGCCTACCTTGCTTGCCTCTGGCCTCTTCCTCCATCTTCAAAGCCAGTGAGGGTGAGCTGAGACCTCACACATTGCCTCACTCTGATCTCTTCTGCTTCTGTCTCTCACTTGGAAGGACCCTTGTGATTGACCCCATTGGGCCTACCTGGAGAATCCAGGACAATCTCCCTATTGTAAGGTCACTGGGTTAGCAAATTAATTCCATCTACAGCCTGAATTTCCTTTTGCCATGTCAGGTCATGTATTTTCTAGTTATGGAGGTTAGGGGGACTACTATTCTGCCTATATACATCGATGTGAAAAATAAACAGAAAGCACAGTGAACCCCTACACACCCATCACTCAACTTCAACAACACAGCTTTATCCTCCACCCCCACTTCTCCCCACCTCACCACCAGCTTGTTTGAAACCCATCTCAGAAATCATCTGATTCATCCATAAATGTTTCAGAATAAACAGTTGTTTAAGAAAGTTTAGCTCTGAGGGGGAAGTGAGGAGGAGGGTAACTGGAGGTGATGTTTGGGGCAGTGTGGGTGTGTGTATTTTTGATATGGGAGATGCTGAAGCATGTTTAAATGCTGACGGGAAGGATCTGATAGAGGAGGAGAGATTGCCCTTGGACAAGAGAGATCTCTCTGTCATTAGCAAGAAAGAAAGAGGCATGTAGGAAGTTGGGGGAGTCCCTGTCTAATAGTTAATGGTTTTTTTCTGTTGAGTGGAAGGCCAGTGAGAAGGGTCAAGGGGATGGCGAGGTTTTGAGGAACTTGGGGACCATTGGAAATGAGCACTATGGAGTGGAGAGTGAATGCACTGGAGAAACCCTGAAATGTGGGACCTGTTGTGGGCCACTTGAAATGGGGGCATTCCAGTGAATCTAGTCGGCTTGGTTGTTTGACCTTTTTTTCCATCTAGCATTGCACATTTGTCTGGGTGTATGTTCAGAGAGGAAAATGTTTGGTTTACACTGGCTTGGCTTTCTTGCCAGATCGTATGGCCAAAGGGCAGGGTGAGGGCTATTTAGAAGAGCAGCTGGATCCGTTATCCATATACTCAAAGTTGAATGAGAAAGTAGAGGACTAGAGGTTCTGGAGAGATGTAGATGTGGCTGTGATGGTGGGCTTAAAAGAAGCCAGTGGTAACATTGCCTGGAGGGTATAAGGAGGCAAAAAAAAAAAAAAAAAGAAGAAGTAGAAGCAGCCAGCTGACAGCTGAGTTTGGGTAGACTGTGGGCAGTTGCATTTGAGGATTTCAGGGTGATGGCCAGATCCAGGGTGTCTATGGGAGGGGTAGCTGAAGTGGAATGGAATTTTAAAAAGTGGAGTGAAATAAAAGACAATTGAAAAATAGGACATCAAGTTGCTGCGAGAGCATGGGTGGGATGGCTCATCCATCCACATGGGTGTTGAAATCACCTGGGATGATACCAAGAGTTGTAGTATAATTGTAGGTCTTCCATGAGTCGGGTCAGCCAAGACAAGGGTCAAGGAAGGAGCTTCACAGTGGTGGGAGGCATAGATCTCAGAAAGGGAGATGTTTTGGCTGGGCGTGGCGGCTCATGCCTGTAATCCCAGCACTTTGGGAGGCCGAGGCAGGTGGATCACTTGAGGTCAGGAGTTTGAGACCAGCCTGGCCAACATGGTGAAACCCCATCTCTAGTAAAAATACAAAAATTAGCTGGGCATGGTGGCGAATGCCTGTAATCCCAGCTACTCAGGAGGCTGAGGCAGGAGAATTTTTTTTTTTTTTTTTTTTGAGACAAAGTCTCGCTCTTGTCGCCCAGGCTGGAGTGCAATGGCGTGATCTCAGCTCACTGCAACCTCCGCCTCCTGGGTTCAAGTGATTCTCCTGCCTCAGCCTCCTGAGTAGCTGGGATTACAGGCGGCTGCCACCACAACCGGTCAATTTTTGTATTTTTAGTAGAGACAGGGTTTTACCATGTTGGCCAGGCTGGGCTCAAACTCCTGACCTTAGGCAATCTGCCCACCTCAGTGTCCCAAAGTGCTGGGATTACAGGCGTGAGCCACCATGCCTGGCCCAGGAGAATTGTTTGAACCCAGGGGGTAGAGGTTGCAGTGAGCCGAGATCAAGCCAGTGCACTTCAGCCTGGGGACACAGCGAGACTGCGTCTCAAAAAAAAAAAAAGAAAAAAGACACGAAAATGTTTTTACAAGAGGGTAAGGGTGTCATGGTCTAGAAGCAGCGCCAAGGATCAGGGCCCAGCCAACTTCTCCTCATGACCCTTGCAGATCCAAGCAAGCTTAACCTGAGGGGTGTTGAGGAAGTGTTGGCCTCAGAGTAGAGCCAGTTTTCACTGAAAGCACAGAGAGCTCACTTTGATTTTTCGCTGTGCTGTTTTGTCCTGTCCTGTGCTGTGCTGTGTTGTGCTGTGGTACACTCAGCCTCCTGCCTGAGTGGGCCAGGCCTCTGTCTCCAGCATATTTCTCTTGAACACTGACCCCTGGGTTGCCATCCTTAGTATGAGTCATCACCTCCAGGTTCCCATCTCCCAAAATGGGAAAATATTAAGATAGGTAGAAAAAGCACACCGAACCTAAGAATTTCCATAACTTGAATATGTTCCTACATCATAAAGAAAGATTTAATGGTATCTCTCTCCATGTGCTATACTTTTATATCTGACATTCCTCCCGGGCTCTAAGCCATATATCCTAATTTTGCTTGAAGAATGGTTATGGGGGTATATTTAATATGCATTATTTACATTGATTTATGCTTGAGATATAACTTTATTGAAAATTTTTAGTGATTTTTGTCTATACCAAAAAGTCCTACCATAATTTGCTGTGTTATTTCAAAAATTCAGCCTTGTATATAGTGTCACATTATTGTGAAGGCAGTGAGCACTCCCCAACTCCCCCATACTAATGAAAAGACATGGAAACTATCCTAGATGCAAATGATCCTTGAACTGTAAGTCTCACATGACAGGTAAAGGGAGTTATTCGTTTGGTGCAACAGTATTAAGGACCTAGGAAACAAGTGGAATTTGAAGGATGTTATGATGAGGGGAGGCTGTGTGCCATTTCTACTGTAGTTCTGTGGTCCGAGGAGGGTCATTTTGCATTTAATGTTTGCTTAGGGACAAGTGGCCATTTCAACTAGTTCTCAGTTACGTTTTGGTCATTTCTTTCTGTGAGAGGAGATGCCAGTTGTGAGTCCAAAATAAGTAGTAGCAGCAGATCAATTTTTAAAAATGAAACTTACCTTTCTTTTTCTTTCTTTCTTTCTTTCTTTCTTTCTTTCTTTCTTTTCTTTTCTTTCTTTCTTTCTTTCTTTCTTTCTTTCTTTCTTTCTTTCTTTCTTTCTTTCTTTCTTTCTTTCTCTTTCTTTCTTTCTCTTTCCCTTCCTTCCTTCCTTCCTTTTCTTTCTCTGTCTTGTCTTCTCTTGTCTTTTCTTTTTTTTTCTGTTCTGTTCTGTTCTTTTCCTTCTTGAGACAGGGTATCACTCTGTTGCCCAGGCTGGAGTGCAGTGGTGCCATCACAGCTCACTGCACAGCCTCCACCTCCCCAGGCTCCTTCCACCTCAGCCTCTTGAGTAGCTGGCACTACAGGTTTGTGCTACCTGCTAAGTTTTATATTTTTTGTAGAGACAGGATTTTACCATGTTGCCCAGGCTGGTCTCGAACCACTGAGGCTCAAGGGATCTGCCCACCTCAGCCTCCCAAAGTGCTGGAATTACAGGTGTGAGCCACCATGTCCGGCCAAAACTTTTTTCTTATTCATTTAAAAATACCTGTCTCTTAAGTCTTGAGTTTCTGTGAGCTGTTAGTCTTCCATGATGGCCTGTGAAGGTAGACAGAGCCTTCTCTAGAATGATGATAGAGTCCATGGTACAAATGGAGCCTTATTTTACTTGCTTCCCAAACTACTTACCTTATTGGACTGAACATGGGTCACTTTTCCTAATCCTAGAAGACTCATTCAGGTCTTAGGGAGTGCTGATAATCATTTGCCAGTAACTGACCCTTAGTGGGGCTCAACAAAAGGTTTAATAGTAGAATTGCTCTGCACAGCATTTGCTTATGATTGTGGACTCTCAAGTCTGCCTCTTAGGTTCAAATCCTAGCTCTACCACTTACAATGGACCTTGGGTGGATTCTTAAATGCTTCTGAGTCTTAAGTTCCTTGTCCGTGCAATGGGGATAGTAGTAGTACTTACCTCACTTACCTCTCTTTCCCCTTCTTCCCCTTCCCTTTCCCCTTCCCCTTCCCCTTCCCCTTCCCTTGCCTTCCCTTTCCAATGGAGTCTCATTCTGTACCCAGGCTGGAGTGCAGTGGCACAATCTTGGCTCACTGCAACCTCCAGCCCCCAGGTTCAAGCAGTTCTCATGTCTCAGCCTCCCGAGTAGCTGGGATTACAGATGCCTGCCACCACACCTGGCTAATTTTTGTATTTTTAGTAGAGATGGGATTTTACCATGTTGGCTAGGCTGGTTTGAAACTCCTGACCTCAAGTGATCCGCTCACCTCGGCCTCCCAAAGTGCTGGGATTATAGGCATGAGACACTGCACCCAGCCCCTGCACTATTATTTTTAAATAAACTCTCCAACACACTTTTCCTTTCAGTCTGTCTTCATCTGCTAAAATGTGAAATCCATGAGAGCAGGCATTGTGTGTTTAGCTCACTGTTCTGTTATCCATGCCCAGACCTAGAGAACAGTGTGTCTGGCTTAGTGGGTGCTCAGTAAATCTTTATTAAAATGAATACATTGACTTTGATAGTGGTAATATGATTCTGTATGCCATCAAATATTACAAAAGCTGCTGTAGCTGTTTGAAATGCCCGTGTTTTATTCAGAAGTTCTTGGCGATTGTTTGTTCATTTGCCTGTC
The DNA here is from genome assembly GCF_000001405.40 of Homo sapiens. Taxonomy (NCBI): domain Eukaryota; kingdom Metazoa; phylum Chordata; class Mammalia; order Primates; family Hominidae; genus Homo; species Homo sapiens. The sequence continues at coordinate 52,631,408 of NC_000004.12, read as the reverse complement.
TCAAACTTTCTTTTCTAAATAGAAAATTGAAGTCAAGTAGAGTAGGTTTTAGGGGATGAATAAGTTGAATGAGAAGAAGAATAAGGCTGACATTATTAACTACTCTTCTGCTTTACTTCTGACACATTTTTCTTCAGTGCAAACATCAACAAATACCGTGTTGACCAGGGAAGATGCTTGTCTCAATAGTAGACTCTTTTAGGTATGATTTTACTTTTTGTCTATTTTACATGCAACAGAACTTTTGCTATTTTTCTCTTTTAGGGCACCAATGCCTCTGCTCTGGAAAAAGACATTGGTCCAGAGCAGTTTCCAATCAATGAACACTATTTCGGATTGGTCAATGTAAGTATGTAAAATGTATTATTTTCATCAAATGTTTTAGGGTATATGAAGCAACTCCACTTTAAGTGCATTTTTATCACTACCAATTTTTAAATGATTGGTCATGCTCCGTAGTTAGTAGAATGCCAATATTGGGGAGAAAGCAACTTAACCTATTTTTGAAAGTATGAGTTGTCCCAGCAAAAAACATTTAATTATTGCATTTTGGGTCAAATTTACATTTTCCCCCCATGCTTTAAGGAATTTCCTTTGCACACATAACTTTCATAATAATTTCATTAGTCTTTGTAGCCAAATCTGATTTTTTCTTTTTTTTTTTTTTTTTTTGAGACAGAGTCTTGCTCTGTCGCTCAGGTTGGAGTGCAATGGCACAATCTTGACTCACTGCAACCTCCACCTCGTGTGTTCAAGCGATCTCCTACCTCAGCCTCCCGAGTAGCTGGGATTACAGGCATGCGCCACCATGCCCAGCTAATTTTTTAGTAGAGACAGGGTTTTGCCATGTTGGCCAGAGCTCCAGACCTCAGGTGATCCACCTGCTTCGGCCTCCCAAAGTGTGGGGATTACAGGTGTGAGCCACTGCACCAGGCCCGAAATCTGCTTTTATATGTTCTGCCTGTGTCATTTGGATGAACTGTTCAGCCAGTCTTTGTTTAAGTATGCATCAGTACAACCAGTGTTTTAAAAACATTACCAGCACATTGCCAGTGTCTTTCTTTAACAGTGTAACTTGCTGGTGTACCTGAAGCAGGACAGGTTGGGAGAGAAAACTGGGACCATTTTATCTCAGAATTCCTGGCCTCATTTTTTTTGCACTCAGCAGTAACCTCCTTTGTAGAAGGCTGGACCCAGCAGCTCTGCTTCCTTGGCAGGTTAATGATAACGGAGTAGTAACACGGTAGAGGCGGTGTGCCCTCCATCCTCGTGAGCTTTCTTCTTCACTTGATCCTTTTTCTCTGGGATGTAGGTGTTAAGTGACATCAAATATTAACTCAAAAACAATTGGTTTTCTGAATAATTATGCTGAACGTAGTCTGTCAATGCCCAGGTGTGGTAAGTAGTAATTTCCACTGGGAAAGTTGGAAATAATTCTCTGCAAGTAAATGCTGCCCATGATATAATAGGAAGAACATTGGCTTTAATGTAATACAGACCTCGGTTTGAATTCTGCCTGTGCTACTCCCTAGCTTGTGTGATCTTGGGCAAGTCACTTGCACTCTCTGAGCCTCCATTTCCCCATCTGTAAAGTGGGGGTCATAATGGCTTCTACCCTTTGGGTGATAATGAAGGGTAAATGAGAGCGCCTATTTAAAACCCTGACATGAAGCTGAGACATACTGTGGACACTCGGTAAATGTTCGTTCCTTTCCCTTCCCAGGAGTTGTCCACTGAATTGGGGCCAAGCGTTACTGAAGGGTGTCTGGGGAAAGGTGAGATACTGAGTAAGAGAGGAAAAAATGGAAGGAGGAAAGCTAAGCCCTGGAATATAGGGCATTGTGTTGGTGAAATACTGACTTATGATTTTAAAACAAACTTTTTAGCCATTTTGCACAGGCCTCTGCTTAGCCCTGTGAAGTGAGTTATTCAAGGCATGGGGATTCTGCCCTGGCTAAGAAAAATACAAATGCAGATAGTGGAGAGAGAGAAAAAAGAGAAAGAATTAAGGCCATTTCCTAGTTTGTGTAAGGTTTGTGGGATCTGTGTTTATTAATAGCTTCATTTATGTTCCCTTTGAATGGTAATTTATGAAAGTTCCAGCTTCTCTGTACAAAGAGGTTTGTCTCCTGTTACATAATTGTGTCAAAGTAGATTAAAATATAAAAATAGGAAGCCTTCTATCTTAGCATACATAGAAATGTCATGTTAAGTATGGCAGAGCATCTGTCTCGCTCTTGGGTAAACGACACACAAGCCAACAACCAGTTTTGAGAAGGTGTTCATGTTCTATTTTAATCTTACATAGCATTTCATAATCTGTGTTATTAATCTTGTTAGTTATTTCCTTAGAATTTTTTTCTTTAAATTTTATTGTGCACAACAAATTCTAAAGTGATAGTCTCAGCTGTGTTCTTCTACAGAGGTGGTCTTATAGTCAGTAGAAAATCAGTGAGACGTTTTCCCTCTTTAATAATAATCTCAGTATCCATGCTTTGTGAGAGGTATAAAATGTTACTGGGTGGGCCCTAATGTGATTGCAGGCTAGGAACTTGGGTAGTATTGCATTGGCACAATTGCCGCCTTGGCAGAAGCAAGATCAAGGGCCATTTAGAAGTCCAGAGGGTGGGAAGCTGGGAGAGTGACATGAGGCAGCATATTTTTGCCTGCGTTGCTGTGTTGCTCGGGGTTAAGTGAGGAAATGTGGTCTGAGCCAGTGGGCAGGAGTACTGGAATATTGAAAAATGAAAACCAGCCCCTGTTCAGTTTAGGCTGTTTCAGCCGAGCAAGTGGTTCCTAATTACTGGATTTCTTTTTGATTCATATTTTTATTTTCCCTGTCATGGGAGTTTTGATATGTTGCAATGTGCATCTTTTATTTAGCCAGCTGCTTTCCTGGGTCTCCACAGTATGTAGATTTTTTTCCCCTTCTCTTTCTCTGTTTTTTAAGCACCAGCAGGTCTCGTTAGACTCTTTATTGAGGTAGAGTGCTTATTATCATTTTAGAGACTTTGATGGGCTAGAGAAGCACCGGAATGATGTGCATTTTTCTTCATTTCTCTGTGGATCAGATGGTCACTGGTGTTTAGAGTAGTTAACTAGTTTTCTAATATGGTGAGCTGGACTCCAATACAGGGACATCCAGGCCAGTTCACGGAGCAGGGACCTTCTCACCCTCACCACTTATTCCAGAGGTGGCTCATCCCCAGGCAATGACTTGAGCCATCCCTCTTGTCCCTTGGCAGTTTGGAAACACATGCTACTGTAACTCCGTGCTTCAGGCATTGTACTTCTGCCGTCCATTCCGGGAGAATGTGTTGGCATACAAGGCCCAGCAAAAGAAGAAGGAAAACTTGCTGACGTGCCTGGCGGACCTTTTCCACAGCATTGCCACACAGAAGAAGAAGGTTGGCGTCATCCCACCAAAGAAGTTCATTTCAAGGCTGAGAAAAGAGAATGGTGAGTAGTATGCAGTATAATGTATTTAAGCCTCTGAAATAAGGAGAATTGATGGTTCTGTATCTCCTCAAAAGGAAGAGCTGGCATTTTTTTGAAAAGGGAAAATAAGCATGGTTAACTACTCGGTGTCATTTTTTAAGAAACAACATTTCTTCTCTGCCCAGTAAACTTAAAACAAAACTGGGTTAGAAACATGCTTAAAAACGCACATTTATTATTCCAATTTAGAATGACCATTTTATTTGCTCCATTCTGGGCAGGATCATTGTAAGAGAGAATAGTGTCCAAGGCAGCCTTCGGAGTGGGATACTCATTGGCCTAAATTGGTTGATGCAATAATTAAATAAAATAGTACTGGCTTATAAACTTGTCATAGGTGATTAAAATAAGTGCCTGTTATCTAATCAGAGCCTCTGCTGTTTTAAATACAATACCTCTGATTTTCATTTGCCTGAGGTAATTGAAGGATATCAAATTGATTGCTTTATATGGTTTTTAAAAGTCCTGATTTTTCTGGTTTTTCTATCTTCTTCTTCTGGGGGATTGGTAGTAGAAACTAGGTGTGTATTCCAGAAGTTTTGTATTGGCAGTTTTTATGACTATAAAGATATTTGTTATGGCAATTACTATTTATCTTAGATTCAGCCTTACTTCATCAGACGTGCATGGTTAATCAGGTATTTGTTTTATAAAGTCTCTTTTAATTTGATTGCTGTATTTTGAAGTTACAGTTTATACATACCAGATTAAAACTAATTTCAGTGGAGAAGGAAGCAGAGCACTCTGTCGAGTTGTGAACGTGATTAATAATGAAGGTTCACAGCTGCATTCATCTCTGATTGTTTGTCCTTATGGCAGGGAGCAGCACTAGGCTTCTGGAATCATTTGTATTTGGTTTCGGAACACTATCAGATAGATGCTTGCTCACACATACCCTCATCTCCCTTCTGTGTTTCATCTAAGCTGCTTCCAGGCTGGTCCAGGGTTTAATATGATCTTTGGGAGGACACCCCAGTTGCTCTGAATAAATTACCCAATGAATAATTAATTGATCATTGGTAGTTACATCATATTAAAAATTGATATTTTATCAGGGAACTTATCTGATAACTTCTGTTCCTTTGTAGAACAAATAGAACTTTTGGTAGTTTTATATAAATGTGATGACTTTAGGGAGATACGGGAAATTTTGTTCTTGGTGCATGGCAGAAAATGGAAATGAATTAAAAAAGCTCTTTGGAAACTTACTCATTGAAGCTGCCTGGTAGAGATGAGTATATTTATATTCCATACCTGTCCATCCTTTCAATATAAAAGTTGAAGTATGGGCCAGGCGCGGTGGCTCACGTCTGTAATCCCGGCACTTTGGGAGGCCAGGGTGGGCAAATCACAAGGTCAAGAGATTGAGACCATCCTGGCCAACATGGTGAACCTGGTCTCTACTAAAAATACAAAAATTAGCTAGCTGGGTGTGGTGGCATGCACCTGTAGTCCAGCTACTCAAGAGGCTGAGGCAGGAGAATTGCTTGAACCTGGGAGGCAGAGGTTGCAGTGAACTGAGATCATGCCACTACGCTCTAGCCTGGCGACACAGCGAGACTCCATCTCAAAAAAAAAATATTTAAGTATGGCATGTAACACTAATTACATCCATTTGCTTTTCAAGAACCAGAGACTGAAATAACCACCTTCTCCTTTCCAGATCTCTTTGATAACTACATGCAGCAGGATGCTCATGAATTTTTAAATTATTTGCTAAACACTATTGCGGACATCCTTCAGGAGGAGAAGAAACAGGAAAAACAAAATGGAAAATTAAAAAATGGCAACATGAACGAACCTGCGGAAAATAATAAACCAGAACTCACCTGGGTCCATGAGATTTTTCAGGGAACGCTTACCAATGAAACTCGATGCTTGAACTGTGAAACTGTAAGTACTAGGGGAGCTCTTATGTAGCTCGCATGTTCATATTTATGTACGCTATGTTGCATGTGATTGCAATGTCGTATTATAGCATTTAGCAGTTATTTGCAGTGTATGTAAATAATCCTATTTATGCATATGAAACTCAAGTACAAACTTTTGGAAGCACATATCCATCCAGGATGTCTCAGCAGGCCAAAGCTGAATAATAAAGGAAAATCTCCTCAAATGCTGAATTGCTTTACACCATGGGGAAATTTTGGGGTCTACAGATTTAATCTATTGAATTGGATGTCAACCAGTTACCTTGCAAAGATTTTGGTCATGGGGAGGTCTTGTGTGATGTAGAACAGGACCATCACCCCAGTTTAGAGGCAGTCAGCTGTGGTATGTTGAACTTGAAGTCAGAAGACAGGCTAGACTCCTGTTTTTACAGCAGTTAACTGGGTATTTGGGGCGAGTTACTTACAGCACTGTTTTGAGGGTTGGATGAGCTTATGTGTTTGGATGGGTCTGACACATGGTAGGTACATAATGTTAATTGAATTTGAAGACATGTTCTCCAGAGCATGATTCAGGATGTCATATTTTCTTGGCATGTTTAACTTCAACTCTGTGGGTGGCCTCATATTTTGCTGCTTAAGAGCTGAGCTCTGGAGCCAGGCTGCCCAAGTTTGTATGCTGGCTTTTCTGCTTGTTAGCTAGTGGAACCTGTGCAAATTATTAATCTTCTCTGTCCTCACTTTCTTCATCTATAAAATAGGGATGATGAGAATGCCCATCTTGGAGGGTTGGTGGGAGGATTAAATGAGTTGACACCTAGAGCCATGCTTGGCACATGGCAAGTAGGCAATAAATGTCAGGTATTATTTTTTATTATAACTACTACTGACAGCATAGAAAGTCTATGGGTTCATTAAGGATCTCAGAGTTTCCTGACATTGTATGGAAAATTCTATAAGATTGTGCATTTTTCTGGAAAGAGAGGTAGTAGCTTTTGTCAGATTTTGCAAAGAGCCTGTGTCTTAGTCTGGTCTGCTACAACGCAATCCCTCATGAGTTGCTTAAACAACAGAAATTCATTTCTCACAGTTCTGGAGGCTGAAAGTCCCAGATGAAGGTGCTAGCAGGGTCAGGTTCTTGGTGAGGACCTTCTTTCTGCCTTGCAGACAGCTGTCTTCTGGCTGTGTCCTCACTTGGTGGAGATAGAGAAAGCAAGCTCTCTCGGGTCTCCTTTTATAAGGGTACAAATCTTATCATGAGGGCTCCACCCTCATGACCTGTTTGCCTCCCAGAGGCCCATCTCCAAATACCATCCTATTAGAGATGAGGGTTTCAAAGTATGAATTTTGGGAGGACACAGACATTCAGTCCATTGCGAGCTGTGACCCAGAAATGTTTAAGAAATGTAGACTTACACATCAACATCTATGTAAAGGGAGAAGTTTTTAGGTTTTGGCAGTCTTTCTTCCATGCTTTTAAACAATTTTTGAGTCAAGCATTCTGTTTTACCCATTGTAGAAGCAATGAGAAAACACAGCTAAACAAAAAGAGACTAAAAGTTACCGGTAATCTTCCCACCCAGAGATGGTGAATTTGTAACGTTCTAAAATTTGTGATCACATTAGCCCAGAGATAACCACTTGAACATTTAAAAATATATCCTGTCAAAACACTTTCTGCACATAAATATGCCAATAAGTATCCAGAGATCTTCCCTCCCTGCCACTGTCTCTGTATTGCTTTCTCTTCTTCTCTCCCTCCCATTTTCCCTCTGTTCCTTTCTACTTTACATTCCAGTAAAATTCAAATGAATACAAAAGTAGAGGCAGTAGTATGGTATTTCCCATGTGTGTATTATTCAGGATCAGTGATTGTTAACACTTTGGCCAATCCTAATCCTCCCCGCCAACCCCCCAACCCCAACACACCCTTTTTACCTTGCAATTTATTTTTTAAAGAAATCAGGGTGTTTGTCCTATAGCATTTCCCACATTCTGGAAACATTCTTGTGGTGTACTTTAACATGTATGGTAAAATGGCAGTATGTTTCTACCACCCTACTCTTTGTTTTTATTTTTATTTTATTTTTTTAATTTTTTTTGAAACAGAATCTCGCTCTGCTGCCTAGGCTGGAGTACAGTGGCTTGATCTCAGCTCGCTCCAACCTCTGCCTCCCGGGTTCAAGTGATTCTCCTGCCTAAGCAGGAGCTGGGATTACAGGCGCCCACCACCACGCCTGGCTAACTCTTGTATTTTTAGTAGAGATGGGATTTCACCATGTTGGCCAGGCTGGTTTCGAACTCCTGACCTCAAGTAATCTGCCTGCTTTGGGCTCCCAAAGTGCTGGGATTACAGGCGTGAGCCACTGCACCTGGCCCCTACTTTTTGTTTTTATTTAATTAATCTATTTTATATTCATTTTTCTCTCTTCTTTTGGATCAATGAAATATTTTTCATTTTTTTGGCATCTAATGTATTACATTTCCAAATTCATTTAGAGGTTGCTCTAGAGATTACAACATGCATCCTTGACTTATTTCATTTTGTTTCCACTTTTCCAACAGTTAGAGCCTTTAATATACTTTATCGCCCTCTGTCTTTTGTGTTACCATTTTGTGATGAACTCATGAATTTTAACATATTTCATGTGTTTTAATCCATTATAGTTTTTTATTCCTTTTGATATTCAGTTTATTTTCAGAATAACTTTGTATACGTTTAAACATCAAAATTAGGGCTATATTGTAAATATGACAATTGACAGATTTTCAGTCTTTTTCATTTAATAAGGGTGTACTCCTTCTCACCATCCTTACCTCACCTCTTAAATCTATTCTGTTGCCACTCCCTGTCTGCTCTATCTCCCTTAAGATACTTTTCTTCCTCCCTGCTACTCCCATCCTGGCTCAGGCACCCATCAACTCTTGGCTGGCAGTCTCAACTAAACTACTGTAGTAACTCCTACTGGATTCTCTGTTTTTTCCTCTGGCCTTCCTCCATGTTACTCTCCTACCTAAAGTACAGTAGTGGCCTGCAGTCTCACTGAAAATACCACTGCCTACAAATTCTTATGTAAGCTGGCTCTGTCTGTCTCTGCAGGGTCATCTTTGCCATTCTGTTTCTTACTCTAGCTTCAGTGTAGCTTCTCAAGCCTTTCAAATCCCTTCCTGCTTCAGGTCCTTTGCACATGCCACTTTCTGTCTGGAATGCACACCACCTGCCCCTGTTGCTTGACTAAATCCTCTTCAGGTTTCAACTTGTGTTAAAACCCGAGAGAGGCCTTCTCTGAACTTCCAACTTAATGAAGTCACCTTGTATCATCTTACAATAGTCTAATTTTCTGTGATAGCACTTTGTTGTATTTATATATTTATCTATATGTATTTCGTATGCAGCATCTATCTTTCTTACTAAACTGTAAGATTGATGAGGACAGGGATAGTGTCGGTCTTGCTTCTCTCTCTGGTGCCCAAGGAGTATTTGACATATAATAATTAATAAATAGTTGAGTGAATAAATAAATGAAAATGTTTGTCATGTTTCTTGAAGAAGAAAACTATATGCTATGGGAAAAGATTTTGATTTATTTCATGAGGTAGAATTGAGGAATGATTTATAGTAAAGCCTGGTCTAGACTGGTAAGTCTTGAAATTATTTTTTAAATTAGGAAATATATCATTTTTTTAAAGAAGTATATGTGTGTGTGTATAACGTATGTTTATATATAGGCCACATATACATTTTAAAGAATAGTTTAAAAAATCCATATGCCCAACACCTATAAAAAAATGGAACATTAACAATAACTTTGAAACCCACTGTGTACTTCTTTGCAATTTAATTTTCCTCTCAGTCTCATCCTTTGCCCAGGAGGTGATCACTGTCTTCCATTTTGTGTGTCAATACTATCTTTTCTTTGTAGTTGTACATACATACGCATGTGTATTTCTAGACATTTACTTAGTTCTGCATGTTTATGGCTTTTATATAGATGAAATCACATACATGTATTCTTCTAAACTTGCTATTATCATTAAAGGTTATATTAATATTTTTGAGAATTGGCCATTTCTTGTAGCATGGTTCATTCATTGTTATCATTTTGTAGTATACCATTGTAGGAATATACTGCAGTTTGTTTTTCTGTTCTTCTATGGTGTGTCTAGTTTTTGGCTTGTAGACAGTGCTGCTACAAACTATCTCCTGGTCCCCATGGGCAAAATTCTCTCTGGGGTATCCTTTTGGGAGCAGAATTGCTGGCCATAGGGCATGTGCATCTTCAGATTTCCTAGGTAGTGCCAAATTGTTTCTAAAGTGGTGGTAAGTTAGTTACATTAGTAGAGGTTTTTTTTTTTTTATGTGTGTGAGACAGACTCTTGCTCTGTTACCCAGGCTGGAGTGTAGTAACACGATCTTGGCTCACTGCAACCTCTGCGTCCCAGGTTCAAGCAATTCTCCTGTCTCAGCCTCTGGAGTAGCCTGGATTACAGGTGTGCACCACCACGCCCGGCTAATTTTTGTATTTTTAGTAGAGATGAGGTTTTACCAAGTTGGTCAGGCTGGTCTTGAACACCTGACCTCAGGTGATCTGCCCACCTCAGCCTCACAAAGTGCTGGGATTACATACGTGAGCCACAGTGTGCAGTAACATTAATAGAGTTTCTAATGTTGACCCCACTTTGTATTTTTGTAATAAACTGAATTGGGGCTTTATCTTTTATATACATTGTTGGATTGTGAGATCTACGATTTTTAGGATTTTTTTGCCACTATATTTATTGCTGAGATTGGCTTGAACTTTTCCTCTCTCTACTGTACTTGTCTGGTTTTGCTATCAACATTCTGTAAAATTAGTTCTCTCTTTTCTTTGGAAGAGCTTCTATAAGTTTTTATCTATCTGTTCTTTGAATGTTTGATAGAACTGGTGACCTATTTTTGCATATCTGAAATATATAGTTCAGTTTGGCTTGTTTTTGATATTTTGATACATATAAATATGTATCCTTTGTGTTTTGCCTTTTGCTCAGTATCCCTTGTGAGATTCATTTGTGTTGTTGCATGATGCTTTAGTTTATTCGTTTTTATTGCTGTATGGTATTCTGTTGCATGAATGTGCCACAGTTTACTAATTCATTTTACTGTTGTTGGATATTTGGCTATTGCCAGTTTGGGGCAATATGAACAATGCAGCTATGAGCATTTTAATACATTTACTCTAGTGCACCTGAACCCATTTTCTCTAGGATGTGCACATCAGGTAAATCTGTTAGGTCATATGGTATGCTTTTCATTAACATCATTAGAAAGTGTCAAATTCCCAAAATGGTTATACCACTTTACACACTGAGTATATGAGCGAGTGCTTTCATTTCTCTACATCATCTGTCCCTGCTATTCTCATGTCTTCACTTTTGCTAATCTAGTGGCTTTGTACAGTATTCTTTTATTCAGTAAATATGTGGGGTTTTTTTCCCACATTTGCTATGTAAAAGCCTGAAGCACTGAGCGTACAGTGAGAGCCCTGCCTTTCTAGAACTTCCAGCATGGAGACAGACTTTAATGACAAAATGAATAATTAGTTAAGTAATTATAATTGCAAGATGCCGTGAAGAAGAAGAACAGATTACTTCATGAGTTTATGATATGGAAACCAGAACAAGGGGGCTTCAGTTCCTACATTTGTAGCTAGAAAACCTGCACCAGACTCTACAGTAACACTGTTGCTAAATCCATCTTTACTCTATGTGGATTTTCAGGAAGCCTCAGAAGATGGGCTCAGACACATCTGTAGTTGTTGTTGTTGTTGTTGTTTTTCTATGAAAAGGTCAGCTGACCCCAATAAATGCAAATATTGCATTGTCAAGTATTTATATTGCAAAAGCTTTTACCTAGCTTGTTATTTCCTGGAGGGTTATCTTGAGTGGGAAGCCTGTGCCCAAAAATGCCTTTGAAAATTTTGGATGATACTGTAGTATTTGTTATAATGGGATTCCAGCTGTTTATACTTGCTTTGTAGAAGTAGATGAGTGTGCAGGTATGTCTTTCTGGAAAATGGGGCAATCTGAAAAGCCTACTTTTCTTCCCCCTGAAATGATGAGATGATTTTAGGCAAGAGTGTTTTTTCTCTGGAGTTACTTGGATAATTACCTCCATTTTCTTAGATCCTTCAACTGGATGGGATCCTAGCAGTCATTTAATCTTTTTTTTCTACCAGTGCTGAGTCCCTTCTATGATATCCTAGCCAGTTGGTCAACAGCATCTGATGGACCCCGTCCAGAGGCAGGGAATCAATCTCCCAAGGCGTTGCATTCCATTTTTAGAAAGCTCTAATTGTTAGAAAGCCCTGTACTTTCTAAGAAAACACAGAGCCTGCAGGCTTTTTCTGTTACTATAAAGTGTTGAGGACTTAGTGTGCAAGAAGACCAAATGGGAAAGATTTCCTTCACCTGGATGAAAAACAGGGAGCCTCTTTTGAGTAACACCCTTTGCCTAGGGCAGACAGCCTTTAGATGGTGCTTCAGTCAGAATTGCCAAGACCCATGTTTATGAAGTCTCACTGTAGGATTAAATGGCACTAGATCCTGAGCAGCAAATTTGCCCCTGGGGGCACCTTGCCATTGTTGCTGCCTCAGCTGCTAGTTCCTTCAATCCTGGAAAACCTTTTTGCCAGCCTTCATGCTTTCAGAAAACAATGATTTTCTTTTTCTTTTTTTTTTTTTTCCTGGGTCTCACCCTTTGTAAATGTTGCTTATGATTGCAGTGCAAATGTCAACTGAGGGATTTATGGAGACAGTTTCATTCTGCAATAGACTTGGAGAGACTATTTTAAGGGGTAATTCATTGCTGACTTTTCCAGATAACCTTGATAAAGGCACTTCAGAATTGGGTCTTGGGGATTTTCCACTGTAGCCTTGCATGCTCCCTTGGTTATTCTTTTGTTTGGTTCGTAAGATTTGTTAGCCCAGTTGGAGCTTAATTTTGCCACTGTTTATTTTAATTTTCCCTCTTTCCATTTAAGCTGAGCTTTTGCTCTACAAATCTCTGATTTTTCCGTGCTTCTCAGTGGCTTTAACATGTTTGTATCTGTTACTGGAGCCAAAAGGTTGTTTTAAGAACTGCTTTATTAAGTACCAATTTTACAGCTCCTCATTGCTTTGTTTGCAGAGGTTCAAATTGATTCAGTAGAGTTTCTGAGGCTTTCGCAGATAGGAGTAGGGCTGGGTAATGGAGGGAGGTGTGATACTCAGTGGAGATTCTGAGTTCCAGAGATTCATTCAAATTGGTTGTAGTTGCACTTTTCCAAAGCCCACCATTGGGTACCTTTTAAAGCCAGCACATTTTCGGCTCATGATTGAACAGTGCAGAACAGCCACCTCATCACCTTTTCTACTGAACCCAAGAAAGGAATATGGGGATTTAGAAGCTGACTTTATTTATTTATTTATTTAGAGTTAGGGTCTCTCTCTGTTGCCCAGGCTGGAATACAGTAGTGCACACCACCATGCCTGGCTATTCAATAAGATTTTTTTTTTAGATGGAGTCTCACTCTGTCACCCAGGCTGGAGTGTAGTGGCGTGATCTTGGCTTACTGCAACCTCTGCTTCCTGGGTTCAAGCGCTTTTGCTGCCTTAGCCTCCCGAATAGCTGGAATTATAGGCTCCTGCCACCATGCCTGGTTAATTTTTGTATTTTTTAGTAAAGACAGGGTTTCACCATGTTGGCCAGGCTGGTCTTAAAATCCCGACCTCAGATGATCTGCCCACCTGAGCCTTCCAAAGTGCTGGGATTACAGGTGTTTTTGTAGAGTCTGGGCCTCACTATGTTGCCCAGGCTGGTCTTGAACTCCTGGCCTTAAGTAATTCTCCCACCTTAGCCATCCAAAGCACTGGGATTATAGGCGTGAGCCACTACTGTGCCTGGCCTGAATATGATTTTAATTACTTAAGAATTTAGCAAAGCTCATGATTTATAAGGTATACCCTTTCTGTAATCTATTTTACTAACTGATTTGTAGTTAATTACTTTAAAAAGAATATTAAATGAGGTCTCTTTATGCTTTTAAACTAAGAGTTTTTGAGAGACCTCCATGCTCAAAATTGAGGGAGAAGAAAGGAGAATAAGATATAGCTTGTACTTGCTAAGAGTATTGGAGTCTCTTAGTGATAGATGTTTCCTTGGAGACAAGCTGTATTTTCAGTTAGACCAGAATGAGATCCTTGTGTGTGGGAAGAAAATGGTTTTCTTTTCTGGCAGCTTTCTTAGAAGAGAGAGAAGCAAGAAAACCCAACAACAACAAAAAAACCCCACAGAACCCCCAAACCAACACCCTTCCTCCACGCCCCACCCCAAAAAAACCACATTATTTGATCATTAATTGCTTTTGACTATGTCATTCTAGGGCAAGGAGAGAGAAAAATCCAAACGGAAAGCTTTTGCGCCATGTTTTGATAGCCCCTGCAGGGGTGATTCCTCTGAGCAGTGCTTTCACACACTCTAATTCTAGTAGCAGTTTGCATTTGGAATTGAGAGAGGTACAGTGACTTTTTTCAGTTAATGAATTATATTTGTTCCATTTCTCCTTCTCTCCAAAACCATTAAGTTCAGAAAAAGATTTGCATCCAACAGGACAAAATGTTTTTGTTTTTATTACCTTCTTTGTATAAGAGCTTAAGTAGAATGAGATCCTAGCTATCTAATTTATTTATGGTTTCAGTTGGCTATAATCCTCTTATTTCAGAGAAGGGCCATTTAGGTTAAGAAAAAAGTTCTGCTAATTAAGGAACATACTGTGGATTATTTTTAAAAATTAGAAACAGAAATGAATAAAAAAGTCATGATTCTGCCACTCAGATGCCACTGTTGTCATTTAGATATCTTTCCATTTGTTCAGTCTTCTGTTCAGTTATTACTTATTTAGTAAATATTTATTTCCTATTAAATGCTGGGAATTATTTTAGGTACTAAGGATATAGCAGTTAAAGTAGAAAAATGGTCCCTTTTGTTTACTAGCATACAGATATAAAGCTATAAATTTCCCTTTAAGCATTGGTTTAGCTGCATGCTACAAATTTTGATGGTATGTTTTCTTTGGCATTAGTTCAAAATATTTTCTAATTTCTCCTGTGATCTTTTTTATTTGATCCATACACTAATTAGAAGTATGCTGTTTAATTTCCAAATATTTGGGATTTTCTTATATATCCTAATAGTATTGATTTCTAATTTTGTTGTGGTTAGGGAATATATTCTGTAAGATTTCAGTTTTAAATTTATTGAGATATGTCTTATGTCCTTCCACATGGTCTGTCCTGGTAAATGTACCATCTGCCCTTGAAAACAGGGTCTCTCAGGCAGGCACGGTGGCTCATGCCTATAATCCTAGCACTTTGGGAGGCTGAGGCGGGCGGATCACCTGAGGTTGGGAGTTTGAGACCAGCCTAGCCAACATGGTGAAACCCTGTCTCTACGAAAAATACAAAAATTAGACGGGTGTGGTGGCCCATGCCTCTAATTCCAGCTACTTGGGAGGCTGAGGCACAAGAATCACTTGAACTCAGGTGGCGGAGGTTGCAGTGAGCTGAGATTGCACCACTGCACTCCAGCCTGAGTGACAAAGCAAGACTCCGTCTCAAAGAAGGAAAGAAGGGAAGGAAGGAAGGAAAAGGGAAGGGAAGGGAAGGGAAAGGAAAGGAAAGGAAAGATCTCTTAGTGTCAGAACTATTGACATTCTGAATCAGATAATTCTTTGTTGTTGGGGACAGCCCTGTGCATTATAGGATGTTAAGCAGCATCTCTGGCTTCTACCTGCTAGATGTCAGTAGCATCTCCCAAGATACAACATTGAGAAATGTTTCCAGACATTGTCAGATGTCTCCTGGAAGCCAAATTTCCCCTGTTGAGAACTACTTAGTTGAAAAGAATATTTGGCAGTTGTTGGGTGTGGCATTCTATAATTGTTAGTTAGATATGTTGGTTGATAAAGTTATTCAGATCCTTTATGTCTTAGTTGACTTTCCCCCTACTAGCTTTTCTACCAGTTGCTGAGAAAGGAGCATTAAAATATTTTTGTGGGATTGTTCTGTTTCTCCTTTTAATTCTGTCAATTTTTGTTTTATGAATTTTTTGACTTTTTAAAAACAACTTTGGTGAGGTATAATTTACGTGCCATAAACCTATCCAGTTAGTGATTTTTTTTCTTTAAGTAATTTGCTGAGTTGTGTAACCAGTACTGTAACCTAGTTTTAGAAAATTTTCATCACACCAGTAAGATCCCTCATGACTGGCAGTTAATTCCTGTTTTATTTGAGGTCACTACTAATCTACTTTTTGTCTTTAGAGATTTGCCTTTTCTGGATGTTTCATGTAAATGGAATCATACAATATGTGGTCTTTTATGTATGACTTCCTTCACTTACATAACGTTTTTGAGATTCATTGGTGGTGTAGCATGTATCAGGAGTTTATTCCCTTTTGTTGGTGAAATAGTGTTCCAGCTTCATGTGTTTTTGAGGCTCTATTATGGGGGCTATCCATATTTGACTGTTGTGTTTTTCTGATAAGTTGACATTCTTATCATTAGGAAATGTCCTCTTTTATTTCTCTTAATAACTTTATCTTAAAACCTATTTTATCTGATATTAGCCCTCTACAAACTTACGCTAACTCTTCGCATAGTATGTCGTTTTTCCAACCATTTACTTTCAACCTGTGTCTTTATATATAAAGTTTAGCTCTTGCGGACGGCATAGAAATTGGTCTTGCCTTAAAAAAACAAATACTTCCTTCAATTTTTGTCTCTTACTTGTAATTATTAGTCCATTAATGTTTATGGTAATTATTGATATAGTTGGGTTTGGGGCTGCCATTTCATTTGTTTTCTATTTATTTCCTCTATTTTTTGTTCTTCTGTTCCTCTTCTATATTTTCTTTTTGAATTATTTTTTGAATATATTTTTATAATTCCATTTTAATTTTCCTCTTGATCTTTTCTGAGTACATTTTCGCATGCCTGGGTGTATTTTTAGTGATTTTGCTAGAGATTACAATAGACATTCTTCACTTTTCACAGTATCCTTACACATAATAATGATACTATTTCACATAAAATGTAGAAAGCATATAAATATATAGGTGTATATTCCCTCTGCTCCCACTCTACCTTGTTCTTTATGCTGTAGTTGTTATATATATTACATTTATGTAGAATATAAATCCCACAGGACAGTGTTATGCCTTTTCCTTTAAAGAGGTGTGAATATTATACAAAAATTAAGAGGAAAAAAGTATTTTGTATTTGCACAAATATTTATCATTATTGATGCATTTTATTCTTAAGGATCTGGATTTCAAACTGGTGTCATTTCTCTTTGGCTTGAAGAATTTCCTTTCACCTTTCTTGTGATGCAGGTCTCTTATATCAATGAATTCTCTTCATTTTGCCTTCATTCTTGAATGATCTGTTTGTGGCATATAGGAATTCCAGGCTAATCATTTTTTTCTTTCAGCACATGAAAGATGCTTCACTGTCTTCTGGCCTCCATAGTTTCTGCTGAGAGGTCAGCTGCCAATTGGATCATCCTATTGTCCTTTTCTTTGGTAGATGTTTCAGATTTGCTTTTTATTTTTGGTTTTCAACAGTTTGGCTGTGAGGCACCTTGGCTGACCTTCTTTGTATTTATCCTGCTTGGTGTTGGTTGAGTATCTTGAATCTATTAATGGATGTCTTTCACCAAATTTGGGAAATACTCAGCGTTTATTTTCTCAAATAGTTCTACTGCCCTATTCTCCCTTTTCTCCCCTTCTAGGACTCTGATTATATGTACAGTATTAGCTAAAAGATTCCTGAGTATCTGTTAATTTTTACTTCAATCTTTTTTCTTTAGTCCTCATTGGATAATTTCCACTGATCTGTCTTCATATTCACTTGTTTTTTCCTCTGTCACCTCCACTTTGCTGTTAAATTCATTCAATGTATTGTGTTTTTCAGTTCCAGAATTTCTATTTGATTCTTTTTTATTGTTTCTATTTCTTTACTGGGGTTTCACGTTTTTTGATGCATTGCGAGTATATTTTATTTTACTGATGATAGTTATAATGGCTTCTTTAAAATCCTTGTCTGCTAATTCCAACATCTGGGTCATCCCAGGATTGGTCTTAGTTTATTTTCTTTTAACAATGTCTTAGGTAAGACATTTGTCACATAGTGTAAATTTAGATCTTATTCAGAACATTGAGAATGTTAAGTGGCAGAGACTCTGGATTCTGTTAGTTTTCTTTTCTTTTCTTTTTTTTTTTTTTTTGAGATGGAGTCTTGCTCTGTCACCCAGGCTAGAGTGCAGTGGCGAGATCTCGGCTTACTGCAACCTCCGCCTCCTGGGTTCAAGTGATTCCCCTGCCTCAGCCTCCCAAGTAGCTGGGATTACAGGCGCCTGCCACCGCACCCAGCTAATTTTTGTATTTTTAGTAGAGACGGGGCTTTATCATCTTGGCCAGGCTGGCCTCCAACTCCTGACCATGTGATTCACCTGCCTCCACCTCCCAAAGTGCTGGAATTACAGGTGTGAGTCACCACACCCGGCCGGATTCTGTTAGTTTTCTTTAATGCATATTGAGTTTCTTTAGTTTTAACAGGCACTTATCTTGGTTGGACCCAAACTATTCACTATGTTTCTTGGGTGACAGCTTGAATCTTGGGTGGCAGCCATTTTGTTAATAGCCAGGTTGCTTTGTGTGTATTCCATGCATGGGTGGATCAGGGGTCAGCCACATGTGGGGAGAGTTGGAGATACCCTCTTTCCTTTCTTTCCAGTGGGCATGGTTTCCCAGATTTAGTCTTCTGGCTTGCAGACCGGAAAGACTGCATTTCCCCCTCAGCACCCCAAGCTAAAGGCCATGAAACCATGAACTCGTTGTGTACAGCTCTCCTCCTCCAAGTGTGGACTCCCCATGTGCTTGCTTGTGTTCACTCTCCAGTGCCTTCAGGTAGCTGCTTTTAGTTTTTGGTTATGTGAGTTTATAGTTTCTAGTTTTCTGGAGGAGTATTGGTGTGCTGGGATCTTAGTTACTATGGAAGCCAGTCTTTTGAACTTTCATTTTAGCGAGGGGGAGACAGACAGTAAACATATAAAAATAAAACATATAAAAGGATAAGTGGTTGTATCAGTTACCTATTGCTTTGTCACAAACCACCCCAAAACTCTGAGCCTTAAACTATCATTTGTTATTATAACTCATGCAATGGTGGGTTGGCTTGTGGTCGACTAGTCTAGGCTGGACTCAGCTAAACTTGTGTGTTTGTAGTTCAGCTAGCCCACTCACGTGTCTGCAAGATCACTAGGGGTTTTACTCTAGATTGGGCTTGGCTGGAATGCCTTGGTTAGGACAGCTTTCCTCCATGAATCTCTCCTCTTCCTGGGAACAGCAGGCTAGCCTGGGGTTATCCTTCTTACAGTGATGCAAGAGAGCAGTTTCACAAATGCTTGATCTGGCTGGCCTCTGCTGGTGGTAACCTGCCTTCTAGCATCCCACTGGCCAAGGCAAGTCACATGGTCACACTCAGACTTAAGGGTGGCAAAACATAATCACCTCTTGATGAGAGTATCTGTGAAGCCATATGACAAAGAAGCCAGTAGAGGCAATGGTGAGGATTTGGGGCTACTAATGCATTCTACCATGGTAGAAATAAACGTCATTAAAAAATTAAAACAGGATGGTAGAGAATGCCAAGGGAGGGGATGCATGTGTGTAAGTATAAAGATGCCTTTTTTATACGAAGTTGGGATTAACTTATATGTAGTTGTATAACCTAGTTTTTCAATTAGTGTGATAACCACAATGTAGAAAGCCATTCCCAACTTTTTGACCATTTTAGGCCACTTAAAATGTTTTATCCCTTCCTAATTTATTGAGTCCTTACTTTTTAAAGCACTTCACATGTATTATCTTATTTCCTCCTTACAACAGCCTTATGAGATAGACACTCTTGTTGTCCCCACTTTACAGATGAGGAAACAGAGGCTGAGTAGCTGGCCTGAAGCCATCGACTTTATATAAACGGCAGAGACGGGATACGGATCTGGGCAATAACCATTCTTGTGTCTCAGTATCCATTCCTGTGTGTACTTTTTTTTTTGAGACAGGGTCTCACTGTGTCACCCAAGCTGGAGTCAGTGGCACAATCTCAGCTCACTGCAACCTCTGCCTCACAGCTTCAAGCGATTCTCCTGCCTCAGCCTCCCAAGTAACTGGGATTTTTACAGGCATGTGCTACCATGCCTGGCTAATTTTTTGTATTTTTAGTAGAGACGGAGTTTCACCATGTTGGCCAGGCTGGTCTTGAACTCCTGACCTCAAGTGATCCACCTGCCTCAGTCTCCCAAAGAGCCGTGATTACAGGTGTGAGCCACCACGCCTGGCCCCCATTTGTACTTCTAAAAGTATAAAAGAGTGTATTCACATCTCTGAATATTTCTTCAGATAACTTCTGGAATTTTGGGTCATAGGGTAGTTGTCACACTTTAAAAAGAATGTTGTTTTCATTTTGCTGCTAAATGACTGAGCACCTGAAGGTTGTTGCCAGCTGTTCCTGCTACTCCGGGAACAAGACAGTAAAACCCCAGGGTTGTCAGTGAATTAGTGGGAAGTAAGCACTTATTCAGTGAGCCTTGAGATATATGAGATCTAGAATTAGTGTGGAGTGAGCTGTTGAAGGCTGAGAGACAGCTGGGGCCACCGAACCGGCTCAGCTGAGAGCTGCCCACGGTATGGCGGGCCTGTGTGAGCCCAGGCTGCAGGCCAGCCCCAGGTCTGGTCATTGTCATGGACAGCACAGGGCTCTGCATGTGATGACCACTTCCTGGCCAAAGGACAGCTTTGTGTGTGGTCAGTGCGATTCTCCAGCCCATTGCCTGTCAGGCTCCCTGGCCCACCACACAGTTTGAATGATGGGGCAAGGGAGAAAGGGAGTGATTTCAAGGGACTGGCAAAAAGTGGAAACGACTCAACAAGGGATGGTCATCTGGGTGGTAGATTTTATAAGTCTCTTGTCCTTTTTCCATTTCCATTTTTATCACTCTGCAATCTGGGCTATATGGATATTTAATAATACTCCCTACTTTGAAACGATGGGAAAAATGAATGGAGAGGAAGAGAAATCTGGTTGAGTTTTAACTATTAAAAGCTGTGAGTCAAAACTGGGAAGGGGATGAGGTTAAATTGAGAATTTGGGATTTTCTCTAGATTGGGTTGTTTTTGAGGTAACTGGGTGCCAATGAGTATACATGTCCATGCAGGACTTTAACTGCAGTTATGGTTTTTATTGCAGTCGGTGATTACCTATACATGTTCAAAGTTTTATCTACTACATATTTCATGCCTAATATATTGTTTCTGTTTTTTGTTTCAGGTTAGTAGCAAAGATGAAGATTTTCTTGACCTTTCTGTTGATGTGGAGCAGAATACATCCATTACCCACTGTCTAAGGTATATGAACTCTGAGGCAGTTTGAGCTTTTGATCAGGCTTGTAACTAAGTGGGAGAGAAAATCCTGTATTTCTTCAGGACATAATCTTCCCTTCTGTTAAACCAATATGATCCTATTATTTTCTATCTCTCCTTTCCCAAGAGCGATTATGTGGTCTGGAGAAGAGTCCCACTGAGAAAAAAGAGCATAAAATGGAAGTCATTAGTCAAAAGGGCAGGTGGCAGTGGCTGTAGATTTGAGATCAGCCAGGTAAAGTGTTAAGTGATTGGTGATAATTTCAACCTTTGGGAAACCTTGTTATAAGAAATAGAATTGAGGCCGGGCGCGGTGGCTCACGCCTGTAATCCCAGCACTTTGGGAGGCCGAGACGGGCGGATCACGAGGTCAGGAGATCGAGACCATCCTGGCTAACACGGTGAAACCCCGTCTCTACTAAAAATACAAAAATTAGCCGGGCATGGTGGCGCGCGCCTGTAGTCCCAGCTACACGGGAGGCTGAGGCAGGAGAATGGCGTGAACCCGGGAGGCGGAGCTTGCAGTGAGTCGAGATCGCGCCACTGCACTCCAGCCTGGGCGACAGAGCGAAACTCCGCCTCAAAAAAAAAAAAAAAAAAAAAAAAAAAAAAAAAAAAAAAAAAAAAGAAATAGAATTGAGGTTTAGGTTTCCATAATTTTTTTTTTTCCTGGAGAAATGTGTATGTTGGTCATCCATACCTGGTGAAGGCAGGCTAGAGGCACTTGGAAATGTTCAGGCTAGGGTGGGTGAGTATGAAGTAGCCTCTGAATGCCCTTTAAACATATTCAACTCTGTCTTATTGCACTGTGCAGGCTGATATCTCTGAAGTGCCTCCCCATCCCCTGTTTTACATCACACCTAATCTAGACCTTGACCAACTCGGCTATACCTGCCCTAACATGCGTGTGAGATGTCACCTCCACAGCAGAAAGAGAAGCCTGCCAGGTGTTGCCACTCACCACTCAGAGTTCCGTGATGGGAGAAGGACGTGCAGGAGAAAGATGCAGGGAGCAAATAATGCCAGTGGAGTCGTTAGCTTTCTCTGTCTCTCAGACAAAAGATAAGGGAAGGGTGGGCTCTTGCTTGGCCCCTTTCATGGTTTAATGTGGATTGCATTTTTGAGGATTTGTTTTTTAAACTAGAATTATGAATTTTCTTCTCTAATGTTATGTCTGCATATCTCTTCTGATATGTTTCTTTCATTTTGATAACTTTAAAAAATAAAAAGTTAAGCTAAAATGTTGGGATTTGAATCTAAGATCTCTGCCACCTTCTTCCAGAAGGTTTTTAGTTGGTGACTGAACTTTTGTTTCAGAGAAATGATATAAATAGTGTTTAAATTCAGGATACAGGTCTGGAGAAGCTGTTAAGTTTGTATGGTAGCTGAGTTATAATTCTAATATTTCAAACCTCAGTACTGTGTCTTAGGCAGAGTAAGCCATTTGTGTCATAGGAGAATACTGAGAAAGAAAGATGTTTTTTCCTTGTGAAAAGTTTAGGGGTGGCCTCAGGCAAAAACTTAAACTATGTGAAGTTTATCTTAATTGTCCTTGCATGGCCTTTTTGGTTATTTTTGTCTTCCACTTGAGCGCCTTAGACCCTCCCCATGACTCCTTCCCAGAATCTCCCCTTACTCCTCCAAATGCTCAGTGCTCTAAAACCACCACCTTCTCTTTCCTCTGTCTTCCTCTCATTTTAAATTCCCATTCTCCCAGTGCCGATGAGATCCCCAGGTTATTGGGAAGCATTGGAGCAATGGCTCTCTGCCCTGGCAGCACATTGGAATCACCCGGGAAGATTTAAGAACAACAATGCCTGGGTTCCACCTGGAGAGATTCTGATGTAATTGAATGGAGGGAGAGTGGGGGGTGGAGGGGTGCGGGATTGGGCATTGGGATTGTTTTTAAAGCTCTCAGATGATTCTATCGAGCAGCCAGGAGGGCAGAAGGAGAATCACTGCACTAGATTCTAGAACAAAGCTTCCCAACTGGTGAGCCAGGGAAAATGGATTAGATGTATTCATCTCCTCAGCTCCTGGGAGGCTGGGAAGGCCTGGCTGTGCCAGAGCCCCATGGCCAGCCATAGGCGCAGCCTCGTCAGTATATCCTGGTGTGTTTCTCATGTAGTATTTCTGTGTGGATCATGACATGGAAATTATCGGGAAGCATTGCTTGAGGATTTTTAATATCAATTTTGAATTATTGTGGTGAGTGAAAAAGAAGATTTTAATTGAAAATATATCAAAGATAGACATTAACTTGGACACGATAGCTGTGTTTACAAAAAATGATAGCCTTCCCATCCAGAAACAGTCTTTCTGCATTTTTTAAAGTTTTAAAATATTTGCATAAGGCTTTAGTGCCTTTTTTGTAAAAGTGTGCATTTCTTATTAGATTTGTTCCCAAAGTGTGTTTTCTTCTCTTTCTCTCCTTCCTTCCCTCCTTCCTTCCTTCCTGAGAACGAGGGTAAAAGTAGAACAAGGAGTTTGATCTATAACTGACTGTGAACCATCAATTGAGATAACTCACTACTTTTGGACCAGCCCTGTATTAGTCCATTCCCACATTGCTATAAATAAATACCCGAGATTGGGTAATTTATAAAGAAAAGAGGTTTAATTGGCTCATTGTTCTGCAAGCTGTACAGAAAGCTTGGTGCTGGCATCTGCTTGGCTTCTGAGGAAGCCTCAGGAAACTTACAATTATGGCAGAAGATGAAGGGGGAGCAGGCACATCACATAACTGGAACAGAAGCCAGGGGTTGGAGGAGGGGCTAAACACTTTTAAACGGCCAGATCTTGCAAGAACTCTCCACGATGTATGGTGAGGACAGCACCAGGAGGATGGTGCTAAACCACTCATGAGAATTCTGCCCCCGTGATCCAGTTACCTTCCACCAGGTCCTACCTCCAACATTGGGGACTACAATTGAATATGAGATTTGGGTGGGGACACAGATCCAAACTATATCAAGCCCCAAAGTGTATTTTTAAGTAATGTTTTATTGCTGCTCTGCCTCTTTTTAAAGCAATACAAAGAATTTTGTGTTTTTCTCCCAACCTCTGCTCTGTACTTTGGTAATTTATCCCAAGTGTTGGAAAGAGCAAGTGCCCCTCTTGTCTTTCTCATTGAAGAGTTTCCTATACCATTGTTGCCCACTTTTGTTCCAACAGGTATAGAACATTAACTGACAGCTGCTCTGCCTCAGCATTTACTGCTGGGGTCCTCGCCTTCTCCTAACTTACCTTCATTTTCTAATTCTCAACTCATGGATGCCCTAAGAGCATTACTCTGTCAGCAAGCTTCTTTGTAAAATGGGTCTTTACATTAGGTATTAACTTCTGCTATATTTCCACCTGTCTGGGTCTACAAATCAAATAAGTTTTTGGGGAAAATAAGAATGAGTAGGAATGAATGATTCCTTATTTGTTGCTGGCCTTTCTTTGGCTATTGTGACCCTTTAGCTTGGTAGTACAGCTTCTCTGCAGTAGACATTGGGAGGATATGAAGCTCCATCACACCCACACTCATCTCCCTGCCTCTGGCTCCCCGTTCCACTCCAGTCAATCCCATGCAGCCAAAACAAGATTCCACAGCACTTACTCAATTGAAGTATTCATTCAGCTAAGTATGAGTTTGTTTTATGCACCATGTACTTGAAATCTGAAAGTTTAGTACATTTGCATTCTAATGGCTTTCTTGCCTTTCATCCCTCTCCAATGCCCCCTCCACCATGCTGTCAAAAGTGGAATTTCTAAAAAGCACTACCTGATTATGTCGTTTCTTTGTTGAGACTGTTGGTTAGGGTTCATGCTGGCTTCTTGGTAGCATAGTCCAGGCTATGTGACTTGCTGCCTGATATGGTTTGGCTGTGTCTGCACCCAAATCTCATTGGATTGTAATAATTCCCACGTGTTAAAGGTGGGGCCAGGCGGAGATAATTGAATCATGGGAGCAGTTTTTCCCATACTATTCTCGTGGTAGTGAATGAGTCTCACAAGATCTGATGGTTTTATAAATGGGAGTTCCCCTGCACCTGCTGTCTCTTGTCTGCTGCCATGTAAGACATGACTTTGCTCCTCCTTTGCCTTCTGCCATGATTGTGAGGCCTCCCCAGCTATGTGAAACTGTGAGTTCATTAAACCTCTTTTTCTTTATAAATTACCCAGTCTCAGGTATGTCTTTATTAGCAGCATGAGAACAGACTAATACGTCACCGCTGCTGTTCCCTACCTCCAGGCCTCTGCACTGCAGTGTTCTCTCTCAGGAGTCATTGACCCTTATTCACTTGTTCACCTGGCACACTTTCCCTCTTTCTCTGTGCTTTCTCCTGGACTTTACACCTGCTTCTGTCTTGGTTGGTTCATTCATTCAACCAACAAATATTAATGTGTTCCATTGTGTGTCATGCTGGGGATATAGGAATGACAAGTGCACTGCCCACATAGAGGGGAGGCAAGTAATCAAATGAACAGAGGAATGGTTTCAGATGCTGGGAAGAAATAAGACGGCAATGTGATAGGGGCTGGATAGGCTTGGACAAAGTGGCCAGAGAAGTTTTCTCCAAAGAGGGGATGTTTAGGCTGAGTGCTGAACAACCGGGTTAGCCAGCCATGGAAGCCTCTGGGAGGAAGCTCTCAGTGCTGAGAAAATAGCACCTGCAATCACCCTAAGGTGAGAAGAGGATTTCCCAGGGCCAGTGTGGCTGGAGCAGAGAGAAGGAGGCAGGGTGGATAAGTGCACTGGAAACTGCTGGAGGATTTCAGCAGGGGAATCATGTAATGCTTTCTGTTGAAGCTGCACTGATCATTTCATGTTGTCAGTGGTTCATTTGCACACATCTCTGTTAAAGTGTGAGCCGTATGAAGGCAGTTATTCTCTGTGGATCCCCAGAACCTAGCCCAGAGGACTGGCAGGAAACATTTGGGGACTTAATGAATGAAAGAATCTGTGTTTTCTTTTGATGTGTTCTGTGTAAGTGGTAGAATCATTTAACACATTTTAAATAACATTTTCTGTTTAATAAAATCTGGTCATTATGGTACTAGGACACTGAACAAGGAAATGCCCCAGAATTTTTCAAAACTATAGGGTATTAGTCCAGATGTTCTTTTCAGCCTTTGAAGCAGTACCACAGAAATGTTAAGTAGAATCTTGATGGCTGGAAAAGAATGAAAAACCATGACATTTAAAAAATAAAAACCGTAAGTAGCAGAGTAGAACCTCATGATAAGGCAGATACACATATGACAAACACAATGGCTTTTGTTCTCCAAAGGAGGCAGGCAAAAGTTCATCTCCTCCGGCGGGGGAGCAGTGGGGAGCAGGGGTTGGTAGGAGGTGGTCATCTGATTAATTCAGGATTTCTTTAGTTCACTAAGAGGGCAGTTTTGTATGTGGTTTAAATTTCATTATCTTTACTTTCATGCTCTTTGAAAATATGGACTACCAGAGAAATACTATTTTTCATTAACTACACAATAATGTCACCTTGCATGTTATGTGATTTACTTTCTGGATCTAAGTTTTAGTGTTTACGGTGAACTTTTACTCAACAGTATTTTTCTATTACGATTTTAATTTCTAGCTTATAGGTATTCTCCATTAAATCATGAGTTTTTTTTCTGAATCCAGTTGGAAACCCTAATTTATATCTGCCTGTGTCCCATTAAATAAAACTATATTTGAATCTCTCATGGTAAATTCATGATTCGATGAAAAGAGCATGTCTACCACCGTAATGGCACCCAGTCTTAGCTTATTTTTGTTTTTCATCCTGTAGTTTCTCTACCATCCTAGTCTTAAGTAGGATTTTTTTCTGATTACTTCTTCTTCCATTTTTACTTAAAAATTACCCTACAGGTTAATTGAGGGATTTAAAACATAGTATACCAAGTAGATTTGGACATTTTTTAAAGATGGAAATATTTTCCTCTACAGAGACTTCAGCAACACAGAAACACTGTGTAGTGAACAAAAATATTATTGTGAAACATGCTGCAGCAAACAAGAAGCCCAGAAAAGGTAGGTAAAGATTTAGCTCAGGGTTATCTTTGTGTGGTGAGAAGGATCCCGACTGTGGGGCCCAGCAGGGTTGGCTTTGAATCAATCTCAGCTACCTGGGCTTGTAGCCATGGAGCCTTGGGGAAGTCAGTTATCCTCCTCACCAGTGAAACTGGGATAAGAACGCTGACCTTGGAGAGAACAACTTGGAGAGTTGTCTGTCCGATTGTTTACTTATTTGTTTATTCATTCAGTCATTCAGCAAATATTTGTTGAGCCCTGCCATGTGCCAGATATTATGCTAGATAAACAAGTAATGATTAAATATAATCACTATTCTCTTGAGATTAAAGGTAAATTATATAAAGTACTTAGCAGAGTATATAACACATAGTAGACACCCAATATTATTTTTGTTTGTATTGCTTAAACATTAGGACCTCTTATTTAGAGACAGAGGTTTAAAAAATATATATCATTTCATAAGGACTCATGAGGAAATTATTAACACATCAGTTATAAGAATAGGTGATTAGAGGCTGGGCACAGTGGCTCACACCTATAATCCCAGCATTTTGGGAGGCCAAGACAGGCCGATCATTTGAGGTCAGGAGTTTGAGACCAGCCTGGCCAACATGGTGAAACCCCGTCTCTACTAAAAACACAAAAATTAGCTGGGCATGGTGCCAGGTGCCTATGATCCCACCTACTCGGGAGGCTGAGGCAGGAGAATCACTTAAGCCCAGGAGGCAGAGGTTACAGTGAGCTGAGATCGTACTACTGCACTCCAGCCTGGGTGACAGAGTGAGACTCTGTATCAAAAAAAGAAAAAAGAAAAAGAACAGGTGATAAGAAAGTTAGAAAGTTATTGCACCACCTTTCCTGCACACTAGACAGTTACAGTTCTTGGAAAATCTGGAATAACCCCCATTAATCTGCTCCTACAAGCCAGGAAAGTTGCCATTTCAGTCATCCTGCGAAGGCTTCCTGTGAGTTAAATCTATCTTGTCAGTGGTTCTGGAGTATTCAAGGCAGCTGGCAGATGCTCAATACTGCTGTCTAAAACCCTCAGGGGTCTAGACCTGAGGTTGAGATCATTTCTCTGCCCAGCCTTCCCAGGCGTTCACTCCAAACATGTACACTTTTCTTTGCTGCAAAACTTACAGATGGTTAGTCACCTTAGCGGGCAGTCCTCAAGGAGGTAGGTAGATACCTTTTGTTAGTAAAGAAGGTCACTCATGTCTGTCCCCCATCCTTATAACCTCAATCTGCCTAAGGCTGGCCTGGGGTCTTCCTTTGTGGCATTAAGACATTTTTTGTTCAGCCCTGGGGGGTTTATATATTGCAATGTCATGTGTTCCCATAAAACATGGGGTTCCCCATACTTCTTATTTCTCTACTGTTGTTTTACTTGCTTATTTATATGAACAGGGCTTTTCCTTAATAGATTCCTTAAAACTATTCTTCTAAAATTTGTCTTTTTCACATACTATGCATTAAAAATGTACACAAACTAAATGGCATTTACACTTAATTCAGTACATTCATGGAATGGGGGCTGGAAGGTAACTGGAAGACCCTCTATTCTAGCAGTGTACTCTGCATAAACTGTTGCCTTTGCGACTTTTTACTGAGAAATGTTAATGGTCACCTAGTAAAAAAACTTTTCTATGTTTATATAAGTTTGGGAAGTGCAACATCAAACAACAGAACAATTCCTTTACTGCAGGATTTCTCAAAGTCTTCAGTCTGGTAATGTACACATAGGATCTTCAAAGCAGAAAGTAGCATCATCCAAACTTACTTAGCCACAGAAACACCACATCTGTTAACATCTCCAGTGCTCTCCTGAGCCCAGTTTGTGAAATGTAGCCCTAAGCCAACCCCTGCATTTTATAAATAAGGAAACTGAGAGCTAGAGAAGGGAAGTGACTTGCCCAAGATCACAAGGGTCGGAATGAGAGTGAGCCTGGCACGCTTGGTGTCCCGATGCCCAAGAGTGTGTGTCAGAAGCATCCATCCTCCTGCCAGTCCTCAGAACCTGTAAGTCCAGCAGTCGGCATCATCTACCTTGTCCTCTTCCCAGCTTCCTGTTCTCAAAAGCTCTCAACCTTCCTCTCCATCATCTCAGGGGGTAGATTGTCCAAATATCATTTCTCTCTGGAAGGCACAGGGCAGTGATGGAGAACAATTGCACAGCCTATTTTTATTTGTACAAAAATTCTGGAACGTCTCCTTCCAACAAACAGACACACACCATTGTACATTTCTCCTGCTGGGAGCCAGGGATGTAGGATAAGTCAGCTCTATATATGCCAGCATACTTTTATCCTTGCAAACTGTTTGGTTGTTTGCTGGTTTGAAGTTGGATAGAACCTCCTACTATTCTGTTTGTGCAGATGACAGTGTATTCTCTTCCCCTAATAGGTGTTGGGTACAACTGATTTTCTATTTCTTGGTTTCTTAGGATGAGGGTAAAAAAGCTGCCCATGATCTTGGCCCTGCACCTAAAGCGGTTCAAGTACATGGAGCAGCTGCACAGATACACCAAGCTGTCTTACCGTGTGGTCTTCCCTCTGGAACTCCGGCTCTTCAACACCTCCAGTGATGCAGTGAACCTGGACCGCATGTATGACTTGGTTGCGGTGGTCGTTCACTGTGGCAGGTAAGGGCAAGACTGGAAGCAGGTATACAGGGTAAGTGTAAGGGTTGCCTCTTCGCTGAAGTATACCCAGCTGCACCTTTCCTGGGCCGTGGCACTCAATAGTTTTGGGATCTCTGCCAAACTCTTACTGATCATCACAAAAAATATATAAACATGCCTGCAGGCACATAAAATAAAGAGCATTCCAGTAATGATAATCTAAATGTTCTATCATGAGAGAAATTACTTAATAAATCTCCATTGCATGAAAACGATGGTTATGAAGAATTTGAAATAACATGGAGAAATAAATGTCTATGCTATGATTTTAATTTTTAAAAAGCCAAGTTGCATTTACAGTATGATCTCAAAAGTATTTTAAGATGTGTAAATAAAGACTAGAAGCAATGGATCAAATTTAATAATTTTTTGGCACTTTGAGTGATTAAAAATATATTCTTAAAAAATATTCTTTGTTATTTTTGGTCTTTCCCCAACATTCTGTAATAAGTATATAATCAGAAAAAAGATAAGAGAGAGAAGGCCTCTAGATATGGAGAGGCAAAGCATTTTGCCAAAATTCCTTTGAGCAGCTATTTTTTATTCCATAATTTGGTATAAGGGAAGAAAAGTATCTTGAAAATTCACCTGTTTGTTATTCTTTGCTCAGTTGGGACAGGTTTATGTTCTGTCTTGGGAGTAGGCACAGCTTTCCCCCTGCCCTCATAGGTTTTAGATTGGGGCATGTCATAGAGCAAGAGTCTTTCTCCTCCATCTGTTAAGGTCGGATTATGGTGAATACACCATTACCAGGAGACTACCATTGCCACGCAGAGGAATAGGTTGATATATTTTTAATTGTGTACTAGGGTAGATGGCATCAGAAACTGTATAACTTCACATCTGAAGCACCCCATATTTTATCCTGTGTGTATTAACTTTAAGTCACTGGATATTTTCTTGTATTCTCAGTAAAATGATATTTATTGGCTAGTTATATGCCAGTTTTGTGGTGTTCTCCCTAAAGAACACCTGTTATTCTTTTGAAGAACACAGGGTTCCAGTGATCTGGAACCCAGCCTTGAGCACTGGATGAGGCCTCACATTGGTGCAGGGTTGGGGAAGATCTTAGGGCAGGCAGAGCCTGGGACCTGGTGGGCATTGTGGCTAAAGTGGGTGGCAGGGGTGGTGTGGACAGGAGGGCCCCTTGCACAGGGTACACAGGACTTTCAGTGTGGGTCTCTGTGGGTGCCCAATTCAAATCCTTGGGAGGACTGGCAGAGACACAGGTAAGGGAACTGGACGTTCAGCGGGAGGTTGGGTTCTCTAAGGTCAGTTTCTGTAATGTGAGCACAAGGTCAGAAGAGCCCTGGTAGCAGAGCTCAGTTGGTGCCAAGTCATGCATGCCACTAACTAGGATTCTTCAAACTCCTCCCCACAGAAGTAGCATTGTTCTCCTATGTGGAGCAGGGCTGGCCTATGCTTGCGGATTGGGTGGCTTCCAGGTAGCACTGGAAAGCTTTGAGGTTAGGGAGCTGGGCCTGCCTTCCCTTCCATGCCAGGACCTCCTGGCCCACAGTTGCAGCAGGTGCATAGCCTCATGCACTGATTTCTGCTGCAAGTTTTTTTTTAAGCTCATATATTCTGGATTCCATGCCAGGATCTGAAAATAGAGTAACGAAAAGACACACAGCACAGGGACCCTGCCCTCACAAAGCTTATAATCTATCTGGAAAGACTGATAATGAACAAATAAACACACCACCCTGCTACCCCCAAAAACAAACCACTGCAGATAATTTATGATTTTGATCAGTGCTATCAGGAATAAGCAGGGAGATGAGGGAGTGAGTGATGGGAGATACATCTTCAGGTGAGTTGGTCAGCAGAGATTCATCTGGGGAGGTGACATTTGAGCACAGGGCTAAATAGAATGCAGTTGGGGGAGGATTATCTCTGGCAGAGTTTACAGCAATGCAAAGGCCCATAATATGAAGGGGGCAGTGTGTGAGAGGAGCCAGATGGGCTGGAGCTCAGAGGGAAAGGGAGACAGTAGCTGGAGGAGGCTGGAGAAAGGGCAGGAACAGATCATTGCCATCATCTTGTGTTGAAAGAGGGTAAACAGAGGGGGAAGTTTGGCTTTTTCAACTTTAACAGTGCATTAAAAAACAGTTTTAGGTTTAGGATTGAAATCTCCTCACTTGTGCAAATCTAACCTAACTACATAGTAACAGGTGCTTAGTTGTCCTTTCTGCTTTTTTCCATATAGCATAGTATACGGCTTTTTAACACTTGTTACTATGCATATTGGTTTATTAATGTCTTTCTAAAGCATAGATCATACAACTCCTTAAAATTCCCCATTTCTTCCTGGCTTGCTCAAGCAAAGCCTAAAATCTTACCTGCAATTCCTTCTACTGCGCCTGCCCCTCAGCCCCCTCTGGTCTTCCCCGCCTCGCTCACTCTGCTGCTCTGGCCTCCTTTGGCCTCTCTGCTCTTCCTGAACACACCAAGTGCTACTCGCCCACCCCAGGCCTTTGCACTTGCTATTCCCTATTTCTGAAACTTCCATCCCAGAGTCACATGGCTTCTCTCCACGCCCTGACCCCCACCCCTACCCCTCCCCCTGCCATTTCCTTCAGGGAAATTTCCTTCTACTCACATTATCAAAGTGGCCTCCCTTCACTTTCCATCAAATATTACCTCCTCCCATCACTCATATCCCATTACCCTGCTTCATCCTTCTCCATGACACTTCTCACCACTTGACATACATTTATAAGTTTAGTTTGTGTATTGCCAATCTAGCCCCTACCCCAAGTCCTAAGTAAGTGGGGTCTTTGTTTTGTTCACTGCTTCTTCCCCTGACAGCTAGAATAGGGCCTGGCACAGAATACGTAGAGAGTAATTTTTTGTTAATATTTGCTGAATTTGAGTGTCTGTTTTTGCTGCTGGATTATGAGTCCTTAGGAGACATCTCTTCTGCACACTTTTGTATTCCCCTGTGTCCAGCATGGTGTTGTAAACATAGACATGAGCTATATGCCAAGTTCTTTACGCTGATGACATAGTTTTTTTTCCCAGAGAATCACTGCTTATAAAGAGCTAAGTAGAGTTTTATAAAGAGATAAATGTTAACTTGCTAACTGCCTTTTATTTGTTCTTTTCCAGTGGTCCTAATCGTGGGCATTATATCACTATTGTGAAAAGTCACGGCTTCTGGCTTTTGTTTGATGATGACATTGTAGAGGTTGGTTTGCAGATTATTCTCCAGTAGTCATAGAGCATCAGTAGTATTTCGGAGAATGTGTATGTATAGACATTTTCTAAAATAGGCCTGTTTCCCCATAATGTAATTTGAAAACAACTTAAATTTGTATTCAAAACCAAATTCTGCTAATCCCCATGCTCCATGGAAAGGGAGAAGGGGTGTGATCATGGACTCACTGACGCTGTGTTCTCCACGGTTCATCCATAGACATGGGATCTCTCTATCTGTGCCACCGTAAATCAGACTTCAGTCTAAGTCTTGTTTCTTATCATGACTAAAGCCCCCTCTGATACAGGGCAAACAATAGACTTCAAAGTTGTATTAAAATTATTATAACAAATTTTTCTTGTATTGATTATTGTTTAAAATATTTTATTCAGTCTGTTGGATCTGGAAATCTTTATATTATACCAATACATTCTATGTATTGATTTTGTTATAAAAGAATACTAGCTGGAATGAATTCTACACTCAAAGACATGATCTATTTTAACCCACTAAGGTAGCAGTTTTAGTGGAATAACACCAAAAGAGATGAACTCTGGTGGCCGAAAAGACTTAGGGCTATTTCCAGGACCCATCAGTTTACCATCTGGGAGATGTCTTGGCTTGTTCTTCAAAGAGTGCCCACACAGGGTTGCTAATGCATGAAGGCATTGCCTTCTTTCCCAGAGATGTACAATTTATGTGATGATGTCCTTTAGCCAAGTCTGTGGAATTCTCCATTTGCTATTGAAAGTTCCTAATGATGATTTCATAACAAATTGTGTTCCTTGCATTTTAATATATATTCCATTAGTTTTTATTTCCTTTCCCCAGGAATCATGTTAAGTAATTGTGTTGTTTTCTTTCTCCTTTATTGCAGAAAATAGATGCTCAAGCTATTGAAGAATTCTATGGCCTGACGTCAGATATATCAAAAAATTCAGAATCTGGATATATTTTATTCTATCAGTCAAGAGAGTAACTGAAAGACCTGCGGGACTGATTCACGTGGGGAGAATGTTCACAGCACTGTCACCCGGCTTCTCCGCAGGCTTTCCTCTTCCCCAGTGGCCCACTAATGGTATCACTCCGAGTCTCAATGGTCTGGCTGTGTTAGACTCTCTCCTTTTGTGTTTTTACATGCAGCACTACTCTTGGTTTTATTTCAGTCTGACATAGAGTTAACTGCAATCAGATTGTAGTCTGATTTATATGAATAACGGTTGCTAATTTTAGGACTGGGTGAAAGCTATGCCATTCATTATGTCTGGCTGTATTAGAATGACATTTCCTATGAATGTCTACGGTCTGTTTTAGGTGTTTGCTAAACTTCTATGGCTTCCAGGGTCTTCTTACAATGCATTCCTTTAACTTGTCCCTGGAAGCATTGCTACCCATTTTCAGCTTCTCTGCCTCTCTTCTGATACAAGGACAGAAGAATTGGGTAGATATTCACCTTTTAGGGGTGCAAGTATAGCTTTAAGTTTGTGCAAGTGAAAATGTTGAAAAGTGAGTAACCTCGATATTAAAATCATCCTTGACATGAAACAGGGTGAAGAGAAGCTGTCCGTGGCGGCTGGTGTTGGCTGGCATTGGCACTGGGCTGTGCTGACCTAGCCATTACAATTCCAGGGGCTAAGAAGGCTCAGGGCAGACAAAGTCAAGAGGAGGAAGTTTTTGTGGACAATGAAAAGTTATTTTCGTACCTTTCTACCAAAACCAAGTTTCAGGAAAATAACTCTATGTTGTTTATTTTCAGTGACACTTATGTAAGGCCCTGTGAGTTGTATTTATCCTGTATCCGGCACTGCTAAGCTTTTCAAGGTATCTTTCCAATCCTGCTGATGTGGCAGTCAATGGCTGCAGGGCTGGCAAACCTCCCCTTAGCCAGTCAGCACGGCATTGTTCCTTATCAGGAATAACAAAGGTACTACATCTTTCCAGCCATCAGCACGTTGTACAACTTAACTTTTTAACATAGTCCGTCTGTTTACTGAGGCACTGGCGAGTCCCAGGGCTGATACAGAACCTTCCCTAGAGGGAATACCAGAGTTAGCTGGGTATAGAGGTGGCTCAAAGGAAGTGTCCGTGGGCAGGGGGAGGAATGAACAAAATGGCGCTGTTTCTTTGGCTCAGACTCCTAGAATGCTTGACAAGACAGAATTTTTTTGGAAGAACCTCATCTCACTATAGTTACTTTTTTCACTTTTGTTATATATGTATTTATTAGAGCATTTGAATATTGGTACCTTTAAAAGGGTCATTTGGTGTTTTGCTGTTGAGCTGGTTTTTGAGTCATAGATCTTGGCTTCCTTTAGAAGCCACTTAACTTCCATACACTATAATAAACTGTGAACATATTTTTGTTACCTAATGCATCCACTGATGAACATGCAAACTTTGGGCATAATGTGAACTAAAATTGAAATGGAAAATGTTAGTGGCCATTTTGCAACAATGAAGAGGATAGCACTTTATCTAGATGAAAACTGGATTTCTTATCTTTGAAATATCTTGAACTGTTTATTGCTCAGAACTTAAGTAAGCATGCCAACATTTCGTTTGTTTATGCTTGAAGTGAAATGTTTTACTTTTCACTGGAGAAGACAAAACAGGGTGATCTTCATGTTATTGTTTTATACAAGTGATGGAAATGTACCTTGCCTTGTTTAGAGGCAATTTCACATTTATAAATATTTTTTTTTCCTCCATGAAACTTACGCAGTAATCACTACCTGGAAGGTGAGTTTTGATCTCTTTTTAAGGAGAGGCACTTTCCAACTGAAGGTGATTGATGTAGGGAAATGTTTGTACTATATAGAATCCATATATTTGACTGCAAGTTACAAAGTTTTAAGAACATGATGGTTGGTCTCTAATATATTTGGAACTGATTCATAAGAAAAGTTATTAAAATTATCTTTGAAACACCTCTTGAAGCTAATTTATTAGAAAAAATATTTCAGTTGGAAGGCTGTAGAAGTAATGTTTAAATGCTAAGTCATAAGTTCAGGATATTTCTTTTCTATTTGGTTGTGCAAAATGTTTTTCCCAGTTATTTAATCGAAGTAATTCCTTTTAATAGAAAGAGTCAGTTAAAATTCAGCATTCATGGATAGATTTTTGGAACGAAAAAGGGTAAGTATAAGAAAATATTGCAAACACATTAAAACAGTTGTATGGTGCAGGAAAAGAAGATTGGAAAAAGACCAAAACACACTTCTCCAGCAACACTCCATCAGCTTTTTAAAATTTAGAGCTATCTGCTAATTTTTTCCCTCTTCCTTCTCAATAAATGAAACAAACACTGGGCAGCTGCAGGTTTCTCCCAATCATGTCTCTTTATGTAAAGACAGTAACATGCAAACACTTTTAGTTTACATCCCTCATTCACAGTGTAAAGCAGGAAATGGTGTGGGAGATGTGAGACCATTCTGAGGTCAGCGATAGCCCAAAGGCTCTGCAGTATTCCCTCCAATGGCCAAGGATTCCGTGTGTCATCTGCAGGAGTGAGTAGGCCTGCTGTATTTCTTGTAACTGCTGGGTGTTACAAAATAAGTTACAATGTTTTACACTTTAAAAAAAAAACAGAAGGAACATTTGCTTTATTGGTTACTTACTAGTTTAGCCTCTAGGTTATGGCACAGCATGCTAAAAAATCATGTGTTTAAAAGTAAATGTTGGTAAAATGCTGGCATCTGGTCCTATTGTGTTGATGCATTTTCACTTCTGTGGTCATAGGAAATGGACTGGTCTAAAGAGAGTGAGGCACAACACAAGCAGGGCATTAGTTTGAATAGGAAGTCAATCATATTTGGTTTTATGGCCTGGTGTATTTTGGGTTTAAGATAAAATAGGGAAAAATGTCAGAAATGATCCCTATGCATTTATTTTCATGGATACCCTTAATTTCATGGGCATGCCTAATAATGATCTATGTTCTAACTGGAGCTTAGGGCTTATTTTAGATATTGGAGTGTAGCTTTATTACAGATGGATTTTATCTTTCAACATTGCATTTTGATCAACTTTGTATATTCACGTGTATTAAAATATTGTGCACTAAATGTTTTGCCCTTGTTTGCTATTATATGGTCAAGGCATTTATCAGCACTATTGTAATGAACTCATGTAAGTGGCATGGGTCAGGGAAAATTATTTCCTACTTTTCTGCCTAATTAAATTTCTGTTTTCCAGTATTACATTAATTTATTTTTGGCTTCCATTTCTGTATAACCAAAATAGTTACTGTATTTGTGTGGCATTCCTATTATTTTGTTGCTAAAAATATTGTAGTTTTTATTTAAAATAATCTGTACCTTAATTTTTTAAAATGTAACCAATTCAAGCACTTTAAGCAATAATGTCAATCTTGTGAAATTTTAATCAGTTTAACACCCTGCCTCTAAAATTGTTTGCAAAAAATAAATAAATGAATAAAATGGGAATTCTCTTTCTAGAGAATTATATCCGGGTAATGCTACACACATGGACTTAAAATCCTTTTTATAAAGTGTGAGTCAGTGGCAGGTCTTATGTCCAAGTAATTATTACAAACAATTTTGAAGCAGTGGAAATGTACAGAACATTCTGATCATTATAATATATAAAGGCAGTATTACTCTCAAGGTTGATAAAAATCAATGTTCTGGAGATAACTCATCACTTTTTTTGAGTGAAAAAGATCAACAGAATTTAATTCAGGAAATGGTATCTGGAGAATAGCAAATTGAGAATATCAGTGAAAAGAATTTAGGGATAGTTAACTAGGCATCACAGTGAATTTATTTTTGGGGACTTTGCATATAAAATCCTTTTAACCAGTT
Source organism: Homo sapiens (assembly GCF_000001405.40). Classification (NCBI taxonomy): domain Eukaryota; kingdom Metazoa; phylum Chordata; class Mammalia; order Primates; family Hominidae; genus Homo; species Homo sapiens. Next base: position 52,593,795 of record NC_000004.12, on the reverse strand, counting down.
ATGAAATGAAAGATCCATTCCCCAAATAAGAAGGCAGCTTCCAGTATCTGGTTTCTAGGAAGGAGTAGGACTGTGATTGGTCCCTGGTGCCCTGACTTCTGGGCCTGTTTCTGAGCCATGGGGGACCCCCCAGCTTCAGAAATACTCACGTGGGTTCACACCACTCCCTGCCCCAGAAGGAGGGCAGGCACAGGTCCATGCCATGTGGCCTCAGTGAAGCCTACAGTAACTATGGGTAGGGCTGCTTTTCCCTGTCAATCACCCAGGGCACCTGTGGGTGGACAGAAGATTGTCATCGGAATACATGCTTGGGCCCAATTATGGGAATAAAACCTCATAGACCAAGAGCAGGGAATGTGCCAGTAAGTGTTGAGTCTCCCAGCTGCTGTCCATCTTCTCGGGGCAGTGCAGTTGAACCTGACTGAGCTGGAACAGAGACTGTTGGGAAGGTCACTTCTGTCTGCCACGAAGGCCAAAGGCAGAGAAGACCTTCTTGGGACTGTGTTTTTCTTTCCTAGGCCTCACTTTGTCCTGGGATTTATAGGACAGGCCTGTCACTACCAAGGTGACACAAATTCTAGAGAATGTATTTTCCCATTTCTTCAAATTTCCTTTCCTCTCTTTTTATTGATACTTAAAATACCTTTACTAAAAAAATGAAGCCTTCCATTTCCATTCCCTTATATTTACATGAAGATAAAAATACTTACTAAGTCGTTGTATTTGTCCATTCTGGCAGTGCTATAAAGACATACCTGAGCGTGGGTCATTTCTGAAGAAAAGAGGTTTAATTGGCTCATGGTTTTATGGGCTGTACAGGCTTCTGTTCTGGGGGAGGCCTCAGGAAACTTACAATCAGCAGAAGGCAAAGGGAAAGCAAGCCCATCTTACATGGCAGGAGCAAGAGGAAGAGAGCAAAGGGGGAGGGGTTACACACTTTTCTTTCCTTTTTTTTTTTTAAGATGGAGTCTCACTGTCACCCAGGCTGGAGTGCAGTGATGAGATCTCAGCTCACTGCAACCTCTGCCTCCCGAGTTCAAGCGATTCTTCTGCCTCAGCCTCCCAAGTAGCTGGGACTACAGGCATGTGCCACTATACCCGGGTAATTTTTGTATTTTCAGTAGATACAAAGTTTTCTCATATTGGCCAAGCTGGTCTGGAACTCCTGACTTCAGGTGCCTCAGCCTCCCAAAGTGCTGGGATTACAGGCAAGAGCCACCTTGCTCGGCTGGGGTTACACACTTTTAAACAACCAGATCTCGTGAGAACTCAGTCATGAGGCAGTACTAGGGGGATGGTGCTTAACCACCTATGATGCAATCACCTCCCACCAGGCCCCACCTCCAACACTGGGGATTACAATTCAACATGGGATTTGGGTGGAGACACAGAGCCAAACCGTATCAGTCATTTTTCTTTTACTGAAGGAAAATTTTGGTTGTGGGGTTAGTACTAAAGATAGCCCATGTAGACTTTTTCTGAAGATACCCCAAGTGGAGAGATTTTTAATTAGGCATTTATTTGGCACCTATTGCATTCTAGGCATTGTGATAGGAGCTGGGGGATAAAAAGGTGACACAGATTGGGTCCCTCTTATGGACTCGTTTTTTGTCTCAGAAGACAAGTCTGGGTGAGAAAGAAATTTAAAATTTAAGTTGTGGAAATAACACGTGTGGGGGAAACTCCTTGCAATTCAGCACAGTTTGGTATTCAGCCCCAGCCTCAACATGCAGATGGCACTGTTGGATGAAGCCACACCATCTTTTTTCCTGGGAGCCCCACACTCTTCCCAGCCTGCCTTCTAGCTCAGGGACAACACATTTTGAAAAACAAAGTATAAATCGATTATGTTGCAACAATGAACTTCACGTTTTGCCTCTTCTCATGTTAAAAGAGCCAGTATCATGAAAGCCTCAACAGTGAGCTTTATGAATCAAATATCTGTTATTTCTAAACAATCTGTTTACATTATGACCAAATAATTAGAGCCTATCTAGACTTACCAAAATAAGATAGGGCATAAGCGATTTATTGGTGCATCAGCCTTTGTTTGCTTTTTAAGGTTCCTTTATGTTTTAAAGGGATTTGAACAAAAGACATCAGGAGCTTACAAAGGAAAAATAGCTTCATTTTGGTTATGAGATACCAGAGTCAGAAATGACATTAGATTGTATAGAAAAGACTTCTAATTGTGTGCTTACTTCCCACATGATTATAATAAACTATATATTAACAACCTTGGGATCGTACTCAGGTTGTCAATTACACGGATGCATCTTTCACTTTTTTCTTTCCCAAGAGTGAGAGAAAGAGTGAGGTTGTGCTTAAGGCAGTGTGGAATTCTACAGAAGCTCTTCTTGGAAAAGGAGTTCAGGCACTTGTGTTGTAGACTGCAGTCTGATTCTGTTCTTACTTCCTCTCAGCATAAGGGAGCTTTGAAAAGAAAACTCAGACTTGTATCCGACTTGACCAGAAGCAAAATAACTTGATCATTGAAGCCACTATTTCTGTGTATTTGATCAAGTCCTCCTCTGGAATCCAATGCAGCCATATTCATATTTCGGTCTCTCTTAATGGACCTTGCTGGAAAGAACATTCTGTGCTAAGAAAATGGAAAATAAACGTGAGAAAACTTTAAGAATGAGCCTTCACACCTCCTGCAGCAGGTGATAGCTCTGTACTTCAGAGCTTGTCTCCAGGTTGAGAATTACCTGTTTTCCACTCTGAGGGGATTAGAAAGATACTGTTTTAATGGGTTATAAAACTTGTGTGAAGAAGATTGGCCTTCTCCACCTCTCCTGTGAAATAAATTGTTTGAAAACTCTTTGAAGAGAAATGGCTTCAGTATATTGTTCTATCTCTGCTACCCCAAAGCCCAGAGAACAAATATTAAGTATAAATTGCTAGGCTAGGTATGTCATATGTGGCAGCTTTGACATGTAAACCAAAAGACTGAGCCAAGTCTCAATCAATGTACAGGTTATTTTGCCAAGGTTGAAGACACACTAGGGAAAAGAGACACAAGCTACAGTATGATCTATGGCCCCTACTTTCTCCAAAGAGGATTTTGAGGGCTTCAGTATTTAAAGGGGAAAAGTAGGCAGGAGGAGAAAGGAGGAAAGAACAAAAAAAAGAGGGAGAGCATGGTCACATTCTTAGGAGGCTTTGATTCACACTCACTGAATCCATGTGTTGCACGTGGCAAGGAATGGGTAGAGGAACAGTCGATTATGTATGTCCCCTGCTCAGTAAAACTGCACTTTACAAAAGATAAACAGAATAGGGGAAGAAGTCAAATATGCATTTATCTCAGGCTGGGCAGTGGGGATGGTTTGTACTCTCCTCTTGTCCCATACTTGGGGAGGCCACCTGGGGAGACATGGCCTCTTGTAGCTATCTGTTTAGGAACAAAAGGAAAGACAGTGTTCTGTGACCCAGCTTCCAAGCTTAACTTTTCCCTTTGGTATAGTGAGTTTGGGGTCCCAAGATGTTCTTTTCCTTTCACAGATGTATGACACTTCAGCAGAAGGGTGAAGGCTGTAGAAGGGAGAGAAAACCCTCTTCCTGTATGGCTATTGATTGACTTTGACTTTTAACTGATTATGTCATCTGAGGAGTCTGTGAAGGTTTATGAAGAATGAATTCACCATACAACCTCCCCTCAGATGGAAATGTGTACATAATGTAGAAGAATAAGGGGCTGTGAGTTTCGGGGGTAAGAGGAGGGGAATAAAGTTAAGACTCCTAATACTGCTTAGCTTCTAGCCTTGGGTCTTGCCGCAACGCCTGCCCAACACCTGTGTGTGTGTGCTTTGCAAGGTTAGCTGGGACTTAGGTAGACCCCACTTTGTCTGTCGCTGACAGGAAACCTACACATTCTCTGCTCTTTCTGCTGTTTCCCTGACCTCGCTCTCCCATGGAATTTTAGATTCAATTCAGTGGAGTTCAGGTTCCAGTGTGGGTTGATCACCAGCCGATGCAATCCCCCTAGCATATGGGAAAGCAAAGGATCAGGAGGCATGAGATCCTAGTTCAGTCCTGGCCTTTGCTTCCTGGTTTGCCTAAGTCAGATGTTGGACATAGTATTGGGGTAGGGTGCTGATGAGTGGTAGTTGGTGAAGGGGCCATTTTCCACACAAGTCCCCAAGGGAGACAGACCAATTGGCAAAACAATGGAAAGTATATAATCTTAGCTACTTAAATCATAAGTAGTTCTGGGATACTAGGCTCTACTGTTCTATTTATTCCCCACAACATTTCCTAACATTTCCTAGGCATGAAAGATGACGCTGAAGACATGAGAAAAACAAGCATCCCCTGACAGCCAGGGGCTAGCCTGAGACAGCCGCCCTCTGATGTTGTCAGGAGGCATCCTGGCGTTCATCACTGGGCTGTGGTGTTTCTTGTTCCACGTAAATCGCACAGAACACCACCCTCAGACAAGGTCATGCCGTGACTGTGATGAAGTTAGACAAAAAACAAGACCACTTAATAATTATCCCAGCATAGACAAACACAAGGTCACTATGTAAACCACGAAATCACAAACTCTTCATCCGAGTGCCTGCTGCCCTTCACCAGTTCCCATTTTAGCTTTGCTCTCATCTGTGCTACATGAGATTTACTACCATCTCAATCAGATAATCTCCCCCACTTCCTGACAACACCCAATCCAAAGCACACCCCTATTCGTGGAACACTCCCACGAATGACCTAAGCAAGGCCTCCATCCTCAAAGTTCTTCTGACAGCTGCTTACTGAGATGCCCCACAGTCCCCCAGTGTGTGGTCTCCCAATGCACTGAGCATTTGTTCAACCACAGTTGTTTTCCTAATGGTCTGGCTGGAAAGTGCTAGACTGAGAAGTCATTTCCTGAGGTCTGCTGTTCTCATGAGGGCAAGGGGGAAAGGAGCGTCATACACACAAACAGGATGGCTACTGGTGTGCTGGCACCTCATTGATCTGCAGCAACTCGTCCTGCCCACGGGGTTGGTGGTTTTGGCCCAGACACCAAAGAAGGCTTCTTACAAGTAACTGGAGAAATCTAGACTTCAGTTTTTCCTAACCTGTAAAACAAGGTCAAAGCAGTTTTGTAATAAATAGAAATGCTGGAAAGCATGTAGTGTGATGGTGGGCATGCCCTGGTACAACTGACATGCTTTGCTCATTGTTCATAGTTCCTGGCACCTCCACACCTCCCCTTAGAGTCCCTCAGGCTCAGGTTTGTCTGTGTCTCGAGCCCTTGCTTTCCTGAGGGATCAGAACCCCTATTTGAGGCAGGGCCTTAAACCGAGGAGATGCGGACTGAGCTCCCTCTGTATGGAGGGTTCAATCAATTTCAGGAATTCCAATTTGCTCCAGCAGAGAAGGTCCAAGTTCTGTCTGGATCCTGTTATGTGTGCTGAAGAGCTTTCCAGAGTCATAGGGCTGGGGTGGGGAGGGGTCATCCTGGTGTGGACAGGGCATGTGGCAGTAGAGACGACTGAAGATGCAGGGACAGGGTCCAGTGCCCTCTAGTGGGAAGGGCCCCCCAGACACCTCCTGATTGTCCTCAAAAGAGCTGCTGCACAAGTCTTGCTCTTACTTTGTTTGCATTACTTGTCTATGTGTTTTGTTTTTTTTTTAAAAAAACACTCCCAAATGTGACAACAGTGATCTTGAATCCAAACCAAGGCTGAAATTAAACAAGCCCTTACCTTTCTGCAAGACGGGGCAATGGAACAAGAGATCATGAAAAGAGAGAAGAAGACGGGCTCCATGAAGACAGTGTCCTGTCCCTCTCTGAAGCTGGTGCCTAGAAAGGGTTGTCGAGTTAAAACAAATGCGTGACAAGGGGGTGTGGGGCTAACATGGAGAAATCTAAGAAGAAGAGAGGTGATTCTTACTCCTATTTAGCTTTTTAATGTTACAAAGCAGGAAAGGAAGGGTCAACCTAAAATAAAGGAGTCAGGATCCAATTAAAAGAGTTTAAGTGCAAAGATTGAGGGTAGCTGTCCAGGCACACCCGGATACCAGAGAATGATTATTAGTGCTCTCGGTGTGGGGATAAGTGAAGATTATTTATATAGGCAAAAACAGGTGTAGAACAGAATCACAACATTCTCCATACAAAGGCTAACACAGAGCTATAGGATTTGATTGGCTACTATTGATTACACTCCAAAGGATTACTTAACATCCAATTGTAAAGAGGTGAAAATCATGAGGGTCTCCATCTCATTTAGCTTAGGTTTGCATAAAGATTAGGGAGTCTCGTTAATGTATAACATCTCAACACAAAGGTCAAGAAGCAACGGTCATTCACCAGAGAAGAAAAACAACTGTGACTCAGTTTCCAGGGCTTAACTTTTGCCCTTGGCATAATAAATAGGGAAGGTCCTGAAATTTTCTTTTCACGGAAGAACAAAGAAGAAGAAGAAAGGAAAGAAAATGGAATATTTGAGAAATCGATGTAAGGGTTTAAATAAAAGATCTGAAAGCCACTTTCTGATTTTCGGAGGTACAAGAAAAGAACCTCATGGCAAGCCAACTAAAGTGGCAAAGCATAATTTTAATCCTTATAGTCCTCCCCTACCTGAGAACAAATATCCTATTTTATTTCTGCTATTCAAGTTTTGGTTACAATTTTTTGTAAGTTTTGATTTTTGTAGGCAAAAACTGTGAGACCTCTCAAAAGTGATATGGGATAGGAACTCATTTACTGTTTTAGAATTTCTGGAAAATAGTTTTGCATTTTGAAGCTTTCCTGCTTTAATTTTGCTAGAGGCATTTATTTGTAATTATGTCAGCTGATCCCAGACTATAAGCTACATAATAGAACTTTAATTACATTAGGTACAGGATTTTTTTCTCTTCTCCATTTACATATATGGAGGAATGAAGTATTGGACAGAAAGTCGGCTGGGCATGGTGGCTCACGCTTGTAATCCCAGGACTTTGGGAGGCCAAGGCAGGCAGATCGCTTAAGCCCAGGAGTTTGAGACCAGCCTGGGCAACATGGTTAAACCTCCATCTCTACAAAAATTAGAAAAATTAGCCAGGCTTCCTGGCATGCACCTGAAGTTCCAGCTATTTGGAAGGCTGAGGTGGGAGGATCACCTCAGCCTGGGGAGGTAGAGGCTGCAGTGAGCCATGATTGTGCCACTGCACTCCAGCCTGGGTGACAGAGCAAGACCCCGTCTCAAAAAAATAAAAAGTCTATAGTGACATTCTGAGAACAAGTGTTGTGAATAAGTGAATGATGGAAGTGTAGGGAGAATATTCAATAAAGAAAAATGGTAAAGCAGAGCTGAAGGGAACAGAGATTTCATGCATTCTTAGGCATGGCTGGTGAGTGAGTGACTTCTGTCACACTAATATTTAAAGAAAGCTGCCTGATAGAATGTATTTTAAAATAGATTTCTGGGAAAGTAGATATAGTTTATTTTTAAAACTTTATCATGGGGAATTTTAAACGTACAAAAGTAGAATAGAACACAACCTCTGTGAACCCACGACTCAGCTTCAACAGTTAATTATAGCCAGTCTTGTTTCAGACTGCTGGAATTTTCAGATGGTACTGGAAAGTTACCAAACGAACAAGCCTTCAACTATTCAGGATCTCTAAACCCATAAAGGACAAATGTATAAGGTGTTGATGTGGTTTAGATTGACAGCCAACTCTAAGGGATTTTCCATGTATTTTGTCATTCCTCTAACTTGAAGTAACATAATCATTAGCATAAATGCAAAAACGTTTTTGTGATGCAGAGGTTTAATTGTTGAAATGGCCTTAACTTTTACAGTGGCTAAATAATATAAAAAATAATGAGACTGAAGCTGCAGTATAAGGAAGTAACCACATTTATTTGGAAAATTGTAACGAAACAATAGCACTTCATAACTAATATAGATTATAGAATATAGTTCTATGAATATATATATGCAAAAGTGACAACTTCTACCTCTCACAGCTGTTTTACATGCCTTCTAGGTTTTCACTTTTCCATCTACCCCTTACTTTTCTGGAATTATCCCAAAAGGATGGGGCCAGACTCAAAATTTCTGTTTGTCTTGCCCCTTTCCTGTTGATGTTTTCTCTTGTGGCATGTCATTAGAAGATTTTACTGATCAATATGTTAAATCAAAGAATGCTAGAGCGGAAAGAGAGTTCCTGGAAAACAGTTCAAACTTTCCAAAGTCAAGATGAGGAAACAGAAGCCCTGAGATCTTATCAAGACTTGCTTGCATCACTTTCCAAGTTGGTTTTACCTAAAGCAAGAAAGGAGGGACTGGTGACGGTTGCCCAGAGAAGAAGCAGAGTCACTGTTCTGTGTGGTGGGTACTTGCAGGAGAAAGGGAATGCAAGCTCAACTGTAGCTCTTGAAATCTCCATCTCTCCCTGGTGCCTGCTCAAAGGAGCATGTGGAGGCCTGAGCTGCAGGGTTTAGGGCAAGGAAAGAGAAACAGCTGGTCTTAGCAATCAGGAGGTAGAGCAGAAACCAGAGGGTCTTATATATAGAATTTCCCCCTTTCCAGTCCATCACCCAAATGATCTAGGGCTGTTTTCAAGCCCTTGTTTCGGTAGCACAACCTTTTTGAAAAATAAAATCTAATGTAAAACCTAACTGTGTATATGGCGTTTTTTTCCCTCAGCTTTATTGAGGTACGATTGGCAAATAAGTATTGTATATATTTAAAGTGTACAACAGGATGGTTTGGCATATGTGTACATTGTGAGATGACTACAGTTAAGTTAATTAGCAAATACTCTTTTGTATATGTGTGATGAGAACATTTAAGATCCCTCTTAGCAAATTTCATGTATGTAATCCATTATTATTAACTATGTCACCATGCTATATATTAGATTATGAGAATTTACTCATCTTAAACTGAAATTTGTAACCTTTAACTAATACCTCCTCATTTTCCCCTTCTCTATCCCTAGTAACCACCATTCTACTCTGTTTTTATGAGTTCCAGTTTTTTAGATTCCATATATAAGTGATATCATGCAGTATTTGCCTTTTCATGTCTTGCTTACTTCACTTAGCATAATGTCCTCCAGATTCATTCATGTTCTTGCAAATGACAGGATTTCCTCCTTTTTGAAGGCTGAATAATATTTCATGGTATATATATATGTGTATATATATATGTATATATGTATATATACATATATATATATATGACATGTATTTATCCATTCATCTGTCAATGGGCACTTAGGATGTTTTGCATCTTGGCTATGGTAAATAATGCTGCAATGAAATGGTAATGCAGATATGTCTTGGAAGTTACCGAATTTATATCCTTTGGATATATACCCAATAGTGGGACTGCTGGATCATATGGTATTTCTGTTTTTAATTTTTTGAGGAACCTCCACACTTTTTTCTGTATAATGGCTGTACCAATGTACATTCCCCCCAACAGTATATAAGGGTTCCGTCTTAGTCCATTTTGTGCTGCTTATAACAAAATAGCTGAGACTGGGTAATCTGTAAAGAACCGAGGTTCACTTCTTATAGTTCTGAAGTATGGGAGGTCCAAGATCAAGGGGCCCACCTCTGGGCCTGGACTTTAGTGCTGTGCTTCCACAGTGGAAGATGGAAGGGGAAGAGAGTGCAAGCAAGAGGGAACAAGAGGTCAAAATCACGGCCTCAAGGACTTTATTATTTGCATTAATCCATTCATGAGGGTGGAGCCCTCGTGACCTAAACACCTTCCTTTAGGCCTCACCTCCCAACACTGATGCATTGCGGGTTAAATTACTAACACGTGCTTTTTTGGGGACACATTCAAACCATAGCAGGTTCCCTTTTCTCCACATCCTTGCCAACACTTATCTTTCAACTTTTTGGAAATAACCACCCTGACAGGCATGAAGTGATGTTTCATTGTGATTTTGACTTGCATTTGTCTGATGCTTAGTAATGTTAAGCATCTTTTCATATATCTGTTGACCACTTGTGTATATATGGTGTTTTATGTGGCATTTTATTAGTATACATTCCTTTTATAAATTCTTTTTAGAATGAGAACAATGCAATTATCTGAGGAACATGAAATTTTGAAACCAAGGATTGTCAGTGACAATAGTATTCTTTTATTGGTCTTAGCACCCAATTTACATCTGAACTTTTATTTCACTCACATGGAATTATGAAAATTCAAGTTTGCACTGATACATGGTTGCATATTGTGTTTCATTTTGTTTTTTAAACAACTGCCTTGCAATCTCCAAGATCTTTTCAATAAAACCAAAATAGCGGGGAAACTTTTATTTTTATGATTTCTCATTAAAATAAGTTAACCTCTCAGATTACCTCGGTTAGAGTCTCCAAGGAGTTCAAATTTGATTTATAACACAGTTGAGTGTATCTGTTGGTTATTAAGCCAAGTTATATTTTAAAAGTGAAACTCTAATGAAAACATTTGTGGAACCCCTGAAGCAGGGGTCTGTAGAACATAGTTTGAAAACCACTAATCTGGTGTTGAAGAAGTAAGGCCTCCTTTATTTCCTCACCCCAAACGTTTTTCAGCCTTTCCCGCTGCCCTTTCTTGGCTTATTTTCCCCTTTAGAGCAGTGTTGAACTCATTTTAACTAAATTTCATTAAGTTAGCACTGTTGTTGGTAGGAGGATGGAAAAAAGGGCAAAGTGGCTGCTTGTTCTGCCTGGGACCTTGCATTCCCACCTCCCTTCCTTCTTTCCCCTCCATCCCATAGCATAAAGGGGGTGGGTTCGAGTCAGCCCCAAGTAAAATCATGAAGCAGGTGGACTTCAGCTCCAGGACTGAAGAAGCTGTGAGAAGGAAGTCCACCCACTGTTTTTGGCATCCCCTTCCCTTTAGGAAGATGTGGTAGCAAGCTGCTCTATTTGGACATTCTGTGCTCCCTGTGCCCCCAACACACACTGAGATCCTGGGGTCTGTGATCCAAATTTTTTTCTTCTGCCTTATCAAAACTTACAGAATGGGAAGTGTCCCATGACTTAGACACTGCTTTCTGCTAGGTGTTTTCTAGCTAATATGTTTAGCATATACGCAGTAGCAAGCTAATCCAGCTGATATGTTTACTGGTGCTCTTTTGCCAATGTTAGTTATTTTTCTCACACATTTATTAAGCAATTAATCTGCAATGAGTAATAAGCTGAGTACTTTACATGATCATTGGGTTCTCACAACAACTCTGTGAGATAGGTTCTCTCTCTCATTATCATTCCCATCTAGGGATGAGAACACTGATGCCAGGATTTAAAAGAGCTTTCTGAGAGTCCTTTTGGAACCCTTTGTTCTGGTGACCACCCAGGCCACCTGCTGCAAATTTCAGGTACAAATGGTGAGGTGGTTTAGAAGCAACGTTTGTTCATCTGAAAGAATAGAGCTTTCCCCAATAACACAGCAGTTAAGAGCACAGTCTTTGAAGTAAAAATAACACAAATTAGAATGTTGGCTCAGCCACTTACCAACTGTATGAAACTCAGTTTCCTCATCTGTAAAATGGGAGATAATAACAGTACCTACGTCTAAGTGTTGTTGTGAGGATTAAATGAGATAAAGCGTGTCAAACACATAACGTGATGCCTGTCACTATGTTCAGTGCATTCAATATATTCAATGCTGGAATGTAAGTGGTCAGAAAGTGTTAGCTGTTATTTTATTATTATTAACTCATTATTAGTCCTGAGCCTCTTCCACTGAAGCACATGTTTAAAATAGGAATATGTATAAGTTATTTGGAATAATTTAAGAAACAAAATTAGACTGTGCTAACACCATTTATCTTAATTCCTTTATTCTTTGAAGGTACGATCACCCTTTGGATCATATACAGTTTCTGCTGTGGCCTGGTTCCAAAATTAGCTCTAATATCTTCTTTTCTTTTAGGGCAACAAACTCTGCAGATTGGGCTCTTGCACATAGATGGATGCTGCTTTGGTCAGCCAATGAAAGAGAGGGCAGAAAGAGCTAATATCATCAAGTCATGCTTCTTGTTCTTTGAGCAAACTTTTTCTATACCTAGCTTTGGGACAAATTTTGCCCCTAGGAGTCAATCATGCTGCCAGTGTCCATTGAAGTCAGCATTTTATTCACAAGTGCTGTTTCTGCACTTCTTGAAGGACAGAGGGTCTTGCCCGACACAAGCCTTCCTCACATGTATGCCAGGGACCCACTCAGAGAGGGGCAGTCGGCACTCACATAGGTCCAGATTCACAGCTATTAGATCCTCTCCGGAGCTTCAAGTCAGTGGGGCCCATGGTGAGGGCAGCCTTCTCTGCCCCTATTCATCTACTGAAGATGGCCGTGGCAACACCAACGGCTCCAAATCATAGCAATTTGGCAACCTCTTACCTGAGCCATTTAGGAAATTTCTTATACAGCAACTCTCTTAGGTTTCCCTAGTTCCAGTCAGATCACGTGTTTGGTTTTATTAAAACATGTTTGTATTATTTAAAAGATGAAAGTGCTAAATGCTTGTTGTCCACAGTTAGGAAAACATAAAAAAGAATCTTCACAAGGCTTTTTTTCTTATTATTTTTGTAGTTTGACTTCCATATGCATTTTTTTAAATAAAGTTACTTGACTAATTCGACACTTGCATGTGTATAGCTAAGCCTCTGACCCTACTAGTGTAAGTCCTTCCTGCTCTATGTAGAAAAGTGTTAAGTTTAAAAATGCTGTTTACATATGTGTGAAGATAGTCACTGCAAAGTTGCATATAATGTCAAAAGGATCTAAATGTTCTTTAAATAGATAACGATACATCCATATTATGAAATTGTATGCAGTAATTTTGACACATAAATCATGATCATATTTAAAAATTCACCAAAAATATCCAGTTAAATAGAGTGAAAACCGAAAGTTCCCCTTTATTCCAATTCCATTTTTTTCCCCAAAGATAACTACTAATGAAAGTTTGTGGTAGGCCCTTACAGATCTGTTTTTGCATTAATGCATGTATATTTGCACATAGATATATATAAATATATATGTTTTTAGTTTTAATTTTTAAAACAGATTATTAAGTTTTATTCTGCAACTTGGTCTTTCTTTCAACTAGAGTGACTTCATTTAAAATAAATTATTGGACAAGGCACAGTGGCTCACGACTGTAATCCCAGCACTTTGGGAGGCCGAAGTGGGTAGATCACTTGAGGTCAGGAGTTCAAGACCAGCCTGGCCAACAGGGTGAAACCCCATCTCTACTAAAAATACAAAAAATTAGATGGGCATGGTGGCATATACCTGTAATCCCAGCTACTTGGGAGGCTGAGGCGGGAGAATCACTGGAGCCTGGGAGGTAGAGGTTGCAGTGAGCCGGGATCATGCCACTGCAGTCCAGCCTGGGAGACAGAGTGAGACTCCATCTCAAAAAAAATTACTGCATATAATTCCATAATACAGATGTACCATAGCTACTTTTATATATACATAGAAACTTGCAAGACCAAGCACGGTGTCTCATGTGTATAATTCCAGCACTTTGGGACACCAAGGCGGGTAGATCACTTGAGCTCAAGAGTTCAAGACCAGCCTGGGCAACACGGCGAAACCCCATCTGTACAAAAAATATAAAAATTAGCCAGGTGTGATGGTGCATGCTCTGCTACTCAGGAGGCTGGGGTAGGAGGATCACTTGAGCCCAGGGAGGTTGAGGCTGCAGTTAGCCATGATTGTGCCACTGCACTCCAGCCTGGGCAACAGAGTGACAGAGTGAGACCTTGTCTCAAAACAAAAACGAAAACAAAACCCACAAACAACAACAGCAACAAAAACCTTGGAGTGAATATCTTTGCACATATGTAAACCTCATTTTTAAACTTAAAAATTTTCCCTACAGGGCAGGAGGGACTTACACCAGTAGCCTCAGAAGGTTTAGCTGTATCCATGTGCAAGTGTTGAATTCGTCCTGAGAAAGTACTTGGGGAAATTAGAGGAACTCATTAAATCTTTTGGACCAAGAGCTAACACTGAACCCTAGAACTACCTGGTTTCATGAATGCCAAAAGAGATATTTTTAGTTTCACATTTGTTTAATGAACACAGGCCCTGGAACCATCATCTGAGTATAGTAATTTGAGATATAATTTTAAGATTACTGGAAGACAGTGTAATAGGCTTGATGTCTGTCCTCATCTGGTGTTTGATATTCTTTCCTCTTGAGTATTCCAGGCCCAAGAGAGGCTTGAAAGTTGATAATGTGTGTTTTTCCACTGTTGCCCTTTCAACAGGGTCTAGAATTTCCAACTGGTCTAACTGTGAAACTTGTCTTCTTGCTGAAATGTTTTTCCTTGATTTGGGGTTTTCTTGAAATTATTGCCAAAGTCATATGACATAAATTGTAAATGCCACAAAATTTATTCTGCTATTCTTGAGATAAAACATGGAAATCTGAAAGTTGAAGGCTAGGACTTGGGAAGAGAACTTAAGAAGCTACCATTTCAAAATCCTTAATGAAGGGATTATATCACCTGCTTGCTTTGACTTGAAAGTCTCTTGAATGATCTTGTTCATCTGTCAGACAATCCCTGCGTCAATGATTAATAAAAACACTCTAGCCTGAGGGTGGGCTTGTGCTGAAACACTGAGGGAGGCAAAGTGCAGCAGGAGTAGAATCTGAATTCCAAACCCAGACTATGCCTAGAGCAAGGGTTCTCCAGCCTGACTGTGTCAGAGCCAGCAGGATGCTTTCACCACCACCAGCAACACCAGTGACACCCCCAGCACCAGCAGCACCAGCAGCACCACCAGCACCAGCAACAATAACATAGTTTCTCATCTACCGAATGAAAAACTATGACCTGATCAAATTTTTCACCTAAGTTAATGGCAATTTCTTAATCTATCTCTGTTCCATAGCTGAACTCCTGGAACACTGATGATGACTACAACATTTAGCAAATCCCAGACTCTGGCATGGATCCAGCTCACCTATGAGCATTTATAGTAAATTATATTTCAATGGAAATAAGTTATTTGTGTGGAGTTTGTGATAGTCACATGAATGATAATACTTATTATATTTATGCTTGTAGTGATTTTAATGATTATTGTCATACCTTGAAAGATATTATATTGATAGACCAATAAAAAAAACTGACCAGGTTGATTTGTGATGATGGCAAGTATAAATAAAACACCTCCTTTCCTTCATTCCTCCAGGTTCATTCCTTCGCCTCCAACATATACATCAATCACAGCGGTATCTCTTCATGTCTATTGCCAACCCCCTAGTCCAAGCCACCATACTGTCTTGCTTCCTCAATCCATGCATGGCACAGCAACCTGAGGGCTTTCTTTTGTCTTTTTATTTTGAAAAATTGTAAACCTACAGAAAAGTTGCAAGAATAGACAACAAGCAACTATCTATCCTTCATCTAGATTTACCAATTTTAATAATTTGTCATCTTATCTCTCTTTATATATGCATATTTTGATTCTTACAATTACTGTTATTACATTATTGTTGCTGATTCATTTATGAGTATGGTGGAGACATCATAACCCTTTGCTCCTGATTACTTCAGTCTGTAACCTCTAACAAGGGCATTTTCTTCCATAACCACAGTTACAATGATCAGGAAATTTGACATTGATTCAATACTATTATCTACTATAGAGTCCAAATTCAAATTTTACCACGTGTCCCTAAAATGTCCTACCTAAAAAGTTATTTTCTTCCAGAATCCAATCCTAGACAGATACTTGCTTGTCATGTGTCTTCAGCCTTCTTTAATCTCAGGCTTTCTTTGTCTTTTGTGACATTAGGACTTTTGAAGAGTACAGGCCAGTAATTTATACTACACTCCCCCATTTGGGTTTGTCTGAGATTTCCTCATGAGTAAATCTAGGTGATGCATGTTTGGTAGGGCCCCTCTCAGGTTATCACATTAGGAGCAGAAGGACCTTTGAACCTAGTGGGTCAGACTGTGCTCCCACCGGGCGTATCATCCTCCAGTGGCATCTCATGGAATCAGCTGTTCCATACTAAGGTCCTACACACGCCAGCCCCTCCTTCTATCCTCCCATGCTGCTTCCTTGCACTGAGCTCTGGCCGCACTGGGCTTTGTCCAGTTCCTTGAGCAGGTCAAACTCTCTCCTTTAAAACATCTTCCTCACTCTGTTCTGCTTCCAGTTGATTGGCCTGTACATTCCAGGAGTTCAGCTATGGAACAGAGATAGAGTAAGAAATTGCCATTACCTTGAAATGGAAGTAACTGCAAGGTGAATTTTGTTAAAATTTTTTCTTTTACCCCCCTACAGCTTTTGGATTACTCCAAAGTCAGAATAAGCCATTCTGGTACTTGACATATTCAGAAGTATGACTCACCCCTCTCCCATATGACAGGTTTAGTTGGTTGTTGTGTGTGTGTGTGTGTGTGTGCATGTGTGTGTGTCTAAAATTTTTGCAATAAGACAATCTAAAAGGCAGCTCATAAAAATAACTTAAAAATGTTTTATATGTTTTTATTTGAAATATTTTTGGCACCTTAGTTATAAAAAGTAAGTGTATTCATGTTTATAAAGCTAGATGATCTGGTTAAATAATTCCATTTAGAATTCTTGGGGAAATCATAAGCAATTATTCCTAATAGGTCTTCTCAAATTCCATTCGAAATCATCACCACAAGTCTGTTTCCCAGAAGAGCCTTGTGTTACTGTTGCTTTATGAGATGAAGCAGTGTGGGGGTATCATGGGGTGAAGATGTTTACAAAGATGCAATTCTGGAGGTTGAGAAGTCCAAGATCAAGGTGCCAGCAGATTCCATGTCTGGTGAGGGCTGATTCCTCAGAGATGGCACCTTTTATGTGTCCTCACATGGCAGAAGGGCAAACACAGATTTTGAATTTTAGAATAACTTAGATTTACAGAGAAGTTGTAAGGATATTACAGAGAGTTCCTGATTTTCTTCACACAGTTTCCCCTAATTTTAATATCTTACATTACCTTGGTACATTTGTCAAAACTAGGAAACCATCATTGGTACGTTATTTTTAACTAAACTTCTGATATGGTTTGGCAGTGTCCCCACCTAAATCTTGTTCTGAATTGTAGCTCCCATAATTCCCATGTGTTGTGAGAGGATCTGGTGGGAGATAATGGAATCATGGGGGCAGTTTCCCTCATACTGTTCTCATGGTAGTGAATAAGTCTCATGCGATCTGATGATTTTATAAGGGGTTTCCCTTTTCGCTTGGCTTTCTCATTGTCTCTCTTCCCTGCCACCACGTAGGATGTGACTTGCTCCGCGTTGCCTTCTGCCATGATGGTGGCAGCCTCCCCAGCCATGTGGAACTGTGAGTCAATTAAACCTCTCTCTTTCATAATTACCCAGTTTCGGGTACATCTTTATCAGTAGTGTGAGAACGGACTAATACAACTTCAGACTTTATTCAGATTTGACTTGTTTTCCACTTATGTTCTCTTTCTGTCTGAAGATCCAATCCAGGTTACTACCCTGTATTTATTTGTCATGTCTTCTTAGTCTTCCCCGGTCTGGGACAGTTTATTTTAAAAGTCATTTTTTTTATCAACATAGTATACACATATAATTTAAAAACCCAACTAGCGCCAAAAGATTTACAATGCAAAATAGGAGCTTATCAGCCATAATCTATGCAATACCCCAGAAATAACCACCCTTGCTGGTTTTGGCCACTTCTGGTGTTTACCTCTGTATTTATAAGTAATACAAATTACCTAACTTGTATTAAATTACTTTGAAATTAAGTTACTATTAAAAATGCAAAAATACGTTCGAGGTAAAATAAGACACAGAGAACACCACACAAAACTAATGAATGATTTAATTGGATGTTGTGAGTTGAGCACTTTTGTAACTACCACCCAAGACAAGAAACAGAATGCTGGCAAACACCCTAGTAGCCCCTCCCCCTGCCCTGTTCTAATCAGAAGTGAACACTCTCCTGACTTTTATAGCTATAATTGTCTTGTGTTTTGAAAAATAGTTTTATTACCCAGTGAACACTGTTGAGCACTATGGTTTGTTTAGTCTTAACCATTTAAAAATTGTTATTATTATTTTTTGAGACAGGGTCTCACTCTGTTGCCCAGGCTGGAGCGCAGTACCACAATCACAGCTCACTGCAGCCTGGACCTCCCAGGCTCAGGTGATCCTCCCACCTCAGCCTCCCAAGCAGCCTAGGACTACAGGTGCATGCCATCATGTCTGGCTAATTTTTTAAGTCTCTTTTAATTTACAGGTTTCTTCTCCATCCCTTTCTTTTCCTTAAAATCCCCTCTCCTCCCCTCCCCTCTCCTCCCCTCCCCTCCCCTCCCCTCCCCTCCCTTCCCTTCCCCTTCCCTTCCCATCTTTTCCCTTCCCTTTCTTTTACAAAATCCACAGTTTGAATATTCTTACTGTTAATCTTGGAGAGTATCCTTTACGTGACCTTGTCCCAATGCCCGGAGTCTTTTATACATTGGCTAGATATGCAAGTAGAGACTGCCTACCCTGAGAAACATATATTTTTTCTTTTTTTAATAAAGAAAGTTTGTGGGCACATAGTAAGTAGGTGTATATATTTATGGGTTATGAAATATTTTGATATAGGCATATGATGCATAATAATTACATCAGGGTAAATGAGGCATTCATCACCTCAAGCATTTATCCTTTGTGTTACAAACAATCCAATTATACTTTTTAAATTGTTTTTAAATGTACAATTAAATTATGATTGACTATAGTCACCCTGTTGTGCTATCAAATACTAGATCTTATTCTTTCTATTTTTTAATACCCATTAACCATGCCTCCCTGTTCCCTGCCAACTCTTCCCAGCCTCAGGTAACCATCATTCTACTCTCTTATATTTTCTCCTCTTGTTTTTTGGAGAAAGACATATTGTAAACAATCAAATCATTTTAGGAAGGCAGGAAGATCAAGGCTGAATAGAAGTGTAGGCACTTGGTAGTGACTGGCAGAATTTTACCCATATTTTTGCCTTTAGCAGAAAAAACTCTACTATTTTATATATGTTATATCTAGTTTTTGAACAAAGATGGCTTTTAAAATAGCTTACTGATTAAAAGTAGGTGCTCTGATGGTCTGCTTGAGTTTATATCCTGGCCTGTCCATTTCTTAGTGGCTTTGTGACCTTGGACAAGTTATTTAACTTCTTGGTGCCTCAGTATTCGCTTCTGTAATATGGAGGTGATAATTGGCATAGGGTTGTTGTGAGGACCAAATGAGATAACAAATATAAAGTGCTTTGAAAAGTGGTTGGCAAGCACAGAGTAAATGCTTAATATTTTAAGCTTCCATTACTATTCTTTGCAATGGTGAATAGATTGAAAATGATCAATTTAAGTTTAATGTACATGCCCAGGATTTTCAATTCATTTATTCACTTTTACTCCTGGTACATTTCCAGCTCTTATTCGTGTGATGAGGGTAAAATTAATTCATCCGCAGCCGTTCTTTAATCTCTGGCTATTTTCTGACTCTTCGGCAAATAAATTATCAGTGTTTAAACTAAACAATTAGTCCCAGCTTGAAAGAATTTGTAAATATCTCCAAGGCCGTGCACAATGGAACAAATCTTTTGTTTCCTCTGTTTATACATAAACTTTGGAATGTAACTACTGAAACCACAGCTCTGCTCTAGGGCATCAAGAAGAAAAAAAAAAAAGAATATAGTAATTAACATTTGGCAACAAAGAGGAAACAAATATATTTCTATGCACATCTTTAAAACCCAGAAATCTCTCTCCCTAAGTCTGCAATTATATTTTCTAATATATAGGTGGTTATACCCTTGTAGTGGGTTGAATTGAATCCCCCAAAACAATATATCCAAGTCCTAACCCCTGATACGTGGGAAGGTGCACTTACTTAGAAATAGGGTCTTAGCAGGTACAACTAAGTTTAAGATCTCAAGATGAGATCATTCTGTATTTAGGCTGAATCCTAAATCCAACAACTGGTTTCTTTCTAAGAGACAGAAAAGGAGAAACAGACACAGAGACACAGAGGGAAAGCCAGTGAAACCAGGAAGAGATTGGAGTGTTATGTCTACAAGCCAAGGAATGACAAGAGGGGCTGGCAACCACCAGAAGCCAGGAGAGTGGCATGGAGCAGCTTCTCCCACAGAGCCCGCAGAAGGAGCCAACCCTGCCAACACCTTGATTTTGGACTTCTGGCTTCCAGAGCTGGGAGAGAATACATTTCTGTTGTTTCAAGCTGCCAGGTTTGTGCTAATTTGTCATGGCAGCCCTGGGAAGCCAATATAACCCTCATGATATAGAGGATACTCTGAACATTTAAGAAAAATCAAAATTAAAGAAATTAGAGGCAAATCTAGACATTCTACTTCTACCAGAACAAACACCCACCTCCCCGATACATCTTTTGTTTACCCTAAACTAAATGCATTTGGGAAAAGGGCAAGTTCTAGTTAGCTACCATGTCATACACCAATGTCTATGCTTTTAAGGAATCCAAATATTTAAACTGCATTGCATATAAACTAATCATTCTTAGATGACTCAGAAGGCATTCCACATTCTTCAGAAATCAGGGAGTTACTTGCTATCTTAGTCTTTTCCTGCTGATGTAACAAAATCCCACAGGCTGGGTAATTTATAAAGAACAGGAATTAATTTTCTCACAGTTCTGGAGGCTGGGAGTTCCAAGATCAAGGTGCCAGCAGGTTTGGTGTCTGGTGAAGGCTGCGCTCTGCTTTCAAGATGGTACCTTGTTGCTGCATTCTCCAGTGGGGAGGAACACGATTTCCTCACACATTGGAAGGGAGAGCACGCAGATTTATAAGAGTCTTAATCCCATTCGTGAGGGAGGAACCTTTGTCGCCTAATCAGCTCTTAAAGTCCCCTCCTCTTAATACTGTCACATTGGCAACGCTTGGATTGTGGAGGTGACACATTCAAATCCTAGCACCTGTAATGTCTTCATCATTCTCAATCTGACATCCGATTAATCACCAAGTTTTATAAACATTACCTTCTAAATATCTCTTGAGTTCATCTACTTCTTTTTGTCCTCTCTGTCTCTCTTGGATCCAAGCCACCATTTGTTCTCTCTCTGACAACTGCAGCAGTCTCTGAAATGGTCCCCCCATCCCATTCACTGCACTGCAGTACAGCACAGTCTTGTGACAATACAAGTCTGATTGTGTTTTCTCTTTCAGTGCGGCCCCTAGGGCTCCTTGGACAAAAACCAAACTCCTTGAGAGATAAGGCCTTGTTTTCTTCTTTCCTCTATAGCAGTAAACAATGCGTGGCACACAGTAGATGCTCAATAAACACTGCAATGAATGACTTAAACTACAATGCTCTGTGTAATCTACCTTGAGATCTAGTCTAGTCCCAGTGAACTGGCCATGTGACTTAGGAAAATCATTGAAATTTTCAGGCTTCATCCAGAGTCCCACCCCTCCTAGACTATTTACCGTGTGTTAGCCACACTGGGCTTTAGGGTCTTTGCATCTGTGTGGTTCCTTTTTCTCTCAAGGGTTTTTACCAGGCAGTTCCCTTTTACATCTCACATCTTCTCCCCTAGCATCTACACACCAAATGCCACTTTCTTAGTGCTATGGTCTGAATGTTTGTGTTCCCTGAAAATTCATATGTTGATTCCAAATTGCCAATGTAATGTTATTAGGAAGTGGGGTCCTTGGGAGGCTATTGAGTCATGAGAGTGGAACCCTCATGAATGGGGTTAGTGCTGGTATAAACAAGGCCCGAGGGAGCTAGCTTGCCTCTTCTGCCATGTAAGGACTTAGTGAGAAAGTGTCATCTGTGAACCAGAAAGCAGGCCCTCCCCATATATGAATCTGCTGGTGTCTTGATCTTGGACTTCCCAGTCTCTGGAACTGTAAGAAATAGATTTCTGTTTTTTATAGGCCATTTGGTTTATGGTATTTATTATGGCCCTAAACAGACTACGAGGACACCTAATGAAACTTCACAGATGAAGTGGCATGTCCCCATTACAGGCTCCCATAAGATTTTGTACATTTCCTTCACATTGCATATGACTTTGTAATTATATATTTATTTGGTGATTAGTTATTTATTCTCTCCCACGCCTACTAGACTTCAAGTTCCAGAAGAGGAGAGAGAGGCTCCTTTCTTCACCACTTATTCACCACTGTATCCCCAGAGCCAAGCATAGTGCCTGGTACATAACAGTTGCTTAATAATGGTGGAATGAGTGAATTTGCCCTGTGGTGTCTCAGCATTGCTTTGTGGCTATCAATATGCGGAACCTGTTTTGTGAAAAAAAAAAAAAAAAAAAAAAAAGGGTGGAGATTTCCGGCTTTAAGGTTCATGATATTTAGGTTTTAGGCATTCACGGTAACATTCACTGAAACCCAAGATGGGTAGAAGAGTCTGTGTTCTCCTCTGGCACACAGCTGGGGTATGGTGGAGGTTGGGAGAGAAGGAGACAGGTAGAG
This sequence comes from Homo sapiens, assembly GCF_000001405.40. NCBI lineage: Eukaryota > Metazoa > Chordata > Mammalia > Primates > Hominidae > Homo > Homo sapiens. The sequence continues at coordinate 52,571,367 of NC_000004.12, read as the reverse complement.
GTGGTGCATGGCAGACAGGATGCTAAGGAGAAAGGTGCAAAAGCAGCAAGAAAAGTAGAGCTTTTGGCTTCCCCTGAACTTTGCACCTGACAGTCCTGGGCAGGTAAACTACCAGTCAGAGAAGGAACAGCAGGATGGAGGCTGGGCAAGGAGAGAGGGCAGGGACATGTGATGCTTGAGAGGCTGCAGGGGGTAGAGACATGGAGCCCATTTTTTGGGGAAATGCTTTTCTAGCTCTGTACCTCATGGTTTCCATGAGAAATAAAACAATATTTAGTGGTGCTTAAAGTTTCCATTTTCTCCCTGATTCAGCTATTATAATATTGTATATCAGCAGGCCAAGAAACCAGAAGGCGGGATAAGAATCAACACTTTGTGAGAGCCTTCAGTGGGCTAGGTACTATGCTAGGCAGTTTCATAGTTTCATTAGTTTCTCAGCCTGTCCTCTCTCCCTCCCTCCCTTCCTTCCCCTCTTTTGCTCACCCATTCACTCATTTATATGTCTCAAGCACTGTGTTAAGTGCTGAGAATACATTGATGATTATGATTGAGACCTGCATGGTCCCTGCTGTCATGGGGCTTACACTTCAGTTTTTAAAAAAATCCTCCTACCAATCCATTACAATCTGTATTATCCCTATTTTACAGGTGGGGAAATAGTCTCCAATAGGTTAAGCTGATTTACCTGAGGAAATGGCCTGGATTCAATATTTAATCTATACACCATTATTAGATATGTAGAATTTAGAATTCCTTCCCACTCAGGACACTTTGCAGCCCTTGGGAAAGTCACAATCTCTACTAAGACCCTCACTGTAGAGGAAGCAGTAGGAATAGGGTACAGGTAAAGGAAGGGGCGTGGTGGGGGCCTCTGTTCAGACATAGGAAGCTGGCAGAGGCATTGGTGCCCAGTTACATCCCTGTCACCCTCACCATTCAGGAACATGTCAGAGTCACCTACTGCAAGTCCTGGGGATTTTTCACACAAAGGGTTGCTCTCAGCCTGGCTAGAGGGAACATGAATGGGCCAGGGAGGGAATACTCCTGGGAAGAGGTCTCAGCCAATGACAGCAGAGATGGGGCTAGAGGATAAATACCCTCAAGGGGCATGTCTTACACCATCTCCCAGAGTTCCCCTGCAGGATAAGCCTCAGTTGCCCACAGGAGTCACCTGCTCAATAATGCACGCTTCACTGCCTTCCTTCCCTTTCTTCTCTCATTTCTTCACTTCCTGGGATTGCCTCTAAAATTAACTACTTGCCCTCCAGTCCTTGTCTCCGGCATGCTTCTGGGAGACTCCATACTAAGAAAGGCAGTAACACTTCATACGCTAGCACGTTCTAGTGTGGACCCTACTATTTAATAGCCATATAACCTTGGAAAGATCATTTAATTGAGAACTCAGTTTCTTTAACCTTAGAGATGGGGAATAATATCTTCCATGCCTCCCTCATGGGGTGAATGTGGGGCAAGGATCAAATGAGAAAATGTCTTTGTAAATTATACAGTCCACAGAAACCTGGTGCGGAGTTGGTATACTTAGAGATTTTTCGTGGTGTTAAAATGAAATAGTTAAAGTGCATGTGAGTCCCCAGTTCAAAGGCCACCTCAGGCTGGGTCCCCAGGGATGTGTCTTCTTAACAACATGCCCTAGTTTTGTGGTCAACCAGTGGCAGGGCTGGGATTTCATCCCAGGCAGTCTGCAACCAGAGCCAGTTCCCTTGGCCACCTCACTACACTGCCTCCCTGGAAGAGTAGAGCAGTAAGACTTGGGTTCAAGACTGAGCTCTGCTGTTCATTTACTCCTGCTTCAGTGTGCTCATCTTTAAAGTGGGGATTAATGATTGCTATCTCTCAGAGTGGTTGTGAGGATTAATTGAAATAATGGTCATGCAAAAGCTTTAAAAATTACAAAGTATTATGCAAATATTCTAATTTTGATGAGGATTACAGAGAAGACCCAGAAGAAAGAGAAGCCAGCATGCTGACTTAGAGTGATGGGCATAGCAGAGGTGACAGAGAACAGTGGGAGGCTCACGAAACCCATGTCCTTGTCCTCCTGGGAACAGAGCAAGATTGCATTTCCCAGCCTCCCTTGGAGTTAATAGGGATTCCTCACTGAGCTCTGGTCAGAGGAGTGTAAGTGATGCTTACTTCTTTCCAGCCTGCCCCTAAATCCTCCCACATGCTCCTCCTTGCTCTACCTTCTTCCATCTTCTGCGGGCCAGATGCAGAAGTTCTATGTAGTAACCCCAAGACTCAGCTAGAAGGCAGCTCCCTAGGCTGCCTCCCCAACAGCCAGTTGAGCTTTACATGAGTAAGAAATACAATTGTCTTCTGTGATGCCACTGAGAGTGGGGTTATTTGTGAGCATACCTAATCGAGCAGATGACAGTATATACCTGGTTTTATTTTATTTTATTTTATTTTATTTTACTTTTTTGCCCAGACCAAATAGCAATCACATTCTAGAATTCAAGAGTACATTAGTTGGGTAGAGAATCCTTTTTTAAAATAAGCTGACCAAAGATGAAATTCTTGCTCCATACTGTTTTAACTAAAAAACAAGCCAACAAATAATTTGCTGTCCCTTTAACTTCACTTTCTAACACAATGAAAAACAGGATTTAGAAAATAATAATTCTTTGAAACTTTGGGGATACATGCTCTGGTATTAATCCTATTCCCAAATCTCATTATCCTATGGAGAATCCCTGATACAATTTACAGGGGCTTGAGCTCTATTTGAAAAACAAAAAGTGCAATCATCTCTTTATGATGGAGGTTTTTCCTGGGGGGTGTGTGTGATTTGTGGAATGTGGTTTAAGTTAAGCTTTCGCAGCGGGGGTACTTCATATGAACAGGGATTACTCTCTCGGCTAAACCCTTTAGAAGGTCACTGTGATCAGCAGCAAAGGGCAGTATATCTATTTTAGACACCAGGCTCAAACTTGGAATTGAAGAAAACCACAAAATGAAACCTGCCCCATGAAAAAAAGGGCACCTTGGTTTTGGGAGGCAGGAAAAACTGCGGGTCAGGAATCTCAGCTATCAAAATCACCGCAGCAACCTCTAAACAACCGGAAGGGGTTTGTCATAGTGTGAAATTTAAAGAGCGGAAATATGGCAGGAGCCCACTGAATCTCTGCAGCATTATGGTGGCTTACTTTATATTTCCGATTAAGAAGAGTTTCTGGGTTTAGCATGCAGGAACTGGGTTCTTTTTCTTGCTGCAGAATTTTTTTGGCGAATCCAGATGGTAGAACTTCATGAGAATCACATTCCTTTCTGGGGTCTGAGAGATCTAGGAAATCTACTTTATTAGGCAGTTCGTTATTTCCTAATTGCAATCACTCAAATCACTTGTCCTCCCTAGATTTATAAACACATAGACACTGTATTACCTGAGACAAACAGTGACATCCTCTTCCCAAGCTCTCAGCTGTCCTAAGTTCTGGGAGGAGGACCAAGAAGATCTGTTGTTTGCACATCTCTTTAATCAAGTCTGCTGGTCCTGGGCCTGTTTCCCTTCAAGTCACATCAGTGAGGCATCCCTTCCCCACTTATTCTGTGAGGATAGCCACACTAGCTTATCAACTAGGCTTCTTCTTTACAACAGTAAATGTAATGCAAGCTCGTTTAAGTAAAAATGGGAGATTATTGACTCATCTGGATGAAAACTTGAGCTCTATATCCAGTTTCAAGTACAGTTTGACTCAGGGCTCAAATAATGGCACCAGGATCCAATCTGTCTTCCCACTTTTCTTTGATATCATTTATGTTTCCTTTTCTCTCTCTCTGTCTGTCTTTCCTCAATTTTAGCTCAAGTGCCCAGCTGGTTAAAATATGGCTGTAGTCCTAGGTCTTCCAATGTCTGAGGTTCAGGTTCATCAAGGAGCACCTGCTTCTCTTCTGGCATTTCCACAAAAGGTCTCCTTGCATTTCGCCAGCTCTGCTTAGAACCCATGTTGCTGCCTCAGACTAATCACTGTGGTGAGGAGTTTGAATGAGCCACTTGGCTGAAGTCACATGCTTCTTCATCCCTGTGCTTCATGGGGTGATATCTTGGGAGCAGCGGGAGAGCTGGTGTGCATCTGAACCACATGACCTAAGAATAGGTGAGCGTGGATTTCCAAAAGAAAATGAAAACAGGACCTGTTATGGATGCTGGATGACACTAAATCAACAAATGCCCATTGCCATTCCTGCCTAAACCTGTGCTCTACATTAAGACAACAGAAGTCTTTCATCCCCTAAATATTAAAGGGAGACCTCAATTTTCCCAACAGTTTTACTCAGAGTTGCTTGAGAAATTTTATCTAGAGTGTGAATCCAAGTGCCCTGGGGAAATAAAGTTTCAGATAAGAAAGATGTTTCTGGAAATATGGATATGCTGTCAGCCTTGTCAACTTAAAATAATCAAAATGGTCAGCATCAAATTTAAAGAGAGTTTATTCAAGTGCAAAGTGTGAGGATGGACCACCCAGAAACACCAACTCCAAAGGAATGGAGTAAGTGTTCACAAATAGGAAAGTTAAGGTTTCATGTATTTATACTGGCAGAGACAGAGGGGTTTTTAGCAGGATTACAACATTATTCAGACAAGGTTGGTGCATAGTTACAGCAATTTAATTGCTTATAGGCAGTTTTTCTCTTTAGAAAGGGTACATTTAACTATTTCACTTTGTTTTAAACAGAGGATGTAATAGTCATGAGTTTTCTATCATCTGGTCAGTTAATCTATAATCTGAGAACAGATGTTGTAACCATATTTGACTCAGATCACAGTCACATCTTTCTCAAGACTTAAAGCGTTTTGGGGGTTCCAATGGCTGTTACATTACATTTATCTTCACAGCCTTGAACAAGAAAGGGTAGAAAGAAGAGGTGTTGACTCCAGCAGCTGTAATATCAGCATTTGTCCCTGGGCACTGTGCTCAGCACATCCATGTGTTTCTATGTCCAACAGAGAAAATGACATTAGAAATGAGAATGTGAGATCACCAGCTCCTCCATGGATGGGCCAGGGACGTCTAGTCCAGACCTCACTGGGGGTCAGGGATCCTTGCTGACTCATTGTCCACTCACCAACCTGCCACTCTGCTCCTGGGTGGCCATTGTCTTCACTCTTTTTGAGTTTATAAAGACCTTGTGTTTCCTAAGATTTAGAAGCCTAAATGCACCACTTGTCATCTTTTGCTTACAGTTAGAATGAGTGGGTAAGTTTTTCCTAAAATTGGTCTTGCTGCCTTTAAATTTCATTCCCATGAGAGTGTAAGCTCCATGAAAACACGGAGTTTTCCTATTTTCTTCCCTGTTTTATCCTTGGTATGTAGAAAAGAGAGGGCCTCACATAAAATAGGCAGCCTCCCCAAATCCTCCACCTTCTCCAATCTTTTTGGGTTTGAACCTGGAGGTCTGTCACTGGGAGGGACTCTGGGAGGACTGTAGAGATGACAGTCACAGAGAAGGAGACAAGGCACCTACCAGCAGGACCCTGGCATGTAATGAAATCTGGAGGAGCCCTTTTGAGCAAGTGAACTCGTACTGTCCTGGCATGTACCCACACCTCTCTAACAGTGGTTTCAAAGATGTGGAGTCCCTACCGAGTGAAGGTGGATTAGAGCCTCAATGGCAGACATAGAGTGTGGCCCTTTTCTGGACCTTTCAGTGATGACTTCTTTAAGTGCTCTAGAAAAACACTAGGTTAATACGGTCCAAGAAACTGAAGAACAGCCTTGCTTCCAATAGAGAAAGTTCAGTTGAGTGTTTCTCCATGTCATATGGCCACTAGATATTCTCACTCATGCAATCACTTATAGGCACCCACCCCTCTCTGACATCATTGGGAAGATTTGCAGTTAATTCTGGCAGGTTGAAATCACACACTTCCCTCAGTCCACCACCCCACTCCCACCATCAGTGTATAGTAAAGGAACAACCAAAGGCAAAATCACAGGAGGACACCAACTAAATAGTTAATGCCCTCTTTCCTAATTCCTTTCTCCACTAGGTTCTGAAAAAACATGAAAACAGAAAAGAGGCTTTACAGCCATCTCTATCCCAGGCAGAAATTTGAGTATTTCTCTCTGGCAAAACCTATCAGTCCAGGAGAAAAGAATTAGTGGTATCGAGCCCTATCATGCAAAAAATTAGTGATCTCTAGCTCGATATCATGCCAGAGAAGCCCACGAGTCAACAGCCCTATGCTCTCCTTTTCCATTATTCCTCATTTTGTTCCCAAACTAATTTATGAGGGCTTATAAAGATACAATAGGCCGGGTGTGGTGGCTCGCACCTGTAATCCCAGCACTTTGGGAGGCCGAGGTGGGCAGATCACCTGAGGTCAGGGGTTCAAGACCAGCCTGGCCAACATGGTGAAACACTGTCTGTACTAAAAATACAAAAAATTAGCTGGGTGTGGTGGTACGTGCCTGTAATCCCAGTTACTCAGGAGGCTGAGGCAGGAGAATCGCTTCAACTTGGGAGGCGGAGATTGCAGTGAGTCGAGATTGCACCATTGCACTTTCTGCCTGGGCAAAAAGAGCCAAACTCCGTCTCAAAAAAAAAAAAAAAAAAGATACAGTAGAGACGTAAAATGGTGTCAGCAAACAGGCTGACAAAATGTAAACAAAATGTAAACTCACACTTGCTAAGAGGGATATACATTTGGCTCGCTCTTTCAATGGACAATTCTAAAAGGGAATGGGGCAGTTAGTCTTCGCTCTTACTATGCCCATCTGCCCTAGTGATGGTTGCCATGGAATCTTCATCAGGACTCCGCTTCTGTAGATTTAGTGTCTGGCCTTGGGGGTGCCTCAACAAAATTCCAGGAAGCTCTGCTTCTATTTTAACTGATGTTGCTCTGATGTGTCTGTTACTATTAGCATACACATTTCCGTTTCCATTACAGCTGATGAAGATACCTCTTGGGTAAATTCTGTCATGGGTTTTGACTTCTAACCCAACAATCCATTATATCCTTAAAGAAGATTAAAGAGATGATGGAGATTAATTTTAAAAAGAAAAAAAATTTCATTGTAAGGTTGACTTCTAAAGCTTTCCTGCTCCAGGGGGAGTATTGCTTAGATGTCTGTTTTGCCACAGAAGTTCTCATGAAGGAGCAAGGGTGATTTGCACTCTCTAGGCGTCATGTTTTCGAACTTCAGAGTGCTCTCACTGAAGCAATGATGTGATTCAACTCAACTCAGGCACACCCTGTGCACTATGCATTGACTATGTGGAAGCATAAAGCACATATATTTTCTTCTGAAAGCCCAAGAAGACTCCTGTCTGATGTTTCTCAAATATCTAACCAGTACCATATGTACAAGAGCACATCTTGTCTTGCTGCAAAATGGCCCAGCAAAGCAGAACTTTATCTCTTTATTAAAAATGGATAGGACAAAGAATTGTGTACACAAATAAGATATTTTTAGTTCAAATACTCTACTGTACACACTGAGAACATATATTTAGTACCTATCATGTAGCAGGCATTGTGCTAGGTGTTGGTGATACAATAACAAATAAAACCTTTCCCTCCTCAAGGTGTTCCCAGTCTAGTGGGGAAACATACATGTACATAAGCACTTCACAATAACACACATTGGTCAGTTTGTGTTTTCTTTCTTTCTCTCCCTTTTTCTTTCTTTCTTTCTTTCTTTCTTTCTTTCTTCTTTCTTTCTTTTTCTTTCTCTCTTTCCTTCCCTTCCCTTCCTTCCTTTCCTTTCCTTCCTTCCTTCCTTCCTTCCTTCCTTCCTTCCTTCCTTCCTTCTTTCCTTCCTTCCTTCTTTCCTCTTTCTCTCTTTCTTTTTTCTTTCTTTCTTTTCTTTCTTTCTGTCTGTGTCTCTCTGTCACCCAGGCTGGAGTGCAGTGGTTCGATGATGGCTTACTACAGCCTCCAAGTCCTGGGCTTCCTAACTCAGCCTCCCAAGTACCTGGGATTACAGCCATGCATGATCATGGCCAGCTGTTTTTTTTAATTTTTTTTGTTGCCCAGGCTTCAAGCAATGCTCCCACCTCAACCTCCCAAAGCACTGGGATTACAGGCGTGAGCCACCATGCCTGGCCAATACTTTCAAATTGGTTTACAATATGCTGTAGAAGTACATGAAGGATCATTGAATTATTTCCACAGGGCTGGAGGCGGGTCAAGGAAGAGTGATATTATGGAAGACCTAGTGGAGCCATGCTTATTTTTTCATTTATGCAATAAATGAAAAAGAAGAGTGAAAGGTAGTTTAATCTGAACATCTATTGAGTGCTGGGCAGTACATATAAAGAGATGCACAGTTCTTGGTCTTGAGAAGTGTGTTACCCTTTTTGGGTCTGAAATCTATTTGGTTTCCTATAAACACTATTCATTAGGGAAATACATACTTCTCATGTGTTGATAAGTATCCAGATGTTTAACTTAGGGACTTCAAGAGAAAATAATTTGCCCCGTCTGGGAAGGGAGGATGTGACCCCAAATACTCAAGGAGTAATTGATGGAGTAGGGACCCAGGTTTGTTCTGAGTAGCTCAGGAAGGCAGAGATAGGGCTGATGGGTGGAATTCACAAGAAAGCCGGTGGGAGCTCATTTTAATGAAGGCATTTTTTGATATCTAGGATTCCCAAACCTATAACTAACTGTCTTGTGCTTTGTTTCCTTCAAGTAAAGCAATGATGAAAGGATATTCAGGTGTTATGAAGGGTTGGACCAGATTCATTCAACAACTCTCTACCATGTGCTCAGCATCTGCTGGGTGCTGGGCATTTATTAACGAGTAAGTCATAGATCCTGCCCTCAAGGCAACAGGCAGGTACACAGGCAAGCACATACGGTATGACATGTGGCAGGAGAATTAATGGGCTAGGGTGGAGTATGGAAGGCTTCACAGAGGAGGTTACTTCTAAGCTGAGAGCCAAAGGAAAAGAATACAGCCTGGCCAAAGTGGTGGCAGGGGAAAAGTGGGAGTGCCCAGAGACCATGTCTAAGTCTAATAGTCCACGCAAAGTAATGGCAAAAGGGAGATTACTTTTGCACCAATCTAATACTAACAAAAATCTATATTTCACTTTTTATTCAGAGCAGAAGACAAATAAGATCATATTTGTTAGGCATTCTGTAAAAATTGCCATTAGCCTAATCATGTGGCCTAGTAGCTAGAATACCCTTGGAAGATACAGGTGCAGCCACCTCAAGGAAAGAGGTGGCCCACCTGGATGGCACTGCTGGCCCTGACTGCCCTCAGGCATCAGAGGGAGACTTAGAAAATTTTGATGAAGGCAGCTGGGCATGGTGGCTCATGCCTGTAATCCCAGCACTTTGGGAGGCTGAGGCGGGAGGATCACCTGAGGTCAGGAGTTCGAGACCGCTGGCCAACATGGCAAAACCCCATCTCTACTAAAAGTACAAAAATTAGCCGGGTGTGGTGGCGGGCATCTATAATCCCAGCTACTCAGGAGGTTGAGACAGGAGAATTGCTTGAACCCAGGAGGCAGAGGTTGCAGTGAGCCGAGATCGCGCCACTGCACTCCAGCCTGGGTGACAAGAGCGAGACTCCATCTAAAAAAGAAAAAAAGAAAATTTTGATGAAGGCACTCCAAGGTACAGGGCCCTCTATTAGGCACAGGTGTAAGGACAGTGCTGCCCACAACAACCTCCTTGGTTTTATCCATATAGGGGTACGCAATTGACACAGCAAGCCATTGGCACTGTCTGAGATCTTGGCAAATCCTCACATACGGGATCCCACTAATGGTCAGAAGGCTGCTTGAGGGTGGGCTGGGACCACAGTGCAGGGATTCTGGAAGTGAACTCTGAGGCAGATATTTGCATGCAGGAGATATACTGGGGAGTGGTCTCAATATCAGCAAGTGTGGTGGCTGAGGGCGGTGGTAAGTGAAGCAAGTTTGGGCAGAGAGAGAAGCTGAACCAAGGTGCAGTGTAACAAAGGCCACAGCTGATTCCAAGGGGAGCTCTGGAGCTGGAGGACCTTTCAGATTTATCCCAAATTGAGGCAAAGTGGGTAAACCGTAACCCACCCCTTTACCACACATCATTCCAGACTTGCGTGGGATTGCCTCAGGGAGGGTGTATGACCTTGGCTGAGACCATTCTCTTCAGCCAAGGACAGTTTCTGGTGAGAGACTCAGCTGAGAGCTGTCAACAGCCAACATTCCCAGGCACTATGGGAAGGAGTGCTTCCTCCTGGGGTGGGGGATGGAGGAGGTGGTTTAATCATCACAGGCAAACTGAAATAGGGATTCTTTGTCATGAATGATGAGCCATGACTATTAGGATAGTTCACAGTCAAACCAGTGGATGATACATCTAAGAAACCCCAAGTTTGTCTTGTTGAATTAAATAGTAAGAATTTGATGCCTTGGAGGAGTGCGTGTGGGTGCTTGTGTGTGTGTGTGTATGTGTGTGTGTGTATGTGTGTGTGTGTATTAGTCAGGGTTCTCCAGGGAAACAGAACCCATGGAATGTGTGTGGGTGCCTGTGTGTGTGTGTAAAGAGAGAGAGGAGAGAGATTAAGGCATTGTCTCAAGCAATAGTGAAGATTGGCAGGTTGAGAATCTGCAGAGTGGGCGGGCAGGCTGGAGACCTAGGGAAGAGTCACAGTCCAGAGGCCATGTGCTGGCAGAATTCCTGCTTGTTCTTGGGGAGGTCAGACTTTGTTCTGTTAATGCCTCCAATGATTGGATGAGGCCCACCCACACCCACACTAGGAAGCATAATCTGCTTGATATGGTTTGGCTCTGTGGCCCCACTCAAATCTCATCTCAAATTGTAATCCCCACATGTTGAGGGAGGGAGATGATTGGATCATGGAGGCAGTTTCCCCCATGCAGTTCTCATGATAGTGGCTGAGTTCTCATGTGATCTGATAATTTATAAGGGCTTTTCCCCCTTTGCTCACGCTCTCTCCTGTCACCTTGTAAATAAGGTGCTTGCTTGCCCTTCGCCTTCTGCCATTATCATAAGTTTCCTGAGGCCACCCCAGCCATGTGGAACTGTGAGTCAATTAAACCTCTTTCCTTTAATATAATGTGAATTCCTGGGTAATTTATATTATCCAGTCTCTGGTAGTATCTTTATATTAGGTTGGTGCAAAAGTAATCGCGTTTTTTGCCATTAAAATTAATAATTAAAGGTAATTATTTTTTATGCTAACCTAATAGCAGTGCGAAAATAGACTGATACACTGCTTTACTCAAAGTCTGTTGATTCAAATGTTAATATCATCTGAAAAGTACCTTCACAGATACATCTAGAATAATGTTTGACCAAATATCTGGGTACCATGGCCTAGCCAAGTTGATACATAAAATTAACCATCAATAATTATATTAGAGAGGGGTGGGGGGAGTTGGGTTGGGGGAGAATAGGAGGAAGCAGTTTCATTGTCACTCTTCTTTCTCCTATTTTGTGACCAAACATGTTACTGTCACATGTACCATGCCCCTGCTGGGACTGGGCAACTGGTTCCAGGGGCATGGAGTTCTCAGTAAGAGTAGAGTATGGCTCCATCAGGCCTCTGCACAGTGCCAAGCAACTTAGGCAATTGAGTGGACACTTATTTGCCTGTCTTTTTCAGGTCCCATTGTCGCTGTACCTGGAGGTCTCCTCAGTTTATCCAGGGTTACACCTGGCTGGGGCAACTCAGTGATGAAGAGAAGCCCAAAGAGTGATTTAAGCATCTCAGATATAATCTTCCACCTCCCTTCCCCTTCCTCAACTAATGACCTATACACAAACCCCTTTCAAAATCCATACGCATAGCATGTTCGTATTTTCCTTTTTTATCCTGTGGAAGCTTCAAATCTCCTGGTTGAACACTTATTTGGGACAAAAGCAAGACCTAGTAGTACATTCATTTTTCAACAAAAAGGTAACTTTTCTTAGTAGAATAATCCAGTTTACTTTTATGTTTCACCTATCTTCCAGTTTAATCACACTCTCCATATCCTATGAACACACAGAAGCTTCCAGGTAAACATGTGCATTTCTTATCCACAGAAAAATGCTTAGAGACCTTTTCAGCTAGAGCAATTGTGTATGTGGTTTAATTATTATTTTACAATATCTCAGCCATTTCTTGTTTGAATACTTTCTATTTATCAAGTCCAGCCTGGACTGGAGAAGAGAAAATAGTTCAGTGAAAAATTAGTAGCATTTCCCCTCTTGCATTGGGAAAAAGTGTACTGTTTGTGTGAGAGTCAGTGTTGGGGGATTGTCTGCCACTGTCACTTATCTTTGTGTTATTAAATTCCTTTGTTCCCTCTTAATGCATTGCAAAGCTTTTTTAATCTAAAGAAATTGATTTCTGCCTCTACTCTTCTATTCTATTTCTCTGATTAAATAAAGCATTTGAATTTAAAGGAATTCCAGGGAGGGTATTTTTAATGTTTCTGTAGATTATATTGTTATAGATTGAATGTGTCTCCCCAAATTCGTACATTGAAATCCTAACTGCCAAGGTGATGGTATGAGGAAGCAAGGTCTTTGGGCATTGATTAGATCACAAGGGCAGAAGAATCCTCTTGGGTGGGATTAGCACCCTCATAAAAGACCCAGACAGAGACCACTCACTCCTTCCACCACGTGAGAACACAGAAACAGGGCCTCACTAAGCACCAAATCTGCTGATGCCTTGATCTTGGACTTCCCAGTCTCCAGAACTGTGAGAAATAAATGTCTGTTGCCTATAAGCCACCCATTTAATGATACTTTGTTACAGCAACCCCAATGGACTAAGACATACATAATAACAAAGTAAGCTCTTCAAACTCTGCTTCCCATTTCTGTTTTGAAACTAAGGTAGATTTTTTTTGAAAAGTCTAGTCTAGGCTGGGCGCGGTGGTTCATGCCTGTAATCCCAGCACTTAGGGAGGCCGAGGCGGGTGGATAACGAGGTCAAGAGATAGAGACCATCCTGGCCAACATGGTGAAAACCTGTCTTTACTAAAAATACAAAAATTAGCTGGGTGTAGTGGTACATGCCTGTAGTCCCAGCTACTCGGGAGGTTGAGGCAGGAGAATCTCTTGAACCTGGGAGGCGGAGGTTGCAGTGAGCCGAGATCGTGCCTCTGCACTCCAGCCTGGTGACAGAGTAAGACTCTGTCTCAAAAACAAAAAAAAAAAAAGAAAGAAAAATCTAGTCTTTCTTCTGCCTCTGACCTGGTCCCATCCAACCTCGCTCCACATGACAGCAGAGTTTCCTAATACATCCTATTATTCTTATTGAATTAAATGGTAATTGTGTGATGTGTGTGTGTTTGTGTGTGTGTGTGTGTAGGGGGTGCCTGTTGCAAAAGTATCACCACCAGGGAATAACTATCGCTACCTTCTCCCTTCCTTTCCTCTCCTCTGCCTCCCATTATGCTACTGGCCACATCTCAAGTGTGCTGCTTGCAGCCTTTCCATACTTTTCCATGGTTGTGCATTGCATAATTGGATGTTTCCTACCTTGGCATTCTGAAGGCAGGATTATGTCCCAACTACTTTGATGAGCCTCGCTGTGGCAGGCCCTGCTGGTTGTCTTCCCCCTAATTTTTCCAATCCCCCTTTCCCTCGTCTGTTTTCCACTATAGAAGCTGAAAAGGCCAGATACTCACTTTCCCAGCACCCTCCCTGTTTCATCTACCCTCTGCTAGGATGGCTGTGTGATTTGCTCCTGGTTGATTTGATATAAGGGGAAGTTGGCTGGTGGGAACTTCAGATAAATGTTTTTCTCTCTGATAAAAGTTGAGAGCACACAAGAGGAAACTTTGGTGTTCTTCTTCTTCCTGCCTTTGGATGTGGCATGAGAAGCTTGAGAGGGTGTGATGCGTGGAGCTATTACAGCCATCTTGTGACCATGAGGCATTCAGATAAAAAGCCAACATTCTGAGGTTGGTGAAGGAGAAAGATAGCAAGAGGCTAGCTGGAAACAGCAACATATTCCAGGGACTGCTCCCCTCTGATTTTCTCATTAAATAGACAACTTGTCCTTAGCATTTGAACCACTTTTTTGGGAGTGCAGCTGTTTTCAGTCAAAAGCAATCTTAACTGATGCACAAGCCAGGTGCCTGGCACAATGGGGTTAAATATATATATTTATTGGATAAATGAATAAGAGAATGAATAAATGAAACTCCTACCTTTACTACATCTGCCTACACTCCAGCCATCCCTGAGTGTTAACAGGACCTCATCTGGAAGACTTAAAGGCTGGGCTGGAATCATTTGAGAGGACATTCACTCACTTGGCTGATGCTGGGAAGGGCCAAACCTCCGGAGTATGGAACAGCTGGGGCTCCTTGGGCATCTCTCTCTGTATTTCTGTTGTTTTCCCACATGGTCTTTTTAGCATTACAACTTCAAAGTGCTAGACTTTTTACAGGGTGGCTGAGGGCTACAAAGGTGTGCACTTCACGTGGCAGAGAGAGAGAGAGAGACAGCAAGCCGGGAGGAATGTGTGTCTTTTATATGACCTAGCCTCAGAAGTCACATAGCATCACTTCCGTTCTACTGTATAGGTCTGAGCAGTCATGAGGCTCTCTAGGTGGAAAAGGAGAAGAAATGGATTCCCATTCTTGATGGAGAGGGAAGCATCTGGAAAGGCATGTGAAACTGGAAATATTGCCATGGCCATTTTTTTTGTTTGAAAATCCAGTTTGCTACAGTGCCTCATATGCATCTCTATTCCCATATTGACCATCTTGATGTCATTAGTCTCTTTCATGTCTACCCTACTGGCTGAAGGGTGCAAGTACCTGGAGGTTTTAATCTGTGTTTTATTCACTTTAGTATCTCTGGCACCTTTATGAAGATATGTTTAATAAATGCCTTATTCTAACCACTCTGAACCTCATTTGTGTGTGTGGAGGAGGAAGCCTCAAGGGTGATGAGAATTTTGACTTCAGTTGCACTGTCCTTGCAGACTCTAACATTAGGAGTTTGTAGCTCTTTAGGGGGTAAGAGAACCACAGGTAAAGCTGGAGTTGATACTGACCAAAACTTGCTTTCCTACCTGCCATGCTCCATGGCAGTGCTGTCGTAGAGGAGTTTCTGTAATGATGAAACAAATGTTCTGGCCCTGTGCTGTCCAATGTGTCACGTGTGGCTACTGAGCACTTGAAATGTGACTGGTGTGATTGAGAAACTGAATTTTACACTTCATTTCAAAGGATTATAAATCATGCTGCTATAAAGACACATGCACACATATGTTTACTGCGGCACTATTCACAATAGCAAAGACTTGGAACCCCAAATGTCCATAAATGATAGACTGGATTAAGAAAATGTGGCACATATACACCATGGAATGCTATGCAGCCATAAAAAAGGATGAGTTCATGTCCTTTGTAGGGACATGGATGAAGCTGGAAACCATCATTCTGAGCAAACTTTTGCAAGGACAGAAAACCAAACACTGCATGTTCTCATTCACAGGTGGGATTTGAACAATGAGAACACTTGGACACAGGGTGGGGGACATCACACCTGGGGGCCTGTCATGGGGTTGGAGGAGGAGAAGGGGATAGCATTAGGAGATATACCTAATGTAAATGACGAGTTAATGGGTGCAGCACACCAACATGGCACATGTATACATATGTAACAAACCTTCAAGTTGTGCACATGTACCTTACAACTTAAAGTATAAAAAAAATTATTTCCGTTTAATCTTCAATCACATATGTGGCTAGTGCTACCTTGTTAAACAGCTCAGCCCTTGAAATGCAGGTTTGACAATTCTTTCCCTCCTTCGCAAGACCAACCACTATTGGCCTTTCATCCCTCGGCAAAAGAAACAAAGCCACAAAGATTTTTTTGTGTCCCTTCCCGCTCCATGCCTCCCACCAAAACACGCCTTTAAATTCCTGAGACAGCTCTTAATTGCTGGTTTCAGCAACGTTCCCCTTCTATTCACATTCTGTTCTCATTTCACTGTTTTTGTACCCAGTTGGTCTTGACATATAAGGCTTTTTGTTCTCGTTTTGTCTTCTACCTGGAAAAATAGTTCCTGATGTCTATTCTGTATCTCATACACTAATGTCATTATCTGTGTTGAAAGGCAGTAGATATTACTGAAGTCAGTTACCATTTTCATGCACTTTAATGCAACCCTCCCTTAAACATTCCTGTTGTTGATTGTGCTCACCGAGAATCTTTAATCTGTCCTCTCCAGCCCCCTTGCTTAATCCCAGTTGTCATTCTCTGTATGCTTCCTGTTTGGCATGTCCTGTTTTTTATTAAACTGTCAGTGGAATGTTTTTGCTTTTATGTGGCTTTTGGAGAGTAATGAGTTTTGTCTTTTTCATAGTTTGGAAAGGGGGGTGGTGGTAATCTTAACTTTATTGACAAAAGTGTGTATAGCGTTGTAACGTTGTTAGACCAATATGAAAGTAAAAATAAATCTGTTTTCTTCCCTAAACCCAGAGGTACTGCTGTGCAGAGAGTTCAGGAAGCCTGACTGGGGCCCTGGAGCATTTACATTTGAAAGGCAAACTTTATTTTCATAAAAACAAATGGGAAATTAGAATATGCAGTGCACTAGGGATCTAGGTTTTGTAGCAAGGGCATTTAGGCTGCTCTGGAAAGAAGCCACGGATTGCCCAGGGCATTTGTAAGAAATGATATTTGCAGGTCGGAACAATGTGATAGCATCATAGCTGGACTTAACCCAGTGAATGGCAACTATATGCATGGAGGGAGAGAGAGAGAGAGAGAGAGAGAATAAATGAATGAATGAATTTGTAGAAGACAGAGAATTTGGTATGTTTTATTCATTCTTATGCTGCCAGCACTCATCAGTTCATTCACCAACTATTCAATACCAACCAACCAACCAGAAAAGCTGCTCCCAAATTCTTTTCTCACAGAAATGATGAGATAATAAATGTGTACTGTTGAGCTGTATTGTATCTCCTCATAACACTTCTGACCTCAAAGGTATGGAGGTTTTCCACACCAATAACCTATTTTCTGATTCTCTGGACACCAGCGGGGCATTCAATTCAATTCCTATTATGAGTCAGGCACTGTATCAATGAATAAAATAGATTGAGATTCCTGCCATTGTGGAGCAGAAATTCTGGCATGGAGTTGGGGGGGGGAAGAAAGACAACAAAAGGCAATAGAGAAGTAAATCATAGTATGTAGTAAAACATAACACATGTTATGAAACAAGAAAATGTAGAGCAGAATAAGGGATTGGGAAGACTGCAATCAAAATTGCAATTTAAAATATGGCAGTCAGGCTACGCTTTCTTGAAATGATGATATTTGAGCAAAAACCCAAAGTGAGCATAGATTAACACCTAGAACAGTGCCTGGCACAAAGTAGGTGCTTGGAAAATATGTGTTAAATGAACAAACAAGCAAACTCTATCCATCCTTCCGCTCAATTCATGTACCCTTCAGGTGAGCCTGAGATGAGCTGTAGGAATCCGCTGCCCCTCAGCAAGATCTCACTCCTTGATGATCTCTCCACAACAAATGTCTCCAGTGTTCAGGATTTTCATACATCTCAACTTCTGTTTGTAAGCCATTTTCATCAGGTGTTCAACTGAGATTCAGTGACATGTTTTAAAGCTACAGGAAAAATTGGCCTTATCGAGTTTACTGAAACATGCATGTATACACAATTATTATCTCCAACTGGCACTTTTTCAAGGCATGTGGAAGCAAATCCTGCAAAATACGTGCCTCTGTACATTAAACTGAATATTGCATGTGTAGGGTCGGGGAGCAGGGGTGGGGGAAATTGGGGAGATTTGTGGAGATGGGTTAGAAAAAGCAAGCTACTTTAGCTTCATGATTTTGCGTGGGGCCAGTCCTGTGGGAAGGTTTCATTAATGAACATTCTCCATGGCACTAAAATTATTTAATTTCATGGTGATCTTACAGCTCTTGTTTTAAGACTTGAGGCACAATGAAAGTAGATCACTTGTCAGAGGTCTTCCAGAGTGAAAATGCTAAAGCCAGTAAAAAGTTGCATGTCGTCAAAAGCCATTATCTCTCATGTTAGATCCAAATGGACTGAATACAGAGGACTTGGAGTTGATTAAATATTTTGTTCATTTATTTGAAAAGTGTATGTGAGCCCTGTGGGTTGGCAGCCTCCAAGATGGCCCTTGAAGAGCCTCACCTCCTGGTCTTCATGTTCTTGTTAATTCCCTTCTGTAATCAGTTGGGCTGACTTGGGTAACCAATAGGACACTGTTAAAATGACAGGCTGTGACTTAGGAGGCCAGGAATAAAACACATTACAGCTTTTACTTTGCTCTCTTGGGCACTTGCTGGGAGGGAAGCCGGCTGTCATGGACTGAGCAGCGCCCTGGAGAGGCCCAACTGGTGATATGAGGCCTCCTGCCTACACCTGTAACCACCAGACAGTCATATGAGTGAGTCACTTTGGACGTAAATCTTCCAGGCCCAGTCAAACCTTCAGATGACTGCAGCCCAGGACAACGTCTTGATTACAACCTCTTGGCAAGACTCCAATCCAGAACCAACCAGATAAGCTGCGCCCAAATTCCTTTCTCACAGAAATGATGAGATAATAAATGTTTATTGTTGAGCTGTATCTCCTCACAACACTTCTGACCCAAAAGGTATGGGGGTTTTCCACACCAACAACCTATTTTCTGATTCTCTGGACACCAGCTGAGCGTTCAATTCCAACCAATTCCGACTCTACCTGTGCAGGCCCTACAGGTGAATGACTCAGTCCCTCCTATTTCAGATGCTGGTCTTCAGTCCCAGGCCTCCTGTGCTTTTGACCAACCAGCCACATATCTGCTACCTCCTCAGGTTTGATAATTTGCTAGAATGGCTCACAGAACTCAGGAACACACATTACCACTTTTACTGGTTTATTCTAATAGCCAAACGAAAGAGATGCATAGGGCAAGGTACAGGGACAGGGAGGGGTACACGGAGCTTCCATTCCTTTTTCTAGCATGCCACCCTCCCAGTACCTGGAAGCTTCCTGAACCCTGTTGTTGGGGGATGTTTATGAAGGTGTGATTAATTAAATCATTAGCTGTTGGTCCTGAAGGTTGAGGTGGGCTAAAAGTTCCAACCCTCTAATCATGCCTTGGTCTTTTGGGTGACCAGCCTCCATCCTGAAGGTATCCGGGGCCCCGCAGCCACCAGTCATCTCCATTAACATATCAGAAACACTCCTATCACTCCGGGGATTCCAAGGGTTTCAGAACTGTTGGTCACTAATTGGGGATAAAGACCAAATATATATTTCCCATTATACTGTATTTATTTTAAGGCATTAACTCTGAAGTAATATTTCACTCAGTAATTGATAACTAATCTAGAGGTAGGTACCTGGAGGAGTCAATGGAAGCCTGAAAGTGTGGATGTGGCTTTGGAATGGGGTGGTAGGCAGGACTTTGGAAAGAGTGTTAGTGAAAAACTAAAGAATACTGGTGAGACTGAAGTCAAGCTCTGTGGACCCTGGGCTGTAGCTACATTTTAAGAGAAAATTTTCCACTGAACCCCAGGTGGCCACTCCTTTCTCAATGACTCCTGCAGGACAGTTCTCCAGGTGGCCTTGGACTGACCCAGTTCTCACTACTTTCTTACTTGTAATTCTTAAGAATAACTGTAGAATGTGCTGGGAGTGCAATGTCATGAGATAGTAGGGGACTGGCCAGAACAGCCTGGGCTCTGTTCCAGCCCACCCTAGAAATAGGATGTCCTTCAATGCTTTGGCCCAGAATCTCATTGCCCCTGGGCATAAAGCCCAGGGTAGACTGTATTTCCAGGTCCCTCAGATGCAGTGCAAGAGGGGCATATGCCTCGGAGACTATGTTCCCCAAGCAGCTTTGTGAGCCTTGGGAGACCAGCTCAGGATGAAGCCTTGTCTTCTGTTATCCATTGCTGCCTATCTGTAAGTGATAAACCTGCTTCATGTAACTTGCATGTGGGTGTTCTGTCTCACTGTACTCAGGTAAACTGGTAATCAGTGCACAGTGAATCTGCTCCACTCCCACTTGTTTATATGGAAAAAACTTTCTTTGGTAATTTCTAGAAGTGTTCTTAAGATGAATGACCCCTAAGCAATAGGAATGGGATGAAGCCAAAAGTCACCTTCATCCTTCTCTTGTGTATTCATTTATTCAACAAATACATACTAAGCATGTACCATATGCCAGCAACTAGACATATAGTAGTGAACAAAGATGAAGTCTCTACTCTCATGGAACATACTTTCCAGTGGGAGGAAATAGAGAATAAACAAAAACTCACAGGCAAGATACTTCCACGGGGTGATATAAGTGTTCTGGAGAATTAAAGTCTAGGAGAAGAGTAAGCCTTATAAATAGCCCTTTTGACCCCTGATCACCCATTTATCTCACATTGTTCCAATTTTGAAACTCCAATAATTCTGCCTATGCTCCTCTTTTCATCCTACAATGTTTTTGTCGATAGGCCATAAATGAGAACTTTGACATTGCAATCTGGGGATGGTACTCTTAAATTTGCTGTGTCTTACACAAGTGGTACACACCCAAATTCAGATAAAAAACTTGGTGCTAAGTCATGAAGTAGATGGATGGGCAGGCACCAGGCACAAGTCACCAAAATGATTTTGCCTTAGCTTATTGGGTTAAATCCCGTGGTTATTCCAAAGTTTTTCATTTAAAGAAATTAAAATGTATTGATTTCCTCCCTTTTTCTACCTTAACTTGGAAAAAAAGTTAATATACTTTGTGGTTTAGTATATCTTAACTTTTCATTCACACCCCTTCCCCACACTTGAATACCTGTCAGGTATAAGGCACTCAAGTTTAGTGTGATTGCAAGATAAAAGGATTCTATGGAGTGAAATAGATACTTTAAAATGTAGCTGTATCTTGAATGGTGTGTACTAAGAAACAGTGGCTATGGTGTCAGTCATGTAGATTAAAAACAACAAAAAAGTGAGAGGGCTCTATTGCATACCAGGCATGCCTTGCACAGCGAATTTAATTCATGCTGGGTGACGGCTACTTCCTGGGATTAGTCTGTGCATGCATGGATGGAGAATTGCTTTTATTCTGCTTGGAACTCTAAGCAGGTAATTTTAATAAATGTAAAAGTCCCGTCCCCTGCCTGTTGACCCACTAAATGTTGACAATCTCCATGATATATTGATAAGTGGACAAACACATATGCAGAACAGTATGTATAGCAAGTTACCATGTATATAAAATGAGAGAAAAAATTTACACATAGCTGTTCCTTCTTTATCAATATTGCTAGGTGCTCAGGATATAGAAGTAAACAAAAGATGAAATCACTACCCTCAGGGAGCTTTTACACTACGGGTATAAAAAAATGGATTTATTTTAGATACTGAGTAGGGTGTGTAATTAGTGAGAACTAAATTGAGGAAATTCATTAAATTGGGCAAATGGGGAAAAGATAGTTTAGATTCAATGAAATGAAAGGTAATGATATAACTTTTATGAGTGTACAGGACTCAAACTAAGTGAATAGAGAAAACAACTCAAGCTCTCTTAACCACCACTAACAACTAGTAACAGGGAGTTGGGGGTGGGATTCAATGGATTTCTCCCAAAATTCCAGGAGGAATTGAACAGCTAATCCTGAGGAGGGTAGGTGTGGACCCCAGTTGTGACATTCATGAGACACAGCTCTCAACTCCCAGCTTTGTGTCTCTACATTTAAATTTTTCAGAGAGAGAAATCATCACACTATGAATCACACCAAGACTAGCCTGAATGCTCAGGAGCTGGGCTCCCCCATTTCCTCATGCGACAGTAAGACCCGCTTCCTTCCAGTAAGGAAGAAAGGATAAGGCAAGATCTGTTGAGTCGCTTCTTTTAACAGCCTGAATCCTTTCATTTCCTGCCCCCTTTTTATTTTACCCAAAGCAGCCCAGAATTGCCCTCCTATTTGCCCATCCTCTTCCTGGTTCCCTGGCAGAGGCCGAGGTGGTTAAGGGCAGTGCTAGAGGTGGGGGCTCAAGGACTTGCAGATCCCCTGGGTCCTTTTGCTTTTTCCTGATACTCACCCTGCTGCCCTACGCCAATGACCGACACCAGTCCCTTCCAACAGTTACTGTCATGCATAACCAACACCACCAAAGAATTGTGCAGTCCTTGGAAAGTGTGCAGTGGCGAATTAGCCTTTCCTGAATTCTGGGAAGATATTTTTATGTAAGAGAAGTCACATAGTTTAGTGATTACCAGCTCAGGTGCTGAAGCCGAATAGCAGTGGGTTCAAACTCCAGCTCTGCCAATGACTCACTGTGTAATACTGGTGGGTTTTGTGACCTGTATATTTTGGTTTCCTCAGGTGTAAATCTGAGACAGTAATAACAATACATATGGGGTTGCACAGCAGACTCACTCAAACTAGACAGCCTGTGGGACTCCACCAACTGCCAACTTGGTAACTGCTATGGTTTGGCTGTGTCCTCACCCAAATCTTATCTTGAATCATAGTTCACACAATTCCCACGTCTTGGGAGGGACCTGGTGGGAGGTAATTGAATCATGGAGGCAGGTCTTTCCTGTGCTGTTCTCGTGACAGTGAATAAGTTTCAAAAGATCTGATGGTTTCATAAAGGAGAGTTTCCCTGCACAAGTTTTCTGTCTTGCTGCCGCCATGTAAGAAGTGCCTTTTGCTTTCTGCCATGATTATGAGGCCTCCCTAGCCACATGGAACTGTGAGTTCGTTAAACCTCTTTTTCATTATAAATTACCCAGTCTCAGGTATGTCTTTATCAGCTGCATGAAAACCGACTAATACAGTGACCTTGGCCAGTCATTTACTTTCTCTGTGTCCCAGGTGCCCTCTTCTGCAAATGGGATAAATTATCCAGGAAGATGCCTTGAAGGGCTGTTGGAAAGACAAATGAGTTAATATGTGTGTTATGGGTTGAATTGTGTCCCCCTCAAAACAAACTGGAGTCCTAACCTCCAAGACCTCAGAAGGTGACCTTATTTGAAAACAGGGTCTTCACAGAAGTAATCAACTTAAAATAAAGTTATTAGTGTGTGCCCTAATCCAGCATGACCAGTGCCCTTTTGAAAAGGAGAGATTTGGATACAGACATACAAAGGGAAAATGCCATGTGAAGGCAAAGGCAGAGACTAGGGTGTTGCATCTACAAGCCAAGGAATACCAAAGATTGCCAGCAAACCCCCAGAAGCTGGGAGAGGGGTGTGGAACAGAGTCTCCTTCATAGCTTCAGAAGAAACCAAAACTGCTGACACCTAGATCTTGGATGCCTGGCCTCCAGAACTGTGGAAAAATACAATTTCTGTTGTTGAAGCCACCCAGTCTGTGGTACTTTGTTATGGCGAACCTAGGACTTTAATACAGTATACAAAGCACTTAGGATAGTTTGGAGGGACTATTACTGTTATTATTATTATTGGACAGAATCTCTCTATGTTGCCCAGGCTGGATTGCAATGGCACAATCTCAGCTCACTGCAACCTCTGCCTCCTGGGTTCAAGCGACTCTCCTGCCTCAGCCTCCTGAGTAGCTGGGACTACATGTGTGAGCCACCATAACTGGTTAATTTATTTTTATTTATTTTATTTTATTTTTATTTATTATTATTATTATTATTTTTTGAGATGGAGTTTTGCTCTTGTTGCCCAGGCTGGAGTGCAGTGGTGTGATCTCAACTCACTGCAACTTCTGCCTCCCAGGTTCAAGCAATTCTTGTGCCTCAACCTCCCGAGTAGCTGGGATTACAGGCGCTTGCCACAAAGCCCAGCTAATTTTGTATTTTTAGTAGAGACAGGGTTTCGCCATGTTGGCCAGGCTGGTCTTGAACTCTTGACCTCAAGTGATCCGCCCACCTCAGGCTCCTAAAGTGCTGGGATTACAGGTGTGAGCCACCACAACCGGCTGTGGAAGGACTATTATGCAGAGCTTTAAATGAGTTACTATAGGCACCCGGCAGTAAGTGATCAATGACTGTCAATCACTATTTTTGGAACAAAGGACTCAGTGGTTCAGGATGACAGTATCCTTATCACAGATACTTCCATAGAAGGAGGAATCCATCAACAAAGGCAAAACTTGGTTTCTTTTTTAGGGTGGTTGCTTATTTCACTTGAACGTATGAGGCAAGGTCAAGGTCTGCCTGCCGCTCTGCTCAGTGTTTAGTGAGAAACCCTCGACTTCAGATTGTGGGGCAGCCAGGAAGACAGCAGGCTGGGGTAGGAGATTAGGGTGCGAACAAACCTTGTCCCTGCAACTCTGTGCCAGGCTACACTACCAGAACTCAGAACGCGGAATTTCAAAGCTGCTGAGGAGAACAGGCTGTGAAACACCCACTACCCCAAAATGACGGGAGCCCTCATTTTTAGGAGCGTGGAGGCATGGATGGGTGCACCCACTCCTTGCTGGTGCCCAGTTGGGCTCAACTTTGTCCTTCCTCTTGATGTTGTGCTTGAAACTGCCATCCTCTCCTGAGCATGCAAAACGACTCAAAATCCTGAGTGCTGTTTTTCTTTTTTGGCTGTTGTTTTCAAGAAAGAGCAATCTAGCTGATGCTCTCTATTTTATCCTCAGTTAACACACTGTGATTACAGCCTGACTCCCCCACCACGTCCTGTAAAAACGAAGGGTGGGTATGTGAAAATTGCCTCTGGTGTTTTTAGCACTAAGGAAAAAACTATTCATTTGTTCTCCACAGGCATGCTGATATCTTATAAAATCCTCCTGGGCCACAGATTGTGAGGTCACTCTAGGCGAGAACAGGACAG
The DNA here is from genome assembly GCF_000001405.40 of Homo sapiens. Lineage (NCBI taxonomy): Eukaryota > Metazoa > Chordata > Mammalia > Primates > Hominidae > Homo > Homo sapiens. Next base: position 52,546,626 of record NC_000004.12, on the reverse strand, counting down.
CCTCTTCCATCAAACTCCCTTTGGCATTCACTTGACTGGTCCACTTCAGTTCATTGTTTAAGAATAATAATGATGCGATGATCATGCATCCTTCTGCAGCTTATCTGAGGAGAGGAGATGGGGTGAAAAGTATATATTTTTTTTCAAACAGGAAGCTCTTTTTGGTAAAATATATCAGCCCCTTATATTCTGTTGGTATAAGACATTTCCCCAGAATGCCCTGGGTGAGCTCAAATGTCTGTGCAGCTTGTCCTGAGGGCTCCACAAGGTTCTGTACTAACCTGTTTTTCAATTCTGCACCATCCAACACAGTAGCCACTGGCTGCATGTGGCTACTAAGCACTTGAGACATGGCTTGTCCAAATTGAGATATGCTATAACTGTACAATACTCACCAGATCTCAAAGATTTAGTACAGAAAAAGAATGCAAAAGATCTTATTCACAGGTGTCTTTACTGACTACATGGTGAAATAATAGTATATTTGATATGTAGGTTAAATATTATTGAAGTATTACTTAACCTATTTTTAAAATTTCACCTTTTCTCTTTACCTTTTTATAAAATAATTGTTTTCCATTAAAAGTTTAGTCCAGCTTTCCAGAAATTGATACGCAACCTTTCCTTCAGATCTTTTATCTCTCCTTGATAGCTTTTTATGCTCGGTTCCAATGACTTCGCAATCTGGTACCAAATGTTAGAATATGTATTTGAGTCTCTGCCTTGGTCGATCTATTCATCTTTAAAACAGAGGGCTGGATGTGACAGGACTCCAGAGGCTCCTCCTGGCTCTAGCATTTTATGATTCTGTTTTAAAATTTGAGACCTGAAAAGGAGAAAACTCTAGATTAATTTCTGAAAGTCTTGACATTTGAGGGGTGATAAGGTTTTCCGAAGATAAAATCTTTTTAATGGATCCTCTTCCTGCTGAGCTGGAAGCCTGGAATCAGTCCAGCGAGTCGTAGGGCAAGGAGGGGCAATGCTGCCTCCTACTGGGCTAAAGGGGAGCAGCAGGTCTAGAGGGGAAGTGTCCCTGTGCAGCCACTAAGTGCTGGCCAAATCTGAGACAGTGAGGGCAATAACGGCTCCGGCAGCAGATGCAAAGTGTTAGTGTGGGGGACCCCAACAACTCCTTTAGTGGGCTTGCTCGGTCTGCCCCACATCTCTTGCCAAAAGTTCAACATTTGATTCAAATAGGAGCTGACTGTCCCCTTCTGGTCATAGCAATTGCTCTGAGTGTCTGTCATCTGGGCAGGTGAAGCTGCGAGGATGTGAACACAGGATCTGTGCTCTCAGGATTCAGCCTCAAGGAGACAGCAGGCCTGTGAGAAGGTGCCCGACAAGCCAGGAGGAGCAGACTCAGGAGGAGGGGCTGGGTGTGTTGGAACAGGCCTGTGGTCCAAGCTGCTCTTGGGGGAGGCTGAGGTGGGAGGATCGCTTGAGTCTAGGACTTGGAGGTTGTAGTGAGCTGTGATTGCACCATTGCACTCCAGCCTGGAGACCCTGTCTCAAAGACAGAGAGGGAGAGAGAGAGAGAGAGAGGGAAAGAGAGAGAGAGAGAGAGAGAAGACAGACAGACAGGAGAGAGAGGGGAGTGTTAGCTTAGGCTAGTCCAAATTGAGTTTTTTCCCCGTTTGACCAAGAGTCCTGACCAGTACACTCTATAAAGCATTCGTTGTTGTTGTTGTTGTTTTAAGATGGGGTTCTTCTAGAGTCGCCCAAGCTGGAGTGCAGTGGTGCGATCATAGCTCACAGTAGTCTCAACCTTTGAGGCTCAAGTGATCATCTGCCTCAGCCTCCTGAGTAGCTGAGAGTACAGGCATGCACCACCACACATGGCTAATTTTTGTATTTTTTTGTTGAAATGGGGTCCCACTATGTTGCCTAGGCTGATCTTGAACTCCTGGGCTCAAGCAAACCTCCTGCCTCAGCCTTGAACAGTACTGGGATTACAAGGATGAGCCACCACTCCAGGCCTATAACACATTCTTTTTTTTTTTTTTTTCTCAGGAATTAACATATTTTATTACTGTTGGCTGTGAATTCAACCTTAAATTTTTGTCCAGATTAGAAAAAATATATACATGAATACATTTATTCACTTCCTCTTTTTTTTTTTTTTTTAATTTTTTTTTTTTTTTATTATACTCTAAGTTTTAGGGTACATGTGCACATTGTGCAGGTTAGTTACATATGTATACGTGTGCCATGCTGGTGCGCTGCACCCACTAACGTGTCATCTAGCATTAGGTATATCTCCCAATGCTATCCCTCCCCCCTCCCCCGACCCCACCACAGTCCCCAGAGTGTGATATTCCCCTTCCTGTGTCCAAGTGATCTCATTGTTCAGTTCCAACCTATGAGTGACAATATGCGGTGTTTGGTTTTTTGTTCTTGCGATAGTTTACTGAGAATGATGGTTTCCAATTTCATCCATGTCCCTACAAAGGACATGAACTCATCATTTTTTATGGCTGCATAGTATTCCATGGTGTATATGTGCCACATTTTCTTAATCCAGTCTATCGTTGGACATTTGGGTTGGTTCCAAGTCTTTGCTATTGTGAATAGTGCCACAATAAACATACGTGTGCATGTGTCTTTATAGCAGCATGATTTATAGTCCTTTGGGTATATACCCAGTAATGGGATGGCTGGGTCAAATGGTATTTCTAGTTCTAGATCCCTGAGGAATCGCCACACTGACTTCCACAATGGTTGAACTAGTTTACAGTCCCACCAACAGTGTAAAAGTGTTCCTATTTCTCCACATCCTCTCCAGCACCTGTTGTTTCCTGACTTTTTAATGATTGCCATTCTAACTGGTGTGAGATGATATCTCATAGTGGTTTTGATTTGCATTTCTCTGATGGCCAGTGATGATGAGCATTTCTTCATGTGTTTTTTGGCTGCATAAATGTCTTCTTTTGAGAAGTGTCTGTTCATGTCCTTCGCCCACTTTTTGATGGGGTTGTTTGTTTTTTTCTTGTAAATTTGTTTGAGTTCATTGTAGATTCTGGATATTAGCCCTTTGTCAGATGAGTAGGTTGCGAAAATTTTCTCCCATGTTGTAGGTTGCCTGTTCACTCTGATGGTAGTTTCTTTTGCTGTGCAGAAGCTCTTTAGTTTAATTAGATCCCATTTGTCAATTTTGGCTTTTGTTGCCATTGCTTTTGGTGTTTTAGACATGAAGTCCTTGCCCACGCCTATGTCCTGGATGGTAATGCCTAGGTTTTCTTCTAGGGTTTTTATGGTTTTAGGTCTAACGTTTAAATCTTTAATCCATCTTGAATTGATTTTTGTATAAGGTGTAAGGAAGGGATCCAGTTTCAGCTTTCTACATATGGCTAGCCAGTTTTCCCAGCACCATTTATTAAATAGGGAATCCTTTCCCCATTGCTTGTTTTTCTCAGGTTTGTCAAAGATCAGATAGTTGTAGATATGTGGCATTATTTCTGAGGGCTCTGTTCTGTTCCATTGATCTATATCTCTGTTTTGGTACCAGTACCATGCTGTTTTGGTTACTGTAGCCTTGTAGTATAGTTTGAAGTCAGGTAGTGTGATGCCTCCAGCTTTGTTCTTTTGGCTTAGGATTGACTTGGCGATGCGGGCTCTTTTTTGGTTCCATATGAACTTTAAAGTAGTTTTTTCCAATTCTGTGAAGAAAGTCATTGGTAGCTTGATGGGGATGGCATTGAATCTGTAAATTACCTTGGGCAGTATGGCCATTTTCACGATATTGATTCTTCCTACCCATGAGCATGGAATGTTCTTCCATTTGTTTGTGTCCTCTTTTATTTCCTTGAGCAGTGGTTTTTAGTTCTCCTTGAAGAGGTCCTTCACGTCCCTTGTAAGTTGGACTCCTAGGTATTTTATTCTCTTTGAAGCAATTGTGAATGGGAGTTCACTCATGATTTGGCTCTCTGTTTGTCTGTTGTTGGTGTATAAGAATGCTTGTGATTTTTGTACATTGATTTTGCATCCTGAGACTTTGCTGAAGTTGCTTATCAGCTTAAGGAGATTTTGGGCTGAGACGATGGGGTTTTCTAGATAAACAATCATGTCGTCTGCAAACAGGGACAATTTGACTTCCTCTTTTCCTAATTGAATACCCTTTATTTCCTTCTCCTGCCTGATTGCCCTGGCCAGAACTTCCAACACTATGTTGAATAGGAGCGGTGAGAGAGGGCATCCCTGTCTTGTGCCAGTTTTCAAAGGGAATGTTTCCAGTTTTTGCCCATTCAGAATGATATTGGCTGTGGGTTTGTCATAGATAGCTCTTATTATTTTGAAATACGTCCCATCAATACCTAATTTATTGAGAGTTTTTAGCATGAAGGGTTGTTGAATTTTGTCAAGGGCTTTTTCTGCATCTATTGAGATAATCATGTGGTTTTTGTCTTTGGCTCTGTTTATATGCTGGATTGCATTTATTGATTTGCGTATATTGAACCAGCCTTGCATCCCAGGGATGAAGCCCACTTGATCATGGTGGATAAGCTTTTTGATGTGCTGCTGGATTCGGTTTGCCAGTATTTTATTGAGGATTTTTGCATCAATGTTCATCAAGGATATTGGTCTAAAATTCTCTTTTTTGGTTGTGTCTCTGCCCGGCTTTGGTATCAGAATGATGCTGGCCTCATAAAATGAGTTAGGGAGGATTCCCTCTTTTTCTATTGATTGGAATAGCTTCAGAAGGAATGGTACCAGTTCCTCCTTGTACCTCTGGTAGAATTCGGCTGTGAATCCATCTGGTCCTGGACTCTTTTTGGTTGGTAAACTATTGATTATTGCCACAATTTCAGAGCCTGTTATTGGTCTATTCAGAGATTCAACTTCTTCCTGGTTTAGTCTTGGGAGAGTGTATGTGTCGAGGAATGTATCCATTTCTTCTAGATTTTCTAGTTTATTAGCGTAGAGGTGTTTGTAGTATTCTCTGATGATAGTTTGTATTTCTGTGGGATCGGTGGTGATATCCCCTTTATCATTTTTTATTGTGTCTATTTGATTCTTCTCTCTTTTTTTCTTTATTAGTCTTGCTAGCGGTCTATCAATTCTGTTGATCCTTTCAAAGAACCAGCTCCTGGATTCATTGATTTTTTGAAGGGTTTTTTGTGTCTCTATTTCCTTCAGTTCTGCTCTGATTTTAGTTATTTCTTGCCTTCTGCTAGCTTTGGAATGTGTTTGCTCTTGCTTTTCTAGTTCTTTTAATTGTGATGTTAGGGTGTCAATTTTGGATCTTTCCTGCTTTCTCTTGTAGGCATTTAGTGCTATAAATTTCCCTCTACACACTGCTTTGAATGCGTCCCAGAGATTCTGGTATGTGGTGTCTTTGTTCTCGTTGGTTTCAAAGAACATCTTTATTTCTGCCTTCATTTCGTTATGTACCCAGTAGTCATTCAGGAGCAGGTTGTTCAGTTTCCATGTAGTTGAGCGGCTTTGAGTGAGATTCTTAATCCTGAGTTCTAGTTTGATTGCACTGTGGTCTGAGAGATAGTTTGTTATAATTTCTGTTCTTTTACATTTGCTGAGGAGAGCTTTACTTCCAACTATGTGGTCAATTTTGGAATAGGTGTGGTGTGGTGCTGAAAAAAATGTATATTCTGTTGATTTGGGGTGGAGAGTTCTGTAGATGTCTATTAGGTCTGCTTGGTGCAGAGCTGAGTTCAATTCCTGGGTATCCTTGTTGACTTTCTGTCTCGTTGATCTGTCTAATGTTGACAGTGGGGTGTTAAAGTCTCCCATTATTAATGTGTGGGAGTCTAAGTCTCTTTGTAGGTCACTCAGGACTTGCTTTATGAATCTGGGTGCTCCTGTATTGGGTGCATAAATATTTAGGATAGTTAGCTCCTCTTGTTGAATTGATCCCTTTACCATTATGTAATGGCCTTCTTTGACTTTTTTGATCTTTGTTGGTTTAAAGTCTGTTTTATCAGAGACTAGGATTGCAACCCCTGCCTTTTTTTGTTTTCCATTGGCTTGGTAGATCTTCCTCCATCCTTTTATTTTGAGCCTATGTGTGTCTCTGCACGTGAGATGGGTTTCCTGAATACAGCACACTGATGGGTCTTGACTCTTTATCCAACTTGCCAGTCTGTGTCTTTTAATTGCAGAATTTAGTCCATTTATATTTAAAGTTAATATTGTTATGTGTGAATTTGATCCTGTCATTATGATGTTAGCTGGTGATTTTGCTCATTAGTTGATGCAGTTTCTTCCTAGTCTCGATGGTCTTTACATTTTGGCATGATTTCGCAGCGGCTGGTACCGGTTGTTCCTTTCCATGTTTAGCGCTTCCTTCAGGAGCTCTTTTAGGGCAGGCCTGGTGGTGACAAAATCTCTCAGCATTTGCTTGTCTATAAAGTATTCTATTTCTCCTTCACTTATGAAGCTTAGCTTGGCTGGATATGAAATTCTAGGTTGAAAATTCTTTTCTTTAAGAATGTTGAATATTGGCCCCCACTCTCTTCTGGCTTGTAGGGTTTCTGCCGAGAGATCCGCTGTTAGTCTGATGGGCTTTCCTTTGAGGGTAACCCGACCTTTCTCTCTGGCTGCCCTTAACATTTTTTCCTTCATTTCAACTTTGGTGAATCTGACAATTATGTGTCTTGGAGTTGCTCTTCTCGAGGAGTATCTTTGTGGCGTTCTCTGTATTTCCTGAATCTGAACGTTGGCCTGCCTTGCTAGATTGGGGAAGTTCTCCTGGATAATATCCTGCAGAGTGTTTTCCAACTTGGTTCCATTCTCCACATCACTTTCAGGTACACCAATCAGACGTAGATTTGGTCTTTTCACATAGTCCCATATTTCTTGGAGGCTTTGCTCATTTCTTTTTATTCTTTTTTCTCTAAACTTCCCTTCTCGCTTCATTTCATTCATTTCATCTTCCATTGCTGATACCCTTTCTTCCAGTTGATCGCATCGGCTCCTGAGGCTTCTGCATTCTTCACGTAGTTCTTGAGCCTTGGTTTTCAGCTCCATCAGCTCCTTTAAGCACTTCTCTGTATTGGTTATTCTAGTTATACATTCTTCTAAATTTTTTTCAAAGTTTTCAACTTCTTTGCCTTTGGTTTGAATGTCCTCCCGTAGCTCAGAGTAATTTGATCGTCTGAAGCCTTCTTCTCTCAGCTCGTCAAAGTCATTCTCCATCCAGCTTTGTTCTGTTGCTGGTGAGGAACTGCGTTCCTTTGGAGGAGGAGAGGCGCTCTGCATTTTAGAGTTTCCAGTTTTTCTGTTCTGTTTTTTCCCCATCTTTGTGGTTTTATCTACTTTTGGTCTTTGATGATGGTGATGTACAGATGGGTTTTCGGTGTAGATGTCCTTTCTGGTTGTTAGTTTTCCTTCTAACAGACAGGACCCTCAGCTGCAGGTCTGTTGGAATACCCTGCCGTGTGAGGTGTCAGTGTGCCCCTGCTGGGGGGTGCCTCCCAGTTAGGCTGCTCGGGGGTCAGGGGTCAGGGACCCACTTGAGGAGGCAGTCTGCCCGTTCTCAGATCTCCAGCTGCGTGCTGGGAGAACCACTGCTCTCTTCAAAGCTGTCAGACAGGGACACTTAAGTCTGCAGAGGTTACTGCTGTCTTTTTGTTTGTCTGTGCCCTGCCCCCAGAGGTGGAGCCTACAGAGGCAGGCAGGCCTCCTTGAGCTGTGGTGGGCTCCACCCAGTTGGAGCTTCCCAGCTGCTTTGTTTACCTAATCAAGCCTGGGCAATGGCGGGCGCCCCTCCCCCAGCCTCGTTGCCGCCTTGCAGTTTGATCTCAGACTGCTGTGCTAGCAATCAGCGAGATTCCGTGGGCGTAGGACCCTCTGAGCCAGGTGTGGGATATAGTCTCGTGGTGCGCCGTTTCTTAAGCCTGTCTGAAAAGCGCAATATTCGGGTGGGAGTGACCCGATTTTCCAGGTGTGTCCGTCACCCCTTTCTTTGACTCGGAAAGGGAACTCCCTGACCCCTTGCGCTTCCCAGGTGAGGCAATGCCTCGCCCTGCTTCGGCTCGCGCACGGTGCACACACACACTGGCCTGCGCCCACTGTCTGGCACTCCCTAGTGAGATGAGGCTGGTACCTCAGATGGAAATGCAGAAATCACCCGTCTTCTGCGTCGCTCACGCTGGGAGCTGTAGACCGGAGCTGTTCCTATTCGGCCATCTTGGCTCCTCCCTAACACATTCTTTAGAGGAAGATGAGATGACTTTCTGAATAAACATAACAATAGATTAGGAATGTCCATAGAAGAGACGTGTACCCTTTTCTCTTGATATGCAGTATATTTAAGAGATAGGGAAACTGATGGACACAGGAAGCCACAGACCAGGTGCCAGACATATGTGAAGAAGCCCAAATGAGTTTGCTCACTCCTATTACTCCCATTCCCAGACTTCCCTACCTTATCACCCCCCTGTTCTCCCAAACTTATCAAGGTGATTCTGTCCTCTGCGTTTGGCCTCTCATCTCATCCTCCCAGCATACAACACACTAGACAAACACATACATCCACACTGTACAAATAACACACCCCACTGCTTGGTAGCAAGGAATACACTTACCTGTGTTACTTCGAGTAAAAGTAGGGGACAGTTTGCTAGCATATTTGTGGGACTAAGGAAAACAGGAATCTCAAGCTTGTTGCCAGGCCTCCTGGGAATCGAGGGAAAGCCACATAACAGCCAAAGAAGAGTAAGACCCACAGGACAGCAGAGCATCAGAGAGCCCAGAATAAATCATCCCATGCAGAAGGTCATTCAGTGTCCAGTTAAATGTCCTGGACACTGATAATCTTGTTGCTGGCCCTCTGTCCTGTCTCCCTGCTTATACCAGAAGCTGGAATTTGTTGATCTTCAAGAGGTATAGCATTATGGGGCCTACCTCCTTTTTGCCTTTATCTTGAACCTGCTCGAAACATCTCCCTCGTGCTCTATTTAACGTATATTTGGACTTCTGCCTCCTCACAACTTCTGCTTACTCTAATTTAATAATTTCTGCTTTCTCTTGACCTTTCATTATTCTTTTGAATCTTGCCTGCCTTTTCTCTGTTTTTTTTTCTTTCTCTCTTGCTAACGAAGATGGATTCTCTCCCTCTATCTCTTCTTCGTATTCCTGAGAATTTCCCCATATTTTCATTTTATATCATATTTTTATTTCATCTTCATTTTCTATTCCAGAGAAAGATAATTTGATGCCTTTATCATCATTATTTGTGTATAACAGAGATTTCTTACCAGGCTATCTCACAGGCTATTGGGCAATTCTAAATTGGCTGCCTTTGGGTTGGGTGTCCACTTCTGGTTCAGTTAGTTATAGCCTGGGGTGGGGTCACATGGTGCAGGGCATGGCTGTTTACGCTTATGGAGCAGAAGCTTGATGAAGTGCTTTGAGTATAACCGCTTGTGAGGGGTCAATGAGGGTCGTAGATTTCAAGGCTTTTTCTGTCCGACATACATACTACCTCGAACTCCCACCTGCAATGCCATTCTCTTGTCCATTGCTCATCTTCTTGCTCATGTGGTCCAAGATTGCATTTTGTAGGTTGCTGCTTGCCTTACTTGATAGTCTTGCTTTTCTCTTTAATGGAGAGTGAAAGATGAGTTTGGGAAGAGCTGGTATGATTTTGCTTCTTTAATCAAAAAAGACCTTGAGAAACAAGGAAATGTTTTCTGGTGATGTATAACAACACACACCTCTCTTAATGGCCTCAGTGGTAAATTCAATATACCGTGACTCCTCCCTTGAGAATAATGTTTTGGGGAATGAGAAGTGGGGTGAGGTGGAAGGAATTTGGAACGTAACCTCAGGCATCTGTCCAAATACTATCCTTTTCTAGTCACTACTGCCGGTTCTCCAACTGTCCAGGCCTCACACCCCCAGAGAGCACCAGCTCTGGGGCCATAAGTGTCCTTTAGGATTATTATTCAGCCCTTTAGGTCAAACCTAAGATCTTTTTCCCACCTATGCAGTCTCAATCTTCTATTCTCTTTAAATAGCTGCCAGTGATTGTGCTATTCAGAGGTTTCTTCTCAGAATGTAATTGCTCTCTGCATACTTAAATGCCCTGGTTTCTATTGTCTCTGAATGAAATAACTTCAGATAATTCTGAGTCTGGATGATCAGACTGATGAAATCTGAGGAGAACTGAAATTGGGAAAAAATATCTTATATTTCCTCTCCTGGTGGCATCCTCATGTTTCAGAAATGTAGACAACTAAACTCTTCTGCAGAGTTCCAGAGTCTGTCTCCTGCATGTCAATGATTACTCTTAGTCTGTGAAAACACCAGGCTCTGATTTCTAGTAAAATCTAGAGTTTCCACAGACATAAATTCTTATTGTGTACCAGGCACTGCTATGGGAATGATAGGTTCATGATGATTGAGACAGATGTATTTGTTAAGGTAATCCTAGAACTTGTAACAAACAAACTAAAGAATGTGTAATGGCTCAGATGTGATAGAAGTTTGTTTTTCCTCACATAAAGTTCACAACGGGCATTGCTGATGAGTGGATGCCTCACCCAAGTAATATGTGAGGACCCAGATTTCTTTCGCCTGTGGCTCTCATGTCTTCAGCATGTGGCTTCCAAAGTCCCTGTAGAGCACGGAGGGTTGCCTGTGGCGTAACTTTATCAGCAAGACCAGGAAGGGTGCACATCACTTCCATGCCAATGGCATTGGCTAATGCATGTCACGTGGCCTAACTGCAAAGGAAGCTGGGAGACAAGGTTAGGTGTGTGCCCAGGCAGAAGTGGAAATGGGTTTGATGCATACATGGCAGTTTCTGTGAAAGTAAACAAGATGCCACTTTTCCCAGAAGCATTCATCTGTGATTTTGTGGAGTGGAGGATACTTCAGAGTAAGACAGCCTGAGACTGGCCCATTAGGAGGACTCAGTGAGCCAACAGACATCCTGACTTTTAATCTTATTTGCCAAGATGGTTACCAAGCAAACAGCAACTAATGATTTGGCTTCCACAGATTGCCTAAAGAGAAATAACACATTGCCTAAGAGCAGCAGAACTCTAGTTCAGCCTTCAGGAAGCACATTGGGGATGGGGACCAGGTGTCCACAACTTTAGCTCATCTCCTGGCCCAGATGATAACCATGGCTGATATATATATACACACACACACACATATAATTTGTATATATATAATTTACATATATAATTTATTATATATAATTATATATAAAATATATAATTATATATGTGTGTATATATACATATATACACATATGTTTACACATATATACACACACACATATGTGTGTGTGTATATATATATATATATATAAATTCCAACTTATATTTTAAGTTCAGGGATACATGTGCAGGATGTGCAGGTTTGTTACATAGGTAAACGTGTGCCATGGTGATTTGCTGCACAGATCATACCATCACCTAGGTATTAAGCCCAGTATCCATTAGCTATTCTTCCTGATCCTCTCCCTCCTCTCACTCCTACCCTCCAACAGGCCCCAATGTGTGTTGTTCCCCTCATGTGTCCATGTATTCTCATCATTTAGCTCCCACTTACAAGTGAAAACATGCGGTATTTGGTTTTCTGTTACTACATGAGTTTGTTGAGGATAATGGCCTCCAGCTCCATCCATTTTCCTGCAAAGGACATGATCTGATTCCTTTTTATGGCTGCATAGTATTCCATGGTGTATATGTACCACATTTTCTTTATCTAGTCTATCATTGATGGGCATTTAGGTTGATTCCATGTCTTTGCTGTTGTGAATAGTGCTGCATTGAATATATGTGTGCATCTGTCTTTGCAATAGAATGATTTATATTCCTTTGGGTATATACCCAGTAATGGGATTGCTAGGCTGAATGGTAGTTCTGTTTTTAGATATCTGAGGAATCACCACACTCTCTTCCACAATGATTGAATTAATTTACACTCCCATCAACAGCACATAAGTGTTTCTTTTTCTCCACAACCTCACCACCATCAATTATTTTTTGACTTTTTAATAATAGCCATTCTCACTGGTGTGAGATGGTGTATCATTGTGATTTTGATTTGCATTTCTCTAATGATCAGTGATGTTGAGCTTTTTTTCATGTTTGTTGCCTGCATGTATCTATGTCTTCTTTTGGGAAGTGTCTGTTCATGTCCTTTGCCCATGTTTTAATGGGGTTGTTTGTTTTTTTGTTGTAAATTTGTTTAAGTCCCTTATAGATGCTAGATATTAGACCTTTGTCAGATGCATAGATTGCAACATTTTTTTCCCATTCTGTGAGTTGCCTGTTCACTCTGTTGATAGTTTCTTTTGCTGTGCAGAAGCTCTTTAGTTTAATTAGATTCCATTTGTCAATTTTCGTTTTGTTGCAGTTGCTTTTCCTGTCTTTGTCATGAAATCTTTGCCCGTGCCTATGTCCTAAATGGTGTTGCCTAGGTTTTCTTGCAGGGTTTTTATAGTTTTGGGTTTTACATTTAAATCTTTAATCCATCTTGAGTTGATTTTTGTATATGGTGTAAGGAAGGGGTCCAGTTTCAATTTTCTGCATATGGCTAGCCAGTTCTTCAAGCACCATTTATTAAATAGGGAATCCTTTTCCCATTGCTTGTTTTTGTCAGTTTTGTTGAAGATCAGATGGTTGTAGGTGTGTCATTTTCTTTCTGGGTTCTGTATTCTGTTCCATTGGTGTATGTGTCTGGTTTTGTACCAGTACCACGCTGTTTTGGTTACTGTAGCCCTGTAGTATAGTATAAAGTTGGGTAGCATGATGCCTCCAGCTTTGTTCTTTTTGCTTAGGATTGCCTTGGCTATTCAGGCTCTATTTTGGTTCCATATAAATTTTAAAATAGTTTTCTCTAATTCTGTGAAGAATGTCAGTGGTAATTTTATGGGAATAGCATTGAATCTATAAATTGCTTTGGGCAGTATGGTCATTTTCACCATATTGATTCTTCCGATCCATGAACATGGAATGTTTTTCCATTTGTTTGTGTCATCTCTGATTTCTCTGAGCAGTGGTTTGTAGTTCTCCTTGAAGAGGTCCTTCACTTCTCTTGTTAGCTGTATTCCTAGGTATTTTATTCTTTTTGTAGCAGTCATGAATGGGAGTTCATATGTGATTCGGCTCTCAGCTTGTATGGCTGATATTTCTAGATCTCTTCTTATGTTCTATGTGCTAATCTAAGGATCTTATATATACAAAGAGAATAGAGGATTGAAACTCTATAGATTGGAGAGAAAATCTTAGGTGTGCGCTAAAGGGCTAAATAAAAAATCTGACTGAGTCCTGTGGCCCCAGTCACACCTGCTGTTGACTCCAGAGCTGGCATTCTTAATCTTGTGCTGCATTTCCTTGTTAAATGAGTGAATCAGTTATAAAACAAGGGACATTGTACTTTCTGCACTGCTCTTTTATGAATTTAGTTAGGATGAAGGCTGATATCATAAGCTTCATTGTTCCATGATCACTGATAATGCTGAATTTTAGAGTGTGCAAAGGAGAAAAACAGATTCCCTCTTAGCACTGGAAAGGCTTTCCCCTTCTAGTTAGGCAGGAACTTCCCTCAAGTATCTCCTTCTGTGATAAACTCCACCGTCAATCTTCCAAGCTCTGGTTCCTTCAAAGACTTTCTTCTTACTTACCTTAATAAAAAGTCTAGTTTGAAACTCAAAGTTATAGGTGGAATCTGCCTTCTATTCCTGGGGCCTAGACTTAATGTTCGAAGGGAAAAAAGAGATCAAAATAAAGACAAAATAAAAAACCCTGAATTCTCAAGAAGGGAAAATACTTTGATACAAACAACAACAACAACAAAAAAACTGGTTGGGTGTGGTGGCTCACACCTGTAATTCCAGCACTTTGGGAGGCTGAGGCGGGAGGATCACCTGAGGTCGGGAGTTCGAGACCAGCCTGACCAACATGGAGAAACCCTGTCTCTACTAAAAATACAAAATTAGTCGGGCGTGGTGGCACATGCCTGTAATCCCAACTACTCCGGAGGCTGAGGCAGGAAAATTGCTTGCACCCAAGAGGTGGAGGTTGCAGAGAGCCCAGATCGTGCATTTGCACTTCAGCCTGGGCAACAAGAGCAAAACTTCGTCTGAAGACAAAACAAAACAAAACAAAACAAAACCTATGCTACCATTTTGCGATTTCAAGAAAAGTGTCAATTTTCTTAGTTTCTAATGGGAAGCATGAAAAGTCAATTATTAGACTGTTTTCTACTGGTTAGCAAGCTTTGACTATGTGTAGGCCTGATACCAGATTCTGGTTGTAAAAAGACGCCAATGATGTAGGCTAAACAGAGAAAGGCAGATGAATTACCAAACATGTTAAAGGCTAAAGCAAATGTGTAATGAAGGTGTAGTGGGGCCCCAGAAGACAGAGCAACTAATTCTATCAGGGTGGTAGTTAAATAATATGGTAAAAACTAAAAAACAGAACCATGTTAAATAATAATAATATCACCGGGTGTTTTTTTTTATTGTTTCTTGAACTTAATGTTTATGCCCCCAATATTTCACTGTGAAATGTATGTTAAGATGTTCCCTTTTCCCGACATTCAGAGTATCTTTGTAGTCCTTGGCATGTATTCAAGATGATGAATTGGGTAGGGGACTAGAGGATGAATGGATATGGGAGACTTGGTGTGTGATGGCTGACAGGCCACAAATAGAAGTCTATTTCCTTTGTCTAGTTTGTGATAAGGAAGACCAGAACCAAGGCAGTGGCAGGGTGGAGGGATTGGGAAGGCATTGGAGCCAGGAGACATTTTTTAATCCCGGGGCTTGGCTAGTGGGCATGAGCGGTTGTGAATGTCTTCACAGTTTCTACCCTGGGAGACCCCATTAAGTGTGCTTGAGAAGACAGGAAATGAAATGGGTTAGAGGAGGATGATGGTGGGTTCTGTTTGGGCGACTATAGGGTATCTAAGGTGACACAATAAATAAATAATTGGAAATGCAAATCTAGAGCTTGGATAAAAGATCAGGGTTGGACAGAGAGCTCTGGGTGCTGTCACCCCGAGTTTTGTGCATAGTAGGTGGGTGTCAGTGAAAGTCCTGAGACTGGGTGAGGTCCCCTTGGGCAGGTGTGCAAAGTAGGGGAGAAAAGGAACTCTAACATTAAGAGTGCAGGTAGAGAAGGGGGAACCAGGCAGTGAAACTAACAGAGGTGTTGCAGGGCCTGGATAGAAACTAAGAGAGTACAGAAATAGTTAACATTTTATTGAGTGTTTACTATATGCCTGCTACTGTGCTAAATACATTTTCATGCATCGTATGATTTGATGCTCATGACAATGAAATTGTCATGAATTGTTATGAAATTGATATTAGGCTCTTTGTATGGATATGGAAATAGAAGTTTAGAGAGAGTAAGTAACTCAGCAAAGGTCATGTTGTTAGCCTATAGCAGACTCAGGACTTGGACCCACATTTGTTGTACTTCAGAGTCTTTGTTCTCACCCCAAGTTAGCTTGCTCTCTTGGCATCTGAGAAACCAAATAAAGATGGAGTTTAAGAAGTAAGGGGGTGGGTGTTGGAGGCCCTGGTTGGGGAGCAGATTTGCCTGTCCAATTCTGTCTTGTTCAAGTTAATATCAACAAGAATGTGCAGACCCCTGGCTCAGGGTAGTTGAGTGAGAGGATGCAGACCCCTAATGTGAAAAGATCCCAAGAGACATCTCAGTTTGGGAAGGAACTTGAGGGCAATAGAATCCCTGAATATTCAAGCACAAAAAGAGACTGGAGGCAGGTGGAAGGTTAAATACACCACAGCCTCTGACAGTTGAACAGTTGAAACCTCGTGATTTCCAGATTCTACCATTTGAATGCATCATAACCACAGCCAAATCTTCCAATAGCTGTGAATTTAGATTTCTCTTTTTATTAATTTCCTATTTCAGAAAGACCATAGTCCACATCCAGTTCTCAACATAAAAGTGTTAAAAGGTATAAAACATCAACTCTGTTAAACACCCTGAAATTTAAACTTTCTGAAATGATTCTTTAGCTCTAGGTCAATAATAACAATTAATAATTATTGAATCTTTATTTTGTACTAGGAACCACTTTTAGCACTTTATATGTATAATCATTTTTAACACACATTAACCCTAAAAAACAAGAGTGATTTTCAGGTCCGTTATACAAAGCCCTTGGATCTTCAGAATTAAGGTTATGTGCACTGAGTATTCTGCAAGCTTAGGAATCCTCATTTGATGGGTTAATGTTGATCTAGGCATATTTAGGGAAGAATTGTCCATAACAATCATAATCTACACGCATCAGAAGACTGAGTTTTGTTCTCGGTTCTTTCATGGACCTTGGACTTGAGCCAATTCACAGATTTCTTTGTCTTAAAATTCTTAACAATTTTTTTATTTTTAAAATGTTATTGTAAAACATGCTTTTTATACTAGAGTATATGAAGCATTTCTGTACAATGTAAAGAATAATAGTACAATATATGGTATTGCGTTATTGTATTATCCACCACCAGGGTGACAGAGTGAGATCTTGTTTCAAAAACAAATACAAAAACAAGAACATTGCATCAAACCCCAAATCTGCATTAAATTGAGAAGCCCATCACAGCCTGCTGCCTGGAAACCAGAATATTCAGGGTGCTCATTTCTCATGGCTGCTGTTACAAATTGCCACAAATTTAATGACTTAAAACAACACAGGTCTGAAGTCTAAAATCAAGGTGTCAGTGGGGCTCTGTCCTTTCCAGAGGCTTCAGGAAAGAATCTGTTTCCTTGCCTTTCTCAGCCTGTGGAAGCTGCTAGCATTCTGTGGCTCATAGCACCTTCTCCGCATCATTCCTACTTCTTGCTTCTGTCATCACATTTCCTACTACTCACTCTGATTCCTCTGTTTTACTCTTACAAGGACCCTTGTTATTACATTGGGCCTCCCTGGAGAATCCAGGACAATCTGCCTGTCTCAGGATCCTTAATTCAGTCACATCTGCAAGGTCCTGTGGACCATATTCACAGGTTCCAAGCAGTAGGATGTGGACATCTCTGGTGGTGGGTGGGGGTGGGGGCTGTTTTTCTGCCTACCACCCTTATCAAACTGCCCATTTCCTCAGGCCTGGCAGATAAGGGGCTGATCCCATGTGTGGCTGCCCCAAGCATCATGTATAAGTCTGCCTGTCAGCTACAGGAAAGAAGACCAGAGAATGAATTAAAATTGATACAGCAGCCCAACAAGGGCTTCCTCTACCCTTGATTTATAAAAAGTTATTCATATGAAGGTATGAAAATGGCACTTTTAGCTGTGCATTAAATAATTTTATTAAACATAATAAAAATGATGTGCAACGGAAGCTCTCCTGGAAAATGTCAGCATATTTGTGGAGTAAAGTTTATGCATGAAAAAAGCTCCTCTTGCTTCAGGGTTTCTTTTTTCTCCTGTATTTCACTGCTAGGGCTGCCACAGCAAATACTACAGAATGGTGGCTTAAACAATGGCAATTTATTTTCTCACACTTCTGGAGGCTGGAAGTCTAAGATCGAGGTATCAGCAGGGTTGGTTTCTTCCGAAGCCTCTTTCCTCAGGTTGTGCATGGCCGCAATTCTTGCTGCTTTGTCCTCACATGGCCTCTGTGCACACACACCTATGGTATCTTTTTATCTTACAAGGACACCAGTCCTGTCGGATTAGGGCCCTACACTAAAGATCATTTTAACAGAATCACCTTTTTAAAGACCTCATCTCCAAATATGGTTACATTCTGAGGTCTTGGGGGTTAGGGTTTTAATGTATAAATTTTGGTGGGGTTAGGGAGGACACAGTTTAGCCCATCACACTCTTTCTAACCCCAGCTCCCACCGATTCCTCAGTAATCTTTTTCAGCAGGTTCCTATTTTAACTAGGTGTAAACATTAGGTAAACCCAGGGAATGTTGTCATATTAGGAGTCAAAGTTTACTAATCTGAGTAATGAATGCATATCTATTTCCTTCCTTCCTTCCTTCCTCTTCTCTCTCTTTCTTTCTTTCCTTCCTTCCTTCCTTCCTTCCTTCCTTCCTTCTTTCTTTCTTTCTTTCTTTCTTTCTTTCTTTCTTTCTTTCTTTCTTTCTTTCTTTCTTTTTCTTTCTTTCTTTCTTTTTCTTTCTTTCTTTCTCTTTTCTTTCTTTCTTTCTTTCTTTCTTTCTTTCTTTTTTCTTTCTTTTCTTTCTTTCTTTCTTTCTTTCTTTCTTTCTTTCTTTCTTTTTCTTTCTTTCTTTCTCTTTTCTTTCTTTCTTTCTTTCTTTCTTTCTTTCTTTCTTTCTTTCTTTCTTTTTCTTTCTTTTCTTTCTTTCTTTCTTTCTTTCTTTCTTTCTTTCTTTCTTTCTCAGACTTTAAGTTCTAGGGTACATGGTTTGATACATAGGTATACATGTGCCATGTTGGTTTGCTGCCCCCATCAACTCATCATTTATATTAGGTATTTCTCCTAATGCTATCCCTCCCCTAGCCCCCCACTCCTCAACAGGCCCCGGTGTGTGATGTTCCCCGCCCTGTGACCAAGTGATCTCATTGTTCAATTCCCACCTATGAGTGAGAACATGTGGTGTTTGGTTTTCTGTCCTTGTGATAGTTTGCTCAGAATGATAGTTTCCAGCTTCATCCACATCCCTGCAAAAAACATGAACTCATCCTTTTTTATGGCTGCATAGTATTCCGTGGTGTATATGTGCCACATTTTCTTAATCCAATTTATCATTGATGGACATTTGGGTTGGTTCCAAGTCTTTGCTATTGTGAATAGTGCCGCAATAAACATACGTATTCATGTGTCTTTATAGTAGCATGATTTATAATCCTTTGGGTATATACCCAGTAATGGGATTGCTGGGTCAAATGGTAATTCTAGTTCTAGATCCCTGAGGAATTGCCACACTGTCTTCCACAATGGTTGAACTAGTTTACACTCCCACCAAAAGTGTAAAAGCATTCCTATGTCTCCACATCCTCTCCAGCATCTGTTGTTTCCTGACTTTTTAATGATTGCCATTCTAACTGGCATGAGATGGTATCTCATTGTGGTTTTGATTTGCATTTCTCTGATAGCCAGTGATGATAAGCATTTTTTCATGTGTCTGTTGGCCGCATAGATGTCTTCTTTTGAGAAGTGTCTGTTCATGTCCTCTGCTCACGTGTTGATGGAGTTGTTTGATTTTTTTCTTGTAAATTTGTTTGAGTTCTTTGTAGATTCTGGATATCAGCCCTTTGTAAGATGGGTAGATTGCAAAATTTTTTTTCCCATTCTGTAGGTTGCCTGTTCATGCTGATAATAGTTTCTTTTGCTGTGCAGAAGCTCTTTAGTTTAATTAGATCCCATTTGTCAATTTTGGCTTTTGTTGCCGCTACTTTTGGTGTTTTAATCATGAAGTCCTTGCCCATGCCTATTTCCTGAATGGTATTGCCTAGGTTTTCTTTTAGGGTTTTTATGGTTTTAGGTCTAACATTTATATGTTTAATCCATCTTGAATTAATTTTTGTATAAGGTGTAAGGAAGGGATCCAGTTTCAGCTTTCTACATATGGCTAGCCTGTTTCCACAGCACCATTTATTAAACAGGGAATCCTTTCCCTATTGCTTGTTTTTGTCAGGTTTGTCAAAGATCAGATGGTTGTAGATGTGTGGTGTTATTTCTGAGGCCTCTGTTCTGTTCCATTGGTCTATATATCTGTTTTGGTACTAATACCATGCTGTTTTGGTTACTATAGCCTTATAGTATAGTTTGAAGTCAGGTGGCGTGATGCTTCCAGCTTTGTTCTTTTTGCTTAGGATTGTCTTGGCAATGCAGGCTCTTTTTTGGTTCCATATGAACTTTAAAGTAGTTTTTTCCAATTCTGTGAAGAAAGTCATTGGTAGCTTGATGAGGATGGCATTGAATCTATAAATTACTTTGGACAGTATGGCCATTTTCATGATATTTATTCTTCCTATCCATGAATGTGGAATATTCTTCCATTTGTTTGTGTCCTCTTTTACTTCTTTGAGCAGTGGTTTGTAGTTCTCATTGAAGAGGTCCCTCACATCCCTTGTAAGTTGGATTCCTAGGTATTTTATCCTCTTTGTAGCATTTGTGAATGGGGATTCACTCATGATTTGGCTCTCTCTTTGTCTGTTAACAGCGTATAAGAATGCTTGAGACTTTGCTGAAGTTGCTTATCAGCTTAAGGAGATTTTGGGCTGAGATGATGGGGTTTTCTAAATATACAGTCATGTCATCTGCAAACAGGGACAATTTGACTTCCTCTTTTCCTAATTGAATACCTTTTATTTCTTTCTCTTGCCTGATCACCCTGGCCAGAACTTCCAAACACTATGTTGAATAGGAGTGGTGAGAGAGGGCATCCTTGTCTTGTGCCAGTTTTCAAAGGGAATGCTTCCAGTTTTTGCCTATTAAGTATAATATTGGCTATGGGTTTGCCATAAATAGCTCTTATTATTTTGAGATACGTTGCATCAATACCTAGTCTTTAGCATGAAGCATTGTTGAATTTTGTCGAAGGCCTTTTCTGCATCTATTGAGATAATCATGTGGTTTTTGTCATCAGTTCTGTTTATATGATGGATTACGTTTATTGATTTGCATATGTTGAACCAGGTTGCATCCCAGGGATGAAGCCCACTTGATCGTGGTGGATAAGCTTTTTGATGTGCTGCTGGATTCGGTTTGCCAGTATTTTAGTGAGGATTTTTGCATCAATGTTCATCAAGGATATTGGTCTAAAATTCCCTTTTTTTGTTGTGTCTCTGCCAGGCTTTGGTATCAGGATGATGCTGGCCTCCTAAAATGAGTTAGGGAGGATTCCCTCTTTTTCTATTGATTGGAATAGTTTCAGAAGGAATGGTACCACCTCCTGTTTGTACTTCTGATAGAATTCGTCTGTGAATCCATCTGGTCCTGGACTTTTTTTGGTTGGTAAACTATTAATTATTGCTTCAATTTCAGAGCCTGTTATTGGTCTATTCAGAGATTGAGCTTCCTGGTTTAGTCTTGGGAGGGTGTGTGTGTCCAGGAATTTATCCATTTCTTCTGGATTTTCTAGTTTATTTGCATAGAGGTGTTTATAGTATTCGCTGATGGTAGTTTGTATTTCTGTGGGATCAGTGGTGATATCTCCTTTATCATTTTTTATTGTGTCTATTTGATTCTTCTCTCTTTTCTTCTTTATCAGTTTTACTAGCAGTCTATCAATTTTGTTGATGTTTTCAAAAAAACCAGCTCCTGGGTTCATTGATTTTTTTGAAGGGTTTTTTGTCTCTATTTCTTTCAGTTCTGCTCTGATTTTAGTTATTTCTTGCCTTCTGCTAGCTTTTGAATTTGTTTGCTCTTGTTTCTCTAGTTCTTTTAATTGTGAAGTTTGGGTGTCAATTTTAGATCTTTCCTGCTTTCTCTTGTGGGTGTTTAGTGCTATAAATTTCCCTCTACACACTGCTTTAAATGTGTCCTAGAGATTCTGGTATGTTGTGTCTTTGTTCTCGTTGGTTTCAAAGAACATGTTTATTTCTGCCTTCATTTCGTCATTTACCCAGTAGTCATTCAGGAGCAAGTTGTTAAGTTTCCATGTAGTTGTGCGTTTTGAGTGAGTTTCTTAATCCTGAGTTCTAATTTGATTGCAATGTAGTCTGAGAGACTGTTGTGATTTCTGTTCTTTTACATTTGCTGAGGAGTGCTTTACTTCCAACTATGTGGTCAATTTTGGAAGAAGTGTGATGTGGTGCTGAGAAGAATGTATATTCTGTTGATTTGGGGTGGAGTTCTGTAGATGTCTATTATGTCTGCTTGTTGCAGAGCTGTGTTCAGGTCCTGGATATTCTTGTTAACCTTCTGTCTCATTGATCTGTCTAATATTGACAGTGGGGTTTTAAAGTCTTCCATTATTATTGTGTGGGAGTCTAAGACTCTTTGTAGGTCTCTAAGGACTTGCTTTATGAATCTGGGTGCTCTTGTATTGGGTGCATATATATTTAGGATAGTTAGCTCTTCTTTTAAATTGATCCCTTTACCATTATGTAATGGCCTTCTTTGTCTCTTTTGATCTTTGTTGGTTTAAAGTCTGTTTTTCAGAGACTAGGATTGCAACCCCTGTTTTTTTTTTTTTTTTTTTTTTTTTTTTTTTTTTTTTTTTTTTTTTTTTGCTTTCCATTTGCTTGGTAGATCTTCCTCTATCCCTTTATTTTGAGCCTATATGTGTCTTTTCATGTAAGATGGGTCTCCTGAATACAGCACACTGATGGGTCTTGAATCTTTATCCAATTTGCCAGTCTATGTCTTTTAATTGAGACATTTAGCCCATTTACATTTAAGGTTAATATTATTATATGTGAATTTGATCCTGTCATTATGATGTTCACTGGTTATTTTACCTGTTAATTGATGCAGTCTCTTTTCTTTTCTTCTCTTTTTTTTTTTTTTTTTTTTGAGGGAGTCTCGCTCTGTTGCCCAGGCTGGAGTGCAGTGGCTTGATCTTGGCTCACTGCAAGTTCCGCCTCCCAGGTTCATGCCATTCTCCTGCCTCAGCCTCCTGAGTAGCTGGGACTACAGGCACCTGCCACTACGCCCCACTGATTTTTTGTATTTTTAGTAGAGATGGGGTTTCATCGTGTTAGCCTGCATTGTCTCAATCTCCTGACCTTATGATCCACCTGCCTCAGCCTCCCAAAGTGCCGGGATTACAGGCATGAGCCACTGCGCCTGGCCGATGCAGTTTCTTAATAGCAGTGATGGTCTTTACAATTTTGCCTGTTTTTGCAGTAGCTGGTACTGGTTGTTTCTTTCCATGTTTAGTGCTTCCTTCAGGAGCTCTTGTAAGGCAGGCCTGCTGGTGACAAAATCTCTCAGCATTTGCTTGTCTGTAAAGGATTTTTTTCTCCTTCACTTATAAAGCTTAGTTTGGCTAAATATGAAATTCTGGGTTAAAAATTCTTTTCTTTAAGAATGTTGAATATTGGCCCCCACTCTCTTCTGACTTGTAGGGTTTCTGCTGAGAGATCTGCTGTTAGTCTGAAGAGCTTCCCTTTGTGAGTAACTCGGCCTTTCTCTCTGGCTGCCCTTAACACTTTTTCCTTAATTTCAATCTTGGTGAATCTGACAATTATGTGTCTTGTGGTTGCTCTTCTTGAGGAGTATCTTTGTGGTGTTCTCTGTATTTCCTGAATTTGAATGTTGGCCTGCCTTGCTAGGTTGGGGAAGTTCTCCTGGATAATATCCTGAAGAGTGTTTTCCAACTTGGTTCCATTCTCCCCATCACTTTCAGGTACACCAATCAAACGTAGATTTGGTCTTTTCACACAGTCCCATATTTCTTGGAGGCTTTGTTCATTTCTTTTTACTCTTTTTTCTCTAACCTTGTTTTCTCGCTTTATTTCATTAATTTGATCTTCAATCACTGATACACTTTCTTCCACTTGACTGAATCAGCTATTGAAGCTTGTGCATGCGTCACGAAGTTCTCGTGCCATGGTTTTCAGCTCCATCAGGTCATTTAAGGTCTTCTCTACACTGGTTATTCTAGTTAGCCATTCTTCTAACCTTTTTCAAGGTTTTTAGCTCCCTCATGATGGGTTCAAACATCCGCCTCTAGCTCGGAGAAGTTTGTTATTACTGACCTTCTGAAGTCTTTTTCTATCAACTTGTGAAAGTCATTCTCCATCCAGGTTTGTTCCATTGCTGGTGAGGAGCTATGATCCTTTGGAGGAGAAGAGGCCCTCTGATTTTTAGAATTTTCAGCTTTTCTGCTCTGGTTTCTCCCCATCTTTGTGGTTTTATCTGCCTTTGGTCTTTAATTTTGGTGACCTACAGATGGGGTTTTGGTGTAGATGACCTTTTTCTTGTTGTTGATGCTATTCCTTTCTGTTTGTTAGTTTTCCTTCTAACAGTCAGGTCCCTCAGCTGCAGGTCTGTTGGAGTTTGCTGGAGTTCCACTGCAGACGCTGTTTGCCTGGTCATCACCAGCGGAGGCTGCAGAACAGCAAATATTGCAGAATAGCAAATATTGCTGCCTGATCCTTCCTCCAGAAGCTTCATCCCAGAGGGGCAGCCACCTATATGAGGTATCTGTCGGCCCCTACTGGGAGGTGTCTCCCAGTTAGGCTACATGGTGGTCAGAGACCCACTTGAGGAGGCAGTCTGTCTGTTCTCAGAGCTCAAACGCCAAGCTGGGAAAACCACTGCTCTCTTCAGAGCTGTCAGACAGGGATGTTTAAGTCTGCACAAGTTTCTGCTGCTTTTTGTTCAGCTATGCCCTGTCCACAGAGGTGGAGTCTACAGGCAGTAGGCCTTGTTGAGCTGCGGTTGGCACTGCCTAGTTTGAGCTTCCCGGCCACTTTGTTTACCTACTCAAGCCTCAGCAATGGCGGATGCTCCTCCCCCAGCCAGGCTGTCATCTCACAGATCGATCTCAGACTGCTGTGCTAGCAGTGAGCAAGGCTCCATGGGCTTGGCAGCCACCGAGCCAGGCATGGGAGAGAATCACCTTGTCTGCTGGTTGCTAAGACCTTGGGAAACACACAGTATTTGAGCAGGAGTGTCCCATTTTTCCAGGTAGTCTGTCACGGCTTCCCTTGGCTAGGAAAGGGAAATCCCCCAACCCCTTTTACCTCCTGGGTGAGGTGACGCCCTGCCCTTCTTTGGCTCATCCTTCGTGGGCTGCACCCACTCTCCAACCAGTCCCAGTGAGATGAACCAGGTACCTCAGTTGGAAATGCAGAAATCACCCATCTTCTGCATAGATCATGCTGGGAGCTGCAGACCGGAGCTGTTCCTATTTGGCCATCTTGGAACTAACTTACTTTCTTTCTTTCATCGTTCCTTCTTTTCTTTTCTTTTTTGTTTTTTCAAGGTCTATCTCTGTCACTCAGTCTGGAGTACAGTGGTGCAATCATAGCTCACTGCAACCTCAAACTCCTGAGCTCAAGGGGTCCTCCTGCCTCAGACTTCTGAGTAGCTGAGACTACAGGTGCATACCATCATGCCTGGATATTTTATTTTATTTTATTTTAGAGATAGGGCCTCACTTTTTTGCCCAGGCTTGTCTGGAACTCCAGCCTGGGCTCAAGCAATCCTCCTGCCTCAGCCTCCTAAAGTGCTGGGATTACATGCTCTATACATATTTTCTACCAAAAAAAAAAAAAAAAAAAAAAAAAAAATAGAGTGCACTAAAACACCTGGGGTAGTGAAACAAAAAATAACATAAATTGTCTTAGCTAACACTGAACAAATATCGATTATGTGCTGGCACATTATCTGATTTAATTCTCTTAACATCTCCTTGAGACAGGTCTATTGTGCAGATGAGGAAACTGAAGCCCTATCGCAAGGTGATGGCTCTGTTGAATTCTAGAGACTGCAAAGATGAAGAAACTAAGAAACTGTGGCACAAATTATTAACTATACTGCCCAAGGTCATACACTGGAAATGGGTGGTGAAGGTAGGATATGAAACCAAACTTACAACCTCCAAACTCTAATCACTGTTTTTAGAATACTACGAGCACCTGAACATGCAGTCTCAAGTCAATGACCAAAATATTACAGATGCAGGATTGTTGATCAGAGGATGTCTTGGTTAATAGAATGCCAGAGACTAGATCCATTAGTTATGAGATAGATGCAGAATCCAGAATGAATCT
The DNA here is from genome assembly GCF_000001405.40 of Homo sapiens. Lineage (NCBI taxonomy): Eukaryota > Metazoa > Chordata > Mammalia > Primates > Hominidae > Homo > Homo sapiens. The sequence continues at coordinate 52,521,031 of NC_000004.12, read as the reverse complement.
GAAAGACTCTATACCTTTCCTACTCAGTGTGGACTGTGGCTTGGCAGCCCCAGCAGCACCATGAGCTTGTCAGAGCTGCAGGAGGTTGTGACGTGCCCTAGACCCTCTGAATCAGAATCTGCATTTTGACAAGATTCTCAGGTGAGGGGGTCTTGCCAATTTCAAATCCTTCGATTTCCCATAGGTTATGTATTTTTATAAGGAGTCCTGGCTGGGCTCAGTGACTCATACCTGTAGTAGCACTGGGCACATGAAAAGCACTTAATAACAATTATACCCTGTATTACAGGACTGAAGCTGTGGTCATTTCAGCTTGTTTTCTAGAGGGGTCTATTTTTGTTTGTTTTTAGTTTCTGTTGAAATTGAACAGTGAACCCTCAATTTTGCTCAGGCCAGTGAGCCTGTATAAATGGTTCTCAATGTAGACATCCTTGTCAGGCTGCTGAGCCAGAGCTTTGTTCCCAGTGGAGCTGGTGCATGTCCCAGGGCTCAAGGAAGGGAGCTGAGGCTTTGATGATTGCCTACATCCATTTCTCTGTCTCTGTGAATAGACAAAAAACAATTGTTCTTTTAGTAACATTCTATTTGGAGCTCCTGAGATGGCACAGGAGGGTGGTTGGTATTCTGAATTGAGCCTGATGTTAATAGAGGAACTGGCATTTGGAAGAGTCGTACACAGAGAGAAAAAAAGTACCAAAATGAAATCAGCTCAGAGGAGGTGCTCAGAGGGGTAAAATGTCACATTGGTGGAAGCAGACCCCTCTAAGCACCAACTTTCCTTTTTGAAGCATATTTGACGAAAATCTTTTTAAAACTTTATCACATCCTTTCCAGATTCTTTAAATAGAGAATATGAAACACAACTTAGTGTTAGGGCAGGGAGGCCTGATAGAAATAATCAGACTCAATCCCTTCATTTCACAAATGAGGAATCTGTGACCCAGAAAACTTGGATGGGGGGCAGGTCACACAAAGCCATATAACCCACTTATGGAAGAACAAGGTCTTCAAATAAATTTTTGGATAGTTCTTTCTATTCCATCACACCATATTTTTTTTCTTTTTAAAGTCTATTTTCTTGTCTAATACCATCTTTTCTAAAAAAGTAAATTACGGCTGAGGAAATGCATGCAGACTTTTTCACTTGGGTGCAAATCTAATTTTCCAGGAGGTCAGCAGGAGGGCACTAAGGATGAAGACAAGCTGTCAGATGAAGACAAGCTGTCATTCAAACACAGTGACAGAAGGAGCAGTGCCTCCTTCTGCTCAAGTGTGTCTCTACTTTTCTGCATGTTGCTTCCAGACAAAAGCTTGAATTTCCTAGACTTTATCTCAAGGTGTACAACACCCTTCCTCCCACTTCAGTCCCATGCTGGTGGCTGCTCCTGCTACCTCTTTTGCATGGAGCAGAGTTCTCAAGATTCGTCCTCCCAAGGTCAACTTCTTGTTTCTTGTTTTCCTAACAAACAGGAGGCCAAGTGTGGAAAGTACTTGTGTTAAGGTTGCATTTCCCACCAGAGAAGGAACATGGCTAAAAAGCATTAATTCCATTTGATTCTTTCTTTACAGAAATCCATTTGGTCTTTTTCAGCTTTGAGAACTTAAAAACTGTTTCCCTGCATCACTTTTCCGAATCTAACAGAGACTTCAAGCATGGTTTAAGGGCAGAGATGGCGCTGTGTGTTTGATTGTTAAAGTGAAAATGCAGACTGTGAGGAAAATCAAGACTCCCAGAGCATTTAAAATGGAATGGTATTTTTCATTTCCATATGAGAAAATATACGGATTTATTAAAAAATTATTTGTAAAAATCCTAATAATGAGATGTCATGGATATTTTATTTTGTTTTATTATATATATTTTTTAAATTAAAAAAACGTAGGTAGAGGCAGGTCTTGCTATGTTGCTCAGGCTGGTTTTGAACTCCTGGGCTCAAGTGATCTTCCTGCCTTGGCCTCTCAAAGTGCTGGGATTACAGGCCTGAGCCACTGCACCCAACCTGCCATGGCTATTTTAGAGATTATTAATTACTCTGTCAGTACTACTAATTTCTACTCCTTTATTTCATATGGCTTTAAATATAGTCTAGAAAAGACAAAAAATGAGAAGGATCATTGCTTCTGCCCATTTAGTCTCTTTCTTAGAATCTACTTATTTATTTACTTAGTTTTCTATTTAGTTACAAAATTGAAGTGCACATCGAAGCACACAAAATATAAGTATATATAGCTCAATACATTTTTATGTATGTATATACTCATGTAGCTACCATCTAGATCAAGATAAAAAAGTCTGTACCACCTGAGAAACTCCCTCACGCTCCTTCCCTGTCCATCCCTGGCCTTTGCCAGAATTAACCACTATTCTGATTTTTAGCATAATCCCTTAGCTTTTTCTCTTTGTGGACTTCCTATCAATAGAATCACACAGTATTTCTCTTTTGTGTTTAGCTTCTTTCACTGCACATGTCTATGAGATTCATTCATGTCGTTGCTTCTATCAGTAGACTTTAAAAATTTGTAGATAGCATTCCATTATCAGAGTATATCAGAATTTATCCAGTTTCTAGTTCATGGGTATCCAGATTGTTTTCAGTATTGACTTATACATAAAAATGTTAAGGATATGTATGTTGGCCAGGTGTAGTGGCTCATGCCTGTAATCCCAGCACTTTGGAAGAACAAGGCGGGTGGATCACTTGAGGTCAGGAGTTCGAGACCAGCCTGACTGAACCTCATCTCTACTAAAAATACAAAAATTAGCCAGGTGTGATGGTGCACACTTGTAATCCCAGCTACTTGGGAGGCTGAGGCAGGAGAATCACTGCAGGAGAATCACTTGAATCCTGAAGGTGAAGGTTGCAGTGAGCCGAGAATGCACTACTGCACTCCAGCCTGGGTGATGGAGTGAGACTGTGTCTCAAAAACAAAAACAAAAGCACCCCAACCCCCCCGACCCAAAAAAAACAGAAAATCAAAAAACTTTGGCATATGTCTTTTAATTGGCAGAAGCACTAATTTCTCTTTAGTGTATGCCCAGAAGTGGAATTGATGGATCATAAGATATGTTTAATTTTAGTGGTTATTGTCAAACTGTTTTCTAAAATGGCTGAACTCTCAGCAATAATGTACATAAAAGAGCTACAGTTGCTCTCTATCCTGACCAATACTTTGTAGCTCAGTCTTTTTAATTTTACCCATTCTGGTGGCTGTGTGGTGGTATCTCACTGTGGTTTGAACTTGCATTTCCCTGGTCAAAGATGATGTTGACCAACTTTTCATATGCTTATAGGCCAATTGGATACTTTGTAACGTGAAGTTCCTAACCTTTGCGCATTTTTATTTTTGTTGTCTTTTTCTTATTGATTTGTAGAAGTTCTTTATGTCTTCTTTTTTAAAAATTTAATTTTGTTTAAAAATTATTATTTATTTGTCATTGAGACATAATAGATGTACATATTTTCAGAGTACCTGTGATAATTTAATACATCTGTATAATTTGCAAAGATCAAATCAGTGTAATTGGGATAGCCATCATCTTAAATATTTGTCATTTTTTATGCTAGGAATATTCAAATTATTCTCTTTCAGCTATTTTGAAATATGCAATAGATTATTGTAAACTACAGTCACCCTAATCACCCTGTTGATCTATTAAACACTGTCTTAAATATATTCTTGATATGAATCCTTTTTTGTACTATGTATTACCAAATTTTCTCACATTCTGTGGCTTTTTTGTTTACTATCTTTATAGTGAAGAACAGAAATTAATTTTATTGAGACTCAATTTATTAAAAATTTTATTGATCCTCAATTTATTAAAAACTTTTTATTTTGCTATTATAGGGTTTTTTGTGCACTGTTGAAGAAATCTTTGCCTACCCATAGGTCAAGAATATATTCTCCTACATATCTTTTATAAGCCTTCTTATTTTACCTTTTACATTCCTATCTATACTGCATCTCAAATTAACTTTTGAGTGTGATATGAGGTAGGGGTCAAGGTTTACTTTTCCTCCCATAAGGAGATCCAATTGCTTCAGCACTATTTATGAAAAGGCTATATTTTCTCACTTCAGTATTACTTTCGTTGTTAATCAATTGACTGCACATATGTGGGTCTATTTCTGGATAGAGAAACTTCATTTTTAGCATATTCATTGTAAATATTCTAGTGGATACAGCATTGGGTTAAGCTCTGGCATCTTGGGCTGGTTTTACCAGGGAGAGCTGGGAGACTTGGGAGTGGAGGACATAGCAGTCTGTTTGTTGTCTCTCACAACACTCCCTCCTAGCATTGTGTGCCCTAAACTAGGGAGCTAGCATGTGACCCCCTTCCTCCTTCAGTTGCTCTGATTAGATCTTAGTGGACACGTGGCCCACACCTATAAAGCTACTGGATGGAAAGTGACCAGTCAGATTTTCCCTCTTGGGAATCTGACCCAATGGTTACAGAGACAAGATTTGCATTGAAAGGTCATATAGAATAAGTGTGTGGCGGCCAGGCATGGTGGCTCATGCCTGTAACCCCAGCACTTCGGGAGGCTGAGGTGGGTGGATCTCGAAGTCAGGAGTTCAAGACCAGCCTGACTAACATGGTGAAACCCCATCTCTACTAAAAAAAACAAAAATTAGCCAGGAGTGGTCGTGCATGCCTGTAATCCCAGCTACTCAGGAGGCTGAGGTAGGAGAATTGCTTGAACCCGGGAGGCGGAGGATGCAGTGAGCTGAGATTGTGCACTCCAGCCTCAAAAAAAAAAAAAAAAAAAAAAAAAAAAAAAAAAAAAGAATAAGTGTGTGGCTTAATAAAGGGATGAAGCTGTGGATCAAGTTAAACTTAAGAGAGAAGGTGCAGAAATAAAGTTGAGAAAGGCAGCTGACCAAGCAAGCAAAGGATAAGAATGGAAGAGCAGCAAAAAGAGAAGAGGAGATGAAAGACTGGATGAGGCAGTGACACGGATAGAAAGGTTGCCTGGGAGAGCTCTGAAAGAGACTCTTATTAACCCATCTTCCAACAATTGTTGGAGAAACAGCAGGAAAGGTGAAAAGAAAGGGCCTATGTAATTAAAATCACTGTGTCACCCAGAGGCAGTACAGAATGCTTTTTATAATTAAAAAAAAAGTCACATTGTATTAGTCTGTTCTCACGCTGCAAATAAAGACATATCAAAGACTGGGTAATTTATATCTAGAAAACCCCATTGTCTCAGCCCAAAATCTCCTTAAGCTGATAAGCAACTTCAGCAAAGTCTCAGGATACAAAATTAATGTACAAAAATCACAAGCATTCTTATATACCAATAACAGACAAACAGAGAGCCAAATCATGAGTGAACTCCCATTCACAATTGCTTCAAAGAGAATAAAATACCTAGGAATCCACCTTACAAGGGATGTGAAGGAACTCTTCAAGGAGAACTACAAATCACTTCTCGATGAAATAAAAGAGGACACAAACAAATGGAAGAACATTCCATGCTCATGGGTAGGAAGAATCAATATCGTGAAAATGGCCATACTGCCCAAGGTAATTTATAGATTCAATGCCATCCCCATCAAGCTATCAATGACTTTCTTCACAGAATTGGAAAAAACTACTTTAAAGTTCATATGGAACCAAAAAAGAGCCCGCATCGCCAAGTCAATCCTAAGCCAAAAGAACAAAGCTGGCGGCATCACTCTACCTGACTTCAAACTATACTACAAGGCTACAGTAACCAAAACAGCATGGTACTGGTACCAAAACAGAGATATAGATCAATGGAACAGAACAGAGCCCTCAGAAATAACGCCGCATATCTACAACTATCTGATCTTTGACAAACCTGAGAAAAACAAGCAATGGGGAAAGGATTCCCTATTTAATAAGTGGTGCTGGGAAAACTGGCTAGCCATATGTAGAAAGCTGAAACTGGATCCCTTCCTTACACCTTATACAAAAATCAATTCAAGATGGATTAAAGACTTAAACGTTACACCTAAAACCATAAAAACCCTAGAAGAAAACCGAGGCGTTACCATTCAGGACATAGGCATGGGCAAGGACTTCATATCTAAAACACCAAAAGCAATGGCAACAAAAGTCAAAATTGACAAATGGGATCTAATTAAACTAAAGAGCTTCTGCACAGCAAAAGAAACTACCATCAGAGTGAACAGGCAACCTACAAAATGGGAGAAAATTTTCACAACCTACTCATCTGACAAGGGCTAATAGCCAGAATCTACAATGAACTCAAACAAATTTATAAGAAAAAAACAAACAACCCTATCAAAAAGTGGGTGAAGGACATGAACAGACACTTCTCAAAAGAAGACATTTATGCAGCCAAAAAACACATGAAAAAATGCTCATCATCACTGGCCATCAGAGAAATGCAAATCAAAACCACAATGAGATAACATCTCACACCAGTTAGAATGGCAATCATTAAAAAGTCAGGAAAAAACAGGTGCTGGAGAGGATGTGGAGAAATAGGGACACTTTTACACTGTTGGTGGGAGTGTAAACTAGTTCAACCATTGTGGAAGACAGTGTGGCAATTCCTCAGGGATCTAGAACTAGAAATACCATTTGATCCAGCCATCCCATTACTGGGTATATACCCAAAGGACTATAAATCATGCTGCTATAAAGACACATGCACATGTATGTTTATTGCGGCACTATTCACAATAGCAAAGACTTGGAAGCAACCCAAATGTCCAACAATGATAGACTGGATTAAGAAAATGTGGCACATATACACCATGGAATACTATGCAGCCATAAAAATGGTGAGTTCATGTCCTTTGTAGGGACATGGATGAAATTGGAAATCATCATTCTCAGTAAACTATCGCAAGAACAAAAAACCAAACACTGCATATTCTCACTCATAGGTGGGAATTGAACAATGAGAACATATGGACACAGGAAGGGGAACATCACACTCTGGGGACTATTGTGGGGTGGGGGGATGGGGGAGGGATAGCATTGGGAGATATACCTAATGCTAGATGACGAGTTAGTGGGTGCAGCGCACCAGCATGGCACATGTATACATATGTAACTAACCTGCACATTGTGCACATGTACCCTAAAACTTAAAATATAATAATAAAAAAAGAAAAAAAAAAGAATGATCAAAAGAAAAAAAAAAGACTGGGCAATTTATAAAGGAAAGAAGTTTAATTGACTCACAGTTCCATGTGGCTGGGGAGGCCTCATGATCATGGCGGAAGGCAAATGAGGAGCAAAGTCACATCTTACGTGGAGGTGGGCAGGAAAGCATGTGCAAGGGAACTACCCTTTAGAAAACCATCAGATCTCCTGAGACTTATTCACTATCACAAGAACAGCATGGGGAAGACCCGCCCCCATGATTCAGTTCCCTCCCACTGGATCCCTCTCATGACATGTGGGAATTATGGGAGCTACATAAAATTCAAGATGAGATTTGGGTAGGGACACAGCCAAACCATATCACACATAAAGCTATATTTCAATAATTTTCTTTCCTCCTTAGGCCTCCAAGCAACTTTGAAGGTTGTTTTATACACGATCTTGTGAGTGGCATTTCTAGGAAAGCCCCAGTCATTCTTATAAGCTCCCCCTCTTCTCACCCTGCATACTAGAGCCAAACTTGAGGGAAGCTGCTTTGCCTGGGTGAGGTTTGGGTTTAGTGCCTTCAATTTCCATAAGATGTGTATTCTTATAAGAAGTTCTGGCTGGATGCAGTGGCTCACACCTGTAATCACGACACTTTGGGAGGCCAAGGTGGGAGGATCTCTTGAAGCTAGGAGTTCAAGACCTGCCTACACAACATAGCAAGGCCTTGGCTCTACAAAAAACCTTTTTTTTTTTTTTTTTTTTTTTTTTTTGAGACGAAGTCTTGCTCTGTCGCCAGGCTGGAGTGCAGTGGCGCAATCTTGGCTCACTGCAACCTCCGCCTCCCGGGTTCAAGCGACTCCCCCTACCTCAGCCTCCCGAGTACCTGGCACTACAGGCTCATGCCACCATGCCCAGCTAATTTTTTGCATTTTAGTACAGACGAGGTTTCACGATGTTGGCCAGGATATTCTCAATCTCCTGACCTCGTGATCTGCCCTCCTCGGCCTCCCAAAGTGCTGGGATTACAGGCGTGAGCCACCATGCCCAGCCTACAAAAAAAGTTAAAAAAAATTAGCTGTGTGATGCCATGTACCTGTAGTCCCAGATGCTCAGGAGGCTGAGGCGGGAGGATGGCTTGAGCCCAGAAGATCAAAGTTGCCATGTGCCATGATGGCGCCACTTCACTTCAGCCTGGGCAACTGAACAAGACCCTGTACCCCTGCAACCCACCCCCCACCACAAGAAATTCCTACTTTCATTCAAACTAATTTGTGCATTTCTTGCAACCAAACAAACTTTCACTAGAATTACTTGGATATTCTGCTACTCCTATGTGAAACAGAAATTATAAACTGTGCCCTGGTATTCAAGAGGGATGTTTGGATGTGATAAGTACAACTTGTCACAGAAGCTGAGCATACACATATGTGGGCAGGACACAGTTAAAGAGCAGCAAGGGGCAGCCAGCGAATTGCTGAGGGAGATAAATAAAGAACGCTAGTGCCTAGAATAGATATTTTTTTTCCTGCTGGAAACCAGGTGTAATTGTCCATTCATGAGATCACAGCAATGTGCTTTCTAAAACCTGGAGGAAAGGCTGCTCTCAGTGCTTAGTAAAATCCACATACAGTGGGTATGATTGATGTCTCCCAGAGTAAAGCAAGAAACTGCCTGTAAACGAGGACTTGAAGAATTTGTGAACAGCTAAAATGCCAACCTGAATGCAATTTGTCATTAGAAAGAGGAAATCAAATCCTTCCTTTTCCAAATCAAATTGACACAAGTCAAACTGTGTCCTTTTTGGATAAACAGTAGTTAAACAGAAAAAGCAGGGTCACCTTGGAGCATTCAAAGTTGGTAGTGCCAACCTGGCACTGTCTGGATGAGCGATGCTACTCTGGAAATCACCAGCTTTCTATGCCTGGAGAGTGGCTCTGCTGAGACAGGGATAGTGACCTGGATGAACACCTCTACAACTCTACAACTGTCCACCACCCTCCTTTGCTCTAATGCTACACTCCCATCACTTTTTTTTTAAGACAGGGTCTTGCTCTGTTGCCCAGGCTGGGGTGCAGTGGTGTGATCATGGCTCATTGAAGCCTCGACCTCCTGGGCTTAAGCTATCCTTCCACCTCAGCCTCCAGAGTAGCTGAGACCACAGGCACATGCCACCATGTCCGGCTAACTTTCTGATTTTTTGTAGAGATGGGGTTTCACCATGTTGCCCAGGCTGGTCTCTAATTTCTAGCCCCAAGTGATCCACCTGCCTCGGCCTCCCAAAGTGCTGGGATTACAGGCGTGAGCCACTGTCCCTGGCCAATTTGATAATATATCTTCTTCAGTATTTTGCTCGTTAGAAGACAATGTCTCAGAAAGGAGTAGGGGTATTTTAGCCACTAGAAAGAAATATCCTTTACTGAAAAGTAACATATTTTCTGTCTGGTTTGTACATTTCAATGAGCTTGAATGGCAAAAGTTCAGCATTCCTGTTTTCAGCCAACTCTGGTGCACTAATAAAGCTAAGTGTAAGATCCTGGCTGGTAGCCTACCACAAATCAACTTCACGGTTGCTCCTAAGTCATCTATATTACCATAGAAGTTTATTTTAAAAACCATCTCTCCATTGCCATAGGAATAATCTTGGGGGCCATAATTTCTAAAGGCATTTACACAAACTTTGCAGAAGGTACTTAAGAAATGTGTTTACATTGGAAGCATTCATATCTTCAGAATTTCCAGCATTTCACTTGTGATAGAGCACACAGGAACAGAAATAGAACGTGAGAAATAAGGTTGTGTATTAGGTTGCTAGGGCTGCCATCACAAAATACCACAGCCTCAGTGGCTTAAACAACAGGCATTTATTTTCTCACAGTTTTTGTTGCAGGAAGGTCTTGAATTCAGAGGTTTCCAAACTTTTGGCTTTCCTGGGCCACATTGGAAGAAGAAGAATTATCTTGGGCCACACATAAAATACACTAACGATAGCTGATGAGCTAAAAAAAAAAAAATCTCAAAAAAATGTCCTAATGTTTTAAGAAAGTTTATCAATTTGTGTTTGGCCACATTCAAAGCCATCCTGGGCCACATGCAGCCAGTGGGCTGTGGGTTGGACAAGCTTGTTGTAGATCAAGGTGCCAGCAGGGTTGGCTTCCTCTGAGGCTTCTATCCTGGATTCTGTAGATGGCTACCCTTGATTTACAGATGGCTCGCCTCTTGCTGCCTCTTCACATGGTCTTCCCTCTGTGCATGCAGGACTCTTCTTCTTCTAAGGATGCCAGTCATATTGGGTTTGCCCCCCTTCCTATTTAAAAAACAGATTTACGGGGTACAAGTGCAATTTTGTTACATGGATATACTGTGGAGTGGTGAAGTCTGGGCTTTTAGTGTAACCATCACCTGAATAGTGTACATTGTATCCATTAGGTAACTTCTCATTCCTCACCTCTCTCCCACTTTCCCACTTTTGGAGTCTCCAGTGTTTGTTATTCCACTCTGTAGGTCCATGTGGACCCATTGTTTAGCTCCTGCTTATAAATGACAACATGTAGTATTTGACTCTCTGTTTCTAAGTTTTTTCACTTAATATAGTGGCCTCCATTTCCATCCATTTTGCTGTAAAAGACATGATTTCATTCTTTTTTATGGCTGAGTCGTATTCATATAAATATATATACACACACCACATTTTCTTTATCCAGTCATCCATTAATAGACACTTAGGCTGATTCCATATCTTTGCTATTATAAATGGTGCTATCATAAACACATGAGTGCAGATATCTTTTTAAACTTTTAAAAGTTTTTAAATTTTCTTCATGTCAGACAGGTAATATTCCAACATTGCCACAAGGTTCGAGGGTGACACATCTCACACATGTACGTGAACAACCAATCATCATGCTCATGAACTACAAAAGGATCAGGTATCTTTTTTATATAATTATTTCTTCTCCTTAGGTTAGATACCTAGTAGTGGGATTGCTGGATCAAATAGTAGTTCTAGTTTCAGTTCTTTGATAAATCTCCATACTGTTTTCCATACAGGTTGTACTAATTTACATTCCCACCAACAGTGTATAAGCATTCCCTTTTCTCTGCATCCTTGCCAACATTTATTGATTTTGACTTTTTAATAATAGCCATTCTGACTGGTGTAAGATGATATCTCATTGTGGTGTTAATTTGCATTTGCCTGATGATTAGTGATGTTGAGCATTTTTTCATATGTTTGTTAACTGTTGGTATATCTTCTTTTGGAAAACGTTCATGTCCTTTGCCCATTAAATTTTTTTTTAAAAAATTTTGAGTTCTGTGGGTACATAAGTGTATATATTTATGGAGTACATGAGATGTTTTGATACAGGAATGTAATGTGTAATAATCACATCATAGAGAATGTGGTGTCCATCCCCTCAAACATTTATCCTTTGTGTTACAGACAATCCAATTATGCTCTTTTAATTATTTTAAATGTATAATTAAATTATTATTGATTATAGTCATCCTGTTGTGTTATCAAGTACTAGGTCTTATTCATTCTTTTTTGTTTGTTCGTTTTGAGACAGGGTCTCACTCTGTTGCCCAGGCTGGAGTGCAGTGGGCTAGATCACAGCTTACTGCAGCTTTGACTTCCCTGGGTTCTGGTGATCCTTCCACCTCAGCCTCCTGAGTAGCTAGGACCACAGGCATAAGCCACCACACCCAGTTAGTTTTTGTATTTTTTGTAAAGATGGGGTCTCACTATGTTGCCCAGGCTGTTCACAAGCCTTGCCCAAGCTAGGTTCAAGTGATCCTCCTGCCTCAGCCTCCCAAAGGGCTAGGATTATAGGCACAAGCCACTGCGCCTGGCCTTATTCATTCTTCTAACTATTTTTTTTTCTTATCCATTAACTATCCCCACCTCTACCCCTCCCTCCCACTACCCTTCCCTTTGCTCACTTTTTAATGGGATTGTTTGTTTTTCCTTGCTGAGCTGTTTGAATTCCGTGTAGATTCTCGCTATTAGTCCTTTGTCAGGTGCACAGTTTGCAAATATTTTCACCCATTCTGTAGGTTGTCTGTTTACTCTGTTGATTATTTCTTTTGAGGTATAGAAGCTTTTCAGTTTCATTTTGTCCCATTTGTCAATTTTTGCTTTTGTTGCATTTGCTTTGTCATAAATTCTTAGTCATAAATTCTTTGCCAAGGCCAATGTTCAGAAGAGCTTTTCCTAGGTGTTTCTTCTAGGATTTTTATAGTTTCAGGTCTTACATTTAAGTCTTTAATTCATCTTGAGTTAATTTTTGTATATAGTGAGAGATATGGATTCAGGTTCATTCTTCCCATGTGGATATCTGATTTTCCCAACATAGGGTCCCACTCTATTGTTTTCATTCAATGTAATTACCTCTTTAAAGGCCCTGTTTCCAAATAATATCATATTCTCATGTATTGGAGGTTAGGATGTCAACATATGAATTTGGGTAGGGGACAAAATTCAGCCTAAAATAAGTGATGAAATCTATCCTGTCAAGGCAGTAAGACTTCCTTTAATCTATCTGTTGTTTTGGTGAGTTAGAGGAAAGAAGATTTTCTGGGCTTTGGGTTTTTTTTAGTCCAACATTAGCATCTGGACTGGGCAAGCAAGGTTAGCTTCTGCACTGTAGAATGTCTCCAAACAAAGACTGTTCTTACAGAAAGCATTATGAAAATGCAACTTAATTATTAGGTTGTATGGACAGAGGCACAGCACAATCCAAGATACACTATTGTTTTAATCTCAAAACCAACAGATAGGTAATGAACATAAATATCCCAAGCAATGCAGGGGTATTGGAATGGTATTGGCGTTATGATGGTGATTGTTTACAAAGAAGGGCTTTTCTGTGGGGAATGGCTAATCAGCAGGCCCAGCAAAGGAGAATTAGTGCTTCCTGTGCTGAGGCATCCCAGAATTCTGGGGATTCTGCCAGAGTCCTGCTGGTTCTCAGACAAGGTCATTGGACTTCTTAGGGGAACTTACCAAAGGCCCCTGTAACTCTAACTGCAGTGCAGCCTGAGCCAATTTGTTCTCTGCCAATCTCTGCAGCAAATTTATGAATGATGAGAGGAAACAGTTGAGGAACCAGTAAACTGGCTAAAACATAATCTTTGTTGCCCTAGCAATACCTCTGGGGCTTCTGATGGTGAACTGTGCATTTCCTGGCACAGTTTACTTCTCATGCCACAGTCAACTGCCTGAATAGGACTGGGGTTAAGACGCTTCCTCCAAACATTACAGTAATAAATGGAGGTTTGTAAAGAGCAAGGTCTTCAAATCAGAGTTAGAATGACCAATGCATTTATTTGTTTACTGAGCACCCACTATAGGGTAAGGCACCCTTGGTGGAGCCAGAGATACACTTCAGAAAAAATAAACAAAAGTCCCTGGTCCCATAGAGCTTTCATTTTACCAGGCAGAGACAGACAATAAATAAAGCCATTAAGTGGAATATATCTTTTGTCATATGGTGACATACATTATGGAGAAAAATAAGGCAGAGAAGGGAATTAGGAAGTGCCCCAGATGGTGGGCAGCTTTGCAGTTGTCGGGGGTGGTCAGGAAAGATGTCACTGAGAAAGTGACATTTGGGTAGAGTCTTGAAGAAAGTGAGGAAGCAAGCCATGAAGGTATTTGGGGGAAGAGTGTTCTAGGCAGAGGGCTTCCTAGTGAAAATGTCCTGAGGTACATGCAGAAGCAAGGAGCTGGTATGGCAGGAGCAGGAAACAGCGGCGAGACAATAGCAGCGGGATGAGGTGAGACAGTAGGCAGTGGTGGGGTAGGCTACCATGTCAGTCTTTGTAGGCCATCATAAGGACTGGACTTTGTGAGTGAAATGAGAGGTCATTGAGGGTTTTAGCAGAGAAGCCACTTGACCTGATAATAATGTCAAGAATAATTCAAAGTGGGGAAAGAGTGGAAGCCCAGCCAAGAAGCTACTGCCATAATCCAGGTAAGAGATGATGGCTCGGACTGGGATGGTAGCAGTGGATGGGTAAGAAGTGGTTGGATTCCAGCTAGGTCTTGAAGTAGAATCATTAGGATCTACTGACAGCTTGGAAGTAGAGGAGGAAAGGATGACCTTAAGATTTTAGGCCCGTAATAACTAGAAATCTCATGCTAAAGTGGCTAGAAATATTATCAAAAGGCATTTTTAGTCAAATAGACTTTAGGGTCTCTGACACTCAAACATCATTCCCGTAATCTATTCTATAAGTACTGAAGAATGTACCATGCTAAAATCCTCCAGTCTAGCTTCACAGTACTGGATGCCTTCCACCCATTCATTCATTCATTCATTCATTTGTTCATTTATTCACTCATTCATCCATTGTCTTATTCATTCCACCCATCAACTCTAGCTCAGCTGTCAGCCAGCAACTCCCTGTTCCTTGCGATATAGAGGAGATTTATTTGAACAGCCCCTTTCCATGGTATGTGAAAGTCCAGCGTCTCCCAAGCACTTCCTCCAAATTCCAGCGGACATAGGTTCTTCTGGCCTCCTTTGTATCCTGGACCCCAGCTTCATCCATTCTGTCATGGTGCCTTTATACCAAATATTCTTTGTGTCCTGGACTCTACTGATGATTTGGGATAGAGCCTTCATTTCTTCACTTTTCTCCTCCATCTTTTCTAGGAGAAAAAATTCCTTGTTGTCTTCTTCATAGCAATTTAGGGACACATTTTTTGGCTTAAGCTTGGGATCCACCCCCAAGGCCTTATCACAGAGGAACCATGTTCTTCTTAGAGCAATCTAAGAGGGTCTAGCCAAAGTGTGTTTGAACATTTTTTGAAGACTCCTTTAGCTGCTGGTTGTAGAATGGATTGAAGATGGGTAAAGTGTATAGACACACATACCCCTCCACTGTCTCTTACTATGTGGTTGTCTGGATTTCCTTTGTGCAGCACTCTGTTAGAGGTGTCTTATAGTAGTGCTGCTTGTGCTCCAATTGTGCAGTTTAGTTGAATAGCTATTACAGCTTTTACTTTGTTCTTTTTAACTGATCAAGTCATAGCACTGTTGGTTTGTGGACAATGTGGAGAATCTGATGTATGTTGCTGGTTAGAGTACACTGAGACCAGCAAAAGTTTGTCAGACTTCTTTGCCACAGTGTCAGGTAGAGGCTTTTTAAAAAAAAAAGTGGGGGGAAAAAGTACTGTGAAAGTTACTAAAGGAAAAAGCTTTCTCCATTAAAAATATTTTATTACCTATAAAAAGAATAGGAATGATACATGAATAACAATATAAACTTGCAAATTGCATAAATGGTGTCATTTTTATGTAATGCAACACATAATAGTAATTAATATAAAATCTTTCTTGATCACAAGATTTTTCTGGGTCACTTTCCTGCAAATTAATTTATTAGTTCATCAAAAAGTATACATTTAATAACTTCATTTTCAATTGATATAATTGAAAATGATGTCAATTACTCTTGACAAATGCAAGATTGTAAATAATTTCGGAACATTTTTAATTTTGCAAAGTATCTTTCTGTTGACACACTCTTTCTAGAGCTGTTAAGATTATTTTATGATTTGTGACAATACTAGGATACATATTAATAAGTCGTTTCAAAATATAAACCTTAGTATACCTAGAACTGATGATAGTTTCAGAAAAATTTTTCTAAAAAGATTTAACCCTTCATACAAATCAGTTTCACCTAAGTTTGAATTAAATTTTAACTGGAAATGTATACAGTAACATTGTAATGTTTCATCTGACAGTTCCTGCTCCAAATTCTTGTGGCGGCAGTTTAAGATACAGAATTTAAAACCCCCATTTATGCACTCTATGATGTATCTTCAACACAGGAAAAAAATATTTTATAATTATCTTCTTCATTAATAATTGGTTCATCCAAAGCTTTGGATGAAAATAGTGCTCTTTTCTATCAAATGTGATAATGTTTAAATTTAATTTTGGTTTTGGGGGGCCAGCCAAGATGGCCGAATAGGAACAGCTCCGGTCTACAGCTCCCAGCATGAGTGACGCAGAAGATGGGTGATTTCTGCATTTCCATCTGAGCTTTGAAGAGAGCAGTGGTTCTCCCAGCATGCAGCTGGAGATCTGAGAACAGGCAGACTGCCTCCTTAAGTGGGTCCCTGACCCCTGACCCCCAAGCAGCCTAACTGGGAGGCACCCCCTAGAAGGGGCAGACTGACACCTCACATGGCCGGGTAATCATCTGAGACAAAATTTCCAGAGGAAGGATCAGACAGCAGCATTCACAGTTCATGAAAATCCACTGTTCTGCAGCCTCCACTGCTGATACCCTGGCAAACAGGGTCTGGAGTGGACCTCTAGCAAACTCCAACAGACCTGCAGCTGAGGGTCCTGTCTGTTAGAAGGAAAACTAACAAACAGAAAGGACATCCACACCAAAAACCCATCTGTACATCACCATCATCAAAGACCAAAAGTAGATAAAACCACAAAGATGGGGAAAAAACAGAACAGAAAACCTGGAAACTCTAAATAGCAGAGCACCTCTCCTCCTCCAAAGGAACACAGTTCCTCCCCAGCAATGGAACAAACCTGGATGGAGAATGACTTTGACAAGTTGAGAGAAGAAGGCTTCAGACGATCAAACTACTCCGAGCTACAGGAGGAAATTCAAACCAAAGGCAAAGAAGTTGAAAACTTTGAAAAAAATTTAGATGAATGTATAACTAGAATAACCAATACAGAGAAGTGCTTAAAGGAGCTGATGGAGCTGAAAGCCAAGGCTTGAGAACTACGTGAAGAATGCAGAAGCTTCAGGAGCCAATGCGATCAACTGGAAGAAAGGGTATCAGTGATGGAAGATGAAATGAATGAAATGAAGTGATAAGTGAAGTTTAGAGAAAAAAGAATAAAAAGAAATGAACAAAGCCTCCAAGAAATATGGGACTATGTGAAAAGACCAAATCTACATCTGATTGGTGTACCTGAAAGTGACAGGGAGAATGGAACCAAGTTGGAAAACACTTTGCAGGATATTATCCAGGAGAACTTCCCCAATCTAGCAAGGCAGGCCAACATTCAGATTCAGGAAATACAGAGAATGCCACAAAGATACTCCTCGAGAAGAGCAACTCCAAGACACATAATTGTCAGATTCACCAAAGTTGAAATGAAGGAAAAAATGTTAAGGGCAGCCAGAGAGAAAGGTTGGGTTACCCACAAAGGGAAGCCCATCAGACTCACAGCAGATGTCTCGGCAGAAACTCTACAAGCAGAAGAGAGTGGGGGCCAATATTCAACATTCTTAAAGAAAAGAATTTTCAACCCAGAATTTCATATCCAGCCAAACTAAGCTTCATAAGTGAAGGATAAATAAAATCCTTTACAGACAAGCAAATGCTGAGAGATTTTGTCACCACCAGCCTGCCCTAAAAGAGATCCTGAAGGAAGCACTAATCATGGAAAGGAACAACCGGTACCAGCCACTGCAAAATCATGCCAAAATGTAAAGACCATCGAGACTAGGAAGAAACTGCATCAACTAACAAGCAAAATAACCAGCAAACATCATAATGACAGGATCAAATTCACACATAACAATATTAAATGGACTAAATGCTCCAATTAAAAGACACAGACTGGCAAATTGGATAAAGAGTCAAGACCCATCAGTATGCTGTATTCAGGAAACCCATCTCACGTGCAGAGACACACATAGGCTCAAAATAAAAGGATGGATGAAGATCTACCAAGCAAATGGAAAACAAAAAAAAGGCAGGGGTTGCAATCCTAGTCTCGGATAAAATAGACTTTCCACCAACAAAGATCAAAAGAGACAAAGAAGGCCATTACATAATGGTTAAGGGATCAATTCAACAAGAAGAGCTAACTATCCTAAATATATATGCACCCAATATAGGAGCACCCAGATTTATAAAGCAAGTCCTGAGTGACCTACAAAGAGACTTAGACTCCCACACAATAATAATGGGAGACTTTAACACCCCACTTTCAACATGAGACAGATCAACGAGACAGAAAGATAATAAGGGTATCCAAGAATTGAACTCAGCTCTGCACCAAGTGGACCTAATAGACATCTACAGAACTCTCCACCCCAAATCAACAGAATATACATTTTTTTCAGCACCACACCACACCTATTCCAAAATTGACCACATAGTTGGAAGTAAAGCTGTCCTCAGCAAATGTAAAAGAACAGAAATTATAACAAACTGTCTCTGAGACCACAGTGCAATCAAACTAGAACTCAGGATTAAGAAACTCAGTGAAAACTGCTCAACTACATGGAAACTGAACAACCTGCTCCTGAATGACTACTGGGTACATAAAAAAATGAAAGCAGAAATAAAGATGTTCTTTGAAACCAATGAGAAAAAAGACACAACATACCAGAATCTCTGTGACACATTTGAAACAGTGTGTAGAGGGAAATTTATAGCACTAAATGCCTACAAGAGAAAGCAGGAAAGATCCAAAATTGACACCCTAACATCACAATTAAAAGAACTAGAAAAGCAAGAGCAAACACATTCAAAAGCTAGCAGAAGGCAAGAAATAACTAAGATCAGAGCAGAACTGAAGGAAATAGAGACACAAAAAACCCTTCAAAAAATCAATGAATCCAGGAGCTGGTTTTTTGAAAGGATCAACAGAATTGATAGACCGCTAGCAAGACTAATAAAGAAGAAAAGAGAGAAGAATCAAATAGACGCAATAAAAAATGATAAAGGGGATATCACCATCAATCCCACAGAAATACAAACTACCATCAGCGAATACTACAAACACCTCTATGCAAATAAACTAGAAAATCTAGAAGAAATGGATAAATTCCTGGACACATAAATCCTCCCAAGACTAAACCAGGAAGAAGTAGACTCTCTCAATAGACCAATAACAGGCTCTGAAATTGTGGCAATAATCAATAGCTCACCAACCAAAAAGAGTCCAGGACCAGATGGATTCACAGACGAATTCTACAAGAGGTACAAGGAGGAACTGGTACCATTCCTTCTGAAACTATTCCAATCAATAGAAAAAGAGGGAATCCTCCCTAACTCATTTTATGAGGCCAGCATCATCCTGATACCAAAGCCGGGCAGAGACACAACGAAAAAAGAGAATTTTAGACGAATATCCTTGATGAACATTGGTGAAAAATCCTCAGTAAAATACTGGCAAACCGAATCCAGCAGCACATCAAAAGCTTATGCACCATGATCAAGTGGGCTTCATCCCTGGGATGCAAGGGTGGTTCAATATACACAAATCAATAAATGTAATCCAGCATATAAACAGAACCAAAGACAAAACCCACATGATTATCTCAATAGATTCAGAAAAGGACTTTGACAAAATTCAACAACCCCTCATCCTAAAAACTCTCAATAAATTAGGTATTGATGCGACGTATCTCAAAATAATAAGAGCTATGACAAACCCACAGCCAATATCATACTGAATAGGCAAAAACTGGAAGCATTCCCTTTGAAAACTGGCACAAGACAGGGATGCCCTCTCTCACCACTCCTATTCAACATAGTGTTGGAAGTTCTGGCTAGGGCAATTAGGCAGGAGAAGGAAATAAAGTGTATTCAATTAGGAAAAGAGGAAGTCAAATTGTCCCTGTTTGCAGATGACATGACTGTATATCTAGAAAATCCCATAGTCTCAGCCCAAAATCTCCTTAAGCTGACAAGCAAATTCAGCAAAGTCTCAGGACACAAAATCAATGTACAAAAATCACAGGCATTCTTATACACCAGTAACAGACAAACAGAGAGCCAAATCATGAGTGAACTCCCATTGACAATTGCTTCAAAGAGAATAAAATACCCAGGAATCCAACTTACAAGGGATGTGAAGGAACTCTTCAAGGAGAACTACAAACCACTGCTCAATGAAATAAAAGAGGACACAAACAAATGGAAGAACATTCCATGCTCATGGGTAGGAAGAATCAAGGTAATATATAGATTCAATGCCATCCCCATCAAGCTATCAATGACTTTCTTCACAGAATTGGAAAAAACTACTTTAAAATTCATATGGAACCAAAAAAGAGCCCGCATCAGCAAGTCAATCCCAAGCCAAAAGAACAAAGCTGGAGGCATCATGCTACCTGACTGCAAACTATACTACAAGGCTACAGTAACAAAAACAGCATGGTACTGGTACCAAAACAGAGATATAGATCAATGGAACAGAACAGAGCCCTCAGAAATAATGCTGCATATCTAGAACTATCTGATCTTTGACAAACCTGAGAAAAACAAGCAATGGGGAAAGGATTCCCTATTTAATAAATGGTGCTGGGAAAACTGGCTAGCCATATGTAGAAAGCTGAAACTGGATCCTTTCCTTACACCTTATGCAAAAATTAATTCAAGATGGATTAAAGACTTAAACGTTACACCTAAAACCATAAAAACCCTGGAAGAAAACTGAGGCATTACCATTCAGAACATAGGCATGAGCAAGGACTTCATATCTAAAACACCAAAAGCAATGGCAACAAAAGTCAAAATTGACAAATGGGATCTAATTAAACTAAAGAGCTTCTGCACAGCAAAAGAAACTACCATCAGAGTGAGCAGGCAACCTACAAAATGGGAGAAAATTTTCACAACCTACTCATCTGACAAAGGGCTAATATCCAGAATCTACAATGAACTCAAACAAATTTATAAGAAAAAAACAAACAACCCCATCAAAAAGTGGGTGAAGGACATGAACAGACACTTCTCAAAAGAAGACATTTATGCAGCCAAAAAACACATGAAAAAATGCTCACCATCACTGGCTATCAGAGAAATGCAAATCAAAACCACATGAGATACCATCTCACACCAGTTAGAATGGCAATCATTAAAAAGTCAGGAAACAACAGGTGCTGGAGAGGATGTGGAGAAATAGGAACACTTTTACACTGTTGGTGTTACTGTAAACTAGTTCAACCATTGTGGAAGTCAGTGTGGCGATTCCTCAGGGATCTAGAACTAGAAATACCATTTGACCCAGCCATCCCATTACTGGGTATATACCCAAAGAACTATAAATCATGCTGCTATAAAGACACATGCACATGTATATTTATTGCGGCACTATTCACAATAGCAAAGACTTGGAACCAACCCAAATGTCCAACAATGATAGACTGGATTAAGAAAATGTGGCACATATACACCATGGAATACCATGCAGCCATAAAAAATGATGAGTTCATGTCCTTTGTAGAGACGTGGATGAAGCTGGAAACCATCATTCTCAGCAAACTATCGCAAGGACAAAAAACCAAACACTGCATGTCCTCACTCATGGGTGGGAATTGAACAATGAGAACGCTTGGACACAGGAAGGGGAACATCGCACACCATGGCCTGTTGTGGGGCGGGGGGAGGGAGGAGGGATAGCATTAGGAGATATACCTAATATAAATGACGAGTTAATGGGTGCAGCACACCATCATGGCACATGTATACAATTTAACAAACCTGCACATTGTGCACATGTACCCTAGAACTTAAAGTATAATAAAAATATATATTAAAAAAAAAGAAAAAGCCATTAATGGCTACTATGTGAACACCATATCATCAGAGAGCTCTGATGGTGTCTGTAGCCTTGCTTTTATAGGCACTGCCAGACCTGGGTTGGGGCTTTGTGTCCTTCAGTATACAGCAATATATAGTACACATGAGTCACACAGTCATGAAAAAATTACATTGGGTATCTTACTGTGTTTATGAAAGCTATTATATTAATTTTTACCATATTAGAATGTTTTTGTCACAAACCATATATGATGGAAAATTTTCACACAGAATTCCTTTAAAAATGTCCCAAATTGGCATAGTTTTTGCATGTCTAATTCCATTTGGCACCTGTTCCTTTGAGGACAAGAACAGAAAAATCATCCAACATTTAATGTGGTCAGTTTTATCCTTTGAAGCACAATCCTGTTGAAAATCTGTAAAACTTACACCTATACTTTTGTGAATTAAACTCTGGTATTTATTAATTAAAAAATACTCATTAGATGAATGAGATAGGACTCTTAAGTGTGGCTGGTCTTATTAAGGGCACATTCTGATCTCTTGCGATTAGATAACTTCTCAGGATAACTTTGGGCAAACATGAAGTGTTGTGCTTTCAGGCTAGGACCATGGTCCCTGAAGTATGGCCCATGCACCAAGAGGTGCCAAAGACCCTTTTCCACTGTGTTGACATTTGACCTGATAGTTCACCTACAATGGTGGGTAAACTGCTGATGACATAGCAGAAATGAAAGCACTGGCATCACACTGAACTATGAGGCATTGTGCCCAATGCCTAGTTCACCATGCACTCATATAAAAAACTTACTGGTTTCAGTTCAGAATGTTCTTGATGTAAAAATTAACTATATTAAATCTCAACCCTTGAATCAATAACTTTAATATTTGCTGTTATGAAATGGTAAGTATGCATAAAACACATTTGCTCTATACCAAAGTATAATGATTGTTTTGAAGGAAAGCTCTTGTGAGACTGAACTGCAAGCTGAACTAGTCACTTTCTTTAGGGAAAACCATTTTTTGTTTTTAGAGTGACTATCTTGGTCTGTTGAGACTGCTATAACAAGATACCATAAACTGGGTAGTTTATAAACAATGGAAATCTATTTCTTTTGGTTCTGAAGGCAGGGAAGTCCAGATCGAGGGGCCGGCACTTTCAATGTCTGGGGAGGGCCCATTTGCAGGTTCCTAGAATGGTGCATCCTTGCTGCTTCCTTACACGGTGAAAGGGTACAAGGCAGCTCTCTGGGCCTTTTTTTTTTTTATAAGGGCACTAATTCTATTCATGAAGGCTTTTCTCTCATGATCTAATCACCTCCCAAAGGCTCCACCTGCTAATATTATCACATTGGTGATTGGGTGTCAACATATGAATTTTGGAGGGACGCAAACATTCAGGCCATAGCACTGACGTAGAAATTGTGTTTTTTTAGATTTGAATATTTGGCAGACTTTTCTAGAAAATGAATAAAGTGAAGCTGTCATTTCAAGCAAAATATCTGCCAGTATTTGTTGCCAATTATAAAATTTGAATTTTCAAGTGACAATTAGAATTTTGGTAAACTTGTGTTCACCACGGTAAGTTTGATAGTTTTCCAATACTTGATGACTTTTTGAAATAATATCAGTGGTATATTATTTACATGCATATTGTGTGTGTGTACATATGTAAACTTGTATACATGTACAACATTATGTACCAACATTTGGAAGATCTATGTAACTCAGCAAACCAATATTTGCCAAATGACCACGCTATTATAATACTATACATGGAAAAAGATCCATTCCAATTTTACAATGGACCAATGGATTTTAACATAAGAGAGTATGAAAAGTTTGTTAATTTGGTTTTAGATTCCATACTGCAACTAAACTTTAGGACACTACCACTTGTCAAGCTCTGATGTGATATCAAAGAAGAATATCCACAATTATCTCAAAAAGCTATTAAAACATCTGTCCCTTTCCCACTACATATTTGTGTGAAGATGGATTTTCTTTATATACTTAAACTAAAACAACATAATGCAACATTTTGAATGCAGCAAGCAGATATGAGAATCCAGCTGCCTTGTATTAAGTAAGACATAAACCAGATGTGCAAAAATGTCAAGCAATGACACTTTTCTCATTAAGTTGTTTTGGAAAACATAGATATTTCTTTAAATGGCTTTAATAAGGTATAATTAAAATATAGTAAATGACATATACTTAAGATACACAATTTAATAAATTTTGACATGTGAATATGTCTACAAAACCATCACCTCAATCAAGATAATGAACACAGCCACCACCCCCAAAAGTGTCCTTGTGCCCCTTTTCATTCCTACATCTCTCCGCTTCCTGACTCCTTGATTTCTAGGAAATCACGATCTTCTGTCAGTCTGTTTTAGTTTTCATTTTCTAGGATTTTATATGAATGGAATCACAGTCTATGTATACTTTTTGTCTGGCTTTCCTCACGGCATAATTATTTTGAGATTCACCCATGGTTTTGCCTGTATCAAAAGCTCATTCATTTTTATTGCTGGGTACTCTTCTATTGTATGGTTATAGTATAATTTATTTATCCATTAACCTGATGATGGACATTTGGATTGTTTTCTGGTTTTGGTTATTATAATTAAAGTGGCTATGAACATTGTGGCTATGAACGTTGGTGTATAAGACTTTGTATGGGTATATTCTTTCCTTTCTCTGGGTAAATACCTAGGAGAGGAATGCCTGGGCCATATGCTAGGCATATGTTTGACATTTTAAGAAACTGCAAACAGGCTTCCAAAGTAGTACAATTTTACATTCCAACCAGCAGTATCTGAAGGTTCAAGTTCCTCCACATCGTCACAAACACTTGGCCATTCCAAAAGGTGTATATTGACATCTTTTTTTTGTTCTTTTCATTCAGTCTGTTTATTGAGCACACACATAAAACAGTATACCTCCAAGCCTCCTTGGCGCACATTGATCTTGCCCTTCTTTGAACCTCTCCCTTGAGATTGTATTGACATCTTATTAACATTTAATTGAATTACTAATGTTCTATAAAAGGGCCACATACGCAAAGCAGCCCCCAAATGCAGGAGCCAAAGAACAACGCAGACAAATCCAGTTTGTTAGTAAAGCGTGATTTATTAGGGAACTTATAGGCAGAAGCCTGGTCTTGCGTGGCTGCAAGACAGGTGGATCTCCACACAACCCTCCAGACCCAGCACTTCTATATTAGGGAGAAAGTCCATGTGCTCTGGAAATAATGGTGAATTGAAAGAATGCTGTGGGCATCACAGCCTATGATGCATGCAACAATATCAAGAGTTGTTTTGGAGGAAAGGTGAAACTCCAGTAACTAGGTGTTTCTATGTAAGAAGTAATATATCAACTAGACATTTTGGAGGCATTCCTGGACTTGGGGTTAGTCAGGATTCACAAGGTGGATTAGCATCTAAAATGGAGTGATACTTGTCCCCACAACTAATCATGTTGAGCATATTTTCATGGGTTTATTTGCTCTCTGTGTATATTTTGTTGAAGTGTCTGTTCAAATATTTTGCCCATTTTAAATTGGGATTTTTAAAAATTGATACATAATATTTTACATATTTATGGAGCACACGTTATGTTTTGTTACATGCATAGAATATGTAATGATCAAGTCAAGGCATTTGAGGTGTCCATCACTTTAAGTATTTATTATTTCCAGGTGTTGGGAATTCAAGTTCTCTCTTCTAGCTACTTTGAAATATACAATACATTGTTGTTAACTCTGCTGTTGAACAACAGAACTTATACCTTTTATCTAACTATATGTTTGTACCTCTGAACTTCTCTCTCTTCATTCCCCTTCCCATGCACCCAACCTTCCCAGCTTCCAGTATCTATTATTCTGCTCTTCTACCTTTATGAGATCAAGTTTTTAGCTCCCACATATTAGTGAGAACATCTGATATTTGCCTGTTGGTGCATGGGTTATTTCACTTAACGTGGCCTCCAGTTCCATTCATATTGCTGATAATGACATAATTTCATTCTTTTTTTATGGCCAAATAGCACTGCATTGTATACATACATATATCTCACTTTCTTCACTCATTCATCAGCTGATGGACACTTAGGTTGATTCCATATCTTTGCTATTGTGAATAGTGCTGTGATAAACATGCGAGTGGGGGTATCCTTTTCATACACTGTTTTCTTTTCCTTTGGGTAGATACCAAGTAGTGAGATTGCTGAATCAAGTAGTAGTTTTATTTTTAGTTTTTTGAGAAATCTCCATACCGTTTTACATTGTGGTTGTACTAATTTACATTCCCACCAAATTGTATGAGTTCCCTTTTCTCCAAATCCTCTTCAGCCTCCCTTCTATAATTTTTAGAACAATACCCATTTTAACTGGAGTGATATGATATCTCATTGTGGTTGTTTTCTGGAAAATATAGAGTGCTTCATGAATTTGCATGTCATCCTTGTGCAGGGGCCATGCTAATCTCTGTATCATTCCAATTTTAGTATACATGATGCTGAAGGAAGCACTCATTGTGGTTTTGACATGTATTTCTCTGATGACTAGTGATGTTGAACATTTGTTAATATACTGTTTGCCATTTGTATGTCTTCTTTTGAGACTTGTCTATTTGTGTCTTTTGTCCACTTTTTAATGTGATTTTTTCTATTGTTGAATTGTTTGGGTTCCTTGTATATTCTGGATATTAGTCCCTTGTTGAATGGATAGTTTGCAAATATTTTCTCTCACTCAACACATTGTCTCTTCCCTCTGTTGATTGTTTGCTTTGCTGTGCAGAAGCTTTTTAGCTTAATATTTTCTCTATATTAGTCTGTTTTCACACTGCTGATAAAGACATACCCAAGACTGGGCAATTTACAAAAGAAAGATATTTAATATGGACTTACAGTTTCACATGGCTGGGGAAGCCTCACAATCATGGCAAAAGGCAAGGAGGAACAAGTCACATCTTACATGGATGGCAGCAGGCAAAGAAGAAAAAGCTTGTGCAGGGAAACTCTTCCTTATAATACCATCAGATATTGTGAGACCCACCCACCATCACAAGAATACCAGGGGAAATACCTGCCCCCATGATCCAGTTACCTCCCACCTTGTTCCTCCCACAAAATGTGGGAATTCAAGATGAGAATTGGGTGGGGACACAGCCAAACTGTATCAGTCTCATTTCTCTATTTTTATTTTAGTTTTCCATGCTTTTGAGAGCTTAGCCATAAAATATTTGCCTAGACCAATATCCTTTTCCCCATTTTCTCCTGGTAGTTTTCTAGTTTCCTATTTTACATTTAAATCTATTTTGAGTTGATTTTTGTATGTGGTGAGAAATAGGGATCCAGTTTCATTCTTCTCCATGTGAATATCTAGTTTTCCCAACACCATTTATTGAAAAGGATGTTTTTTCCCCATCTTTGTCAAAAGTCAGGTGGCCGTTTATAGTTGGGTTTATTTCTGGGTTCCCTATTTTGCTCCATTGGTCAATGTGTCTATTTTTATACCAATATTATGCTGTTTTGATTACTATAGCCTCATAATATATTTTGAAATCAGGTAGTCTTATGCCTTCAGCTTTATTCTTTTTGCTCAAGATTGCATTGGCTATTCTGGCTCTTCTTTGGTTCTATGAGATGGAGTTTCACTGTTGTTGCCCAGGCTGGAGTGGAGTGGCACAATCTTGGCTCACTGCAACCTCTGCCTCCCAGGTTCAAGTGATTCTCCTGCCTCAGCCTCCCGAGTAGCTGGGATTACAGGTGCCCACCACCACACCCAGCTAATATTTTTGTATTTTTAGTAGAGACAGAGTTTCGCCATGTTGGCCAGGCTGGTACCTGCCTCGGCCTCCCAAAGTGCTGGGATTGCAGGCATGAGCCACTGCGCCTGGCCTGTTTTTACTTTGTCTGTGAAAATAACATTGGTATTTTGATAATGATTGCATTGAATCTGTATATTGTTTTGGGCAGTATGATCATTTCAATATTAATTTTTCTGATCCATGAGTATGGGATGTCTTTCCATTTGTTTGTATCATCTTTAATTTCTCTCATCAGGGTTTTGTAGTTTTTCCTGTAGAGATCTTTTACCTCCTGGGTTAAATTTATTCCTATTTTATTTTTTTTCTGTGGCTATTGTAAATGGGATTGCCTGCTTGATTTGCTACTTAGCTAGATCATTATTGTTGTATAGAAACACTACCGACTTTTGTATGTAGATTTTGTATTCTACAACTTTACTGAATTTGTTTGTGAGTTCTGAGAGATATTTGGTGGAGTCTTTGGCTTTTCTTTCTAAATATAAGATCATGTCATCTGCAAAGGGACAATTTGACTCCCTATTTTCCAATTTGGGAGCCTTTTATTTCTTTCTCTTGCCTGATTGCTCTGGCTAGGATTTCCAGTACTATGTTGAATAGGAGTCCTGAAAATGGGCATCCTTGTCTTATTCTAGTTCTTAGAGGAAAGGATTTCAATTTTTCCCCATTCAGGATGATGTTAGCTATGGGTTTGTCATATATGGCCTTTATTACTTTGCGGCATGTTTCTTCTATGCTTAGTTCGTTGAGAGTTTTTTTTCTTTTATCATGAAGGGATGTTGAATTGTATAAAATGCTTTTTCTGCATCTATTGAGATGATAATATAGTTTTGCCCTTCATTCTGTTGATGTGGTGTATCATGTTTATTGATTTGTGTATTTGAATGATACTTGTGTCCCTGGTATAAATCCCACTTGATGATGGTGTATTATCTTTTTGATGTGCTCTTGAATTCTGTTTGCTGGTATTCTGTTGAGGAGTTTTGAGTTCACATTTATCAGGGATATTGGTCTGTAAGTTTCTTTATTTGTCCTGTCCTTGTCTGGTTTTGGTATCTGGGTAATTCTGGCCCTGTAGAATGAGTTGGAGAACTCCTGCCTCTTCAGTTTTTTTGGAAGAGTTTAAAAAGGATTAATTCTTTATTAGTTCTTTGTTATAAGTTTGGAAGACTTTGGTGGTGAATCCATCCAGTCCTGGGCTTTCGCTTTGTTGGAAGAGTTTTTATTACTGATTCAATCTTGCAACTTGTTATTGGTCTGTTCAGGTTCTTTATTTCTTCCTGATTCAGTCTCTGTAGGTTGTAGGTTACCAGGCGTTTATTCATTTCCTCTAGGCTTTCCAATTTGTTAGTGTATCGTTGTTCATAAAAGTCTCTGATGATATTTTGTATTTCTGTGGTATGAGTTGTAATGTCTCCTTTTTCATTTCTGATTTTGGGTATTTGGGTCTTCTTTTTTTTGGTTAGTCTAGATAGAAGGTTTATAAATTTTGTTTATCTTTTTGAAGAACCATTTTTTTTGCTTCATTGATCCACTGTATTTTTTTTAGTCTCTATTTTATTTTATTCTCTTTCTGATCTTGTTCTGATCTTTATTATTTCTTTGTTTCTTCTGCAGTTTGAGGTTTGGTTTGTTCTTACTTTTCTAGTTCCTTGAGGTGCATTGTTAGATCATTTATTTTAAATCTACTTTTTTGATGTAGGCTTGTTGCTATAAACTTCTTTTTTAGTACTGCTTTTACTGTATCTCATGGGTTTTAGTATGTTGTGTTTTCATTTTCACTTGTTTCAAGAATTTTTGATTTTCATCTTAATTTCTTCACTGACCCAGAGATTGTACAGGAACTTATTGTTTCATATCCATGTATTTAGTAGTTTCCGAAGTTCCTCTTGGTATTGACTTTTATTTTATTCCATTGTAGCCTGAGAAGATACTTGATATAATTTCAATTTTTAAAATTTGTTGAGATTTGTTTTGTGGCCTAACATATGGCCTATCTTGGAGAATGTTCCATGTGTTAATAAGAAGAATGTGTATTCTGCAGTGTTGGATAAAATGCTCTGTAAATAGCTGTTAGGTCCATTTGGTCTAAAGTCCAGTTTAAATCCAGTGTTTCTTTGCTGATTTTCTGTCTAGATGACCTGTCTAATGCTGAGTTGAAGTCTCCCACTACTATTGTATTGGAATCTGTCTCTTTAGATCTAGTAACATTTGCTTTAGGAATCGGGGTGCTCCAGTGTTGGGTGCATATGTATTTAGAATTATTTTCTTTTGCTGGATTGATCCTTTCATCAATAGATAGTGACTTTCTTTGCCTTTTAAAACTCTTTTTGGTTTAAAGTCTGTTTTATCTGATATAAATATAGCTATTCCTTCTTGCTTTTGATTTTTGTTTATGTGGCGTATCTTTTTTCATCTCTTTAAGTTTATGTTGGGTTTTTACAGGTAAAGTGTGTTTCTTTTAGGCAACGTTGGATCAAGTTTTTTTAATCCACTTAGCCAGTTTATATCTTTTAAGTGGAGAACTTAATAATATATTTATACACAAGGTTAATATTGATATATTAGGTTTTGTTTCTGTCATATTGTTAATTGTTTTCTGGTTGTTTTATATATTTTTTGTTCCTTCCTTTTTCTCTTATTGTTTGTTACTCTGGTTTGGCAGTTCTCTGTAGTGTTACCATTTGAGTTCTTATTCTCCCCCGTCTTCAGTTCTTCCCTTCCTCCCTCCCTCCTTCCCTCCTCCCCTCCCTGCCTTCCTGCCTTCCTCCCTCATTCCCTCCCTCCCTTCCTTCCTTCCCTCCCTCCCACCCTTCCTTCCTTCCTTCCTTCCTTCCTTCCTTCCTTCCTTCCTTCCTTCCTCTTTCTTTCTTTTTTTTTTTTTGAGATGGAGTCTCACTCTGTCACCCAGGCTAGAGTGCAGTGGCGCGATCTCAGCTCACTGCCGGCTCCACCTCCTGGATTCACACCATTCTCCTGCCACAGCCTCCCAAGTAGCTGGGACTACAGGCGCCTGCCACCATGCCCGGCTAATTTTTTGTGTTTTTAGTAGAGACGGGGTTTCACCGTGTTAGCCAGGATGGTCTCGATCTCCTGACCTCGTGAACCGCCCGCCTCAGCCTCCCAAAGTGCTGGGATTACAGGCGTGAGCCACCGCGCCTGGCCCCTTCCTTCCTCTTTCTTTCTTTACTTTCTTTTCCTTCCTTCCTTCCTTCCTTCCTTCCTTCCTTCCTTCCTTCCTTCCTTCCTTCCTTCCCTTCCTTCTTTACTTTCTTTTATTTCTTTCTTCCTTTCTTCCTCTTTCTTTCTTTTTCTTTCTTTCTTTTTCTTTCTTTCTTTCTCTTTCTTTCTTCTTCCTTTCTTTCCTCTTTCTTTCTCTTTCTTCTTCCTTTCTTTCTTCTTTCTTTCTTTCTTTCTTTCTTTCTTTCTTTCTTCGCTTTCTTCTTTCTCCTTTCTCTTTCTCTTTCATTGTTGCTTGTGTAGTTGTCACTTGTTTGTTTAGTGACTTTTCAAACAAGTTTTGTAAAGTCTGTATTCTTTGTTATATCTAGCCACTGAAATCTCCATTTTGTTAGTTTAGTTGTCAGGTAGACAACTAAATTAAATTTGACAGAAATTTCCTTAAATGCCTTAAGTAACAACAATAAAAAAATCTAGCATTTGCAGATGAGCTATGTGTGTGTTTTGGAAGACACCTTCCTCAGGCAGGCAGTTTACAGCTCTGCCTTTGCCTTCATTCACTTCTGGCTTGCACAGGGTGTGAGGGTCAGTCATAGATGAGAGATTAGGTTCTCAGGTCTTTGTTGATACTGCATCATTCCTGGGCATGAGTGTTGCCTTCTAAATTCCCAGAAATATATGCTACCTTTTCAAAGCCCTTATTTCCCAAGGCATCTTATTCCCTGGCTTTTCCTGCCAGAGTAATTAGTGGTTTGCCGAAACTCTTATCTTTTGCCCCAGGTGGCAGCAGCTCATACATTTGCCTCGGAATATTTTCCACTAATGCCCCCTGAGTAGACTTAGCTCTGGGAGAATTTCAGGTTAAGTGAAATAAAGAGAAGCCCTTTGAGCCACTTATTCGGGAGACATAGGTCAAAACAACTACAATTCTTTAAGAATGAGGCTTGTTCTGCTCCCTTCATACTAAGATCCTATCTTGGTAATGTGGGCTATTGTCTTCTCCCCACATTGCTGGGGAGGCTGCAGAGCTAGAGAGTGGAAGATGGGGCTGCAGTTAATTAAAGCACCACAAAGCTCTTTTTCGTAGAGGCAGGTTTTTTGTTTTTGTTTGTGTGTTTGTTTGTTTTGATTAGACGTTCATCTGTTTACTGTAAATTTTGTATTAGTATTCAGAGTTCTGACAAAACTAATTCTGACAGTTTTGCCAATTTATTTGTGGCTTTTATGGAGGAACACACTTTTGGAGCTTCCTTTTCCACCCATTTGAACTGGCATCATTTTCCAGTTTCCTGACTTCTGTTCTGATCTTTATTACAGATGTTCCTTCACTTACAATGGAATTACATTCTGATAAGACCATCATAAATTGAAAATATCATAAGTTGAAAATGCATTGAGTACAACCAACCTACTAAAATCCTGGCTTAGCCTAGCCTACCCTAAACATGCTCAGAACACTTACCTTAGCCTACAGCTGGGCAAAATCATCTAACACACAGCCTATTTTATAATAAAGTGTTGAATATCTCATGAAATTTATTGAAAATTCTACTGAAAGTGAAAAATAGAATGGCTGTATGAGTACTCCAAGTATGCTTCCTACTAAATGCATATTACTTTTGCACCATTGTAAAATCAAAAAGTTGTTAAATTGAACCATTGTGAGTTAAGAACTGTCTATATTTTCTTTCTTTTGCTGCTTTGTTTAGTTTGTTTTTTTTTCCCCTAAGGTGAAAGTTAAGATTATTTAATTGTTTTTTTCTTCTCAGTGCACAAGTTTCCCTCTAAAGAATGGTTTGGTGGTAACCCCAAAATTTTGACATATGTATATTCATTTTCATTTGGTTCAAAATGTTTTCTTATTTCCCTTTTGATTTCTTCTTTGACCCATGGATTATTTTGAAGCATGTTATTTAGTATCCAAATCTTCAGGAATTTTCTAGATACTTTCATTAATTTCTAATCTAACTTTTTTTTTTTTGCTGTTGGAGAACATATTTGTATGACATAAGTCATTTAAAACTTAGATAGATTTATGTTATGGCCCAGAATATAATTAATCTTGGTAAATGTTTCATGTATACCTGAAAAGTGTCAGCAGTCTACTGTTGGCTGGAGTGTTCTATATCAATTAGGCTGTTTCTATTGTGTCTTTATAATTAAAACAGATTTCTTTTAGACAGCATAGCTTTGGATCTTGTTTATTTGTTTTTTTCTGATCTGAAAACCTCTGCCTTCTGATTGAGGTGTGTTTATTTATACAGAATGTGATCATTGACATGGTTTCATTTAAATCTATCATCTTGTGATTTGCTTTTAATTTTTTCTATTTTTGTTTCCTTTTTTCTTCTTTTTTGACAGTTTTTAGATGAATTGAGGATTTGTTATGATTTCATTTTATCTCCTTTTCTTTCTCATTAACTATAATTCTTTGTTGCATTATTTAAGTGGTTGCTTTTGAGTTTCATCTTTAACAATATAGTCTACCTTCAATACTACTTGATGTACAGTATAAGAAATTTGCAGCAGGACACCTCCATTTTGATCCTCCAGGCTTCTCTGCTATTGTCATACAATTTACTTCTACAATTTACATAAATCCCACAATATATCGATATTAATTTTACTTTAAATTTCAATTATCTCTTTAACTTTAAAGAGATTTAAATAATAAGAAAATTACCTATCTAGTTAGAATTTCTGGTACCATTTATTTACTTGGTGAGGATCCAAGTATCCATCTGGTATTATTCTCCTTCTGCTTAAAGGATAATTTCTTAAAATTTCTCATAGTGCAAGTCTGCTAGTGATAAATTCTTTCAGCTTTTGTATGTTTGGAAAAGTTTTATTTTGCCTTCTTTATTAAAAGATGTTTTTCTTGGGCAAAGAATTCTAGATTTACTCTTCCTGTACTTTCAAGATGTTGCTCCACTATCTTCTAGGTTGCATTGTCTCTGATGAGGCATCTTTATCTAGTTTTTCTATAAATAATGTGTCTTTTTTCCTACGTGTTTTTAAAAAATGTTTTCTCTTTATCAGTGGCTTTTAGCAGTTTAATTATTATGCCTTTGTGTAGTTTTCTTCATGTTTCTTATGTTTGATGTTCATTGAACTTATTGGATCTGTGGGTTTGTAGTTTTTACATTTGGAAAATATTTATCGTCCTTTTGTACAAATTCTATCATTCTGTCATTTCTAGGTTAATGTAAATTAACTGTTTTTTCTCATTGTGGATTATATTTTCCTGCTTTGTCTTATTCCAGGTAGTTCTCTATTATATGCCACATAGTGTGAATTTTGCCCTGTAGGGTGTCATGTATTTCTGTATTCCTATAAATATTCTTGATCTTTGTTTTGGAATGCAGTGAAGTTACTTAGCAACAGTTTGATTCTTTGGGGTCTTGCATTTAAGGTTTGTTTAGCTGGATCAGAGCAGCATTTTATCTACCATTAATTTTCCCCACTACTGAGGCAAGGCCCTTCTTAGTGCCCAATCCAAGGCCCCATAAGTTATACAGTTTTCTGCTCTGGTTGTTGAAATGAGACAGTAATCTGAGTCTTATGTGAGCAGTGGGCACTGTTCCCCTCCAATGCTTTCAAGTTGTTCTTCCCCTAGCCTTGGATGGTCACACACACATGGGCTGCTCAGTATTCATCTGAATACTTGAAGATGCCTCCGGAAGATCTCTGAAGTTAACCTCCCATGCTACTCTGTCCTCTGCAGGGCTCCCCAACCCCTGGGACCCAGACTGGTACCCATCCATGGCCTCTTAGGAACCGGGCTACATAGCAGGAGGTGAGGGAGGGGTGTGCGAGCAAACATTACCACCTGAGCTCTGCCTCCTGTCAGATCAGCGGCAGCATTAGATTCTACATAGGAGCGTGCATCCTATTGTGAACTGCACATCCAAAACCCATCCCCCACCCCAACCCCCTGTTCATGGGAAAATATTCCTCCACAAAACTGGTTTCCAGTGCCAGAAATGTTGGGACCACTGCTCTATAGTACTTTGCCCTGTGAACCTTGGTTTACCTAAACTCCGAACTCCATCTCCTCAATTCAGAGACACTCTATACTTGAGTTTTTTTGTCCTTACTCTATTACCTAGAATCTTTATGTAGCCCAGAAAGACTAAAATGTATGCCATCTGGCCCTTTACAAAAAAAGTTAGCTGACCCTGATAGTAAGCTGATGCAAGTACAGGGCTCACTTCACTTGTTTCTTTTCTCTTGGGGATTACTGTTTTTTATTGCCTTATGTCTAATGTCTCAAGAGCTGTTGTTTTATATATTTTTTATCTGTCTTTTTTTTTCTTAAAAAAAAAAGCTCAGGTGGGATGGTAAATCTGATCTTTGTTAACTCCATCTTGGCTGCAAGTGAATGCCTCCAATATAGTTATATGTAATAAAACACATTTTAATGTTAACATGTAGTGGGTTCATTGATTTGTTAAATGAATTAAAAATAAATATTTTAAAAATTTCTCATTTTAGTTTGTAATTTGGTAAACATCAATAGATCAAACTCATATAAACAAAATCTCTTTGTAGATCTTCAATAGGCTTTTAAAAAATTGATATAAATTATTATTATTATTATTTTTTGTGACAGAGTCTTACTCTGTTGCCTGGCTGGAGTGCAGTGACGTGATCTCGGCTCACTGCAACCTCCACCTCCCAGGTTCAAGTAATTCTCCTGCCTCAGCCTCCTGATATAAATTATTTTTAAGATCAGTTTTTGGTTTCCAGAAAAATTGAGTAGAAAGTACAGAGACTTCCTATATATTCCTCATCTCCCTCATCCCAGCCTTCCCTGCTATCATCATCTTACATCAGTATGACACATTTGTTACAATCAGTGAAACAGCACTGATACATTATCTGACAAAGCACATAATTTACATTAGAGTTTGCTTTTGTGTCGTACATTTTATGGATTTTTACAAACATATGATGACATGTATCCAACATTATAGTATTGTATAAAATAGTCTCACTGCCCTAAAAATTCCCTGCGTTCTTCCCATGTATTCCTCTCTTCCCCTAAACCCCTGGCAACCATTGATCTTTTTACAGTCTCTATAGTTTTGTCTTTTCCAGATGTTACATAGTTGGAATCATACAGCAAGTAGTCTTTTGGGACTGGCTTCTTTTACATAGAAATATGCATTTAAGTTTCCTCTATCTTTTCATGGATCAATAATTAATTTCTTTTTATCATTGAATAATATTTTATTGTATGAATATATCACAATTTACTTATCCCTCCACCTATTGAAGGATATCTTGGATGCTTTCAATTTTTTCACAATTGCTATAAACATTCATGTAATCTTCAATAGTTTTAAGAGTGTAAAGGGTGTTACAACCAAAATACTTTAGCACCACTAAGCTAGGGACAGTATTTCTCAGGAGAGGAGCAAAAGTATTTTTCTTTGCTCCAATTCTCACATGTGCTTTTATTGATTATTTAGTAGATTCATTCAATAAATATTAATTGACTTTCTCCTCTGTGGAACATGTTGTGCTAAGAACAGGACATACAATGGTGAGAAAAACCAGAAATGGTTGCTGCCTTGGAAGAACTTACAATTTACTTGGGAGGGAAGCATTAATCAAATAGTACAAAATTGAAATCACCACTAGGCGAAATGCAAAGAAAAAGAGGTATATAATGTCAAGGGAATCTGTAATGAAAAATTTGACCTGGGCAGAAAGGTCAGGGAAGGTTTCCCTGTGGCAGTAATAATTACACTCAGAGCTAAGAGATGGCAAGGAATTAACTTGGTGAAGAGGGGAAGAAACAGGAAATATTAGCAGGCTATATTCACTATTCCATTTGGCTTATCAGAGGCTGACTGTCTAGTCCTTTTTTGTCCTCTTCTTCCTTCTCTGTCTATTTCTCCTCAGTCTCTTCCTTTTCCTTCTTTCTCCTTCTTTTCCTCTTCCCATCCTTTGTCCTTTGTTTATTTGCAATAAATATTCAAGATTTTCTAGCTTAATGAGCAGATACTAGAGTTTTTGTGTATAGGATGTTGTTTTAGTCTGTTTTGTGCTGCTATCATGGAATACCACATACTGGATAATTTGTAATGAACAGGAATGTATTTTCTCACAACTCTGGAGTCTGGGAAGTCCAAGGTCAAGGTACCAGCATCTGATGAGGGCATTCTTGCTGTGTCCTCATGTGGCAGAAAGCAGAAAGGAAAGAAGGCAAAAGAGGCCAAACCTGGCCTTTTATAGCAGCATTAATCCCACCATGAGGGGAGCTCTCACGGCCCAATCTCCTCACAAGGTTCCCACTACCACAATGCAACCACATTTCAACATGAGTTTTGGAGGGGACAAACATTTGAACCATAGCAGATGTTCAGAAGCAACTCTATAAAAATTTTAAAAGGATGGCCTTTGCTTGCTTGCATAAACTGATCCCTTTTAGAAAGAGAAGTTAAAATTTTAGGATTTTGATGATGCTTGGCTTATTGTTGGGAGTGGAGAGGTGACAAAGGATGGAAGAAGGGGAAAAAGCTGGGATCAATCAGATCATTAATGAGGCCACTTCTGTCAAGAAAATTTAATTTCAGTGCTTGAATCATTGACCTACCAAAACAACTAAATGTCATGTGTATTTGCATTTTAAACACACTTGGACTCTCTACCCTAATGGAGAATATGAGGGTGCATAGCGTTAATGTCACACAAATATTTCTACAGTTATACTCACTGTGGCATTGCACCAATGTTAGCTGTAAATTTCAGAGTTGCAAACAAGAGTGGCAAGCCCTTTGGCTTCTTAGCTCTGTAATTAAACATAAGGCTGTTGGTTTGGCTGGGATATGTGAACTTTCCAAATGAAGTAGAGTTCTAGCTTAATTGTAAGCCTAATTTGTCTTTCTTATCACTGAAGAAACAGGCAGAAACTAAAAGGCCAAAACAATACACCTCCTCCACTGAAATTGTTAAAAGCTGTTGTTCCATAATTACTGTGACTAAGACAATAAACAGACTCTATTGAAACTGACAAAACATTAGATCCACGTGGCTGGATTTCTGTGGGCCTTTTCTGCATGTTCCCAACAAAAGTATAGCATATTTTCACAGAGCAGGCAAAGGAGGATAATAAACTATTATAACTCCAGGAGAGTTATTGTAATATATTCTGCTAATGTGAAAAGGGATGCATTTAATTTAGGCTTGTTTTGAAATATAGGAAAACATCACCAAATTGGAGAAATAGTATATTCCCTGTCTAAAATATTGAGAAGTGGAGTAGGGTTGAAAACATATGCACTTTGCACTTAAAGTAGGCTACACTACTAGACTAGACTAGACTACTGCAACTCTAACCCAGTTGGGGACCAAAATACAGATAATGATGAAAGGATCTGCATCAGAAGGCATATAAATACTAAATGTGTAGGTGCTTCATAACAGAATTTCAAACTACATGAAGCCAAGTCTAAATAAATAAAAAAACACACAAACTACGGTTGAAGATTTTAACACCTGTTTCTCAGTAATTGTCAGAATAAGTAAAACCAATCCTTAGTAAAAGTAATCAGAACAGTGATTACTTCTGTAGGGGTGAGGGGAAGGAGGTTAGCTGAAAAAGGACATGTGGAAATTTTCTGGAGTGATAGAAATGTCCCACATGTTGATATCATCAATGGACAGGTATATGCATTTATTAAAATTCATTAAAATTTACACTTAAAAATCTATGCATTTTACTGTAGGTAAAATATATTCAATATTTAAATTTGAAATAAATTGGTAAGATTTAGTTTTAGATATATTATCCTTGGAATTCCTGTTAGATATCAAAGTGGAGATATCAGAGTGATATGTAAGTTGGATATGTGAATCTGGAGCTCAAGGGAGAGGTTGGTACTGGGGTTACATTTTGAAAGTCATTAGTATATAGACAGTATTTAAATCCAAAGGACTGAACAATCCCTTAGGTATTGAAAATAGAGATGACATCTGAGGTCAGAGGCTTGAAAAGCCATGCCAACTCTTAGAATTTGGGACAATAAAGATAAATCAGTAAAGAACATTAAGATTAATCAACTAAGGAAATAGGAGTGAAACTGGGAGAATATAGAAGTCAAATTAAGAAAGTGTTTCTTTATAGCAGCATGATTTATAGTCCTTTGGGTATATACCCAGTAATGGGATGGCTGGGTCAAATGGTATTTCTAGTTCTAGATCCCTGAGGAATCGCCACACTGACTTCCACAATGGTTGAACTAGTTTACAGTAACACCAACAGTGTAAAAGTGTTCCTATTTCTCCACATCCTCTCCAGCACCTGTTGTTTCCTGACTTTTTAATGATTGCCATTCTAACTGGTGTGAGATGGTATCTCATTGTGGTTTTGATTTGCATTTCTCTGATGGCCAGTGATGATGAGCATTTTTTCATGTGTCTTTTGGCTGCATAAATGTCTTCTTTTCAGAAGTGTCTGTTCATATCCTTTGCCCACTTTTTGATGGGGTTGTTTGTTTTTTTCTTGTAAATTTGTTTGAGTTCATTGTAGATTTTGGATATTAGCCCTTTGTCAGATGAATAGTTTGTGAAAATTTTCTCCCATTTTGTAGGTTGCCTGATTCACTCTGATGGTACTTTCTTTTGCTGTGCAGAAGCTCTTTAGTTTAATTAGATCCCATTTGTCAATTTTGACTTTTGTTGCCATTGCTTTTGGTGTTTTAGACATGAAGTCCTTGCCCATGGCTATGTCCTGAATGGCAATGCCTCGGTTTTCTTCTAGGGTTTTTATGGTTTTAGGTGTAACGTTTAAGTCTTTAATCCATCTTGAATTAATTTTTGTATAAGGTATAAGGAAAGTTTCAGCTTTCTACATATGGCTAGCCAGTTTTCCCAGCACCACTTATTAAATAGGGAATCCTTTCCCCATTGCTTGTTTTTCTCAGGTTTGTCAAAGATCAGATAGTTGTAGATATGTGGCATTATTTCTGAGGGCTCTGTTCTGTTCCATTGATCTATATCTCTGTTTTGATACCAGTACCATGCTGTTTTGGTTACTGTAGCCTTGTAGTATAGTTTGAAGTCAGGTAGCCTGATGCCTCCAGCTTTATTCTTTTGGCTTAGGATTGACTTGGTGATGCAGGCTCTTTTTTGGTTCCATATGAACTTTAAAGTAGTTTTTTCCAATTCTGTGAAGAAAGTCATTGGTAGCTTGATGGGGAGGGCATTGAATCTATAAATTACCTTGGGCAGTATGGCCATTTTCACAATATTGATTCTTCCTACCCACGAGCATGGAATGTTCTTCCATTTGTTTGTATCCTCTTTTATTTCATTGAGCAGTGGTTTGTAGTTCTCCTTGAAGAGGTCCTTCATATCCCTTGTAAGCTGGATTCCTAGGTATTTTATTCTCTTTGAAGCAATAGTGAATGGGAGTTCACTCATGATTTGGCTCTCTGTTTGTCTGTTGTTGGTGTATAGGAATGCTTGTGATTTTTGTACATTGATTTTGTATCCTGAGACTTTGCTGAAGTTGCTTATCAGCTTAAGGAGATTTTGGGCTGAGACAATGGGGTTTTCTAGATATACAATCATGTCATGTGCAAACAGGGACAATTTGACTTTCTCTTTTCCTAATTGAATACCCTTTATTTCCTTCTTCTGCCTAATTGCCCTGGCCAGAACTTCCAACACTATGTTGAATAGGAGTGGTGAGAGAGGGCATCCTTGTCTTGTGCCAGTTTTCAAAGGGAATGCTTCCAGTTTTTGCCCATTCAGTATGGTATTGGCTGTGGGTTTGTCATAGATAGCTCTTATTATTTTGAGATACATTCCATCAATACCTAGTTTATTGAGAGTTTTTAGGATGAGGGGTTGTTGAATTTTGTCAAAGGCCTTTTCTGCATCTTATTGCGGCACTATTCACAATAGCAAAGACTTGGAACCAAGCCAAATGTCCAACAATGATAGACTGCATTAAGAAAATGTGGCATATATACACCATGGAATACTATGCGGCCATAAAAAATTATGAGTTCGTGTCCTTTGTAGGGACATGGATGAAATTGGGAATCATCATTCTCAGTAAACTATTGCAAGGGCAAAAAACCAAACACCGCATGTTCTCACTCATAGATGGGAATTGAACAATGAGAACACATGGACACAGGAAGGGGAACATCACACTCTGGGGACTGTTGTGGGGTGGGGGGAGTGGGGAGGGATAGCATTAGGAGATATACCTAATGCTAAATGACGAGTTAATTGGTGCAGCACACCTGCATGGCACATGTATACATATGTAACTAACCTGCACATTGTGCACATGTACCGTAAAACTTAAAGTATAATAATAATAATAAAAAAGAAAGTGTTTCAAAGAGGACAGAATGATTATGTCAAATTCTACTGAGAAATACCATAAGATGAGTACTGATAACCTTTTTCAATTTTTTCAGTTTTCCAAGATGGAAGTCACTGGTGAGTTTGTAAGAGAAGGTACATAAAAATAGCAAAATGCAAGCCTGATTGGACTGGGTTAAGAAAAATATCTGATGAGACAATGACTATAGAAAACTCTTTCAAGAAAATGTGTGTCTATGTTGCTTAAATGGGATGACATAATTGCTTCTTATATTTAAACAATGCTGTGGGCCTTGAACATTATTATTTAGGGAGAATATACCAGAGAATGATGATGTTGAAAGAGAACACAGGAACCATCTCCTCCAGTGGTTTTTAACAGGGACTCTAACAAAATCCATATGGCTGACCCTCAAGATAGGATTAAATGAGGACACATAGTCACTTTGAGCATAATACTTTAGCACCTTTTCATAATGATGTTTTTAAAACATTTGTTTAACATTATTTGGAGAAGACACTGAACTCTGTTCTGTATGTGGGAGGATGGATGACTGATGGTCATTATTAGACTTCCCTCTTTTCAACCAAATAGTTTAGGAATGACCCAATGTGGTTAGCTCACAGATAGATATAAAATGCCTTTATAAATCATACTCTTTATTAAGAACCTCAGTTCTATACTCTAAGTAGCTTACCAAAATATTCCTTCTAAACACACATATTATTCTCTCATAGAAAAATTCTGATAGAACCATATTTTTGGTTAGGATATAAATTCAACGCCATATAACAGAGACAAAATAACAATGGCATAAATGAAATAATGTATTTCTCTTTCACATAAAGGTCTGTGCTGGTATAGCAGCTTTGTACTGCAAGATCACTGGGGGCCCAGGCTCCTACTCTCTTGTTGTGTGGTGGTGATGTCATCCATATGGCCCAAGATGACTTACCATCATGTTTGTATTCCAGCCAGTGGCAATAGGGAAAGAGGAAGGAGTAGGTATGCTCTTTCCTTTAGGGGCAGGCAGGACCTAGAGTTGCATACATTACTTTATTCTCATCCCTTTGGCCAGCACCCGCCCACACTCAGTCACAAAGGTGCCTAGAGAATATTGTCTTTATTCAGAGTGGCCTTATGCTCAAAACAAATCACTAAAAAAATCACTGTGGAAGACAGAAAGATGGCTACTGATGCAAAACCAGCAGCTTCTGTTCAACGGAGTACAACTGAGTACCTTACCTATGATGTTTTAGGCTTCCAGTGCTCTCTTAGAGACTGGCACTTGGGCATGTGGCTGGCCTGCCCCTTTCTCTGCATCTATCTTTGGGATCACTACAGGGATAAGGAGGAGGTGCCGGGGTGACCCTACATTAAATCTTCAATAAGTGTAGCGTCTCCTGCATTTGTTTCACTGACGTGACTTCTGAGCAAGATGCCATTTAAAGTAAGGGTTCCCAAGTTGTAATGGGTAATTTTTTGTGTCAACGTGACTGGGTCACAGGGTACCCAGACATTTGGTCAAGATTACTTTGATTGTGTCTATGAGGGTGCTTTCGATGAAATGAACATTTGAACAGGTAGACTGGCTAGATTGTCCTCTCTAATGTGGATGGGCCTCATCCAATCATTGAAGACCTAAATAGAACAAAAAGGCTGATTCTCCTTTCACTAAGAGGAAAACGCCTCCTGCCTGACTGCCTTGAGCTGGGGCATTGGTCTTTTCCTGCCTCTTGACTCAAACTGAGACGTTGGTTCTTCTTGGGTCTCAAGTCCGCTGGCCTTGGGACTGGAACTATACCATTGGCTCTCCTGGAGGGGCAGCTTGCTGACTGCAGATCTTGGGACTTATCAACCTCCATAATCACATGAGCTGATGTCTTATAACAAGTCTAATAAATCTTTCTCTCTCTCTCGCCCTCACTATTGCTCCCAACCCCCCAGCCTCACACATTTATACCCTGTTGGTTCTGTTTCTCTGGACAATCCACCTGACTAATATGCGAGTTAAAAAACAAATAAACTGGAAGCCACTGATTTAGTCCCTATAAGTAACAGATGGTAGAATTGGGGCCCAGAGCCATTAAGTAGCTCCTACAAGTTAGGTGGCCACAAATTCAGGACTAGATCTAGATCTTCTAATAATCAGTCTAATCTTTGCTCCATAGAATGTTTCCTTGTCTTGCAGGTCACATTACAGATGGAAATGCACCATGTTTTACCAAAAGGTACATTCGCATACTGCTTCTCAAGCATAGTTGATGTTAGGCTTCCTATTATTTGTACAATCTCCATAGAAACTGTAAAATACAAATTCACTTTTCATAGGAAGTTTTTTTTCTAGGCTAAAGTGATGGAAAGATGTGAAAAACAAACCCATCTTGCTATTTTAATGGTCAGTACTGGAACAAAACATCCTTTAAAATCTGTCTCGTAGCTGAATTGGTGATTGAATTCCATAAGCAAATGCCAACATTACCAAAGTGAAAACACAGTGTTAGAACAGAGGAACACTGTAAGCCCTCTGCATTAAGCAGACCAGACTCCAGATTTGATTTGTCAAAGCTCAGAAATAAATTAGCCTCTTGCTGTGGCAGAGTTTATGTAAGTAATACGGTGCCCTGTTCTCGCTTGTGTGGGGGTGGAAGGAGAGAGCTGTTAGTATCTCTGAAACAGAACTGAGATGAATCATAACTTCTATGCATACAATGACAATATTTTTCTGTATCAAAAATTAGGTCAAGTCAGCAATGGCTTTTAGGAAGGAGATAATGTAAAATCTGATAATGACTTAGAAATTTGTACCAATTATTTTATTTTTGTACTATCAAAAACTCAACCTTTTTAAGATA
The DNA here is from genome assembly GCF_000001405.40 of Homo sapiens. NCBI lineage: Eukaryota > Metazoa > Chordata > Mammalia > Primates > Hominidae > Homo > Homo sapiens. The sequence goes on along the minus strand of NC_000004.12, from coordinate 52,477,164 downwards.
TAATTAAAATACCAAATAGTTTATTTAAAGTGTACAATTTAATGGGTTTTAGTATATTTACAATGTTGTGAAACAATCACTACTCTCTAATTCCAGAAAATCTTAATCACCCCCAAAATAAGTCCCTTACTTATTAGCATGGATTTCCATTTCCCTCTCTCCCTAGTCTCTGGAAATCAATAACCAACTTTCTGTCTATATGGATTTGCCTATTCTGGACTTCTCACAGAAATGGTATCTTACAATATGTGACCTTTTGTGACTAGCTTCTTTCACTTAACACAATATTTCCTCTAAGAATGTTTTATTTGTATAAATTTGTGGGGTATAAGTGTAATTTTGTTACATGGATATATTGTGTGGTGATGAAGTCAGGGCTTTTAGTGTATGAATTGCTAGAATAACAAAATCATACAAATTATAATATCTTCAAGGTTCATCCATGTTGCAGCATGTATCAGAGGATAATTTTTTTTTATGGCTACATTGCCTTCCATTGTATGGCTATACCACATTTTATTTATCGATTCACCAATTGATGAATTGATGATTTGAATTGTTTCCACTTTTTGGATATTTAAAATAACATTAGTGTACAAGTTTTTGTGTGGGCATGTATTTTCAATTTTCTTGGGTATATATCCAGTAGTAGAATTTCTGGGTCATATAATAACTGTATGTTTAACATTTGAAGGACTGTTAAACTATTTTTCCTAGTGGCTACATCATTTTACATTCCCATCATCAATGTGTTAAGGTTCCAATTTCTCCACATTCTCACCAATACTTGTCATTGTGTGTTTGATTATAGCCATCCTAGTGCACATGAAGTGGTATCTCGTGGTTTTAATTTGCATTTCCCTTATCATTAATAATGTCAAGTACCTTTTAACTTGTTTCCTGACCATTTTCCCATTCCCTTGTGAAGTGTCTGTTTAAGTATTTTGTCCTTTTAAAAAACTGCATTGTCTGCCTTTTAAAATACTGAATTCTTGGGGTTCTTTAAATAATTTCTTTGTCAGATGTTACAGATTTATTGCGATTTTCTCCCAGTGTGTAACTTGCTTTTTAAATTTTCTTAATGATGTCTTTCAAAGAGAAGGAAATTTAAATTTTGATGCAAGTCTAGTTTATCAATTTTTTTAATGGTTTGTAGTTTTGGTGTTTTGTCTATGCTATTTTTTTCATTCCAAGGTTGTGAAAACATCCCTGGTTTTTTTTTTTTTCAAAGGTTTAAGAGTGTTAGCTTTCAAGTGTAAGTCCATGATGCATTTGAAGTTAATTTTTCTGCATAGTATGAGTTAAAAGTAGAAATTTGTACCAATCAAAAGTTGAGATTTCTTTTCCACACATGATATATAATATCCAATTGTTCCAAAACCACCTACTATCACTTCCTCACTGAATTTCCTTGACAACTTAATGAAAATCCATTGGCCATATATGTCTATTTCTGGACTCTCTATACCATTCCATTAATCCATATTGATCTATGTGTTTAGCCTTTCACCAATGCCCTATTGTCTTGGTTTCTGTAGCTTTAGAGTAAGCCATAAAATCATGTAGAGTAAGTCCTCAAACTTTGATCTACTTTTTCAACAGTGCTCTGGCTATTCTATGTTTTTAGTATTTCTATATAAATTTTAGAATCATCTCATCAATTACTACAAAAAACCTTCTGGGATTCTGATTGAGATTGTTTTCAATCTATAGATCAACTTGGAGAGAAATAAGATCTTAAGAGTGTCAAATCTTCCAATCCATGAACATATGAAAACTTACTAGTTATTTCAGTCTTTTCTAATTTCTCTCGGTTTTCAATATAGAGATAATGTGTTTTTTATTACATCTATCCTCATGTATTTTTGTTTTCTTATATGTTATTATAAATGGTATTGTTTTAATATTTATCTTCCAATTTTTGTTGCTAGTATAAATAGATAAATTTGATTTAAAGTTATTGAACTTACATCCTACAGACTTGCTAAATTCACTTAGTTATTTTAGCATTTTTATACATTTATAGGATTTTCTACACATTCAAACATGTTGTATATGAATAAAGACAATTATACTTTAGTCTTTCTGGACATTTTGCCTTTTATTTATTTTTGTTGCCTGTACCACTGGCTAGAACATTCAGTATGATGTTGAATAGAGGTAGTGATATTAGGTATCCTTGCCTCATTCCTGACTTTAGGAAGAAAGTATTCATTTTTTCACCATTAAGTACCACATTATCTGTAGAGTTTTCATAGGTGCCCTTTATCAAATTGAGAATATTTCTTTCTATACTCATTTTGTTGAGAGTTTCTAATCATAAAGGAAAGTTGAAATTTGTTAAATGCCTTTTCTGCATCCATTGAGATAATCGTATTACTTTCCTCTTTTATTTTGTTAATGTAGTAAATTACACTGATTGATTTTCAGATAATTCTATCTTGCATTCCTAGTAGAAACCACATTTGTCATGACATACAATATTTTCCTTTTTATAAATTGTTGGATTTGTTTTACTAATTATTTTGTTAAACCTTTTTTATATCTATGTTTATAAAGGATATTATCTTTAGTTTTCTTGTAATGTCCTTGTCAGATGTTGGTATTAGGTTATTCTGTCTGTATAATATGAGTTAGGAGTATTCTTTCCTCCTCTGTTTTCTGGGTGTGTATAAAATGGTTATTATTTTCTCCTTCAACGTTTGATAGAATTCAGTATAGCAGAACCAGTACAGCAAGTTGGATTCTCTGCAAGCAAAGGCTGAGGTAGAGTTTAGGGGTGAAAGATGTTTTCTAGGGATCAACAGCTATGAAGGGAGAGGAAAGAAGTTTGGGAAAGGCAGAAAATAAACTTCAGTGAAGGCCCAATGAATGTGGGCCAACCCAGCAGGGTACTCTGGAGTAAGTAGCAGAGTCAGGTACAGCCTTCACACCTTGCCCTGCTCAGTCCTTACATGGGAGCCACTCCAGAAAGCCTGTGACAATGGAGGAGACAGCACTCTGTAGTGGAGGCGGCCCCACCAATCCCAGCGAACTTAGTATCTGAGTTCTAATCTCTGTCTCTCAGCTCACCAAGGTGGCCAATCACCATGAAGAGTCTCCCTCTCTATGCCACAGTCCAGAAAGATCTGCACTGGCTGTGGGTCTCATCTTTGCTTCACCTCACTCATGGATCGTAGTTCTGTGCTTTCTATACTCAAGAAAATAATCATTTAATATATCTTTTTCAGTTTTATAGTTGTTTTCAATAGAAGGGCTGGTCCAGAACGAATTACTCCATCATGATGGGAAGAAAAATTCTTAGTTCAGCTTTTGTCAGCTAGTTATGTAGAAATTTATTTTTATTAACTTCATTAGGAATTCACTTTTGACACAGAATTATAATTTTAAGATAGATTTTTCCTTAGCCGACTAGAAGAGTTTTAAAATCTTAGAAGTACAAAAGGAAGCTATAAATCCAGACCACAGCTTGGATTATTTTGCTAATGTAGGCCCCTTCTCAGATGTCCATTCTCCCTGTCCATCATCATAACCAGATTCCTTTTTAAAAAATAAAATTAATCAAATAAGCAGTTCTTAATGGCAGATTTCCAGAGTCCTCAGCCACAACAGAAGAGCCCCACTCTACCTCCCTTCACAATTCATCTCTACTCCTGGGCCATTTCAGCAGGAACCCTCCCAAACCCAAGTGGCATTGCCACATTTATAATAGTGGGTGCTCCTGTTACCCACTCCTTTGGACTGTGTCTCAGTCCATTTGGGCTGCTATAACAAAAATACCATAGACTTGGTGGTTTAAGTTACAAACATATATTTTTAAAGTTCTGGAGGCTACGGGTCTAGATCAAGGTGTCAGCAGATTCAGTATTTGGTGAGGAGCCACTTCCTAGTTCAAAGATGGTTGTCTTCTTGTCGTGTCTTCACATAGGAGAAGGGGCAATGGAGCTCTCTGGCACTTCTTTGTAAGGGCACTAATCCCACTCATGAGGGCTCCACTTTTATGATCTAATTACCTTTCAAAGGCTTCACCTCCTAATACCATCATCTTGGAGGTTAGGATTCAACCTATGAACCTATGAATTTTAAGGGTGCACAAACATTCAGTCTATAGCAGACTGTCAGTATTTTTTGCACCCACATGATCTGAGGGGCTGTTAAGTCAAACCTGTGAAGCTTTTAAGGTTTATGTCTTTCAAGAAAGAATATTTGGGATAAAAATTGCTGATTAGAGTGAGGGGAACGGGAGGGTATAGAGGGAGAGCACTAAAGACCACCAGAGAGTATCAAAGGAGGTGGAATAGAGAAAGAAAGAGCTTTTGACATATGTCATTTTCATTCATTGTTAGGTATACAGTAGGCACTTAATAGACACTTGATTATTGGTTGATGTGGAATTTCATATTCAGTATAGCTGATACTTTCCCTTTAATAATGGCCAGCTCATTTTCCATCCTACATTGCCCTGTGGAAAAAATCATCACTGTATTTTGGCACTTTTGAAATAGCAGCAGACATTGTGAATGCAGGAGTGATGGCAACAGAATGGAAAAGAATGATCACTAGTGAGGTTTCTAGTGTGGGTGTTGAAACTAATGAATTGCTGTATTATTCTGTGTTCTGCTCTAGCAAACTTTCGATATTCTTCTTCCTTAGTTAAATTTGACTCTGTTACTTATTATCATTCCAGAAATGTGAAGAATAAAAAGTTCAGAAGCCATTTGTATTCAAATAGAATGCAATTAAAAAGTCCCAGGCAAGCATTATAAGCTCATAAACAAGAGAGCTAGCAAGAAGAAAAAAATCAAGAAGCAAATCTTGAAGCAAGTTATAACCTGCCAGATGTGACAAAGGTGATAGAAAATCAGAAAAGAACAAAAAAAGTTATGACCGTTAATTAGCATATGGAAAAAGATAATCAGAGGCCCCCAAGGAAGCTGGATTATTAAAAATGCGACCTCCATTTCAACAAAGAAATTCCAGGCAGTGACACGGTTTTGAATTTATAATGAGGATTGATGAATAGAAGAGAATTGGATATTTCAAGAAACAAAGAAATACATGAGTTGAAGCTACAGTTAACAAAAAAAAGGTACTGGAGGAAAAGTTTTCTACCAAAGACAGAATATATCACTCTACTCTTATACTCTTCTTTGTGTTTCTACAACCACTTCGATTCTTCTTTTCTGTATTGTCAGATCCCTGCTAAATGTTTCTCCAGAAGGTGCTGGTTTTTTCTGGTCATCGGGGCACTGCCATCTTCTGTAATCGCACCTCTTCGAAAAATATACTATTTTTACCAAGAGTAAAAATAGTATTCACTTATCCATGGGGAATACATTCCAAGATCCCCATTGAATGCCTGAAACTGTAGATAGTGCAGAACCCTATATATACCATGTTTTTTTCCTATACATATATACCTATGATGATGTTTAATTTATAATGGGCATAGTAAGAGATTAACAACAATAACTAAAAATAAAATAGGATAATTATAATAATATACTATAATATGTGACTATAGTCTCTCTCTCAAAATGTCTTACTGTATGTAATATTTTCAGAATGTGGTTGACCACAGGTAACTGAAACCAAAGAAGGTGAAACGAAGGATGAAGGGTGCTACTGTACAAGCAAAGAAATCCCCTATGGATATTCATTACTGAGATACTTCTGACTGATCTCATCCATAGTTTGCAATTATCTTGATCGAGGTCTAATGATTACTGTTACCATAACACTGAAACAAGGCTATAAAGCAAAGTATCCTTTGACCAAAATTGATCAAATAAACATCAGCAATACAAACTGTTCCTAATGATAAAAATAGTTACTATTTATTGAGTACCTCGTATAGGCAGACTTAGCACCCCTAATGTCTGATTTAATTCTTACAACAAACCTGTGAGTTTTGTATGATGATCTTTATTTTAAAGATGGGGAAACTGCAGTTCAGAGGGGTTTGATAACTTACTCAAGATCTTCTAGCTGATAAGGGCAGAACTGGACCTGACCCAAGTTCTTCTCACACCAAATCAAACACAGGTAACATGACACAATGTTCCTATAATTTGTGAGTCCCTTTACAGCTTTAAGTGCTTTCATATGAGCAAGGGCAACTTCCAAAATCTGAAGACACTTTGATCAAAGTTGCTATGGCAAGAGATTCAGAAAACAAAGAGAGTAAAAATCTTAAGATTTAGATTCTAAAGTTGGTGAATAAAATGAAAGTAGACAAAATTAATTCTTAGCGCTTGTGAGAGATTAAGCACAGTCTGCCAATCTCTTTGATTACAACTAAAAACTAGACAGAATATATAAAGCAACTATCTGAGAACTTTGAAGAGTAATAGTAGGCATATTGAGGAGGGAAATAAAAGCTTGAAGATCATGACTGATACAGGAGCAAGTTTCCCATTATTTTAATTTTAATTTTTATTTTAAAAAAGTAGAGATGAGGGTCTCACTTTGTTACCGAAGCTGTTTTCGAACTTCAAGCAATCCTCCCACCTCAACATCCCAAAGTGCTGGGATTTCAGGCATGAGCCACCATGCCCACCGCCCACCCCTCCTGCTCCCCCACCTTTAAAAAAACTCTGCCATATCTTCCGGTTTATACTCAAGAGCAGCCTGAATGCTGGAAGTCTGCAGCAGTTGTGAATAGAAAAAGCTCCAAGAAAAACGCTTACTTTTTGGACAGAGGAAATAAAGCAGGAAGTGGGTTTCTTACAGGACAAATTGTTCAGTAGAAATACCTCCTCTCTTCATTTTCTCTCTTTTTATTCTCTGAGTCCTGCTTTGAGGCAAGCCCCAGTCATGAAGCTGACTTCTGCAGTAGCGGCCGAGGCCGTAAAGGCACCTAACTCTCTGAAAGACTTTTTCTCCGATCAGTGGACCCTGTGGTCTTGTTGCCCTGCCCTTAAGGTGAACTCAGTCCTTGATGTGTGTAACAGTGCAGGGAGGATAAAAACCCAGTTTTTAAGTTATAGTACTGGGAAAAGGGACTCTGGGTTCTGGAAAGTGTGGGGGAAATATCACAGAAAGAAAGGAATTGACAAAGAAATCCCTTGAATCTGTGTATCAAATCTTAAACTCACCACTGAGTTGCACATGCATAAAACAGATCTGAAGCAGCACAGCAAAGGCTTGGAGAACTGAACTACGTGTAGAATGCCTCCTATATCCTATACCTGGGTGGTGCTCCCATGGTGCAGACCCAAATATCAAAGCAAATGTTTTGAAAAATAAAAACTGACATTGAAACAGAAACATGCAAAAGGTGGATGAGAACTTGCACTCCAACCTAATCAGATTGATTACAAAAATAAAAATAGACATTTTCCAGAGCATTTAAACTAGAGTCAGAGACTCAAAACAAAATTTAAAATGTCTAGGATATAATCTGAAATTACTCAACATACAAAGAACCAGAAAAATCTCAGTAATTCTCACAAGAAAGTAAGAATCAACAGATTGCAACCCCAGATGATCCAGATGTTGGAATTATCAGACAAAGACTTTAAAGCAATTATAATAGCTATGTTCCATGAAGTAAGGGCACATACTCTTGAAATGAAGGGAAAGATACAAGTTTTCAGCAAATAAGCAAAAACTAAAAGAAATAACCAAATGAGGATTTTAGACCTCAAATTACAACAACTGAAAAAAAAGTTCCCTGGAATTATTGAATAGCGGAATGGAGATACCAGAGGAGATGAGAAACGTGAAAATAGATAAATAAAAATTATCCAAGGAAAATTTTAAAACATTTTGAACATACCAAAATTTGTGGGATGCAACCAAGGCAATGCTTATAGGAAAATATGGAACATTAAATGCTCATATTAGACAAGAAGGTCTGAAATCAAAATATAGTATTATACCTTAAGAAGCTAGAAAGAGTTAAACCCAAAGTATGTAGAAAGAAGGAAGCAATAAAGAGCAGAAATCAATGAAATTTAAAACAGAAAAATAATGGAAAAAATAATCAAAACCGAAAGCTTGTTCATTGAAAAGACCAGTAATATCCGGAATGAGGTGAGAGAGAGAGAGAGGAAAAAAAAAAAAACACAAGAATTACAGGTATCAGAAACAAAAAAGGAGATATCTCAATAGATGCCACAGACATTAAAAATACAACAAGGGAATACAATAAACAACTATGCTGATAAATTTAAGACTTTAGATTAAATAGACCAATTATTTGAAATACACAAGTTGCTAAAGTTTATACAAAAAGAAATGGAAAACTTGAGTACTTTTATCCGTATCCAAGAAACAGAATTTATAGTTAAAAACCTTCCAGCAGGGAGAATTTCAAACCTAAGTGTCTTTACTTGTGAGTTCTACCAAATACATAAGGAGGAAATAATGCCAGTTTTACATGATCTCTACTCATCTTACAAGACCAACATAACTTGCATGCAAAATTAGGGAAATAGAATAGAAGAATAAAAAGAAGGAGGAAGAAAAGGAAGAGGAGTGTTTATATGAAACATAAAGTAATTAGAATAGCTAAAATAATTTTTTAAAGAGAAGAAAAATGTTGGAGGATGCAAAATACCTGATTTTAAGACTTCCTGTAAAGCCACAGTAGTCAAGAGAGTATGATATTGGTGAAAGAATAGAAAAATACATCAATGGAACATTTCAATAACCCTCATAAACATAGCAACACAGGCACAAAAACCTCCAGTAAAATATTAATGGTGCAAATCCAGCTATATATTAAAAGTATATTACTACCAAAGGGAAGAGGGTTATCCCAGAAATGTAAGGCTGGTTCAACATTCTAAAATCAATCAATGTAACTTACCTTATTATGTTTTATTTTCAGAAATCATTCATTAGTTTGTTTGATAAATATTTTTGAGCACCTACTGTATGTCTGGTATAGTTGTAGGTCCTTGGGAATCATCAGTAAAATGCATTAATACATGACTTTAATTCTGCAGCATTTAGAAAAAAAACTCTCTGATGTTTGATGGGTTTTTAAAATATATATACATATATTTTTATTATACTTTAAGTTCTAGGGTACATGTGCATAATGTGTAGGTTTGTTACGTATGTATATATGTGCCATGTCGGTGTGCTACACCCATTGACTCATCATTTACATTAGGTATATCTCCGAATGCCATCTCTCCCCTCTACCCCCCCTACAACAGGCCCTGATGTGCGATGTTCCCCTTCCTGTGTCCAAGTGTTCTCATTGTTCAATTCCCACCTATGAGTGAGAACATGTGGTGTCTGGTTTTTTGTCCTTGTGATAGTTTGCTGAGAATGATGGTTTTCAGCTTCATCCATGTCCCTACAAAGGACATGAACTCATCCTTTTTTACGCCTGCATAGTATTCCATGGTGTATATGTGCCACATTTTCTTAATCCAGTCTATCATTGTTTGACATTTGGGTTGGTTCCAAGTCTTTGCTATTGTTAGTAGTGCCACAATAAACATACGTGTGCATGTGTCTTCATAGCAGCATGATTTATTTTCCTTTGGGTATATACCCAGTAATGGGAAGGCTGGGTCAAATGGTATTTCTAGTTCTAGATCCCTGAGGGATTGCCACACTGACTTCCACAGTGGTTGAACTAGTTTACAGTCCCACCAACAGTGTAAAAGTGTTCCTATTTCTCCATATCCTCTCTAGCACCTGTTGTTTCCTGACTTTTTAATGATTGCCATTCTAACTGGTGTGAGATGATATCTCATTGTGGTTTTGATTTGCATTTCTCTGATGGCCAGTGATGATGAGCATTTTTTCATGTGTCTGTTGGCTGCATAAATGTCTTCTTTTGAGAAGTGTCTGTGCATATCCTTTGCCCACTTGTTGATGGGGTTGTTTGTTTTTTTCTTGTAAATTTGTTTGAGATCATTGTAGATTCTGGATATTAGCCCTTTGTCAGATGAGTAGGTTGCAAAAATTTTCTCCCATTCTGTAGGCTGCCTTTTCACTCTTATGGTAGTTTCTTTTGCTGTGCAGAAGCTCTTTAATTTAATTACATCCCATTTGTCAATTTTGGCTTTTTTTTTTTTTTTTGAGTTTTTTATTTTTAATTAATTTTTGATAAGAGTCTGGCTCTGTCACAGGGGTTGGAGTTTAATGGCAAAATCATAGGTCACTGCCACCGTGACTGCCTAGGTTCAAGCAATCCCGCCTTCAGGTGCAGGCCACCAAATGGGCTTTTTTTTTTTTTTTTTTTTTTTTTTTTTTTTTTTTTTGGCAAAGAGAAGGTCCGGTTGTGCTGCCCTGCCTGGTTTTGAACTGGGCTCAAATGATCCTCCCTCCTCAGCCTCCCAAAGTGCTGGGATTATAGGCTTGAGGCACTAACCACACCCGGCCTTTGTTTTTGATGACAGCCATTCTAGTTAAGTTGTGAAGCAGTATCTACTTGTGGTTTCGTTTTGCATTTCCCTCGTGACTAAGGATATTGAGCATCTTTTCATGTGCATATTAAACCATTTGTTTATCTTCTTTGTTGAAACGTTTATTGAGATATTTTGCCTTTTTTTTTTTTTTTGCAACTTCTTCCAGGAAGGCACTAATTTTTTTTTTTTTTTAATTTATTTTTTTATTGATAATTCTTGGGTGTTTCTCACAGAGGGGGATTTGGCAGGGTCATGGGACAATAGTGGAGGGAAGGTCAGCAGATAAACAAGTGAACAAAGGTCTCTGGTTTTCCTAGGCAGAGGACCCTGTGGCCTTCCGCAGTGTTTGTGTCCCTGATTACTTGAGATTAGGGATTGGTGATGACTCTTAACGAGCATGCTGCCTTCAAGCATCTGTTTAACAAAGCACATCTTGCACCGCCCTTAATCATTTTAACCCTGAGTGGACACAGCACATGTTTCAGAGAGCACAGGGTTGGGGGTAAGGTCACAGATCAACAGGATCCCAAGGCAGAGGAATTTTTCTTAGTGCAGAACAAAATGAAAAGTCTCCCATGTCTACTTCTTTCTACACAGACATGGCAACCATCCGATTTCTCGATCTTTTCCCCACCTTTCCCGCCTTTCTATTCCACAAAGCCGCCATTGTCATCCTGGCCCGTTCTCAATGAGCTGTTGGGCACACCTCCCAGACGGGGTGGTGGCCGGGCAGAGGGGCTCCTCACTTCCCAGTAGGGGCGGCCGGGCAGAGGCGCCCCTCACCTCCCGGATGGGGCGGCTGGCCGGGCAGGGGGGCTGACCCCCCCCACCTCCCTCCTGGACGGGGCGGCTGGCCGGACGGGGGGCTGACCCCCCCACCTCCCTCCCGGACGGGGCGGCTGGCCGGGCAGAGGGGCTCCTCACTTCCCAGTAGGGGCGGCCGGGCAGAGGCGCCCCTCACCTCCCGGACGGGGCGGCTGGCCGGGCTGGGGGGCTGACCCCCCCCCACCTCCCTCCCGGACGGGGCGGCTGGCCGGGCAGGGGGCTGACGCCCCCACCTCCCTCCCGGACGGGGCGGCTGGCCGGACAGAGGGGCTCCTCACTTCCCAGTAGGGGCGGCCGGGCAGAGGCGCCCCTCACCTCCCGGATGGGGCGGCTGGCCGGGCGGGGGGGCTGACCCCCCCCACCTCCCTCCTGGACGGAGCGGCTGGCCGGGCGGGGGGCCGACACCCCCACCTTCCTCCCGGGCGGGGTTGCTGGCCAGGCGGGGGGCCGACCCCCCCACCTCCCTCCCGGACGGGGCGGCTGGCCGGGTGGGGGGCCGACTCCCCCACCTCCCTCCCGGACGGGGCGGCTGGCCGGGCAGAGGGGCTCCTCACTTCCCAGTAGGGGAGGCCGGGCAGAGGCGCCCCTCACCTCCCAGACGGGGCGGCTGGCCGGGCAGAGGGCTGACCCCCCCACCTCCCTCCCAGACAGGGCGGCTGGCCGGGCGGGGGGCTGACCCCCCCACCTCCCTCCCGGACGGGGCGGCTGGCCGGGTGGGGGGGCTGACCCCCCCATCTCCCTCCCGGACGGGGTGGCTGGCCGGGCTGAGGGGCTCCTCACTTCCCAGTAGGGGCGGCCGGGCAGAGGCGCCCCTCACCTCCCGGACGGCACGGCTGGCCAGGCGGGGGGCTGACGCCCCCCCCCGGATGGCACGGCTGGCCGGGCGGGGGGGCTGACCCCCACCTCCCTCCCGGATGGGGCGGCTGGCCGGGCGGGGGGCTGACCCCCCCCACCTCCCTCCCGGACGGGGTGGCTGCCGGGCGGAGACGCTCCTCACTTCCCAGATGGGGTGGCTGCCGGGCGGAGAGGCTCCTCACTTCTCAGACGGGGCAGCTGCCGGGCGGAGGGGCTCCTCACTTCTCAGACGGGGTGGTTGCCAGGCAGAGGGTCTCCTCACTTCTCAGACGGGGCGGCCGGGCAGAGACGCTCGTCACCTCCCAGACGGGGTCTCGGCCGGGCAGAGGCGCTCCTCACATCCCAGATGGGGCGGCGGGGCAGAGGCGCTCCCCACATCTCAGACGATGGGCGGCCGGGCAGAGACGCTCCTCACTTCCTAGATGTGATGGCGGCTGGGAAGAGGTGCTCCTCACTTCCTAGATGGGATGGCAGCTGGGCGGAGACGCTCCTCACTTTCCAGACTGGGCAGCCAGGCAGAGGGGCTCCTCACATCCCAGACAATGGGCGGCCAGGCAGAGACACTCCTCACTTCCCAGACAGGGTGGCGGCCGGGCAGAGGCTGCAATCTCGGCACTTTGGGAGGCCAAGGCAGGCGGCTGGGAGGTGTAGGTTGTAGTGAGCCGAGATCACGCCACTGCACTCCAGCCTGGGCACCATTGAGCACTGAGTGAACGAGACTCCGTCTGCAATCCCGGCACCTCGGGAGGCCGAGGTTGGCGGATCACTCGCGGTTAGGGGCTGGAGACCGGCCCGGCCAACACAGCGAAACCCCGTCTCCACCAAAACCAGTCAGGTGTGGTGGCGCATGCCTGCAATCGCAGGCACTCGGCAGGCTGAGGCAGGAGAATCAGGCAGGGAGGTTGCAGTGAGCCGAGATGGCAGCAGTACAGTCCAGCTTCGGCTCCGCATGAGAGGGAGACCGTGGGGAGAGGGAGAGGGAGAGGGAAAGGGAGAGGGAGAGGGAGAGCCAATTTTGGCTTTTGTTGCCATTGCTTTTGGTGTTTTAGACATGAAGTCCTTGCCCATGCCTGTGTCCTGAATGGTATTGCCTAGGTTCTCTTCTAGGGTTTTTATGGTTATAGGTCTAACATTTAAGTCTTTAATCCATCTTGCATTAATTTTTGTATAAGGTGCAAGGAAAGGATCCAGTTTCAGCTTTCTACATATGGCTAGCCAGTTTTCCCAGCACCATTTATTAAATAGGGAATCCTTTCCCTGTTTCTTGTTTTTGTCAGGTTTGTCAAAGATCAGATAGTTGTAGGTGTGTGGTATTATTTCCGAGGGCTCTGTTCTGTTCCATTGGTTTATATCTCTGTTTGGTACCAGTATCATGTGTTTTGGTGACTGTAGCCTTATAATATAGTTCGAAGTCAGGTAGCATGATGCCTCCAGCTTTGTTCTTTCAGCTTAGGATTGACTTGGCAATGCGGGCTCTTTTTTGGTTCCATATGAACTTTAAAGTAGTTTTTTCCAGTTCTGTGAAGAAAGTCATTGGTAGCTTGATGGGGATGGCATTGAATCTATAAATTATCTTGGGCAGTATGGTCATTTTCATGATATTGATTCTTCCTATCCATGAGCAAGAAATGTTCTTCCATTTGTTTGTGTCCTCTTTTATTTTGTTAAGCAGTGGTTTGTAGTTCCCCTTGAAGAGGTCCTTCACATCCCTTGTAAGTTGGATTCCTAGGCATTTTATTCTCTTTGAAGCAATTGTGAATGGGAGTTCACTCATGATTTGGCTCTCTGTTTGTCTGTTATTGGTGTATAAGAATGCTTGTGATTTTTGCACACTGATTTTGTATCCTGAGACTTTGCTGAAGTTGGTTATCAGCTTAAGGAGATTTTAGGCTGAGATGATGGGATTTTCTAGATATGCAATCATGTCATCTGCAAGCAGGGACAATTTGACTTCCTCTTTTCCTAATTGAATACCCTTTATTTCTTTCTCCTGCCTGATTGCCCTGGCCAGAACTTCCAACACTATGTTGAATAGGAGTGGTGAGAGAGGGCATCCCTGTCTTGTGCCAGGTTTCAAAGGGAATGCTTCCAGTTTTTGCCCATTCAGTATGATATTGGCTGTGCATTTGTCATAGATAGCTCTTATTATTTTGAGATACATCCCATCAATACCTAATTTATTGAGAGTTTTTTTGCATCCACGGCTGTTGAATTTTTCCAAAGGCATTTTCTGCATCTATTGAGATAATCATGTGGTTTTTGTCTTTGGTTCTGTTTATATGCTGGATTATGTTTATTGATTTGTGTATATTGAACCAGCCTTGCATCCCAGGGATGAAGGCCACTTGATCATGGTGGACAAGCTTTTAGATGTGCTGCTGGATTTGGTTTGCCAGTATTTTATTGAGGATTTTTGCGTCGATGTTCATCAGGGACATTGGTCTAAAATTGTCTTTTTTGGTTGTGTCTCTGCCAGGCTTTGGTATCACAATGATGCTGGCCTCATAAAATGAGTTAAGGAGGATTCCCTCTTTTTCTATTGATTGGAATAGTTTCAGAAGGAATGGTGCCAGCTCCTCCTTGTACTTCTGGTAGAATTCAGCTGTGAATCCATCTGGTTCTGGACCTTTTTTGATTGGTAAGCTATTAATTATTGCCACAATTTCAGAGCCTGTTATTGGTCTATTCAGAGATTCAACTTCTTTATGGTTTAGTCTTGGGAGGGTGTATATGTCCAGGAATTTATCCATTTCTTCTAGATTTTCTAGTTTATTTTCATAGAGATGTTTATAATATTCTCTGATGGTAGTTTGTATTTCTGTGAGATCGGTGGTGATATCCCCTTTATCATTTTTTATTGCATCTATTTGATTCTTCTCTGTTTTCTTCTTTATTTGTCTTGCTAGTGGTCCATCAAATTTTGTTGATCTTTTCAAAAAAAAGCAGCTCCTGGATTCATTGATTTTTTGAAGGGTTTTTGTGTCTCTATTTCCTTCAGTTCTGCTCTGATCTTAGTTATTTCTGGCTTTCTGCTAGCTTTTGTATGTGTTTGCTCTTGCTTCTCTAGTTCTTTTAATTGTGATGTTAGGGTGTTAATTTTAGATCTTTCCCGCTTTCTCTTGTGGGCATTTAGTGCTATAAATTTCCCTCTACACACTGCTTTAAATGTGTCCCAGAGATTCTGGTATGTTGTGTCTTTGTTCTCATTGGTTTCAAGAACATCTTTATTTCTGTCTTCATTTCATTATGTACCCAGTAGTCATTCAGGAGCAGGTTGTTCAGTTTCCATGTAGTTGAGTGGTTTTGAGTGAGTTTCTTAATCCTGAGTTCTAGTTTGATGGCACTGTGGTCTGAGAGACAGTTTGTTATAATTTCTGTTCTTTTACATTTGCTGAGGTGTGCTTTACTTCCAAGTATGTGGTCAATTTTGGAATAGGTGCAGCGTTGTGCTGAAAAAAAAAATGTATATTCTGTTGATTTGGGGTGGAGAGTTCTGTAGATGTCTATTAGGTCCGCTTGGTGCAGAGCTGAATTCAATTCCTGGATATTCTTGTTAACTTTCTGTCTCATTGATTTGTCTAATGTTGACAATGGGGTGTTGAAGTCTCCCATTATTATTGTGTGGGTGTCTAAGTATCTTTGTAGGTTTCTAAGGACTTGCTTTATGAATCTGGGTGCTCCTGTATTGGGTGCATATATATTTAGGATAGTTAGCTCTTCTTGTTGAATTGATCTCTTTACCATTATATAATGGCCTTCTTTGTCTCTTTTGATCTTTGTTGGTTTAAAGTCTGTTTTATCAGAGCCTAGGATTGCAACCCCTGCTTTTTTTTGTTTTCCGTTTGCTTGGTAGATCTTCCTCTATCCCTTTATTTTGAGCCTATGTGTGTCTCTGCACGTGAGATGGGTTTCCTGAATACAGAATACTGATGGGTCTTGACTATCCAATTTGTCAGTCTGGGTCTTTTAATTGCAGCATTTAGCCCCTTTACATTTAAGGTTAATATTGTTATGTGTGAATTTGTAGTGAACATCATAACATCACTATGATGTTAGCTGGTTATTTTGCTTGTTCGTTGATGCAGTTTCTTCCTAGCCTCAATGGTCTTTACAATTTGGCATGTTTTTGCAGTGGCTGGTACTGGTTGCTCCTTTCCATGTTTAGTGCTTCCTTCAGGAGCTCTTTTAGGGCGGGCCTGCTGGTGACAAAATCTCTCAGCATTTGCTTGTCTATAAAGGATTTTATTTCTCCTTCACTTATGAAACTTAGTTTGGCTGGATATGAAATTCTGGGATGAATTTCTTTTCTTTAAGAATGTTGAATATTGGCTCTCACTCTCTTCTGGCTTGTAGAATTTCTGCCAAGAGATCCGCTGTTAGTCTGATGAAGTTCCCTTTGTGGGCAGCCCTCTGGCTGCCCTTAACATTTTTTCCTTCATTTCAACTTTGGTGAATCTGACAATTATGTATCTTAGAGTTGCTCTTCTTGAGGAGTATCTTTGGGGCGTTCTCTGTATCTACTGAATTTGAATGTTGGCCTGCCTTGCTAGATTGGAGAAGTTCCCCTGGATAATATCCTCCAGAGTGTTTTCCGATTTGGTTCCATTCTCCCCATTACCTTCAGGTTTGCCAATCAGATGTAGATTTGGTCTTTTCAACTAGTCCCATATTTCATGGAGGCTTTGTTCATATGTTTTTATTCTTTTTTCTCTAAACTTCTCTTCTTGCTTCATTTCTTTCATTTGATCTTCCATCACTGATACCCTTTCTTCCAGTTGATCGAATCGGCTACTGAAGCTTGTGCATTCATCACGTGGTTCTCGTGCCATGGTTTTCAGCTCCATCAGGTCCTTTAAGGACTTCTCTGCACTGGTTATTTTAGTTAGCCATTTGTCTAATCTTTTTTCAAGGTTTTTAATTTCTTTGTGATAGGTTCAAACTTCCTCCTTTGGCTCGGAGAAGTTTGATCGCCTGAAGCCTTCTTGTCTCAGCTCATCAAAGTCATTCTCCACCCAGCTTTGTTCCATTGCTTGTGAGGAGCTGCATTCATTTGGAGGAAGAGAGGTGCTCTGATTTTTAGAATTTTCAGTTTTCCTGTTCTGTTTTATCCCCATCTTTGTGGTTTTATCTACCTTTGGTCTTTGATGATGGTGATGTACAGATGGGGTTTTGGTGTGGATGTCCTTTCTGTTTGTTAATTTTCCTTTTAACAGTCAGGACCCTCAGCTGCAGGTCTGTTGGAGCTTGCTGGAGGTCCACTCCAGACCCTGTTTGCCTGGGTATCAGCAGCAGAGGCTGCAGAACAGTGAATTTGCTAAACAGCAAATGTTACTGTCTGATCGTTCCTCTGGAGATTTCATCTCAGAAACCTCCACCAGCTGTGTGAGGTGTCAGTCTGCCCCTACTGGGGGGTGCCTCCCAGATAGGCTACTTGGGTGTCAGGGACCCACTTGAGGAAGCAGTCTGTCCATTTTCAGATCTCAAACTCCGTGCTGAGAGAACCACTACTCCCTTCAAAGCTGTCAGACAGGGACATTTAAGTCTGCAGAGGTTTCTGCTGCCTTTTGTTCGGCTATGCCCTGCCTCAACCAGTGGAGTCTACAGAGGTGGGCATGCCTCCTCGATCTGTGGTGTGCTCCACCCAGTTTGAGCTTCCTGGACACTTTGTTTACCTACTCAAGCCTCAGCAATGGCGGGTGCCCCTCCCCCAGCCTTGCTGCCACCTTGCAGTTCAATCTGAGACTGCTGTGCTAGCAATGAGCGAGGCTCCATGGGCATGGGAGCCTCCCAGTCATGCGCGGGATATAATCTCCTGGTGTGCCATTTGCTAAGACCATTGGAAAAGCACAATATTAGGGTGGGAGTGACCCAATTTTCCAGGTGCCATCTGTCACAGCTTTGCTTGGCTATGAAAGGGAATTCCCTGATCCCTTGTGCTTCCTGGGTGAGGTGATGCCTCACCATGTTTCAGCTCATGCTTGGTGCACTGCACCAACTGTTCTGCACCCACTGTCTGACAAGCCCCATTGAGATGAACCCAGTACCTTAGTTGGAAATGCAGAAATCACCCATCTTCTGCATCACTCATGCTGGGAGCTGTAGACTGGAGCTGTTCCTATTTGGCCATCTTGGAACTGCCCTTACCTTATTATGTTAACACACTGAAAAAGAAAAAAAAAGATTGTTTTAGTAGATGCATATTTTTTTCATAATTCAACATGCATTCATTGGTAAATTGATAAAGAGCATCTATGGAAAACTCAGCTAACATCATATTTAATAGTGAAAAGCTAAATGATTTCCCTTAGAGACTGGGAACAAGGTAAGATTGCCTCCTTTCACCATTTCTATCTAATATTATAGTGGACACCTTAGCCAGTGTAATAAGATAAGAAAGATACATTAAAAATGTAAACTAAAGATGGCCAAATAGGAACAGCTCTGGTCTTCAGCTCCCAGCATGATTGAGCAGAAGATGGGTGATTTATGCATTTCCAACTGAGGTACCTGGTTTGTCTCATTGGGACTGGTTGGACAGTGGGTGCAGCCCACGGAGGGTGAGCCAAATCAGGGCGGGGTGTCGACTCACCTAGGAAGTGCAAGGGGATGGGGGATTTCCCTTTCCTAGCCAAGGGAAGCCATGACAGACAGTACCTGGAAAAATGGGACACTCCCATCCAAATACTGTGCTTTTCCAATGGTCTTAGCAAATGACACACCAGGAGATTATATCCCATGCCCAGGTCCATGAGTTCCACACCCACGGAGCCTTGCTCACTGCTTGGGCAGCAGTCTGAGATCAACGTGCAAGGCAGCAGCAGGGGAGGGGCGTCCTCCATTGATGAGGCTTGAGTAGGTAAGCAAAACAGCCAGGGAAGCTTGAACTGGGGGGAGCTCACCTCAGCTCAGCAAGGCTGGCTGCCTCTGTAGATTCCATCTCTGGGGGCTGGGCATAGCTGAACAAAAGGCAGCAGAAATTTCTGGAGACTTAAACATCCCTGTCTGACAGCTCTGAAGAGAGCAGTGGTTCTCCCAGCATGGCGTTTGAGCTCAGAGAACAGACTGCCTCCTCAAGTGGGTCCCTGAACCCCATGTGGCCTAACTGGGAGACATCTCCCAGTAGGGGCCCACTGACACCTCACACACACGGGTGCCCCTCTGGGATGAAACTTCCAGAGAAAGGATCAGGAAGCAATATTTGCTGTTCTGCAATATTTGCTGCCCTGCAGCCTTGGCTGGTGGTACCAAGGCTGTGGAACTCCAGCAAACTCCAACAGACCTGCAGTTGAGGGACCTGACTGTTAGAAGGAAAACTAACAAACAGAAAGGAATAGCAACAAGATCAACAAAAAGGACATCCACATCCACATCAAAACCCCATCTGTAGGTCACCAACATCAAAGACCAAATGTAGATAAATCCACAAAGATGGGGAGAAACCAGAGGAGAAAAGCTGAAAATTCTAAAAATCAGAGCTCCTCTTCTCCTCCTCCAAAGGGTCGCAGCTCCTCACCAGCAATGGAACAAAGCTGGATGGAGAATGACTTTGACAAGCTGACAGAAGTAGGCTTCAGAAGGTTGGTAATAACAAAATTCTCTGAGCTAAAGGAGGATGTTCGAACCTATCACAAGGAAGATAAAACCTTGATAAAGGTTAGAAGAATGGCTAACTAGAATAAACAGTGTAGAGAAGACCTTAAATGACCTAATGGAGCTGAAAACCATGGAATGAGAACTACATGAAGCATGCAGAAGGTTCAATAGCTGATTCAATCAAGTGCAAGGAAATATATCAGTGATTGAAGATCAAATTAATGAAATAAAGCAAGAAAACAAGTTTAGAGAAAAAGGAGTAAAAAGAATTGAAAAAACCCTCCAAGAAATATGGGACTATGTGAAAAGACCAAATCTACATTTGATTGGTGTACCTGAAAGTGACAGGGAGAATGGAACCAAGTTGCAAAACACTCTGTGGGATATTATCCAGGAGAACTTCCCCAACCTAGAAAGGCAGGCCAACATGCAAATTCAGGAAATACAGAGAACACCATAAAGATACTCCTCGAGAAGAGCAACCCCAAGACACATAATTATCAGATTCACCAAAGTTGAAATGAAGGAAGAAATGTTAAGGGCAGCCAGAGAGAAAGGTTGGGTTACCAACAAAGGAAAGCCCATCAGACTAACAGCTGATCTCTCAGCAGAAACTCTACAAGCCAGAAGAGAGTGGGGGTGAATATTCAACATTCTTAAAGAATAGAATTTTCAACCCAGAATTAAATATCCAGCCAAACTAAGCTTCATAAGTGAAGGAGAAATAAAATCCTTCACAGACAAGCAAATACTGAGAGATTTTGTCACCAGCAGGCCTGCCTTACAAGAGCTCCTGAAGGAAGCACTAAACATGGAAAGGAAAAACTGGTACCAGCCACTGCAAAAACATGCCAAATTGTAAAGACCATTGAGGCTAGGAAGAAACTGCATAAACTAACAGGCAAACAAAACACCTAACATCATAATGACAGGATCAAATTCTTGCATAACAATATTAGCTTTAAATGTAAATGAGCTAAATGCCCCAATTAAAAGACACAGACTGGCAAATTGGATAAAGAGTCAAGACCCATCAGTGTACTGTATTCAGGAGAGCTATCTCACAAGCAAAGACACACATAGACTCAAAAGAAAGGGATGGAGGAAGATCTACCACGCAAATGGAAAGCAAAAAAAGGCAGGGGTTACAATCCTAGTCTCTGATAAAACAGACTTTAAACCAACAAAGATCGAAAGCGACAAAGGCCATTACATGAGGTAAAAGGATCAATTCAACAAGAAGTGCTAACTATCCTAAAAATATATGCACCCAATACAGGAGCATCCAGACTCATACAACCAGTCCTTAGAGACCTACAAAAAGACTTAGACTCCCACACAATAATAATCAGAGATTTAACACCCCACTGTCAATATCAGATAGATCAATGAGACAGAAGGTTAACAAGGATATCCAGCACCTGAACTCAGCTCTGCACCAAGCAGACCTAATAGACATCTACAGAACTCTCCACCCCAAATCAACAGAATATACATTCTTCTTAGCACCACATCACACTTATTCCAAAATTGACCACATAGTTGGAAGTAAAGCACTCCTCAGCAAATGTAAAAGAACAGAAATTATAACAAACTGTCTCTCAGACCACAGCACAATCAAATGTCAGCTCAGGATAAAGAAACTCACTTAAAACTGCACAACTACATGGAAACTGAACAACCTGCTCCTGAATGACTACTGGGTACATAATGAAATGACGGCAGAAATAAAGATGTTCTTTGAAACCAATGAGAACAAAGACACAATGTACGAGAATCTCTGGGACACATTTAAAGCAGTGTGTAGGGGAAATTTATAGCACTAAGTGCCCACAAGAGAAAGGAGGAAAGATCTAAAATCAACACCCTAACATCACAATTGAAAGAACTAGAGAAGCAAGAGCAAACAAATTCAAAAGCTAGCAGAAGGCAAGAAATAATTAAGATCAGAACAGAACTGAAGGAAATAGAGACACAAAAAAATCTTTTAAAAAAATCAATGAATCCAGGAGCTGGCTTTTGGAAAAGATCAATAAAATTGATAGACTACTCTCAAGGCTAAAAAGAAGAAAAGAGAGAAGAATCAAATAGACACAGTAAAAAATGATAAAGGGGATATCACCACCGATCACACAGAAATACAAACTACCATCAGAGAATATTATAAACACCACTATGCAAATAAACTAGAAAATCTAGACGAAATGGATAAATTCCTGGACACATACACCCTCCCAAGACTAAACCACGAAGAAGTTGAATCTCTGAATAGACCAATAATAGGCTCTGAAATAGAGGCAATAATTAATAGCCTACCAACCCAAAAAAGTCCAGGACCAGATGGATTCACAGCCAAATTCCACCAGAGGTACAAAGAGGAGCTGGTACCATTATTTCTGAAACTATTCCAATCAATAGAAAAAGAGGGAATCCTCCCTAACTCATTTTACAAGGCCAGCGTTATCCTGATACCAAAGCCTGGCAGAGACACAACAATAAAAGAGAATTTTAGACCGATATCCCTGATGAACATGAATGTGAAAATCCTCAATAAAATACTGGCTAACTGAATCCAGTAGCACAACAAAAAGTTTATTCACCATGATCAAGTCAGCTTCATCCCTGGGATGCAAGGCTGATTGAACATATGCAAATCAATAAACATAATCCATCACATAAACAGAACTGATGACAAAAACCACATGATTATCTCAATAGACTATTTTAAAGTTTGTATGGAACCAAAAAAGGGCCTGCATTGCCAAGACAATCCTAAGAAAAAAGAACAAAGCTGGAGGCATCATGCTACCTGACTTCAAGCTATACTACAAGGCTACAGTCACCAAAACAGCATGGTACCTGTACCAAAACAGATATATAGACCAATGGAAGAGAACAGAGGCCTCAGAAGTAACACCACACATCTACAACCATCTGATCTTTGACAAGCCTGACAAAAACAAGAAATTGGGAAAGGATTCCCTGTTTAATAATGGTGCTGGGGAGACTGGCTAGCCTTAAGTAGAAAGCTGAAACTGGATCCCTTCCTTACACCTTATACAAAAATTAATTCAAGATGGATTAAAGACTTAAATGTTAGACCTAAAACCATAAAAACCCTAGAAGAAAACCTAGGCAATACCATTCAGGCTATAGGCATGGGCAAAGACTTCATGACTAAAACACCAAAAGCAATGGCAACAAAAGCCAAAATTGACAAATGGGATGTAATTAAACTAAAGAGCTTCTTCACAGCTAAAGAAACTACCATCAGAGTGAATAGGCAACCTACAGAAAGGGAGAAAGTTGTTACAATCTACCTATCTGACAAAGGGCTAATATCCAGAATCTATAAATAACTTACACAAATTTACAAGAAAAGAAACAACCCCATCAAAAAGTGGGCAAAGGATATGAACAGACACTTCTCAAAAGAAGACATTTATGCAGCCAACAGACACATGAAAAAATGCTCATCATCACTGGTCATCAGAGAAATGCAAATCAAAACCACAATTAGATACCATCTCATGCCAGATAGAATGGCGATCATTAAAAAGTCAGGAAACAACAGATGCTGGAGAATACGTGGAGAAGTAGGAATGGTTTTACACTGTTGGTGGGAGTGTAAAATAGTTTGACCATTGTGCAAGACAGTGTGGCGATTCCTCAAGGATCTAGAACTAGAAATACAATTTGATCCGGCCATCCCATTGCTGGGTATATACCCAAAGGATTATAAATCATGCTACTATAAAGACACATGATATGTATGTTTATAGTGGCACTTAAATGTCCCTGTCTGACAGCTTTGAAGAGAGCAGTGGTTCTCCCAGCACACACCTGGAGATCTGAGAATGGACAGACTGTCTCCTCAAGTGGGTCCCTGACCGTTGAGTAGCCTAATTGGGAGGCACCCCTCAGTAGGGGCAGACTGACACCTCACATGGCCGGGTACTCCTCTGAGACAAAAATTCCAGCGGAACAATCAGGGAGCAACATTTGCTGTTCACCAATATCAGCTGTTCTGCAGCCTCCGCTGCTGATACCCAGGCAAACAGGGTCTGGAGTGGACCTCTGGCAAATTCCAACAGATCTGGAGCTGAGGGCCTTGACTGTTAGAAGGAAAACTAACAAACAGAAAGGACATCCACACCAAAACCCCATCTGTACATCAGCATCATCAAAGACCAAAGGTAGATAAAACCACAAAGATGGGGATAAAACAGAACAGGAAAAGTGAAAACTCTAAAAATCAGAGAGCCTCCTCCTCCAAAGGAATGCAGTTCCTCACCAGCAACAGAACAAGCTAGATGGAGAATGATTTTGATGAGTTGAGAGAAGGCTTCAGATGATCAAACTACTCCAAGCTAAAGGAGGAAGTTCGAACCCATGGCAAAGAAGTTAAAAACCTTGAAAAAAGTTTAGACGAATGGCTAAGTAGAATAACCAATGCAGAGAAGTCCTTAAAGGACCTGACAGAGCTGAAAACCATGGCACAAAAACTACATGATGAATGCACAAGCCTCAGTAGCTGATTCGATCAACTGGAAGAAGGGGTATCAGTGATGGAAGATCAAATGAATGAAATGAAGTGAGAAGAGAAGTTTAGAGAAAAAAGAATAAAAAGAAATGAACAAAGCCTCCAGGAAACATGGGACTATGTGAAAAGACCTAATCTACATCTGATTGGTGTACCTGAAAGTGATGGGGAGAATGGAACCAAGTTGGAAAACACTCTGCAGGATATTATCCAGGGGAACTTCCCCAATCTAGCAAGGCAGGCCAACATTGAAATTCAGGAAATACAGAGAACACCACAAAGATACTCCTCGAGAAGAGCAACTCCAAGACATATAATTGTCAGATTCACCGAAGTTGAAATGAAGGAAAAAATGTTAAGGGCAGCCAGAGAGAAAGGTCAGGTTACCCACAAACGGAAGCCCATCAGACTAACAGTGGGTCTCTTGGCAGAAACTCTACAAGCCAGAAGAGAGTCCAGGCCAATATTCAACATTCTTTTTTTTAAAATTTTTTTTAATTATTATTATACTTTAAGTTTTAGGGTACATGTGCACAGTGTGCAGGTTAGTTACATATGTATACATGTGCCTTGTTGGTGTGCTGCACCCATTAACTTGTCATTTAGCATTAGGTATATCTCCTAATGCTATCCCTCCCCCCCCCCCACCCCACAACAGTCCTCAGAGTGTGATGTTCCCCTTCCTGTGTCCATGTGCTCTCATTGTTCAATTCCCACCTATGAGTGAGAATATGCAGTGTTTGGTTTCTTGTTCTTGCGATAGTACTGAGAATGATGACTTCCAATTTTATCCATGTCCCTACAAAGGACAAGAACTCATCATTTTTTATGGCTGCATAGTATTCCGTGATGTATATGTGCCACATTTTCTTAATCCAGTCTATCATTGTTGGACATTTGGGTTGGTTCCAAGTCTTTGCTATTGTGAATAGTGCCGCAATAAACATATATGTGCATGTGTTTTTATAGCAGCATAATTTATAGTCCTTTGAGTATATACCCAGTAATGGGATGGCTGGATCAAATGGTATTTCAAATTCTAGATCCCTGAGGAATTGCCACACTGACTTCCACAATGGTTGAATTAGTTTACAGTCCCACCAACAGTGTAAAATTGTTCTTATTTCTCCACATCCTCTCCAGCACCTGTTGTTTCCTGACTTTTTAATGATTGCCATTCTAACTGGTGTGAGATGTTATCTCATTGTGGTTTTGATTTGCATTTCTCTGATGGCCAGTGATGATGAGCATTTTTTCATGTGTTTTTTGGCTGCATAAATGTCTTCTTTTGAGAAATGTCTGCTCATGTCCTTTGCCCACTTGTTGATGGAGTTGTTTGTTTTTTTCCTGTAAATTTGTTTGAGTTCATTATAGATTCTAGATATTAACCCTTTGTCAGATGAGTAGGTTGTGAAAATTTTCTCCCATTCTGTAGGTTGCCTGTTCACTCTGATGGTAGTTTCTTTTGCTGTGCAGAAGCTCTTTAGTTTAATTAGATCCCATTTGTCAATTTTGGCTTTTGTTGCCATTGCTTTTAGTGTTTTAGACATGAAGTCCTTGCCCATGGCTATGTCCTGAATGGTAATGCCTAGGTTTTCTTCTAGGGTTTTTATGGCTTTAGATCTAACATTTAAGTCTTTAATCCATCTTGAATTAATTTTTCAATTATAATTTTTCAATTATAAGGTGTAAGAAAGGGATCTAGTTTCAGCTTTCTACATAAGGCTAGCCAGGTTTCCCAGCACCATTTATTAAATAGGGATTCCTTTACCCATTGCTGATTTTTCTCAGGTTTGTCAAAGATCAGATAGTTGTAGATATGTGGCATTATTTCTGAGGGCTCTGTTCTGTCCTATTGATCTATATCTCTGTTTTGATACCAGTACCATGCTGTTTTGGTTACTATAGCCTTGTAGTATAGTTTGAAGTCAGGTAGCATGATGCCTCCAGCTTTGTTCTTTTGCCTTAGGATTGACTTGGCAATGAGGGCTCTTTTTTAGTTCCATATGAACTTTAAAGTAGTTTTTTCCAATTCTGTGAAGAAAGTCATTGGTAGCTTGATGGGGATGGCATTGAATCTATAAATTATCTTGGGCAGTATGGCCATTTTCACGATATTGATTCTTCCTACCCATGAGCATGGAATGTTCTTCCATTTGTTTGTATCCTCTTTTATTTCCTTGAGCAGTGGTTTGTAGTTCTCCTTGAAGAGGTCCTGCACATCCCTTGTAAGTTGGATTCCTAGGTATTTTATTCCCTTGAAGCAATAGTGAATGGGAGTTCACTCATGGTTTGGCTCTCTGTTTGTCTGTTATTGGTATATAAGAATGCTTGTGATTTTTGTACATTGATTTTGTATCCTGAGACTTTGCTGAAGTAGCTTACCAGCTTAAGGAGATTTTGGGCTGAGACGATGGGTTTTCTAGATACACAATCATGTCATCTGCAAACACGGACGATTTGACTTTCTCTTTTCCTAATTGAATACCCTTTATTTACTTCTTCTGCCTAATTGCCCTGGCCAGAACTTCCAACACTATGTTGAATAGGAGTGGTGAGAGAGGGCATCCCTGTCTTGTGCCAATTTTCAAAGGGAATGCTTCCAGTTTTTGCCCATTCAGTATGATATTGGCCATGGGTTTGTCATAGATAGCTCTTATTATTTTGAGATATGTTCCATCAATACCTAATTTATTGAGAGTTTTTAGCATGAAGCGTTGTAGAATTTTGTCAAATGCCTTTTCTGCATCTATTGACATAATCATGTGGGTTTTGTCTTTGGTTCTGTTTATATGCTGGAGTACAGTTATTGATTTGCATACATTGAACCAGCCTTGCATCCCAGGGATGAAACCCACTTGATCATGGTGGATAAGCTTTTTGATGTGCTGCTGGATTTGGTTTGCCAGTATTTTATTGAGGTTTTTTGCATCAATGTTCATCAAGGATATTGGTCTAAAACATTCTTTTTTGGTTGTGTCTCTGCCAGGCTTTGGTATCACGATGATGCTGGCCTCATAAAATGAGTTAGGGAGGTTTCCCTCTTTTTCTATCGATTGGAATAGTTTCAGAAGGAAGGGTACCAGCTCCTCCTTGTACCTCTGGTGGAATTCGGTTGTGAATCCATCCGGTCCTGGACTCTTTTTGGTTGGTAAGCTATTGATTATTGCCACAATTTCGAGCCTGTTATTGGTCTATTCAGAGATTCAACTTCTTCCTGGTTTAGTCTTGGGAGGGTGTATGTGTCCAGGAATTTATCCATTTCTTCTAGATTTTCTAGTTTATTTGCATAGAGGTGTTTATAGTATTCTCTGATGGTAGTTTATATTTCTGGGGGATGGTGGTGATATCCCCTTTATCACTTTTTATTGTGTCTATTTGATTCTTCTCTCTTTTCTTCTTTATTAGTCTTGCTAGCGGTCTATCAATTTTGTTGATCCTTTCAAAAAACCAGATCCTGGATTCATTAAGTTTTTGAAGGGTTTATTGTGTCTCTATTTCCTCCAGTTCTGCTCTGATTTTAGGTATTTCTTGCCTTCTGCTAGCTTTTGAATGTGTTTGCTCTTGCTTCTCTAGTTCTTTTAATTGCGATGTTAAGGTGTCAATTTTGGATCTTTCCTGCTTTCTCTTGTGGGCATTTAGTGCTATAAATTTCCCTCTACACACTGCTTTAAATGTGTCCCAGAGATTCTGGTATGTTGTGTCTTTGTTCTCATTGGTTTCAAAGAACATCTTTATTTCTGCCTTCTTTTTGTTATGTACCCAGTAGTCATTCAGGAGCAGGTTGTTTAGTTTCCATGTAGTTGAGTGGTTTTGAGTGTGTTTCTTAAACCTGAGTTCTAGTTTCTTTGCACTGTGGTCTGAGAGACAGTTTGTTATAATTTCTGTTCTTTTACATTTGCTGTGGAGAGCTTTACTTACAACTATGTGGTCAATTTTGGAATAAGTGTGGTGCGGTGTTGAAAATAATGTATATTCTGTTGATTTGGGGTAGAGAGTTCTGTAGATGTCTATTAGGTCCACTTGGTGCAGAGCTGAGTTCAATTCCTGGGTATCCTTGTTAACTTTCTGTCTTGTTGATCTGTTTAGTGTTGACAGTGGGGTGTTAAAGTCTCCCATTATTTTTGTGTGGGAGTCTAAGTCTCTTTGTAGGTCACTCAGGACTTGCTTTATGAAACTGGGTGCTCCTGTATTGGGTGCATATATATTTAGGATAGTTAGCTGTTCTTGTTGAATTGATCCCTTGACCATTATGTAATGGCCTTCTTTGTCTCTTTTGATCTTTGTTGGTTTAAAGTCTGTTTTATCAGAGACTAGAATTGCAACCCTTGCCTTTTTTTGTTTTCCATTTGCTTGGTAGATCTTCCTCCATCCTTTTATTTTGAGCTTATGTGTGTCTCTACACTTGAGATGGGTTTCCTGAATACAGCACAGTGATGAGTCTTGACTCTTTATCCAATTTGCCAGTCTGTGTCTTTTAATTGGAGCATTTAGTCCGTTTACATTTAAAGTTAATATTGTCAAGTGTGAATTTGATCCTGTCGTTTTGATGTTAGCTGGTTATTTTGCTCGTTAGTTGATGCAGTTTCTTCCTAGTCTCGATGGTCTTTACAATTTGGCATAATTTTGCAGAGGCTGGTACCGGTTTTTCCTTTCCATGTTTAGTGCTTCCTTCAGGATCTCTTTTAGGGCAGGCTTAGTGGTGACAAAATCTCTCAGCCTTTGCTTGTCTGTAAAGGATTTTATTTCTCCTTCACTTATGAAGCTTAGTTTGGCTGGATATCAAATTCTGGGTTGAAAATCTTTTCTTTAAGAATGTCGGATATTGGCCCCCACTCTCTTCTGGCTTGTAGAGTTTCTGCCAAAAGACCCACTATTAGTCTGATGGGCTTCCCTTTGTGGGTAACCCGACCTTTCTCTCTGGCTGCCCTTATCATTTTTTCCTTCATTTCAACTTTGGTGAACCTGACAATTATGTGTCTTGGAGTTGCTCTTCTCGAGGAGTATCTTTGTGGCATTCTCTGTATTTCCTGAATCTGAATTTTGGTCTGCCTTGCTAGATTGGGGAAGTTCTCCTGGATAATATCCTGCAGAGTGTTTTCCAACTTGGTTCCATTCTCCCTGTCACTTTCAGGTATACCAATCAGACATAGATTTGGTCTTTTCACATAGTCTCATATTTCTTGGAGGCTTTGTTCATTTCTTTTTATTCTTTTTTCTTTAAACTTCCCTTCTCATTTAATTTCATTCATTTCATCCTCCATCACTGATACCCTTTCTTCCAGTCGATCGCATTGGCTCCTGAAGCTTCTGCATTCTTCACGTAGTTCTCAAGCCTTGGCTTTCAGCTCCATCACCTCCTTTAAGCACTTCTCTGTATTGGTTATTCTAGTTATACATTATTCTAAATTTTTTTCAAAGTTTTCAACTTCTTTGCCTTTGGTTTGAATTTCCTCCTGTAGCTCGGAGTAGTTTGATCATCTGAAGCCTTCTTCTCTCAACTCGTTAAAGTCATTCTCCATCCAGCTTTGTTCCATTGCTGGTGAGGAACTGCATTCCTTTGGAGGAGGAGAGGTGCTCTGCATTTTAGAGTTTCCAGTTTTTCTGCTCTGTTTTTTCCCCATCTTTGTGGTTTTATCTACTTTTGGTCTTTGATGATGGTGATGTACAGATGGGGTTTTGGTGTGGATGTCCTTTCTGTTTGTTAGTTTTCCTTCTAACAGACAGGACCCTCAGCTGCAGGTGTGTTGGAGTTTGCTAGAGGTCCACTCCAGACCCTGTTTGCCTGGGTAACAGCAGCGCTGGCTGCAGAACAGCAGATTTTCATGAACCGTGAATGCTGCTGTCTGATCGTTCCTCTGGAAGTTTTGTCTCAGAGGAGTACCTGGCCGTGTGAGGTGTCAGTCTGCCCCTACTGGGGGGTGCCTCCCAGTTAGGCTACTCGTGGGTCAGGGGTCAGGGACCCACTTGAGGAGGCAGTCTGCCCATTCTCAGATCTCCAGGTGTGTGCTGGGAGAACCACTGCTCTCTTCAAAGCTGTCAGACGGGACATTTAAGTTTGCAGAGGTCTTTTTGTTTGTCTGTGCCTTGCCCCCAGAGGTGGAGCCTACAGAAGCAGGCAGGCCTCCTTGAGCTGTGGTGGGCTCCACCCAGTTGGAGCTTCCCAGCTGCTTTGTTTACCTAAGCAAGCCTGGGCAATGGCGGGTGCCCCTCCCCCAGCCTCGCTGCCACCTTGCAGTTTGATCTCAGACTGCTGTGCTAGCAATCAGTGAGACTCCATGGGCGTAGGACCCTCTGAACCAGGTGCAGGATATAATCTCCTGGTGTGCCATTTTTTAAGGCTGTCGGAGAAGCACAGTATTAGGGCAGGAGTGACCCAATTTTCCAGGTGCCGTCTGTCACCCCTTTCTTTGACTAGGAAAGGGAACTTCCTGACCCCTTGCATTTCCCGAGTCAGGCAATGCCTCACCCTGCTTCAGCTCATGCACGCTGCGCTGCACCCACTCTCCTGCACCCACTGTCTGGCACTCCCTAGTGAGATGAACCCGGTACCTCAGATGGAAATGCAGAAATCACCTATCTTCTGCATCACTCACCCTGGGAGCTGTAGACCGGAGCTGTTCCACAGCAATTTAGCAAGTTTCCAGGGGTTTTCAGCATAGCAGGCAGCTGCTTCCCAAATTCAGCTCTTCAACTTTCTTAAAGAAAAGAATTTTCAACCCAGAATTTCATATCCAGCCAAACTAAGTTTCATAAGTGAAGGAGAAATAAAATCCTTTACAGACAAGCAAATGCTGAGAGATTTTGTCACCACTAGGCCTGCCTTAAAACAGCTCCTGAAGGAAGCACTAAACATGGAAAGGAGCAATCAGTACCAGCCACTGCAAAAACATGCCAAATTGTAAAGACCATTGAGGCTAGGAAGAAACTGCATCAACGAACAAGCAAAATAACCAGCTAACATCATAATGACAGGATCAAATTCACACATATCATATTAGCCTTAAACGTAAATGGGCTAAATGCTCCAATTAAAAGACACAGACTGGCAAATTGGATAGTCAGGACCCATCAGTGTGCTGTATTCAGGAAACCCATCTCACGTGCAGAGACACACATAGGCTCAAAATAAAGGGATAGAGGAAGATCTATCAAGCAAATGGAAAACAAAAAAAGGCAGGTGTTGCAATCCTAGTCTCTGATAAAACAGACTTTAAGCCAACAAAGATCAAAAGAGACAAAGAAGGCCATTACATAATGGTAAAGAGATCAATTCAACAAGAAGAGATAACTATCCTAAATATATATGCACCCAATACAGGAGCATCCAAATTCATAAAGAAAGTCCTTAGAGACCTACAAAGAGACTTAGACTCCCACACAATAATAATGGGAGACTTTAACACCCCACTGTCAACATTAGACAGATTAATGAGACAGAAAGTTAACAAGGATAAGCAGGAATTGAACTCAGCTCTGCACCAAGCAGACCTAATAGACATCTACAGAAATCTCCACCCCAAATCAACAGAATATACATTCTTTTCAGCACCACACCACAACTATTCCAAAATTGACCACATAGTTGGAAGTAAAGCACTCCTCAGCAAATGTAAAATAATAGAAATTATAACAAAGTGTCTCTCAAACCACAGTGCAATCAAACTAGAACTCAGGATTAAGAAACTCACTCAAAACCACTCAACTACGTGGAAACTGAACAACCTGCTCCTGAATGACTACTGGGTGCATAATGAAATGAAGGCAGAAGTAAAGTTGTTCTTGAAACCAATGAGAACAAAGACACAACATACCAGAATCTCTGGGACACATTCAAAGCAGTGTGTAGAGGGAAATTTATAGCACTAAATGCCCACAAAAGAAAGCGGGAAAGATCTAAAATTGACACCCAAAAATCACAATTAAAAGAACTAGAAAAGCAAGAGCAAACAAATTCAAAAGCTAGCAGAAAGCAAGAACTAACAAAGATCAGAGCAGAACTGAAGGAAATAGAGACACAAAATACCCTTCAAAAAATCAATGAATCCAGGAGCTGGGTTTTTCAAAAGATCAACAAAATTGATAGACTGCTCTCAAGAGTGAAAAGAAGAGAGAAGAATCAAATAGACACAATAAAAAGTGATAAAGGGGATATCACCACCAATCCCCCAGAAATGTAAACTACCATCAGAGAATACTATAAACACCTCTACTCAAATAAACTACAAAATCTAGAAGAAATGGATAAATTCCTGGACACATACACCCTCCCAAGACTAAACCAGGAAGAAGTTGAATCTCTGAATAGACGAATAACAGGCTCTGAAACTGAGGCAATAATTAATAGCTTACCAACCAAAAAATGTCCAGGACCAGATGGATTCATAGCTGAATTCTACCAGAGGTACAAGGAGGAGCTGGTACCATTCCTTCTGAAACTATTCCAATCAATAGAAAAAGAGAGAATCCTTCCTAACTCATTTTATGAGGCCAGCATCATCCTGATACCAAAGCCTGGCAGAGACACAACCAAAAAAGACAATTTTACACAAATATCCCTAATGCACATCGATGCAAAAATCCTCAATAAAATACTGGCAAACCAAATCCAGCAGCACATCAAAAAGCTTATTCACCATGATCAAGTGGCCTTCATCCCTGGGATGCAAGGCTGGTTCAATGTACGCAAATCAATAAATGTAATCCAGCATATAAACAGAACCAATGAAAAAAACCACATGGTTATCTCATAGATGCAGAAAAGGCATTTGACAAAATTCAACAACGCTTCATGCGAACAACTCTCAATAAATTAGGTATTGATGGGATGTATCTCAAAATAATAGGAGCTATTTATGACAAACCCACAGCCAATATCTTACTGAATGGGCAAAAACTGGAAGTATTCCCTTTGAAACCTGGCACAAGACAGGGATGCCCTCTCTCACCACTCCTATTCAACATAGTGTTGGAAGTTCTGGCCAGGGCAATCAGGCAGGAGAAAGAAATAAAGGGTATTCAATTAGGAAAAGAGGAAGTCAAATTGTCCCTGCTTGCAGATGACATGATTGTGTATCTAGAAAACCCCATCGTCTCAGCCCAAAATCTCCTTAAGCTGGTAAGCAACTTCAGCAAAGTCTCAGGATACAAAACCAATGTACAAAAATCACAAGCATTCTTATACACCAATAACAGACAAACAGAGAGCCAAATCATGAGTGAACTCCCATTCACTATTGCTTCAAAGAGAATAAAATTCTTATGAATCCAACTTACAAGGGATGTGCAGGACCTCTTCAAGGAGAACTACAAACCACTGCTCAAGGAAATAAAAGAGGATACAAACAAATGGAAGAACATTCCATGCTCATGGGTAGGAAGAATCAATATCGTGAAAATGGCCATACTGCCCAAGATAATTTATAGATTCAATGCCATCCCCATCAAGCTACCAATGACTTTCTTCACAGAATTGGAAAAAACTACTTTAAAGTTCATATGGAACTAAAAAAGAGCCCTCATTGCCAAGTCAATCCTAAGGCAAAAGAACAAAGCTGGAGGCATCATGCTACCTGACTTCAAACTATACTACAAGGCTAAAGTCACCAAAACAGCATGGTACTGGTACCAAAACAGAGATGTAGACCAATGGAACAGAACAGAGCCCTCAGATATAATGCCACATATCTACAAATATCTGATCTTTGACAAACCTGACAAAAACAAGAAACGAGGAAAGGACTGCCTATTTAATAAATGGTGCTGGGAAAACTGGCTAGCCATATGTAGAAAGCTGAAACTGGATCCCTTCCTTACACCTTATACAAAAATTAATTCAAGATGGATTAAGGACTTAAATGCTAGACCTAAAACCATAAAAACCCTAGAAGAGAACCTAGGCAATACCATTCAGGACATAGGCATGGGCAAGGACTTCATGACTAAAACACCAAAAACAATGGCAACAAAAGCCAAATTGACAAATGGGATCTCATTAAACTAAAGAGCTTCTGCACAGCAAAAGAAACTACCATCAGAGCGAACAGGCAACCTACAGAATGGGAGAAAGCTTTTGCAATCTACTCATCTGACAAAGGGCTAATATCCAGAATCTATAATGAACTCAAACAAATTGACAAGAAAGAAACAAACAACCCCATCAACAAGTGGGCAAAGGATATGAACAGACACTTCTCAAAAGAAGACATTTATGCAGCCAAAAAACACATGAAAAAATGCTCATCATCACTGGCCATCAGAGAAATGCAAATCAAAACCACAATGAGATACCATCCCACACCAGTTAGAATGGTGATCATTAAAAAGTCAGGAAGCAACAGGTGCTGGAGAGGATGTGGAGAAATAGGAACACTTTTACACTGTTGGTGGGACTGTAAACTAGTTCAACCATTGTGGAAGTCAGTGTGGCGATTCCTCAGGGATCTAGAACTAGAAATACCATTTGACCCAGCCATCCCATTACTGGGTATATACCGAAAGGATTATAAATCATGCTGCTGTAAAGACACATGCACACGTATGTTCATTGCGGCACTATTCACAAAAGCAAAGACTTGGAACCAAGCCAAATGTCCAACAATGATAGACTGGATTAATAAAATGTGGCACATATACACCATGGAATACTATGCAGCCATAAAAAATGATGAGTTCATGTCCTTTGTAGGGACATGGATGAAGCTGGAAACCATCATTCTCAGTAAACTATCGCAAGGACAAAAAAACAAACACCACATGTTCTCACTCATAGGTGGGAATTGAACAATGAGAACACATGGACACAGGAAGGGGAACATCACACACTGGGGCCTGTTGTGGGGTGAGGGGAGAGGGGAGGGATAACATTAGAAGATATAACTGATTGAATGAGGAGTTAATGGGTGCCGCACACCAACATGGCACATGTATATATATGTAACAAACCTGCACGTTGTGCACATGTACCCTAAAACTTAAAATATAATAAAAAATAAAATAAAAAAATAAATAAGTGACCATGCTAAGGAGCAAAGAAGATATAAACAGTTTTTAAAAACTGAAAATCGTAAAGTATTTGACAATTGGAGAAATATAAAGCATATATAAACACAGTCTTTTCCAGTGCATATGTGCCAACTTGGAGCCTATGTACCAGGTATTTAGCTGAGACCTGGACACATCCATCTTGCTTGGTATTTCCAAGTATTTCTCATGGCAAACTCTTACTGGATTGAACAGGTTACCATTGGAAGACATAGGCTGGAGGAAAGGCTCCAATCAGATTAGAACTTAGAAGGCAGAACTTTTTTTTTTTTTTTGACGGAGTTTTTCTCATGTTGCCCAGGCTGGAGTGCAATGACATGATCTCGGCTCACTGCAACCTCCGCCTCCTGGGCTCAAGCGATTTTCCAGAACTTTTTTAGTTTTTTTCGTGTTCAAGAGCTATTTGCAGCTGAAGCTTATAGATGTTCCTTTTTCAGCTCTTCTAATTTTTGAATGCTTAATCATTACTTAGTGATCTTTCAACACAGTGGGCCTGAGAACAGCGGTGTCTAGAACCTGTGCTGAAGATCATGTTTCCGGCTGACAGCCTCTTACTTGAGACAGTGAGATTACTGCATGGACATGGCACATGGAGAGGGCCTTCCACACCATTGATGATTGCTGCAACCTGAAATTGATTTTACTCCATGAGACGCTGTGGATGTGGGAAGACGGTGTTTCTGCCGGGTTGACAGAAGATGTGGCACAATGTCCTAGTGTTCGACCATCCACCGCATGTGCAGCTCCAGGTAGCTGCTGGCAGCCATGACACTGGCTTCCACTATCAGAGGAAGAGGTGCAAAGTAAGATGATTTGAGAATGTTTTCAACTCTAAAAAGCTGTTTTCTTGTAGAGGGCTATGCTATGGTGACAAGCCCTGCACCAGAAGGGGATGGTTGCAGCAACTACTCTGCCATATTAGCTGAACTCCTTGAAATTTCTCACATACTGAATTTCTCCCACCAGCTGGAATATCATTCCAGCCAGTGTTGACATAAGCCATAACTGCTAGCTGCAGCCGAGTCCTGCAGCCTGACCCACTGTATTGGAGAAGTGACACTAAATGTTGTGGGGAAGATTCTGCTGGCTTGAGGATAACTGTCATGTGCTTTCTCGAGGCTTTACAGAAGTTATTGGGTGGTTTCAGCCTCACCTGGCCCTGAGAGACTACACGCACAGTGCCTGTGAAGTGTTTCCCAGAGGACAAACCCACAAGGTTAACAGCCCTTACTCTGTTACTTGCAGGAAGAGAAACAGCCCTAACCTCATCTTGGGAAGCGTAACACTCACAGGTTGCTCTCTCTCCAAGTGCCCCTTCTGTTGGAAGACATGGTTTTTAATCATTTATGGAAGATTAGCTGTGTTCCTGGTGGTCTCATAAGCACAAAGCTCACTTTGTGCTTTTAACTTCACCTATATTCAGGTAAAACTTCCTCAGAGAGCACGAGGCAATGTGAAAAGCAGCAAAGATCAGCATTTGTAGCGAATGTCAAAGCCAAGGAAACTGAACTTCAGGCAGAGTACCTGTTAGAGCCGATAGAATGATGAGTACAAATGCAAGCATTTTTATGCCCCTTATAGAAATTCTAAATCATTGATAAGGAATTACTGTGAAAAAGAAATAAAACCCAGTTGATTGAACTGCTTTCATGCTATAAAGATGGAACAAGTATTAAACAACAATTCTCTTTTCCTGTTATATCACTTTTATTAATTTGTATGTAATTAGTGTCTGTACAGTGTATGAATGTTATTAGTGCTAACCTGCAGGTGCTATATACTCCCTTTCTCAGGATGCATGTGGCTCCCTCAAGATACAAGTGTGATTTTCATATGTGCATGTGTTGGATCGGCTTCCATTCTCATATAAACTCGTTCTCAAACTCCTCAGTATTATAAAGCTATTCACTTAAAGATATAGATACTGTGAGCAGGAGGTATTGTTTTAGTTGACTAACTCTTCTTGGCAAATTAATTGGATCAGGTTTTTCAGTAGGTATAATTTTCTCTTCCCCAGACAAAATTGTCAAGTCTGAATCTTTCTTTCAGTGAGCAAAAGACATTTTTTAAAAATGGAGAAGGAAATGACCTTGGCTATTTAAAAAATACATCAATTCTTCTTAATAAATTTGAGCCAAAGAAAATATATTCTTTCATTTCTTAGGTGTCTGTTTCTTTTCCCACTAATCAAACTTTTAATAGACCATTCAATTCGTTTAAGGCCATCTTAAGAAAAATAATTATTGAGTAATTATTTATTTAACAAAATAGAAATTCATTCTGCAGAGCATAGTATATCTTTTAGTTTTTCTATGCCTAGGTTTTACTTTGAAAGTGTGTGGGGAATTGAAAATAATTTCCCTTTTATATGTTCCAGTTGAATTGAGATTATCATGATTTTTAGGTTGAGAGATGTGAAAAGCTCATGCTAATGAAATAAAAAATATATGATGGTTTGTCTATAAAATCTTCATCTTTCATGGACATATAATAATTAAATTTAACAAAGAAAGTGATACATGATTATAAATCTTAATTTACATGTGAGCTTTAAAATATTAAAATATTAAAAGCAGGCTAGATATTGGAAAAGGAAACTTATGAAGAAATGTAGACTATCACTTCTCTGGATTTACATTATTTTGGAAATCTATACAGGTTACTAATACAAGAAAATATATAAGATGAACCCTTACTGCTACAGCAATTCTTGCTTTTAAGATATTACACCATACTATAACTTTGAGAATATCATTCAAGGGTGTGAAATCACTACATATTTTGACCTTATAAAAATGTTAAATGTTTCTTTATTAAAAGACAAATCACAATGTCATTTTTAATTATCTTAAACCAGACATAAATATTCAAATATTTTTGGTTTGTTTCTTGCTATTTGTGTAATGGAGCTTGAGGTTAATAACAGTTCAAATGCTTTGACTGGGGGAATAGTTGGCCTATTCACAATAAGGGAGTTTGTAAAAGTCTTTTTAAATTTTACTTAACATTTTTTAAGAAAATAATAAAAAATATAAAAAACATGAAAGAGTTTTACAGTGATTCCCTCACATATCCAACACCCAGATTCTAGAATTAGCATTTTCCTATTCCGGATTTATCACTGTTCTCTCCAGCTAGCCAGTCCCCTATGCATTCACCAATCCATCTTATTTTTTTATGTATTTCAAAGGAAGTTGCAGACATCAGTGTACTTCCCCTCAAGGGCTTCAGCATGTATAACATTAAATAGAGTGGTGAAAATCTTTTATTAGCAAAATAACTTAAACATTACATTATTTGGAGAGGAAGATAAAGTCCTTGGATTTCTGAAGAAAAGAATAATGTAATTGCAATTCAACACTTGGATAAATTTCAGTGTTTTATATCTGAAGCTCAGAAAAGTAAAGATACATTGATGGCACAGCTTATGATGATGGTACAAAACAAATCTCTAAGCCCTGAAATTTTCACGAACAGGAAGAAGGCTTATAAAGTTGTTTATCCCCCAAGAAGGGCATTTATCTCCAAAGTCCATCTCTAATATGGCTGTAAAGGTTTCATCTCTCTGTGTGTGTGTGTGTGTGTGTGTGTGTCTCTTTCTGTATCTCCCTATAGCTAAATCTTGACAAAGGCAGAAGAAATGGAAGAGAGGTTTCAGTCTACAAAGACAGAAATTCTTCATCTGGCCTGGCTGTTGTCTTAGCATTCTGGATAATTTACTAACAAGCCAATTAACTCCCCAGTAAGTGAAAGGCTGGCTGCCACAGGCTATTTCTAGTAATTTATAGAAATCCAAGTGCCAGAGAAAACAAAGCTCTTAGCACTCCCACTACCAAAATATAATAAAGAAGTGGCCATGTGATGAGGAATTAGTTGACTTGTCCCTCGGCATTCTGAGCACATCAGAATAAGTCTACTTTTAGGAGAAAATATTTAAGAAGCTTTGAGAATGCTGAGGCAAATCATCTTGGTGTCTACTTTGCTAATTCCGTGTTTGACCTAACTACAAGTATAGCATTTTCTCAGTGGGTTTAACATCCAATACATTTCATGGAAGTCCAATTTTTTCCCCTAGGCTTCCACTCAGTAGTGAGCCCTGACCACCTCTGTTTACCATTGAGGATGGTCTCATAAAATTTTTCCTGTCTGATTGGTCTTAACTTATAAAAATAAAGTCTTGCCTTTTTCTGTCTGTCTCAAGGCAAGACAGACGGGCTCTCTTAGACCCCTGAGCTCTCTTGCAGCTGAGCATTCTGAGCAGTGGTTCCTGTCTCCTGGTGTTCACTGAAGTGGCCTCCTACCTCCTCCCACTTTCCTATCCCACTGCTATGATGAGGACTTTAGCTACTAATGAAAATCTGGTTTAGGAAAGATAGAAGCTTGCCACCGCATCCTGGTTCTGAGAGGGGACTCTTTACCTCAGAGGCAACTGTAAACAGAGGGAGACCTTGGGGGACATTGCCAACCACTGCCCAAGTAAGCATGGGGCCAATGGAGGAGCATCCAGATCAATGGGGACATAGGAATGGGACCCAGAAACCTCCCATCTCCTGCTAGGCAGGCACGCCTCAACATTTGCAGGACTAGGGCAAGGTACAAATGGAGGTTTGTCTACTTTCAGTCTAAACATTTAAAAGTTATAAATCAACTTAACGAACTATTAAATAAAAGGTCATATCCTCCTTCCCATATACTCCTTCCCAGGTCGGAGTATACTTGTGTTAAGTATACTTGTGTTAAGGTCTGGAAGGCCAGGTGTGAATTAGAATTCCTGGACTCCTTGGAGGGTTGAGCCTGAACATGGCAGCACAGGAAGATCAATTCCCAGGCACAAACTGAAGTCTACCCCACTTTTCCTCCAGCCCCAGTCTTACCCCACACCCCCAGCCTTTCTGTGCAAGCTCCTGTTACCACACTGCAAACAGCTACTCCTTGATTGTTCCCCAGGTATAAGGCTGTGTGGATACTGTAGCTTAGTCCCTTCTGAGAGCACAGACTCCTGGGGGCACACCCTTTTAGCACACAGATTCCTTGCCTAGTGGGCAGGGATGCAACCAGATGTTGGCCAGAGCAGGGCACTCTAAGCATAGTGCCCTTGTGCCTGGCCTAAGGCAGTTTTACAGGAATGCTCATGTATTTCAAACTGAAGCTCACGTCTTACAGAAATGACAAAGTTGGCAGGGCACTCCCTGGGGCTCATTCAGTTGTTGTATATGCTGCCGATACAACTGCAAACAAGACAGACATAGTCCTTTCTCTCTTGTGGCTTTAGGTCCCAATGTCAGGCAGACATAAAGCATGCCAATACTTTGATTGCAAATGCAGTAAGTGCTGTGAAGGAGAAGCATAGGGTATCAAGAGGGCATTCAACAGGAGGACCTGACTTGGTGTAGGGGCAAAGAAGACTTTCTTAAGAAGTGATTTAAGCCAAGACATGGAGGATGAGCAAGAGTTATTTAAGAGAAGGGGACTCAGGAGTGGGTGGTGGGAAGGGGGTCCACACACACAGAGTAGCATGATCAGAGACACTCAGGAAGAAGTATGGCAGAACTGAAATCTGGTATTCCCAGACATATGCACCCATAAATCAGGGGCAGGGGTAGAGGTGAAACTCAAGAGAAGAGAATCCCTGATGGGTAACTTATTACCAAGCTGGAGAATGACAAGAACTAAAGTAAACTGAGTTTCTACATGGGCCAGACAGCACTACATACAAGGCATATGTAGTATGCAATGGGCCATCGTAGACAGTAGACTATACTACATATGCAATGTATGCAGTATAGTCTGGCCCTATAGTATGTGTACATATACAATCTGCATAATCTCCTTTAGCATTGAACATGAGCTTTGCCCACAGAACTAGGCATCATTGTCGCTAAGTTCAGACAGAAAAGACAAGGCTCGAACACTTAATTTGCCCAAAGCTGCCTTATATTACGAAATGGCATTGCACATTCTGTAAGTACTTAACAGAAGCAAGTAAACTCAATGAATTAGCTTCTGTTGAATCGGCTTTGGTGAATTGTTCTGCTTCCTTTTTAAACATACGCAGAAGCTAAAGCTCTTTTAAAATAAATAAATAAATAATAAATAAAATCAAGGACAGCAGGATTTTACATTACTGTGGTTTGTTGCAGAATATATGTTTATTGGTTTTCTTTTTTGCTCAATGAAACTCCTTTTTAACACATCATGATCAAACTATTTGCACCTTGGAGAAATGGTATCAGTTTCTTGGGTGGCCTAGGAGTTATTTCCACAGATTTCTGTGTGGGATGTTAAGACAAGAGGAGTGATATCCTCATAAGGATCTGTTTTGTTGACTTAGGTGCTTAAAAAGAGTACAAGAAAGGGTAAGTCAGGAGACATGAAGGGAGAGAGGGAAGAAAGGAAGAAGAAAGGAAAAAGTCTCCTAGTAGTTTTTGTGTTTATATTTTTTAAAAACTTGTGAAAGCTTCTTCAGATAGGACCTTGAAGTGTGGTTTATTTCCAAAAACTAATAAGACAGGGTGCTAGCAGCAGCCCAGTCCAGAACACATAATGTGGTGCAGTTGGGAGTAAATTATTATAGCATAGAATGACTCTTAAGAGACATGGGGTCTGAAGTCAGACCTCTTATCTGAATCTTCACCTTACCACTTCCCTGCTGACCTTGACCATGGATGAGACATTTAGCTTAGCCAACCTTTCTTACCTATAAAACAAAGTTAATAATAGTACAGCCCCATGAGTGTAAATTAGTTCAACTGTTGTGGAAGACAGTGTGGTGATTCCTCAAGGATCTAGAACCAGAAATACCATTTGATGCAGCAGTCTCACTACTGGGTATATACTCAAAGGATTATAAATCATTCTACTATAAAGACACATGCACACGTATGTTTATAGCAGCACTGTTCACAATAGGCCAAAGACTTGGAACCAACCCAAATGCCCATCAATGATAGACTAGATAAAGAAAATGTGGCACATATACACCATGGAATATGCAGCCATAAAAGAGGATGAGTTCATGTCCTTTGCAATGACATGAATGAAGCTGGAAACCATAATTCTCAGCAAACTAACACAGGAAGAAAAAACCAAATACCGCATATTCTCACTCATAAGTGGGAGGTGAACAATGAGAACACATGGACACAGGAAGGGAAACATCATACATGCCTGTTGGCGGGTGGGGGGCTAGGGGAGGGATAGCATTAGGAGAAATAACTAATGTAGATGACAGGTTGATGGGTGCAGCAAACCCCCATGGCATGTGTATACCTATGTAACAAACCTGCATGTTCTGCACATGTATCCCAGAACTTAAAGTATAATAATTTAAAAAAAAGAAAAAAAAAAAGGAAAAAATATAGTGCCTCCCCATAGAACTGTAGTGTTTAAAATAAATTCAGTTTTACCCTTGGATGCCTATGCAGTAGTAGTTCTCCATTTCTTCCTTGCTGAAGGACCCATTTTTGTTTGGAGATCTGCAGAACCTGAGCTCAGGTTAGCTGAGCTCCAGCTCCAGGCCAGGGAGGTCAATCACAAGAGGTCCCTCCTTTTGCTAGAGATATACAGGAACTCATTCCTTCTGCTAGAGATATACAGGAACTCATTCCTTCTGCTGTTGCCAGTTGTTGTCTCTATGTGTGATGTTGAAAGCTGTGGCAGACATTCTAGAGCCATAAAGGGAATTGGGCAAAGGCAAGCCAACCTGCCAACCATAGAAGAGCAGAAAGAAGAGGAGAACCTGCATGCCCAGCGACATCATGTATCCCCTGAATTAGCCAAACCTGAAGCCACTTTACCTCTGGACTTTTTGTAATCTGAGATAATAAATGTTCTTGTTGTCTAGGTCATTCTAAGTCAGGTTTTCTACAGTTTTGCAGCCCAAATCATCCCTCTGGGAATACCACCACAGAAAGCCGTTAGTGTGCAGTAAAGATGTAATTATAAAGCAGAGCTGGGAAACAATGCCTAATATGTGGAGGCAGGAGACCCAGTTCTAGTGTCAGCTCCTGGGCTCAGTACTGCCATTGGTATTGGTTCTCTCATCCTCAGGGCTCTTCCTTTTTGGGGTGGTGTCTCACTCTTCACCCAGG
The DNA here is from genome assembly GCF_000001405.40 of Homo sapiens. Classification (NCBI taxonomy): domain Eukaryota; kingdom Metazoa; phylum Chordata; class Mammalia; order Primates; family Hominidae; genus Homo; species Homo sapiens. The sequence continues at coordinate 52,433,839 of NC_000004.12, read as the reverse complement.
CTGGAGTGCCCTGGAGCCATTATGGCTCATTGCAGCCTTGGACTCCTGGACTCAAGTGATGCTCATGCCTCAGCCTCCCGAGTAGCTGGGACTATAGGTGCATGCCACTATGCCCAGTTATTAGCCTTGGGACTCTTGTTGAATCTTGCTTGCCTTGGCCTATGGTAATGATCAATCCCTTCCTACCTGAGCTGACTTCACCTAAGCAGTCTTCCCTGCCCAGGAACTTCTCTGCAGAATAACCAGTGGGACATCTCCTCTCCCACCCCCAGCCTACCCTGCCCCAGAATTTCATCCTTCATCTGCTATAGTTGCTTCCAGAACCGTGCTGCCCTTCTCCCAATTCTGTACACTCTGCACCAGCTTTGCCTACTCTATTTGTCTGAGTAAAACTAAGGGGACCTATTACATTCTTGAGCCACATTTACTCTAAACTAAGCATGAGTATGAGGAGCTACAAACTACCTTCACACTTCCCAGTAGTCATAGACTCTGGAACAATGGTTCTTAGGGACGGGGCCTTTTGCTCCCAAGAGGACATTTGGCAATGTCTGGAGACATTTTGGGTTGTCACAACTGGGGGATGCTACTGATCTCACAGGGAGAATCTAAGAGAGGCTGCTTAGCACCCTGAAAAGTAAATTATACCTCAACAAAGTTGTTGGGCACTTTGGGAGGCCAAGGCAGGTGGGTCACCTGAGGTCAGGAGTTCAAGACCAGCCTGGCCAACATGGTGAAACCCCATCTCTACTAAAAATACAAAAATTAGCTGGGTGTGGTGGCAGAAGCCTGTAATTCCAGCTATTTGGGAGGCTAAGGCACGAGAATCGCTTGAATCTGGGAGGCGGAGATTGTCCCGTGCCAAGATCACATGACTGCACTCCAGCCTGGGCGACAGAGTGAGACTCCATCCCGAAAAAAAAAAGTGTTAAAAAATTTGTAAAGCAAAAATTGACAGAATTGGAAGAAGAAGTCAGACAATTCCACAGAGTTACGGATTTTAACACCCCTTTCTCAGCAACTGATAGAAAAGTTGGGGGGAAGTCAACAAAGACATAAAAGATCTGAATAATGATCATCCTCCATACCTAACTGGCAAGTATAGGAGACTATACCCAACAAGTGCCAAATATATGCATATTTCAACTCAGCGGTTCAAAAGCAGGGAAATTTTGCTGCCAGAGGACATTTGACACTGTCTGGAAACATTTTTTATTTTCACATCTTGGAAGATGTCGCATCTAGTAGGCAGAAGCCAGTGGTTCTTATAATGCACAGGGCAGCTCCCCACAACAAAGAACGACCTAGCTCGAAATGTCCAGAGTGCTGACGCTGACAACCCTGCACTGAAAAAGTGAAAATACTACAAATGCATCACATCCCTAGACTTTCATAGCTTTAGAGGGTCCCCAGCTCTCCTTCCCCTACCAGCAGCAATCCTACATCCTACTGCTGAATTACTCTTTTGTATTCTGTGTTGCTTTGACGTAAGAGGAAGTCTCCCTTGCTCAGATGTCACTTATCTACTGTGCTTCCTCTGGACCCTTTTGGTTTTTTAAAAAGGACTATATGAATAATGAAAGCTTACTTCAGGGACAAGAACCTTTGATCTTCCAGGCCTTTGCCTATTTCCTGCAGGACTTTGCTCTCTCTCCTTCCTCCTCTTTGGCATAATTCTAAAGCCATATAGCCAGTCCTTAATCAAACTCTCTTTGTAATGTTAGTAGACTGTAGCTTCAGGAAACCAGACCATATCTTAAATTGATGTTACCCCCGTTAAGGTTCAAATTTACAGTCGGCTCTGCGTTTGTGGAAACATAACATCTTAACAATGAGGGTGGCCCTCATTCGTCATTCCAGTTAAACTTTATTTTTCTAGAATTTCCTTTCAAGATGGTAGATTATTGTACATTCTGGGGGCAGAAAGTGAGAAAAGAGAGTCTGTCCATGATAGAAAAGGAAACATAGCAGATTTGATCTCTATGAGGTAAAATGAGAGGTTGAGTCAGATCATCTAATTCTATGATTTGCTGGATTAACTTGGAATTGTTTATTAAGTGACCTCCAAGTCTTGAAACTTTTAAGTAATGAGAGATGAGAGGTTACTCCTCCAAAATAAGCAATGCTAGCCTGGGCCTTGAAGGATTATGTAGTTGTGGTGCCAGAAGGTCAAAATTTGGAGCTTCACTTTTATGTTCCATAAAATGGAAAGCAACTTCTGTAACTATGACCTCAGATCTTACAGTGATTTAGAATTTCCCAAAGAGATTTCACCCACATTGTGATACCATTTGTTCCTCATCACAGTGACCCTGTGTAGCAGGCAGGTCAAGTATTGCTATCCACACTGGGCTAAGGAAGAATGCAAAGCTATAAAGGTTAAGTGACTTGCTTAAGATAAACAAAACTTAGAGCTGTATTAATTCACTGAGAGATGCATGACTTTTGAATATAACCAAATGTTTCTGATTTCCCCAGGACAATTAAGATTTAAAACTACCTGTTCTTTGTCCTCAATATGTTCCTTTGTCAGATAACGAGTCAATCTTTTTAGTCAGAATATACAGTCACTAGAACATTGAGCTGGAGTGGCCAAGTAGGAATTCTTTCATTTATTCATTAAGCAGCCTGATTATTTGGCATGTGCTATGTATGAAGTTTTATACTAGGGGTTGAAGGGAAGGGAGACAGTGATGAATATAAAATGTGGTCTTTGCCCTCAAATTGCTTATAATCTTTTAGAGGACACAGACAGGTAAGCTACCAACAGTCACATAAGGCAGCAGGGCTTGAAAGGAGCAGAAGCCAGTTTGAGGACTACAGTGAGAGAAGCAATTCCTTCTGCCTGTGAGGGAGTGGGGAAGTCTGCGTCAAGGAGGAATCTGCATATAAACTGGGCCTGGAAGGAGCAGGGTTCGGAGAAACAGAAAAGATGAAGTTTACCGTAGAGAAGAAAGAAACATTCACTTCAAACTCTTAATATTCCTGATGAAGCTCTGCCCAAAGTTTTCAGTGTAACATCAACTTAGGTGCTCTCAATTCCTTATTAGACAGCATCTTAGACTGCACAACTGCTGCCAGTTTTTGATTCTCTATGAGGCAGTCTCATTCTGTTGCCCAGGCTAGAGTGCAGTGGTGCGATCAAGGCTCACTGCAGCCTTGGACTTCCTAGGCTCAGGTGATCCTTCTACTTCAGCCTCCTGAACAGCTGGCACCACAAGCACACACCACCATGCCTGGGTAATTTTTGTATTTTTTGTAGAGATGGGGTTTGCCATGTTGCCCAGGCTGGTCTCCAACTCCTGAGCTCAAGTGATTTGCCCACCTTGGCCTCCCACAGTGCTGGGGTTACTGTTTGCTGCCTTATTAATAGAAGGGAAGCATTTTGCCTTTCCTTCTCTGAAATGAGTGTGTCCTCTAGTTAAGCACACAGAACAAATGGAATTTTTACAAGGGAAAGTTATTTTTCATTTCAGTTTTCAAGGTCAATGCAACCTTGATCATTAATCTTTTCTCTGTCTCCTTCCTTTCAGTATAACCTGGTAAAAGTCATATACAGACACACACATACACTTTTTTTCCCTAAGTATCAGGCACTGTGAACATATATAACAATGATTTAATCTCCATAGGCCTATTTTACAGTTAGGAAAACTGAAGTTTATTGAGGTAGAGTAATATGTTCAAATTACACACATTTAAGTGAGCTACACAGGAATGAGAGGTTTCTGGTTCACTCAAAAGCCCATGCTCTTTCTAGGATGCTCTACTGCCTCGGGCTAATTCTATCAAAGAGAATCACACTGTGGTACAGTGATTCTCTGAAGATGAAGGCTTCTCCTAGGATAATGCATAGAACAGGATCAAAGAAGTACTAGTAGTGTGTTGGTGATTCTTTTCCTGGCATTAACTGGCATGGGCAGTTTTGGCATGTTGGATATTTAACTATCTCATATCAACCATGATCCTTCTTCCCCAGAATCCACTCTCCTTTTAAAAATTCTAATAATAGAGTGCGCTCCTTCCTACCCCTGGACAGTTTCAGCAGAGCACATGGCTATGACTTCCATCTCTAAGCTTGTTTTGCAGCTAGGTGTGATCTTGTGCTGTTCTCCAGGATGGAATGTGAGCAGAGTACTGTGAGCTGCCCGGGTATCACATCCTTAAAGAGAGAGTACCTGCCCTGTACATTCTCTCTTTTCCCCTTCCTGGAAGCTGGATTGAGGTGCTGCTGCTGGTGGTCTTTCCTGATACTATGGAGCAACAAGGGAGAAAGAGCCTGGGTCCCTGGACAATTTGGTAGAGTGCTGTTTGGACCACCCATCTACCACTGAGCAGTTAGCAAGAAACTACTATCTCATTTGAGTCACTGTAGTTTTTTGGTAACCTAAATTATTTACTAACTAATGTAACTTCCATAATTCAAGAGCACTAGTCAACATTTCCTAGAGTGTCTGAGCTGCCCCATTCCAGATATATAAAAACTGCACATTGTGATGGGTTGCCCCCTAAAGCACTCTGGAAAAAAGCTGGTTTGCCTTCTGGCATTATGAGGCTTAATCTCTAAACAGTGTGATCTGGCTGTCCCTGCTGCTTTAAAAGTCTGCTGCAGCCGTCAGATGCAGACTGCATTCTGCATATACCTAAAATCACATGGTTAGAGTCCTTAATCACTCTTACATCCCAACTGCTAATCTCATGAGAATAAATCTGCTTTCCCATGGCTGAGCAAAATGGGTCCTATCACCATGACATGTGCCCTGCAACCTTCCAATCAAATGAAGGAAATACACAAAACAAATGTGAGAAATCTCATCACCCATATTCTCAAACACACGGATTTTATTGTTCGTTATCCGGGCTCATTGACCTTGGCTACTGAAAGATACCTAAGTAGATGTGGTGTACTACCTGTTTGAACTTGGGCTTCTGAATTTTGCTCTAATTGCCCCTGTCGTTCACTGTAGCCCTCACCAGGACACAGCAGAAGTCACACTTAGGATATGAGACTGCTACAGGAGGCCTGTGCAAAGATGCCTTGGATTTATATGGAAAATGGATGTCCCTGGATTGGCATTGGCTGCTCATTTGGGTGACTACAAGCCATCTTAGATGAAAGTCAGACATGTTATTTAGGTATGACTTGTTCTAAGAGAATGTGTTGTTTGGTAGAGCTACTCTATAATTAAGACCCAGCTCATTCTAATGCTCCAAGGCCTGCTATTTTGCTTTGCTTCTTGTCCAGCTTATCCCTCTGGCTCTGGATGGCTGGCAAATTTCCCCTCACCACCAGTTTCTAGGACACTGGGACTTCAGCATGAATGGACCACAGCATATGTATTATCTCTAGACAATCAGAAGTTAAACTATGAATGCAAAACATTTATAATTGTTGGAGAGTCCCAGACTCCTTTGAGCAACTGACAAAATTGACAGAAAAAAATATGTTTGCACCACAATTTTGTACACCATTTCAGGAATGTCTGTACAACTTCATGAAGCCCATCCATTAATCTTCAGATTAATAACTGATGCATCTGTGTGTGGTTGGTACTATTGCATTTGCATAAAAATATATCACAATATTTAATATTATCATGGACTAAGTTGAAAATTCCTTGAGGACAAGAATTATAGTATGTTGACTTGGTACAGTCCTGTGTAGTAGGTGTTTTAGGAGATGTATAGAAAACCAAGTCTCATAGCCTAGATTTTTCCATTTGGCCTAAATATTTCCATTCAAATGTTTTATTTTTAGAAATATTGAGAAAATGAGGTGAGAGGGAGAGTGAGGAAAGTGGTAGGAACCCAATGTCTGGGAACTCTCAATTCCGTCCATATGTAAATCATTTAACAGCTTGCAAATGATTTAGCAGCTCATCAATGGTCTGAGAATAAATCTTTCTATAGGCAAAAAGCCTGCCTCTTTTACACTATTTAGGAAATTCAGCCTAAAACTGATGTAATACTTTGAGCTGTTTAATTAATTTTGCTTACTGGCATAAAGATCCTTAACTTGATTCAATTAAAAAAATAATTCCCCACCATTTTCTTGCCTTCTGTGGCAGAGACTATTAGTTGTCCTCTAGTACCCATTTTCTCCTTTCTCAGTAGAGAACTCCAGGATGTTGGCTGGACACAGGATTGCCCAGAATAAAGACATTTCCCAGCCTCCCTTGCAGCTGGGTGTGGCCATCTGACTAAATTCTGGCCAATGGGATGCAATTGTGTTCTGTAACAATTAGAAACTGTACTTAAACTGTGGTGTGGAATGAAGGCTTCCCTTTTCTTGTTACTTCCCTTGTCTCTGTTAGTGAGAATGTAGGGTATAAAAAAGAGCCATCCTGGACTATAAGGTCCAGATGCATTTCAAGATAGCAGACCAAAAGGTGGCAGCAGTCGGGGTGCCTGTCATTGTGGAGCTGCCATACTGGTCCTAAACTATTTCAGGCTCCCCAAGACCACCCCCACATTCAAAGTTTTGCTAGAAGGACTCAGAATGTCATGCACTCATGCCTAAGATTTATACAGCAATGTGGTAAGGATACATGGCTGAGATCATGTTAGATACCCTCTGTCTAGCCATGTACCAAAATTCCAGACTGCCACAAGGAAAGCAGTCTTGGCACTGTGTTTAATGTTTGATCTCAATTTTTAAAAAATCACCTCGTCTATTAGAAAATAGTGCATGTTGTGGCAGACTGCTAGTTGTTTCCCAATATCAGCTAATTGTTGACTAGGGTCACCCCAAGAGCTATATTCCCAGATGCCAGTCAAGGCTGACCTTCAAGCAATCTTTCTAAGGAGAACAGCCTCAGGCCTGCTATGTTAACTCTTCTGCACATGGACTGTCTCTATTTACCTGAAAGAGAAATATACTTTAATCTTCTTTAAGGCAACGCTTGTGTGTGTGTGTGTGTGTGTTGCAGGGGGGGGGATGTCTTTTGACCACACCTAATTCTAATGAATACCCTTCCCTCTTCATATATTTGACACCTAGGTAGAACTTAATCTTGGTGTCCAGCTTAACAATGGAGGTGGGCGTTGCAGTCTGGTGAGGATGTGCTGATTCAGGAACACAGGTTTTCATAACTCCAAATTCAGCAGAGAGCATCAATTTATAAAATAACCTGCATTCCCAAGGCTCATTTGTAAACTGACCAACACATCAGCTCATGAAGTAAACCTAAGATGACTACATGAGGCCGAGTCTAAGGTGGAATTGGAGGAACCAGATTCCAGTCAGGAACTTGCAACTTAACTTCTTCCTACTTCTATAAACCCTATAGTGGAACAGGCAATGACCATGCCCAGTGAATGCTTGGCAATGACATTTCTCCAGCTTATTGTAGATCAGATGAGTCACAAAATCTCTGTATCATTTCAGCTTCACTATGGTAGTTCACACAGATAAACAATGCTCTTTACAGATCTTTCTATATCAACATTCAAGCTCCAGAGAACAGAATCATAAGTTCTTTTTTTTTATGTTAGTTTGCTTTTTAAGTGGAGGGACCCTAACCAATTTTCTCATTTGATAGAGGAAAACTGTAATATATCTCACAAGACCCAGCATGGTAGCAAAAGTGGAAATAGAAATCTGTCCTCTTGGTCCCCATTCACACACCACCTTGACTAATCATCTGTGATTATCTACTCATTCACCTGAACTGGGAAAACTGGAGCCTCTGTGAAGACAGATCTGGGCACATGGCCAGTCCCTAAACATTGGCTCATTGACAGAACTCTCACGTTGTGTGGTACCTTCAGGAGTAAGAAGAAAAGTCTTCTAGTAGAGCTGTGCGGATGGATAGAAGGCAAATCATTATATGACATTACATATGCTTCATGAGTATTTTAAATAGTGCCCCCAGGATAGTAAAAATTACCCTGCAACACAGGAAGCGGCTCAATCCCTCTGTGCTGATTATAACCCCAGGACTTCCTCTTGAATCAATCTCAGACATTTATTTGGCATATTCTTTTGAGGTACTCCTAAGATATTTATTAACATTTAAGCCACTAATTAATTTTCATGCATATTAAACAATACTGCAGTTTTCACAGGCTTGTGTGGGCACCTGATAAATGTGATCTGAGGACACTAATATCTACTTATCAAACCAAAAAACATTTTCCAGTTCCCGAATAACAACCTCTTTTAAAGAAAAGTGTATATAGAGTGTGGAAACTAGTACTAAGAAGCCAATGGCTCAGTGGGTTTTCTGGATCTTATTTGGACCTGGTGGTGGGCATGTGCTTTCTTCCCACTTATCCAAGATTGTGTGCAGCTTCATAACTGAGTACAGCATAACCATCACATTGAAGAGGGATGCTTTTTTTTTTTTATTTAATGGTAATGCTGAGCAAAGAATAGGAGTTTTATGAGTACAAAGAAAAAAATTTTTTTTTAATCACCGAAGATCAAGTCACTTTACCTAGGAGCAAGAGGGATAATCATGAAGGCATGAAATGGGGTGTCACATTGCAGCACTATTTACAATAGTAAAGACTTGGAACCAACCCAAATGTCCATCAATGATAGACTGGATAAAGAAACTGTGGCATATATACACCATGGAATACTATGCAGCCATAAAAAAGAATGAGTTCATGTCCTTTGCAGGGACATGGATGAAGCTGGAAGCCATAATTCTCAGCAAACTAACACGGGAACAGAAAACCAAACACCACATGTTCTCACTCATGAGTGGGAGTTGAACATGGACACAGGGAGGGGAATATCACACATGGGGGCCTGCTGGGGAGTGGGGGGCAAGGGGAGGGAGAGCGTTAGGATAGATACCTAATGGATGCACGGCTTAAAACCCAGATGAAGGGTGGTGTAGCAAACCACCATGCCACACGTATACTTATGTAACAAACCTGCACATTCTGCACATGTATCCTGGAACTTAAATTTTTTTTTTTTTTTTTTTTTTTTTTTTTGAGACGGAGTCTCGCTCTTTCACCCAGGCCGGACTGCAGTGGCGCTATCTCGGCTCACTGCAAGCTCCGCTTCCCGGGTTCACGCCATTCTCCTGCCTCAGCCTCCCGAGTAGCTGGGACTACAGGCGCCCGCCACCGCGCCTGGCTAATTTTTCATATTTTTAGTAGAGACAGAGTTTCACCGTGTTAGCCAGGATGGTCTTGATCTCCTGACCTCATGATCCTCCGGCCTCGGCCTCCCAAAGTGCTGGGATTATAGGCGTGAGCCACCACGCCCGGCCTAATTTTTTAAAAAAAGAAATGGGGAGTCACAGATGAATCTCAGATAAGTGGTCGCTGGCTGTTACTTACTTTATCTCTAAGATCCTCAGATCTCTGTAAGAGTGGGGTAGTATTACTCACGTCTTAGAGCTGTTGTGAGGATAAAAGTGAGAATATTTATGTAAACATCTGTGGAGAGTAGGGGAGGACACAAAGAGACCCGAGCATGCTTTTACCAACTTCCCAGAGGAAAAACATTTTTGAAAGTATAGGAAATCAGCCACATAAATTGGGAGACATATGTCAAGATATTGGTTTTATTTTTTAGTTTTTTTTTTTTTTTTCCAGATCGGAAAGAAATACAGCACTTTTGCATTTCCACAAATGACAACATCTAAGTCACACCACCACTTCCCAGACGGCCTTCTGTGAGTCAGCCTATGCCAATTCGTTTGTTTATGTGGGCATCTTACAAAGGTTGTGGTATCGAAGTTCTTTTTCTCTTTCAGTTCCTTAACATACTTATGTGATTATTTATAGTTTCTTTCTTGCTAATTTTTTTGTGATGTAAAAATTCTAAACAGGGGTGTGTTTACCAACCACCTGGTTCCAGCTCTCAGGGCCTTTGCTGCTTCAACAGAGCCTGCCCTTTTGTCTCCCAGTCTCCCTCTTTCCTCTTCTCTCTCTCCCCATGGTCTCTTCCCTCATGGGTTCATCGCTCCTAAGATAAAGGAGTCCCCAGGGTTCCAGATGAAGAAAAACAATCTTTCCCTAGAACAGTGTTTCCAAACCACGAGACATGATTCTAGGTGATTTTAGGTGACACACAGATGTGCCATTAAATGACATTTTGCTACATACTGAAAAAGCCATTTCCTTTTAATTCTCTTCTAGTCCTTTAGATTTCATGAAAGGGAAAGTTTTGATTTAGTACTATTATGCTTTTAATGCTTCTCTAACACTCAATCTTCATTTTTAACAAAGAAAGAGCAGATCTCAGAGTCAGAGTCTCCAGCACACAAGAATTTCATAACAAAGTTTAGTTTTTACAGTTTTTAATTTTTACTAACATTTTCAATGTATGCCAGCTGATATATCATTTTCCATTTACAATAATAAACAATTGTGTTCCCTTTCAAAAATAAATTTCTCATTAGTAGTAATAAACGGAAATCTCCTAATGCTAAATGACGAGTTAATGGGTGCAGCACACCAGCATTGCACATGTATACATATGTAACTAACCTGCACATTGTGCACATGTACCCTAAAACTTAAAGTATAATAATAATAATAATAATAAAAAAAATAACATTCCTTGAATTCAAAAAGTAGGTGACTTGAAGAAGCAAATAATAGTACGGGTAGTACATGAATATGTTAAAACTGTGAGGGTGGTACTTAGATGGCTAAAGTTTGTCCATTAGTTCAAAGCCATTGAGACGTAAAATGTGGCAGGGAGGCAGATAGGTGCTACTCAGAACAGGCTGGTTTCTCTAAGCAAACATAGGAGCCATTTATTCCTCTTCTTCTTCCACCGATACCACCACTGTCATCATCATCACCATGGCCATCACCAGTCCCTCGATCATCACCTCCATAACTGCCACCACTATCATCTACATACAACTATGTACTGTGTTAACATCTTACCACCTTCATCACCATCCCTCTGTCCACACTGGTATAGCCCAGGTCTTTACCACCACAGGCCTCTGTTACTGCAGCAACCTCCTGCCTGGGGTCTATACTTCCAGTCTTTCTTACTTCCAGTTCACCTATACATACATACAAACCCCCTTTCATTCCACTAGTTTCTTACTGTAGAACTGACAGTCCTTCCTACTGAATTACTTGATCAAATCTAAATTCTTCTACCTACCTTTCACGACTCCCCCTTCTCTCCTCTTTCTCTCCTCTTTTCTGTTTTCTCTCTAGAATGACCCCCCTTCTCATTTAGGTTGCCATAATTTTCTTGTGAATGTTTTTCTATGCCATTAAATGTTTCTCTAAAAGCACAATTTTTAATAGCTCTGAAGTATGAATGTTCTACAATCTATTTAACCCTTTATTATTGGATATTTTAGTTATTTTCATTTTCTCACTATAATGAACAATGCTGCCATGAAAATTCTTGTATGTAAACGAGGATCACACCTTTTATCTCTTTCTTACTTCTTCATCTTGCAGGAAGCCAAACAAATAATCACTGATCAAGTAAAGCTTAAGGGAAAACAAGGACATTCTGAAATGTCCCTTTAAACAAGAATCTTGAATTGTTGAAAATAAAAAATGTATTTGGATCTGATGACCTTGTTTCATTTTCTGAGCAAAGAGAAGTAGAACAGCAGCAAGATGACATGGCTTTGCCCTTTCAGAAGCCAACAGAGATATTTATTACCCAAGTCTCACAAATGCTGAAATTGTGATTGGAAGCCTTTCAGCTTCCTGCATAACCCCAGGAGCCTCAGGTTGCAGGTCAATGGCCTGATGAAGTGACAGCCTCTAGCCCCAACTATCTGTACACCAGTGGAGATTAGAAGCATGTCCTGGGACTGGTTTGGAGAAATAAGTTATTTTTCTTTGGTAGGAAACAGGGGCAAGGCTGGTGAGAAGACACTGCCCTAAATATGATATAATCCAGCTGTCCAAACATGGACAACTGAGTTCAGCCAGTCATCCATTCCCCCAAATCCAGATGTTTGCCATTACACAATCTCAGACTATCTTTTCTTCTACTGAGTGTAACTTGTACTAATTATGTTTGTCAGAGTAGCATTTGTTTTTAATTAGAAGACATCTATTTTGAATCAGCTGGGACTCCTTAGCTGTATCACAGAGACACAGCCTATGTTATTAATAATCTTTAAATCATAACTGCCTTTTGCTTTGTGGCAAATTGTTGAGGTTTTCATTCCATCTCAGAGTTCAAATATAAGAAACATCGAGACTGCACTAAAATTGGAGTCGATTATTATTAATAGTATTTGTTAAAATGCAGGTAATTCTATTCTATCTAAACATTCTGCAAACACAAAATTCCCACGATGGCAGTGGGCTTTTAATATTTGCACATCTTTGTGTGTGGAAGTCTCCAACTATTATGTTTCATAGTTAGACCTGCTTTCAAATTCCATCCTAACATGTGGTCTTGCTAAGGTCACGAACAATGTCTATGAGCTTAACTTCCTCATCTGAAAATTAGAGGATTATAAATGTCATTGTAAGAATTAAATATCATAAAATATTTTAAACACACAGCAGAGTGCTTAAAATGTAGTCTATGTGTAAATATATGCTGATTCCTTCCATTCCTTTAAAAATCTATAGACAGGAGTCTGACTTTTCTAAATGGCCATCTGGTCTTACCTCCAGGAGACTGAAGCACATTTTCCACGGGTTTAGATGTAGAGCTTTAGTTCTTCCACCTGAGAGACAGTTAGCAAGAAAAGTAAGGGAGAAATGCTATAGGAACACTCTTGAGTATGCTGGAAGCAAGTGAGGACTGTTTTGTAATCTCACTATGCTTCCTTATGAAACACAATTCTAGACCATTCTCTGACCTGATGTTTTGCTTGCTGAGAGCATTCTCTGATGGGAAACACCAAGAGAGACACAAGGCCTGCTGAGATAACAGAGAGCCTGTTCTCCTTCTTGTCCACTGTCCTGTCAGTGCCTACTGCCTTCCCTGTCTTCTGGTTCTTTTCCTTCCTCTCTTGGCTCTTTTCAGGTTCTCTGCTTTGCTCTGATCTGCTTTGCATGGCTCCTGCTTTCCCCTCACCATCACCACCTTGCACCACCTCCTTGCTTCAACTTCCAGTGGTTTTGTCTAGTCTATGAGTCCAACTTAAGGCAGCATCAAGGTGAGACACACAGCAAATATTTGCAGGACAGAATATGAGAGGTCCAGCAGTGGGTATCGTTCTCCAGAGCATGCCTGAGGACTCCCCGAGACCACCCGAAGGCTGGCCACCACCCAGAAGCTGGCCCTCACCTGGAGGCTGGCCCTCACTTGCAGGCCAGCCCTCACCTGGAGCCTGGCCCTTACCCGGAGGCTGGGGCTCACCTGCAGGCTGACTCTCACCTGGAGGCTGCCCCTCACCCAGAGGCTGGCCCTCACCTGGAGGCTGACCCTCACCTGGAGGGTCCTCACCTGGAACCTAGACCTCACCTGGATACTGGCCCTCACCTGGTTTCTGGCCTGCACAGGTGCAGCGTATCCCCCACTTGGTTTCCTGACCCTTCTCAGGCCAGGCAGAAGCCAAACCTAGTCTCTGCTTTCTCTAGTCCCTACTGGCTCTGCTGTCATATTCTGTTCCTAAGAGCTCCAAGCATGTATATTCACATGAACAGAAAGTAGCTTGCAAAAACAGTTAACAGGTACTGACCCTGTACACCAGGTATTCTGCCAACTGCCCTACGTCCATTATGCACTGAGGGTTTGTGTTTCCTCAGGACTCATATGTTGAAGCTCTGGTGCCTAGTGTGGCTATATTTGGAGGTGGGGCTTCTGAGGAAGTAATTAAGGTTAAATGAGGCCATAAGGAGGAGGATTCTGATCCAACAGGATTAGTGTCCTTATAAGAAGAGACAGCAAAGCGCTCACACACCACGAAAAGCAAGCAGGTGGCTATCTGCAAACCTAGGCCAGAACACTCACCAAGCACCCACTCTACTGCCACCTTAAGTTTGGAATTCCACTCTCCAGAACTGTGAGAAAATAAATTTCTATTGTTTAAGCCATCCAGTCTTTTTTTTGTTATGATATTTTTTATGGCATCCTCAGAAGACTAATACATGCACTAGTTAATTTAATCTGCTCAATAATCACATTAGGTGTTATGTTATTTCCATTTAAAAGACTGAGAAAATGGAGGCACAGGGAGGGCAAGTCATCTACCCCCAAACACCCAATTATTAAATGGTAAAAGGATTTGAACCCAGATAATCTCAGTCAAGAACCCAAGTTCTTAGCAACTCCAGCTTTGCTTGGGCCTATACCATCAAACCAAAAAAAAATACACCCTGCTTAAGTTATGGAGGAAGCAAACTTCTTTCAAAGTGTAAACGTGGCAAAGATAATTTTGCAAAAAAAATTGTTTTCCATTCAGAAGTATTGAATTTGACTTAAGACACAATGACAGTGAAAATGAATGAATTAATAGTGGGTTAAATCATCGGCATTTATGTAATTTTTATTGAACTCAAAATCTTTTTGATTTACATAATTACATTTAATATTCACTAATTTTCAATTTCACAAATGTATTTTCAAATTGTCATTCATTGCTAGTAAGCCTTAAATCACTCTGCCATGCAGTCTCGGCTGAAAAGACACAGGCCCTGCTTTGAGGAGGTCACTCATGGTGGGAAAACAAACATGTACACAAGGGCATGGCCTGACACATTTACACAATAAATATTTTTTCAAGGCTCTACCATGGGCCAAGTGCTATAAGAATGATGGTAAGAGGACTAGGAGTTTGCAAGAGTGTATGTGTGTGTGAGTGTGTGTGTGAGAGAGTATGTGTGTGAGAGTCTGGTGAACATGGGTGTGAGAGGGCCCTCAGAGAGGGAAAACAGTGTGAAAAGCCTTGGAAGTGTGAACAGATCGAATGTGTGTGTATGTGAGTGTGTGTGTGTAAGAGTGTGTGTGTGTCTGGTGGGCATGGGTGTGAGAAGGCCCTCAGAGAGGGAAAACGTGAAAAGGCTTGGAAGGGTGAACAGATTGTGTGTGTGTGTGTGTGTGTCTGAGGTAGTGGAGGTGGTGGGGTTGGGTGTGGATAGAAGAGGACATTCAGTAGAGGAAAGGACTTGTGATGCATGATGAAGAGGTTGAACAAGATTAATTTTTTCTATTTTATTTTTTGGTGTCTTCTCTCTCAATAGAAACCAATATTTTACAGAATGTGGGACTGAAGTTATAAGTGTAAAATCCTGACAGCTAGAAAATTGTTTTTGTGCTGTGCATTTAAACTTAAGCAAGGCTTGCATATGTGAGGGCATGCACAATATCTCAGCTCCAGTCCTTGTGGCTGGCTCAGTGGGAAGATGCTGAGCCAGGTGCCTAGTGCCAGCCTAGAGTGAGGAGGATACAAATATCTATCAAAGCAATATGAGCACATTGTTTTATAAAAATTATATACAAGGGGCTGGGTGCAGTGACTCACACCTGTATTCTCAGCACTTTGGGAGGCCTAGGCGGGTGGATTACTTGAGCGCAGGAATTTGAGATCAGCCTGGGCAACATAGTGAGATTCTGTCTCTATAAAAATACAAAAATTAGCCAGGCCTGGTGGCATGTGCCTGTAGTCCCAGCTACTCAGGAGGCTGGGGTGGGAGAATCACTTAAGCCTGGGAGGTTGAGGCTGCAGTCAGCTGTGATAGCACCACTGCACTCCAGCCTGGGTGACAGAGCAAAACTCTGTCTCAAGAAAAAAAAAAAAAAAAAAAAGAAAGAAAGAAAGAAAAAGAAAAAGAAAGTACCATATACAAGGACTTGGAACACAATGCATCAGTCTCTGGCCAAAAATCTTCCCAAGTTCAGCTTGGGAAGAGGAGATGATTATTTGTAATTCATTTAATAGTATCTGTTTTGAATTCTTCTCATGGTTCCTCCATGTCAGTAAGTATATAACTATACTCCTTATCAATTTTAGAAATTATCTACTAATTTCCTGCTCTGACAGATGAGGGATTAGCTCACCTGAAGCAGTTCTTCTGCCATTCATTCCCAAATAGTTACAACATTCTTTTTTCTTTCCTATGTTGGTTACCTTTGAAACTTTAAATATTTACATCAGTATTTCTTGAATTATCAAATACAGGAATTGTTTCTCAACTTTGCTTTTTATAAGATGAAAATATTAGTCTCCTTACTCTTACTGCAGGGTTTATCTCTCACTTTATCCCCTACTTTACCATTTGTAGTTTTCCACTAACATCATCATGGCAGAAATATTTAGATTGCTTTCTGTGTGCATAATGAAGATTTGTTTAGGGGTTCAGTCTAACTGTACAAAGTTAGTAAATCACGGTTACATTGTTAAGAGTACATACAGATTGCTCATTACAGGGTCAAATAGTTCACTTTGATTACATTTTTCTACCATATGTAGGTTTGTTTTTTTTCTGTTGTTTTGATTGCCTTGTCTCCCCTGCTTTTTGTGTTTATTGCCTTTTTAAGCCTCACACATAGTATCATATCTCTGGAAACAACCTTGCCCCTTGTTTTCCAGTTTCCTGTGTCCCAAGTCATCCTGACTTTTCGTTTACTCTTTCATTTTTCCAGATCACATCCTCAAGTATCTTCTGACAATGAATGTGGAGGAGGTAAACTTTAAGGATCCTTGCAAACCTGACAATAATTTTATTATGTCACTTTACTAATATTTTGGTAACGTATAGAATTTTAGGTTGCGAATAATTTTCTTTCAGTTCTTTGGAGGCATTTCTTATTTGTCTTTTAGCCTCAGTTGCAGTTAATGAGAAGCCTTTTGCGTAATTCTTGTTTATTTGTAAGCGAACTCTTTCATCTTTCTGAAAGCATTACAATTTTTCCTTTATCTCTAATGTTCTGACATTCCACAATGATGTGCCTGGGAATTGTCATGTCAATAACTGCTCAGATGCAATGTAGCCTTCAAACATACTTCCTGGCAGAGAAAGCATCAGTGTACTTCTTCCTGCACGGCTGACAGAAAAGACAGACTCGCAGACCAAATAAAAATGTGGGGATCACACAGCTTATTAAATCAATTAAAAATGTAATGCATAAAGACAAAAGCTAAGGGAAATCAATTATGTAAGTTAACCCTTAAGTAAGGTTGCAAGCAGGGTAGAAGAACCACACTACTGGTCCTGGGTACACAACCTGTATGTGTCTCTCTCTTCTCTCTCCCTCTCTCTGCCACATCAGCCTTCCCCACTGATGGTAGCTTAGTAGGACCAAAGTTGGATAGTGTTTAGGCCAGGGAGCCCAGAGATGGAAGCCCCCCAGGGCCATGGCACAGACTTGCCCTGTTGGAGAGATGCAGGGCAGGTATGTCTGGCCATAGCTATAGCTAGCCAATTAGCCTGCTTAGTAGCTGTGGGTTTCAGTACTGTTTCTTGAGCAGAGGACATGTGAAGCCAAAATGGTGTTGCTAATGGGTAGTTGGATTAGGCCTCTGAATACTAAATACATCTTGTCTTATGTATATTCAGCAATTTCTGAGTATTCACTGAGCATGGTGAATATTCAATATATCATGACTATTTTGTATCCAGGTGCCTTATGTATATTTAATGCCTCATGAATATTAATTATCTTTTGGTTCTTCCATCCCTTCTATGTATAACACAGACATATTCCACTTACTACATAATCTGTACTTAAGATATCTTAAGTGTTTCATTCCCATCCCATTTGTTTTCTTTTCTCCGATAGCAGAATTGCATCTTTTCAAACAATGCAACTGGACATTCTGGTTATTAATCTTTTTTCATTTATCCTGATATATATATATATATATATATATATATATATATACACACACACACATATATATACCCATATATATATATATGGATAGACTTTCACTTTGAATACTCATGTCTTATTTCATAAATGTTCGTGCACTCTTTCTCTGACAATTTCTTCCCATCAATTTTTCCTTATTTTTGCTTTCTAGAACCTATATTAGTAGAAAGGTCAATCAACTAAATTAATCATTTCTATTGCTTACCTTTTCACTGCTATCTCCCTATTCTTCATCTTCTTGTACCACTGTTTGGAAAAATTTCTCAGCTTTCTCTTTCAGTTTGTCTATTAACTTTCTGAATTCTGTAACCACATTTTTAAAACAGACTTTATTTTTTGAACAGTTTTAGATTTACCAAAACATTGAAAAGACCATACAAAGAGTTCCCATATACCATGTACCCCATTTCTCCTATTAGTAACATCTTACATTAGTAAGTGACAGTGGTCACAGTTGATAAACCTATATTATATTGATACATTATTATTAACCAAAGCTCATAGCTTATTTAGATGTCCTTAGCTTTTAACTACTGTTCTTTTTCTTGACCAGGACCCTATGCAAGCTACCACATTACATGTAATTGCATTGTCTCTTCAGGCTCCTCTTGACTATAGCAGTTTCTCAGACTTTCCTTGCTTTTGATGACTTGACTGTTTTGAGGAATACTGATCAGATATTTTGTAGGATGGCCCACTATTTGAATTTATCTAATGTTTTTCTCATGATATTACTGGGTCAGTGAGTTACTGGGAGGAGGATCACAGTGGTAAAGTGCCATTTGCATCACGCCATGTCAATAGAACATTCTATCAACATGATTTATGATGTTTGATGTTGACCTTGATCACCTGGCTGAGACTGTGTTTGTTAAGTTTCTCCACTTCAGAGTTACGCTTTTCTTGCTCTTACCCTTTCCACACTGTACTCTTCGGTAGGAAGTGACTATGCACAGTCCACACTCAAGGAATGGGAATTTATGTTCCCCAACTTGAGGGTGAAGCATCTACATAATTTATCTGAAATTCTTCTCCATGGGAGATTTGTCTCAGTAACCACATTTTAAATTTCCAAAATTCCATTCTTGTTCTTTGATTGTCTCTTTCTCACAGCATCCTATTCATACATGCTGTATCTTCTCTAATTTTTCTGACAATATCATTGTAGGATTTTGGCAGCAAGGACCTCTTTGGTTCTCTAAATTTCTGTTTCCTTGACAGTTTGCTTCTCTTAGTCTTTCCCTGACATTACAGTTTGTTTTCAAATTTCTGGAGACCCTTGCTTACTTATTCATATTCATGTCAAAATCAATAAACAGCAGGGCTCAGAGCTCTGCCTAGGGGAGTAGAGCTTATTGGCCAACGGGCTTCACTTTAGGATGAGTGGGAAGGGAGCTGTCCCTTCTGCTGGTAGCCCCTCTTAACATCAGAATGCAGTTTATTGGAGACATTAACACTCACACTAACTATCCTGGTTAATCTTAGACAGCATGTTTGGTCTCATTAGAGAATAACCTTCTTCATGTTAGTGGGGTTAGGGATGCTGAATGCCTGGCTGCTGGCCATTCTGAGCACTGGATTGGAGGGGTTGCTGTGGGTCATTTTGTTCCACAGACTGACCATTAAATAACACTCCAATTTTATACCTCACTCCTCACTCTTGTTCTCCATTGAACCACGTGCAGTTTCCAAGTCTGGAGTGTCCCTGGGACTCTAGCAGGTAGAACCCTAAAGACACTCCAGTCTCTCTCCACACAGGGCAATGGGTCTGGATGTGGCATGCTCCACCCTGCTTCAGTGGTCAGTGCTCTTTCATCTGCTTCCTCCCTCCTGGGAACCTGCTGAGCACTCTCCTACTCTGATTGGCCCCCTCCTGTCCTTGCTGTTATTTCTTGGCATCATTTTAGTGAGGGAGAGGAGAGAAGCATTATGCCATTTGTCACCTTGAACACGGCTCTACTTGTTTTAATTATAAAAGTATGGTGAATTAATTAAGGTAGGCTAAATAACTGTAACAAATTAACCCTAAAACATATAAGATATAGTAGCAGCTTCTTTCATATTAGTGTAATGGTCCAAAGTTTCTGGCAGTGGCCTCCCTCAATGCAGGGATTCAGGCACCCAGACTCTACCTTTCCTGTGACTTTGCCATTTCCCAGTGTCTCGCTGCTATCTGCACCTGGCCAGCAGAAGAGGAGACAGAGCAGGGAGGTGACATGCCTACTTTTTAAAAGCTTTGGGCCAGTGGCATATAGATCACATCCGCTCACACTGGACTGCTGAGAACCAGTCTTGTACCCACGGTTAGACTCAAGGAGGTTGGAGACCCAGTCCCTGCCTGGGCAGCCACTTGCTAGCTGCACCTGTGTGTGACGAAAGGGAGGATGGATCTGGTTGTGCATTTCTCTGGTCTCCTTTGCCACACATGTATGGGTCGAGGATGGGGTGACAGGCTATGGTAAGAATTGGGCAGAAGACACTTTTCTCAGTGACAATAGCCAGTCTTAATCATAGCAGTCTTAATCATACCTTCATCCCTGCATGTGCCGTAAGGCTGTGCCATGCTTCTCATTGAGCTACCCTAGCTGCTTTGAAGGGAAGCTGAAAGGAAACAATGCTCATTTAATAAATCCATGTGTCAGGCATTGTGCTAGGAGATTTACATGCAACCCCGACAACACACATTTTCTTTGAGTCACAACAAAAGCTGTTGCTCTCTGTTTATGAAATTTATGCTCCCTGTGGGAAAGGCATAGTATGTGGGGATCATTTTAAAGAAGTAAGTTGGCAGAAAATTATCATTCACCTACTAAGTGCTAGACATGATGCCAGGTCTTAGGAAGACAAAGATGGGAAAGACTCCATGCCTAATTTCCAGAAGCTCAGATTTCTCTAAAATGCAAACAAATCATCACAATAAAATGTGATAAGTGCTATCGTGGGAGACAGAGGAGAGGGAGAATCTTCTCTGCCTACAAGGGCAGGGAGGTTGGGAAGAGGGGTTCAGAGAAGGTGTCACAATGGAGATGTCTAGCATTTGAGTAGGGTCTTAAGAGATAGTTAGGATTTTTCCAAAGAGAAAGGGGCAGTGGGATATTCAGGCAGAGGGACCAACATACAGAGGTCAAGAGTCATGGATTTTCCAGGCAAGTAATGTGGTGCCTGATACAAGGGCATCCCAGGAAGGTGAGGCAGGAGTGGTGATGTGATAGTGAGGAGGAGGATGGTAGCAATCGCCAGCCCATAATCCACTTCCTGCCAGAACTTGCAGTCTCTGGCTGTCTCCCCCTTCTGTCCAATACATTCCAGAGTCAGCTGTCCTCACCAGCAATTTTAGCTTCCTCAGAGAATGGAGTGGACAGCTTACTTGAGACCAGGGCTTCTCAACCTCCTTAGCACAATTGACATTTGGGGCCAGATAATGCCTTGTGGTGGGGGCTGTGTTGTGCATGATAGAAGGGTTACAGAGTCCCTGCCTCTACTCATTAGATGCCAGAAGCACTTCCTAAGGTGTGACAACTAAAAATGTCTCCAGACATTGCCCAGTGTGCCCTGGAAAGCAGAATGGCCCTGCTTGAGAACCACCGTTTTAGACAAATATCACCTTTCTCTCATCTACCATAGAATAAAGCATAGTGTTGATATGGTTTCGCTGTGTCCCCATCCAAATCTCATCTTGAATTCCCACATGTTGTGGGAGGGACTGGGTGGGAGATAATCGAATCATGGAGACGGGTCTTTCCTGTGCTGTTCTTGTGATAGTGAATAAGTCTCAGGATATCTGATGGTTTTAAAAACAGGAGTTTCCCTGCACAAGCTCTCTTTTTCCACTGCCATCCATGTAAGATGTGACTTGCTCCTCCTTGCCTTCTGCCATAATTGTGAGGTTTCCCCAGCCACGTGGAACTGTAAGTCCATTGAACTTCTTTTTCTTCCCAGTCTCGAATATATCTTCATCAGCAGCATGAAAACGGACTAATACAAGTGTTTTGCAGACAGTGGGTCCATGTGTAAGCTGAGGACACATCTCCTTTGAGCCAGAGGGTCTATTTCATCAGCCAACAGTTCTGACTTGCTTCAGAGTAGTGCTCTGAGGAGCAGCCAATATACAATAGTTACCCTCTATTTTACATTTTGCTTACTTTAAACATGTCTGTCTTTTATTTTTAATATTAAAGCCAGGAAGACATTTAGTAGATAATTATTTTCTCAAATTGAAGGTCAAGTCACTTTTTAAAAATAAACTGATTGAGACCCAGGCAGATTAAAAATTATTTTTGAATGCTCTTTCTATCTTTTCAGGACAAAGTGACCTCTTTTGTGCTTTATGACCTAACCCTCCCAAAATAATACTTCATTTACTTGCAGATCCCCCAGCAGTCTATCTGGGGCAAATATCAGTCAGGCTCCCACATTTTGTCAACTACATGTTGACTTTGCTTGCTCGCACATCTGGCATCTAAAACATATGGATTAGGCTTTAATCAACAGCCCAGAATATTATCATTTTAGGCACCTGTCAGAGAATTCATCCCAGAATTGACTGTAGCCCAGCATTTGCCAAAATTGCAGTTGAGACATCTGATTTTCAGAGAGACCATCTAAAGGGCACATCAACTCCTGATTCTCTCAGTTCTCTAAGCTCTGCCCCCGCGCAAAGTCAGCTCATCAGAGAACAGTAGGTCCAGACTCTGTTATTAATCAAACTTTTCACAGAAGTGCATTTGGTGGGAAAAAGTTGTTATTTCATTTTTTTTCTTGGTAGAGGGAAATAAAAGAAATACCCATCTGTGGAAAAAAATATGTATTTTGCAAAATCATGGTCAAAGTTGCTGCCAATTATAATCCGAGTCCATTTGCTAAGAATGAATCGAGTTCTGGCTCTGGTAGCCAGGTAGGAGGGCCAAGCATGTGCTTTCAGACAGCAAACAAACTGGTTCCAAGCACAGCACCAGGGAAGGCCAGAGAGAAAGTTTCAGGTCTTACCAGGCTGCCAGGATGTTGGGGAGGACTAGAGGCAAAGCAATGAAGCACGTTCTGGGCTGACAAGAGTATGCCTGGGGGCTGGGGTGGGGATGGGGGCATCTGCCATACTCAGGAGGGCTATGCCTATGTTTTGGCTCTCTGGAGACTTTCAAAATTAACCCTTTAGACACAAGTGGGTCCTATGGTGAGCTCCAGGGAGAAAAAATGACATTTTCCCTCCAAGTGAGATGGAGGATGCAGGGCATTTAATTTAACTTGAGAGAGTGAATATATAAATGGACAATGGCCAGACCATACATAAAAATAGGACTCCTTCATAATCTGCAGCAACCTGCACAGGAAGCCAACTGATTATCTATAGTAACCAGCCCAGGAAGCCAACTGATTATCCATAGTAACCAGCCCAGAAAACCAGCCGATTATCTACACTAACCAGCCCAGAAAACCAACTGATTATCTGTAGTAACCAGCCCAAGAAACCAACTGTCTACAGTAACCAGCCCAGGAAGCCAACTGGTTATCTACAGTAACCAGTCCAGGAAACCAACTGATAGTAACCAGCCCAGGAAACCAACTGATAGTAACCAGCCCAGGAAACCAATGGATTATCTATAGTAACCAGCCCCAGGAAGCCAGCCTGCTACGTCAGACTTATAGGAAGTCAGACTACTATCTCTAGCAATAATCCAGGAAGCCAAACAGTAACCCCAAAGTAGACTTGATTAAAACTGACAGCTTCCCTAATTTTTGTCCTCACCCCAACTTAGGACCAACTACAGAAACCCAAATATACACACCTAACCAACCTCCTAGTGAGAGGTGACAGAGTGCTGGCAGTCCTCATAGCCCTTGCTCACTGTCGGCACCTCCTCTGCCTGGGCTCCCAATTTGGTGGCACTTGAGGAGCCCTTCAGCCCGCCGCTGCATTGTGGGAGCCCCTTTCTGGGCTGGCCAAGGCCAGAGCCGGCTCCCTCAGCTTGCAGGGAGGTGTGGAGGGAGAGGCGCCAGCGGGAACCAGGGCTGCACACCGCACTTGCAGGCTAGCTGGAGTTCCGGGTGGGCATAGGCTTGGCGGCCCCGCACTCGGAGCAGCCAGCCAGCCCTGCCAGCCCTGGGCAATGAGGGGCTTAGCATCCGGACCAGCAGCTGCAGAGGGTGTACTGGGTCCCCCAGCAGTGCCAGCCCACTGGCGCTGCGCTCGATTTCTCACTGGGCCTTAGCTGCCTTCCCGTGGGGCAGGGCTTGGGACCTGCAGACCACCATGCCTGAGCCTCCCACCCCCTCCATGGGCTCCTGTGTGGCCCGAGCCTCCCCGACGAGCACCACCCCCTGCTCCAGGGCGCCCAGTCCCATCGACCACCCAAGGGCTGAGGAGTGCGGGTGCACGGCACTGGGACTGGCAAGCAGCTCCACCTGCAGCCCTGGTGCGGGATCCACTGGGTGAAGCCAGCTGGGCTCCTGAGTCTTGTGGGGACGTTGAGAATCTTTATATCTAGCTCAGGGATTGTAAATACACCAATCGGCACTCTGTATCTAGCTCAAGGTTTGTAAACAAACCAATCAGCACCCTGTGTCTAGCTCAGGGTTTGTGAATGCACCAATGGACACTCTGTATCTAGCTACTCTGGTGGGGCCTTGGAGAACCTTTATGTCTAGCTCAGGGATTGTAAATACACCAATTGGCACTCTGTATCTAGCTCAAGGTTTGTAAACACACCAATCAGCACTCTGTGTCTAGCTCAGGGTTTGTGAATGCACCAATCCCACACTCTGTATCTAGCTGCTCTGGTGGGGCCTTGGAGAACCTTTGTGTCCATACTCTGTATCTAACTAATCTGATGGGGCCTTGGAGAACCCATATGTCTAGCTCAGGGATTGTAAACTCACCAATCAGCGCCCTGTCAAAACAGACCACTGGGCTTTACCAATCAGCAGGACATGGGTGGGCCCAGATAAGAGAATAAAAGCAGGCTGCCCGAGCTAGCAGTGGCAACCCGCTTGGGTCCCCTTCCACACTCTGGAAGCTTTGTTCTTTCGCTCTTTGCAATAAATCTTGCTACTGCTCACTCTTTGGGTCCACGCTGCTTTTATGAGCTGTAACACTCACCACGAAGGTCTGCAGCTTCACTCCTGAGTCAGCGAGACCACGAACCCACCAGAAGGAAGAAACTCTGAACACATCTGAACATCAGAAGGAACAAACTCCGGACACGCCGCCTTTAAGAACTCTAACATTCACGCGAGGGTCCGCGGCTTCATTCTTGAAGTAAGTGAGACCAAGAACCCACCAATTCCGGACACACTAGGATGCCCTGCTTCTAATTAGCTCAACTGCAGCTTCCCGATGCCAACAGCCTCTGATCAGGGGACACCTGAAGCCTTCTCTTTCTTCCATGATAAAGTTTTTCCATTCAGAGCTGCGCAGCGCAAGCGTCCTGGGCCCATAAAGTTTTCCCACTCCTCTGCCTGCCTTTGATTTTCTGCCAAATACGAGTCATGGTGGCTGACTGTCTTGCAATTGCAAATTTTGAATAAGTAGTTTTTGCTCATTTTCATTTGATTGGTCTCTTTTTATTCTCACAGAATGTTGAAAGTAATGTAACCTAATCTTGAACTCCAAGCAAGTAAAGCATGCTAGAGCAATACCCATGGAGGGGCATGCATGTAGCATGGTCCCACCCCGTCCATACATGTGCACCCAGTTTCTTCAGTCTGGAATGGCCTTGTCCCCTCTCTTCCCCCTGGAGGAATCCTACCCATCCTCCCAGGCTTGGCGTGAACATTTCTGCTTCTGAGGACCCTTCCCTGCCTGTCATCAGCAAAATCCCTGGAGTTCCCTTATTCCTCCATGTTAGAGTGATGACAGCAGCTCAGCATAAAATGTCAACAGGAAAGAAAGACACATTTCCTGAGTCATTATCTATTTCCTGAAGGCTTTTTACATGTGACATTTCACTAAATCCTCCCTTAACTTTGTGAAGTAGGAACTCCTTCCTCCATTTCCCAAATGGTGAAAGCAAGACTGTAACTCATTTTACAAAATTGAAGATGTATTTCTCTTTCCCAGTTCCCTTTTGAGCTTCTTATTAAGATTATTTCTGATGCATCTTACTTCTTTAATGCAGAGCAAATTCTGGACAAATGAAAGCTGTTTCATCCAGGCTTGGGGACTGAATGAATAAATAAATGAATGGGTTATCATGGGGCAGAAAAAATGAATTTGTTTACAAGCTTAGTCTGGCTTAAATGACTCATTACTCAAAAGCATAGACCATAT
Source organism: Homo sapiens (assembly GCF_000001405.40). Classification (NCBI taxonomy): domain Eukaryota; kingdom Metazoa; phylum Chordata; class Mammalia; order Primates; family Hominidae; genus Homo; species Homo sapiens. The sequence continues at coordinate 52,407,845 of NC_000004.12, read as the reverse complement.
GGTTCCCTTAGGTAAAGGGATCTAACTCAAACTTTTTCATCCACCCAGACCCCGTTTCTATGGACAGGAGATGAGTCATAAAATTCCAGGTGGAGGCGTCAAGTGTTTCCAACTCTGGCTGTGTTGGTTTGGAGGCTTTGATGCCTGTGGGTCACGTTCTGAAGACTTACCAGGGAGCAGCAAGTGAGAAGACAAATGTCAGCAGGTGATATATAATCTGTGCTTAAGCAACAGGGGAAGAAAACACTTGGTAAGCAGTGTATGAGAGAATGCATCATTTTGCCCAGCCTTAGGGAGTCCGCATCTTTGGTACTTTTAATTATTTTAAACATTTTTATGGAAAAGTTGTCATAGCAACAACATCAACAAATATTTTGAAGTGAAAAATTCTATTTCCAGCACCTTCAAGTAATAATTTTCATTTTTTGCTCATTTTCCACCCATGTCTAACCACACATAAGCATTTTATATACTTGTGACCACAAAGCAATGTCTATTTTGTGTCCTGCTTTTTTGCGTAACATCATGCCAAAAATATTTTCTATGTTTCTGAAGGCTTCATATTTAAAATGTTCCTCTGCCTAATATTTCATATGTTACTAAACTATTCCCACATTGTTAGGTAATTTGTTCACTTCTCAAATTTTTACCATTTTTTAGGACATGTTGCCAAAAGCATCTTCTTGCATATAACTATTTATTCTCATTATTGCCTTAGAATGAATGCAAAGGAATAGTGTTTCTGACATCTTTGTGGCTTCTGCTACATTAATACCATGTTGCTTTGCAGAAGCACTCTGCTAATTTAGAAAACCAGCAGTTTGAGGAGGATGCCTTGTTATGAAGCCTGTGCAGACTTATCCTTATGGTGGAGGGCTAGACAGTCAATGGATGCAGCAACTCCTTAAAAAGAATTAAAAGGCATTTGCTGAGGTAGCCATGTGGGCTGCACACGTGGGAAAAATTAACTCCAAGGCTGCCTTGATTAGAATTTTTCTGAAGCAAAACAATTTTGCTCTGGATATGTGAACTCTTATAATGGTAATAGAGGGTTTTCCTTTTCTCTCTTCTGAGTTTTGCATCTCTTAGGCCTAGGTGTGACTACAAAACCAGAGACTGGCTTTTACAAGCACACTGGAGTTCTTACCTGCAAACAGGAGCCCATCTTTCAAAGATCTTTCCATAGGAACCTCTCATATAATTGCTTAAACATGAAAACTTTCTTAGGGAATTGCATTCATGGCCAGTTTTTAAACTACAAAAGGAAACTTAGACTCATTTTATTATTTATTTATTATTTTTGTTTGTTTGTTTGTTTTTTTGAGACAGAGTTTCGCTCTTGTTGCCCAGGCTGGAGTGCAATGGTGTGATCTCGGCTCACTGCAACCTCCGCCTCCCAGGTTCAAGAGATTCTCCTGCCTTAGCCTCCCGAGTAGCTAGGATGACAGGCATGCACCACCACGCCTGGCTAATTTTGTATTTTTAGTAGAGATGGGGTTTCTCCATGCTGGTCAGGCTGGTCTCGAACTCCTGATCTCAGGTGATCCACCTGCCTCAGCCTCCCAAAGTGGTGGGATTACAGGCATGAGCCACCACACCCAGCCCAATTTATCTTTTTATTTCCACAAGAGATACTCACCAGTTTGGTGAGCAAGCAGTGAAAAGTAAGCCAGGCTGGTATGTCAAGTTCATAATGATAATTATAGTTGCCATCCTAGGAGCACTCACTGTGTGACAGGTTCAGTGCTGAGTCTCATCTGGATCATTCCACTGGCCTTCTCCCTGTGGCCCTGCTTTCACTCTGACCCCTACTATCTAATCCCCACACATCAACCAGAGTGATCATCTCAGAACACAAGTCAGATAGATCACTCCTCTACTCAAAATCCTTCAGTGGTTTCCATCTCACTTGGAGTGCAAACCCAAGTCCTCACAGGAGCCTGCCCCTCACCCTTCTTATCTCCCACTGCACCCCCTCACTGCCTGTATTAGTCAGTTCTCATGCTGCTAGTAAAGACATACCCAAGACAGGGTAATTTATAAAGGAAAGAGGCTTAAGGGACTCACAGTTCCACATGGCTAGGGAGGCCTTACAATCATGGCAGAAGACAAAGAAAGAGCAAAGGGATCTCTTACATGGCATGAGGCAAGAGAGAGCATGGGCAGGGGAACTCCCATTTATAAAACCATCAGATCTTGTGAGACTTATTCACTACTGTGAGAATAGTATGGGGAAACCACCCCAAGTTTCAATTATCTCCACCTGGCCCCACCCTTGACATGTGGGAATTGTTACATTTCAAGGTGAGATTTGGGTGGAGACACAGCCAAACCATATCACTCTCTTCCAGCCATGTTGAACCCCTGGCTGTTCCTTAAACATTCCAAACATGCTCTGACTTCAAGGTCAATGGAATGTGAGCTGTATATTGCATGTGCCTAGACATAAAGTATTCCCCACTACTAAGTGATGGAGCCCAAACAATTGTCCTGAATGCTGACTGCAGACCACCTTTGGTTGTCTCCATTCTGTGAGTTTAAATGCAGATAGAACACATTGCAATAAAACTATGGGCTTTGATTAGCAGTGAGTGATATGTGATCTGAAGATTTTGGGGGGTGGCAAATGCTTATATTTTGTCTATTAATTTAATATCCCCCAATAAAATTGACTGCAAGTGTTGGCTAAAGGATTGAGCCATGACCTTGTCTGTTTGACACTGCAGGTATTTCCAGGCAAGCAGAGGGTATATCCACATGATATTCTGCAATTTGTGATTTAGGGCAGGGATTGGTAAAATTTTCCTATACAGAGAGAGAGATTAAGTATTTTAAGCATTGCAGGTCATTGTAGCATGAACAAAACTTTATTTACAAAAGAAGGAAGTGGTCAGGTTTTCCAGTCCCTGATCTAGGGGCACATGTGGGAGCTCAAGCCAATATTTGGGAGCACAGGTCTGACATGAGAGTTCCTCATTGGAAAATAAATCACATTCTTTTTTTTCTTATACTTTCAGTGTCTGGCACCTCACCTGGCACATAGGAGACATTCAGTAAAAACCTTTCAAAATAAATGACTGAATGAATGAATGTATAGAGTTTGGAGTGCATAGATCTTTTTCTATATGTACAGAGAGATCTTGTTCATTCACAAATTTATTAGACAAAACATTTATTAAGTGTCCCCTATGTGCCAGACACTGGGGCTCAGTAAAAAAGATGGGATTTGCATCAGACCTCACAGAACACAGGGTCAATATGGGGAGACAGATGTTCAAGGGGGACTATCAGCAAAATGTGAAAATTGTTAACACAGAGGAAGTTCAGGGGGTTTTAGAAGCACTTTGGTTTGGAGGGCACTCTATGTTATGGTCCAGGAGAGTCCACTAGTCTCTGCGCTTGTCAATCAAGAAGCAGCAATGGCACAAACCCACAAATGCAGGGAACAGAGCTTATGTAAGTGAAGGACGTGGTCATCTTTGTAAACATGAATAAATTGTTTAGTTGTAAGCACTGTATTCAATAAGGGAGGTTCAAACTGCTTGCATAAGAGGGCTTTCTAGCTATTAATCAAGTGGAAAGCACTGTTGTGAAGGCTGTATTGGGAATTTTGAACACCATTTGATTTCTCTTCAAGCCTCTTTGAGGGAGTATTATGTTCAGAGCCAGCCTTTTAACAATGCACTATATTTAATCTTTTTACCACTTTTGACCTTTTTCTCTAAAAATTATTTCCATTATTCCAAATTTCATTTTGCCTTTGCTATACCTCTTTTGTAAATTTTTCTTTAGGAGATAAAGAACCCATTAAATGCTGTGAAGTCCCTGCCTGCCTTTAATATGGGAGGGATATGGGAGCTCTAATAGAAGGTCACTGGATTGTGAGAAAAATAGATTCACAGTGGGCACAGATTTCTTTTTGTATATATGCTGGCAGCAGTGCCTGGCTGTAACTATAAGAAAAATGGTAAACTCCATCCTTGCACTTTATTAGAATGACGTTTCTTACATTAAAACTGGTCAAACTATAACAAAAGGCCTAACATTCACGTCATCAGAGTTCTGAAGAGAGATGAAAAAGATGGGGCTGAAAAATTACTTGAAGAAATAGTGGCTGAACACTTCCTAAATTTGACAAAATATATAATTTAACAGTTGCAAGAAGCTCAGTGAACCCCAAACAGGGTAAGTTAAAAAAAAAAATCACACCAAGACACATCATATCAAACTTCTAAAAATTAAAGACAAAGAAGGATACCTTGAAAGTAGTGAGAGGGAAACAAAACCTTACCTGAGGGGAAAACAAATCAAATGACGATGTATTTCTCATCAGAAACCATGGAGGCTAGAAGAAAGTGGCACAACGTTTTCCAAATGCTGAAAGAAAAAAACTGTCGACCGAGACTCATAGTCCCAGCAAAAATATCCTCAGGAATGAAACAGAAATCAAAACATTCTCAAAGTAAAATGAAGATAATTTGTCATTAGCATACCTGCCCTAAAAGGATAGCAAACTGAACTTCTCTGAGCAGAAAGGGAACCATAAAAGAAGAAACCCTGAATCATCAAGAAGGAAGAAAAAAACACAGTAAGCATGATACTGTGATACAATAAAGCATACAGTAGTTCTCCCTTATCTTTGGGTGATATTCTCTGAGACCCCTGGTGGAGGCCTAAAACTGTGGACAGTACTGAACCCTATATATATATACTGTGTATATACTGTGTTTTTTTCATATACAAACATACAGGCTGGGTGCAGTGGCTCACACCTGTAATCCTAGCACTTAGGGAGGCCGAGGCAGGAGGATCACATGAGCCCAGGAGTTTGAGACCAGCCTGGGCAACATACAGAGATCTCTCTATAAAAAATGCTAAACAAATTTTTAAAAATTTAAAAAAGAAAACATTTAATAAATATGTATAATAAAGTTTAAGTTATAAATTAAGCATAGTAAGAGATCAACAATAACTTATGATAAAATGAAACAATTATAACATATACTGTGTAAAAGTCATGTGAATGTGGTCTCTCTCTCTCTAAATATCTTATCATATGTAGCATTTTCAGACTGCGGTCGACCACTGGTAACTGAAACCTTGGAAAGTGAAACTGCAGATAAGGGGGACTACTGTATATAATTTGGTTTTTATTTACAGTTCCTGGCTCAGAGCTCCTAAAACATTTGTAAAATCCTGAGTAACTGAAGCAATAGGAGTATTCTTGTTAAAGTATTTGGCCTTTTGTCACTTGTTCCTGAAACAACTCCCAAGCAGGTAAAAGATGTATTTTTTGTTATTCATAACAAACTCCTTTCAACCACACCTGAATTTATGTTAACAAGGTGATTTTTGGAAAGCCTGCAGAAAACAGAAAATGTGGGGCTCACTGCTGGGAAAACTAGTCATGAGATTGGAGGGTTGGAACTTTTAGCCCCACCCCCCAACCTCCAGGGAAGGGAGAGGAGGGGTTGAAGGTTGACTTGGTAACCAAAGGCCAATGATGTAATCAATCATATCTATGTAATAAAGTCTCCATGTACATACGAAAGGACAGGCCGGGTGCGGTGGCTCAGCCTGTAATCCCAGCACTTTGGGAGGCCGAGGCCTGCGGATCACGAGGTCAGGAGATCGAGACCATCCTGGCTAACAAGGTGAAACCCCGTCTCTACTAAAAATACAAAAAATTAGCCAGGCGTGGTGACATGCGCCTGTAGTCCTAGCCACTCGGGAGCCTGAGGCAGGAGAATCTCTTGAACCCAAGAGGCAGAGGTTGCAGTGAGCAGAGATTGTGCCAATGCACTACAGCCTGGGCGACAGAGCAAGACTCCATCTCAAAAAAAAAAAAAAAAAAAAAAAAGGAAGAAAATACAAAAGGACAGTTGGAGGCGGTGGCTCAGCCTGTAATCTCAGTCTCAGCACTTTGTGAGGCTGAGGCCTGCGGATCACGAGGTCAGGAGATTGAGACCATCCTGGCTAACACAGTGAAACCCCGTCTCTACTAAAAATACAAAAAATTAGCCGGGCGTGGTGGCTCACACCTGTAATCTCAGCACTTTGGAAGGCTAAGGCCTGCGGATCACGAGGTCAAGAGATCGAGACCAACCTGGCCAACATGGTGAAACCCCGTCTCTATTAAAAATGCAGAAATTAGCTGGGCATAGTGGCACATAATCCCAGCTACTCGGGAGGCTGAGGCAGGAGAATCACTTGAGATAGCGCCACTGCACTCCAGACTGGAGATAGAGCTTCTTCTCTTCTTCTTCTTCCCTTGAGCTTTCTAAAATATATTTGGTGGTGAAAGCAAAAGCATAATGTTGTCTACTGTGGTTTTAAATGTAGAGGAAATTGTTACAATAATTATACTATAAAGGAGGAAGGATAAAGGAATATAAAGAGAAGTAAGTTTCTATACCTCATTCGGACTGATAAAACGACAACACCTGTAGAATGTCTTCTGTATATATATTACCTATTATTCTACCTATTAATATAAGGTAATACATAGAGCAACCACTAAAAAAGCAATATTTAGATAAAAGTAAAAAATTCTATAGGCACATCAAATTTGAATTCTAAAATATGTTTAACTCACACGAAAGCAGGAAAGAGAAAGAGACATGAAAAATAGACATCACAGGCTGGGTGTGGCGGCTCATGCCTGTAATACCAGCACTTTGGGAGGCCGAGGTGGGCAGATCGTCTGAGGTCAAGACCAGCCTGGGCAACATGGTGAAACCCCGTCTCTACTAAAAATACAAAAATTAGCCAGGGATGGTGGCGGGTGCCTGTAATCCCAGTTACTTGGGAGGCTGAGGCAGGAGAATGGCTTGGGCCCAGGAGGCAGAGGCTGCAGTGAGCCAAGATTGCGCCACTGCACTCCAGCCTGGGCGACTGAGCAGGACTCTGCCTCAAAAAAAAAAAAAAAAAAAAGGAAAAGAAAAGTGACATCACAATTACCTAATACCTGTGGGACTTAAAACCTAGATGACAGGTTGATGGGTGCAGCAAACCACCATGGCGCATGTATACCTATGTAACAAACCTGCATGTTCAGCACATGTATCCCAGAACTTAAAGTAAAATAAAAAAGAAAGAAAAATAGACATCAAACAAAACAAAAGTTAAAATGGCACACTTATGCATAAACATTAATTACCTTAAACGTAAATGGTCCTAATAGACCAAATAAAAGAGAGATCGGTGGAGTGAATTAAATAAGGCTCAGCTACAGATGGTCCCAACTTATAATGGTTCGACTTATAATTTTTTCACTCTACAATGGTGTGAAGCAGTAGTAATTCAGTGGAAACCATACTTTGAGTACCTATACAATCATTCTGTTTTTCACTTTCAGTACAGATTACATGACCTATTGAGCACTTTATTATAAATAGACTTCGTGTTAGATGATTTTGCCCAACTGTGGGCAAATGTAAGTGTTCTGAGCATGTTTAAGGTAGGCTAGGATAAGCTATGATGTTCAGTAGGTTACATTTATTAAAGTATTTTTGACCTGGAATATTTTCAACTTATGATGGGTTTATCAGAACATAATAAGCTGAGGAGCATCAACATATGCCAAGAAGCTAAAAGAAACTCACTTTAAATATAAAGATATAGGCCAGTGGAAAGCAAAAAGATGGAAACAGTTATATCATGTACACACTAATTAAAGGAAAGCAGAAGTGGCTATTTTAACATCATATAAAGTGGACTTCAGAGCAAAGAAAATTATTGGAGACATAAAGGAACATTATATAATGACAAAAGGGCCAATCCACGCACAATTCATAGCCTAAATGTGTATGCAACAGAGTTATAAAACATGTGAAGAGAAAGGTGAAATAGATAAGTCCATAGTTATGGTTGGTGACTTCAACACTCTCAACAATTTATATAACAACTAGACATAAAATTAGCAAGGATATTGAAGAACTCAACACCAGCATCAACTAACAACATCTATTGAGTGTTTATAATACATTCCACCTATCTATAGCAGAATGCCTCTTGTTTTAAAGTGCTCATGGGATATATACCAAGATCAACAATATCCTGGGCCATAAAACAAACCTCAAAAAATTTAAGCAAATTGTAATTATACAGTGTGTTCTATGACCACAAAAGAATCACACTAGAAAAGATAAAAAAATCTCCAAACACTTGGAAACAACACACTTCTAAATAATTCGTGGATCAAAAAAGAAGTCTCAAGGGAAATAAAATACATTGAACTGAATGAAAATAGAAACAACACACCAGAATTTATAGGACACAGTTAAGCAGTGCTGGGGGGGAAACTTATAGCACTAAATGCATATATTAGAAAATAACAAACGTGTTAAATAAATAATATAAGCTATCATCTCAAGAACCTAGGTAAAGAAGAGAAAACTAAATCCAAAGCAAGGAGAGGGAAAGAAATAATAAAAAGAAGAGCAGAAATTGATGAAATTGAAAACAGAAAAAAATGTAGAAAACCAATGAAAGAAATTGCTGGGCCTTAGCAAAGGTCAAGCATGTTTACAAACTGCTAGCAAGACTGACAACGAAAAAAAGAAGATACAAATTACCAACATCAGGAATGAAACAAAATATCACTACAGACCTTACGGACCTGAAAAGAATAATAAGAGAATACTTGGAGCATCTCTACAAACATAAACTTGATGTTGGTTGGTGGCAGATTTGACATTATGTTGATATAACTTGGTAAATTTAGATAAAATGGACCAACTCCTCAAAAAACACCAACTACCATAAGTCATCCAATATGAAATAGATAATTTGAACAGCTCTATAACTATTAAGGAAATTGAATTTGTAATTTAAAATTTTCCCCAAAGAAATCTCTAGGCCTAGCAGGGCTCAGTGGCTTATGCCAATAATCCCAGCACTTTGGGAGGCCAAGGTGGGTGGATCACAAGGTCAAGAGATAGAGACCATTCTGGCCAACGTGATGAAACCCCATCTCTACTAAAAATACAAAAATTAGCTGGGTGTGGTGGCACGCACCTGCAGTCCCAGCTACTTGGGAGGCTGAGGCAGGAGAATCGCTTGAACCTGGGAGGTGGAGGTTGCAGTGAGCCAAGATCACGTCACTGCACTCCAGCCTCACAGCAGAGTGAGACTCTGACTCAAAAAAAAAAAAAAAAAAAAAAAAAAGAAATCTCTAGGCCCAGATTGTTTCACTGGAGAATTCTACCAAACTTTAAAGGAAAATCAATACCAATTCTGTAAAATCTCTCCACACAATAGAAGAGGAAGGATTACTTCCCAGTTCATTTTATGAAGCTGGTGTTATCTTGATATCCAAAGCAGAAAAATATCATACATGAAAAGAAAACTACAGACTAATATTCCTCATTGATATACAGTTGCAAAACTTATTTAATAAAGGAAGTCCACTCTCACTACTCTAATAAAACTTAATGTTGGAGGTTGTAGCCAGTGCAATAAAGCAAGGAAAGGAAACAGACATACAGACCATAGGGAAGGAATAAAACTGTTCTTATTTGCAAATGATATGTCTGTCTACATAGAAATGCCAAGATATTTACCAAAAAAAACTTCCAAAAATAACAGGTGAATTCATCAATGTCACAAAACTTAAGATAATATGCAAAACATATTAAAGAACATAAAAATGTTCAAAATGTAATATTCAAAAATGTAATACCATTTAAAATCAAAGAGAAAGGCAGAGGAACTTTTAGGTATAAATATAACAAAATGTATACAGGGCTTGTATGCTGAAAACTATAGAACTCTGAAAGAAATCTAAGAAGATCTAAATAAACAAGAGTTGTGACATGTTTATGGACTATAAGACTCAACATAGCAAAGATGTCAATTCTCCCCAAATTGATACACAGATTTAATGCAATTCCTATGAAAATATCAGCAAGATTTTTAATAGACATAGACAACATTATTCTAAAATTCATGTGGAAAGGCAAAAGAAATACAATAGCTAAAACCATTTCTAAAAAATAAGAGCACAATGGGAGGAGGTATAATAGCCATACTTGATTTCAAGACTTATTATATAGCTACAGTAATCAAGACTGTGTGGTATTGTGGAGGGATAGACACACAGATGGCGGGAACAGAATAGCGCAGTGGTTTCCCAGCCTTTTTGGTACCAGGGATGGGTTTTGTGGAAGACAGTTTTTCTATGGACCATGGGGGTGAGGTACAGGGATGGTTTTGGGGTGATTCAAGCACATTACATTTATTGTGCACTTTATTTCTATTATTATTACATTGTAATAGATAATGAAGTAATTATACAACTCACCATAATGTAGAATCAGCGGGAGACCTAAGCTTGTTTCCCTGCAGCTAGACGTTCCTATCTGAGTGTGATGGGAGACAATGACAGACCATCAGGCATTAGATTCTCATAAGGAGCATGCAACCTAGATCCCTCACATGCACAGTTCACAATAGGGTTCGTGCTCCTTTGAGAATCTAATGCCTTGGCTGATCTGATAGGAGGTGGAGCTCAGGTGGTAATGCAAGCAAGCGATGGGGAGTGGCTGTAAATACAGATGAAGCTTCACTTGTTGGCCTGCTGCTCACCTCCTGCTGTGTGGCTGGGTTCCTAATGGGCTGTGGGGCGGGGAACCTTGGAATAGAGAACCCAGAAGTAGACCCCCCCCAAAAAATATTCGGTTGATATTTACAAAGGTCTAAAAGAAATTCAATGCAGGAAAGAGCTTTCTCAGCAAATGGTGCTAGAGCAATTGGACATCCATAAGCAAAAAAAGTGAATCTTGACCTAAGTCTCACACCTTATAAAAAAATTATGTCAAAATGGATCATGGGCTTAAATGTAAAACTATAAAAATTATAGAAAAAAAGAATATAGGAGAAAACCTCCAGGATCTAGAGCTACAAAGAGTTCTTAGATGGAAGACCAAAAGCATAATTCATAAAAGGAGAATTGATAAATTGGACTTTATCAATAAAAACTTTTGCTCTGTGGAAGACCCTATCAAGTAGAGGAGATGAGCTAAAAACGTTTGCAAACCACATATTCAAGAAAAGGCTAGTATTTCAAATATACAAGGAACTCTGATAATTCAACAGTAAAAAAAAAAAACAAAAAAAAACCCAAACAGTTTAATTAGAAAATAAGAAAAAGACATAAATATTTCATCCAAGTGGATATACAGACAGAAAATAAACACATGGAAAGATGCTGAACAACATTAGCTTTTAGAGAAATGCAAGTTAAAACCGCAATGAGCTATCACCACACACTTATCAGAATAACTAAAATTAAAAATAGTGAAAATATAACATGCTGGACAGGATGCAGAGAAAATGAAGCATTTATACATTGCTGGTAGGAATGTAAAGTGGTATGCCACTCTGGAAAACAATTTGAGTTTCCAAAAAGAATTAAACACAGAATTACTATTCAACGAAGTAATTGTAGTTTTGGGCGTTTTATCCAAGATAAATGAAGACTTACATTTATACAGACACATGTACACAAATATTTATAGCACCTTTATTTGAAATAGCCCAAACTGGAACACAGCTTACACATGAAATCGGTAAGTCCAAGAGATATCTGCACTCCCATGTTCCCTGCAGCGCTATTTACAGTAGTCACAAATGGAATTAACCTAATGTTCATGGATGGATGGATGAATATATTTTTTACAAAATGTTATTCAGTCTTAAAAAAGAAAACCCTGCCATTTGTGACTACGTGGATAAACCTAGAGGACCTGTCCTTCAGTGGCTGAATGGTTAAACAGACAGATGTTATCATTGGGAGAAACTGTAATGGGCACATTGGGTTCCTCTGTGTTATTATTTTTTTTTACAACTGCAAGTGAATCTAAAATTATCTCAAAATAATAAATCTATTCATTATTCTCCAGCTTTAATAAGGTATAATTGACAAAAAACTATATATTTATGGTGTCCAATGTGATGTTTTGATATATGTATACATTGTGAAATGGTTGGCGAATTAACATATCTATCACCTCACATATTTGTCATACTTCGTGGTGAGTACATTTAAGATTTACTCTTTCAGCAATTTTCAAGTACATTATTAACTTTAGTTACTATGCTGTGTATTAGATTTCCAGAACTACCTATTGATCTTAACTGAACTTTGTACCCTTTGACCACTATCTCTCCATCTTCTCCCCTCCTGCCATTCCACAGCCCCTGGCATCCACTATTCTACTCTCTGCTTCTATGAGTTTGACTTTTTTTTTTTTTGAGACGGAGTCTCACTCTGTCTCCCCCAAGCTGGAGTGCAGTAGCGCGATCTTGGCTCACTGCAAGCTCCGCCTCCCGGGTTCAAGCTATTCTCCTGCCTCAGCCTGCCGAGTAGCTGGGACTACAGGCACCTGCCACCATGCCTGGCTAATTTTTTGTATTTTTAGTAGAGACGTGGTTTCCCCGTGTTAGCTCCTGACCTCGTGATCCGCCCGACTCCGCCTCCCAAAGTGCTGGGATTGCAGGCGTGAGACACCGCTCCCGGCCATGAGTTTGACTTTTTAAAATTTAATTTGATTTGATTTTATTATTATTATACTTTAACTTTTAGGGTACATGTGCACAATATGCAGGTTAGTAACATATGTACACATGTGCCATGCTGGTGTGCTGCACCCATTAACTCGTCGTTTAGCATTAGGTATATCTCCTAATGCTATCCCTCTCCCCTCCCCCTACCCCACAACAGTCCCCAAAGTGTGATGTTCCCCTTCCTGTGTCCATGTGTTCTCATTGTTCAATTCCCACCTATGAGTGAGAATATGTGGTGTTTGGTTTTTTGTTCTTGTGATAGTTTACTGAGAATGATGATTTCCAATTTCATCCATGTCCCTACAAAGGACATGAACTCATCATTTTTTATGGCTGCATAGTATTCCATGGTGTATATGTGCCACATTTTATTAATCCAGTCTATCATTGTTGGACATTCAGGTTGGTTCCAAGTCTTTGCTATTGTGAATAGTGCCACAATAAACATACGTGTGCATGTATCTTTATAGCAGCATGATTTATAGTCCTTTGGGTATATACCCAGTAATGGGATGGCTGGGTCAAATGGTATTTCTAGTTCTAGATCCCTGAGGAATCACCACACTGACTTCCACAATGGTTGAACTAGTTTACGGTCCCACCAACAGTGTAAAAGTGTTCCTATTTCTCTACATCCTCTCCAGCACCTGTTGTCTCCTGACTTTTTAATGATTTCCATTCTAACTGGTGTGAGATGGTATCTCATTGTGGTTTTGATTTTCATTTCTCTGATAGCCAGTAATGGTGAGCATTTTTTCATGTGTTCTTTGGCTGCATAAATGTCTTCTTTTGAGAAGTGTCTGTTCATGTCCTTCACCCACTTTTTGATGGGGTTGTTTGTTTTTTTCTTGTAAACTTGTTTGAGTTCATTGTAGATTCTGGATATTAGCCCTTTGTCAGATGAGTAGGTTGTGAAAATTTTCTCCCATTTTGTAGGTTGCCTGATTCACTCTGATGGTAGTTTCTTTTGCTGTGCAGAAGCTCTTTAGTTTAATGAGATCCCATTTGTCAATTTTGGCTTTTGTTGCCATTGCTTTTGGTGTTTTAGACATGAAGTCCTTGCCCATGCCTATGTCCTGGAAGAGTTTGACTTTTTAAGATTCCACATATAAGTGAGATCATGCAATATTTGTCTTTCTGTGCCTGGGTTATTTCACTTAGATAGTGTCCTCCAGGTTTATCCACGTTGTTAAAAATGGCAAGGAAATCTGAATGCCAATGGAAGACTGAATAGTACTTTAAAAAATTATTCATCCATCCATCCATAAACATTAGGTTAATTCCATTTGTGACTGTTGTATATAGTGCTGCAATGAACATGGGAGTGTGAGTGTCTCTTAGACATACTGATTTCACTTCCTTTGGTTATATATCCAGAAGTGGGATTGCTGAATCATATGGTAGTTGTATTTTTAATATTTTGAGGACCCTCCATACTATTTTCCATAATGGCTATACTAGTTTATATTCCTGCCAATATTACACAAGAGTTCCTTTTCTCCATATCTTTGCCAATACTTATTTTATGTCTTTTTGATAATAGCCATTGCAACAAGCATGAGTTGATATTTCATTGTGGTTTTAATTTACATTTCCCCAATTAGTGATGTTGAGCACTTTTTCATCTGTTGGCCATTTGTATGTCATCTTTTGAGAAATGTCTTTTCATCTCCTTTGCCCATTCTTACAATTTTAATTGGGTTATTTGTCTTCTTGCTGTTGAGTTGTTTGAGTTCTCTAAATATTTTGGATATTAACCTCTTATCAGGTGTGTAATTTGCAGATATTTTCTCTCATTCCATAATTTGTCTCTACTCTGTTGGTTGTTTTCTTTACTATGCAGAAGCTTTTCAGTTTGATGCAATCCCATCTATTTTTGGTTTTATTACCTGGGCTCCAAAATTGTAAGTTTAATTTTTAAAATCTAGTAATGAGAAGCTTAAAAAAATCAGAATCAGGAAGTATTTATTGAGCCCTTACTTTGGCCAGAGACCATTTTAGGAGCTGAGGATACATCAAGGAATGCAAGAATCTAAATCCCTGTCCTCACAGGGCATCTATTTTAGAGCAATAGAGAGAATTAACAAAGACGAAAATTCATAATATAATGTTGAGTATTAGGAAATACTGTTACCAAAAATAAAACAACCTAAGGAGATAGAGAATGTTTGGGGGAAAGGGTAGAAGGCTTTTATAGATAAATTGTTCAAGGGAAGCGTTTTAGGAGAAGATCACATCAAAATTGCTCAAGGGAAGTCTCAGGAGAAGATGGCATCTCTGTGGAGATTTAAGATGATTAGTTTGATTTGGGACATGTTTCACTGAGACACTACCTGGGTATAGATAGCCAGGTAAAGCTGTCCCGAAGGTAGGAATAGAGACAGAGTTTGGAGTAATTTTCATGAGGATGAATGTTTAATGGACATAGGGCTAAATGAGATAAGTAAGAGTGGGAGCATGCAGAGAGGATAGGAAAAACCAAGGACACAATCTTTAGGAGTCAGTAGGAATGTTCTACTCCTCCCAGTGAAGGCTGCTTTGAATGAGACTGAGCCAGACTTCCTTAGTTTTCTTTGTGAGTTGCTCCTTTTCTTCTCACCATCCTAATACTGGAGCTTATCAGTCTATAGCCTTGAGGCTCTTTTCTTCTTTATCTCTACCACTCCCTTGGAGCTCTCATCCAGCCTGAACCCTTCTCCTGAGCTCTAGACTCTTATATCCAACTGCCTATCTTCACTTCATTTGGGTATCTACCTAATTTTCTTGAATTAAATTTGGGAATATAGGTATTGATAGAGTAAAAATGCAGTTTTTAAATATATATTATATATATATTATATATATATTTATATACATGCATACAGAGAGAGAGAGAGAGATTGAGAGAGAGAAAGAGATGGGATCTTGCCATGTTGCCCAGGCTTGTCTTAAGCTCTTGAGCTCAAGCAATCCATCTGCTTTGGCCTCCTAAAGTGCTGGGAATTACAGGCATGAACCACTGTGCCCAGCCTTAGAAATGCAGGGAGTTTCTAACAGATCCTAAAATTTATGAATGTATTTTGATTTCATAGGATTTGGTGCATCCTGGCCCCAAATTTTAACAAGGCCCTTTCTTTTAAGTTTCCTTCAAATACTTTCTATTTTATTGACATACATCTTTTTGTATACTTTATTTATAGTCCATGTTTTGCAGCTACTAAAGAGGAAAAAATATAATACTGGGTGAAAATGAAGAAAGCAGAAATGGAATGGATGAAATGACCTTATTACCTCTTTTTCTGATTTTTTAAAATGGTGGTTCCATCAATATAAATGAGTTTTGCAGAGGGAGATATCATATTGTGAAATAATTCCTATTTCAAGCTCCAAACATATTTTATTCTGAGATGTATGCATATTCTCTAGTCCATAGCGAACCATTTCCAAGCAGTCAGAAATATCTCATGTAATTAAAAGTCATTCCAAATCACCTTAAAGTTTGGTCAGTTTTGTTAATCCTATGTATTTAAGATAAAAAGGGAAGACACATCCTTACTTATGTTATCACCACATTTAGAACAGAGGTGCAATGAGGCCATTTGCCAATTCCTGTGGAAATTGTTTTCATGTCTTGAGACAACAGCACATTCTGCCTCTGCTCTCAATATATAATATTATATATAATATATTAATATCATATTACATATATAATATATAATATAACTTCAGTGCCAGTAAAGATGTATTAGTTATCTATCTCTGTGTTACAAATTAGCCCACAACTTGGTGGCATAAAACAACAACATGGATTATCTCTGTTTCCATGGGTCAGAAATCTTAACTGGTCTTCTGACTCAAGAGCTATCACAAGCAGGATGAAGATATCAGCCTTAAGCATTCCATTTGAAAACTGGCACAAGACAAGGATGCCCTTTCTCACCACTCCTATTCAACATAGTATTGGAAATTCTGGCCAGGGCAATCAGGCAAGAGAAAGAAATAAAGCGTATTCAAATAGAAAGAGAAGAAGTCAAATTGTCTCTGTTTGCAGGTGACATGATTGTATATTTAGAAAACCCCATTGTCTCAGCCTAGAATCTCCTTAAGCTGATAAGCAGCTTCAGCAATGTCTCAGTATCGGGGGAAATTCAGCCAGATATCAGGTGAAATTCACCCCTGATATTTCATGTAGGTTTTTTTCTATTTTCTCTAAGTGTTGGCTGGTCTGAGAAATAAAGGGACAGAGTACAAAAGAGAGAAATTTTAAAGCTGGGTGTCCAGGGGAGACATCACATGTTGGCAGGTTCTGTGATGCCCCCTGAGCTGTAAAACCAGCAAGTTTTTATTAGTGATTTTCAAAAGGGGAGGGAGTGTACGAATAGGGTGTGAGTCACAGAGATCACATGCTTCACAAGGTAATAAGATATCACAAGGTAAATGGAGGCAGGGTGAGATCACAGGACCACAGGACCACGGTGAAATTAAAATTGCTAATGAAGTTTAGGGCATGCATTGCCATTGATAACATCTCATCAGGAGACAGAGTTTGAGAGCAGACAAGCGGTCTGACCAAAATTTATTAGGTGGGAATTTCCTCATCCTAATAAGTCTGGGAGCACTATGGGAGACTGGAATTTATTTCATCCCTACAGCTGCAACCATAGAAGATAGACTTTCCCAAAGCAGCCATTTCATTTCCCAAAGAGGCCTACCATCAGGGATGCATTCTCTTTCTCAGGGACGTTCCTTGCTGAGAAAAAGAATTCAGTGATATTTCTCCCATTTGCTTTTGAAAGAAGAGAAATATGGCTCTGTTCTGCCCAGCTCACCGGCAGTCAGAGTTTAAGGTTATCTCTCTTGTTCCCTGAATATTGCTGTTATCCTGTTCTTTTTTCAAGGTGCCCAAATTTCATATTGTTCAAACACACATGCTCTACAAACAATTTGTGCAGTTAACACAATCATCACAGGGTCCTGAGGCGACATACATCCTCCTCAGCTTACGAAGATGATGGTACTAAGAGATTAAAATAAAGACAGGCATAGGATATCACAAGGGTATTGATTGGGGAAGTGATAAGTGTCCATGAAATCTTCACAATTTATGTTCAGAGATTGCGGTAAAGACAGGCATAAGAAATTATAAAAGTATTAATTTGGGGAACTAATAAGTGTCCATGAAATCTTCACAATTTATGTTTTTCTGCCATGGCTTCAGCCAGTCCCTCTGTTCGGGGTCCCTGATTTCCCCCAACATCTCAGGATACAAAATCAACGTGCAAAAATCAAAAGCATCCCTGTACACCAACAACAGACAAACAGAGAGCCAAATCATGAGTGAACTCCCATTCACAATTGCTACAAAGAGACTAAAATACCTAGGAATACCACTTACAAGGGGTGTGACGTACCTCTTCAAGGAGAACTCCAAACCACTGCTCAAGGAAATAAGAGAGGACACAAACAAATGGAAAAACATTCCATGCTTGTGGACAGGAAGAATCAATATTGTGAAAATGGCCATACTGCCCAAAGTAATTTATAGATTCACTGCTGTTTCCATTAAATTACCATTGACATTCTTCACAGAATTAGAAAAACCTACTTTAAAATTAATATGAAACTAAAAAAGAGCCTGCATAGCCAAGACAACCCTAAGCAAAGAGAATAAAGCTGGAGGCATCAGGCTACCTGACTTGAAACTATACTACAAAGCTACAGTAACCAAAACAGCATGGTACTGGTATCAAAACAGGTATACAGACTAATGGAACAGAACAGAGGCCTCAGAAGTAATGTCACACATCTACAACCATCTGATTTTTGACAAACCTGACAAAAAAAAGCAATGGGGAAAGGATTCCCTATTTAATAAATGGTCTTGGGAAAACTGGCTAGCCATATGCAGGAAACTGAAACTGGACTCCTTCCTTACACCTTATACAAAAATTAACTCAAGATGGATTAAAGACTTAAACATAACACCTGAAACCATAAAAACCCTAGAAGAAAACCTAGGCAATACCATTCAGGTCATAGGCGTGGGCAAAGACTTCATGAAAAAAACACCAAAAGCAATGGCAACAAAAGCCAAAATTGACTAATGGGATCTAACTAAATTAAAGAGCTTCTGCACAGCAAAAGAAACGATCATTAGAGTGAACAGGCAACCTACAGAATGGGAGAAAATTTTTGCAATCTATCCATCTGACAAAGGGCTAATATCCAGAATCTATAAATAACTTATACAAATTTACAAGAAAAAAAAACCCCATCAAAAAGTGGGCAAAAGATATGAACAGACACTTTTCATAAGAAGACATTTATGTGGCCAACAAACATATGAAAAAAAGCTCATCATTACTGGTCATTAGAGAAATGCAAATCAAAACCACAATGAGATACCATCTCATGCCAGTTAGAATGGTGATCATTAAAAAGTCAGGAGACAACAGATGCTGGAGAGGATGTGGAGAAATAGGAATGCTTTTATGCTATTGGTGGGAGTGTAAATTGGTTCAACCATTGTGGAAGACAGTATGGCGATTCCTAAAGGATCTAGAACCAAAAATACCACTTGACCCAGCAATCCCTTTACTGGGTATATACCGAAAGGATTATAAATCATTCTACTATAAAGACACATGCATACCATATGTTTATTGCAGCACTGTTCACAATAGCAAAGATTTGGAACCAAGCCAAATGCCCATCAATGATAGACTGGATAAAGAAAATGTGGCACATATACACCATATGCAGCCATAAAAAGGGATGAGTTCATGTCTTTTGCAGGGACGTGGATGAAGCTGGAAAGCATCATTCTCAGCAAACTAACACAAGAACAGAAAACCAAACACTGCATGTTCTCACTCATAAGTGGGAGGTGAACAATGAGAACACATGGACGCAGGGGGAGGGGTACATCACACACTGGAGACTGTCGAGGGGTGGGGTGGGGGGCTAGGGGAGGGATAGCATTAGGAGAAATACCTAATATAGGTGACGGGTTCATGGGACCAGCAAATCACCATGGCACGTGTATACTTATGTAACAAACCTGCACATTCTGCACATGTATCCCAGAACTTAAAGTATGGGAAAAAAAAAAAAAAACAAAACCAGGAAAACCGTTTTTTTTTAAAAAAGATACCAGCTTGGGCTGCAGTGAACTCAAGGCTAGACTGGGGTAGGAGAGTCTTCCAAGCTCACTGACTGGATCGGCAGGATTCTGTCTCTTTTCTCATGAGCCTTTCCATAGGGCAGCCCACAACGTGACTACTTACTGCATCAGAGAAAGCAAGCAAGAAGATACAGAGAAAGACAGACAGAGAGAGAGAGAGAGAGAGAGAGAGAATGCGAACAGTAGAGAAGTTAGTCTTTTATAAGCTACCAATCTTGTAAGTGACATGCCATCACTTTAGCTGCACTCTTGTTGCCAAAAGCAAGTCACTAGGCCCAGCCTACACTCAAGTGTAGGAGAATATATAAGTACCAGGAGGCAGAGATGGTTGGGGGACATTTTAGAGGCAGTCCTGCCACTTGATGCATGGATATTTGTTGAATGAATGAATAATTGCATAAATGAGGTTATATAGTTTGATGCTAATCATAATGAAGGATCAAACTATGGCATCCCAGACAAAGTCAATATGTATCATTGTATACTTACAGGTGAAAGTACATTTCAGTGGAGGTCCACTTTCAAAAGGATCTGGCTGCTACAGTCAGATATTTTTGTAGCTTTGTTGAGTCAGTGGGACAAGAAGGGCACTTCCTTAAAATGTTTATTTGTGTCTGGTTGGGTTCTGCCAACCTGGATGTGGAAGGCAAATATTACCAGTGAACTGTCACTGGCTCACTCAAGAAGATTCAGGCTTACAAAATTCTTAGGCATATACAAAATCTTTCCTTGATTAAACAAAAAAAGGTTATTAGCACCCTCCCAATGTGCTTTTTGAAGTAATACATTTATCCAATAGACATAAAATAAAGACTTCTGGCTGCTAAATGAATGAATGCCAATGGCAAATATGAAATAACTTTTGCAGTTATCTACCTCAATGTAGACACTGCATTCAGAAAGTATGCTGTGAAACCATGCTAAGTATCATGCCTGAGCCAGCCTCAAAGTGAGAGTCACTGAAACAAATGTTCCTATAAAAAGCCTGCATCAGGAAGTCCTAGCCAGGGCAACTAGGCAAGAGAACAAAAAAAGGCATCCAAATTGGAAAAGAAGATGAACTATCTTTCTTTACTGATGATATGATTCTATATATAGAAAAACCTAAGGACTCTGCCAAAAGTCTCCTGGAACTGATACGAATTCAATAAAGTTTCAGGATACAAAATCAATGTACAAAAATAAGTCGCATTTCTATACACTAATAATGTTCTAGCTGAAAACCAAATCAAGAACACAACAACATTTACAATAGCCACACAAAAAAGAAATATCTAGGAATTCATCTAACAGGAAGATGAAAGATCTGTACAAGGACAGCCACAAAACACTGCTGAAAGAAATAGACAACACAAATAAATGGAAAGCTATTCCATGCTCATGGATTGGAAGAATCAATACTGTTAAAATGGCCATATTGCCCAAAGCAATTGCAGATTCAATGCTATCCCTATGAAAATACCAATATCATTTTTCACAGAATTAGAAAAAAATCTGTTCTAAAATTCATTTGAAACCAAAAAAGAGCCCTAGCCTGAATAGTAAAAGCAATCCTAAGCAAAAAGAACAAAGTTGGAGACATCACATTACCTGACTTCAAAATCTACTACAGGGATACAGTAACCAAAACAGCATGGTACTGGCACAAAAACAAACACATAGACTCATGGAACAAAATAGAGAACCCAGAAATAAAACTGCACACCTACAACCATCTGTTCTTTGACAAAATTGACAAAAATAAGCAATGGGAAAAGGACTTCTTATTCAATGAATGGTGCTGGGATAACCGGGTAGCTATATGCAGAATGATACTAGATCCCTATCTCTTATCTTACAAAAATTAACTCAAGATGGATTAAAGGTTTAAATGTAAGACTTCAAATGATAAAAATATTAGAAAAAAACCTAGGAAATGCACTTCTTGATATTAACTTTGGAAAATAATTTATGGCTAAGTCCCCAAAAGCAATTGCAACAAAAACAAATATTAACAAATAGGACCTAATTAAACTAAAGAGCTTCTGCACAGCAAATTACTAATGGAGTAAACAGACAGCCTACAGAATGGGAGAAAATATTTGCAAACTATGTGTCTGACAAAGATCTAATATCCAGAAGCTACAAGGAACTTAAATCAACAAGCAAAAACCAAATAATCCAATTTAAAAATGGGCAAAGGACATGAAGAGACACTTCTCAAAAGAAGCCATACAAGTGATGAACAAAAATTGAGAAAGTGCTCACCAGATAAATGCAAATCAAAACCACAATGAGAAGCCATCTCACACCAGTCAGAATGATGATTATTTAGAAGTAAAACATAACAGATGCTGGCAAGGTTGAGAAGAAAAGGGAATGGTTGTACACTGTTGAGGGGAATGCAAACTAACTCAGCCTATGTGGAAAACGGTTTGGAGATCTTTCAAAGAAATTAAAATAGAACTGCCATCTGACCTAGAAATCTCATTATTGGGTGTATATCCAAAAGAAAACAAATCATTCTACCAAAAAAACCACATGCACTCATGTGTTCACTATGTCATTATTTACAATAGCAAAGACATGGAATCAACCTAAGTGCCCATCAGCGGTGGATTGGAGAAAGAAGATGTGGTACATATACACCACGGAATACTATGCAGCCATAAAAAAGAATGAAATCATGTCCTTTGCAGCAACATGGATGCAGCTGGAGGCCATTATCCTAAGCAAATTAACTCAAGAATAGAAAATCAAATACTGAATGTTGTCACTTATAAGTAGGGGCTAAACATTGAATACAGATAGACATAAAGATGGGAACAGAAGACACTGGGGACTACTGGATGGGGGAGAGAGGGGAGTGTGAGCTGAAAAAACACCTATTGGGTACTATGCCCACTATCTTGGTGATGGGATCATTTGGAACCCAAACCTCAGTGTCACACAATATACCCATGTAGCAAACCTGCACATGTACCCTTTAATCTATAATAAAAGCTGAAATTATATATATATAAATCAAGTTGGAAAAAAACTTTAAAAGAAGTTTTTTAATTAAAAAATTCTGCAGCACAGCTCTCTCAATGTCCCATCTTCTTCCCAGGATTTGTGGTTGTTGATTATGCCAGATTTCCAAAACAATCCTTGCTACAGCCAGCACTGGCCCTACCAGTAGTGAGGTTAGGTGTGTGAAAGGAAAACAAATCTCGAGACCCCAAACTCACTAAGCCAAAGGGAAAAGTCAAGCTGAGAACTGCATCAGGGAAACCTACCTCCCATTTTAGTCCTAAATAAGATAGCTACAAAGATAAAAATGCTACATTCCTCCCTCACGGTGGTCACCACTGGATGTCATCTGAGGGCTGAGGAATCACTGTCTTGCTCAAAAGCATCCCCTTTCTGTCATTGGTCTTGAGTTGGGGAAATGTGTGGAATGCCCCGTGAGGGCTGGGTAGGTCCCTTGGGGCTGTGAACAGGCAAAGAGCCTCCTCCACCACAGCTCAGCTGGCTTTTCCACTGGACCACTGTTGTACATCAACTGCATTAAGCATATAATCTCAGATTCATCTCCCAATCCCATTAGGGGTGATGCTGCCTACCATTTCACAGACGAGAAAGCCAAGGCTTAGGGAGACCAAGTAACAGGATTTGAGTGCAGCATCATCTAGCTTGATTGCCACAACATGATTCCTGTTCAGGGTCTGTTCTGTCCTGGGTTGAATAGTGACCCCTCACCCCCAAATTCACATCTATCTGGAACCTCAGAATGTTTCTTGAATTGGAAACAGGGTATTTGCAGATGTAAATAGTTAAAATGAGGGCATACTGGATTATGGTGGGCCCTCAATCCAGGGACTGATATCTTTATCAGAGAAAGGAGATGGAGATTTAGACACAGATGCATACACAGGGAAAAAGCCATGCCAAGAGGGAGGCAGTGACTGGAGTGATGAGTCTGCTACCCAAGAAGGCCATGGACTGCTGGGATCCACCAGGTGCTGGGAAGAGAAAAGGAAGGTGATATGTTTTTGTTCTGTGTCCCACCCAAATCTCATGTTGAATTGTAACCCCCACGTGTCAGGGGAGGAACCTGGTGGGAGGTGATTGGGTCATGGGGAGGACTTCCCTCATGCTATTCTTGTGATAGTGAGTGAGTTCTCATGAGATCTGATGGTATAAAAGTGTGTGGCACTTCCCCCTTTGCTCTCTCTCTCTTGCTCCACATGGTAAGACATGCTTTCTTCCCCTTCACCTTCGCCGTGATTGTAAGTTTCCTGAGACCTCCTAGACATGCTTCCTTTACAGCCTGGGGAACTATGAGTCAATTAAACCTCTTTTCTTCTCAAATTACCCAGTCTCAGATAGTTCTTTTTTTTTTTTTTAAGAAGTTCCAGGATACATGTGCAGAACATGTGCAGGTTTGTTACATAGGTATATGTGTGCCATGGTGGCTTGCTGCACCTACTGACCTGTCCTCTAAGTTCCCTCCCCTCACTCCCCATCCTCCAACAGGCCCTGGTCTGTTTTATCCTCTTCCCTGTGTCCATGTGTTCTCATTGTTCAACTCCAACTTATGAGTGAGAACATGTGGTGTTTGGTTGTCTGTTCCTGTGTTAGTTTGCTGAGGATGATGGCTTCCAGCTTCATCCATGTCCCTGAAAAGGACATGATCTCATTCCTTTATATGGCTTTGTAGTATTTCATGGTGTATATGTGCCACATTTTTTTTATCCAATCTATCACTGATGGACATTTGAGCTGGTTCCATGACTTTGCTATTGTAAGCAATGCTTCAATAAAAATACGTGTGCATGTGTCTTTATAGTAGAATAATTTATAATCCACTGGGTACATACCCTGTGATGGGATTGCTGGGTCAAATGATATTTCTGGTTCTAGATCCTTGAGGAATTGCCATACTGTCTTCCACAATGGTTGAACTAATTTACACTCCCACCAACAGTGTAAAAGCGTTCCTGTTTCTCCACAGCCTTGACAGCATCTATTGTTTCTTGAATTTTAATAACTGTCATTCTGACTGGCATGAGATGGTATCTCATTGTGGTTTTGATTTGCATTTCTCTAATGATTAGTGAGGTTGAGCTTCTTTAATAGGTTTGTTGGCCACACAAATGTCTTCTTTTGAGAAGTGTCTGTTCATATCTTTTGCCCACTTTTTGATGGGGTTGTTTGCTTTTTTCTTGTAAATTTGTTTAAATTCCCTGTAAATTCTGGATACTATACCTTTGTCAGATGGGTGTAGATTGCAAAAATTTTCTCCCATTCTGTAGGTTGCCTGTTCACTGTGATGATAGTTTCTTTTGCTGTGCAGAAAGTCTTTAGTTTAATTAGATCCCATTCATCAATTTTGGCTTTTGTTGCAATTGCTTTTGGTGTTTTTGTCATGAAGTCTTTGCCCATACCTATGTTTTGAATGGTGTTGCCTAGGTTTTCTTCTAGGGTTTTTATGGTTTCAGGTGTTACGTTTAAGTCTTTAATCCATCTTGAGTTAATTTTTGTATAAGGTGGAAGGGAGGGTTCCAGTTTCTGTTTTCTGTTTGAAAGTAATATCTGCTCTGTTTGCTCAGAAGTGCCTCTTTTTTGTATAAGGTGTAAGGAAGGGGTCCAGTTTTAGTTTTAGGCATATTGCTAGCCAGTTTTCACAGCACAATTTATTGAATAGGAGATCCTTTCCCCATTTCTAGTTTTTGGTTGTACATGTGTGATGTTATTTCTGAGGTCCCTGTTCAGTTCCATTGGTCTATATGTCTGTTTTCGTACAAGTACCATGCTGTCGTGGTTACTGTAGCCTTGTAGAATAGTTTCAAGTCAGGTAGCATGATGCCTCCAGTTTTGTTTTTTTTTGCTTAGGATTGTCTTTGGTTATATGGGGTCTTCTTTGATTCCATATGAAATTTAAAGTAGTTTTTTTCTAATTATTTGAAGAATATCAGTTGTAGTTTGATGGGAATAGCATTGAATCTATAAATTACTTTGGACAGTATGACCATTTTCATGATATTGATTCTTCCTATCCATGATGATGGGATTTTTTCCATTAGTTTGTGTCCTTCTTATTTCTTGGAGCAGTGGTTTGTAGTTCTCCTTGAAGAGGTCCTTCACATCTCTTGTTAGCTGTATTCCTAGTATTTTATTCTCTTTGTAGTCATTGTGAATGGGAATTCATTCATGATTTGGCTCTCTGCTTGTCTATTGTTGGTGTAAAGTAATGCTTGTGATTTTTGCACACTGATTTTGTATCCTGAAACTTTGCTGAAGTTGCTTATCAGTTTAAGGAGTTTTTGAGCTGAGATTATGTTTTTTTTTTTTAAATATACAATCATGTCATCTGCAAACAGAGACAATTTGATTTCCTCTCTTCCTATTTGAATATCCTTTATTTCTTTCTCTTGCCTGATTTCCCTGGCCAGATCTTCCAATACTATGTTGAATAGGAGAGGTGAGAGTGGGCTTCCTTGTCTTGCACCAGTTTTCAAAGGGAATGCTTCCAGCTTTTGCCCATTCAATATATTGGCTATGGGTTTGTCATAAATGGCTCTTATTATTTTGAGATAAGTTCCATCAATATCTAGTTTACTGAGCGTTTTTAACATGAAACAATGTTGAATTTTATCAAAGACCTTTTATGCATCTATTGAGATAATCATGTGGTTTTTGTCTTTGGTTCTGTTTATGTGATGGATTATGTTTATTGATTTGTGTACATTGAACCAGCTTTGCATCAAGGAAAGAAGCCCACTTGTTCATGGTGGATAAGTTTTTTGAGGTGCTGCTGGATTCAGTTTGCCAGTGTTTTATTGAAGATTTTTGCATCAATGTTCATCAGGGATATTGGTCCGAAGTTTTCTTTTTTAGTTGTGTCACTTCCAGGCTTTGGTATCAGGATGATACTGGCTTCATAGAATTTGTTAGGGAGGAGTCTCTCCTTTTCAATTGTTTGGAATACTTTCAGAAGGAATGGTACCAGCTCCTCTTTTTACTTCTGGTAGAATTCAGCTGTGAATCCATTTAATCCTGGGCTTTTTTTTTTTTTGGTTGGTAGAGTATTAATTACTGCCTCAATTTCAGAACTTGTTATTGGTCTAGTCAGGGATTTGACTTCTTCCTGGTTTAGTCTTGGGAGGGTGTATGTGTCCAGGAATTTATCAGTTTCTTCTAGATTTCCTAGTTTATTTGCGTGGAGGTGTTTGTAGTCTTCTCTGATGGTAGTTTGTATTTCTGCGGTGTTGGTGGTGATATCCCCTTTATCATTTTTATTGTGTCTATTTGATTATTCTCTCTTTTCTTCTTTATTCATCTATCTAGCATTCTATCTATTTTGTTAATTTTAAAAAAAACAACTCCTGAATTCATTGATTTTTTTGGAGCGGGGTTTATGTCTCTATCTCCTTCAGTTCTTCTCTGATCTTAGTTATTTTCTGTCTTCTGCTGGCTTTTGGATTAGTTTGCTCTTGCTCCTCTAGCTCTTTTACTTGTAATATTAGGGTGTTGATTTGAGATCTTTCTAGCTTTCTGATGTAGGTATTTAGTGATATAAATTTCCCTCTTAACACTGCTTTAGCTGTGTCCCAGAGATTCTGGTATGTTGTCTCTTCATTGTCACTGGTTTCAAAGAACTTATTGATTTCTGTCTTATTTTCATCATTTACCCAGGAGTCATTGAGGAATAGGTTGTTCAATTTCCATGTAATTGTGTGGTTGAGTGAGTTTCTTAATCCTGAGTTCTAATTTGATTGCACTGTAGTCTGAGAGACTGTTATGATTTCAGTTCTTTTGCATTTGCTGAGGAGTGTTTTACTTACAACTATGTGGTCGGTTTTATAATAAGTGCCATGTGGCACTTAGAAGAATGTATATTCTTTTGATTTGGGGTGTAGTGTTCTGTAGATGTCTATTAGGTCTACTTGAGCCAGAGCTGAGTTCAAGTCCTGAATATCCCTCTTAATATTCTGTCTTGTTGATATGTCTAATATTGACAGTGGGGTGTTAAAGTCTCCCAATATTATTGTGTGGGAGTCTAAGAACTTGTTTTATGAATCTAGGTGGTCCTGTATTGGGTGCATATATATTTAGAATAGTTAGTTCTTCTTGTTGAATTGTTCCCTTTACCATTATGTAATGCCCTTCTTTGTCTTTTTTGATCTTTGTCATTTTAAAGTCTGTTTTGTCAGAGACTAGGATTGCAACCCCTGTTTTTTTTTTTTTTTTTTGCTTTCCATTTGCTTGGTAAATTTTCCTCCATCCCTTTATTTTGAGCCTATGTGTGTCTTTGCACATGAGTTGGGTCTCCTGAATACAGCACACCAATGGGTCCTGAATCTTTATCCAATTTGCCACTCTGTGTCTTTTTATTGGGGCATTTAGCCCATTTACATTTAAGGTCAGTATTTTTATGTGTGAATTTGATTCTGTTATCATGATGCTATCTGGTTATTTTGCACACTAGTTGATGCAGTTTCTTCATAGTGTCATTGGTCTTCATATTTTTGTGTGTTTTTGCAGTGGTTGGTACCAGTTTTTCCTTTCCAGATTAAGTGCTTCTTTGAGGAGCTCTTACAAGGCAGGCCTGGTGGTAACAAAATTCCACAGTATTTGCTTGTCTGGAGAGGATTTTATTTATCCTTCACTTATGAAGCTTAGTTTGTCTAGATATGAAATTCTGAGTTGAAAATTCTTTTATCTAAGAATGCTGAATATTGGCCCCCATTGTCCTCTGGCTGTAAAGTTTCTGCTGAAAGGTCTTCTGTTAGTCTGATGGGCTTCCCTTTGTAGGTAAAGCATAGTGACCTGGCCTTTCTCTCTGGCTGCCCTTAATATTTTTTCCTTCATTTCAACCTTGGAGAATCTGATGATTATGTGTCTTGAAGTTGACCTTCTCATGAAGTATCTTAGTCGTGTTCTCTGTATTTCCCGAATTTGAATTTTGGCCTCTCTTGCTAGGTTTAGGAAGTTCTCTTGGATAATATCCAGAAGTGTGTTTTCCAGCTTGTTTCTGTTCTCCCCATCTCTTTCAGGTACTCCAGTCAATTGTAGATTTGGTTTTTTTTATAAAGTCCCATATTTCTTGGAGGCTTTTTTCATTCCTTTTCATTCTCTTTTCTCTGGTCTTGTCTGCATGCCTTATTTCAGCAAGATGGTGTTCAAACTCTGATATCCTTTCTTCTGCTCGGTTGATACTTGCGTATGCTTCACGAAGTTCTTGTGCCATGTTTTTCAGCTCCATCAGGTCGTTTATGTTCCTCTCTTAACTGATTATTCTGGTTAGCAATTCCTCTTTTTATCAAGGTTCTTAGCTGCTTTGCATTGGGTTAGAACGTGCTCCTTTATCTCAGCGTAGTTTTTTATTACCCATCTTCTGAAGCCTACTTCTGTCAATTTGTCCATCTCATCCTCTGTCCAGTTCTGTGCCCTTGCTGGAGAGACATTGCAATCATTTGGAGGAGAAGAGGCACTCTTGCCTTTTGGGTTTTCAGCGTTTTTTTTGTTGATTCTTTTGCATCTTCATGAGTTTGTCTAGTTTTGATCTTTGAGGCTGCTGATCCTTGGATGGGGTTTTTATGGGTTTTTTTTTTTTGTTATTGTTGTTGATGCTGCTGTTGTTGCTTTCTGTTTGTTTCTTTTTCTTTCAATGGTCAGGTCCCTCTTCTGTACGGCTGCTGTTGTTTGCTGGGGGTTCACTTCAGGCCCTATTGGTCTGGTTCACTTCCACACCTAGAGATGTCACTCAAGAGGCTGGAGAACAGCAAAGATGCATGTCTGCTCCTTCTGCTGGCATCTCTGACCTTGAAGGGCACTGACCTGATGCCAATAGGATCGCTCCTGTATAGGGTGTCTGACATCCCTTTTTTAGAATGTCACCAGTTGGGTTGCATGGGGAACAAGACCCATTTAATGAAGCACTTTGACTATCCCTTGGTGGAAGGGGTGTGCTTCGCTGGGGGGAAACCCATTCATCTGGGCTGCCTGGATCCTTCAGAACTACCAGGAGGAAAGGCTAAGTCTGCTGGTCCACAGAGACTGCAGCCACCCCTTCCGCTAGGGGCTCAGGCCCAGGGAGATCTAGGTTCTGTCCCTGAGTCTTTGGCTGGAGTTATTGGAGTTCCTGCAGGGAACCCCCACCCAGTGAGGAAGGATGAGTCAGGGTCAGGCCTGAAGAAACCTCTGGCCACAGTCTGCCACAGCTGATGTGTTGGGCTGTGGGGGATACATCTTGGGACCAAGCTGTCCAGCCTCCCTGGCTCCAGCAGGAGAAAAGCACAGCCTGGAGCTATAGAGATGGAGGCTGTCCTTCCCCAGCGCAGGAAGGTTAGCGTGTTAGGCTGTTGTGAGTCCCAGTGCTGGCTGCTGCCCCTCCCCCGAGGAGCTCAAAGGGCTTAGACAGCAGGTAGCCACAGCTGTGGTGCTGGTCACTCCTCCGCACCACCACCCCCCGACCGCCGAGCTCCAAACTCCGTAGGCTTAAGCAGATTCCAGCTGAGAGGCTGATGAGAATCTGCGAGGGTCTGAGGTGGGGATGCTAGGCCCTAGTGGTGTGGGTTCCCAAGTGGGATCTTCCGATCCATGAGTTGGGCAGTTCCATGGAAAAATCACTGTTTCCCCAGCCGGGTAGCAGCTCACTCACTGCCTCCCTTGGCTGGCGGGGGTGGGCACTCCCCGGCCCTGGGAGGCTCTTAAGTGGGCCACCACACAACACTGCTCTTCCTTCCTCTCCGTGGATCACTCCAGCCGCCTAGTCAGTTCTGATGAGAGAACCTGGATACCCTGGTTGCCAGTGAAGCACTCACACACTTATTATATTTCTTTTTGATGGAACCTCCGATCAGGGCTGTTTCTAGTCACCCACCCATCCTGGCCCCGCGCCCTCAGGTAGTACTTTATATCAGTTTGAAAACAGACTAATACAGAATAATTTTTCTTTAGGGGCTTTGGAGGAACGTGGTCTGCCAACACACTGGTTTTGGACTTCTCTCCTCCAGAACGTGAGAGAATAATTTTTTGTTGTCACATGCCACCCTGTTGGTAGTACTTTTGTTATGGCAGCCCTAGGAAACTAATACAGAGTCCCTGTAATAGGCACAAGCTCACGTGTCCTGAAGGCTACAGGACTTTTAATTCCACCATTTCAGCCAAGGACCCCAAATAAACATTTCCCATGAGGAAGCCTCCCACGACCACAATTTCCTTCTCTGTGTCCTCTTACTCTCTTCCTTAGGGTCCACGTTTCTTTGTATCAGGGTTGACATTTTAATACACATTAAGGATTCATCAGGAAGTAAGAGATTCCATCCAGGACCACAAGGCCCACCCATCTTTCTTCCCAGAGTCTTCCACTTCTCCTCACCTGGTCAGGTGGGTCCTGAGATGCCCAGGGCTGGATGCCAGACACCCCAGCTGCCCAGGTACTCCTGCCCCGTAGTGAGACCCACATTTTCAATTCACGGTGGGGTGAATTTTCAAAGGGAACCACTTTCTTTCATCTTTATCTATAGGATATTTCCCAAATAACATGTATGTTACTGAGTTCGTGGACATCGTCAAAGACAGCCAGATTCTCTTTAAATATCTGCTGGGCGGCCTTCTTCCATAGAATTCAAGAAAAAAAAAAATGACTGTCTGGCTATCGTCCTCTGTAAATCTTGTTCTAGCAAGTTCTGCATCCACTTAACTTTATGAATTTGGATTCTGTGGTTTGGATTCCATCCCCACTCCTCCACCATCCTTTTCCCAATTTAAACCATTCTAATCTAGAATTTCAGGCAAAGTTGGGGGCTGGGGAAGCTAAATCGATTGTTTTATTTTTGTCTCTTGCTGCCCCCTGCTGGTCAAATTATTGCTTTCTTTTTCTTTTTCTTTTTCTTTTTTCTTTTTCCTGTTTAACTCAGGAGATCAATGGACAAGTTTCTAGGGATGGGTGGGTGAGGGAGAAGCAAGTGTCCTAGATGACAAGACAATGTCAGACAAGTTTCACTACTTGAGGTTCTCGGTTTTTTTTTTAATGAAGAAATGGCAATTGTGATATTTAAAACATGTTTAGCTTATTGGTCTTTTTTTTTATTTTTTAATTTTTAACACTTTTTAAGGGACAGGGTCTTGCCCTGTTGCCCAGGCTGGAATGCAGTTGTGTGATCATAGCTCACTGCAGCCTCCACCTACTGGGCTCAAGCCATCCTCCCACTCAGCCTCCTGAGTACCTGGGACCACAGGCATGCAACACCACGTCCAGCTTAATTGGTCTTTTTAACACACACAAATACAATATACTATAATGGTGCTTCCCCAGATCATTTGATTTCTGAAATTATCAACATGCACTGCTGGTGGTATGGACTAGTGATGGGTCACAATCTTCCTTCAATCTCCTTAGCATGTCAGGGTCTGCGACTGCATCCAGCACTGCACTTAGCACTGAATTTGGGGTGACAGCGAGGCACTTTGCAACCCTCTGATGGGTTTCCTACCATAGAGCTAGGGTGTGGCCTGGACTGGTCCTCAGAGAGCCTCCAGGGATGAGGTGGTGGAGGGAAGATAGAAGGGGGTGGGAGGTGGGGAGGGCCAAGTCTCTGGGGATCAGTCTTCACAATCGCACCCGATTCAAGGTGAAAGCCTGTGTGCCCTTTTCCCCTGGAAGCCATCTGTGTTAAAAAAACATCTTTTGGGGGTAGACAGGCCTGTGAAGTGCCTCTGTTCAGAGCTTCTCCGGGGTGGTGCGTTTTCCAGGGCGGAAGGCCATTAAAAGCCAACCCCTGAACCCAAGAACTTGGCTGCAAGAGCAGAAGGAAGACCACTGAGACCAACTCCACGGAGCAGGCTGCCCAACACGAGAAAGTCAGGGCCTGCTGCTGCTTCCTGGGCTACTGCAGCTACTGGAACAAGGATTTCTGCTCAGGGTTTCAGACCAAGGACCTCACCCTGGAGAGTCAGGGCCTTTTGGGAAAATGCAGTTTCCTACCAGCAAGAGCGAGTCCATCACGCTGTGTATCCCAGGAACCATGCAGCTTCGAGATCTGTTCCTCCCTCCTCCCTTCCCTGTCACATTCTCAGTAGGCACTCCAACGTAATTCAGTTAGCAACAGTATTTGCTTTTCACTGTGAGTCAATTCCAATGAACTTTACCATCTACACAAGTTGATCTAAGATGTAGGACAGTGAATCAGAATCATATTTAAGTTGAAGGAACTGAAATGACAATGTGTGTTGCACTTCCCACCTGTTCATGGATTAAAATTCAAGCCCACATACTCACCTGCTCAGATATCTCTTGTATTCCACCAGCTGCCCATCTTGTCAATATCTCCAATGCTGTGCCTTCCTCCAGATCCGCTTCTATCTCAGGGAGAAGCATCACAGTCCACCCTGATTAAGAGTAACTGAGGCCAGGCATGTTGGCTCACTCCTGCAAGCCTAGCATTTTGGGAGGCTGAGGCGGGCGGATCACTTGAGCTCGGGAGTTTGAGACCAGCCTGGTCAACATAGCGAAACTCCATCTCTACTAAAAATACAAAAAAATTAGTCGGGCATGGTTGTGCATGCCTGTAGTCCCAGCTACTCGGGAGGCTGAGGCAGGAGAATCGCTTGAACCCGGGATGTGGAGGTTGCAGTGAGCCAGGATTGCGCCACTGCACTCCAGCCTTGGTGACAGACCAAGACTGTGTCTCAAAACAAACAAACAAAACAACAAAACAAACAAACATACAGAAAGTAATTGAGAGTAGAGCTCTAGAAACTTTTATTGCAAACATCTACACACAGAATCAATGAACGTGTCTCCCAGAATAAAGAAAGTCCAGTTCATGTGTTGTCAGACTTGAGTGGTGGGTCCCATGTTGTGTGAGGGTGCACTAATCACACCCATTAGGATCACATATGGGTCTGGGATGAGCTAGGGAAATCTAATCCTTCCCTATACTGTAGATAGCCTGAGAAGCACAGGAGGGAGGACCTCCACCTCTTACCTGAACAATTTCCATAGCCTCTGTGTTTGTGGCAACTTGCTTGTTTTCCTTCCACCCTTAGAATGTGAGTTCCAGGAGAGCATGCTTCAAGCTGCCTAGTTTACCACAGAGTGCAACGCTAGAACAATGATGGGCATATAGTAATTCTCAACACTTATTTGTTCATGGTCTCTCTGCCTCTGATCAGCAACTACCAAACCCAGCACATTTTCCAGGCTGCAGCCAGAACAATCTTTCTAAAACTCAAATCTGATCAAGACCCTTCCTTATTTAAAATTATTTAATGACTCCTCAGTTGCCATGGTAACGTCAAAACCCTTGGTCTGCATTTTAGCCACACTGAACACTTAAGTCTTACTAAAGGGCCATACTTGCAGGCCTCCAGGCATCCATGCTGGCTGTTCCCTCTGCCTGGAATTCCCTTCTGCCCCCTCTTGATCAGTGGTAACTCCTTCAGGTCTCAGCTCAGCTGTCGCTCCCATTGAGACATCCCCAGGATGACACTAATTGCAATATGCTGCAATTATTTTTCTGTATTTCCATTTGAAGTTGAGCCTGCACCTACACCATCATATCCACCCCCAAACATGGCAATGGACATGATGGTGTCTTTATAGCAGAGGCAAGAAGGACTCCAGCGGTTCTAATTATAGGGGTCACCCCTCACTGCTCGGCACGTTAAGAGTGGTAACTCCACAGCCAGGAAAACTCAGGTTCAAATTTCCACATTCACTTTGTTTATTTAGCCATCCGGTGCTCGGTTTCCATCTGAAACATGGGGCTCATGATTATATATGGATAAAACTAGGTGGAGTCCTTTGGGTGGCTGGCAAATTGTAAGTGCCTAGTTAATGAATGTTAGTTGTGATTATTAACCATCACTTCTGAGACCCCTGCATTTTGCTTTCTCTACTTATAAGCTCTTGCAACCTCCTCTCTCCCTTTAGGCTTCCACTAGTGTGTTGGCTGTTACTCATCATGTTACTTTAAAAAATGAGCATATCACAAAGAAAAGAGACATAACATTCTTAAAGCAATTACTCTCTTCTACGATTTCCTGAAGCCCAGGTGCTCTACTTTATTTTGGAGCCTGGAGAGGAGACAGTTGTGCTTAAAATTTATCAGACCTCTCCTCTCTTTCGGGCTTTCTTGAAGCCTCCCTTTATCAGGACTGGATAGAAAAATCAGTTTGATGAGGTCATCCTTCTCTGTGCTTACAAGTCTCAAGAGGGCGACTGTATTTAGAAGAACTCCAGGTGGCCACTGCCATGATGATGAGAATAGCAATAATAA
Source organism: Homo sapiens (assembly GCF_000001405.40). NCBI lineage: Eukaryota > Metazoa > Chordata > Mammalia > Primates > Hominidae > Homo > Homo sapiens. Next base: position 52,372,865 of record NC_000004.12, on the reverse strand, counting down.
AGTTAGCAACCATAAAACCATTTATTGATAGCACTTGTTACTACAGGATCAAAATGATTATTCTTATTTTGCTGCTGGTAGGTGTCAGAAGCTGGCTTTGAAGACAGGTCTGTCTAATCTTCTCTTACACAAAAAAGGTCACAGGATAATCCTTCCTCACCTGGGACTGTATGATTTTTGTGCCAAGCAATACAGTATTGCATATTAGGTCTCTCCTGGTCAACCACCAATTTCTTCCTGTCCCTGAGATCCACAAGTGCTGCTAGGGACAGCCAATACTCACTTCATGGAATTGTGTGTGAGAGAGAGAGAGTATGTGCATGTGTGTGGGAATGTGCATGCAGGCACAAGTGTGTGTTTTTGTATTTCATTGCTATAATTCAAGTCAAGTGTGTGTTTATGTGTTTCATTGCTATAATTCAAGTCAAGTGTGTGTTTATGTGTTTCATTGCTGTAATTCAAGTCTCTGGTTAAGGCTAATCATCCCATCTTTTTTTTCAGTTCAACTTTTCAAAATGAAGCCACACAGTCTGGTTGAATAAACATCATGAAATAGATATTTTAGACTTTTCTAAAAAATGGATTCACTCTGATCTTGAGTTGGGGAGTGGGGGCACGGATAAAGTTGGTTTGCAGTCTGTATCCACCCTGGAACACATGAAAAATTCTCTCTACGTAGAAATTTGCATCATGACATATTAATTGCAAGAATAAAAGTGTTCTTAAGCAAATGGCCAGAAAGAGTACATTCTATAACTGCCTAAATTTCAGCCTGGGAGTGATTTAGTCCAGTGGTTCTCAGACTTGAGCATGCAGCAGAGTCACGTGGAGGGCGATTATGAAAACCCAGATTGCTGCTTGTGGGGTAGTGAACTCTCCCTGGAGTTTCTGATTCAGTAGGTCTGGGGTGGGGCCTGAGATTTGAATTTCTGTTTTTTCGTTTTGTTTGTTTGTTTGAGATGGAGTTTCCTCTTGTTGCCCAAGCTGGAGTGCAATGGCTTGATATCAGCTCGCTGAAACCTCTGCCTCCCAGGTTCAAGCGATTCTTTCACCTCAGCCTCCTGAGTAGCTGGAATTACAGGCACACGCCACCACACCTGCCTAATTTTTGTATTTTTAGTAGAGATGGGGTTTCACCATGCTGGCCAGGCTGGTCTTGAACTCAAGTGATCCACCCACCTCAGCCTCCCAAAGTGCTAGGATTATAACCTTGAGCCACCATGCCGGGCCTAAGATTTGCATTTCTGACAAGCTCCCTGGAAGTGCTGGTCTGGGGAGCACAGTTTGAATACCACTGGTTAGACCACTGGTTCTGAGACTTGGCAGCATATCGGGATCTCCTGGGGAGCTTAAAAGTTAATGATGCCTGGAGTCCACCCCAGTGACTCTGGTTTTATTTGTATGGAGTACGACCTGGGCATTAGTGTTTTTTAAAAGCTCCCCAGTTGATTGTCATATAGCAGACTTTGAAAGCCACTGATACGGGGGAGGGGGTAAACCTATCATGTTAAGAACAATGAGGGCTTTGGAGACCCAGAGCGCAGGGAGTGGTAGAAGGGCCACTTCACGTGATGGGTTTCCTGGATGGGGATAAGCAGATGGGCAGAGCAGTCCTGTGCTCAGTCTCCACGTGCGAGACTAGCTAGCAACAACGTTGCCCAGCCATGGTTCTCAGGCTCCTGGAAGGCTAAAAATATTCCTTTACAGTAGGTATTTGTAATTTTTAGGGTTCTTAGTTATACATAAGAAACTTGCCACTAACTAAGCAGGAAATGATTTTGGTAAAGAATATTGGGAGACTTGAGGCTAGGCTTTCAGGAGGGATGAACAAACCAACTCTAGAATGCTTTGAGAAGGACAATGCCACTGCTTCCCTGCCTAACACTGGAAAAACCACTGCGGCCACTGTCCTACCAATACCGCGGCCCCGCCAGGAACTTGACATTGTGACTCTCTGGCACTTCTGGAAGCCAGATACCTCTAGTGCTGCCCTCACTAGTAAAATAGGAGCTCCAGGGAGCCTCCTTCTAACTGGAAGTGAAACTGTCCCCACAGGGTTAACAAGAATTACATACTGAGCTCTGGGCAGATGTACAGTTATAATTAAGCATTCATCAGGCCACACTCTGGCCCACCTTCTTATAATAGAAAGTCACGTAACTGTAGACACTGATCATTTGCATCCCTTGTTCCTATAGATAGGATCACACATTGGAATCACAAGGCTTTTTCTTTAAACATTGCTTAAGATATTTTTCAGATGCTGAATTCCAGTGGAACAGCTGTTGTCACACAATTTGAAGACCCCCATAGAGGAACTAAATCAGCATGAGAATGCAGTTTCTTCATCTCCCCATCCCATGACTTCACCCTGCATTCTCAGACCAATCAACGATCCCTACACCTTGACCTACTCCAAACCCCTTAAAGTCCCTATCCCCAAACTCCCCAGGGAGGCGGATTTGAGGTTTCTTCCCATCCCCTCATTTGGCAGCCTTACGATTAAAACGTTCTCTGCTGCAGCCCCAGGTGTCGGTGTATTGACTTACTGCGCATTGGGCTATGGACCTGTTAGAGTCACATAAGTCTCAGCTGAGTGGCTCTGAGTAGAGAAGTCCCTGTCACATGCTTTTCCCTGGCTGGGAAACCCAGGGATACTGGTTCTTACTGAATCTGGCCATGTATGGCTGGGAATTTCTCCAAATATATTAAAGCAAAGGTCTTCTGCAGCCAGGGAAGGTGACAAGGTGTAATCATCATTATTATTGTTCCACAGACCATTGGCTCCTGTTTTCTTCTCTTCTGAGCTGCCATGGCCTCTGTCAGTGTTCTCTATCCCACAAGCAGCAGGGAAACCAGTCTTCCCAGCTATTTCCATTCTCTGTTTCATGGATGGGTTTCATTGTCAATCACTGTTCTTTCGAAAAGTCAATATGCATAGAGACAGCATGAAAGAACTACTGTACCTGTCTTATGTGAAAAATGCTTCCTCTTTGGCCAGATCAAAGGAGATGAATAGACTCAACATTCCAGTATGTTGTTTAGACACTGATTCTCATGCTAGGAATGCCAAGGGTGAAGCCATTTGTAGTGCTGCTGCCTGGGGCTGTTCTGAACTTCTGATATAAAACAGAAAAGAGGATTTGACAACCCAAATGGAGTTGGAGCACATCTCACTGTTTGAGCTGTGGCCACATGGTGGCCTGGCCTTTCTTGTTAGAAATGAGAGCCGATGGCAGGTCTTCAAGGTGGAAATTTCATTTTCATCTCCAGAAGCCACATGTATGTGGCTCTGGACCTGCCACACTCTATGAAGGCATGGTGTGTCTTTCATTGTCATCTTCTCCAGGTCTAGTGATAGCAGTATTTTTATTAACCTCAATTTGCAGATAAGGAAGCCCAAAGTAGGGAGGATAAGAAACATGCCCAAGCTCAGATCAAAGTGTTTTAAACCCAAGCTGACTCCAGAGCCATCACTATTTCACAATAAAAATGATTTAATATATTTATTCTGATTGTATCAATTGTTTATTGCTCTTGTAAACATTCAAACAACATAGGAAAATGCAAGGGGAAATAGTCAATTCATCAGAAATCTCATCAGTCTGAGATAACAAACATTCATATTTTGGTAACTATTCTTTTTTGCATTGGTTTATGTATGCATGCACGTGCACACACAATGTAGCATAAATAGAATTCTTACATGAATGATGGCTCCTGAAGCTCTTGTTTGCTGGTCAGTGTAGCTCAAACAATCCTCTGTTTCCTTGTTTAAGTGGGTGAAGACGAAAATTTGCTCTAAGCAAATAGAGAGTCCTTTGTGGCCTGCCAGCCTCTTTACTGTAAATGGACTGGGCTGTGGCACTGTGGAGACGGGAGCGAGTGTGTCGAGTTTAAGAGCAGAGGTACTAGAGTCAGACTGTGGATACCAAGAGCTCGGCACTCTTACTGAATAGCTGTGCAGACTTACAGGAGTTACTCAACCTCTCTGTATCTCAGTTTCCTCAGATATGAAGTAGGGGTGATACCTACATCATAGGGTTGTTGTGAGGATTAAATAAGAAGACACAGTAGTCCCCCTTATCTGTAGTTTTGCTCTCCAAGATTTCAGTTACCCACTGGTACAGTTCAACAAAATATTTTGAGAGAGAGACCCCATTCACATAACTTTTATTACAGTATATTATTATAATTGTTCTATTTTTAGTTTTTGTTGTTAATCTCCTACTGTGCCTAATTTATAACTTAAACTTTATCATAGGTATGTATGTATAGGAAAAAGCATAGTATATATAGGGTTGGCTAGCATTCACAGTTTCAGGTGTCCACTGTGGGTCTGGAATGTATCACCTGTGGATAAGGAGGGACTACTGTATATTAAAACTTAGAATATTTTTCCAGCCAAAGTAAAGGCTTCATGTTAACTGATATTATCAAAATACCCATAGTGTATGTAAATCCAGTAGGTACTCAGGTGAATTATTCATTACCATGGAGGTACATATACTTTATATTAAAAACATGGTTTTTTCCATAATACTAGCAACGGTACTGCTTGTTCACTCCAAAGTATAAGATCTGTGGGCTGCAAGGAGTTTTTGTAAATTGCTGTATTTTTTTCAGGGCATGAAAAACAAGAGGATGTAATGTTGGAGAGATATGACAAGGCCATGAAGTGGATGGTTTATTAATTCATTTGTTCATTTATTTCTTCATTCATTTATCCACTGATTGATAGTGCCAGGCACATAGTAAATATTTGTTGATTAAAAGGATAAATAAAAATAACTGAATTAAACATTTTGTTTAAACAAGATTATGCCTCAACGAGCTTACAATCCAATGACTCACTATGTTTATTTATTGGAAACACACATGCACACGCATGCGTGAACACACACACACACACCCCCCCTTTAAGAGAGCAATTTTCTGACAGCAAAATAGAGTCTTCTGGTTTAATTGCTTTTTAATTTAAGCCGCAAGGTACATATGGATGAAAATTGCCCAGAGACATCTAAATTAACTACACTTGTTTATTTTGTTAGGTTTACAAAGAGTAACAGAAAATGAATTTCAAAATTGAGTCCAAATGTTGACCACCCAATTAGATGGAGTGTAAGCTTTTCTTCAGAGTTATAAATCACACAGGTCCCATGGGGGAAAGACGCTGCCCTTATGAAAGTGCACTGAGGCAGGGCTGTCCCCACAGGAAGGAGGAAGAGCCATCACAACTAGGCAGAGCTAATTCTATTTTGCACGTGTGCCTTTGGAAAACCAGTTGAGTGCTCCCTTATGACAAAGAAGAAAATGCTTGATGGTGTAGTGAATGCTTCATTCTTGGCCAAACCCAATCCCTTTCTGGCATGTTTATCTTGGTGGAGCAAGGATGAGGTTCACCAAGGTATGTGCACAGGTTCCTAGTGGATAATAAAACAGATGCTGAGGGTAAATGTCCTCCAGCATTCAAGTAATTCACTTGGATATGCAAACTGCTTTAAGTACACAAAGAGCATTTTAATGAATTTTTCCTGCTCCTAATCCCACAGTGTCATTATTTGCCTTATATTAATTACTTACTACAGCAGATTCAGCAATAATTTTTCTCCTGTTGTTAGAAACATCATTGAATTTTATTGCTAGCCTTGTGTGTTTGTTAATAACTACCTTGGGGAAAAACAGCAACACTGGACTAAGGTGTTTTCTTCCAGATTTTATGACTTACAGTCAGAAAGCTTTATGTCAATTGTAAGAAATATTTCTCCATTTTATTAAACTTGGGATTCCTTCAAGAAAATGTCACTGACCAGAATAAAATCCATTGTTGGTGCTAGGGCTGCTACTATTGTATGGGAAAAGATCAACATAGCAATGTCAGCTATTAAAGAAGGTAAAACCCATTCCATTTACTTTTCCATTATTTGCTAAGTGAATTCAGTTGTAACCGAAAGAGGTGATGGAAAAACAGTATGTTATTTCTCTCACTTGTGCAATGCTTGGCACTGGGGATTCATGGAGGCTTTAATGAGACCTTGAGGAAGGCGCTCAATGACTGTCTGAGCTGCAAGCCCTGTCACACTGGCTGCTGCACATTCTACGTCTTGCCTTGTTCCATCTGGCTGTGGACCCAATCTAACGCCTTGTAAAATAGATCTTTCCAGGAACACATGTTTCTTCTTTATGTTAAATATACAAGAAAGAGAATCAATTAAAGGAAGAAATGTTACTAAAACTGATTGTCTTTGAAGATGCTACATTTCAGAGAGGTTGTGTTCACCGATTAAGTAAAATAAAACAGTTGTCTTTGGGAGAGTCTATAAGGTTCTAAGGACACCATTAAGAGACTCTTTCTTGATATATGAAATACTTAATGGGTATGATTCTCATTTCACAAACTCCAGCATAAAAGAAAGAAAACGTTGCGCATTTTCTGTGATTCAACTTCATTTCGGATTCTGAACTATCATTCTGTTGGACTTACGTCAGGAAGGGTGGGATCTGGTTACTGAGGAAGGTTTTTGTGGGGAATGTTTTCCTACTCTTTTTTTCCAGCTTCATTGAAGTAGACTTGACACACAAAAATTGTGTATATTTAAAGTGTACAAGGTGATGATATAAATTGTGAAATGATTACCACAACTAAGCTAATTAACATATCCATCACTTTCCAAAGTTATGACTTTGTGTGTGTGGGGGTCGGGGGAAGAAGACTCAAGATCAACTTTTTAAAGGAATTTTCAAGTATATAATACATTGTTATTAACTATAATCACCATGCTGTACATTACAGCTCCAAAACCCATTCTTCCCACATAACTGAACCTTTGCACTCTCTGGCCACCATCTCTCATTTTTCACCCCTCTCCCTATTCCTTGGCAACTGCCATTCTACTCTCTGCTTATATGAGTTCAACTTCTTTAGATTCCAGATATAAGTGAGGTCATATAGTATTTGTCTTTCTGTGCCTGGCTTATTTCACTTAGCATATAACGTCCTCTAGATTCAACCATGTTGTCGCAAATGGCAAGATTTCCTTCTTTTTTAAGGCTGAATGATAGTCCATTGTGTGTGTGTGTGTGTGTGTGTGTGTGTGTATCACATTTTCTTTACCCATTCACCCATCAATGGACACTTAGATTGTTTCCATATTTTGGTTATTGTAGTAATGTTGCAATTGAACATGGGGTACAGATATCTTTTCAAGATACTGATTGTATATTCTAGTTTTAATAGCCCATATCTGAAGCATGGATTTTGATATTAAGTGTTGCAATTTAAGGACAACCATTGAAAAATCTCAAGGTAATTTTGGTACAAATATGATGCTATTTCAATTGATGAAAGTTTTGAAATTATAGACCTTTCTTCATTTCAGACAAAAATCTAAAAATAGGTATCTTGAGCTCAATAAAATTGCTTTAAAATCCTTTCTTCTATTCCTATCAACATGCCTCTGTGAGATTGGTTTTTTATTTATTTGTTTTTTTTTTGAGACGGAGTCTTGCTCTGTTGCACATGCTGGAGCACAGTGGCACGATCTCAGGTCACTGCAACCTCTGCCTCTCGGATTCAAGCGACTCTCCTGCCTCAGCCTCCCAAGTAGCTGGGATTACAGGTGCCCATCATCCTGCCTGGCTACTTTTTGTATTTTTAGCAGAGACAGCGTTTTGCCATGTTGGCCAAGCTAGTCTTGAACTCCTGACCTCAGGTGATCTGCCCACCTCAGCCTCGCAAAGTGTTGGGATTATAGGAATGAGCCACCATGCCTACGCTCGGCCTTGGTGTTTCTGAGTGCTGTGAAGTCAAATTTATATATATATATATATATATATATATCTTTTTTTTTTTTTTTTTTTTTTTTTTTTTTTTGTGAGACAGAGTCTCGCTCTGTCACCCAGACTGGAGTGTACTGGTGCAATCTTGGCTCACTGCAAGCTCCACCTCCCAGGTTCACGCCATTCTCCTGCCTCAGCCTCCTGAGTAGCTGGGACTACAGGCACCTGCCACCACGCCCGGCTAATTTTTTGTATCTTTAGTAGAGACGGGGTTTCACCATGTAAGCCAGGATGGTATCGATTTCCTGACCTCGTGATTCACCCGCCTCGGCCTCCCAAAGTGCCGGGATTACAGGCGTGAGCCACTGTGCCCAGCCTATTTTCTTTTATTCCTATCAACATACCTCTGTGAGATTAGTTTCTCTAATACGAGCGCCATGAAGTCAAAATATATAAACTATTTAGCTATATATTACCCTCTGTGAGGATTTTTTAATCAATCTTACATAGATGACATAAATTATTCTGCAAGAAGCAAATCCATTTGGTCATAAAAACTGGTGTACATGGGGTGTAAGTGCACATATAGGATGCTTAATGTGGGTTATTTCAATCATGAATTCTTTTATTATGATTGTTGAAACAGAAAGTTACAAGAGTAATTGCAGTTCTGTTTTAATCACCTATACTCACTTTCGATGAACAGCATTCACAGTTTTTGTGAGTTTCTTTCTGTTTCCCTGGGTGATAACCCAAGTCTCTTGGCTGCTGCTTCCTCGTCACCTCTCTTATATCTTCTCTACTGCCTTTCAATGTCTGTGCCTTAAGAAAGTATATAGTTTTAGTTGGGAATTAGATGATCTGGGCCCCAGTTCATGAAGCAGTTGTGTACCTTGGCTAAATCACCTTTCTGGCTTTCAATTTCTCAAATCCAAAATAGGACAGTAGGAGAAAATATTTTCTGGCACTTTTTGATGGAAATAAACTTTTTGCAAGATTAATATAATAGTGCGCAAAATGGTTTGAGAGGAGAAAGAGCCTACAGAGACACTGAAAACTCATCTGGTTACAAGGTTTATGCCAAATATCTATAATTTAATATACAACTCCAATAGCTTTCTCATTATTACTATTTTTAGAAGCAATTATGCTTTGATTTAATTTAATCTTCAGGTATTGGGTCTTCCTTCCTATGCAGTGGTTTCATATATAAAGTGCTTTCTTCTTTAGTGAGCTTATATGCCTGCTATCAAGATTAATAGTTCATCTTTTCAACTTTTTGTCTGTTCTAACTTTTACCTACTTTCTGGGCTCCACCTTGATGCCAAATTTCCAAACGTCTACTTCTGTTTGTCTACAACACAAAGCAAGTCTTTGCTATGCTACTGGAGCAAAGCATAGATCAAGAGAGGCAGCCAACTAAATGCTGGACTACACAGACTTACTTTTGCCCCAAAGTCAGGCAAACCAAAGTCCTTGAGGATCTCAAAGAATTTGAAACCATATATAAAATAAATAAATGCAAATGGCACATTTCCCAGTTATATAGGGTCTCCATGGACTTCTTTAGATCCAAATTTTTCCCTTTTTCTTTTCTCCATTGATGTCAGGGGAAATAGGGCCAGAGTTTGATCTTTTGCTGAAAGGTTATATACAAGGAGGGAAGAATAAAAGAATAATAGGGAGTTGGGGCCTATGGGGAAATAAAAGTAAAAGTAAACATCCCCCTGGAAAATAAACCTTGGGTATTACAAACCCCATGATGCTACCTTTTCACGAATGAGCTGTTCCAAGTTGTGGTGTCATACTTGAGCAAACCTCTTTGAAGATAATTGGCCAAAATTAAATGAGCCATCTTGGGTTGTAAAAATTATTTTCATGTTTTAATCAGTGATGCATCTATTTATCTACTCTTCCTCATAGTTTTAAGATCCTAAAATGTAAATTTTAATATAGACCCCCAAAGGCTTATAATACAATGCTATCTCTCTCTCTCTCTCTCTCAAGTTTATGATTGTTTCAGTTTATCTATTGCATAACAAACCACTCCAACTTAGTGGCATAAGAGGTAACCATTTTGTTAGATTTATAGGTTCGATGATAGGGAATTTAGGCAAGACACAATAGGGGATGTTTTGCTCTATGACATCTGAGGTCTCAGCTCTGAAGACTCAGACAGCCTGAAGTGACATGAAAGTTTGGGTGTTGGTACCTATGGAAGCTTCCGCACACAAATGCCTTGTATCTCTAAGTTGAAGGCTAGCTCAGCTGACTGTTGACCAGAGCATCTACATGTTGTCTTTCCATGTGGCTGGGTTTCCTCCCTTCAGGGCCTCTCAGGGTCAATGGATTTCTCACATGGCGTGGCATGGCTATAAGAGTAGGTATTCTAGTAAACAATCTTAGAGATTAAAAAGCTGCATGACCTTCTGTAACTTACCCTTGAAAATTATATAGCATTACTTCCACCACACTTTATAGGTCAAAGCAGACATAACCTTACACAGATTAAAGAGTAAATATAGACCCTCACCCACTTCTTGACGAGAAGAGCATTGAAGAATTTGTGCCTGTATTTTAAAACCAATCAATCTTGACTTTTATTTTGCATGCATGTCTCAAGATTTTGAAACTCCTGAGAGGCATGAATCAATGTATTCTCAGGAAATAGGAGGTAGGTTGGTAATTTAACATACAGGGTAGGCCCCTGCCTTTCAGGCCCAGGGTGTGTGTCTCTGACTGTCCTCTGAAGAGAGGAACATGAAGGGAATAAACCTTTAAAGTACCACCTCACCTGAATACAAGAATAGAATATCTACTGAACTCTGGCATGAATATCTGCATGTGGATGGATTTAGGTAATTGCTTCAAAGTTATACAGAGCTAGAAGTGGAAGACAAGGTTTCAGGCATGGGATCCTGATCTCCTCATTCTCCTGAATGCACAGAGGACAAAATTCATCCCTCTGAGGGCAAGGCCTGGGCGACAGGAGGTGTTTCCCTCTTCCAGCCCAGACAGGTTGCATATTAGCTGTCATTACCCCTGACAACAAATTGGTCTGACTCTGAATTGCATCTTTCCAATCTCCAAGACTTTTTCCAGGTCACAGGAGGGAGAAGAGAAGTCTCAGTTCACCTGGGAAGAGCACTGCTGGTTTTATTATACTTCACAGAAGCTGAAAGGAAGCAGTTAATATGGTTTCAGGCAATGTCAGCTGTAAAGATGTACATCAAGTCTGCTGATGGGGGAAACTGAGGCTGGTGAGGTGACCAGTGGACAGGAAGTCACGAGATGACTTTCTCCTTTTTCCCTCCTTTTAAAATATATATTTATAGCATAAAACATCACGTTTTGAAACAGAGATGCTATATTAGGCCATTCTTGCATTGCTATAAAGAAATATGTGAGACTGAGTAATTAATAAAGAAAAGAGGTTTAATTGGCTCTCCGTTCCACAGGCTGTATAGGAAGCACGGTGCTTGGCATCTGCTTGGCTTCTGGGTAGGCCTCAGGAAGCTTTTACTCATGGCAGAAGGCAAAGGGGGAGCCAGCATCTCACATGGCAGAGGAGAAGCAAGAGAGAGTTGGGGGATGGGGAGGTGCCACACTTTACAAAAACGAGATCTCAGGAAAACTCACTCACTATCATGAGGATAGCACCAAGCCATGAGGGATCTGGCCCCATGACCTAAACGTCTCTCATCAGGCCCCACCTCCAACATTGGGGATTACAATTCAACATGAGATTTGGCAGGCTCATATAGCCAAACCATATCAGATACATTGTGGAATGGTTAAATCAAACTAATTGACATATGTGTTACATTATACACTTATTTATTTGTGGCGAGAACAATTAAAATCTACTTTCTTAGCAATTTTCAAGTATATGATATATTGTTATTAACTGTAGTCACCACATTGTGCAATGGATCTCTAGAACTCATTCTGCTTGTCTAACTCAAATTTTGTATCCCTTGACCAACATCTACATCTTCCTAGCCACTGCCACCCCCAGTCTCTGGTAACCACCATTCTGCTCTCTGTTTCAGTGAGTTCAACTTTTTTACGCTGCATATATAAGTGAGATCATGTGGTTTTGTCTGTCTGTGCCTAACAGAGATGACTTTCTGTGTCATGATTTTTCCTAGGCTCAGCCATGCTTCTGGTCCAGGTCTTTTCCACAAATACCATACTTCCCCACCACCACCACACCTTAAAAACTTTAACAAGGCCACCTGTTTTACAAAGAGACAGCTCCAGGCCAGCTCTGTCATGAACTCCTGAGTGGATGGTGGGCAAGTTATTGACCATCTTAAGTCCCTTGCAGTTCTAGCTCACCGTGATTCAGAAGAGAGAAAGGGAACTTGGTTTCTGAAAAATGTTGGCCATGTATTCAAAGGTAGATCAGAGAGGCAGGTTACCTTAATGTAGAGTTGCCAAACATTACATGGGATACGCTTATACTGAAAAAAACTCTTCATTGTTTATCTGCAGTTTAAATCTAGCTGATCATCTCATATTTTAATTTACTAAATCTGGCAACCCTACCTTAATAGTTATAAGTGTAGTTAGACTGTAGATCGGGAGTCAGCAAAGGTTTAGTGTAAAAAGACCAGATAACAAATATTTTCAAATTTGCCATTTTAATGCAAAAGCAGCCAGATGATACATAAATGATTGGGAATAACCTTGGTTCAATAAAGCTTTATTTACAAAGCCAGGTGGCAGGCCCTCATTTGCTGACCCCTTCTCTAGAGCTAAACTACCTAGGTTTAAGTCAACTCTGTCATTTATGAGATACAGGAAATTAAGCATGTCACTTAATCTCTTTGTGCCTCAGTCTCCTCATCTATAATATGGGTCATATTCATAATGTACCTGCCTTCTAGGGCATAAAATGGTGTCTTATATATGAAGTGTTCAAAGCATGCAGTAAGTGCTATGAAAAAACAATGCATGCCATTTTGTGTTGTAGGATTCAAGTATCTCAACAGAGTGGCCAGAATAATCATAGTTAACATTCATATAGCACTTACCCTCTGCCTAGGCACTTTACGTATGTTAACTCATTTAATCCTCAGGATACCCTAGGCTATAGGTAAGATATCACCATCAACATCATCATCATCCCCATTTACAAATGAGCCAACTGTGGCCCAGAGAGTTAAGTGGTTTGCCCAAGGTCACCTGACTGGTGAGTAGCCCTGTTGGGGTCTGAACCCTTGTAGTCTAGCACCAGAGACTATTCATTCACCCCTACCCTAGAGGGAAGAGATATGAGGGCAACAGGAAGATTAGAAAATGTCATGTTAAGTGTTTGCAGTGATACTTGTCAATAAGTTGAATATAATCTATTTTCGAGGAACACATAGTCTTCATTTTGAGGGTTTGTTTCCTGTTGTTCTTCTTCAGTTCTGAGGACAACGATCCCCATCTGTGGTGCCCCACTGAATTCATACTGATCCACGTGCAGACCCTCCAATCCTGGAAACATGTTGGTATCTTAAATTTCTGGGGTATGAACTCTTTTCCTTTCTTTCCTCTTCCCCTGGGTTTTTCTCCTGTTTCTTCCACCTTCCTGCTCCTCCCCACCTTCTTCTTCCCAAACTTCTTTCCTCTCGTCCTTCTCTACAACTTATTCAGGCCTGAAAAGAAGCCAGGGAAAAGATATTTGCTTTGGGCGAAGAAAAGAAAAATAAAAGATGAACTAGCCAAGTCAAAGAATAACTCCGATTTTCTACAAAGGGCTACTTAATGGAAAGGCTGTGACTTAACAGTGCTTTATACTCTCTGTGCTCTTTAGGAAAAACAAAGTTGATATAAACAGCTGGAGACTGTAACTTGAAAAACCAAGAAAGTAAGATGAATAAAACTTCCTGTTTTCCTCTCCTACCCTGGCCTACAGGGGGTTGGCCTATAAGGCTTCCTTCCAAACCAGATGTTCCATTCCCAAAGCTCCCTTCAGAATCTCTGCCTATCAGTTATTCTTTACACAACACCACCAGACCTTAGATTTAATTACCATGAGCATGCTTCAGCCAAGCGCCTGCTGGGACACAGGCCCTCTTAGGAGAAGGAAGTGAAATATGGTCAGCATATGACATGAGCTCAAGGAGGTAAACACTCTACTATCATTGTCTAAATTAAGGCAACATTAACAGAGCTCCTCTTACAGGCCATGTACTGTGGTAAGACTCTCATCTGATCTGCACCATTAGGTAGATACTATTACTGTCCCTATTTTATAGCTGGAAATCTGGCCTTGGAGAGCTGAATTAATAAATTCGTGACCCTGAAAAGGCCCCCTCAGCTCACCCAGTAAGACACCTCCACCTCTTCTCTCAATCCTGCCTTGTTTAGAAAACATGAATGTATGGAAAAGAAACACAATGATAGAGAAGCCGTGTTCTCTAGGAAGGAGATATTGCCTGCATCACCTCGACTCCTGCCTGGGTTGCTGGGCGGGCTGCTTTTCTCCTTGGCCGCTCATCCTCTTTGGAGACATGCTGTCATCGATTTTAAAGGTCTGTCTGCATCCTCCGTGGTCACGCCCAGCTGATGGACCCCAGGACACACTGCCAGTAATAATGCAGACTTTCTCCAGCCCCTGCTCAGCCTCTTCCCAGCGTCTCTGGCTAAGCTCTTCTTGAATATGTAGCCTAGTGCAGGGGGTACATATCATCCTCATTGTAAAATGCTTAAGTGCTCGAACAGATCTTAAACATTAGTTTCAAGCATGAAACTCGTCTATATTTCGCCTTTTCATGCTGAGGGAAAATCTGCCAATAGGATTCGTGATGGGGCTGTTATTAACAGTCTCTTCCCTGCACAACAGGGCACGCTGTACTTTAGGGTGAAGCAGATTTTTGCCCGTTGGGTAATTATTAACAGCTAACAATACCTATTAATTGAAAATGTGTTTGCTTGTTTGTTTTGTGAGATCATCAAAATTTTACATAATTTTCTTTTTTTTTTCTTTTTCTTTTTTCTTTTTTTTTTCTTTGAGACAGAGTCTTGCTTTGTCGCCCAGGCTGGAGTGCAGTGGCATGATCTCGGCCCACTACAACCTCTGCCTCCCAGGTTCAAGCAGTTCTCCCACCTCAGCCTCCTGAATAGCTGGGATTACAGGCGCGCACCACTACGCCTGGCTAATTTTCGTATTTTTAGTAGATATGGGGTTTCGCTATGTTGGCCAGGCTGGTCTTGAACTCCTGACCTCCGGTGATCTGCCCTCCTCAGCCTCCCAAAGTGCTGGGATTAGAGACGTGAGCCACCTGGCCTGGCCCATAATTTTCTAATTGTAAAGAATAACAGGGTTAGCTTTCCAACCAGTTAATGAGTACCCAGCAGTGGACTTCAGGGCTTTATTGGTTGGCCCCATGTCAGGTGCAGCTTTGAGCCCTCCCTCTCTACAGGTTACCACATGTCCCAGTAGTGAGAAGAATATGGTCACTTTGTAGCTGCCCCTCCAACTTCTGCATCATGTTTTTCGAGGAAAAGAAATTAAAAGCCTTTCTCACAAAGTTTAGGAACCCCAAGTGTAGCTTCATTTCTTCTTTTTAGGCAAAAGTACTGTAGGCCCGTGTCTCATGTTCAAAACCTGGGAAATAGTGATGTAAATGAAAAGACAAAGATAAACAAAACAGATTTCTTAACTGTCGAAATTCTCTGTGTTATTAATATCCTGTTGTCACTCTGAATCTTCAAGAAGGAAATGAAATGTATAGAGTTTCCTAAACTTTCTTGACCTCAGAATACCTGGGAACCTCTTGTGGTATTATTGTTCCATAGACACTGCTTTAGTCTGTTCATGCTGCTATAATAAAATACCACAGACTGGGTAATTTATAAACAAAAGAAACTTATTTCTCATAGTCCTGGAATCTGAGCAGTCCAAGATCAAGGTGGTGGCTGGTGAGGGCCCTGTCTCTCTGCTTCCAAGATGGCATCTTGTGGCTGGATCCTCAGGAGGGAAGGGATGCCGTGTCCTCACATGGCAGAGGGGTGGAAGGAAAAGAGAGGGAAGACGGTCTCTGAAGCCTCTTTTATAAGTGCTTTAATTCATTCCACAAAGGCCCTGTCTCTTAATACCACCTGATAAGGTTTGACTGTGTCTCCACGCAAATCTCTTCTTTAACTGTAGTTCCCATAATTCCCACGTGTCATGGGAGGGACCCAGTGGGAGGTAAGTGAATCATTGGACGGGCCTTTCCTGTGCTGTCCTCATGATATTGAATAAGTCTCATGAGATCTGATGGTTTTATAAAGGAGAGTTTCCCTACACAAGCTCTCTTTCCTGTCACCACATAAGATGTTCCTTTACTCTTCCTTCGTCTTCTGCCATGATTGTGAGGCCTCCCCAGCCATCTGGAAGAGTGAGTCCATTAAACCTCTTTCTTTTATAAATTACCCAATCTTGGGTATGTCTTTATTAGCAGTATAAGGACAGACTAATACACCACCACAGTGGGGATTAAGTTACAACAGGAATTTCGGAGAGAATATACATTTAAAACTGTAGCAGACACATTTTGGGAAATCAGAAAGTAGCCATAGTGGCCACCATGAATTAAGAACATATGAATCTAGGTCCAATGCTGGGTGTTCTGCATACATATTCTGATTTAATATTAACCACATCCTAAAAGACAGGTCTTATGATCACAAGGCTTAGAGAACTTCAATAACTTGCTCAGGGACACATAGACTGACATGGTAATGCAAGGGCTGGTACCAAATGTTCTGATCAAATGTTTTGAATCTTCTGTTCTTCTTTTTCCTTTAGAACCTTTTTTTAAAGATACATTTTAAACATAGAAGGGAATAAAGACCCACATGACAAACATTCATCTTTCTACCATGCAAAATTAGTAAGTTTTAAGTTTAGTCAGATTTGGTTCTAGTCTTTCTTTCTTTTTTAAAATAAATAAAATATTACAGATAAGTCATATTTGCTTCTTGTCAAGCTGCTTCCCTGTTATAAATGAACCCCAATTCGAGGGGTGGAGGAAGGGAGCAAAGTTGTAAAGTGCAACAGCCCAGGCTCTTTTTCGGCTTCTCTTTTGCCAAATGCAAACAAATATTTTCTCCTATTTCTTGTTTCCTCACTGCTGTCTTGAGTTCCCTTCTAAATTTGAGGCACAAAGAGAAATATTTTAAAACAATGCAATACACAAACCTGAGGTGAGTCATCAACACATTGGTCTACAATTAAGAAAGAAGACAGCACTGGGGTTCTCAAAGCAGCAAGTAGAACACAGTGGGATATTCTCAGGTGTGACTGATACCATATGTGCTAAAGATACTGAAAATGGTCAGCACTCAGGATTTTTGCTAGCGACATCCTGTGGTTTAGCCAAAGACATAGTCTACGGTGTGTGGACATAGTGGTACCATGCTAAAGTGTGTTAACACATGCAGTTGCTCCAGCCCACCCAGGCTAATGTAAAACTCTGTCATTCTTATTCCCCTTATTTGATTTATTTTTCTTACATAGCACTCCTCACCATCTGACGTTGCGTTTTTGTTTATCATTTCTTGTCTGTCTTTCCTACTAGAATCTAAGCTCTATGAGGGCAGGGTCTTGCCTGTTTGTCACTATTGTACCCTTTTACCTGCCTTTCTTTGCTCTAGTTCATGAAGTATTTCTGGAGAGCATGAGATAAGTTATCCAAGCAGGAAACAGAAAAAAATTAGTATGCCAAGAAATCAGAGGAGAATCAAATTTGATATCAAGGATTGAATATGAGTGTATGATACTGGAGGGGAAGAGAAGAAGACACTACTGCTGGTGTTATTCACAAGAGCCTATTTCCACAGGAGGCAAAACTGGCCACTCAGAAGAACTAAGCTCCCATGCTCTGTGGAACATTTTCCCTGTGAAGAATCTTGATGCCCATTAAGGGAGGGAGGGACAAGAAATAGAGCTCTGCACCTCCCAACTTCAAAGGATTGAGGTGGGTGTGTGATGACAGATGGTGCTAAATCAAAAGGCACATTGATTCTCTCTGCCGTGGTAACAAATGATGCCCAATGCTCTGTGGTTTGCAGCAACAAAGCTTCGCTTCTGTTGGATGTGACTTTGCTTGGGATACAGGGTGAAGGAACCCCTGTTTACAACGTGCTACTCTTATGGCAAAGGGCTTCTGTTTAAATGTGGCATAAGTTATATCTATTTCCACTTTATTGGCCAAAGCAAGTTACATGGCCAAGCCCTATGTCAATAGGACTGGGCTGTATATTCTTTTTCTCATAAGAGACACTGAATATTCATGGAAACAGGCAGGACATACACTTCTTTTGTACAAAGGGAGAATAAAGAGTTGAGAGCAATAACACAATCTACCCCCAAAGTTTTTCTATGGCCTTGCAGCCTAAAAACCATCAAACCCATTTCTCCTGCCTCCCTAGTTGTAGGAGAAGGAAGGATTAAGAAAGGAAAAATATAAAATGCTGTTGTGATCACTTAAATCAGGGGTAGAAAAATCAGGGACGTGGAAAATCAGGGGCACAGATGGATCAAACATCTCCCTCTCCATTTGTCACTTTGGGAGTTAAGAAGGTGTGTTGTTGAGCCAGCAAAATCGCAGCTGTCAAAGAATGTGGTTTTACGCACCACAGCTTTGGCACTAGATTGATAATGTGGTAGACTGCATTATTATTTCCCACTTTTCACTGCCCCTCTATGTGAGTGGGTTATGCTTCTCTACCCTAGGGATATCAAGATTGGCCATGTGACTTGCTTTGTCCAATGAAATGTGAGCAGAAGTTCTGTAGGTATCTTGGAAGCTATTGCGTTGTTCTGCTATATCTATATATTTTTTACCTCTTCCACAAGAACACCAGTGTCTCAAACAGCCTGATCATGGGAAGAAGGAGCTATTTGAAACAGAGCTGTAGCTCTCATGCAAGGTGAGCAAGGAGATAAGCTTTTTTGTTGTAAGTCACTGAGATTTGGGAACTGTTTGTTACTGTAGCACAATCTAATAAAAAATGAAAGCCAGTTGAAACAAATAATAATAAAAAATTTGAAATTTATTGATAGCCTACTTTTGCCAGATATTGTTCTTGGTCTTGTGCATGTATAGACAGAATGTTTGTTTCCCCCAAAATTCATGCTAATTCTTAATGTCTAATGTGATAGCATTTGGAGGTGGGATTCTTGGAGGTGATTATGTCATGGTGGTAAAGCCCTCATGAATGGGATTAGTGCCCTTAGGAAAGAGACCTCAGAGAGCTTACTCAGCTCTTCCAGCATGTGAAAATGCAGTGAGATGATTGTCGTTTGTGATCCAGAAAGCCAGTCTTTACCAGATACTGAATCTGCTGGTGTCTTAATCTTGGACTTACAGCCTACAGATCTATGAGAAATAAATTTCTACTGTTTATAAGCCACCCAGTTGATATTATTTTGTTATACCTGAACAGACTAAGATTCTCATCTAATCTCCCAACAACCTGAGAAGGAAGAAACTATTTTAATCTCCATTTTACAAATGAGAAACATGAGACACAGAGAGGTTGACTAACATTGTCAAGGTCACATATAGAAAGTAAAAGGACACCTGAGACACAAACTCAAGCAGTCTGGCTGCAGAGCACCCAGTATGAGACAAAGTGAATCTTATATTTAGTAGAAAGAGTGTGCTTCACTAGGAATCTATTCATCTTATTAAGAAGGTCTTCAAATAGAACCAGTGGTGTGCAGAGTGGGAAGAAGAGACTGAAACTCATTGTGTTGGTTAGAATACAGATCATACTGATTAAAAAGAAAATCCAAAATGCAGTGTTTCAAACAAGAGAGAAGTTGGCATTTCTCCAGGGAACAGTTAGGTATGAGCATTCCAGAGCTGGGGTGGCTCTAGAATGCAGGCTCATTCAGGAAGTCAGTTCCTTTGACTGGGTTGCTCTGCCATCCCTTTAGATACTGTATTTGTTCATACAAGGTCAGAGCTTGCTGGTCAGCAACACATCTGTATTCCAGCCTAAGGAAAAAAGGAAGAAAGGTGTAAGCAGGCCTTTTTCTGAACTCAGGAGACCAGGACAGAGATACAATTATAGGCCCACATGCTATTTGTCTAAATATTTCCAAATTATTAAACAAGCAAAAACACTGCCAACGAACCTACTGTTTTGACAGGTATACCTTCTTAACTGCCTGGAAATCCAGGGGCAAATTTAGGATTCTCAGACCTCTTGGAATTCTGAGCTGGACAGGACAGTATAGGGAGAATTCACACCTGACCCTGAGCCTATGGCTGACCACTTGTTCTCCCCCACTGCAGCTCCATCCTGCACAGCCAGCATCCTTGTGTACAAGGTATAGACACTCTTGTCTGTATACCTCCCCACTATACAGCTGTTCCTCAGTGAGCCTTCATCCTAGGAGTGAACGAACTGGTGGCATGGTTTACACTCAGGAGGATAGATCCACAGAAGAGCTCATGCAGGCTCTGGAAGCAGGTTCAGAGACATTTGGGCAAGGAATTCTAAGGTTCCATGGACTTAAAGCTTGGTCTAGAAGAACCATATGGAGGTGAGCAGGTCCCTTTGGTCCTGCAGAATTCTCACCCTATAGGGAGGGACACATCCAGAATAGGGCCTTGAAAAGTACAGGCCTCATGGAAGGCAATCCTGTTGCCTGGGTCTAAAAGTGGTACCAAATGCAAATAATTACTTTTTTTGGAATTTGGCATGGAAGTTGGTAACATAACTTCTGCTCACATGTAATTGGCCAGTACCCAGTCACATGACCACACCTAGCTGCATGGGAGGCTGGGAAATGTCCAGCTGAGCAGCCATGTGCCCAGCTGAAATCTTGGAGGACATTATATTACTAACATTGAAAAGAGGGTAATGGATAATGAAGGTAGGGGTAATCAGTGGCATACAAGAAGAACAAGTGAAAAAGGAGGAAATTCTCATAATTTTCAGGTGAAACTAATAAGGAAGTAGGTCAAAAATAATATTCATGGTTTTGCATACCAAGGCACAGAGCAGTTCTTCAGTGATACATCAATATATCTTAATTTATCATGAGGTAAGTTATATTTTGTTACTAATAATACTGTAATGCCCAATAGGTTCACCTTGCCCACTGCCTAGACAAAGCTGATTTATCAAAACAGGGGAATTGCAATAGAGAAAGAGTAATTCACACAGAGCCAGTTGTGTGGGAGATCGGAGTTCTATTATTACTCAAATCAGTCTCCACGAGTATTCAGGGAGCACAGTTTTTAAGGACAACTTGGTGGATAGGGGGAAGCCTGTAAGCCAGGAGTGCTGATTGGTCAGGGATGAAATCATAGGGAGTTTAAGCTGTCTTCTGGCACTGAGTCAGTTCCTGGGTGGGGTCACAAGATCAAATGAGCCAATCTGGGTGGTGCCAGCTGATCCGTCAAGTGCAGGGTCTGCAAAATATCTTAAGCACTGATCTTAGGAGCAGTTTAGGGAGGGTCAGAATCTTGTAGCCTCCAACTGCCTGCCTCCTAAACCATAAATTCTAATCTTGTGGCTAGTGTTAGTCCTACAAAGGCAATCTAGTCCCCAGGCAAGAAGGAGGTCTGCTTTGAGAAAGGTCTGTTACCGTCTTTGTTTAAACTGTAAACTAAGTTTCTCCCAAAGTTAGTTCAGCATACACCCAGGAATGAACAAGGACAACTTGGAGATTAGAAGAAAAATGGAGTTGATTAACTTAGATCTTTTTCACTGTCTCAGTCATAATTTTGCAAATGTGGTTTCAATACAATACAAATTTTGTGAGTTTTTTTTAAGTTACGTTAGTTTCAAGTTATCCATATCAAGTCAATTAAGTCATTTCTGTGAGGCATATAGAGATAGAGTTCAAGCTATTTTATAAAGCCTAGGGCTGATATTATCTATACTAGGGCCAGTTATGAGCTTCTATGTCTGAAATGTATTGCTAATAGTTATGTCAGAGATGTTCAAACCAGAGCAACTCCATTTTGAGTGAGGGCAAGGAAAGTGAGGCTGAGACTTGCTGGGCTGCATTCTCAGAAAGAAAGGTATTCCCAGCCTCTAGATGTTTACTGTTAAGGGAACAGATTAATAATGTTTACTAAACAGACCCAGACTTGGGAGTGTCCTAATATCCCAATATCTGGAGAACAAAGGCATTCCTAATTTTGCTTTGAAGATAATAACATCAATTCTTGCAAAATATAGTAATTACGAAAATTAATTTTTTATCACAAACCCTTGTAGCAGAGCACATCTCCTCATATATACAAGTATCGTACCCAGGGTGGATGCGTTCCTTCTCCTACTTTCAGGAATGTCCTACTCTGTCTATGGAGTAGCTGTCGTTTCACCACTGTACTTTCTTAATAAACTTGCTTTTGCTTTGCACACTGGACTCTCCCTGAATTATTTCTTGCATGACATCTAAGAACTCTCTCTTGGGGTCTGGACTGGGACCCCTTTTCTGTAACATATTTCTGGAGACCACAGAAGAGACGATACTGAAGAAACCCCTCCAACCCAAAGGAAATAGACTGCAGCAATGATTGGACGACTTTGGATAAGTGCGGGGGTACCTGGGTAAAGAATAGGATGGGGTTAGGGGAGGTAGAGTCTCTCCAAAGACAGAATGGGTTAGACGCCTCTCTTAATAAAAAAAGGCAAGGACGCTTGACTGACCTTGGATTAGAGGCCCAACTTAGGAGGGTTAGAGTCCCTTCTAAGATTTAGGGGGTTACAGGCTCCTCTCAGTAAAGTCCTTCTTGGCTGAAAATGGGTTTGGCACCACAGGCTATGCTCTTCATATTAATCTGCCTTGTCCTCCTTGCTGCATACATCAATTTCTTGGTTGTTGTCTGTGTTTCACTGTCATTTTCAGGAGACTTTATTTAACTAGTCTTAGGAATTTTACCTTACTCATTTCCTATGCGCCTCCCGATTTCTGTCCACTCGCTTGTGAAACATTGGGAACAAAAATCATTGAAGGCTCCATCTCTAAAATTGCTGATTGAGATCGATATTTAACAGCTATGAGCAATAAGATTAGATAGATGTAGCTATGTTTTGTTGCTGCTATGCAGACTACATGTGATCGAGAAGCACTAGGATGGAAATCAGGGAACTTTTCTCTTTGCTGTTTTGTCTCATTTTGCACATGAAAAAACTTCTTTCCTTTCCTGGATTCGGGCAAACTGGCTTTACTTGTCCAATCCACACTGCCACTATTGGCCAGAAGCTGCTTGCTCTGGTCATTCCCATCTAAATCCTCTTCATTTCCTTTGCCTTATTCAACCTTTTTTTCAAAGACCTTGTGATTTATTTAAGATTCATGTCTCAGCTCACTAATATTATATGGGCAATGTGAATCATGTTTGATGAGAGGAAAAGAAGAAAAAGATCTAGACATACTAGATGATCCTTTAATGCAACGCCATCCCCTGCCCACCTCCCACCCCCTGCCCCGGAATTGGCAGGCAGTTTCGGGTGGAGCAACACTTCCTTCTGTCAACTCTGAAGGTTCAGATGTGTTGGTCCTTTCTCCCTCTAGTCCACCTGAAAGTTGTATTGAGAACAATTCGCCCCCTCCTTCTTACCCACGTAGTCCCACTCTACACCCACCACTCCCTAAGGAGCTTAGCCCAGTGAGTACTACTCATAGTGGAGCCTCCTATCAACCTCCAAAGCGAAACCTTTGTCCACTTAGAGGTGGCAAATGGGGAAGAAGGCACTGTGAGGGTACATGTTCTCTTTTCCATGTCTGATTTGGCTCTATGCAAAGAGAAGTTTGGTCATTTATTTGAAGATCCAAGAAAATTCATATATAAGTTTGAAAAATTAACTCTGACCTATAGTTTAATTTGGCAGGATCTGAATGTTTTGTTGTCTCTGTGTTGTACAGTGGAAGGGAAACAATGCATTTTGGGGACAGCTAGGACCCACATAGTTGAGGTATTGGCTTGCAACCCAAACTATACAATATATTAAGCAGGAGGTACAGGAGTTCTAGATCAAGATCCAGAGTGGAACTCTTAACGGAGCAGTGAGGACTTGGAGAGGAGAAATCATAGGGTCACTTGTTTGTTGGAAGAGATGAAGAAATGTATGAAAAAGCCTGTTATCTATTAAAAGGTTAAGGAAGTTTCTCAGGGCAAAGATGAGAATCCAGCTTTGTTTCAAGGGTGTTTAGTTGAGGCCATCAGGAAATATACTAACACTGATCTTGCCTCAAGGGAAGGACAGACCCTTTTGGGAGCACATTTTAGAACCTAGTCTGCCCCTGATATTCATAGGAAACTACAAAAAGCAGCTATGGGTCCCCAAACTCCTATAGGACAGCTTTTGGACATGGAATTTTTAGTTTTTAATGACAGGGACAAAGCAGAGGAAGCCGAAAGAGAAAGAAGGACTTCCCACAAGGTGCAGCTCTTGGCTGCAGCCTTAAGCTCACTTCCTACATGGGGTTACCCTCCTGGCTCTTGGCTTGAACAAGGGGAGCTGAAAGGTGGGAAGCCCAAAGCTGGGCATCTAAGTCACTGCACCTTGAGCATAAATCAGTGTACACACTGTAAAAAAACTGGCCACTGGAAGAGGGGTTGCCCAGATTCTGAAGGGAGCCATCGGCACCCAAACCAATCATGGCCAAAATAGCCAGGCAAGCCCAAGAGTAACAAGAGTAACAAGGTCTTGTGAAGCAAGACCTTCCATCACAGCTCCTGTTGGACAACATATATCCAGAGGAGCCTTGGTAACGCTTGACATGGCAGGTAAGAACATTAACTTCCTTCTGGACTGCTTACTTTGTTTTGACCCATTATAATGGGCTTCTGTCACCCCAAAACTGTGTGGTCAAGGGGATAGATGGACAAGCCCATAGACTTCACTTTACCTATCCTCTAAGCTGATCTTCAGGGAGTTTGGTTTTCTCCTGAATGCCCCATTCCCTTGTTGTTGACTCAAATGCAAACAGTGGTATCTTTTGGAAATCAGGAGGCAGACAAGAAATTCCTCCTTCTCCTTTCCTGTGAATAAATATCAGGCTTTATTGCTAGACACTCCTGATATAAGACTTAAAGTATGTCAAACTTTGAATCCAGCTACCTATTTGCCTGAACCCACAGGCACCCTAGATCATTCTTGTTTACAAGTTATGGAGAAAGTTTACTCCAGCCATCCAGATTTAAAGGATGAGACTCTAGATAATCCTGAGGTAGAATGGTTTACAGATGGAAGTAGCTTTGTGCACCAGGGAAACAGGAAAGCTAGGTATGCTGTTGTCAGTCAATAACAGGTAACTGAATCTCAGGCCTTACCAGCTTCTACCTCAGCTCAAAAGGCAGAATTAATAGCTGTTATTAGAGCCCTGCAATTGGGAAAGGACTTAAGAATTAACATTTACACTGATTCTGAGTATGCCTTTCTGGTACTTCATGCTCATGCTGCTATCTGGAAGGAACAGGGACTCCTAACTGCTAAGGGTTCTCCTATAAAACATCACTTAGAAATTCTAAATCTATTGGGTGCTGTTTTGCTGCCCAAGGAAGAAGTTGTAATCGGTTGCAGAGGACATCAAAAAGGAGACTCTAGTGTGGCTAAGGGAAATTCTTTTGCAGATGCAGCTGCTAAGGCAGCAGCGTTAAAGGAGCTAGTTGGACTTGTCCGCATGCTAATGTCCTAAGCCAGGATAATGACAGAACCTAGGTATACTAAAGAGGAACAAGAATGGGCTAAAGGCCAGGGTTTAATGCAAGATCCTTCTGGCTGGCTTATCCATGACAACAAACAGTTAATACCAGGTGCTCGTCAGTGAAAAATAGTTAACATTTTCATGACTGTACTCATTTGGGAAGAGATTCCCTGTTTCAATTAATGTCCCAGCTTTTTATAAGAAAAGGCTTACTTAAAACAGTAAAGTGGGTAACTCGGGCCTGTGAACTGTGTGCCCAGAATAACCTAAATAATCAGTCTTTACCTCCTCCTCTAGTAAGGCCTGTTCTGCATAGGGGAACATACCCTGATGAAGATTGGTAAACAGACTATACTCAGATGTCCCCATGTAAAGGGTTTAAATATTTATTAATATTCATTGACACCTTTATGGGTTGGATCAAAGCTTTTCCCACCCGGTCTGAAAAGGCAAATGAGGTTTCTAAACTCCTACTAAAGGAAATAATTCCTAGATTTGGGCTGCCTAGGAGCTTACTGAGTGATAATGACCTATCTTTCACAGTGACAATTATCCAAAACATATCTTCAGCCCTAGGAATTCAGTACCGCTTTCACTCACCATGGAGGCCACAGTCTTTGGGAAAAGGAAAAAGAGCTAATCAAACTCTAAAAAGGACTTTTGCTAAACTACGCCAAGAGACATCAGAAACCAGGCTGTCTTTATTACCTGTAGCCTTATTATAGGTTCAAGTGGCCCGTAAGGGAAATCTGCAGCTCAGCCCTTTCGAAATAATGTATGGAAGGCCTTTCTTAACTACAGACCTCTTAATAGACATAGATAATTTCAAGCTACAGAATTATGTGATCAACTCAAGACAAGTGAAAAACGCACTCCTTGAATATGGAAATCAAAGACTCCCTTCCCCACTAAGGAAGAACTAAGGTGGTGGTTACAATCCAGCTGGGAGACTGTGTCCTATTAAAAACTTGGAAGGAAGGATGCCAGCAGATCAGCTTTCCCCAAAATGTGAGTGACCCCAGCAAGTTCTCCTTAGCATCCCAACTGCAGTTAAACTTCTGGGAATAAACAGCTGGGTCCACTTATCTCAAATTAAACCTGTCTCTTATGAAGTCCCACAGGCCAACGGAACACAAGAGACTGATTCTGTTTATTCCTATGAGCCAATCAGTGATCTCCGACTCCCGTTCAGAAAAAATGAAAGGGATGGGTAACATAAAGATATGGATTGGCATTCCACCTTTGGATATAACTTGGAATCATGCAGACAGTAACTTATTTACTGATGGGCATAGACTTTAGCCTCTCTACATAATCAGACAAACTGTTGGGTATGTGGATATTTTAACAGTGGCCCAAGGGGGAACTTGTTCCTTGATCAAAACTGAATGTTGTGTGTATGCTCCAAACTATTCACATAATATTACCCAGGCTATGAAAGCTGTAGACACTCATATCTCTGCCACTGATGCACTATCAGTTGACCCTGTATATGCTTGGTTCCAACAACTGCCCAGTTCTTGGAAAGCCTTTCTGTTTAGTTTACTTGGAATGATTTTATTTATTTTGCTTTGCTGTTGTGGAATATATTGCAGTTGTATTCTTTGTGTAGGAATGCAAGACACACTCACTCAATGCTTTCTTAAATTGGACACTTATTAATCTTTCAGATATCACCTTTTGTCAGAACTTGGCGTTATGAATGACCTTCACCATACCAACACTCTCTGACTGAGCTTCTCTCTACCCTGAATGCAAGAGAACCTAATAGTTAGGCAGGAATATCATCGCCCCCATTCAGCCTGAAGAAGTTACAGAAGATGGATCTTCATCCCTCTGCAACCCTTAGGATTAAGGATCCTCTTGTAAAGGGAGGGGGAGATATGTCAGAGGCATTCAAACCAGAGTGACTCCATTTTGAGTGAGGGCTAGGAAAATGAGGCTGAGGCTTCCTGGGCTGCATTCTCAGAAAAAAAGGTATTCCTAGCCTCTAGATATTTAAGGTTAAGGGAGCAGATTAATAATGTTTACTAAACAGACCCGGACTTGGGAGTGTCCTAATATCCCAATATCTTCAGAATGAAGGCATACCTAATTTTGCTTTAAAGATAATAATATCAATTCTTGCAAAATATAGTAATTAAGAAAACTAATTTTTTTTTATCACAAACCCTTGTAGCAGAGCACATCTCCCCATATATACAAGCATTGTACCTAGGGTGGATTTGTTCTTCCTTTTATTTTCAGGTACGTCCTACTCTGTCTATGAAGTAGCTGTCCTTTCACCACTGTACTTTCTTCATAAACTTGCTTTTGCTTTGCACTGCGGACTTGCCCTGAATTCTTTCTCACGCAAGATCCAAGAACTCTTTCTTGGGGTCTGGATTGGGACCCCTTTCTTTTAAGAGTTACAACAATTATAAATTGTTACAAGCCTCTACTTCTCCCACAAAAGTGAGGTGTTGGGTCAGAATCTCAATATGCTCCTGTTTGTGTGTATTATAAATGAGTATCATGTGCTATGTGTATCATTATATAAAACAAATTGGAAATAAGTGGCATAACATGACAAAATGACATTAAAATCTTAACACAAGGAAATAATTATGATCTGTATTAAGGACCAAAACAGTAACTATAATATGACTGTCACTTGAAGAATGAGGTTTATACATTTGGAAAAAAGAACTTTATTTCTCAATAAGGGTTTGAGCCTACAGGGTGGCCATTCTGACAGGCTGGGTGGTGTAGCCTCTGGCCAGAAGCCAGAAAGAGACACCTCAAGGGTAAGAAGAATAAGACAGAGATTTATGCCGAATCAGGTGAGCAAATATACCTATTCAATTAGTTACATGATGAATCATGAATATTTATGAAAGGAGAAAAGCGTGCATTTACAACTGAGCTGAAGCCTCTCCTTGGGACCCGTGTTAAAAAAAGAAAATGGCAATTGTAGCATGATCCAAGGGAGGCATTTTCAGCCCTCTGACATCAAAGCTTGAAGCAGAGGACACAAAAACCCTCATTGCACATCCTCCATTAACCAGCCAGAAGCACTCCTGGTCATTGGCCTCCTATCAGGAAGGAATGCTGGTCAGTTGTTTTGTTGAAACTGCAAAAGGGAGAGGTAGCATTAGACAGTTGGTTGATATCAGAGATGCAGCAAGTCTTTCCAAAGGGCTGGTTTCTTTCATTTTAACTCTTAGGGAAGACCCAAGGAGAAAATATAATGAGGTATGTCTGACCTCCCATCCCATCATGGCTGGGAACTCAGTTTTCAAGGTTTCTCTGGGGTCCCTTTGGCCAACATGGTGTTCATTCAATTTGTTGGGGGCCTTAGGATTTCATTTTCCTACCATGGGTAGGACATTTCATTGTCCATTTTGAAAAATGACTGGGTATTCTTCAAAAGAAATATGTATAGTAGGAGAACAGAGGTCAGCATTGCATGCCAATAAGATGTACATCTGGATGTAAATCCATGAATATGAAATTGTAAGTTCAGTGGTCATTATTTGAAAGAGGCTATGAGGGGAGAGCAAGCCCAATGGCTCAATTGTGGAAGTTTACTGCTGATATCCAACTAAATAGCAGAATGAATGAGATATTATAATGCAAATTAAGCACATACACATGAACAAACACAATTAGCAAGAAGGAGTGGTGATGGGGGCCCTCAGCTATGCAGATCCCTGCAGGAAGTCTTGGTCTGCTCGAAGATTATTAGGCAAATTCTTGATTACCATGTTGAAAATGTGAACTCTCTCAGAAGTCAGGAATAATCAGGGAAATGGTAACTGTTTACTTGGTGCCAATCAAAAATTTAAAATTGACCACGGAAGTAAAAGTGAGTCTGGAAAGAAAATTCTCCTTCCACCATGATTATAAGTTTCCCGAGGCCTCTTAACAGGCTTCCTGTTAAGCCTGCAGAATTTTGAGTCAATTAAACCTCTATTCTTCATAAATTATCCAGTCTCATGTAGTTCTTTATAGCAGTGTGAAAATAGACTAATACAAAAAATGGGTACCAGGAAAGTGGGACATTGTTATAAAGATAACTGAAAATGAGGAAACGGCTTTAGAACTGGGTAATGGGCAGAGGTTGGAACAGTTTGGAGCACTCAGAAGCCGGAAGATGTGGGAAAGTTTGGAACTTTCTAGAGACTTGCTGAATGGTTGTGACCAAAATGATAACACTCATGTGGACAGTGAAATCCAGGGTGAAGTGGTCTCATATGGAGATAAGGAACTTATTGAGAACTGTAGTAAAGGTCACTCTTGCTTTGCTTTAGCAAAGAGACTGGTGGCATTTTGCCCCTACCCTAGAGATCTGTGGAACTTTGTACTTGAGAGAGATGATTTAGGATATCTGGCAAGAGAAATTTCTAGGCAGCAAGGCATTGAAGATGTGGCCTGACTGCCCCTATCAGTGTAAGTTGTGAAAGGAAGGTAAATCTTGGGGCCCCAAAATTACTAAGTTAAAAAGTGAAAAGTCAAGCTGGGAACTACTTAGGGCAAACCTGACTCCCATTCTATTTAAAGTTATCTCTCTGCTCACTGAGGTAAATGCATACCTGATTGCCACCTTTGGAAAGGCTAATCAGAAACAAAAAAATACAACGGTTTGTCTCTCATCTACCTGTGACCTGGAAGCACCCTCCCTACTTGAGTTGTTCTGCCTTTCTGGACTGAACCAATGTACATTTTACATATATTGATTGATGTCTCATGTCTCCATAAAATGTATATAACCAAGCTGTGTCCCGACCACCTTGGGCACATGTCATCAGGACCTCCTGAGGCTGTGTCATGGGTGAGTGTTCTCAATCTTGGCAAAATAAACTTTCTAAATTAACTGAGACCTATCTCAGTTACTCAGGGTTCACATAGTCATACGTATTTACAAAGAGATGGTCTGAAATTAGAACTTATGTTTAAAAGGAAAGCAGAGCATAACAGTTTGGAAAATTTGCAGCCTGACGGCTGCAGAAATTTGCATAACTAAAGAGAAGCTGAATGTTAATAGCCAAGACAATAGGGAAAATGTCTCCAGGATATTTCAGAGATCTCTGCTGAGCTCCTCCCATCACAAGCCCTGAGGCTTGGGGAAAAAATTACCTTCATGGTCCAGTCCCAGAGCCCAGTCGCTCTGTGAAGCCTCAGGATATGATACCCTGTATCCCAGCTGCTCCAGCTCCCACTGTAGACTAAAAGGGGCCAAGGTACAACTTAGTTCATTGATTCAGGGGATGCAAGCCCCAAGACTTGGTGGCTTCCACGTGCTGTTGGGTCTCTCTCTCTCTCTCTCTCTCTGTGTGTGTGTATGTGTGTGTGTGCAGAAAGCTAGTGTTGAGGTTGGGGAATCTCCACCTAGATTTCACAGGATGTATGGAAATACCTGGATGTCCATGCAGAAGTCTGTTGCAGGGGCAGAGCCCTCATGAAAAACCTCCAGTAGGGCAGTGTGGAGGGGAAATGTGGGGTTGGATCCCTCAAACAGAGTCCCCACTGGAGCACTGCCTAGTGGAGCTGTGGGAAGAGGGCCACTGCCCTCCAGGTCCCAGAATGGTAGATCAACTGACAGCTTGCACCATGTGCCTGCAGGCAATCAATGTCAGCCCATACAAACAGCTGCAGGGACTGTACCCTGAAGAGCCATAGGGGCAGAGCAGCCTAAGGCCTTGGAGCCCACCCCTTACATGAGTGGAGCCTGGATGTGAAACATGGAGTCAAAGGAGATTATTTCAGAGCTTTAAGATTTAATGACTGCCCTGCTGGCTTTCACACCTGCATGGGGCCTGTAGCCCCTTTGTTTTGGCTAATTTCTCCCATTTGGAATGGGAGCATTTATTCAATGCCTGTGCCCCCATTGTATCTTGGAAGTCACTAACTTGTTTTTATTTTATTTTATTTTATTTTATTTTATTTTATTTTATTTTATTTTACAGGCTCATAGAAGAAGAGACTTGCCTTGTCTCAGATGAAACTTTGGACTTGAGATTTTGGGTTAACTCTGGAATGAGTTAAGACTTTGGGGGACTGTTGGGAAGGCATGATTGTGTTTTGAAATGTGAGAAGGACATGAGATTTGGGAGGGGCTGGGGCAGAATGATATGGTTTGTCTTTGTGTCCCCACTCAAGTCTCATCTCTAATTATAATCCCCACATGTCAGGGCAGGGACCTGGTGAGAGGGATTGAATCACTGGGGCAGACTTCCCCCTTGCTTTTCTCATGATAGTGAGTCCTCATGAGATCTGGTTGTTGGAAAGTGTGTGGAACTTCCCCACTTTGTGCTATCTTTGTATCTTTCCTGCTCTTCCATGGTAAGATGTGCTTGTGCCATGGTTAGATGTGCTTGCTTTCCCTTCTTCTTCCACCATGATTGTAAGTTTCCTGATGCCTCCCAGTCATATTTCCTGTTAAACCTGCAGAACTGTGAGTCAATTAAACCTCTTTTCTTCATAAATTACCCAGTCTCAGGTAGTTCTTTATAGCACTGTGAAAATGGACTAATTCAGACACCTTCCCTATCAAAAGATGGCCACGAAGAATCTTGATGAAGAGGACATCAAGACTGAGGATGTAGCAGGAGCAAAGTAAAGAAAGCCTTTCTGGCTCTATGAGGAAGTCTCCAAATTTAACTTTTAAATAAATGTGTAACAGAAGATATGTGGGTCATGAAAGCTTGGACAAATACAAAAAGTGGGGCATGTTTCTATCAAAATATTGTTGAGAGGGCTAACTTCTGAAATGTGGCAAGTTTTGTTTAAAATAATTTAATTAGCAGAAGGACAAGTGACAGCAAAGATAAGGAGTGAAGGAGAGAATAGCTGGGATCAGGTACAAGGAGGGATTTTTAAATAATGGTGGAAATTAACATGATTCTAGGCAAAAGAAACATCAGTGAGAAGGTGAAAAACATATTAGTTCAGAGTATGTCTTTGTCTGTTCAGCCTTCTATAAAAAAATACCATAGACTGGGTGGCTTAAACAACAAACACTTATTTTGCACAGTTTTGGAGGCTTAAGAAGTCCAAGATCAAGTTGCCATCAGATCAGATGTCCAGTGAGGGCTCCCCTTCCTGGTTTGCAGATGGTCACTCTCTTATTGTGACCACACATGGTGAAGAGGAGAGGGGGAAAAAGCAATCTCTCTCTGACTTTTCTTATGTGGTCACTAATCCCATCAAGAGGGCTCCATACTTCTAATTTTTCCTGTCTTAACATGTTTTGTGCTGCTATAACAGAATACCATAGAATGGGTGATTTATAAATAATACAAATTTATTTTTCATAGTTTTTGAGGCTGAGAAGTCCAAGATCAAGATGCAGCATTCTCACATGGCAGAAGACAAAAGAGCAAGAGAGAACCAACTCCCTCCATCAAGCTCCTTTATAAGGGAACCTAATCCCATTCACAACAGAGGAGCCCTCATGGCCTAATCACCTCTTAAAGTACCACTTCTTAATACTATCACACTGGCAAAACCTGAATTTTGGAGAAGATTCATTTAAGTCATAGCATTCTATCCCTGACACCCCAAAATTCATGTTCTTCTCATATACAAAATACATTCATTTAATCCCAATAGCTCCCAAAATTCTTAATTCATTCCAGCATCAACTTTAAAGCCTAGTTCAAAGTTTCATCTAAACATCATATGGGTGAGACTGAAGGTGTAATTCATCCTTATATGGTGATGGAAAATTTGGAAATTTGGAGGCAAATTTCCCTCCAACTGTAAGCCTGTGCAATCAAACAAGTTATGTGTTTCCAAAATACTGTGATGGGACAGTCATAGGAAAGACGTTTCCATTCCAAAATTGAGAATAGAAAAGAAGAAAGGAGTAACACATCCCAAGTAAGTCCAAAACACAACAGAGCAGGCAACATTAAATCTTAAAGCTTAGAATAATCTTCTTAGGCTTCATATCCTACCTTCTAGACACTCTGGGGCAGGGGTTGGGCCCCAAGTCCCCAGGATAGCCCCACCCCATCCTCATAGCTTTGCTGAGTACAGCTAATGCTTCAGATCTCATGCATTGAAATTTCATGCCTACAGCTTTTCCAGGTTGTTGCTGCATGCTGGTATCTCTACAGGTCTGGGGTACAGGGACAACCCTGCTTGCAACTCTACTAGGCATTACCCTAATGGGGACTTTCTGTGGCAGCTCTGCCACGGTGCTATGTCTCAGCCTGGGCCCCGAAACTGTCCAAGGTATCTTTTGAAATCTAAGTGGAGGAAGCCATGACTCCACAGCTGTTTTGCTCTTTGGGGCTGCAGAATTTGCACCACGTAGATGCTTCCAAGGTACACCACTTGCACATTCCAGAGAAGTGACCCGAGCAGCATCTAGGTCTGCTTGAGCCACAGGTGGTGCAGCTGAGGAGCACTGCACAAGAATTCAGGGAACAGACAGTGAGGTGGCCCTGGGCAGTGAGCCCTGAGGCCCCAGTTGTTCCTGGGCCCCTCCCTTTAAGCCATTCTTCCCTCAAGGACCTAGCACTCTGGCCTGTGATGGGAGCAGCAGTCTTGAAGCTCTCTAAAATGCCTTAAGGGTCATTCTCCCATTGACTTGATGAATAGCATGTGGCTTCCATATATCTATACTGCTTTCTTTACAAAATGGTCACTTGGGCCACATCCTTGGCCCAAACACGTTTTTTATTCTTTACATGGCCAGGATAATTTTCCAAAGGTTTACATTCTGCTTCCCTTTTGGTTATACATTTTGTCTTTAAATTGTTTCTTTCTTCTCGCATTTCACTATAAGTGGTTAAGAGAAGACACACAGCATCCTGAACACTTGATTGCTTAATGTTTTCTTTTGCAAATATCCTAGTTTATTGCTAAGTTTTGCCTTCCATAAAGTCCTAGGACATAGACAAATTCAGCCATTTTCTTAGCCACTTTATGACAAGAATGAGCTTTCTTGCAGCTTCCAATACCTTGTTCCTCATTTCTGAGACCTCATCAGAATGGCCTTTACTGTCCATATTTCTACCAACATTGTGTTTATAATAATTTAACTCATCTCTAAAAAGAATGAGGCTTTCCTTAGAGCTTTCTTCTTCTGAGCCCTCACCAGAATCACCCTTAATGCTGTGTTCACAGCAAGACAGCTTTTCCTCATGTTCACTTCAAAATTGTTCCTGCTTCTAGTTATTACCCAATTCCAAAGCTGCTAACACAGTTTTAGGTATGTGTTACAGCAACACCCTATGTACCAATTTCTGCCTTAATCTGTTTTGTGCTACTATAACAGGATACCACAGATTGGGTGATTTACAATTAACAGAAATTTATTTCTTATAGTTCTTGAGGCTAAGTCCAAGACCAAGATGCCAACATCTTCACATGGCCGCTGACTAAAGAGCAAGAGAGGGCCAACTCCCTCCGTCAAGCTCCTTTGTAAGGGAACCTAATCCCACTCACAAGGGAGAAACCCTCATGGCCTAATGACTTTTCACTTAATACTGCCACATTGGCACTACCTAAATTTTGGAGGGGACACATTCAAACCATTGCACCTCCCAAAGTCCACATCTCTAAATACCATCACATTGGGGATTAGGGTTTCACATATGAATTTTGGAGGAACACATTCAGTCTGTAGCAAAGTGGTAATGGAGCTTTTATACCTTTTCTTGAAATTATAAGATTCTTATATGCATACATACATATATAGTTACAAACACACATACAGTTATATGTGTAAAGAAAACTAGACTATATCACTAAATGCTAAGTCTCTGTGCAGTGGTTTATGGACATTTTAATTTTTTTAATAATTTTCTACACTTTAAATAATAAATATATGTATTTACTTAAAAATTATACAATATAGAATACATAAAAATTTGTAAAATATCAAACAATAAATGAATAGACAGGCTCCCTTCACCAAAACCTGAGATCTTAGTTTTTTCCTCAGAGCTAATATTCCTTATCAGTTTGGCATGAATCTTTCCAGTTCCTTGTTTAAGCCATTTATCTACACATGGGTTAATTGTGGTCATTTGTATATATAGTACCACACTGAACACTATTCTGCACTTCATTTTTTTCAGTAATGATATTTCTTAGCAGCCTTTCCATTTCACTATATATAGAATTACTTTTTAATGTAATCATTCATTCATTCAACAAATGTTAAGCACTTTGATGACAGGTTTCAATGTTTGCTGTATATTTTGTAACTTTAGGCCTTTGATTGCTACATTAAAAAAAGTTTTAACTGCTGTAAAGAATTGCAAAGTATGAAATTGCATCAGATTATGTTTACCCTTTCTCTACTGATGAACATTTTGATAAAAAATTTTTCTTTATTACAAACAAAAATTCTTAAACATATATTTTCAAGCAACTGTGTGACTATAACTCTAGACAAGTAGAATCGCTGCTTGGAAGGGAATACAGTAAGTCCTCAGTGTCATTGATAGGTTCTTGGAAACTTCAATTTTAAGGGAAACAACATATAACAAAACCAATTTTTTTTCTCATCAGTGTTATAATGTAACATCACCGAAGGAAATCTTATTCAACGACTTGCTATACGTTGTTTCACTTAAAGTCACCATTTCCAGAAATTTGTCCATGATGTTAAGTGAGGGTTTACTATATACTATTAACTAGTATAATAAAAGAGTCTCTCAAATCATAGCCAAAAATACTTCACAAATTCATATTCTTAACCAGCAATGTATGTGATTTTTCTATGCCTTGGATAACAATGATATTTTAAAAGTATTTATTGAGCACTTACTATGTCTCAGGCACTAAGTGCTCTGCATATATCAACTTACTTATTCATCAAAACACTGCTGTGTGGTAGGTACTATTTTTATCTTCTGTTTACAGGTGAGGAAATAGATGCCAGGGAAATTAAGCAAATGCTCAAAGTAACACAGTTGGGAAATGGTGAAGCTGGAATACTAACTCAGGCAACATGACCCTAGAGCTTACATTCTGCCAGTTAAACGGAAGAAAAATGAAATGTTGTTTTTATTTGAATTCTCTGGACAATCTGAGCTCCTCTACTGTGTTTTAAGTTTGCTGGGCTTTCATTTCCCTCTTCTAAGAATCTCCCATTTGTAACCATTGCTTATTGTGGCAGGCTACCTCCTAAAATAGAACTTAGTGATCCTTTCCTCCCAGTATCCACACCCTAGTCTAATCACCTGCCCTTGAATCTGGGATGAACCTAAGGATTTACCTCTAACAAACAGAATATTTACAAAATGATGGGATTTCATTTCTGAGATTAGATTACAAAAAATGTGACATCTTGCTGGACCTCTCTCTGGCTGTCTCTCATTTGCTCACTATGATGAGGCCTGCTGCCATGCTGTGAGCTGCCTTTTGGAAAGGCCCAAGTAGCAAAGACAGCTAATAAGGAAATGAGGACCTCATCCCAGCAGTCCACAGGAAGCCACATCCTGCTACAAACGATGTGTGTGATCTTGAATGTGGGTTTTTCTCCAATTGATCCCTGAGGTGACTGAGGCTACACTTTGATACCTTGATTGTTTAATTATCTGTAATTTACTTCCGTAAGTGGGATAGACTAAGGACCTACTTTCCCTTTTCTCCAAGAGGATAGCCAATTGTTGCAACACCATATGATGAAGAGTCTAATTTTTGGTCATTGATTAGGTATATCACTTTCATGTATATGCAAATCTGTTTTTCTTACTTTTTGTCTGGCCAATAATCTATTTGTGTATTTGTGTCTTAATTTTGTCTTGAATTTGATGTGCTGATAGTGTATTTTGATATCTGGTAGTCCAGGTTTTCTCATTACTGTTTTCCAAAACTCTATTATGAAATTGAGAATTAGCTTATAACTTCTGTTAAAAAAATCCTGTTAATATTTTCAATGGAAGTGCATTCAATTTGTAAATTAATTCAGAGTATTGACATATTTATAATATTGTATGTTCCATTCTAGAAACATGATATATTACTTCACTTATCAAATTTTCATTGAAGTTAAGTGAAGTTAATGGTTTCCTTCATGTACATCTTGCACTTGTATTGTTGTTGCTGTTATTATTGGGATCATTTTCCTTCTAACTGGTTACTGCTGCTACATAGGAAAATCATTGATTTGTATATTTCATATTTCGTCATGGGACTTTCTGCCGTTTTTCAGTGGTTGCTGCTGCTCTTAGTTTGTGCTTTGTTGTGTGTGTGTGTTAGTTTAAAACGAGGAATGAGTGCTGAATTTTAGTAAATACTTTTTAGCAGCGATTAAGATAATCATATGGCCTTTATTCTTTATTATCACAATTGGTAGTTTTTTTAACATTTTGAACCATATTTTTGCAGTTTTAGACTAAATTCTATGTAGTTATGATGTAATATTCGGTCAGAACACTACTGAATTTGATTTGCTAACACTTTATTTATGATAGGGATTTGCTGACATTTTATTTAGAACTTCCGCATCTGTATTTAAAGTAAGATTAACTTGCTATTTTCTTTTTTTTGAGACTGAGTCTTGCCCTGTCGCCCAGGCTGGAGTGCAGTGGCGCGATCTGGGCTCACTGCAAGCTCCGCCTCCCAAGTTCACGTCATCCTCCTGCCTCAGCCTCCTGAGTAGCTGCGACTACAGGCACCCACCACCACGCCCGGCTAATTTTTTGTATTTTTAGTAGAGACAGGGTTTCACCGTGTTAGCCAGGATGGTCTTGATCTCCTGACCTCGCGATCCACCTGCCTTGGCCTCCCAAGCTATTTTCTTTCTTTGTACCAACTGAGTCTGGTTTTTAAATAAGTGTTAAGCTAGTTTTAACACTGTGCTAATATGTTTTATTTCTTTTTAATATTCTGATAAGTTTTTGTAACAGAGGACTTACACATTCTTTGAACTTTTTAAAAAATGTCACCTGTAGAGCCATCTGGTTCTGGTGACTTTTAAGGATGTATTGTCTTACTTTTACAATTAAAAATGTTTTCCAAACATGAGACTAAAACAGTTTGGTTTATTTTGATTCCATTTACTACATTTCTAAACTTATTTTTCTCTCAAAAACTTTCTAATAGGCTTATTGTTTTTATTTGGATTAATTTAGTTGCTTAGAAACTTTATTTATTATTTATTTTTATTTTTTTAGACGGAGTTTCACTCTTGTTGCCCAGGCTGGAGTGCAATGGCACGATCTTGGCTCATTGCAACCTCCACCTACCAGATTCAAGCGATTCTCCTGCCTCAGCCTCCCGCGTAGCTGGGATTATAGGCATGTGCCACCACGTCTGGCTAATTTTGTATTTTTGGTAGGGATGGGGTTTCTCCGTGTTGGTTAGGCTGGTCTTGAACCCCCAACCTCAGGTGATCTGCCTGCCTCAGACTCCCAACGTGCTGGGATTACAGGCGTGAGCCACCATGTTTGGCCTATTTTTTTTTATTATAAACTCTTTTGCAAAGTTATTGGCTTTGTATGACACTGTAATATTTCATATTTGGGCTGAATCCATTCACTATTGAAGAAAGACTACTTAAGGTTGATATTTTTGGCTTTAGTTTTCTAAATTAACATAATAATTAATCCTGGAAAATCTGCATACATATTTTAGTATTAAAATTCTATATAAAGTAGAGAAGTGGCCAGGCGCTGTGGCTCATGCCTGTAATCCTAGCACTTTGGAAGGCCAAGGCGGGCAGATCACCTGAGGTCAGGAGTTCAGGAGCAGCCCGGCCAACATGGCAAAACCCTGTCTCTACTAAAAATACAAAATTAGCCAGGTGTGGTGGCAGGCACCTGTAATCCCAGCTACTTGGGAGGCTGAGGCAGGAGAATCACTCGAACCCAGGAGGCAGAGGTTGCAATGAGCCGAGGTCGTGCCACTGTACTCCATCCTGGGTGACAGAGCAAGACTCTGTTTCTCAAACAGATGTGTTCTTGATTCATATGATAATATAGTTGGGGAAAAACATCAGATTAAAACAAAGTGTGTATACACACACACACACACACGAAATATTCATTAAGATTTAAAACCATTGGAAACAGAAAGTATGTGTTACTTTCAATTACAAAACACAAGACTCATAGCAAGGCTTCCCTTCCCTGGGAGACTGAGGAAAGTTGATTTGGGGCCTGCTGATCTGTAATATGGATCATAGATTATTTTCTTCAATGCTTAGGTTCTTTCAGAGGGTGCAATGATTTTGCACTTTACCTGATGAAATTTCACACACTCTGAGCCAGTAACAGGACTTGAGCCTCACACAAAGAAAAACAGATGAGGCAGCAAACCTAAGATGAGGGAAAAGGCAATGGTAGTGTTCCATCAGATATTAACTTAACACATGAAAATCACTTCCATTTACTTTTCTTTTTTTAAATTTATTTTTGTTTTTATTTTGAGACAAAGTCTCACTCTGTTACTCAGGCTGGAGTGCAGTAGAATGAGCTCGGCTCACTGCAACCTCTGCATCCCAGGTTCAAGTGATTCTCCTGCCTCAGCCTTCCAAGTAGCTGGGATTACAAGCATGCACCACCATGCCTGGCTAATTTTTGTATTTTTAGTATAGACGGGGTTTTGCCCCATTGGCCAGGCTGGTCTTGAACTCCTGACCTCAAGTGATCCACCTGCTTCAGCCTCCTAAAGTGCTTGGATTACAAGTGTGAGCCACTGCACCTGGCCCACATCTACTTTTTAAAAAGAATAAATACTAGTTTAAACCATTTTTATTTATTTATTTATTTATTTTTTTACAATAGTGGCATTTATGGTGATAAAACCTTATAGAATGCATTAGAAGTGGTTTGAAGGCTTTGGTGACTTTTTCCCTTTGTGTTTTAGTCTCACCTGTGCTTCCAATCCCTAACTCCCCAGCGTTGCTCACGCAATTCTCCTGAGCATCTTTGAACTACAATTTCATCCTCTTTCAGAGTCTGACAGTCCCTATGAAAGCCAGCATCAAGAACTACTACTACATAGTGTTGAAATTAATCTTACTGTCTTTAGCTTTGTTTGCCTTCTAAATTCAATTATTCTGAACTGTTTTAGTCTGATTATATTGGTCTTACTATTCCAGAACTTGCCTATGATCTGGCTTCTGCCTTGATTTGCTAATAGTACACAAGTTTCCCACACTGGAGCTAAAATTTTTCCCTGGGGACTAACCTTAGTGCAGTCCATTTGGCTGTATCTCTGACCTCTTGCCTGCTTCTCTCAGATCTCTTTCTTACCTCACATCCTCATTACTAGAGATGTGGGTCCTATGTGCAGAAGTTGTATACTTGTTTTCATACACCTGATTTACCAGAACACAGTCATATGGCCTAGCTTCGAAAGGCCTGTGAATTGTAGTCTTTAGATGGGTAGACATATGCTCTCTTAAAACTTGGGTTGGGCTATAGTGACATTGGCAAGATGACAGAATAGAATATAACGTGCTCATATCCCCCAACAACAACAAGAATTCTACACCCATCTACAGAAAAAAGTCTCTCTGTGAGAGCCTTAGAATTTAAGTAGGAGGTTTTGAGATCCTGGTGGAGCCTAAAACCGAGGAAGGCTGATTTGAGAGTGCAGACCAATAACCAGGTAGCAGGGCTGCCAATTGTGCTCCTAGGTTCAAACCCATTCCCCACTGGGCTTGGCTATGGCCCCGTTTGGCCTTGATCTTGTCACCAAAACCATCTGCCAAAGGTTTAGAAGGAATCATGCACACTACTGCCTCAGCAGAAAAGCTTTTCTGCCTGCCATCACTCTCAAGACTGGATCTGACAGTTACCCTATAACTTGGCTCAGCTTCCTCAGCATGGTTCCTACTTATTACTGCACATACAAGGACCCAGAGCAAGACTCACTCATATTTCACATCCATCTAAGCCTCCATAATGTACCTTCTGGTCTCCATCCAAAAGTAGAGACTGAGGGGGCCAGTCTCAGCTTGCTGCACTCAGGGAGCTCGCCCAACTTTGTGGGGAACTGCTGGGGAATGCACACTTGGCTGGGCTACTGGAGAAGCCTCACAGTTGTCTGTCCCACAGCAGATCCTAAGGGGCCAGTTTCCACTCTCTTTCCACAATCAAGGAGACCTTGCCTGAGCAGAAGAATGCTCACAAGCATACACGTCAGGGCCACTAGGCTAAGCCCACTGATTCCCATCCCACAGTTTATCATGAGGGTACAGTCAAAGAACTGTCCCACCTGTTCAGAGACCTGCCATGAAATGCATGCCTGTCTGGGCCAATAGTACAGGCTTTCACACTTGGACCCCTGGGCGTTTTCCTACACAGCCTGGGTACACCCTTTGCATCTTCCCCAGGTCCATCTAGGCCAAGGTGCTGCATCAATCTTAGAGCCCTTGCAAGACTCACAGCAAACATGGGTTCAGGATACCCACTAGTGCTGAAATGGCTTCAGCGATTATGGGCTCTCATAACAGTCAGTCTGCTTAGATTTCTGGACAGGCCCACTGAAGAAAGAGCAACACAAAGGCAAACTTCAAAACTGGAATAAATACCCAACTCTTCAGTGCAAAGACATTGACATATGTCACATAAAATAAGCCCACAAAAATAAGAACATATGTCCGCAAAGATGAGAACAATCAGGGAATTAGGATTTCACTAAATGAACAAAACAAGGTGCCAGCGACAGACCCTAAAGAGATGGAGACAAAAAATTCAAAATAGCTACATTAAGAAAATTCACTGAATCTCAAGAAAACAGAGAAAAGATTCAGAACTTTATTTTAAAAATTTAACAGAGAGATTAAAATGTTAAAAAATGAAACAAAAATTTGGGAGCTGAAAAATACAATGAATGAAATTCAAAAATGCAATAGAGAGCATCAAAAGCAGACTTAATCAAGCAGAAGAATCAGTGAGCTTGAAGATAGACTATTTGAAAATACACAGTGAGATGAAAAAAAAGAAAAAATAATGAAAAGGAACAAAGAAAGCTTACAGGATCTATGGTATTGCATTAACAGAGCAAATATTTGGGTCACTGGATTTCAAGTGGGAGCAGGAAAAGACAAAAGGGTAGAAGTCTTACTCAAAGAAATAACAGAAAACTTTACAAACCTAAAAAAATGTATAAATATCCAGGTAGAGAAGGTTAAAGTTCACTAATCAGTGTCATTCCAAATAAAACTACCCCAATACATATTATAATCAAAATTGTAAAGGTCAAAGACCAAGAAAGGATGCTCAAATCAGTGAAAGAAAAGAAGCAAATAACATATAAGGAAATTCCAATGTGTCTGGCAACAGACTTCCCAGCAGAAACCTTGCAGGCCAGGAGGAAATTGGAATAATAGAATTAGAGTACTAAAAAAACACAAACTGGCAACCAAGAATACTGTACTCAGCAAAGCTGTCATTCAGAAATGAAGGTGAGGCAAAGACTTTCCCAAACAAAAGCTATGCTGAAGCTAGCTTATAAGATATGCTGAAGCTAGTTCTTCATACTGAATGAAAAAGATACTAATGTGTAACAAGAAAACATTTGAAAGCATAAAACTCATTGGTAAAAGTGTATATACAGAAAAATTCAGAATACTCTAACACCATAATTTTTGGTGTGTAAATCACTTATATCTTTAGTATGAAGATTACAATACAAAATTGTTAAAAATAATAATAGCTAAGACAATTTGTTAAGAGATAGGCAAAACTAAGATGCAAGCTGTGATGCCAAACACTCAAAATGTGGAAGGAGAATGAAGGCAAACTGTACAGGGTTTTATGTTTCTTTTTTCTGTTACCAAAGTTAAGTTCTAGTCAGTTTAAAATAACTTGTTATAACTATAAGATGTTCTTGGTAAGCCGGTGGTAACCACAAAACAAAAATCTATAATTAAAATAATCATAAATAATTATATGTAAAATAATTTAATTAAAAATAAAAAGAATCAAAACACACTATTAGAGAAAATCACTTAACTAACAAAGAAAAAGAGTTAGAAAAGAAGAAAGGAAGAAAGAATCTATAAGACAACTGGAAAACAAGTAACAAAATGGCAGTAGGAAGCCCTTGCCTAACAATACTTACCTTCAATGTAAATGGATTAAATTCTCCAATTAAAAGACATAGGTGACTAAATGGATTTTTTTCCAAAGGCCCCAATTATATGCTGCCTATAAGAGACTCACTTCATCTGTAAGGATACTCACAGACTGAAAGTGAAGGGATGGAAAAAGATATTCCATACAAATGGAAACCAAAAAAAGAGCAGGTGCCACTGTATTTACATAAGATAAAATATACTTTAAGCCAAAACTGTAAAAAGAGACAAAGAAGAATGCCATATAATGATACAGGGGTGAATACGGCAAGAGCATTCAACAATTATAAATATATATGCACCCAACATTGGAGTGACTAAATGTAAAAGCAAATTTTAGTAGACCTAAAGGGAGAGAGATACTGCAATACAATTATA
Source organism: Homo sapiens (assembly GCF_000001405.40). Taxonomy (NCBI): domain Eukaryota; kingdom Metazoa; phylum Chordata; class Mammalia; order Primates; family Hominidae; genus Homo; species Homo sapiens. The sequence continues at coordinate 52,329,009 of NC_000004.12, read as the reverse complement.
GTAGGGGACTTCACCATCCCACTTTCAGCAATGAACAGGTTATCCAGACAGAAAATTAACAAAGAAACATCAGAAATAAACCAGACTCTAGACCAAACGGACCAAAGACATTTACAGAACATTCCATCCAACAGCGTAGAATACACGTTCTTCTCAACAGCACATGAGACATTCTCCAGGATAGAGCACATGTTAGGTGACAAAACAATACTCAACAATTTTTTTAAAATCAAAATAATATCAAATGTCTTTCATGATCACAGTACAATAAACCTAGAAGTCAATAACAGGAGAAACTTTCAAAACTGTACAAATAAATGAAATGAAACAATATTCTCCTGAATAACCAATGGGTCAATAAAGAAATTAAGAAGGAAATTTTTAAAATTCTTGAAACAATTGAAAATGGAAACATGACAAACCTAGAGAATACAGCAAAAGCAGTTGTAAGAGGGAAGTTTAAAGCAGTAAATGCCAACATCAAAAAAGTAGAAAGATCTCAACTAAATAACCTAAAGTAGTACCTCAAAGAGCTAGAAAAACAAGGAAAAACAGTCAAAAAGTAGTAGTCAGAAAGAAATGCTAAAGATCAGAGCAGACATAAACAATATAGAGACTAAAAAAAATACAAAAAATAAACAAATAAAAAGTTGGATTTTTGAAAAGGTAAACAAAATTAACAAATCTTTAGCTAGACTAAAAATAAGAGAGATAATTAAAATGAGATAAAAAAGGAGACATTACAATGGATACCACAGAAATACAAAAGATCATAAAAGACTATTATGAAAAACTATATACTGACAAATTAGAAAATCTAGAGGAAATGGATAATAAATTTCTGGACAAATACAACCTACCAAGATTGAAGTATGAAGAAATAGAAAATCTGAATAGATCAATAATGTGTAACAAGATTGAATCAGTAATAAAAAGTCTCCCATCAAAGAAGAGTCCAGGACCTGACAGCTTTACTGCTGAATTCTACCTAACATTTAAAGAAGAACTAACACAAATTCGTCTCAAACTATTCAACAAAATTGAAGGGGAAAAAATTCTTCAAAACTCATTGTTTGAGGCCAGCATTGCCCTGATGACAAAACCAGATAAAGACACAACAAAAAAAGTAAACCAGAAGCCAATACCCTTGATGACTATAAATGCAAAAATCTTCAACAAAATACTAGCAAACCAAATTCAATGGCACATTAAAAAGAGCATTCACCACATCCAAATGGGATTCATCCCAGGGAGGCAAGGATAGCTCAACATGCATGCATCAATAAACATGATACATTACATTAACAGAATGAAGGAAAACACCATAAGATCATTTTATTAGAGGCAGAAAAGGCATTTGATAATTCAACACCCTTTAATAATTAAGAAACCCTCAATAAACTAGGTATAGAAGAAACGTACTTCTTAACAATAGTCTATATATGACAAACCCACAGCTAACATCATACTGAATAGATAAAAGCTGAAAGGTTTCTGTAAGATATAAATCTAGAAAAGGATGCCAACTTTTACTACCTAGTCAACATTGTACTGACACTCTTAGCCAGAGCCATTAGGCAAGAAAAAAACAATAAGGAACAACCAAATTGGATAGCAGGAAGTCAAATTAGCCCTGTTTTTGGACAACATGATCTTATATATAAAAAACCCTAGAGACTTTACCAAAAAAACTAATGGAACTAATAAATTCAGTAAACTTGCAGGATACAAAATCTACATGCAAAAATCAGTAGCATTTCTGTATGCTAACAGTGAACTATCTAAAAAGGCAATCAAGAAAATAAACCCATTCACATTCACAATAGCTACCAAAACAAGTAGGAATAAATTTAATTAAGGAGGTGAAAAATTTCTACAATGAAAACTATAAAATATTGATGAAAGAAATTGACAAGGACACAAATGGAAAGGTATTTTACGTTCATGAATTGGAAGAATATTGCTAAAACGTATATATTAATACTAACCAAAGTGATCTACCAAATCAGTGCAATCCCTATCGAAATACTAATGGCATTCTTCACAGAAATAGATAAAGGTATTCTAAAATTTGTATGAAACAACGAAATTACCCAAATAGCCAAAACAATCTTGAGCAAAAATGACAAAGCTATAGGCATCACACTAGCTGACTTCAAAATATACTACAAAGCTATAGTAACCAAAAGAGATAGTCCTGGCACAAAAACAGACACACAGATGAATGGAAGAGATAGAGAACCCAGAAATAAATCCAGGTATTTACAGCCAACTTATTTTTGAGAAAGGCAGCAAAACATTGGGGAAAGGACAGTCTCTTCAATAAAGGGTGCTAGAAAAACTGGGTATCAACATGCAGAAGAATAAGACTAGACCCCTGTTTCTCACCATGTACAAAATCAACTCAAAATAGATTAAAGACAAATTTAAAACCCCCAAACTATGAAACTACTGAAAAAAAAAAAAAAAAAAAACAGAGGAAACATCACTTTATGACACTGGTCTGAGTGAGGAATTTTTCGATAGCACCTCAAAAGCACAGGCAAGAAAAGGAAATATTGACAAATGGGATTACATCATATGAAAAATCTTCTGCACAGCAAAGGAAACAGTCAATGGAATAGATAACCTGTAGAACAGGAGAAAATATTTGCAAACTGTGCATCCGATGAGAGGTTAATATCCAGAATGTATAAGAAACTCAAGTCAATAGCAACAAAGAAATAATCCAGTTTAAAAAACAGGCAGAAAACCTAAATAGACAGCTCTCAAAAGAGGACATACAAATGGCCAACAGATATAATGGAAAAATGCTGAACATCACTAATCATCAGGGAATTGCAAACCAAAACCAAAATGAGATATCATCTCACCCCAGTTAGAATGGGTATTATCAGAAAGGCAAAAACATTAAAAATGCTGGGAAGGATGTAGAGAAAGGGGAACTCTTATACACCATCAGTAAGAATGTAAATTAGTACAGCCATTATGTCAACAGTATGCACGTTCCTCAAAAAATTAAAAATAGAACTACTATATGAGCCAACAATTCCATTACTTAGTGTATATCCAAGGGAAAGGAAATCAATATGTTGAAGAGATATCTGGCCTCCCATGTTTATTGAAGCACTATTCACAATAGCCAAGATATGGAATCAACCTAAGTGCCCATTGGTGGATAAATAATAAACAAAATGGGAGGAGCCAAGATGGCCGAATAGGAACAGCTCTGGTCTACAGCTCCCAGCGTGAGCAACACAGAAGATGGGTGATTTCTGCATTTCCATCTGAGGTACTGGGTTCATCTCACTAGGGAGTGCCAGACAGTGGGCGCAGGTCAGTGGGTGCGCGCACCATGTGCGAGCAGAAGCAGGGCGAGGCATTGCCTCGCTCAGGAAGTGCAAGGGGTCAGGGAGTTCCTTTTCCTAGTCAAAGAAAGGGGTGACAGACGGCACCTGGAAAATTGGGTCACTCCCACCCGAATACTGCGCTTTTCCGATGGACTTAAAAAACGCCGCACCAGGAGATTATATCCCACACCTGGCTTGGAAGGTCCTACGCCCACAGAGTCTCGCTGATTGCTAGCACAGCAGTCTGAGATCAAACTGCAAGGCAGCATCGAGGCTGGGGAAGGGGCGCCCGCCATTGCCCAGGCTTGCTTAGGTAAACAAAGCAGCCCAGAAGCTCGAACTGGGTGGAGCCCACCGCAACTGAAGGAGGCCTGCCTGCCTTTGTAGGCTCCACCTCTGGAGGCAGGGCACAGACAAAGAAAAAGACAGCAGTAACCTCTGCAGACTTAAATGTCCCTGTCTGACAGCTTTGAAGAGAGCAGCGGTTCTCCCAGCACGCAGCTGGAGATCTGAGAATGGGCAGACTGCCTCCTTAAGTGGGTCCCTGACCCCTGACCCCTGAGCAGCCTAACTGGGAGGCACCCCCCAAGCAGGGGCAGACTGACACCTCATAGGGCCGGGTACTCCAACAGACCTGCAGCTGAGGGTCCTGTCTGATAGAAGGAAAACTAACAAACAGAAAGGACATCCACACCAAAAACTCATCTGTACATCACCATCATCAAAGACCAAAATTAGATAAAACCACAAAGATGGGGAAAAAACAGAGCAGAAAAACTGGAAACTCTAAAAAGCAGAGTGCCTCTCCTCCTCCAAAGGAACGCAGTTCCTCACCAACAACGGAACAAAGCTGGACGGAGAATGACTTTGACGAGGTTAGAGAAGAAGGCTTCAGACGATCAAATTACTCTGAGCTACAGGAGGAAATTCAAACCAAAGGGAAAGAAGTTGAAAACTTTGAAAAAAGTTTAGAATAATGTATAACTAGAATAACCAATACAGAGAAGTGCTTAAAGGAGCTGATGGAGCTGAAAACCAAGGCTCGAGAACTACGTGAAGAATGCAGAAGCCTCAGGAGCCAATGCAATCAACTTGAAGAAAAGGTATCAGCGATAGAAGATGAAGTGAATGAAATGAAGAGAGAAGTGAAGTTTAGAGAAAAAAGAATAAAAAGAACTGAGCAAAGCATCCAAGAAATATGGGACTATGTGAAAAGACCAAATCTACGTCTGATTGGTGTACCTGAAAGTGACGGGGAGAATGGAACCAAGTTGGAAAACACTCTGCAGGATATCATCCAGGAGAACTTCCCCAATCTAGCAAGGCAGGCCAACATTCAGATTCAGGAAATACAGAGAATGCCACAAAGATACTCCTCGAGAAGAGCAACTCCAAGACACATAATTGTCAGATTCACCAAAGTTGAAATGAAGGAAAAAATGTTAAGGGCAGCCAGAGAGAAAGGTTGGGTTACCCACAAAGGGAAGCCCATCAGAATAACAGCGGATCTCTCAGCAGAAACTCTACAAGCCAGAAGAGAGTGGGGGCCAGTATTCAACATTCTTAAAGAAAAGAATTTTCAACCCAGAATTTCATATCCAGCCAAACTAAGCTTCATAAGCAAAGGAGAAATAAAATCCTTTACAGACAAGCAAATGCTGAGAGATTTTGTCACCACCAGGCCTGCCCTAAAAGAGCTCCTGAAGGAAGCACTAAACATGGAAAGGAACAACCGATACCAGCCACTGCAAAATCATGCCAAAATGTGAAGACCATTGAGACTAGGAAGAAACTGCATTAACTAATGAGCAAAATAACCAGCTAACATCATAATGACAGGATCAAATTCACACATAACAATATTAACTTTAAATGTAAATGGAATAAATGCTCCAATTAAAAGACACAGGCTGGCAAATTGGATAAAGAGTCAAGACCCATCAGTGTGCTGTATTCAGGAAACCATCTCACATGCAGAGACACACATAGGCTCAAAATAAAAGGATGGAGGAAGAGCTACCAAGAAAATGGAAAACAAAAAAAGGCAGGGGTTGCAATCCTAGTCTCTGATAAAACAGACTTTAAACCAACGAAGATCAAAAGAGACAAAGAAGGCCATTACTTAATGGTAAAGGGATCAATTCAACAAGAAGAGCTAACTATCCTAAATATATATGCACCCAATACAGGAGCACCCAGCTTCATAAAGCAAGTCCTTAGAGACCTACTAAGAGACTTAGACTCCCGCACATTAATAATGGGAGATATTAACACCCCATTGTCAACATTACACAGATCAATGAGTCAGAAAGTCAACAAGGATACCAGGAATTGAACTCGGCTCTGCACCAAGTGGACCTAATAGACATCTACAGAACTCTTCATCCCAAATCAACAAAATATACATTTTTTTCAGCACCACACCACACCTATTCCAAAACTGACCACATACTTGGAAGTAAAGCTCTCCTCAGCAAATGTAAAAGAACAGAAATTATAACAAACTATCTCTCAGACCACAGTGCAATCAAACTAGAACTCAGTATTAAGAATCTCAATCAAAACTGCTCAACTACATGGAAACTGAATAACCTGCTCCTGAATGACTACTGGGTACATAACGAAATGAAGGCAGAAATAAAGATGTTCTTTGAAACCAATGAGAACAAAGACAAAACATACCAGAATCTCTGGGACACATTCAAAGCAGTGTGTAGAGGGAAATTTATAGCACTAAATGCACACATGAGAAAGCAGGAAAGATCCAAAATTGACACCCTAACATCACAATTAAAAGAACTAGAAAAGCAAGAGCAAACACATTCAAAAGCTAGCAGAAGGCAAGAAATAACTAAAATCAGAGCAGAACTGAAGGAAATAGAGGCACAATAAACCCTTCAAAAAAATAATGAATCCAGGAGCTGGTTTTTTGAAAGGATCAACAACATTGATAGACTGCTAGCAAGACTAATAAAGAAAAAAAGAGAGAAGAATCAAATAGATGCAATAAAAAATGATAAAGGGGATATCACCACCGATCCCACAGAAGTACAAACTACCATCAGAGAATACTACAAACACCTCTATGCAAATAGACTAGAAAATCTAGAAGAAATGGATAAATTCCTCGACACATACACTCTCCCAAGACTAAACCAGGAAGAAGTTGAATCTCTGAATAGACCAATAACAGGATCTGAAATTGTGGCAATAATCAATAACTTACCAACCAAAAAGAGTCCAGGACCAGATGGATTCACAGCCGAATTCTACCAGAGGTACAAGGAGGAATTGGTACCATTCCTTCTGAAACTATTCCAATCAATAGAAAAAGAGGCAATCCTCCCTAACTCATTTTATGAGGCCAGCATCATACTGATACCAAAGCCAGGCAGAGACACAACCAAAAAAGAGAATTTTAGACCAATATCCTTGATGAACATTGATGCAAAAATCCTCAATAAAATACTGGCAAACCGAATCCAGCAGCACATCAAAAAGCTTATCCACCATGATCAAGTGGGCTTCATCCCTGGGATGCAAGGCTTGTTCAATATACAGAAATCAATAAATGTAATCCAGCATATAAACAGAACCAATGACAAAAACCACATTATTATCTCAATAGATGCAGAAAAGTCCTCTGACAAAATTCAACAATGCTTCATGCTTAAAACTCTCAATAAATTAGGTATCGATGGGACATATCTCAAAATAATAAGAGCTATTTATGACAAACCCACAGCCAATATCATACTGAATGGGCAAAAACTGGAAGCATTCCCTTTGAAAAGGGGCACAAGACAGGGATGCCCTCTCTCACCACTCCTATTCAACATAGTGTTGGAAGTTCTAGCAAGGGCAATTAGGCAGGAGAAGGAAATAAAGGGTATTCAATTAGGAAAAGAGGAAGTCAAATTGTCCCTGTTTGCACACGACATGATTGTATATCTAGAAAACCCCATTGTCTCAGCCCAAAATCTCCTTAAGCTGATAAGCAATTTCAGCAAAGTCTCAGGATACAAAATCAATGTACAAAAATCACAGGCATTCTTACACACCAACAACAGACAAACAGAGAGCCAAATCATGAGTGAACTCCCATTCACAATTGCTTCAAAGAGAATAAAGTACCTAGGAATCCAACTTACAAGGGATGTGAAGCTCCTCTTCAAGGAGAACTACAAACCACTGCTCAGGGAAATAAAAGAGGATACAAACAAATGGAAGAACATTCCATGCTCATGGGTAGGAAGAATCAATATCGTGAAAATGGCCATACTGCCCAAGATAATTTACAGATTCAATGCCATCCCCATCAAGCTATCAATGACTTTCTTCACAGAATTGGAAAAAACTACTTTAAAATTCATATGGAACCAAAAAAGAGCCCGCATCGCCAAGTCAACCCTAAGCCAAAAGAACAAAGCTGGAGGCATCACACTACCTGACTTCAAACTATACTACAAGGCTACAGTAACCAAAACAGCATGGTACTGGTACCAAAACAGAGATATAGATCAACGGAATAGAACAGAGCCCTCAGAAATAACACTGCATATCTACAACTATCTGATCTTTGACAAACCTGAGAAAAACAAGCAATGGGGAAAGGATTCCCTATTTAATAAATGGTGCTGGGAAAACTGGCTAGCCATATGTAGAAAGCTGAAACTGGATCCCTTCCTTACACCTTATACAAAAATCAATTCAAGATGGATTAAAGACTTAAACATTAGACCTAAAACCATAAAAACCCTAGAAGAAAACCGAGGCATTACCATTCAGGACATAGCCATGGGCAAGGACTTCATGTCTAAAACACCAAAAGCAATGGCAACCGAAGCCAAAATTGACAAATGGATCTAATTAAACTAAAGAGCTTCTGCACAGCAAAAGAAACTATCATCAGAGTGAACAGGCAACCTCCAAAATGGGAGAAAATTTTCACAACCTACTCATCTGACAAAGGGTTAATATCCAGAATCTACAATGAACTCAAACAAATTTACAAGAAAAAAACAAACAACCCCATCGAAAATTGGGTGAAGGACATGAACAGACACTTCTCAAAAGAAGACATTTATGCAGCCAAAAAACACATGAAAAAAGGCTCACCATCACTGGCCATCAGAGAAATGCGAATCAAAACCACAATGAGATACCATCTCACACCAGTTAGAATGGCGATCATTAAAAAGTCAGGAAACAACAGGTGCTGGAGAGGATTTGGAGAAATAGGAACACTTTTACACTGTTGGTGAGACTGTAATCTAGTTCAAACATTGTGGAAGTCAGTGTGGCGATTCCTCAGGGATCTAGAACTAGAAATACCATTTGACCCAGCCATCCCATTACTGGGTGTTTACCCAAAGGACTATAAATCATGCTGCTATAAAGACACATGCACATGTATGTTTATTGTGGCACTATTCACAAAAGCAAAGACTTGGAACCAACCCAAATGTCCAACAATGATAGACTGGATTAAGAAAATGTGGCACATATACACCATGGAATACTATGGAGCCATAAAAAATGATGAGTTCACGTCCTTTGCAGGGACAAGGATGAAAGTGGAAATCATCATTCTCAGTAAACTATCGCAAGACGAAAAAACCAAACACTGCATATTCTCACTCATAGGTGGGAATTGAACAATGAGAACACATGGACACAGGAAGGGGAACATCACACTCTGGAGACTGTTGTGGGGTGGTGGGAGGCGAGAGGCTTAGCATTGGGAGATATACCTAATGCTAGATGACGAGTTAGTGGGTGCAGCGCACCAGCATGGCACATGTATACATATGTAGCTAACCTGCACATTGTGCACATGTACCCTAAAACTTAAAGTATAATAATAATAAATTTTAAAAAAAAGAAAAAAAAAGAAAATGTGGTATATATACACAATGAAATACTATTCAGCCATAAAAAGGAACAAAATCCAGCCATTTGCAAAAACATGGATGAACCTATAGGACATTATGTTAAGTGAAATAAGCAAGCACAGAATGACAAATATCACATGATTTCACTTATAAGTGGAATCTGGAAAAATTGATCTCATAGAAGTAGAGAGTAGAATGGTGGTTACCACAGACTGGAGAAGGGAGGAAGGAGTAGGGATAGGAAGAGCTGGTCAATAAGTACAAAATTACAGCTTGGAGGAATGAGTTCTGGTGTTCTACTGCATAATGGGATGTCTATAGTTAAAAATAATGTATTGTATTTTTCAACATAGTGAAAAGAGGATTTTGAATGCTCTCACCACAAATAAATGATAAATGTTTGAGGTGATGAATATTCTAATTACTCTGCTTTGATCATTACACAATGTATTCTTGTATTGAAACATCACACTTTACCCCATAAAAATGTACATTTATTATTTGGCAATTTAAAACAAAATAAAACAATAAAAATATGAAAAATACTTGAGTTGAAGATTCTATTACTAAAAGAAAGAAGGAAAGAATAGATACTGAGGGCTAATTACTCATCTCAGCCACAAAAAGAATGCAAAAAATTAGGTAAAATTAGAGAATACTTAATTTCAACCATCCGAGCCAGTTCTAGTAGCTTAATGGGGGCATCAACAGCTTTTGGCAGCAGTTTTCTAGGGTGCATCAGCTGCTTCCAATTCCAAGGCAGGATTACAATGACAGCAAATTTGATCTTTAGCACTCTCTCCTGATCCTTTCTGAATCCCACACCCACCTCTTGCCTCTTTCTCATATGCTAGTATAATATGTTATGTTGTGGCACCCCAAAAAATATGCCCACCTGGAATCTATGAAGTAGTCCCTATTTTCCAAAGAATTGTTGTGTTCTCTATCTTAAAGTAGGGGAGTGGGGGAGTTGAGCTTTTCTACCCATCTTATTTGCTAAGTTTATTCATCAGCTAAGCTGCATTCGCATTTTTCATGAAAAGGTCTGGTAAGTAAAATGTTGGTAATGTGTGAGAGATGTCAATAAAAGCCAACTTGAGGTAGGACAAGCAAGGTTAGGAGGCTACACTGACTTGTCCCTTTGTGTGAAGCCTTGCAGTCTCCTCTCCCATCCTCACACCCTTCTGCCTCAACACCTAACTCTTTTGCAAGATAAGCAATCCTACAGGATGTCAACTGACTGACTGCCAGATAGTTTCAAGCTCCTGACACCCAAAATGACCGGGGAAATAAAGCAAGAGCCCCTTATTCATGATGTGGCTCCCCTAATTTCCAGCCAATCAGCACCAAAATCCCAAGAAGCTATTAGCTACAAATTCCAGCCTTGGGGAGGCTAGGGACATTTCTGGGTCTCATCTGTGCAGCTAAGCTCAAGATTTAGCTTATAGTGACCTTTTCTTCATTTTAATAGAAAAAACACACCCCTAGGTAGAGATTTTAGATGCTAATGATGCATGTGATGCATGTTAGAGCTTGTAGATTCTGAGTGCATGAATCAGCTTCAGGTCCACCTTTGCATGCTTGACCTCACCAGTATTTTATGAATATGTATGTACAGTTCACATAAAGGGAATTTCCCTTAAGGCACTAGGGGCTGTTTCACCCTTTGAGCAGCCTGGTCTGCCTTTCCAGGTGTACTTTTGCTTTGCAATAAACTTCTTGTCCTACTCTTACTTTGGACTCACTCTCAAATTGTTTTGCACAACAAACTCAAGAACCTGAACTGCCTCACCAACAACAAATGTAAAAGTGGCCACAATAATATGGTCCAGGATCTTTAATGGTCTGGCTTCCTCCAAATAAAATAATTCAAAGCAACTAAAAGAAAGATTTCTGAGACAGTGTTTTATGAATATAATCCGTAGTAACTGAGTGTTATGGGTTGAATTGTGTCCTTACAAAAAATATATGTTGGAATCCTAACATCCACCATGTCAGAATGTGACCTTATTTAGAGCTAGAATCTTTCCAAAGGTAATCATGTTAAAATGAAGTCATTAAGGTGAGCTCTAACTCAATATGACTCATATCCTTATAAAAGGGAAAAATGTGGACACTTTCACAGACGTGTTCAAAGGGAAGACAACGTGAAGACACCAGGAGAAGATGACCATCTATAAGCCAAGAAGAGAGGTAATCAACAGATCACTCCTTCTTAGCCCTCAGAAGGAAACAACCCTACCAACATCTTGGTCTCAGACTTCTAGCCTCCATAACTATGAGGCAATACATTTCTGTGGTTTAAGCCACCCAGTTGTGGTACTTTCTTATAGCAGCCCTAGCAAATGAATACTTCCAGCATTTAGGAGCTGCCTTGGGAGCAACTCTTTCTGAATTGAAGAGGAAGAATTGTGGAGTACACACACACACGCACACACACACACACACACGATGTTTATGGTTGGCTAAAAGCCTAAATGGTTCTGGTATGGCCTTTTAAGTGGGGGTTGAACACCTTAAGTTAGACAACTTTCTTAGAATTTGGCATAGCACTCCACTTAGAATGAGAAAGTTTCATGTAATGGGTGAAGAAAGAATGAACGTAGACTACAAGTAAATGTACTGCTTTTAACATTATTTAAGCAGTAATTTAGATCAATCCAGTAGAGGGTGAGTTACATTTCACATTCTAGGCCATCTAGTCAGAGAAAACTATCTGAAAGCTCACATATCAAATTCATAGCTGCAATTATTTCTGGGGAAGAGAGTGAAATTGCAGGATTAGTGAAAAACAGCTTTCACTGTTGCTTTACATACTTTTTAATTGTTTGACTTTTAGAGAAGAATCAATTTGTATACCATTGACATAAGTAAAAATTTTGAACTATGTTTATATACATATATGAACATATGTATATGTATGTGTATGTATGTGTCTATCTATATAATTGTTTTCTTTCATGTATTGCATTATTGCATTGTATAATTGTATCATATACCAGACACTAGGAAAATAACAATGAACAAAACAGATAACTTGGGTCTTCATAAAACTTAGTCTCCCCTTCTCCAAAACTTGATGAATTCCCACTACTGACTTTCTAAGTATTCATTCTTTAGAATTTTCCTCCCTTATCTACTCTTTTTCACCATTTGAGTGAAAAATAATCCTTTTATTCTAACACCCCCCATCTCCCAAAGCCATCATCCCTTTCCACTTCTTGTTTAAAGTCTAGCTAAATTCTGTAGTCATCAAAGTTTAGTTCCACTCTTAGTATTGTGAACTGGAGATGGTCCCATTCTGATGTGAAGGTGGATGTGAAGTTTCTCTCTGGGAACCAATCTCCCCATGAACCAAGCTTAGTCAACACTGTCAAGCACATAGACATGGAAACTGAGGCTCTGTGAAAGCTAAACTGTGTTTCAGGGCAGCATAAGCTAAGTACAATGAAGCCATCTTTACTTTCCTTCAGTCCCACATTGGATCCTTCCTGATGTCTGCTTTGACTGTGCTTTGAGAGGAAAGCTTGATTGAACTGAGCTCTGGCATGTTTGTAGGAGATGTGATACTTTATATGCACACACTGGTGATTTCTAAAGTTCTTATTTTTTATCTGTAGAAATAATTTGAGACCAGAGCTACAGGTGATTTTATAGATAACAACAACAACAAAAAAGGACCTGCTTTCCAAACAGAAGAGTGAGATTTTCACCTTCTCTCTGAAACCTCCCTTCAGCCTGGAATATCCAAATCCTACCCATTCCCCACAATTCAAGACAAATCCCAACTTTTCCAAAAAGTCTTCTTGGGTGTCCTCTCCCTGCTAAAATTAATGTCTTTCCATTTCACTTTATGTGTATCTCACAGTCTGCCTGGCAGAGGAGCTGCTTCTGAAGAAGTCCTAAGAAAGTCACCCCAAAATATAGCAACCAGGTATGCTGACAATTTAAAATTAAAGGCACATGGGGATCAGTAGATGCTGCATGAGGCTGTTCTCTGGAGTTCTCTTATCAACCTAAAGATCAAATCTGCTAAAAAGGAACAGAATTACCTTCAACCTTCTAACTGCAATTTCATTAACCAGGGAAGATTAAATACAAATCGTGGAAGAAGAGACTAAAAACCAAACACTATACCCAGAGCCCAGATAAACTTTGTCTGAGGCCACTCTCTGTTTTGTGGGCCCATTATCTACCCTAAAAATCATTTATTACACCTCTAACATTGATTATTGCCTACATCTCCCACTTCCCTCTCTCCTATGAAGAAGGTTCTCTAAGCTTCTGAACTTCATTGGGTTACTGGGTGCTCACCTCCTTGTGATGTCCTCATGCTTGGTAATAAATTTGTATGCTTTTCCTCCTGCTTTTTCAGCAGACTTAAAGACTCAGGTCTGCTAGGGGTGAAGGGAAATCCCCTTTGCCCCTATGCTTGCTATGCACATTTAATTTTTATTTGTGGGATATATGGTTGCAAAGAGAAACTAACAGTGTTTACAACTCAAGCAGAAAAGGAACTTATGGGAAAGTAGCTCATTTTATGAATAAGAAGGCTAGAGACCAAACTCTGAAATGTGAAATGAAATAAATTCCAGTGATGGACTGAATCCACCCTCCTTTGTGTCTATACAGCTTGCCATGAGATTTTACAGTTCCAATCACTAAAGATGTAGAACTTATCTCCCCATCACTTGATTTTGGTCTTTGTCAGGTGACTTCCTTTAGTCATAGCCAGTGTGAGGTAAGCAAAGTCTCTTTTTTTTTTTTTTTTTTGAGACGGAGTCTTGCTCTGTTGCCCAGGCTGGAGTGCAGTGGCATGATCCTGGCTCACTGCAACCTCCGCCTTCCGGGTCCAAGCGATTCTCCTGCCTCAGCCTCCTGAGTAGCTGGGATTACAGGTGCCCACCATCAGGCCTGGCTAATTTTTGTATTTTTGGTAGAGAGAGGGTTTCACCAGGCTGGTCTCAAACTCCTGACCTCATGATCCGCCTGCCTCAGCCTCCCAAAGTGCTGGGATTACAGGCCTAAGCCACTGCACCCAACCAAGCAAAGTCTTAAAAGGTGCTTGAGTGAAAGGTCTTGGGGTTTTGTTGACTTTTTTTTATTTTTATTTTTTGACAGGGTTTCACTCTGTTGCCCAAGCTGGAGTGCAGTAGCATGATCTCGGCTCACTGCGACCTCCTCCTCCTGGGTTCAAGCAATCCTCATGCCTCAGCCTCCTGAGTTGATTTCAGGCAACTGCCACCAAGCCCAGCTAATTTTGCATCTTTAGTAGAGATGGGGTTAGCCAGGCTGGTCTGGAACTCCTGACCTCAAGTGATCCTCCCACCCTAGCCTCTCAAAGTGCTGGGATTATAGGAATGAGCCACCGTGCCCGGCCAGGCTTGGGATTTTGAGCTTCTGTAATTGCCATGGAAAAAAACATGCCCAGGATAGCTCAATAGTATTACAGGGAGAATGGGGAAACAGTGGAGCAAAGCTGAACTGGCACAGCCAAGCCCAGGCAAGATTGTTATATTAAGCCACTGAGTTTTGGGGTCGTTTCTGATGCAGAAAAACCAAGCAGATGCACTATATGATTTTACACTCCAACCTCCATTCCCAGCTAGGTCTTCAATAATTATCTCATTGGTAGGCAAGTTTGAATGTTCACACAAAGCATATGCCCTTTGTTTATGCTCCTTACATTTTAACTCCAGTAGTTCTTAAAATTTTAAAGGACACAAGAATTATTGCACAGACTTATATTTATGACCCATATATGTAACACTTTATGGACAGGTTAATGAAACTTTCAAGGGTAATTTTGAATAAATGAGATTTTCTATTTATTCTCTGATTTTAGAACCTAACCCCAGTTAGAGTGGTACTCTGTTATGTTTATCAATGCTTAGGTTGTAAACTTCTGTTTTTGCATTTTGTTTATTTGGTTGTGTGTTTTACCTTCCAGATCCACCTCTCAGGATAGGTTGTAATCTTCCAGAGGGTGGGGACTGTATTATATTTATCTCTTTGTCCACCTACCTCCCAAATCTGCTCCCAGGCTAATTCAGTGTTTGTTCAATTGAATGGTTTTGTAGTTATTAAGCATCTGTTGCATAAGGCAGCATTTCTAGAGAGCTCTGAGAACAGTTTGTTGCTGCCAAAGGCTTGCATGCTAAGGTGTGTAGAACTCATTCAAAACATATATTTTTTAATTGAAAAATAAATATTTATTTAATATATTATGTTAATATATTAATACTATGATAATTTTATATATATATATGTATATATATATATTCTTTCTGGGGTTTCCTTCTTTGCAAGGAAACCCCAGCAAGTGCCTTGGGTGCACATTTTCCTTGCCAATTAAATCAGCACAATTTTCTCTGACTGCCAGTCAGGCACAAATTGGAAACTGGGTATTTTAGAAAAATTTTCCCTCCCTCATATTTTATCACACAGCTGCTCTCAGTTCATAGACACTGACAATTGCAAAATGCCCCACAAATTGTTGCACTTCAAGGA
This sequence comes from Homo sapiens, assembly GCF_000001405.40. Taxonomy (NCBI): domain Eukaryota; kingdom Metazoa; phylum Chordata; class Mammalia; order Primates; family Hominidae; genus Homo; species Homo sapiens. The sequence continues at coordinate 52,313,255 of NC_000004.12, read as the reverse complement.
GCCATGCTGAACATTTCGGCCAACTGGGAATCTTCCTAGGGAGATCAGACCAAGTTCTCACTCTGGCTTCAGGAGGCTACAGCCCATTTCTCTTCCTAAACGTGCCCCCTGTGTGATTTAGGTCAGTGCAGCCAACCTTCTGTGTTTGTCTAGCTGGACATTAGGGATAATGATACCTAACTGCCTCACCGGGGTGTTGAGGAGTTCAACAATTAATCACTTTGTGGCCCTTAGTTGAAAAATGTCATGAACCTCAGTCAGGACAAAGAACACCCCTTGGCAGAAAAGGCAGAGCAGTATGATGGGAAAAGCCCTCTGGCAAACCAGATATTCTCCTCCCACCCTGCGGATTCCTCAGTCATTAGTCAGAAACCAGTCCACCTTGTCCCCCAACTGTAGGGGACCAATATTAACCTACCTTAGAGTCACTCTGTATTGATTTTCAGTAAAAAAGGAAGATTCCCTTTCCATTCCCATAAAAGAGGGTGGGACACACAGCCCACCAGCTATTCTCTTGGACACTCTTTCTCACACCTCCAAATCTTTCCTCAGCCTCAAAGGCTGAGGATTGGCAATCAGCTATGGGAAAATTCCAGTTTCCCACAACCTTCTATTGCAAGTCCTGACTGATGGTTTCAGGTCTCACTTTAAAATGTGGTATCCACATCTTGAAACCTCAAACTGGAAACAAGAAAAGTTTAAACACCCTATTATTTTTCTGGTAAACTCCTAGATTCATAGTAGGCACTTGATAAATTGTGTTGAATGAATGAATATTGCTGTCTCTTTCTTCAAAGGTTGTTTTGTTTTGTTACTGTGTTTTAACTCTGACTAAATTTTAAGATTCTCCAGGATAGATTATGCCTTGCACAGAACAGAAACACAATGTGTCCAAGCTTCTGAAAGTGTGGTCCTAGTTCTACCAGCAAAAAGAAAAAATATGGATACTTGTTTAAAATGCAGAATCTGGGATCTATACCATATTAACAGCATTGAAGCAAGAATGTGCATTGTAAATAAGTTCTTCCAGGGATGTGTGTTGACACTAGGGACAATCCTGGGCACAGGAGATGAAAATATTTGGAGATTAGGGAAGGAGCCAATAAGGACTAGGGGACACAGCCTTGTCAGAAGTTGTAATGCTAGTTATTTTCACAATGTGTTTCAAAGGAAGTTTCATTGTGAGTTGTCATAGCAAAGTACAACTAGTTTCCTTGCGTTTTTATTCTATTTCCAAGAACAATTTGTATTTTTCATGTTGTTGAAGAAACAAATAAAACAAGTTCTTATGTATCACAGCATTCATAGATTTAATATACTTTTAACAGTTCTAGGATGCTTCCATGGATTACAAACTTTTTCCTTTTTTGTAGTTGGAGAGAAGCACATCTTGAATCCATCCTCCAGTACACCATCTCCCCAAAACACTACATTTATTGTTGAAGTGTTTGATTTATTTAAAGTTTCTTTCTTATTGTGCCTAATCCAATATCCCATATGCATACAGTAAATGCTGAATAAATGTTCCAGTCTCCTGACAAAATTTCAGAGTTTTAATTAACAATTCAGGAATCAGAGTACGAGAGCAAGCCAAAAGCTGTAGGTGCAAGTATGATAGCATTTTGTCATAAAAATTCTTATGAACTCTGCAGAGAGACAGTCTGTGAATGGGTAAGATAATTAAAAACACATGTTATGCAAAAAAGTGTGACCATGCTAATATTTTTTCAAGGATAATCACAGTTTCAGTTATTTTCTCAGCACCACAGATTTTGTGTATTGGCTCCTACTGTTAAAATATGCACCTGGTAATCTTAAATTAAAACTTTGTCTCATGTTAAATTTATCTTAAGTGGTGGATGGGACTACATTTTTATTAGGAGGAGCTTTATAGCCATTGTCTGGAGAAATTATTACTTTGAAGTGAACAAGGATTCCCACTGGAAATATTTAACTGTTACAAACTGGGAGCATTCAGGATGCATGGAATGAAGTTAGGAATGGAAATTCATTTCTCCCATTGACTTCTAAAAAATCTTTTTTGACCTCTGAGCAGATCAAAACAAATTCTTTAGATTTCACCTCATATACAAGCTGTGAGGAGTAACCATAATAGATTGATTGCTAATTCTCTAGTGCTATATACATTGTGATGTTGTATATCTGGATCTCTCTTGAAGGGCAAAGTTTGGAGTCTCTGAGCTTCTCCCAATGAGAACACAAAAACAATAGAAAAAAACTAACAAAACAAAAGTTAGCTTTTTGAAAAGGTCTACAAAATTGAAAAACTTTAGCTAGATTGGCAAGAACAAAAGGGTGAAGACTCAAATTACTAAAGTCAGGAATGAAAGAGAGAACGTTAATAGTGACCTTACAGAAATAAAGAGGATTACAAAGAAATATTGTGAATAACTGATTATCTATAGATTATCTATACAAACTGGAGAAATTTCTATAAAATACAAACTACCTAAACTGACTGAATAACAATTAGAACATGTATTAATACATAGACTTATAACAAGAAAAAAAGATTGACTTAGTAATTTTGAAACCTTACATAAAAAGAAACCTCAGGCCCAGATGAGATGTCCCATCAAATTCTAGCCATTTTAAAAAGATTAATTCCAACACTTCATAAGTTCTTCCAAAGAGTAGAAGAGAAGGAAATACTCTCTAACATATTCTATAAGGCCAATATTATCCTGTGACCAAAGCCACACAGAGAAATCACAAAAAACTATGGATCAATCTCCCTATAAACATACATGCAACAATCCTCAAGAAAACTCTAGTCAAGTGAATTCAAGAACATATTTAAACAAGGATTACACAACTTGACCACGTAGGATTTAACAAACAAAAAACCCACAAGTTTGTTTTTTTAACATCAGAAAAATAAATTAATGTAATATACCATATTAATAAGATAAAGGACAATAATCACATGATCATCTCAAAACATGAAGAAAAAGTATCTGATGAAATCCAGCACCCTTTCATAATAAACACATGTATCGAACTAGAAATAGAAGGGGACTTCCTCAAACTGATAAGGCATTTACAAAAAATTGACAGCTAACATCATACTCAATGGTAAAAAAAAGAATGATATTCTGCTAAGATCAGGAACAAGGCAAGGATGTCTGCTCTCACCACTAATTCAACATAATGTTGAAAGTGCTAGCTATTCTCAGACAGCATTATCTTATATGTAGAAAATTCTAATAAACCCACAAAAGAACTTATGAGCTCAGCAAGGTTGCAGGATATAAGACTGACATACAAAGATAAATTTTATTCCTATGCACTAACAATGAAAAGTCCAAAAATAAAATTAAGAAAACAATTCCATTTATAATGCCATCAAAAATTTAAAAAATAATTAGAAATAAGCTTAATAAAACAAATATGAGACTTTTAACATGAAAACTACAAAATATTGTGGAAATCAACTAAAGAAGACCTGAGTAATTAGAAAACATCTTAATCTAATGTTCATGGATTAGATCACTAAATATTGTTAAGATAAAAATATTACCCAAATCAATGTAAGAGTCAAGGTTAATATTAATATGTGAGATTTTGTTTCTGTCATAGTGTTGTTAGCTGGTTGCCTTGGAGTCTCAATTGTATAATTGTTTTTTAGGATCTGTGAGCTTTCTACTCATGTGTGCTTTTGTGTTGGTGAGTATTGTCCTTTTGTTTCCATGTTTAGAATAACTTTGAGCATTTCTTGTAGGGCTGGTCTCATGATGATGAATTCTCTTAATATTTTCCGGCCTTGCAAAGACTTTACTTCTCCTTCATTTCTAAAGCTTGTTTTGGCAGAACATAAAATTCTTTCCTGGTTGGCTTTTTTTTTTTTTTTTTTGGTAGAGACAGGGGTCTTACTTTGTTGCCCAGGCTGGTCTTGAACTCCTGAGCTCAAGCCATACTCCTGTCTCAGCCTTGCAAAGTGCTGTGATTATACTTGTGAGCCACTGCACCCAGCCCATTTCTTTTCCTTAAGGAGGCTAAACATAGGCCTTCCTTGGAGCCATCTTGAAGGCTGGCTACTACAAAAAGCCATTAGGTTTATAAGCAAGAGAGTGACATGAGTCTTTAAAAGTTCACCTTCTGCTGTGGGGATAATTGATTGTAGAGGGGCAAGAGTAGAAGGCAGAAGACTAGACAATAAACCAGTACACAAGCAAAAAAAGGACATGACCAAAAAAAAAAAAAATACAGGCAAACACCCCGATGAACATAGATGCAAAAATTCACATCAAAATGCTAGCAAACCAAATCCAACAGTGCATCAAAAAGATAATACATCACAATAAACTGCAGTTAATTCTAAGGGTGCAAGGATGGTTCAACATATGCAAATCAATAAATGTGTTTCACCATATAAACAGAATAAAGACAAAAACCATATGATCATCTCAATACATGCAGAAAAAGCATTCTGTAAAATCGAACATCCTTTTATGATAAAAACCCTCACCAAACTAGGCATTCAAGGAACATACCTCAAAATGATAAGAGCCATATATGACAATCTTATAGCCAACATCATACTGAATGAGGAAAAGTTGAAAGCATTTCTCCTATGAGTTGGAATGATACAAGGATGTCCACTCTCACCACTTCTATTCAATATAGTAATGAAAGTGCTAGCCAGAACAATCAGGCAAGAGAAAGAAATAAAATGCTTCCATATGGGAAAGGAAGAAGTCAAATCATCTCTGTTTACTGATGATGTAATTTAATACCTAGAAAACCCTAAAGATTCTTTCAAAAGACTCCTAGACTTCATAGACAACCTCAGTCAAGTTTCAGGATAAGAAATCAATGTATAAAAATCAATAGCATTTCTATATACTAATAACTTTCAAGCTGAGAACCAAATCAAAAACTCAATTCTGCTGGGCACGGTGACTCTTGTCTGTAATCTCAACATTTTGGGAGGCTAAGGTGGAGGATTGCTTGAACCCAGGAGTTTGAGACTTGCCTGGGCAAGTCTCTTGTAGAGACTTCCATCTCTACAAGAAGAAAATTAGTTTGGTGTGGTGGTGAGTGCCTGTAGGCCCAGCTACTCAGGGGGCTGAGGTAGGAAGATCACTTGTCCCTGGGAGGTTGAGGCTACAGTGAGCCATTATTGCACCACTGCACTCTAGCCTGGGTCACAGAGTGAAACTGTGCTTAAAAAAAACCCCAAAAACCAAAAACCTCAATCACATTTACAGTACAAACACACACACACACACACACACACACACACACACACACCCCTAGGAATGCATTTAACTAAGGAGATAAAAGATCTCTCCAAGGAGAACTACAAAATACTGATGAAGGAAATTATGGATGACACAAACGAATGGAAAAACATTCCATGCTCATGGATTGGAAGAATTGATACTGTTAAAATGATCATACTGCACAAAGAAATCTACAGATTCAATATAATTCCTATCCAATTGCCAATGTCATTCTTCACAGAGTTAGAAAAACAATCCCAAAGTTCATATGGAACCAAAAAAAGAACCTGAATAGCCAAAGCAATCCTAAGCAAAAAGAATGAAGCTGGAGGCATCACATTCTCTAACTTCAAATTATAATACAAGGCTATAGTAACTAAAACAGCATGGTACTGGTACAAAGACAAACACATAGATCAATGGAATAGAATAGAGAACCTCATAAAAAAGCCACATTCCTAGAACCAGCTGGTCTTCAACAAAGTCAACAAAAACATGCACCCATGTTTTTCAATACACGGTGCTGGGAAAATTGACTACCCATATGCAGAAACTGAACTCATATTTCTCAACATATACAAAAATTAACTCAAGAAGGATTAGAGATTTAAATAAGACCTGAAACTATAGAAGTCCTAGAAAAAAAACCTAGAAAAAAACTCTTCTGGACATTGGTTCAGGCAAAGCATTTATGACTGATATCCCAAAGCAAATGCAACAAAAACAAAAATAGACAAATGGGACTTAAACTAAAAAGCTTCTGCACAGCAAAATAAATAGTCAACAGAGTGAACAGACAACCTGCAGAATGGGAGAAAATATTTATAAATTATGCCTCTGACAAGAGACTAATATCCAGAATCTACAAGGAACTCAAAAATTCAACAAGAAAGAAACAAATAGCCTCATTAAAAGGTAGGCTAAGGACATAAACATTTCTCAAAAGAAAATCTGTAAGTTACCAACAAACATATGAAAACAATGCTCAACATCACTAATCATTAGAGAAATACAAATTAAAACCACAGTGAGATATCATCTTACATCAAGCAGAATGGATTATTGAAGAGTAAAAAAAAATAACAGATGTTCGCATGGATGCAGGAAAAGAAAATGCATATACACTGTTGATGGGAGTGTAAATTAGTACAATGTCTATGGAAAACGGTGTGAAGATTTCTCAAAGGATTAAAAATAGAACTATCATTCAACCCAGAAATCCCACTACTGGGTATATGCCAAAGGAAAAGAAACCATTTTTTAAAGAGGATACCTGCACTTGTATGTTTACCACAGCAATATTCATAATAGTAAAGTGATGAAATCAACCTAAGGTGTCTATCAACCGTTTATTGGATAAAGAAAATGTGGGATATATAAACCATGGAATGCTATGCAGCCATAAAAAGAATGAAATCATGTAATTTGCAGCAACATGGATGGAGTTGGAGCCCATTATCTTAAGTGAAATAACTCGGAAACAGAAAATCAAATACTGCATGTTCTCACTTACTAGGCAGAAGTTAAACAATGGGTACACATGGGCATAAAGATGGAAATAATAGGCACAGGGGACTTCAAAAGGGAACAGAATGGAAGTGGGGTGATGGTTGGAAAATTATCTATTGGGAACAATGTTTACTATTTGAGTGATGGGTACACTAGAAACCCAAACCTCACCATTATGCAATATATTCATGTAACACACCTCCATACGAACCCCCTGAATCTTAAAAAAAAGATGATCCCAATATCTGCCTCCTTGTATTCATGCCCTTGTGTATTCCCATCCTGCCCTCAATGGGTTGGAACTGTACAAACACTAGGATATCATAGAACTCATTATGTGAAAATTTCAGTGCTCAAACATTAAAGACATTGTGACTTTAGTCTTGGTCTTCCTATGTCACACACTCTGAAAGAAGCTAGCTGTCAGGTCATGACACTCAAGCAGCCCTATGGAGAGGGCTGCATGACAACCAATCATGGTGAACCAGCAACACAGACTTGCCAGCTATTTACATGAAACATCTTGGAATTGGATACTTTAGTTTCAGTCAAGCTTTCAGATGACTACCACCCTACTAGCTAACACCTCGATTAAAACTTCATGAGTTACTCAAGGTAACACCACCCAGCTAAACTATTCCCAGGATCCTGACTCTCAGAAATTAAAAATAATTGTTGCTTTATGCCTCTAAGTTTTGGGACAATTTGTTACATGGCAATATAGATGTTAGTACCTGAACACTGGGTGCTACCATAACAAAAACTTAAACTGTGGGAGTAGCTTTGGAATCCAGCAGTGGGTGGAAGTAGAAAGAACTTTTAAGAAAGTGTGTTAGTGAAAGCGTAAGGTGTTTTGACTGTTAGCAGAAGCCCAATGGCTTTCAAAGAGGTACTGGTGAAGACTCAACAAGAAAATGGTATGGGAAGTTAGAGGACAGAGGATCATCTTTGCATATAGGGACAGAAAGTTTAGCAACACTAAACTGTGCTAATGTATCTGTCACCCAGGCTGGAGTACAGTGGTGGAATCATAGCTCACCGTAACCTCGAACTCCTAAGCTCAAGTGACCTTCCCGCCTTGGCCTCCCAAAGTGCTACGACTATAGGTGTGAGCCATCATGCCTGGCTGATAATGTAGAAAGCAGAAAATGTGCCTAATGGGCTAGGTTTCCTAGTTAAGACAGATTTGCAAGCAGAGTGTTGAAAGTGACTCCCGATTTCTTCTTCCTGCTTACATTAAAAAGCAAGAGGAAAGAGATAAGATTAAAGAAGGACTTTTAAACAAAAGGAGCCTGGACTTGGAGGTTCTGAAAATTCTCAGCTTCTTCTAATGGCAAAGGATGATAAGATTAAGAAATGGCTTTGTGACAAACATCAAATCTTTTGCAGCAATCTTTAATTTGTTACACAATGTAAACTTTCCATGACATTCAGAATAAAGCCTCTAATGGTTTTATTTTTTAAATTAATTAATTTCTTTTATCATAGTCTTTCAAATTCTCCTTTATCTACCTATCCAGCCAGCCAACTCCAGCACCACACTCTTCTCTCCTTATCAGGCTCCAGCCAGGCAGAATTTTTCTTTCATTCTTGAACACACCAAGCTCTCCTCCATTGAAGTAGCTTTGTAGATTTAATTCTCTCCATTTCAAATGCTCTTCCCCTAACATTTTCATGGCTTGCTTTTTCTTGTCATTCAATCCTTCTATTTGTATTGAGTCAAATGTAGTTAGATTAAATACAAAGGGAAGGATTGAATGGACAAGGAGTTCTTCTAAGGGGGTGACATTTTAGCTGTGATCTGGATGCCAGAAAGAGCTATTAGTATTATTCAATAGCAGGCATTATTTTTGATTTATTGAATTTTCAATATTTTAATTGTCTCTCTTTCCTATTGGAAATGTCAACTCCATGAGAGTAAGGAGCTTGTCTTTCTTGAAAGACTGTATCATCAGTACTCAGTATATCCTCAGTACTCAGTACTCACTGAGGATACTCAAAATAGTCCTCAGCACACAGTAGGAACCAATCAATATCTGTTGAATGAACAAATAAATGAATAAATGAATGCCTAGTTTAGGTAACTGGGGCTAAGACAGGTTAAATAACTTACTTAAGGCCACATAATCTTATTTTTTCTGAAATATATATACTTCAAACTTGATCTGCATATCTCTGAGGGAATTTGTCATATATCCAAATGATAATAATAAAATAAGCATAACTTCCTTATTTTTAATAGGTATTAAGAAATTTAAAATGCAATTTATAATATTTTCTATCAATGGGATCAGATTTCTCATCTCCTGAAATGACATACTATAGCTTTTCTGCCTTAACAAATATTTTGTTAGAATTCCCCGAGTACTTTGATAAATATATAGGGCAATTCAAAGTTTAGGTCATATTTTAAGACGTTTAAAATGTAGGCATGCATTGTGGATTCTTGATATGTATAGCCTTACTATAATTATTAGTTATATATATATATATAGTTTTACTACAATTATTGACTGGATAATTGTCAAACATTTTATACTTAACACACACAGGAACAATAATATTTTATTTTGTTTTATTTTATTTTTATTTTTTTTTTTTGAGACAGAGTCTTGCTCTGTTGCCAGGCTGGAGTGCAGTGGCATGATCTCGGCTCACTACAACCTCTGCCTCATGGCTGGGTTCAAGTGATTTTCCTGCCTCAGCCTCCTGAGTAACTGGGACTACAGGCACACGCCACCATGCCCAGCTAATTTTTGTATTTTTAGTAGATATGGGGTTTCACCATGCTGGCCAGGATGATCTTGATCTCTTGACCTCATGATCCACCTGCCTCAGCTTCCCAAAGTGCTAAGATTACAGGCATGAGCCACCATGCCCAGCCAACAACATTTTAAAGACAGGCTGTGAGACATTTTAAAAGGAGAAGTTGCCACATAATTATAGTAACAGAAACTATTAGTGAATTTGGGAAGTTATTGTCCAGCAACGTCTCTAGGCAGGTGCACTCTTAAACCATCATTAGATGATATAAATCCATCTGTAGTTGGAAGGATGAAGAACAAGCTTCAGCTTCCATAATTATCTCAGTCAGGAGTACTTATGAAATACACCTTTCATCAGGCCTCTGGACACTAATGGGGTCATGTTAAAACGGTTTCTTAAATTTTGTTATTTCAGAGCCCTATCTACAAACCTTCAGAACTTCAACACCACCCTTAAAGTTGTCCCAAATATTTCAGGTAATGCAGGGCTGTGTCCCATGTACCCAACTGTGGCCTGTGAGCCCTCCGGAACGTGCCACTGTGGTTCTACCCTCCATGGGAGCATCACTTTCCCACTTTAGAGTGTAACTTCCACTGCTCACCAAACAGTAAATCCTGCCCCCCACCCCATTACAATCCTCCTCCAGGCTCTGGCGCTTCCTGAGCTGGGGCCTTACGGAATTCCTCAAAGCAATGGCAGCATGCCCCTTCCCTCATTTCCCATTCAGCTATTATATGTGGATCCCAAAATGGCCCAGAAATTACTCCAGAGAAATATCTTCTAGATTTTTTTGTCTTCTCTGTTCCCAGGGTATAGGCCTGGGGCACACATACTAAGCTGGCTTCTCACCCCAGGTACCCACAGAAACTGCACACAGGGTGAATGTTGGAAGGGTGAGCGTTTAGAGTCCCCATGTACTCTGGCTCAGCTTAGGACTACTGGTCATCAGAGAAATGTAAATGAAAACCACAATGAGATACCATCTCACAACAGTTAGAATGGCAATCATTAAAAAGTCAGGAAACAACAGGTGCTGGAAAGGATGTGGAGAAATAAGAATGGTTTTACACTGTTGGTGGGAGTGTAAACTAGTTCAACCATTGTGGAAGACAGTGTGGCGGTTCCTCAAGGATCTAGAGCTAGAAATACCATTTGACCCAGCGATCCCATTACTGGGTATATACCCAAAGGATTATAAATCATGCTACTATAAAGACACATGCACACATATGTTTATTGTGGCACTATTCACCATAGCAAATACTTGGAACCAACCCAAATGTCCATCAGTGATAGACTGGATTAAGAAAATGTGGCACATATACACCATGGAATACTATGCAGCCATAAAAAAGATTAATTCATGTCCTTTTTAGCGACATGGATGAAGCTGGAAACCGTTATTCTGAGCGAACTATTGCAATGACAGAAAACTAAACACCGCATGTTCTCACTCATAGGTGGCAATTGCAAATTTACAAGAAAAAAACAAACAACCCCATCAACAAGTGGGCAAAGGACATGAACAGACACTTCTCAAAAGAAGACATTTATGCAGCCAAAAAACACATGAGAAAATGCTCATCATCACTGGCCATCAGAGAAATGCAAATCAAAACCACAATGAGATACCATCTCACACCAGTTAGAATGGCAATCATTAAAAAGTCAGGAAACAACAGGTGCTGGAGAGGATGTGGAGAAATAGGAACACTTTTACACTGTTGGTGTTACTGTAAACTAGTTCAACCATTGTGGAAGTCAGTGTGGCGATTCCTCAGGGATCTAGAACTTGAAATACCATTTGACCCAGCCATCCCATTACTGGGTATATACCCAAAGGACTATAAACCATGCTGCTATAAAGACACATGCACATGTATGTTTATTGCGGCACTATTCACAATAGCAAAGACTTGGAACCAACCCAAATGTCCAACAATGATAGACTGGATTAAGAAAATGTGGCACATATCCACCATGGAATACTATGCAGCCATAAAAAATGATGAGTTCTTGTCCTTTGTAGGGACATGGATGAAATTAGAAATCATCATTCTCAGTAAACTATTGCAAGAACAAAAAACCAAACACCGCATATTCTCACTCATAGGTGGGAACGGAACAATGAGATCACATGGACACAGGAAGGGGAACATCACACTCTGGGGACTGTTGTGGGGTGGGGGGAGGGGGGAGGGATAGCATTGGGAGATATACCTAATGCTAGATGACAAGTTAGTGGGTGCAGCACACCAGCATGGCACATGTATACATATGTAACTAACCTGCACATTGTGCACATGTACCCTAAAACTTAAAGTATAATAATAAAAGAAAAAAAAAAACTTAAAAAAAAAAAAGAAAAGAAAAATCAGAACACTGGGACACAGGGCGGGGAACATAACACATTGGGGCCTGTTGTAGGGTGAGGAGATAGGGGAGGGACAGCATTAGGAGAAATATCTAATGTAAATGACGAGTTAATGGGTGCAGCAAACCAACAAGGCACATGTATACATATGTAACAAACATGTACGTTGTGCACATGTACCCTAGAACTTAAAGTATAATTTAAAAAAATAAAAAAATAAATTTTGCTGAAAATAGTGGGTAGTAATAATAATAGCTAACATTTATTGATACTTGCCAATGGCATAGGGAGAGGCAATGTTTTAGGAGCTTTCAGGTATTAAATATATTTAATTCTCATGAAAACTCTATTAGGTAGTCAATATTATTTTCATTTTACAGAAAAGAAAACTGTTTCTAAGAGAGTCTAAATAGCTTGTTCAGAAACACATAGGGGGCTAAGTTTTGAAGCTATGCAGCCTGGTTCCAGATCACATCCTCCTACTCATGTACCTATAATATACCTGTACTATTACAACATTAGATAATAAACACTTTGTCTTGTTTTAAGACTATAAATTTAAAGGATAATTGGAAAAGTTTCTCTTGCCTAGAGAAAAAGACAATTTTTTAAGATAATGTTGCATAACTATGTGTATTACGTTTACTGAAATAGTTATATTTGTGCTTCCCTGAATCAATGTATATTAAATATGCTTCAAAATAGATCTGAAGAAATATGTCTCCCTAGACATCAAATGGTAGTCAATAAGTGGATGTATATCTGATGGAAGTATTTTCCCTCATATTCGATTAATATTTTAAATTATGTGCTATGGTTAATTATAACACATCAAAAATGATTGAAAAGTTTTCTTATATTGTACAATTAATAAAATATTAGACTTGTAAAAAAAGAAAGAAACAATTTGTTAATTTTTTCACAGTATTATTTTAATGTAAACCTTTATGTTTTTAATTCTTATTAATTTTAAGATGCTTTATTTTTTATTAAATAGAAGCATATATTTGCATTTGGAAGCAAATCAAAGAATACGGAAGAGACTATGATAAAAAGTAATAGTCGTGCATACAACACTCACTCATCCCTGCCCCACTCCCCAGAATCAACCTTTAACATTGCTGTCCTTTGCTTTTCTGGTAGTTTGCACTAAATTTAGTTAATATTTATATAATTTCCATTTTTAAACCTATCACCTACAAATGACATTTTGTTAATTTTTCAATAAAAAAATGAGGATTAAGTTCTCACACACTATACCTCTTCCTCCTGCCCTCCTAAAGCTTGATGTTTATACTAACAATTTTAGTTTCTAATAGTTACCTTTATAACTCTACATCCCTACTTTTTTTCACCAACTTTTGATAACATGCTTTAGTTTTCCCTTTACATATAGAATTTTCATAAAACTCAACAAGACTATCATTTTTATGGCTAGTTTAAAGATGAGAAAAATGAAGTGGAGCTGTTAAGTAATTTGCCCAAGCTTCCACAGCTAGAAAGTAACAAACAGATAACCCAATACCCATGCTTTTAACTTTCTATTCAATTATTTGAATATTTTTTATGAAATTGATATTATTAATTACCCCAAATCTCTATACATGTTGACACAACCATCTTCAAAAGTATTAACGGAAACACACAATATACCCAGAACAAAATAGAGTCATAAAATTTTAGTTCAAGAAGTTCTTATTTTATTGAAGATGTGGTCAAAGACTGAAAAGGTGCTACAGTTTCATTTGGTCTTTCTTTCCATATATTTTCCATAGAATTTCCTTTTCTTCAGACAGACTCGGGTAAGTAAGGGTTTTGTGTTTCATTATTATTCCCTTTCTTCCTCTTAATAAATTTCACAGCAAGAAATAAGACCAAAGAAAATCCCACTGCAGGGAATAGAACATCGAGAGGCCATATGGAGCTAGTGGGAGCCATTAGAGTAACTTCATCTTGTTTGGATGGTGAAATCACTCGGGCATGTGCAGTCATGACATGAATTCATTGCCACATGGCAGTGAGCATTCTGGCTGGGCGATTATTTTTGTAACTCCATCTGCCTGGCATCACCAGAGCCTCCAACAGCATGCTGGAACGTTGTGACGATCTCACACTGAGAGGGAGGGTGGGATTGGCGGAATCCAAGCTTTCATTATTAGTTTACTTTAAGGCTTATTTAGGGGGTTCTTTCCAGCCAAGAACTCTGTTTTGATCTCACTGAGTGAAGTCCGTTGCCCTCTCTGGGATAGCCCTGCTGGCTCACTCAGCAACCCTCAACCATGTTAACTTCATATTGAAAGGTTTTTTTGAGCCTAAGAGGCAGAAGACATAAATGACAACCAGCTTTGAAAACCGGACAAATTGTGTTGCATTTATTAGTCTTCTCACTAGTAAGACCCTGATAATGGTCACACACACACACACACACCCCCTTACTAGGGATGCTTTCAAATTAGCATAAAAACATAAAGGCTATGGGTTGTTTCCCATACTTACATTTTACTGGGCTATCTTCTTAATTTCCTGGGTTTGTTCTTGTCTGTAGTTTCTTGACATGTTGTATGCTCAAACTCAAGGGGATATTGCTTTCTCTTTAGGACAGTAAACAAGGAAATTAGAAAGGCAGGGAGGCTAAATTAAAGTAATAGGAAAAATATTTCATGTGGATACATGTTGCCCCTGGGGGTTTGTCTTTGCCCAACCACTCATTCCAACAAACCAGAGTCACACACTGCAGTGCAAGCTGGTAGATACGATGGGAGGTGGCAATATACTGTGTACATGTGGAGATGCCTTAACCCTGAATTTCTAGCATTTATTGAACTCTCTATGTGGCTTGATGTTTCACTATGAGCTTTGGCTTCAACTCCTCTCTGGAATAAATTCAGGGTGAGAGTGAGAGAGAGAGAGAGAGAGAGAGATTGTTACATAGGTGGTGACTTAGGCCTGGATGTTATCCACTGAAAATATTATTTGACATATTAGAAAGGGTAGAGGTAACTTGGATAAATCTGAGACAAGGTGTCCCTGCTCTGCTTATGGCTACAGGGCCTAGACTAGCCATCAGAAGAATCTCATTGGCTTGATCAGGTACATTTCCGAGGGAACTTTAGGTTTACCTGATCCTATATACCAAGAAGTCTCCATGGCTATCAACTTGTCCTTAGGAGGAGCTTTAGAACTAAGCCACAGGCTGGGCATGGTGGCTCACACCTGTAATCCCAACACTTTGGGAGGCCGAGGTGGGCAGATCACCTGAGGTCAGGAGTTCGAGACCAGCCTGGCCAACATGGTGAAACCCCGTCTCTAGTAAAAATACAACAATTAGCAGGGCATGGTGGTGGGTGCCTGTAATCCCAGCTACTCAGGAGGCTGAGGCAGGAGAATCACTTGAACCCAGGAGACAGAGGTTGCAGTGAACCAGGATCTCACCACTGTGCTCCAGCCTGGACTACAGAGTGAGACTCTGTCTCAAAACAACAACAACAACAACAACTAACCCGTAATGCATAGATTTCATTGGCCCTGGTTGGGATTTTCAAAGCCCACCATCTGTACAAACAAATGTTTTCATGTCTTTTCTGACTTTTTGACCATCAAAAATTATGAAAATCTGTTACCTGGTGCTATTTATGAAATGTTTATAGAATGAATGCAGATTGCATCATGTGATGGACAAATCATCAGCCTAGAAATTAGAAGGCATGTATTCTGGTCATTTTCCGAGATTTATTATCTGTGTAAACTTGGGCAAATCTGAAACCTCTTTGAGACTTTCTGAGTTTTAGAGAGACAACAGAGCGCCTGGCTAGCTCACTCAGTCAGCAAACCATGAGATTCTTAAAATGGGGAAGATGGTAATATTTGTTGTACCAATCACACAGGTCAGGAATCAGAAGAACTTGAGTAAGTGAAATAGCCCTAAAAATGTGTGCGCCAAAGGAAAGGCATCATTATGATTTATGTCAACTTACAGTTTGCTCTAGGGGACTGCATAGAGCCCAGCTGGAGAAATCTTGAATGCTCTCCCCTAGAAGCCACTCATGCTGCAGAAGCATGTTCTCATACATATTAGTGGTTTTCATATATCTTAGTGGTTCTCAACTGGAGGCAATTTTGCTCCCCCCTCTCCCCAAGTGACATTTGGCAATGTCTAGAGACAGTTTTGATTGTCACAGCTGGCCATGGGTAGAGGGACAGGATACTACTGGCATCTAGAGGGTAGAGGCCAGAGATGCTTCTAAACATTCTACAGTGCACAGGACACCGCTCACGTGAAAGAATTATCTGGTCCAAAATGAGAACCCCTGGTGTGTACAGAAGCTTATACGCCGTGTCTTAAAGCCAGTGATCAGTTGTTGGATGACTTGATATGCTGCTTATCCTTTGATGCCAACCTTGAAAGCTTCTCCTTGATAGCTGAGCCAGGTAGAGGGTGTGGAATCCCTAGCAGTAATCATGTGGAGAAGACAGAGAAGCCTCTAAAACCAGTAGGTTCCAAGATGTGGTCCTCAGACCAGCATCTTCAGCATCCTCTGGGAGCATGTTAAACATGCAGAGTCTGAAATCCCACCCTAGACCTGCTGAAGTCATGGGGCACAGCAATCGGCATCATAAGAAGCCCTTCCAGGGACTCTAGTGCATGCTGTTGTTTGACAACCATTGCCAATGATAGCCACAACTCAGATTTTGCTGTTCTGCACTTGGAAAAAGCATTAGTTTGGGTCCAGCTGTGGGAACTCCTGGCAAGATTTTTATCCCAGGGCTCTCCCTGTTAGCTCTGCCATGCTTCAAGGAGCTTAGGCAACTCCTAGCTGCAGAAAGCAAATGTCATTATGACTTAGACCTCCTATTACAAGACTCCTTACTGAGAACCACCTGGAGGGAGCAATGCTGCCGGCTGGCACACACTCAGTTTTGATTAGGCTTTTTGGCTGATGAGCTTCTCATAGCAGAGAAGACTGTGGGCTTCACTATCTCCGAGTGAGAGGCTGGCTCCATGTTCCCCTTATTCTGATAGCAGCACCTGATCCAGTGTTGGGTAACCAGGCCTCTTCCCATTGGACCCAGTCTTGGTGGAAATGTCAATTAAGCCACCCATCTCCTCCCTGGACAAGGGGGTGGGCCCATGAGCCATGCTTATTATGTCCCTGGAATCACATTTTTGAACTATTGAAGCAGTGGCTGAAAAACATTTGAATCCCACTTATCCTAAGGGGGAAAATCTGAAAAGCCCACTGATGTGTTTTCGCTTCCTGGATCCAAGAGCTGCTTTCAGAGAAATGTTTTTTCAGCTTTTCCTTCTGTTCTGGGGACTGATATGTTTCCAGTAAATGCCTTCCTGCTGACCCAGAGTTTTTTCTGTTGCACACAACCAGGGAACTCTGTCTAATGTGGGGATTGTGAGGATCAAATGGGCAGAGGTAGATTGACTGTGAAGCTCTCTGAGCTTGGTATTGAGACCTTTACGTGCATAAGTCCCTTACACGACCCTGGGAGGAGTTCAGGCAATGTGTTCACATGGTCATATCTTTAAATTACATTGCAAAAGTAAGATTTTAACAGCTATTGTTTAAGACTGCTGCTTCTTTCCAGTTTGTATTTCCCTTTATTGTATTTCCCCTTGTGTTGGTTGTTAATGGACTGGACAAAGGCATTTTGAGAATCCAGCTTAGAGAAAGCTGAGTTGGAGATACATTTAGTTTGGGTGTAATGGAATCATTAGATTTGTCAGTCATTTTCAGATACGGTAAAGTTATTGCAAGTTGTTCCAGTTTAAAAAAGGCTTCCAAGGATCATCCTACTACCCCATAGTAGTCACTGTGTTGACTCATGTGGTGTTGTGACCCAAAGGTGTGGGACAGAAGCCACACTGTGATATGAGGCCTGCTACAGCCCCGACACTGGAAATATGTGGGTAGAAGAGGAAAAACAAGGTTTGGACTATTTGCAGCCAGAAGGTGGTTTGTGGAAAATTCTAATCACTGCTGTATGATGTTGTGATTGGGTAATTCAGTTCATCAACACCTAGTTAAGAAAGATTCTGCTAGGATTATACTTGATAATGGAGAATACACAAATACACATTATCCACACATATTTTTAGGGCAGTTACAAGAAATATAATTTTTAAGATTTCTGTGTTTGTAGAACACACACTAGTAGAAATACTACAAATAGCAAGTGTGTAAAAAACTACAGATTTTAAGGGAAACAAAATGTGATGAACTATGTTAGAGAAATAACTAAATGTCATTATTTCTCTACTGAAAATTTTGTTATCAATAACATAATAAAATCATTAATACATAAAGAGGTGATAAAATAGTATTTCCTCCCTTTCCAAAAAAAAAAAGCTAAAAAGTACTATAGAGGCATATCAGGCAATTAATTAGTAAAGGTAGTAAGTGGTTTTTGTAATGTAGCATTTGTCATTTTTTCAGTTTGTAATTTGTTGTGATTTTTTTCATTTTAAATAAATATTAATGTTCACTTCTAATTTTGTATTTCTTTTTTAAGGAGGCTCCTCAGATTGGCTAAGGGTTGGATTCCACAAAACCTGATCCACCCCTGCAGATAAGATTATATATAAGCAAGCCCTTTGGAGATTATGACTTGCTGTATCAATGGAAAGGCTGATGTGTTCATTCAGCAAACATTTTGTTTGGATCTGACTACATGCCAGGCACTGGTGGGTACCACGGATACAAAGAGGAAAAATCCACTGGTTTCCAAACCTGGCTATGCAGCAGAATCTCTGAAGTACTTTTTTAAAAAATATGGATTTCTGGGTCCAAATGAGACCCACTGAACCAGACTATCTGGAGGTGGAGCCTACGAATCGATATCATTAACAAATTCCCCAAGTGATTGTTACGCAGCCAAGCCATCATTGGCTCTCCAGCAATAAGAAAGCAATGAGTGAGATGCTGCCCTTGCTGCCTTCAAACTACTGAAATTCCTATGGGGGAGACAGAGAAATAAGTTAGTAATTATAGTACTGCTATGGTCTGAATGTTGTGTCCCCCTAAAATGTGTATGTTGAAATCCTAACCCCCAAGACAATGGTATTAGGTAGTGAGGCCTTTGGAGAGGTAATTAGATCATAAGGGCAGAGCCCTCATGAATGGAATTAGCAACCTTATAAAAGAGGCCCCAGAGAGGCACCTCTCTCCTTCCACCTTGTGAGGACACAGTGAGAAGGCTCCACCTATGAGCCAGGAAATGGGCTGCCACCAGACACCAAATCTGCCAGCATCTTGATCTTGGACATCTCAGCCCCCAGAACTGTAAGAAGCAAATATATGTGGTTTATAAGTCACTTGGTCTATAGTAATCTGTTACAGCAGCCCAAATGGACTAAGACTGGTAATTTGTGATAAAGGCTATGCTGGAGATATACACATCTGAGAATAGGGGATGCATCCACAGTCATGCACATAATTATGTTTCAGTGAATGACGGACTGCATATACAATAGTGGTCCCATAAGGTTATAACGAGGCTGAAAAATTCTTATCAACCAGTGCTATCATAGCTGTCACATTACAGCACAACACATTACTCATGTGTCTGTGGTGATGCTGGTGTAAAAAAACCTACCGCTTTACCAGTTACATAATGTTTCATAATGATAACAAATGACTATCTTACTGGTTTATATATTTACTAGACTATGCTTTTTGTCATTATTTTGGATGATACTACTTTTACTTATTTTTTTTAAGTTAACTGTAAAACAGCCTTAGGCAGGTGTCCCTCAGAAGAAGGCATTGTTGTCCTAGGAGATGACAGCTCCATGAGTGTTATTGTCCCTGAAGACCTTCCAGTGAGACCTGATGTGGAAGGGGAAGACAGTGATACTGATGATCCTGCCCCTATGTAGGCCTAGACTAATGTGTTTTAGTTTTAACAAAAAAGTTTTAAAAGTAAAAAAAGATTTAAAAATGGAAAAAAGCTTATAGAATAAGGATATCAAAATACTTTTGGACAGCTATACAATGTGTTTGTGTTTTATGCTAAGCGTTATTACAAAAGTCAAAAAGTTTTTAAAAGTTGAAAAATTTATAAAGTAAAAAATTTACAGTAAGCTAAGTTTAATTTATTATTGAAGAAAGAAAAAAATCTTCTTATAAATTTAGTGTTGCCTAAGTGTACAGTGTTTATAAGGTCTGCACTAGTGTGCGGTACTGTCCTAGCCTTCACATTCACTCACCACTCACTCACTGCCTGACCCAGAGCAACTTCCAGTGTTGCAAGCTCCATTCACGGTAAGTGCCCTACACAGTTCTATCCTATTTTATCTTTTATATCATATTTTTACTTTGTCTTTTCTATGTTTAAACATGTTTAGATGCACAAATACTTACTGAGTTACAATTGCCTATAGTATTTAGTACACTCACATGCTGTGCAGGTTTATTGCCTCGGAGCAAAACTATTAGCTTAGATGTGTAGTAGGCTATACCATCCAGGTTTGGTAAGTACATCCTATGATATTTGCACAACGACAAAATTGCTTAATGACACATTTATCAGAACATATCCCCACCATTAAACAATGCATGGCTGTACATCTACTTCAAACTAGACATTTAGGGAAGGCTTCCTTCAGGAAGTGATTAAGCTAGACACATTTCTGTTTAAATCAAGAAAATGTAATTCCTTCCTTTCCTCAATGTCTGAATTTAGGCTGAATTGAATGTCGTAAAGCTAAAATGTCTGAGATTTGCTGACCATTTCTTATGTGCTAGCACCACCCAATGTGGTAGCCCTACTATTACCTCCATTTTAATAGAAAAGGAGGCTGAGGCCTAGAGAGGTTGAGTAGCTTGCCCAGCTCACAGCTAGCACATGGTGGACTGAAGCTTATGCCCTGGTGGTGTGAGTACAAGTTCACATTCTTCCCACCATGACATCTACTGCCTCCATTGGATCAAATGTGCACAGCTCTGGAGAGCATCAGTATCCAGCACCTCACTATTCAAAGTGGGGTTCAAGGACCAGCAGGAGCAGAGTCACTAGGGAGCTTATTAGAAGGGCATGATTGGAGAGGAATGAGGAGGGGAGACTCTAGATCTATTGAATCAGCACCAGAGGATCTGTGTGCACAGAGAGTGGGTATAGCAATGCTCTGGAGTAGAGGGAGCAGGTAAAGAAGGAAGCTTTCCTGGTACAGATACAGGTGAGCCTCATCCCAGAGGAAGTGTTCTTCAGCAGCACTCATCAGACAGAAGGAAATTCCCAAAAATGTGAAACAGCATGTGATTTCCATGGAAATTTCTCACTCAGAGGTTCTCTTTATGCCACTCACTTTGTTTTTGAGCCTCTAAACCTGCATAGTCCCATATTGTAGCCACTGGTCACATGTGGCAATTGAGCCCTTGAAATGGGACCAGTTCAAATTGAGATGTGCTGTAAATACAAAATGCACAGTAGGCTTTGAAGATTTACTATAAAAAGATAATTTAATTTTTTATTAATAATTTTTATATTGATTACATGTTGAAATGATAGAATGGGGATATATTGGGTTAAATAAAATTTATTATTACAATTCTTGTTTTAAATGTGGCTACTAACATATCTTAAATTGCATATGTCTGAAGATGGCAAGCATTTGTGGCTTGTATTATATTTCTGTTGGACAGCATGAACCTTACTCTTGAGCTCAGCAGGGAAGGAGGAATAAAATTTCTCTGCTTTTCCATCAAGTGGTAAAAAGCGACAGCAGATTCTCACTCTAAGCAAATTCATGATATTGGCATTTGGCTAGCAGGGTGCCTTTCACATGGGCTGAGCCAGGAGAGAAACTGCCTTGTTTCTGTGGGGTCTGATGCGGTCACAGAGCTGACCTCTTATGCATAAAAGCTTTGGCTTTGGGGCCGAAGGAGAAGTCTGTGTGCAGCTTTCTAGGGAAGCAGAATGGAGAGCTGGGGAATGAAGGTGGACTTGGTGTTTCTAAGGCCTCTAGAGTGCACAGAGAGATAGATGTTATGGACTGAATGTGTCCTCCCCAAATTCATATGTCAAAATCCTAACCCTCAAGGTGATGATATAGGAAGTGCGGCCTTGAGAGGAAATTGCATCATGGCAGTGGAGCCCTCATGAATGGGATTAGTGCCCTTATCCAAGAGACTCCAGAGAGCTCACTAGCCCTCTTTCTGCCATGTGAGGACACAGGAACAAGTCAGCTGTCTGCAGCCCAGAAGGGAGACCCCTCACCACAACCCAACCATGCTCCACCCTTATCTCAGACTGCCAGCCTTTCGAACTGTGAGAAATACATGTCTATTGTTAATAAGCTGCCTAGTCTATAGTAGTTTGTTATAGCAGCCCAAACTGACTAAGATGGTATACATATTTTTCACACCTTAGCCCCTTGAGGGTAACAACTTCATTTGCTTCCTTGAGTCCTTCTTGGTTCAAGTCATGTTTAATTGTCTTACAACTTAGATGAACAGAGAATACATACATGGAAGAAATATTAAATTACAGTTCAGTGGATTATTCACTTAAAAGTTAATAGGGAAAAAAACTCAGAGTGAGGCATCTTTTCTGTATAACTGCCTTTCAAACACACATGCTGGGATTATAAACAATGCAAACCAAGGGGAGAGAATGATCTGGGGGCTTCCTGGAGGCCAGAGTTGCAACCATATGGAGTGTCGGAGGCCAGCCAAGGCCGGCTTCATGGTGAAATAACTTTCAGCTGCTCCTCTGAATGGCTGCTTTCAGCCGGGTTCTGCAGCTTAATTTCTCAGCTCTAGCAGAAGGGAGATCCCTCCAGGCTGCATTTTAAAAATCCCGAACAAAACCTTATTAAATGTGTCCCAGCTTTTCCTGTCTTGATACAGACAGCTGTTTTGTGGAGTTCATGGAAGCCAGTGCTATAGAATGTTTCAAATAGGAAGGGGGTTCCCATGATTTCTCGGTAAATGAGAAGGGGGCTTGTTTCGTTGGGGGCTGATGAATTACAAAGCATTGATTTTACAGAAGAAATATATGATGTTTGTCATTAAGTGATAGGAGTTGCAAGCAGGGGACAAAGTGATAGTGTCAATGGATGAACCCCAGACATGGTCTTTGTTTTGTGAGTTGCAGCGTAATTATACCCAAGCAATGTGAGAAACAGTCCCTTAAAATAGAGAGTGAGGGAGACCCTGTGTTCTGGGGAAAGAAACAGAAATAAAGCTGTGACCAAGCTCATTAGATGATGTGACTTTGCCGCATAATTTAGTACCGCTTTGTAAAAAAATCCTTTAAGAATTGAAGAAGGCTTTTAAGATTTTGTATTGTTTTTTAGAAGGCAGTATTATCTTGTAGAGGGTAGAAGCGTAATACTAATAGCTACTTTTGTGGGGAACACACTGCAAACCAGACCCTTCCCCAGACACTCATACATACTTATTCTGATTTTTGCAGTAAGCCTGCCAGATAGTTGTTACCCAGGTCTGTTTTGTGTCCATTCTATTTCCAAAGACAAGCTTAAGGGTTAAGCTGTGGTAAAGGGTAGAGGGAATGCCAAAAGCAGAGAGAAAATGTAGTAAGATGTGCTTGTAATGTGTTTGCATGATTATTAGGGTGTTGTAGGAAATTACATCGATGCTGTATATTACAAGGCAAGCTATCCCAGAGGTCATGGAACAGAAGGTCTCACAGATAAAACTAAAATGTTTGAACCAATTTAAAACATACAGCAAGAAGTTAGGGGAAAGGGATGGGACAGAATAACACATAAAGGATGGGTGCAAGCAGGGTGGAAGGACCACGCTACCGCCGGAGTCTTGGGTTAAGCCAAGTGCACATGCTCTGTTTCTCTCTCTGCCACCTCAGCCTTTCACATGGATGGTATGGTTAAAAGACCAGAGTTGAGATTTGACTAAGGCCCCCTCAAAGTGGAAGATACCTGGAACCCTGACCATATACCTGCTGTATGGAAGATGCAGGAACAAGTACCTTTGGCCAACTAGCATGATGAGCACCTTTGGGTTTTACTTGTGTTTCTTGGGCAGAGGACACATGGGGCCAGAGTCTCACCAAGGGTGGCTAAATTAACACTGTATATTAAATGCCTCAGATGCCTCATGTATATTTAGCGTTTCACAAATATTTGGTGCCTCAGGAATATCAGATTTCTCTTGATGTGCTCTACTTACTTATATTTACTTATCTTATGAATCCTGACTGTCTCACAAGATGCTTGCTTACTCGTAATCTACAGTTAGCACATTGCATGAGTTTCACATCTACTGTAATAGAGTAGAACATTCTCAAATAACACTGGAAATGCACATCAGAATTGGATCAATTCTGACCATTCCCACTGGGTTAGAGGCTCCCTGAAGTTAGACTTTACCTGTCCTGGTAATTGCTCCGTCTTTATTGTCTAGTGTATTCTGGGTGCTCTTTAAGTTGCTGGATGAGCAAATGAACAGCTCCTAAATAGGCACAGAAGGAGAGAATGATTAGGCTAAAGAAAGGAAAGAAGTTCATGAATCAAATGTTTCCTCTGCTAAGAGCCTTAGGTCCACAGCCACAGGGACCCTCCTTTCCCTGGTTTTAAACAGGCCTTTGATTCTGCCTGAGCAGTGGCTCTCAAAGAGTGGCCCCCAGACCAGCAACATCAGCATTATTTGGGAACTTGGCAGAAAGCAAATTTTCATCTCCCCAGCCAGTTGGCTGTATTTCCATATACAGAATCAGAATCTCTGAGGGTAGGACCCAGTTGGATGTTTTCACAAGCCCTCCACTTTATTCTAACCCACACTCAAGAGTTTGAGAACCACTGTGCTAGAATGATGTGTTATCCCGGTTTATTTCAAGACATTTTCCTTTCGGGATACTGTGTTCCTCCCCTTTGGAAACAAGAGTCCAGCTTCATTTGATGGCATTACACAAGTGTCTGCAGCCTCCAAGGATGATGTTTTCTCATTGACAAATGCTACATTGAGCAAGAACTGCCCGGGTGCTCACAGGCTGGGCACGACTTGCATGCCAGCTCTTTCTAGAGTAAAAATCCAACAAGGGAACAGGGAAGAAAGGTGGAAAAGAGAAGCATCAGGACAAAGCCAAACATGCAAGGGTATTTCTGTCCAAGGTTCATCCTGGCAGCTCAGACATTTGTGGAGAGCATTCTGTATTATCTTCTTCCCAGAGTTTACCAGTGGGCTCAGAACCTTTGGGTGAAAACAGTGCAACCAACACGCAACTTGTGGTAGCTCTTCCAGACAGAGAAAGAAGGGTCTGGAAAGAAACTCAGCATCAGATAGCTAAAATAGCCAAGCATTGTGTTTATCTTCCCATAAATATTTTTTAAATTACAAATAAATTTAAAATAATACTCTACTTAATTCTAATTATAAAAGTTGTATGTTCATTGCTGAGAATGTGAAAAACAGAAAAGTATAAATAAGAAAATTTAAATCATCCATTTCTCCACTGCTCAACAATGGTCACTTGTAATATTTTGAGCATTGTATTTGAGATAGAAAAATAGTAGTTATTATATATATTACAGAGTAGGAAAGCCTGTTTTCATATTTTTAAATTTAATACTATATAACTCCCTATAAGCATCATTTTAATGGTTCCAAAATATTCTATCACATGGATTTTATTTAGCCATGTTCCCATTATTAGAAATCTAGAGCCTTTCCAGTTTAATGCTAATGTAAACAACATCTTTGGATTTTTCTTTGTGTCTGCAATCATTTCTTTAGGATTGGTACCTAGGAGTGAATTACTGAATCAATTTCCATTTTGTGAATCTTCTGTGAGGTGGGAGAGCTGCATCTAGCCGTGAAAGAGGACAGAACTGGCAGTCAGGAGGCCTGATGAGATTTGCCAGAGATTTGCTGTGTGATCCTGAAAAAGTCACTTTCTCTCTGTGGATGTTAGTTTTCCCACTGTTAAATGGAGGAGTTGGAATAGGCTTTGCATCTCCAACAGAAGTACTGTGCCAATCAACCAATACATGTAAAATATTATTTTTATGTTAAACTCAGGAATATTATGGAACAATTATATAACTGATTTTTTTCTTTTGGAATAAAATATAAAACTTCAATGAAACTCCCTGTTGGTATTTGGCCAGCTAGACTTCTCCTATAGACCTCTCTCAAAGTATGTGTTCACTATCTTTGGCCAATAGAGATATGTCAATGCAAATGTTTGAGAAGAATTGGACCAGGTGATCTTAAATGTTGCATGTTGTCTGAATGTTCTGTGCATACGTGGTTCATGGCATGTAAGCTGTGCTGTCCTTAGCTAATCTTCCAGGCCTATAATTTTGCCTTCATCCTGAAATTGGGACATTTTCATGTATTTTTCTATTGACCAGCTTCTTGTGGACTCAGTTTAAACAATTGCTAAGTGTATTTTTAAAACCTGATCAATCTGTCCTTAGCCTACAGCTATCTAACCACATATCACTGTGGGCTTCATAGAAGCTCACTTTCTGGTACTTCTTTATTCACACAAAAGCACTTACTTTGTTTAACACTATTATGTGTCAGACAACATTACAATATGGCAAGTACAAAGAGGAATAAGATATAATCTCTGCTCCTGTCTTCTAGGAGATAATAATTGATTTTCTTTTTTTAAAAAAAAATTATTTATTTATTTATTTTTTGACAGAGTCTTACGCTATCACATGGGCTGGAGTGCAATGGCATGATCTCGGCTCACTGCAACCTCTGCCTCCTGGGTTCAAGCGATTCTCCTGGATCAGCCTCCCAAGCAGCTGGGATTACAGGCACCTGCCATCATGCCCAGCTAATTTTTGTATTTTTAGTAGAGGTTTCACCATGTTGGCCAGACTATTCTTGAATTTCTGACTTCAGGTGATCTGCCAGCCTCAGCCTCCCAAAGCGCTGAGATTACAGGCGTGAGCCGCCATGTCCGGTCAATAATTGATTTTCTACAAAGTATTCCAGAAGGCAGCCGAAGTCAATAGGTTTTCTTTTTTCTTTTTAAAGAGTGCTCTATATCAAATTTGTTTGGGAAGTGCTGAGTTAAAGTAAGTTAAGCAGGTTTATTTACAGCAGGATTTTTCAGAGCCTTTAATATGCTTATATGCATTGTAAATTCTAAACAGGCACAGAAAGCTTGAAGTGTTCCTAAAGTTATTTCTTTAGGAAACTCTTCATTTGTGGAGCATCTCCCGGAAGCTAGAGCCCGATGATACATAATTTGAGAAATGCTGTCCCACTGAAATCTAATCTGAGCATTCACACAACAAAAAGGTAGTTTATAGGTAAGCAACAAAATATCGAAGAATTTGAAGACACATTTTTTCCTATTGAAGAGCTTTCAATCTAATAAGGAGTCCATCCTGAAACATACATAGGGAATATCCACAAATATTGAAAACCAATGTGAAAGTACGTATAGAGGTGTGGAATCAGCAGAAAATTGAAAAGAGATGGATGATATTAAACAAGGATAATTTCATGGAAGAAGTAGGGTTTTGGGACAGAATTTCTCTCATGAACTAAAATTTCCAAATTATTTTTTATGAAAACAATGAATACTCATCAAAGAAAACTTGAAAAAAAAAGTACAATAAAGAAACTCACACACATACCTACATATATAATGTGTATATATGTGTATGTATATATTTTTTCTTTTCATGAGGGAGGGTTTTCTACCAGTATTTTTTTTATTGTGGTAAAAAATACAACATACAATTTACTATCTTAAACTTTTATATACAATACAGTAGTGTTAATTATATGCACATTATTGTGCAACAGATCTCTACATATTTTTCATCTTGCAAGACTGAAATTCTATATTAATTGAAAAACAACTTTCCTTTTCCCATCTCCTCCCAGCCCCTGACAACCACCACTTCATGTTTCTAAGAGTTTGACTATGTTAGATAACTTATAAAAGTGGAATCACACGATACAGCTGACCCTTGAGCAATGTAGGGGTGCCAATTCCCTGCACAAAAGTCTGTGTATAACTTAGTTCCCCAAAAATGTAACCACTAATAGCCTACTGTTGACCAGAAGCCTTACCAATAACATAAACAGTTGATTAACATGTATTTTATACGAAATATTCTTACAATAAAGTAGACTAAAAAAAAGAAAATGTTATTAGGAAAATCAATTCATATGGAAACCAAAAAAGAGCCCACATAGCCAAAGCAATATCAAGCAAAAAGAACAAATCGGGAGGCATAACATTATCTGACTTCAAATTATACTACAAGGCTATAGTTACCAAAAGAGCATGGTACTGGTATAAAAATAGAAACATAGACCAGTGGAAAAGAATAGAGAACCCAGGAGTTGAGCCAAATACATAAAGCCAACTTATCTTCAACAAAGCATACCAAAACGTAAAGTGGGGAAAGAACGCCCTATTCAATAAATGGTGCTGGGAAAACTAGAAAGCCACATGTAGATGAAACTGGATCCTCATCTCTCACCTTATACAGAAATCAAGTCAAGATGGATCAAAGACTTAACTCTAATACCTGAAACCATAAGAATTCTAGAACATAACATCAGAAAAACTGTTCTAGAGATTGGCTTAGGGAAAGAACTCATGACTAAGAACTCAAAAGCAAATGCAACAAAATAAAAAATAAATAAATGGGACCTAATTAAATGAAAAGACTTCTGCACAGCAAAAGAAATAATCAGCAGAGTAAACAGACAACCCACAGACTGGGAGAAAATATTGCAAACTGTACATCTGACAAAGAACTAATCTCTGGAATCTGCAAGAAACTCAAACAAATATGCAAGACAAAAAGTAAATAATCCCATCAAAAAGTGGGCAAAGGACATGAATAGACAATTCTCAAAAGAAGATATACAAACAGCCAACAAACATATGAAAAAATGCTCAACATTACTAATTATCAGGGAAATACAAATTAAAACCACAGTGAGATACCATCTTACTCCTGCAAGAATGACCATAATTTAAAAACAAAAAAAAATAGATGTTGGCGTGGATGTGGTGAAAACGTAACACTTTTATACTGCTGATGAGAATGAAAACTAGTAAAACCACTATGGAAAATGGTGTGGAGATTCCTTAAAGAGCTAAAAGTAGAACTACCATTTGATCCAGCAATTCCACTACTGCATATCTACCCAAAGGAAAAGAAGTCATTATAAGAAAAAGACACATGCACATACATTTATAGCAGCCAAATTCATAATTGCCAAAATGTGGAACCAACCTAAATACCCATCAGGCAACAAATGGATAAAGGAATTGTGGTATGTATACACCATGGAATACTACTCAGCCACAAAATGAAATGAAATAATGACTTTTGCAGCAACTTGGATGGAGCTGGAGGCCATTATTCTAAGTTAACTCAGGAATGGAAAACATCATATGTTCTCACTTATTAGTGGGAGCCAAGCCATGAGGATGCAAAGGCATAAGGATGATATAATATAATGGACTTTGCGGACTTGGGAAGAAGGGTGGGAGGAGGGTGAAGGATAAAAGACTATATATTGGGTACAGTGTACACTGCTTGGGTGACAGGTGCACCAAAATCTCAGAAATCACCACTAAAGAACTTATCCATGTAATCAAAAACAACCCATAACCCAAAAACTATTAAAATACATTTTTTTAAATGGGAAAAGGGCAATAACAGACACCTGTCAAAAGAAGACACACACATAACCAACAGCAGATTTTAAAAATGCTCAATATCACTAATTTTTAGGGAAATGCAAATCAAAACCACAGTGAGATACCACCTCACACCAGTCAGAATCGCTATTACTAAAAAGTCGAAAACAGATGCTGGAGAGCTTGTGGACAAAAGGGAACACTTATACACTGCTGGTGGGAATGTTAATTACTTTAGCCACTGTGGAAAGCAGTCTGGAGATTTCTCAGAGAACTTAAAATAGAACTGCCATTTGACCTGGTGATCCCATTACTGGGTATATACCCACTGAAATATAAATCATTCTAGACACATGCACACGTATGTTATGTTCATCTCAGCACTATTCACGATAGCAAAGACTTGGAATCAAACTAGATGTCCATCACTGGTGGACTGGATAAAGAAAATATGGTACGTATACACCATGGATTACAACACAGCTATTAAAAAAAAAGAGAGATTATGGCCTTCACAGCTACGTGGATGGAACTGGAGGCCATACTCCTAAGTGAAGTAACAGAGGAACAGAAAACCAAATACTACATTTTCTCACTTGTAAGTGGGAGCTAAACATTGAGTACACATGGACACAATAGGGAACAATAGACACTGGGCCCTATTTGAGGGTGGAGGGTGAGGACTGAAAACTGCCCATTGGGTATTATGCCAATTACCTAGGTGATAAAACCAAACCCCTGTGACATATAATTTACCCATGTAACAAATCTGCACATGTACCTCTTGAATGTAAAATAAAAGTTGGAAAGAGAATAAATAAATATTTTTAAAAAACAACAAAAAAATCATAAGGAAGAGAAAATATATTTATAATTTATTAAGTAGAAAAGGATCATCATAAAAGTCTTTATCTTCATTGTCTTCACATTGAAAAAGCTGAGGAGGAGGAATGGGAGGGGCTGATCTTGCTTTCTCAGAGAGGCAGAAGAAGTAAAGGAAGTGGGAGAGACAGGAGAGGCAGGCATACTTAGTGTAAATTTTATTGAAAAAAAATTCAAGTATAAATAGACCTATGCAGTTCAAACTTGTGTTGTTTAAAGGTCAACTGTTTTTGTGACTTATTTCACTTAACATGACATTAAGTTTTCCCCTCGATGTGGCATATAATAGGAGTTTCCTCTATTTAAAGGCTGAATAATATTCCATTGTATGCATATCTAGTTAATCCAATCATCTGGTGATGGACATTTAGGTTTATTTTACCTCTTGGCTATTGTGAATAAAGCTACAATGAACATAGGTGTGTAAATATCTCTTTGAGTCCCTGTTTTCAATTGTTTTGGATAATTACTCAGAAGTGTGATTGCTGGATCATGTAATAATTATTTTATTTTATTTTTTAACTTATTTTAGGTTTGGGGTACATGTGAAGGTTTGTTCTATAGGTAAACTTGTGTCATGGGGGTTTGTTATACAGGTTATTTCATCACCCAGGTGTTAAGCCTAGTACCCAATAGTTATTTTTTTCTGATCCTATTGAGGGATCCTCCTCCCACCCTATACCCTCCAGTAGGCCCCAGTGTCCATTGTTCCCCACTGTGTGCCCATGTGTTCTCATAATTTAGCTCCCACTTATAAGTGAGAACATGTGGTATTTGGTTTTCTGTTCCTGAGGTAGTTTGCTAAGAACGACAGCCTTCAACTCCATCCGTGTTCCCACAAAAGACATAACCTCATTCTTTTTTATGGCTGCATAGTATTCCATGGTACATATGTACCACATTTGCCTTATCCAGTCTGTCATTGATGGGCATTTAGGTTGATTCCAGGTCTCTGTTATTGTGAAGTACTGCAATGAACATTCTCATGCATGTGTCTTTATGGTAGAATGACTTATTTTCCTCTGGGTATATAACCAGTAATGGGATTGCTGGGTCAAATGGTAGTTATGCTTTTACCTCTTTGATGAATTGCCTTACTGCTTTCCACAGTGGTTGAACTAATTTACACTTCCACCAACAGCATATAAGTGGTCCCTTTC
This sequence comes from Homo sapiens, assembly GCF_000001405.40. Classification (NCBI taxonomy): domain Eukaryota; kingdom Metazoa; phylum Chordata; class Mammalia; order Primates; family Hominidae; genus Homo; species Homo sapiens. The sequence continues at coordinate 52,281,696 of NC_000004.12, read as the reverse complement.
TCCATAATCTCACCAGTATCTGTTATTTTTTGACTTTTTAGTAATAGCCATTCTGACTGGTGTGAGATGGTATCTCATGGTGGTTTTGACTTGCATTTCTCTAATGATCAATGATATTGAGCTTTTTTTCATATGGTTGTTTGCTGCATGTACATCTTCTTTTGAAAAGTGTCTGTTCACGTCCTTTGTCCACTATTTAACATAGTGTTTTTTTGTAAATTTGTTTAAATTCCTTATAGATGTGTGATATTAGATGTTTGTCAGATGTATGGTTTGCAAATATTTTCTTCCATTCTGTAGGTTGTCTGTTTACTCTGCTAATAGTTTATTTTGCTGTGCAGAAGCTCTAAAGTTGAATTAGATCCCATTTGTCAATTTTTGCTGTTGTTGCAATTGCTTTTGTGTCTGTCATGAAATGTTTGCCCATTCTTATGTCCAGGATGATATTGCCTATGTTGTCTTCCAGAGTTTTTATAGTTTTGGATTTTACATATAAGTCTTTAATCTATCTTGAGTTAATTTTTGTATATGATGTAAGGAAGTAGTACAGCTTCAATATTCTGCATATGGCTAGCCAGTTATTCCAGCACCATTTATTGAATAGGGAGTCTTTTCCCCATTGCTTGTTTTTGCCAGCTTTGTTGAAGATCAGATGGTCATAGGTGTGCAGTGTTATTTCTGGGTTCTCTTTTCCAGTTCATTGGTCTATGTACCTGTTTTTGTATCAGTACCATGCTGCTTTGGTTACTGTAGCCCTATAGTATAGTTGGAAGTCAGGTCATGGATGCCTCCAGCTTTATTCTTTTTGCTTAGGATTGCCTTGGTTATTCAGGCTCTTTTTTGGTTCCACATGAATTTTAAAATCATTTTTTCTAGTTCTGTGAAGAATGTCATTGATAGTTTGATAGGAATAGCATTGAATCTGTACATTGCTTTGGGCACTATGGTAATTTTAATGATATTAATTCTTCCTATCCATAAACATGAAATGTTTTTCCATTTGTTCGTATCTTTTCTGATCTCCTTGAGCAGTGTTTTGTAATCCTCATTGTAGAGATCTTTCACCTCTCTGGTTTGCTTTATTCCTATGTATTTTATTCTTTTTGTGGCAATTGTGAGTGGGATTGCATTCCAGATTTGGCTTTCAGCTTGACCGCTGTTGGTGTATAGGAATGCTGGTGATTTTTGTACATTGATTTTGTATCCTGAAACTGCTGAAGTTATCAGCTGAAGGAGATTCTAGCCTGAGATTATGGGGTTTTCTAGATATAGAATTATGTTTTCTGTAAACAGGGATAGTTTGGCTTCCTCTCTTCCTAGTTGGATGCCTTCTTTTTCTTATCTTATTGCTCTGGCTAGGACTTCCAACACTATGTTGAATAGGAGTGGTGCGAGAGGGCATTCCCTCTCTTGTGCCTTTCAAAGGGAGTGCTTCCAGCTTTTGCCCATTCAATATGATGTTGGCCGTGGGTTTGTCATAGATGGATCTTATTATTTTGAGCTATGTTCCTTCAATATGTAGTTTACTGAGAGGTTTTAACATGATGAGGTATGGAATTTTATCAAAAGCCTATTCTGCCTCGTCTATTGAGATGATTATGCATTTTTTGTCCTTAGTTCTGTTTATGTAATGAATTACACTTATTGACTTGCATACGTTGAACCAACCTTGCATGCTGGGGATGAAGCCTACTTGATCATGGTGGATTAGCTTTATGATGTGCTGCTGGATTCAGTTTGCCAGTATTTTGTTGAGGATTTTGTCATCAATGTTCATCAAGGATAACTGGCCTGAAATTTTCTTTATTTGCTGTGTCTCTGCCAGGTTTTGGTATCAGGATAATGTTGGCCTCATAGAATGATTTAGGGAGGAGTCACTCTCCCTCAATTTTTTGAAATAGTTTCAGTAGGAATGGTACCAGCTCTTCTTTGTACATCTGGAAGAATTTGGCTGTGAATCTATCAGGTCCTGTGCTTTTATTGGTTGATAGGCTATTTATTACTGATTCATATTCAGAATTCATTATTGGTCTATTCAGGGAATCAATTTCTTCCTGGTTCAGTCTTGGGAGGGTGTATGTATCCAGGAATTCATCAATCTCTTCTAGTTTTCTAGTTTGTTTGCATAGAGGTTTTCATAGTAGTTTCTCATGTTTATTTTTATCTCTGTGCCTTCAGTGGTAACATCTCCTTCATGATTTCTAATTGTGTTTATTTGGATCTTCTCTCTTTTCTTCTTTATTAGTCTTGCTAGCAGCCTATGCATCTTACTATTTTTTTCAAAAAATAAACTCCTGGACTCATTGATCTTTTGAATAGTTTTTCATGTCTCAATTTCCATCAGTTCAACTCTGATTTTGGTTATTTCTTGTCTTCTGCTAGTTTTGGAGTTGATTTGTTCTTGCTTCTTTAATTCTTTCAGTTGTGATGTTAGGTTCTTAATTAGAGCTTTTCCCTGCTTTTTGGCATGGGCATTTAGTGCTATGAATTTCCCTCTTAATGCTATCTTAGCTGTGTCCCAGAGATTCTGGTATGTTGTGTCTTTGTTCTCATCCATTTAAAAAAACTTCTTGATTTCTGCCTTAATTTCATTATTTACCCAAAAGTCATTCAGGATCAGCTTGTTTAATCTCCATGTAATTGCATGATTTTGAGCTATTTTCTCAGTCTTGACTTCTATTTTTATTGCACTGTGGTCTGAAAATGTGTCTGGTATGATTTCAGTTCTTTTGCATTTGCTGAGGTTTGTTTTATGTCCAATTATTTGGTCAATTTTAGAGTATGTGTCATGTGGCAATAAGAAGAATATACGTTGTGTTGTTTTGGGGTGAAGAGTTCTATAAAGGTCTATCAGATCCATTTGGCCCAATGTTGAGTTCAGGTCCTGAATATCTTTGTTAATTTTCTGCTTTGATGATTTAACACTGTCAGTGGATTGTTAAAATCTCTCATTATAATTGTGTGGGAGTCTTCATCTCTTTGTAGGTCTCTAAAAACTTGCTTTATCAATCTGGATGCTCCTGTGTTGGGTGCATATATATTTAGGATAGTTAGGCCTTGTTGAATTGAAATTGTTACCATTATGTAATGCCTTTCTTTGTCTTTTTTGATCTTTGTCTGTTTAAAGTCTGTTTTGTCTGAAATTAGGATTGCAACCCCTGGCCTTTTTTTTTCTTTCTGTTTTCATTTGCTTGGTAGATTTTCTTCCATCTCTTTATTTTGAGCCTATAGGTGTCATTATGTGTAAAATGGGTCTCTTAAAGACAGCATGCCATTGGGACTTGCTTTTTTATCCAGCTTTCCAGTCTGTGCCTTTTAAGTGGGGGCATTTAGCCCATTTACATTCAAGGTTAGTATTGCTATATGTGGATTTGATTCTGTCATTGTGTTGTTAGCTGGTTATTTTGCTGGCCTGTTTGTATGGTTGCTTTATAGTGTCATTGGTCTGTGTGTTTACTTGAGTTTTTGTATTAGCTGGTAGTTGTCTTTGTGCATTTAGTGCTCCTTTCAAGGATCTCTTGTAAGGCAGGTCTGATGGTAACAAACTCCGTCTATTATCTGCTTATCTGAAATGGATCTTATTCCTCCTTCACTTAAGAAGCTTAGCTTGGCTGGATGTGAAATTCTTGGCTGAAGACTTTTTTTCTTTAAGAATGTTGAATACAGGCCCCCAGTCTCTTCTGGCTTGCAGGGTTTCAGCTGGAAGGTCCTCTTTTAGCCTAATGGAGATCCCTTTGTAGGTAACCTGCCCTTTCTCTCTAGCTGACTTCAACATTCTTTCTTTCTTTTTCTTTTTTTATTATACTTTAAGTTTTAGGGTACATGTGCACAATGTGAAGGTTAGTTACATATGTATACATGTGACATGCTGGTGCGCTGCACCCATTAACTCGTTATCTAGCATTAGGTATATCTCCCAGTGCTATCCCTCCCCACTCCCACCTCCCCCCAACCCACAACAGTCCCCAGAGTGTGATGTTCCCCTTCCTGTGTCCATGTGTTCTCATTGTTCAATTCCCACCTATGAGTGAGAATATGCAGTGTTTGGTTTTTTGTTCTTGCAATAGTTTACTGAGAATGATGATTTCCAATTTCATCCATGTCCCTACAGAGGACACGAACTCATCATTTTTTATGGCTGCATAGCATTCCATGGTGTATATGTGCCACATTTTCTTAATCCAATCTATCATTGTTGGACATTTGGGTTGGTTCCAAGTCTTTGCTATTGTGAATAGTGCTGCAATAAACATACGGGTGCATGTGCCTTTATAACAGCATGATTTATAGTCCTTTGGGTATATACCCAGTAATGGGATGGCTGGGTCAAATGGTATTTCTAGTTCTAGATCCCTGAGGAGTCGCCACACTGACTTCCACAATGGTTGAACTAGTTTACAGTCTCACCAACAGTGTAAAAGTGTTCCTATTTCTCCACATCCTCTCCAGCACCTGTTGTTTCCTGACTTTTTAATGATTGCCATTCTAACTGGTGTGAGATGATATCTCATTGTGGTTGCACTCTCCCAAGACTAAACCAGGAAGAAGTTGAATCTCTGAATAGACCAATAACAGGATCTGAAATTGTGGTAATAATCAATAGCTTACCAACCAAAAAGAGTCCAGGACCAGATGGATTCACAGCCGAATTCTACCAGAGGTACAAGGAGGAACTGGTACCATTCCTTCTGAAACTATTCCAATCAATAGAAAAAGAGGCAATCCTCCCTAACTCATTTTATGAGGCCAGCATCATCCTGATACCAAAGCCGGGCAGAGACACAACCAAAAAAGAGAATTTTAGACCAATATCCTTGATGAACATTGATGCAAAAATCCTCAATAAAATACTGGCAAACTGAATCCAGCAGCACATCAAAAAGCTTATCCACCATGATCAAGTGGGCTTCATCCCTGGGATGCAAGGCTGGTTCAATATACACAAATCAATAAATGTAATCCAGCATATTAACAGAGCCAAAGACAAAAACCACATGATTATCTCAATAGATGCAGAAAAGGCCTGTGACAAAATTCAACAATGCTTCATGCAAAAAACTCTCAATAAATTAGGTATTGATGGGACGTATCTCAAAATAATAAGAGCTATCTATGACAAACCCACAGCCAATATCACACTGAATGGGCAAAAACTGGAAGCATTCCCTTTGAAAAGGGGCACAAGACAGGGATGCCCTCTCTCACCACTCCTATTCAACACAGTGTTGGAAGTTCTGGCCAGGGCAATCAGGCAGGAGAAGGAAATAAAGGGTATTCAATTAGGAAAAGAGGAAGTCAAACTGTCCCTGTTTGCACACGACATGATTGTATATCTAGAAAACCCCATTGTCTTGGCCCAAAATCTCCTTAAGCTGATAAGCAACTTCAGCAAAGTCTCAGGATACAAAATCATTGTACAAAAATCACAAGCATTCTTATACACCAATAACAGACAGAGAGCCAAATCATGAGTGAACTCCCATTCACAATTGCTTCAAAGAGAATAAAATACCTAGGAATCCAACTTACAAGGGATGTGAAGGACCTCTTCAAGGAGAACTACAAACCACTGCTCAATGAAATAAAAGAGGATACAAACAAATGGAAGAACATTCCATGCTCATGGGTAGGAAGAATCAATATCGTGAAAATGGCCATACTGCCCAAGGTAATTTATAGATTCAATGCCATCCCCATCAAGCTACCAATGACTTTCTTCACAGAATTGGAAAAAAACTACTTTAAAGTTCATACGGAACCAAAAAAGAGCCCGCACCACCAAGTCAATCCTAAGCCAAAAGAACAAAGCTGGAGGCATCACACTACCTGACTTCAAACTATACTACAAGGCTACAGTGACCAAAACAGCATGGTACTTGTACCAATACAGAGATATAGATCAATGGGACAGAACAGAGCCCTCAGAAATAACGCCGCATATCTACAACTATCTGATCTTTGACAAACCTGAGAAAAACAAGCAATGGGGAAAGGATTCCCTATTTAATAAATGGTGCTGGGAAAACTGGCTAGCCATATGTAGAAAGCTGAAACTGGATCCCTTCCTTACACCTTATACAAAAATCAATTCAAGATGGATTAAAGACTTAAACATTAGACCTAAAACCATAAAAACCCTAGAAGAAAATCTAGGCATTACCATTCAGGACATAGGCACGGGCAAGGACTTCATGTCTAAAACACCAAAAGCAATGGCAACAAAAGCCAAAATTGACAAATGGGATCTAATTAAACTAAAGAGCTTCTGCACAGCAAAAGAAACTACCATCAGAGTGAACGGGCAACCCACAAAATAGGAGAAAATTTTTGCAACCTACTCATCTGACAAAGGGCTAATATCCAGAATCTACAATGAACTCCAACAAATTTACAAGAAAAAAACAAACAATCCCATCAAAAAGTGGGCGAAGGACATGAACAGACACTTCTCAAAAGAAGACATTTATGCAGCCAAAAAACACATGAAAAAATGCTCGCCATCACTGGCCAACATTCTTTCTTTCATTTTGACCTTGGAAAATCTGAAGAAGATATGTCTTGGGGAATGATCTTCTTGTGTGGAATCTTGCAGGAGTTCTCTCTATTTCCTGAATTTGACTGTTGGCCTCTCTAGCAAGGTTGGGGAAGTTTTCATGGATGATATCCTGAAATATATTTTCCAAGTTGCTTGATTTCTCCTCCTCCCTTTCAGGGATGCCAGTGATTCATAGATTTGGCCCTTTATATAATCTCATACTTCTCAGAGGTTTTGTTCGTTCCTTTTTATCCTTTTTTCTTTATTTTTGTCTGACTCTTTCATTTAAGGGAACCAGTCTTCAGGTTCTGAGATTCTTTCCTCAGCTTGGTCTATTCTGCTGTTAATACTTGTGATTGCATTGTGAAATTCTTGTATTACATTTTTCAGCTCTGTCAGCTCATTAGGTTCTTTTATATACCAGATATTTTGTCCTCTAGCTCCTGTATCATTTTATCATGATTCTTAGTTTCCTTGGATTGGGTTTTGCCATTTTTCTGAATCTTGATGGTCTTCATTTCTATCCATATTGTGAATTCTCTTTCTATCATTTCAGCCAGCTTAGCTTGGTTAAGAACCCTTGCTGGAGACCTGGTGCAGTTGTTTGAAGGACACACGACATTCTGGCCATTTGAGTTGGTGGAATTCTTGCACTGATTCTTATATATATATATATATATATATATATATTTTTTTTTTTTTTTTTTTGAGATGGTGTTTCACTCTTGTCGCCCAGGGTGGAGTGCAATGGTGATTCTTTCTTATCTATGCATGTGGGTGTTCCTTTAACTGCAGGGTAGATTGAGTGCAATCAACAGACTTCTTTTCTGGATGTTTTCACAAAGCCAAGGCTTTGTGCAGGGTCTGTATTTGAAGCTGACTTCTTGTCTTTGATTTCAGAGTGGAGTATGTTAGGAAGGTATTTTTAGTGCTGAAGTTTTGGGGTGTGATCAAGTAGATGGCACTTAGGCTTATTGGTCAATTGCTAGATTCTTGCTCAATTGTGTGGCTCCCCTGTGTTTCCTCATAGTTGTAGCTGTGTTCCCTCTCAATGTTCTGAAGGTGTTGGCTCTTCTCCCCCTTGAGTGCTGGCTGTAGTTCACAGCTTGGCACTCCTGGGCTGCCCACTGCAGCTCTGAGGTGATATCAGTGTTTATGTTCCTTCCCCAACCTGGAGCAGAAGAAGGGACATTAGTAGTGGTTGTGGCCAAGGGTCTTTTGCTTGAGAGATGTAGGTTAGCAGTCATTCAGTGCAATCAGCCCAGGAGGGAGGGTCTGTTCTGTGGGCCCAAGCTGGGGGTTTTCTGTTTGGTGATGAGCAGTAGGGCATGGGTGGGACCCATGGAAGATGGACGTTGGTTTGACTGCAGCTTGTTGGAGGTGTGGATAAGGCACTTAGGAACTTTGCTCCTTCATTAGTCCAAGGGTAGCAAGGGCAGTTCCACTACAAAGGCTTGAGAAAAGAGGTTTCCAGTTGTGCCTGGGGGCTTTGTCTAGGAAGTTATAGAGCTTCTAATGGCTTGATAGCCCCAGCAAGGGGTGGCTGGAGGCCCAAGCCTGGAGGAACTGCCCAGCAAGGAGATAAAGGAATGGGCACCCACGTGACAGTCTGGCCAATTTTGCATAGGGCTACTGCAGTATGCTGGGGGTCTGCTCCAGTCCCTAGTCACCTCGGATTTTTCAGTACCACTTACCTGGGCAGGGGAGGTTCCTGTGGTTTCATGTTGCTCCTGAGTGGGCTGTCGTCTTGCCTTGCTTTTCTCCATTCTCCATGGGTCGAGTTGTTTCCTTGATTAGTTCCAGTGGGTGTACCTGCATGTTTCAGTTGAAGGTGCTGTATTTACTCACCCTTTCCATTCCTCTCTGTGAGAGTAATGCATACTAGCTGCTTCTATTTGGCCATCTTGGCCACACACACCCCACTCCCAGTAACTGTATTTTAATTTTTAAATTCTGAGGAAACTTCATACTATTTTCTATAGTGCTTGTACCATTTTACATCCCCACCAATAATACACAAGGGTTCCAATTTCTTCACATCCTTGTCAACACATTATTTTCTGTATTTTTGATAATGCCCATCTGGTGGGTGTGAGGTGATTATCTAAATGGGATTTTGATTTGCATTTCCCTGATGATTAGTGATGCTGAGCAGCTTTTCATGGCCTTTGGCCAACTGTATATCTTCTTTGAAGAAATGTCTGTTCAGGTATTTTGTTCATTTCCTAGTTGGATTATTTGTTTTGTTGTTGTTGAGTTGTAGGAGTTCTTTATAGGGGTTATTTTCTGGATATTATACCCTTATGAGATATATGATTGACAGATATTTTCTCCCATTCTGCAGGTTGTCTTTTCACTTGTTAACCTTTTTTCTGTTTAGAAAAGAAAGCGTAGCTCACTGCCAGCACTTATTTAATTTTATATAAACACACTCTTTGAGGCTGATACAAATCTGACTGATTTTCAATGTGAAAATAAAATATAAAAACTGTCTTTAGAGTTATTTATAAACAGAACTCACATAAGAATTGTCTGATCATCAGAATCATCCATTTCAGGAAAATCAGATTCATCAAATGAATCTTTGGCCTATAACTATTCAACAACAATGTTAACATTATTTGTAGGAATGCTACATTTTCTAGGATTTGACATTTTTGGCAGTAGAGAATTACTATGTTTTGTAAATAGAAATACCACTACTAACTATCTACGAATGCTTTAAATTGAATGATGTCTTTTGTTTCCAAAGTCGATAGCTAGAGTGATGAGAAAATAATAATAAAAGCAAGATAGTTCATGGCAACGTTATCTCAGGGTAAATGCTGCTGCTGCAAGCACCACCAGTGAGTATTCTCAGGACAAATGGGAAAAGGGGTTAAATTATTCCTTTGCTGCACCAAAGTTTTAAAGTTTTATGTAAACCCATTAGTCTATTTTTGCTTTTACTGCTGTGCTTTTGGTGTCATATCCAATAAATCACTGACAAATCCTATGTCATAAAGCTTTTCTCCATTGAAATAAACTCAATGTCATAAAGCTTTACTTCTTCCTTTTATATCTAGATGCCTTTTATTTATTTTTCTTGACCAATTGCTTTGGCTAAGACTTCTAGAACTATGCCGAGTAGGAGTGGTAGGACTGGGCATTCTTACCTTGTCCCTGACCTTGGAGAAAAGGCTTTTAATTTTCACCATTAAGTATGATTTTATTGTGGGCATTTCACATATGGGCTTTATTATGTTGAGGTAAATTCCTTCTATTCCTAGTGTTGAGCGTTTTTGTCATGAAAGGGTACTGATTTTTGTCAAATGCTTTTGCTCTATCAGTTGAGATGATTTATGTGTATTTGTCCTTCATTCTGTTAAGGTGGTATATTACATTGATCAAGGATATTGGCCTGTAGTTTAGTTATAGTATCTTTGATGTTGAATACAGGGTAAGTCTGACCTCATAGAATGAATTTGGAAGAGTTTTCTCCAGTTCAATTTTTCTTTTCTTTTTTTTTTTTTCCTTCATAGAGCCAGGATCTCTCTATGTTGCCTAGGCTAGCCTTGAACTCCTAGGCTCAAGCAATCTTCCTGCTTCGGCCTCTCTAAGTGCTGGGATTATAGGCATGAGCCTCTGCACCCAGCTTTACTCTTTAATTTTTATTTTTTGAGAGTTTGAGAAGGATTAGTGTTAATTCTTCTTAAATATTTGGTAGAATTCTCTAGTGAGGCCATCTGATCCTGAGCTTTTCTCTATTGGGAGGTTTTTGATCACTGATTCAATCGTATTAGTTATAGGTCTGTTCAGATTTTTAATTCCTTCATGATTCACATATGAAACATTAATAAATACTCATATATAGTATTTGGAACATGAATATATATAACATTATATATGCATTACATTAATAAATATAGCAAGGTGTAGACAACTTTATTCATCAGAATTCCCTTCAGAGAATACTATGTGTGTTTGGAAGAAATGTTTTCATGAGAAAATTGGTGTAGAGATGAGACATCATAATCATGCTCAAACAGAAAAAGATGGTCACTGACTGCAATATCCTAACCTCCTAAGACAACCATTGACAAATGGCAGACACACAGGAAATATTTGTTAAATATGTGAACTATGGAGTATTGGTTCTATTAACTGGAGAATCTGTTACTTTGCTGAATCTTTGCAATGAGTTTTCATAGGCAAATTTGAGGGCAGGAACAGAGAAAGCTAGTTTGATCTGCCTAATAATAAAGGGTAGAAACATTTGAAGTTCCTGAGGAAATCTGAGAGTGAGAGAGTAAAAAGATAGGTTAGGTAGGCATTTGCATAGGCAGTCAGTCCATGGAAGAGAAGCAGAGAGAGAGAGAAAAGGTCATTCAGAGTGGAGAGTAACGTTGAAACAGGACTTCAGAGAGCATACACAGCATAAAGAAATTTTAAAGTTGCTTGCTGTAGGATAGTAATTTAAACACTTTCCTTTGTCTCTCTTTCAAAGTGTTTAGCAAAGGCTGCCTTACTTATTTAAAGCTTTTGGGTGAGTGGATTCTTTTGGGGTAACTCAAAGAGGTACTGAGTTCTCTGTCCATATCTGTACAGGGGGAACCCAGGGACAGCAAGGGAGCACACATGACTGGAAAAGAGAAGTGATATGTATATATGTGAAAGAATTAGAGAGAAAGAGATCCCTCCCTTGTAAGACAATCCCCTCTACTGGTGAACAGGGTTTCCAGGGATGTCTTAAAGTATAGGTGGCTCAAAGCACTGGTATTGAGTGAGTGGCTGCAGTGTCCAGAGTCCTTGGGCAAGCATTTGTGCATTTTTAGCTTTATTGCACCTTTCCTGGTGTGCCTTATTGAAAGAGGATGTCTGTAATTTCACACACTGATTCTGAAATGTATAAAAATTGCAGAGCTTGCAAACTTTGAGTTGCAAGAATGTTTCTTTTAAACTTCATATCGAAAATGAATCCTGTCAGTTTTATAGTTCGTCTATCCCTTACTCCAATTTTGAATTCTGTTATGCAGTCAATCCAGTGTGGTTTTAGGCTCTTGTGGGGCTTTTAGAATTTCATTACTCCTGATATGTGCACCTGCAATATACATTAAAGCTAAGAGGAAACAGCACATTTCCATTGCTTGATGTCTACATTTATGGCAAATGAGCACTGGGGCTGATTGAATTACTTTCATATTTAAAGCTGGCCCCATATTTCTGTCTTCTATTTTTAGTAGCAGTAGAGGGTACACTAATTTTCACAGGACTTTGCATAACTCCCTTTTTAAAAATTTGAATGAAGCTCAAAGTGGTTAATGAACAAACTATTTTCAAATATGAAAACCAAGGCATAGTAATGTCAATGAAAAGAGTCAAACTCTGTAAAATATTTGAAGAGATGTATTCTGAGCCAAGAGCATGGACCACGACACAGCCCTCAGGAGGTCCTGAGACCATGTGCCCAAGGTGGTCATGGTGCAGCTTGGTTTTACACATTTTAGGGAGGCATGAGACATCAATCAAATACACTTAAGAAATACATTGTTTTAGCTCAGAAAGGTGGGACAACTCAAAGCAGGGGGTAGGGGGGAGCTTCCAGGCTATAGGTAAATTTAAATATTTTCTGGTTGACAATTGGTTGAGTTTGTCTAAAGACCTGGGATCAATAGAAAGGAAATGTTCAGGTTAAGATAAAAGATTATAGACAGCAAGTTTCTTTTGAAGTCTTATAGTGGCTGCCCTTAGAGACAATAGATGACAAATGTTTCCTATTCAGACCTTTAAAAGGTGCTAGACTCTTAGTTAATCTTTTCAGGACTTGGGGGGCCTGGAAGAAAAAGAGCTAGCTATGTTAATAGACATTCTTACAGACGCAGATTTTCCCCCACAAAGGACAGCTTTGCAGGACCATTTCAAAATATGGCAAAGAAGCATGTTTTGGGGTAAAATACTTCGACTTTCTTCTTTGTCACATAATGTTATGCCAGAGTCCGATTAGAAAGTAAGTCACGATATATAGGGTTAAATAAAATCCATCTGATGAGAACTTATGGATTGTAGGGCATGACTCCATAGATCTCTTAGATACGAATTAGGGCAAGATTTAAAAAAATCAGAGCTTAGTCCTCAGTAAAATAGCCAGGACAACAAAATTACTGGTGTTGACCTACTGAGTTGCCACCTCCCAATTTATTCTTCCCTCTCTGACTGGGAGCCATTAATACTCTTAATCTTTTAATAATATTTGAAATATTCATTCTGTTGATGAAAAGAATCAAACTCTGTGAAATATTTGAAGAGATTTATTCTGAGCCAAATATGAGTGACCATGTCTTGTGACACAGCCCCAGGAGATCCCAGGCTACAGCTTGGTTTTATACATTTTAGGGAGACATAAGACATCAATTGATACATGGAAGATGTACATTGGTTTCATCCAGAAAGGCAGGACAACTTGAGTCAGTGGGCTTCCAGGTTGTAGGTGGATTCAAATATTTTCAGATTGGCAGTTGGTTAAAAGAATTTATCCAAAGACTTGGAATCAATAGAAGTGAGGGTCTAGATCAAGATAAAGAGCTGTAGAAGCCAAGGTTATTATTATGTGGATGAAGCCTCAGATAGCATACTTCAGACAGAATAGAGTGTAAATGTTTCTTATCAGACTTAAAAGATGCCAAACTCTGTTAATTATCTTCTGGATCAAGAAAAACCTAGAAAGGGAAGGGAATTCTCTATAGAATGTAGATTTTCCCCACAAGACACAGCTTGGGGGGAATTGGGGCAAGATTAAAAAATCAGAGCTTAGTCCTCACACCTAACCTCCCTTTCCTGTATGGACTATATCCCATAATTAATGAGGAAAAGTTCTCTCTATAGGAGCAATTGAGCCAATCAATGCATAAGGATGCTAGATTTAGAATGCACTTTTTTTTTTATTAGTGGGTATAAAAGGCTAATCATCTAATGAAATAATGGATCTAGGAAGTAACCATTAATAACTGCTAGCATTGTTAGGTCCAAGGCAGATGTCTAGATCAAGCTGATAGCACCTGAACCCAGTGATCAATCTTGACCTCAGCACATTAGCCATGTGTCATAGCATGTGCCTGTAGTCCCTGGGCAACAGAGAGAGACTTGGTCTAAAAAAAAAGCAGCCAGCTGAAGTGATGGTCAAAGGGGTCCAGCAAGAGAAACTCCAGAGAGCCCACAAATACACTTCAAGAAAAAGGAAGAGATCTATACACTCATCAAGCTCAAAGAAACTCAGCTTTAAGCTTCTGCCAGGGCCTGAGAGAATCAACACCAGATTTCATGGGTACCAGGAACACACACGTCTCCTGTCCCTGGTTCTCCACCCAAAGAGAATCAGGGAGGAAAGGGAATCATGGGCAGGTGAAACCATCGTGCAGACCCAAGCTGGTAGGATTGGGGAGCCTTCATTTTAAAGGAAATTTGAAGTTTTTACTATTTCATGTGACTAGACAGTTTAATTACAGAAGTAAGACTATAACGAAAATAAGCAGGTACATTGGGAGACCTGAGGAAAGCATAATTCCACAGAACAAGTTTGAATGGTGAGTCAGGGGAGGGGGTAAAGAGAGAATAACTGATTGCTTGCTTTCTGCTCTTGACCTTATGAGCTCTACTTCTGCAACCAACAATGTTTAACAATTTAGTGCTTAGCAAAGAAAAACTGTTTTGTTTTGGTCATCAACAACATATTGAGGTAGAGGTAATATTATTCACTAGACATCCCTGCAGGGAGAGCTTTGCATTTATTTGAAATAAATACTTTGATAACTCATTGGAGATGGAGAGCAAGACTTCCAATGGCCTATTTAAGCAACAAGGATGACACTAAGCTTCTGGGGAAGGAGATGGGGACAAAGGAACAGAACAAGAGAGTGAGAGAGAGATTGTACATTGTGCAAAGAGACCTTCTGCCCAAGACCCCTCAAATCTGTAGTTTACAAGAAACTCACTTGTGTCTGGTGTGAGCAGATACTCCCTCCTAGGAGTCAGTGAGGGACTAAGGTCTGACCCTCAGCTAGTCTATGTGATATCTTTGTACAAATTAGAAAAGGCCCTCAGGTGAAATAAATTACAAATTGGTGTACCCTCTGGGTGGAGGAATCACCTAAAACACCCCTTTCTCTAAACTCTCCTTGGAATGCTGATCTGGAGCTGGATTTAGTTGTCACCTTGCCCAGAGTCTAACCTGGTTCTGTGTCCAGATGAACAGCTGTCCTGGCTCTCAGCCCAGGTTGATGAGGAAAAAAACAGCACAAATGAACAAGGAGGCAAAAGACAAAGAAAGCTATTAAAGTCTAAGCCCCCTAGAAGACTTTCCAGGCTGTAGAATCAGGATTTCAGGCTATCTTCTATAAATCTTACAAGTCAATCTGGTCATACACACATCAACTTCCATCTGCTATCTCCATGGTTTATCTAATCTTGCCAAGTTGTAAGTAATTCAGGGGATAAAAATCTCAGGACTGTCTGCATCTATCACTGTTCACCATTCCTCACAACTGGATAAAAGCAACTAATCAAAATGAACTAATGAGCTGTGTGGCCTGCCTTGGCCTTTTTCTGGTCTCCTCTCCTCTCCACATTTGGGGCTTAGCCTCTCTCTGCTGGGTGGCAGCTCGAGCTCCAAGGGACACCTGCATAGACCAGCATGTTCAGGGACCCCACCAGCTGCCTCTGCACACTCCACACTTTGTGTACAGGAGAACCATATGGCAGGTCCCCTGAAAGAAAAACAAGGTGTGCAAGCAAAGAAAATAAATACAGAGAAGAAAGTGACAAAAGCAGCAAGCAGAGAAAGGAATAGGGGTTTGCAGCTGCTGGTGGAAAAAATGCAGGCAGCCGACTGGGCTGCATAGTTGCCTGAAAAGCAAACAGGGAGGTAACCTGCTAGCCAAATCTGTGTCTGAGGGCAAAGCAGGGTGTTTTCTTGGGCTGTGAGCCTGTGCCATCTCTTGTGGTCAGACGCTGGGTAACAACAACTTCCCTGTCTTGACATTCAAGCACCTGGGTGCGAGGGGAGATGCTCAAGAGGGTGGTCTGGGGGGAGGAATGTGGTGGGAGGGTGGCCAGAACTGTGGGAAGAGAAGTTTAACTCAAGAGGTGAATTCATCATGGGTGTGAGGCTGGAATCAGGAAGGGCAGAGGGAATGATGATTCAAGCCACAGGTCATATGAGGAAACACTCTCGGCTGTACTTTGGTGAGTGAGCCGAGGAGAGACCCAAGGTCGCAATGAGCCTCTCCCTGAAGTTTCTTCAGATGTGCATTTGGTGCAATTTCAGGGAATATTTTAGTCCTTAGAAGGAACTAGAAATACAAATGTTGTACTAAGAAGAATGTGGAAGAGATGGGGTTTGAGGGAGAGAGTGAAGATCAGTCAGTCAGGTGGTATACTGAAGATGTTATACCTCATAAAGGTATACCTCATAAAGGTATGAGGACATATAAAATGGGCTTCCAGACTATTCTTTGAGTGTTTTGCTCCCCACTCACTTTGCAGCCAATTAACAGGAAACTCCAGCTCAATTGCTGAAATAACAGAGATATTTATACACTCACACAAGAAGACTGCAGGGAGGGCTGTGTCAAGGTAGTTAATTCAGTGGCTCAGACTTCATGACAGACCAGGTTCTTCCTGTCTCTCAGCTCTCCCAGCATCGGTGTGAGGGCTTTGCTCTCAGCCCAGCTCCGCTGCTGGTGAAAGGATGGGCCCAGGATTTCCAGCAGCCATATCTAGACTAGGCAGGGTCCAGAAGCAGAAAGGAGATTATCTCTTCCTCCCACCTCAGCCTCCCAAAGTGTTGGGATTATAGTCAGGAGCCACTGTGCCCAGCCCATGCTTCTTTCTGAGTGTGAGAAAATCTTTCCCCAGACTGTCCCAGCAGACTTCCCTTCACATCCTGCTGTTCCAGTAGGTAACTAGTCAGACATGAGCAGTGCAGGAGATGAACCCCACCCAACCAGGAATGTCAGGCAACCATCAGGTAATAGTCAGGTGGTATTAAGCTGTCTCTCTAAAATAGTATTTGGCCACAGCCAGCGCCATGGAAAGGCAGTCTCCCAATAGAAAAACCTGAAACTGGTGATCAGCAGCTTCCCAATAAGATCTCAGGAGTTGGGCAAGTGGGCTTGAGCATGCACACTAAGAGGCAAAATGGTAGCATTTAACTGGTCTGTGACCTTCCTTTGGGAACACTCGACTGGTAAGTGAATGCCTCAAGTGATCATGTGCACAATTTTAGTAAACACATTGTGCATGAGGCCCCTCCCAAGTGCTGGCAGGCCACTGCTCATGCAGACAGCCCACCTCAAGGGAAGAATCAGGGGGGAAGTAACAAGATCTTAGGAGCAGGCCAACGTATAAAACCCCAAGTCAAAAGGTCAAACCATGCACTTGATCTCTCAAGATGCCCACTTGGTCCCCTTCCAAGTGTACTTTACTTCCTTTCATTCCTGCCCTAAAACTTTTCAATAAACTTTTACTCCTGCCTTAAACCTTGCCTTGGTCTCTCACTCTCGGTCTGTCCCTAGGTCAAATTCTTTCTTCTGAAGAGGCAAGAATTGAGGTTGCTGCAGAGCCATAACGATTCACCACCAGTAACACTACTGACCCGAGTTGTATCACATGTTCTGGTCCAATCCAAGACATTGGCAGGGGATGAGCTTAAACCAGAGATCAGAATAGTTTTTACATTTTTAAATGGTTAAAAAAAATCAAAAGAAGAATAGTTCACTGTATTTGAAAATTATATGAAATTCAAATTTCAGTGTCCATAAGTAAATAACATATTATTGGAACACAACCACACTGTCATTTATTTACATATTGTCTATAGCTTCTTTCAGACTGCAATGGCAGAGTTGAGCAGTTTCAATAGAGATATGGCCTGCAAAGCCTAAATATTGGCTATTTGGTGCTTTCCAGAAAAAGTTTGCTGACCCTCAGCTTGGACTTTTCAGACCCACCCTCGAGGCTACACCGGAAGCTGGTCCCCTTGAAACCATACACCAAAGGGAGGATAACAAAATTGGGCTTCTTTGGAAAGGAGAATGGGGCATGAAATGGACTCTCCGCCTCCCCACTGGCCATCATTCATTAATTGATCCAAGGCTAGGAATGTCCCAAAGCCAGGCCAATCTGATTTTTTTGAACTTGTAAACAGGGAAGGGAGCCATGCCCTCTCTGGTGGCTTGACTGTCAAATGTGAGTCAGAGAGCTGCCAATGGCCAAATTCCCACCACTGCTGAGGATACAGTTTAAGAGAACAGAACAGGTTTCAGAAACAAGAGCTGGAGAGGAAGAGATCATGAGCTGGCAGTGTTTATGTCCCTGCTTCTAGCTGTGCCTGAGGCCCAACTGCAGGCCTCATTGCCCAAGGATTTAGGAACTGAGCCAACACATTCCCCATGTCACCCATGAGAGTATAATGTGAGTATAATGGCTCATTTTTAGACAGATGGGACTCAACTACTCCAGGCTCCAAAGAATTTACTATCAGTCTGGGAAGCCAAGACTTTTACTCCTAAGAAGGGAACTAATATCCAAGGACCAAAGGATAAGCTTAGCCTGTAAGTGCCATAAGGTTTCAGAGTGGAGAGGGATGATAATGGGTTGGTGTGTTTGAAGAAAAGTGATGAAGGAAGGTAAATTTGAGAGAGACCTTAAGGTTAGGTCAGAACTTAGAGAGGAAAGAGACAGGAATCTCACAGCTGAAGAATTTTCTGGGCAGAAGCAAAGATGAAAACAAGCAAAGCAGATTCAGAGTAGGCCAATCTAACCAATTTTGTAGCCTGTAGCTGAGTCAAGGGATGTTGGAAGCCACATGAATCCACTGAAAGTTGACAAGCAGGGTCTTCCATGATGCCATTTGTGGGTATTATGATGATTTGTCCAAACCTTACAGTAGCTTCACTTACATATCTGGAATGTATAGTAAAATTCTGAATTCTCTTTTATCATGTGTATGCTAATAACCATAGGCCTATCCTCCTTAGAAAAGCACTATTGGTAGAGTATAGATTATTTTTAATGTCCTTCCAAAATTATACCTCAGACACTCAGCCAGAAGGACCAGGCTTAGCCAAACATTATTGAACTGAACCAGGAAAGCCTGCACTCCAAGTCTGTGTTTTTGAGACTTTGAAAAATGAAGCTGGGAAACTGCTTGTCTCCTAGTAATTATGATCTGTTCTCTACACACCATTCACCCTAATAATATTACTCCACAGGAAAGAGAGGGAGGAATGAAGGGAGAGAGCCAGTACCTATTTAGGAGGTCCGCCTGGTGAGTGTGACTTCTGACCTCTCTGCAAGGTCCCAGTCTCTTGTGCCCACTGGGAACCAGATTGGCCCTTGGCAAAACTGTGAAATGGCCGACATTTATCTTTCAGGCCTCCTATATCTATATTTTAGAGAGTTTTTTCTTTTTTTCTTTTCTTTCTTTCTTTTTTTTTTTTTTTTTTGAAAGAGTCTTGCTCTGTCTCCTAGGCTTGAGTGCAGTGGCACAATCTTGACTCACTGCAACTTCCGCCTCCTGGGTTCAAGCAATTCTCCTGCTTCAGCTTCCTGAGTAGCTGGGATTACAGGTGTGTACCACCACGCTTGGCTAATCTTTGTATTTTTAGTAGAGACAGGGTTTCACCATGTTGGCCAGGCTGTTCTTGAACTCCTGACCTCAAGTGATTTGCCTGCCTCAGCCTCCCAAAGTGCTGGGATTACAGGCGTGAGCCTCCATGCCCAGCCTTCATCTTTCTTCTAAATCATCTCTCTCAACTTTCTACCTTTCTCAGGCTCCTGGAGGCTAATCACTGCAATTTTGTTGCCAGGATCTCACACTGTAACATTATATGAAACACCTCATAGTGAAAATTATCTGGATTCTGCCAATAGCCTCTGGTTAGCCGTCCTCTCCCAGCTGCAGTCCCTGCAAGTCAATACTCCATATTGCGGCCACCTGAGCTTTCAGAATTGTAAACTTGATCCCATGACCCCCTCCCACCTACATTAAAACCCTCCAAGGATCCTACATTGCCTGATGAGTAAAGTTCAAGTTCCTTGCTGTGATGTAAAACAATGGTTCTCGAATGTGGTCCCCAGGCCTGGAGCAGCATTATTGGGTAACAAGGTAGAAATGTAAATTCTAGGCCCTCATCTGAGACTTACTGAGTCAGAAACTCTGGGGGTGGGGTCCAGAAATCTGTGTTTTAAAAAGCCCTCTAGATGAATCTGATGTAAGGTCAAGTTTAGGAAACACCGATATAGGCAATCACTGCCCACTGGCCCAGATTCATTGCCCACTAAACCCAAGATGCAGCCTAGGACTTAGCCCAAAGATGGCAAAGAGAGTTCACCGAATTTCCCGATTCTTTTCAGAGTTTAGTGGCTACCTGACATGAGGTGTTGAAGATAATGAAGCCTCAGTCTTAGTTATCAGGATAATTTGCCCCATAATTGATTAATGACATGTAAGAGATAGGGTAATGGCTGCCCGGTGTCAGGCACTTTCCATTCTAATTCTAGCCACAGATTTTCAGTCCCTGCAAATCACCAAGGCTTAAACTGATATAATGCAGATACCATCCAGGCAGAAAGATGTATATTTCAGAAGATGACTGCCTGGAGACGGTTGAGCCCTAGGGAACAAATTTAGTCCTAAGGAACCAATCCCTGCAGCTGGTGCCATCAGGACATCACTGGCTATGAATTTGGGGTATGTGGGTACCAGGATGGGATTTTGAGGGCAGAGGTTCTCTCCAGTGGAGCTGTGCTCTACCTCCTTTACTTTGTGTGCATAGCTGTAACCGATTAGTAGGGAGCCAGGAAAAGAGCTCAGCTTCGGGGCAGAAAGGAGACACCCCTACATGAGGCAAGACAGCCCTGTCATCTGTGGCTGGAGATGGATACTGTGGTGAGGCTCCTGCTCAGGACCCCTAAGTCCTAAGGGGGGATTTAAGTGCAATACTTAATTTTTCCTACATGAGAGGCAGAGTGCAGGGAGGCCAGACGGGGAGGGGCTAAAGGGACTACAGGAGCCAGCACAGCTGGAAGTGATTAAGGCCCAGCCTAGGAGGCCGTAGACAGGTAATAGTCTGGGATTGGTAGAGCTGCAGAAAGAAACCTTTGCCCTAGAAGTGTTTGGCAAACCCACTCTGTTATATTTTGATTCAGTGTCTGACATGGCTGTGGAGGTTTCCAAGTGAAAAATGAAAACTTCTTGGCTAGTTTCTTTACTCTGGAGATGGGGGCTCTTTCTGTTTGCCTCATATATGCAAAGGAAATATGAAGCAAAAATAGAGTCTAGGATTTCCTGCTAACCTTTTTCTTTTCCTGAAGGCTGGGGTTTAAGTTTCTTGCTTGGGACGGTCAGCTGCACTGTTCTTGATTCTTCAAGGCGTGCTGTGGTTCCTTTCCTTCGTCTGCTCTCACTTCCTCCCTTCACCCAGCTTTGTCCCAGGCCAGGCCAAGTGAACAGCTGTGATGGCAACTAAGCCTCTCTCTTGCCTTCTAGCCTGGAAGTTTGTTTCACACTTCCCTGGAAACTCTGAAGTTCGTCTTTTCTCCTGGACATTACAAATCTAACTCTTGTAACTTATTATTTTTTTTTTCAAGAACAATTACCTACCAAAGAAGAGAGCTCTTTATCCCTCTTTGTTACAGGGGGAAAGTTCTGCAGGATTTATTAACAATGATCCATATGTGAATGAGCTCCAGCAAAGCCTGAAATACTTCCCTTGTCAAAAATATACAAAGGAGAAGTACCAACAAAAATAGGCTTGTGTTTCATCTTAGATATTTCCACCCATGCAACTCTCGTGGAAAAGAATAACCTAAAATACAGAGGCATTTTTTACGAACACTACTTGATGCACTTTGAATTGAGCATGCTTTGCAGAAATACAATCTGCATGTCATTATCCCTAATTTTCTAAGTCCTTGCTGTGTGATATCAGGTCTGCCACCCTTGCTGTTAAATGTCAGTTAAGACCTAATTAATTTAACTGCTCTGACAAGTTTAAATCAGCTCCCACAGAGACTGTAATTTGCCTCGAGTTCTTACCTGCTACAGATCAGTAACTCCCAACTGATAGTGCTACAGACATATTTTAAAAATAACTTTTATTGTTTTTATTTTTAATTTTAGTCAAGTGGTACATGTTCATTGTAGAAAAGTCAGAAAACACAGTCAAAACAAGAAGAATTTTTTAAAAATCACATTTTTAAAAAAATTTATTTATTTATTTTTTTACCCAGGCCGGAGTGCAGTGGCATGATCTCGGGTCATCACAACCTCCACTTCCTGGGTTCCAGCAATTCTCCTGCCTCAGCCTCCTGGGTAGCTAGGACTACAAGTATGTGCCACAATGCCCAGCTATTTTTTTTTGCATTTTTAGTAGAGACAGAGTTTCACCATGTTGGTCAGCCTGGTCTCGATTTCCTGACCTTAAGTGATCTGCCCACTTCTGCCTCCCAAAGTGCTGGGATTACAGGCATAAGCCACTATACCAGGCTGAAAAAAATTGCATAATTTTATCATATAGTTATAACCACTGCAAACATCTTGACGTAAATCTTTTTTTTTTTTTTTTTGGTCTATGTAATGAGAGGTAATTCTTCAAAAACTATAAATGAGCATTTCTCTTTTGTTTCCATGTTCATGAATCAAAATAGGCTTTTTCAGACAGTAAGCCTGAAAGCTAGGTTCTGTCCAGAGAGGGAGGATTTTCTAAATTCTTTTAGCTATCAAGAACAAGCCTAAAAAACTCATATAGAGTTCTTTCCATAAAGACAGAGAAGCTATTCCTTTTTCCTATGATAACTATCAGGCTTGCTACTGAGAGAAGGGGGGAGATATAGGATAGGGGAGAAAAAGTCCAAAATTCTCACATTCACGTATACATAAATTATGGAGAGAGAAAGAGGCAAGATAAGGATGGGCAGAGCTCACCCTTCCTGCCCTAAGACAGAGGCATATGTCAGATAGGATGAAAGGAACCCAAGGATGGAGGACTTCTGCCCAAGCGATGCATCTGGGTTACTTAGCTTAAGGCAGGTGTGGATTTCCCTGATTGCAATTAGTTCTTTGTAGCTGCTATTAGAAAACCACTGCTGTAACCATAGTAGTTTGAAGAACAAAGAAGTTCTCTCCTAAAATAATCTGAGGTGATTTTCCAGGCTGGTGGTCAGCTCTTCTTCATTCAGGGACTCAGATTCTTTTCCTAGTAGTTGCTGTGCTACAAGTCCAAGGGCCTTTGTCATCAACCATACGGGACTACTATATCTGGGTTCCATTTGGTAGTAAGGGAAAAGAGAGGCTGGAGGAAGTACACTCAATATCATGAGACTCTGGCCCAAAAGTGGCAGACATGAACTCTTCTCATATTTTATTGGCTAGAACTTGGTCATATGACCAAACCTAACCACAAAGAATGTGGGGAAATTCAATATCACTGGGGAGCCATATTTGCCCAACAATAGCAATTCTATTATAGAACAAAGGGAGAACAGGTTTTAGTTGCCCTCTACACCTAGTGTCATAGATGGGGCCCTGTGTGCACAGATGGGGCCCTGTGTGCACATAAAAGGCTCTTTGAAAGCAGCCATGGGTTTGACAGCCATGGATTTGCCCTCAGGCACCATAAGTAGGGGTGAAGTGACTTTCACAGCAGAGGCAAAATGTGAATCACCTAGATCCAGAAAGGTCTATAGAATCAGTGAGAGATGGAATGAGACCAGCACAGCCGAAGTATACCATTGTTCATGATCAAGCTCAGAGACACCAGAACCCAGGTTATACCAGCTGCCAATGTCTACTACAAAGCCAAGCTGGGTGGGCAGCAGCAAGGCTGACAAGGGACACCACAAGCACAGCTCTGAGGACCCATCACTACACTGCCTGAAGCTCACAGTAACCTTCCCTCACACCCTGATTGCTATCTTAGGGATGAGAGCTCCCTGGGGCAGATATTTGAAAAACTGGGTATAGATCCACAGGGGGCCCTGTTATCTAAACAAAATGCCCAGAATATAAGAAGAGTTGGTCAAATTGGGCTAAATTTATTTAACCCCCATTTCCACCCAGCAGGATAGGGAGCTTGTGGGGAAACTCAGATCAAGTCATCAACTAATAAATAAGCTACACATTTTGTTTTGTTTTGTTTTCTGCACATCTGAGTATAGGCTGAAAAAATTCTCTCACCCTGAAATGTACATATAAAATTGTCTTGGAAGCTCTGGAGCTGTGATTAGAAAATGCAAGCTGATGCTGTAAGCTACTTTCTACCCTACCTTAGAGGTTTTCTGTGCAAACAAGAAAAAAATCACATAGCTGTCACAGAAGACTTACCTGAATGTTGGGAGTCCCAAGGAAGGACACTTGCACCATGTCTAACTGAAATTCAGACATGAGTGGTAGACAGGGTTAGGGGCAGGTCAGAGTCAAGGCTTGATTTCAGGGAGCAAGTCCAGGGCACCATGAGTTAAGGAAGACTCCAGTGCTTGGGCTGAGTTCAGCAGCAGGGTCCAGGGGTCAGAGGTTCTGGGTTGAGTAAGATACTGAGTCTGAGCCCACCATAATCCAGTCTCTCCCCAGCACCTATGGGCCTTGTACAGGAGTGGGGATGGTCTCAGGGGTGCAGAAATTCCAGAGAAAACACATTAGATTCCTAACCCCTTAAAAACAATTTGAACGTCTTCAACATCTGAACAAGAAAAGCTATTTTGGACATAAACTCATCTGGTAGGAAAACCTCCCCTAAACTGAACTGAAATGCTTTATGGGTTCTAATTGTGTCACTTGGTGTGAACAGTGTTATATTTCTCTAAAGAAATAATAATGTGTTTGATTTCTAAGTGCTGCCCCACACACAACACCAAGACCAGAGGTGGTATATAATATACAGCATATTCACCATGTTACCTTTCTAATATCTGAAAAATTCTGATTTTGAAACACACCTGGCCCAGGGTTTTAGGTAAGAGATTGATCAGCTGAATTTCAGAGTCATCCCTGCCACCCATGCAATGCACAATCTTAACTGGGTGGAATTATCTTTGTAGTCCTGGCATTCAATTTTCTCTAATACTTTCAAGGAGCTTGAAATTCAATAGAATTTCATCTAACAGAGATTTAACTGACATTTATTTTCTTTATTGAATTTTTAAATGCTGATTTTATGGGTGATCCAGCCAACTTTTTATCTCCAGTTTCTAAGGAAGTGGGCAATGCCATTAATTCTTCTCCAGTATTTATCTACGTTCCTTTATATCCTTATTCAAAGTGTTATGAAGTAGAGATGTAATCTAAAGTGGATCAATGGCTAGTTATTTTTAACACTAAATACTTAGGGAATGTACTTTGGAAGTGTGTACTCAGGATAGGGATCATGAAGGAACAAAAGGATAGGAAGTTAAGACTGAGTGTCTGCCAGGAGCCACTTTCTCCTACAGCATTCAATGTAATCCTCGGTACATTTACCATTTAAATCTTTTATTGTAATCCTCACCAGAGTTCTCAAGGATTTATTACAACCCTTGTAATTGCTTTTGTCTGTGCATTCTTCTTATTTGCACAGATTATTCCCTCTATCCAGAAGCCTTCCCACTGCTTTTACCCCAAGTCTTCTGGCTAACTCACTTTCACCTCATGCCCCCGTCATCTAGCCAAGGCTGTGGCAGAAGCCTCCTCTCAGGTCTCTCTGCTTCTGCTCTTGCTCACTCTACACCTCCTCCATTCTCCCAAGAGTAGCATAAATCAGACCCATCCCACTGAGGGACTCTTTTGTCCCTCAACAGCCCACCCGAACCCTAGTTCACAAGGCCCCAAGTGACGAGGCCCAGTGCACCTTCCACCAATGCTCCGTCCACACCAGCCTCCTTCCTGTCTCCACCTCAGTGCCTTTGCCCTTGCTGTTTCCTTGGCCTGGAGTGCTCCCTCTCTAGTTCTTTGCATGGCTGAGTCCTTCTCAACCTGGCCACTTCAGCCTCCTGTACTCTTGAAACAGTGCTCCAGCACAGTGCCGGGCTCAGAAAAACCACCCCAGAATATTTGTTGAATAGATGAATAAATGGAGGGGGAAAATAAAAGAACGATAGAACCCACAGAGCTTATCTTTTTATTAGTAACTGCCCTTTCAGAAAACTTTGTTTTAGCTTTAGCTTTAATACATTTCTGCCACTTACCAAGAAGAATATGTTTTTATGAATCTAAAAATATTTTTCAGCATTATTTTCTTCTTCTAGTGGTGACTGCTCTTGACATTCTTTAGATAACTCCATATTCATTCATTCATTCATTCACTCACTCACTCATCTATATGTGTATCTGTTCTCAAAGTTCCCAGAGGCCCAAGCTAAATGGTATCTACATCATCACTTCCCATGGTGCTTTCTTTCATCACTATTTACTGAGAGATCCCAAAGTATTTTAGAGAGAGCAACCAGTTTATTGGGTGAGAGGGACTATTAGCCCCTGATTACAGGTGAGGAAACAGGGCCCAAGAAATGGTAGAGGGAATGAACTACAGAAATGGGAGTGAGAGGAGTACTTAGGATTTCAAGTTCCCTCTTCCAACCTAGGTCTGAAGGGGGTCCTTCCAACCTGGCTATCAGGACTACAGAGCGGCCCTTTGCTTCCACTTCTCTCCTCCCACTGACACCATCTCTCTCTATTCCTGGAAGAGCACTCCAGCAGAGGGAAAAGTATCTGGAAATACTGAGGAACCAAAAGAAGATGAATCCGTGTGTGCCACTGAACCAAAGAAGTTTAGGAAGTATTGAGTCTGGGTGTGGTATAATCCCAGCACTTTGGAAGGCTGAGGTGGGAGGATTGCTTGAGCCCAGGAGTTCGAGACCAGCCTAGGCAACATGGTGAGAACTCTGTCACATTAAATAACTAAATAGATAAACAATCCAGGAGTTTAAAGACATATTAAGCTTTTTAAGAAACCACTATTACCCTTTTCCCATAAATTAGTGCTTTTCTTGTGTTTTGAATTCTTGAATATGCAATGTAAAACAATATATAGCTTTGTTTTCTGACTTTAAAATAGTACATGTTCATTTTACTTTGATTTTGGAAAATATAAGAAAGACAACGAAAAACTAAAGATACTAACAATATCATGGCACAGGAATAATCACTATTAATATTTTAAATATTTCCTCCAACTTGTCGTAATCGTATTAGACTTCTTATCTCTATCTTGTTTAATTCTTTATCCTCCCTATTCAGATACTCCATAAATGAGTGAATATATAGTTTGGATATTTTCCCCAAAGTGGGTTCATACTTTATATACTGTTTGTGACCTACTATAAAATCTTAACACTGTATCAAGAACATTATTTCATCTGATAACATCTTTTCCTATAAAATTATTTTTGATAATTTAAAACAATTTTTATTGAAATAATAATTATATTAATTTCTTTAACATATGGCTGCCTAACATTCTAATATACAGGTACATCATAATTTTTTAAGCAATCCTCCATTATTGGAACATTTAGATATTTTTTGCCTTTTTTTTTGCATTACAAATCACACTACAAGGAGCATCACTGCCATAAATCTTTGTGGGTATGTCTGGTTATTTCTACAGCATCCATTCTTGTAGAACGGGGCAAGGGCTACAGATATGTTATTTAAGGTTTGTGATCTGTATTGACAACTTGTCCTCTAAAAGGCTGTCCAATTTATACTTCCCAGTAATGAGGCATAGTAGATGTCTTCGTTTTTGCCTGGAGTCAAATGCTTTTGGAGTATTAGTTACGTTATTTCAGTGTAAAATGGTATTGAAGCAAGATGGCTTTTACCACATTATTTCATATGCTTCAGCCTGATGATAACTAAATTCTTCCAAGTAGTTGCATTTTTCATTTGCTTATTTATTTAATTATTTTTGAGATGGAGTTTCACTCTTTTTGCCCAGGCCGGAGTGCAATAGTGTGATCTCGGCTCACCGCAACCTCCGCCTCCCGGATTCAAGCAATTCTCCTGCCTCAGCCTCTCGAGTAGCTGGGATTACAAGCATGAGCCACCACGTCCGGCTAATTTTGTATTTTTAGTAGAGATGGGGTTTCTCCATGTTGCTCAGGCTGGTCTCGAACTCTTGACCTCAGGTGATCCACCTGTCTCAGCCTCCCAAAGTGCTGGGATTACAGGTGTGAGCCACCACACCTGGCCTTTGCATTTTTCTTATAAAGAGAATGTTTGCTGCTAGTGCATCTTCCTGTCAATTAGACAGTAAACTCCCAGTCCCCCAGTCATAGAGGATGTGTGTTTCTTTGCAGATTTTCAGTTATCCTCATAGTCAAACTTTTGGTGATTCCTGGTTATAGCTCAGATGAACACTGCTGATGGTATCTGTTGCCAGTTCCCCTCTTGCAAGAGGCTGAGCTCCTGAAGGATCTCAAAGTATCTTTGGAAGAACACAGGTAGAATATGGAATACACCTTAAAGATGTGACCATCTTTGGGGTGGCCAACTGAGCCCATGAAGTTAGTCCCAGAGACTTCCTTGGATTACTCAAGGTTCTCCAGAGAAACAGAACCAGCAGGATAGTTAGAAAGATAGATAGATGATAGATATAGATAGATAGATAGATAGATAGATAGATAGATAGATAGATAGATGATAGATAGACAGAGAAAAATGAAAATGAAATCCTAAGCCCCCCAACCAACTGAATGAATCCCATCTTAGACAAGGGCACCACAGAGTAACCCTGAAAACTGAGTTATTGGCCATGTTGGGAGGTCAGATACATCTCGTCATACCCCTCCCTCCCTCACTTCCATTTAGGTTTTTCTCCAAAGGCTAAACAGAAATCGGTCCTTTCAAAAGACTTCACCACTGATATCAACCAACCTCCTGCCACTTCTCCTCTCTTCTGTGGTTTGGACACAGCTGACCAGCATTTCTTCCTGGTAAGAGACCAACAACCACCGAGACTTTCTAGTCAGTCTACGGAGGATGTGCAGTGGGGGTTTTCATGTCCTCTGCTTCACCTTTTGACATCAGACAGCTGAAAACTCCACGCTGGGATCATGCTAATGCCACCATTGTTTGAACATGGGACCCATGAAGGATCAGGAAGCTCAGTTATGCATGCATGTATGTCTCCTTTCACAAATATTCGTGACTCCTCCTGTAGCTTATTGAATATGCATATTTTTGTCAACCTGCTCAGAATTAATCTCTGTCTTATTCTCAACCTCGGAGTACCTGTTTTTGGCTCCTAGCTGGAGCATATACTTCCCAGCCTGTCAGAACGACCACCCTGCAGGCTGCCATCCTTTGTGAAAAATAAAGCTGTCCTTTTATTTATGAACCTTGTCATTCTTCAGCTGACTATAGATATAAGAGGAAATTTATTATGGAAATTGGCTCATGCAACTACAAAGGCTGAGAAGTCCCACAATCTGCAAGCTGGAAAACCAGGGAAGCTAGAGGTACAATTAAGTCTGAGACCAGAGGCCTGAGAACCAGGGGACCTGATGGTATAAGGAGGTCTGCGAACTGGGGTGCCTGCTGCTGTAAGTCCCAGTGCCAAAGGCCCAAGACCTGGAGTTCTGATGTCTGAGGGCAGAAAAAGATGGAAGAGGCCCCCTCAAGGGGAGAGAGACAGAGAGAATGTGCCCTTCCTCTGCCTTTAGCTCTATCAGGTCCTCAGTAGATTGGTTGATGCTCACCTACCTTGGTGAGGGCAGATCTTCTTTACTCAAACCTACTGACTCAAATGCTAATCTCTTCTGGAAACATCCTAAGACCAGTTCCACCCAAAGCCCAAATGTGTCCAACCAAACCACCTTCCTGCCTATCTGCCCTTTCTTTGATAATAAATCTGAAACCAACTCATGTCCCATAGAACTGATGGTTATGATTCCTTTGAATAAACATAGAAATTGATCCTCCCAGTCTTAAAACTTAAGAAAGCTTAATTTTTCTTATCTGAGTTCCTTTCTCAGAAAACCAACCATCAGGACTCCTAGATAGTATCAAGGAGCTGAAACTCATTAGATCACTGCATTTGGACAATGAGACATCAGATCCCTCACCCGTCATGATTGCCTAACTGACCATCTGCTTCCTATTGACCAACTCCTCTTCCTTACCCTGCCCTTATTCCTGTCTTCCCACACATGGTTACATTTCTTCCCTGCTATTTAAACCCGCAATTTTAGTCAGGCAGGGAGATGGATTTGAGACTGATCTTTCATCTCCTTGGCTACAGGACCTGATTAAAGATTTCTTCCTTTGCAATACTCATTGCCTCAGTGATTGTCTTTCTGTGAAGCCAGCAGTAGGACCTAGACCAAACTCCTGGTGTTTTGGTAACACACCCATTAAGCCTTATCCTTCCTTCTCTGTGCTCTTTTTTAGTGAAAAAAAAAAAAAAAAAAAAAAGCCTACTCCAAAATGCACACTCCTTTATAGCCTACTAATCATTTAAAGGGTGAGAAGGAATAGTCATACAAGCTCTCAGATAAGTCACATTTGGCTCCTTCTTCCATGATCTCTGTACCCCATACCTGAGAGAAGAGGAAGGCAATGGCGAGTTAACTTTACTTTTCAGTTCCTCTTAGACCCACTGCTTCTTGATCTCTTTCCTCCTTCTTTCATTTTCCTAGGAGGGTTATCTCTGAAAGAGATTTACCTCATAAAATTAGACCCTAAGAAAGTGGGAGAGGCCAAGCGCGATGGATCACGCCTGTAATACCAGCTTTTTGGGAGGCCGAGGTGGGTGGATCACCTGAGGTCAGGAGTTTGAGACCAGCCTGACCAAGATGGCAAAACCCCATCTCTACTAAAAATACAAAAAGTTAGCCAAATGTGGTGGTGGGCACCTGTAATTCCAGCTACTTGGGAGGCTGAGGCAGGAGAATCACTTGAACCCGGGAGGCAGAGGTTGCAGTGAGCCAAGATCACACTATTGTACGCTATCCTGGGCGACAGAGTGAGACTCTGTGTCAGAAAAAAAAAAAAAAAAAAGAAGTGGCAGAGAGGAAGCACACTGACTTGAAAATCATCTAAGGATTCCTCTAAGTGTACAGTCTTTTAAAATATATAGAACAATATAACAAGTGTATAAGTAGACATGTTTAAAACCAATATTCTATTAATATATTTAAAATTCCATTTTTGTTTTAATTTAAATTACATTAGTATATTATAATGTCACATGTTTACAGCTGTATATTCTTAATTCCATATTAATAGTTGTGTGACACTAATAGCTACTTAAGGAAATAGCTCTCTGTCAAAGCTTTATAACATTTTGTCCTATTATGAAGATGACTCTTGTCATCCTCTTCCATTGTCCTTATCTCATCCCAGTCCTTTCATCTTCTTTTGCTACATGAATTCCTCCAGAGGACCACTTTGTTCACTGCTTTATAGTAATTAATTGACTAATTTCAAAGACAGGAGAAAAATAGATTTATTTTGCCTTCCAACTGAGGGTACAGAATGGACCAGGAGGAATCCCAAACTCATTTTCTATGTGAGCACTTATGTGCATGTCTCATTCATTGGGAACCTAGCCCCATGAGGCTCCAGCTTTAGAGCAATTAACAGGATACAGATGGAACAAGTGCTAACCTTGCCTCCAAAACCACACAGAGTGGGGCCTTAAGAAAAACCCTGGGGTGGTTTTGGAGCACCCTGCTGGCATGGAAGCCTGGAGACCAACCTTTGTGAAGAATGAAGGTTGCCACTGGGAAAGAAGGCCATTCTCTAGCACCTTAAGAACTGACTAGTGTAGCTCACAGCTCCGCAGACACATGTTCTCACTCTGAAAGGGAACGAGGGTCTCTAGGGACATTGTGCAGCTGCAATAGCTTATAAAGCCAGTAGCATGACTTCATCTCTGGCTTGAGAGCCAAATTTTACACAGAGCAGAAGCCAAAAGCTAGTGCTAACTCAGGGTGAATAGGAAAGACTGGAAAAGACCAAGGTGTGTGTTTACATGCTTTCAAAGCTGCACCCTCCTAAGAATGGAATGATTTTGCTGAGAGTTCACAACATCTTGAATAAGCATTGATAACACAGGTAAGTATACAAACACCTGACCCTGATTTCATTTAACAGATGCCCAGTATCATTCACCTGGCTCCTAAATGGCTGGCTGAGCCTCCACCTAACAGGGAATTCATTCCAGTTAAGTTGGTTTTGGTCATTCCCTAATCTTGAGGAAGGTGTGTACGTATTTAATGCTATCTATTGGAGTAGGTAACTAGAGAGATATCCCCCTTCAGAACTGTGAAAACTCTCTTGCTTTTGCAGGAGAAATTTGAGATTCACACAGGGCATGTAATAATCTGCAGTGAGGGTTGGTTCTGAAAACGCTGTTGGTGGTGGTGGTTTTCACACCAAATAGCTAGCCATATAAGGTCAAGTTCTTTCACATGGTATGTAGTTTTTCATAAATCATGTAAATAGCTTACTCATGTTAGTTAGAAAAGTACTTTGAGTTATTCATTCATTTTTGGACATTGTGATAGGTAGTATGTATTTCAATTTTAACTTCTGTACATTGAATTGTATTTTATAAACATTAGGGCAATATGTTTTTGAAAGGATACTTTGTAGATCCTTTTGTGTGGTGGGTCTGGGAGAAAAAATATTTATATTCCTTGGGTGAAAGAAATATTCCACTATAATAGTGGACAATCTTTTTATTTATTGAAATCAAGATTCTTCGATGTTATTATTATAAAGTCCTTCCCTTTTTTTCAAAATAACAATATTTTTTTCTTATCATTTGTTAAGGGTACACTCTGTATCATAATATTTTTCAAAGGACATTTTCAAAGAACAAAATATCAAAGGACAGTTTTTAAAGAATTGATATAATAATTAATGACAATATTCTTTAATTTACTCCTCAACATCTCTTCGTAAAGCTATGAAGTCCCTTTTATGTCCTGAGCACTACAAGCTGACCATACCAGCTATTTCTTCTCCAAGTAGCTCTGGTTAGCAAGTTGCTTAAAGCAAGGGTTACAAACTTAGGTTGCCTGTGCCAGGACAGCTCTTAGTTACTCATATGTGGTTAATCTGTTGTTGCACACCTGACCTTCAGTATTGGTGAGCTGTCACCCCTTCCTAACTGTAGGATTCAGTGTGAACCTGAGGCTCTTTTTGAGTTTAAGGCAGAATTCTCTGATGAGTCAGACCACAAAATCCCAGGAGAGCAGCTAGGAGGAGAGGCATATTAACCTTAGAATAACATTCATCTCATCCATTACAAGATGAGCATGAATATTGCCTGACAATTAGCAATTTCTGTTACATACACCCTATTTTCACAGACAAGAAAACTGAATCCTGGAGAAGCTACATGTTTCATTTCAACATTCACAACTATTTAAAGGCTCATTGGAGCCAAAAGGCACACTTTTCTTTCTACTGTTCAATATATATTTGTTTTGCAAACCTTCCACAAACCAGGCATCAGGAAGGGAACACAGTTGAGCTTTTAAGAGATTTTGCAGTCTGTTGGGGCAGCATGCAGGAACCACATGGCAAGGATTGCCATGTTGTGCTGCTGTGGCTCTTCCTTCTCCATGGCTTTCTTTCTTTGGTCTAAGTTCAGATTGTTACTTAGACATAGAACAACTCCACTTCCCATCCTATTCTGGTTACTGAAGAACTGCATATTACCCCCAAAATGTGCCACCCTTTATTTTCACAGGAGGCGGTAGTGACCTGTGTTTGAGGGGCATAAGCTTTGTTTGCCTTTTAAGGAATGATGATGAGTTTACATGAAGACTAAATGCTAATTCTGTCCATCTTATAACTAAGGATGCCTTTCAAATAGCAGAAACACATGAAGTGTGGACTAATTGATGCAGTTTGGAGCACAATCTGAATTTTAAAATGGAAAGAAACCAAGATAACAATAGAGTAAAGAGAGTAAGGGCTAGATAAAGGGGTTGTGTAGCCCTTTGCAGCTGTTGAGTTCATTTTCTTTGACCTAATTCCTAATCTTGGCTTCATTTTAGAACACCACATTTGTTTTTCTTTCTCCTCTTATTCCTCTTCTAATTTACATTTTCCTCCGTATATTTGAATCCCTGGAAGCCTCCTTAAATCTTTCTGGAACAAGGCAAATGTAAATGAATGAATCAATCAAAGATTAGTCCACAATTGTGTTCATTTCCTCATCTTCTCCTCTCTCTGGGCTTACTGCACTGGCTTCTGTCTTCTCTGTTCTCTTGTCATGAATCTGTCTTAAGTCACCAAATTCTTCCTAATGGCTTTGTTCACTTTTTTCCTTGCCAGCTCAGCCTAAGGCTCTGGTAGCCATCTCTGCATCTTCAAGCTCTGTCCTCCCAGTTTGGGTGGTAATACCTGGTTCTCTTCTCATCTTTTCAACTGCTTGTTTGGGCCTCCTTTTTCTAGTTCCTCTTTCTAATTCCATTTGGGAATTATGGCATGATATCCAGATTCAGTTCCTGGCATTTATGGCTTCTGTCTCAAAGAGATCCCATTTACTGTCAGAGCCCCTTGAGGACAACGATCACATATTTTTTTTAATATCACAGAGGGCATTCCACATAATTGGGGCTCAACACCACTGACTTAACTTAAAAACATGACTTCTAGTAGTGGTTATCTATAGTGTCCTCCTAGAGGGTTTTGAAGACTAGCTATGGAATATATACTTATATTCAGGGAAGTCTATAGTCTCATAAACTCATGAAATTAAAATGAACAAAAATATGGTTGAAATATTTTATTTTGCCCAGCATTAACTTCACATCTTACAGATGGTGACATAAATTCTGACTTTGGTTTTTGCCAACATTTTCTAAAACATATCTTGAATCCTTCACCTCCCTCCATCTTTAATTCCACTACACTACAAGCTGCTTGCAGCCCTACAGCCTCTCACCTGGATGACTGCAAACAACTGAAACAGTCTCCCACATAGTGGCCTTCTAGCCCCTCGTTTCCTGGTTAAAAGCTGCAAATCTGGAGGCATTACTCTGTCTTGCTACATAGCCTTTCAGGACTTTCTAATGCTCTGTAGATAAATTCCTGCTCTCTTATGTGACCTGCAAGGCTTCAGATGACTTCACCAGCCCTTCTCAGTTCCTAGAATGCTCCACCCTCTTGGCTTTAGAGCCCTCACATGTGCTGTGTTTTCCACATAGGATATTCTGAATTCACCCAGAAGGGCTTGGCTTCCTCAGAGATGCCTGCCCTGACTCCTCAGATTGGTTCAGAAATGTTAATTGTTCACTGTAATTCCTTAGCATCCTTTTCTTTCATAGGGCTTATGACAATGGTGATGAATATCTATTTGGGTATTTACTTGGATATCTGCTTTCCCTTGCTGACCTGGAAGCTGTCTAAGGGCAGGTATAATGCCTTGTTCACTGCTCTATCCATAACAACTAGCCTGGCACATAGGTATTCCATGTGTGTTTGTTGAGTTTGTGAATAAATACAAATTATAAAAGAATCAGAACTTGCCGTCTGATATTTCAATACAATACTTGAGTTGAGAAAGTTACATCCACCTTTGCTGGAGCTGGGAGTCAAAGAGGTAGGTAGGCTGGATTGAGAGTGATGTGATGAAGGAATATTTGAAACACGTTCTGCAGCTCTCAGGAGCTAATTGAAATGCAAATTTAATGAGGATTCATGTGCATGTTGAGGAGAGCAGTCCGAAATCTGAGCAAGAGAGTCTTTGCCTCATTATGGGAAAACACAGATCATAGCCTATCTTTCCCCTCTGCTAAGCCTGCACATAAATGCCTTGGCCTGTTTCTATGTCTTACCATGCACATGTTAGATAAATCTGTGATTGTCTTCTAGGGATTCTGCTAGGTTGAAGCCAACACACTAAATAAGTCACCGATCATGATTCCTTTATAAAAAATAATTACACAGTAAATTTCACTCCATCCTTTCTCGGCTTTTCTTTGGAATTTTTGACATATTTCTTAGCACTTCAGGAACTATTAAGAGTTTTGGGAAATGAAAAGCAGTATCTGTGGTTTGTGAAATCCAGAAATAAACCTTAAAAAACCTATAATTCTCGAAGTGACTATTTTCTGGAGTCTCAGAGGTAATACCAATGCATCTTATATTTAGTAACGTGGATTTTGTTATTTTTGCATAAATTAGCCACAGCAAAATACCTATGTAATGTTTTTAAATCTCAAAGTTATTTTGTTAAAAAATTGCATTTTTAATTTTGAGAGAATAGATGTTGATGGAATCTTTCAGAAACACAGATTGTGCTCCAAAATATGTGTAATCATTCAATCAAAATATATTTAATGGTTGCCTACAACAGGCATAGTGTGGAGTTGGACATTAGATGTTGTAAGAGGTAGAAAAAGTCTCCGGCATAGTTCCTGTTATCCAAGTACTTACAGTCTACTATGGGAGACAATACTTACACACTGTACTTCAAGGGAGAAAGTAGCAAGTATTGTTACAGAGGCATAGATGCAATTCCATGCATCCTACATGTTTTCTCTCTACGTTTAGATAAGGGCATTATTTCTTCCAGTTAGGAATATCTTGAAAGATTCTGGGAAAAGGTAAGATTTGAAACTGGCTACAAGGATAGCAGATTTTTCCACTTTTGCTAATTAATTTATTTTACTTGTTATAAAGAAACAAATATATGTAGACAATACCAATAAGAGAAAAGGAGCAAACAAAAACCTAATAAATATCACCACACAGAGATAATCTCTAGTAACAGCTTTTCTTCTGTGTATATTGATGTGTTTGTTTTGCAAATTTGGCATCATGCACTGCATAATGTTTATAACCTGCTTTTCTCATTTAACAGTTTATCATGATCATCTCCCCATATCTGCTTGTCAGTTGACACATGATATATTTTTACTGAGTGACGATTGGGAGGGAAAAAAATGCCTGAACCTAAGCTGTAGGATTTGCGAGAACAAAGGACCTGGAGAAAGTATTGGCTGTGACAGGAGACCCACACTCAGTGAGGCTTGTTCCTGCTGAGTGCACAATTCCAACTTGGTAATTTCTCTTCTTGGCATCAGATGATGCTGGCTACACTTCAGGAACACATCAAAGAATGAAATCTTTCCATTCTGATGAATAACCTGGTGTATGAAATCAGCCCGACTGCAACTGAGATGCTTAGGGAAACAAAAGGTCATCAGGAAATCCCATTTCTCCACCTAATGGAGCAGAGCTGTGGTCACTGCTGGGAGTGTTTCTGCCTTTTGATTCCTTGCCAACTGGAGTGAACGTGGCATGTGGCCTGATATAGTTTTATTCAGAAAAGCACTGCCAATTAGATGGTAAAAGCCTGCAATTTTCTGAATGTTTATAATCTAAGTGGGTGTGCTTAGGATGCAGTCCAGTGGGCAGCTTAATATTCCACTTGAAAATGCACCGACGAAGGGCAAAGGTGCACAATCTGGTTGTTTTTCTCTAAAACAGAATAATTTTTCAAATGCCTAACGTTTATGTCCTATTTCATGATTGTGAAGGGCAATTCAGAATGTCTGACCTTTAAAACAAGGAGTTAGTGTTTGCCATCATGACAGTACTCGGGGGAGAAATACTGGTGGACTAAATTCGTAAGAATGTTCCCATGATTTTTGGATGTACTTATGCCTAATGGAGGCTATTAGCATCTTGAAAGTAAATGTCCTGTGGTTTGGTTTGAGATATGCCATGAACTCTACCCTTGATTCTATCATTCATCTACTTACACATAAAACACACACACACACGCACACACACACACACACACACACACAGAGAAACAGGGAGAGAGAGAGAGAGTGAGTGAGAGAGAGAGACAGGGAGAAGGATTTATTAAGTTTATTATTATATGCCAGAGACAAAGCAAAATTCCACTTGAGATAAACATCAGGCCCATTCAAATCTGCCTTATTCAAAGTCAGATTACCATGAAGGGCACAGAAAGACAAACTTCTCACGTTGTCACTCATGTGTGGGAGCTAAAAATGAAAACAGTTGAACTCATGGAGACAGAGAGTTACTAGAGTAACTAGGATGGTTACTAGAGTCTGGAAAGGGTAGTGTGGAGGGAGAGAGGAAGTGGGCATGGTTAATGGGGACAAAAAATAGAAGAATGAATAAGACTTAGTATTTTCTAGAACCACAGTGTGACTGTAGTCAATAATAATTTAGTTGTACATTTTAAAATAATTAAAAGAATATAATTGGATTATTTGTAACACAAAGGATAAATGCTTGAGGTAATGGATACCCCATGTACCCTGATGTGATTATTATACATTATGTGCTTGTTTATACCCTATAAATATATACACCTATTACATGCCCACAAAAATTAAAAACAAAATTTTTTTAAAAATCTGCCTTATTCATGAGAGAAAGCCAAGAGAATGGAGCACCAAGCTAAGCCTACCCCAGCTACAGGAAGAACATCGCACAAAGGATCAAGAGAGATGGATTGAACAAAACAGGGCAGGTGGTGTGTTCATAGAAGAGATTTGGCGTGATCCTGTTCTGAGAGCTTATAATGCCAGGATTGGATGTTACCACAATGAAAGTGGCCTTGATAAGATCCCTTTGATTTACACAGTACAGATTTCAAAGGCATAGATAATCTAAGCCACAGCCACATGCCGTATTCTTTTATGGTAATTAAGAGAGAGAATGGTTTATCTTATGTCCCTCACATGGAGTTCACCAAGCAGATGCTCCAGTGAATTCCTTGTGCATCACGTTCTCTGCCCCACTGCCTCCAGTCACGACCTGAACCTGTGTGCCTGGGACCTCTAAACCTAGTCCCCTAGGGAGAAAAGCCCTCCCTCCACAGAAGCACCATGTTGGGTATGAGGCAGGACCGTTTTCCTTCACTGCCCTGTTCTTTCTTCTCCACGCTCTACCAACATAAGACCTTAGGACTGTGTTACAGGCAAGCTAGAGAAAACGGCATGATAGGAGAAAAAAGCTAGAACGTGACATAAATATGGACTCTATTCCGGTTCAAGAAAGCAACATTTCACAGGATAACGTGGTTTCTGACCTTACTTCATTGTCCTCTGCCTCTAGTCACCTCTTGAAAGAACAACTCCAGGTTCTAACCACTGCTGGATATCATCTAACCAAGCCTTGGGAGGTTCCACCCCTTTCCCACAGCATTTGCTTCATCCAGGAGATGGGTCCTCCCACTCAGCCATACAGGCCTGTGTTACTCAGTTCATAATTACATACTTTGGGGCTCCAGCAGGACAGTGAGTGGGGGTAGATTTGCCAGATTTAGTAAATAAAAATACAGGACACCCAGTTAAACTTGAATTTCAGACAAACAATGAATAATTCTTAGCATAAGTATGTCCTGTGCAATATTTGGGATGCACTTGTACTTAAAAATTATTTGTTGCTTATCCAAAATTCAAATCTAACTGGGTATCTTGTATCTGGAAATGATAAGTGTAGATTTCAGCACCCCCAGACACCACAGAACAGTTCAGAGTGGGTAGGGTACTTCAGGATCTCTCTTAGTAGGGGATAAGATTGCTCCTATTGTCAAGTGAGTAACCTCTTTTCCCCTCCCTCCCTCAAAGATGGTATCATATGATCTTCTAACCCATATATAGAAGAAGGGAAATAATGTACAAATGTTAAACAAAATTATGGGAGGCCACTGTTCTGGACTGAGCTCCTGTACTGGGCCCTAACAGACCAAATCAAAATGCAGCCACTCATGCTAAATGCAACATAGTCAAACTGAAACTTTAAGGAAGCAGATAGATCTCAACACAGACAAGTTGTTTATTTGTCTCCTGAAGACAGATAATTTCATAATAAAGTTTCCTCTGCTCTAACCCTTACAAAAAAGTAACCAGAAGTAATCATTTTTTTCTCTTGTTCTGTTTTCTTATTCCTGCTTTACAAAACCCACTGTTTTATTTCCCAATGAGATTTGAGACCAAACAAGTCCACTTATGATGGAGATGATGCCTAAAGTTTTGGTCAACCTCAAAATTGAGAGGTTGACCAAAAGAGGGGAATTGCTCAATCAAGTTTATAGCCTAGGGCTGCTTCCTTACATATTTTTAGTGGATGTGTAAACAGACTGGATATGTAACCTAACTGGATATATAAACAGACTGTAACCTACTCTTGTGTCAATCCCAGAGTTTTGGCCAATCACAGGTGGCCAACTGTTCAAATTGTGTTCAAATAAAGCAAAGGCTGAACTGTAAACAATTCAGCTGTTTCTGCCCATCACTTCTGATTTCTGTAAGTCACTTTGCTTTCTCCGTCCATAAATCCACTCCCACCAAAAGATAGTGCTGCAGTCTGTCTGAGCATATTCTGGTTCTGGGAGCTGCCCGTGAAACATTCTTCACTCAATTAAACTTTGTGAAATTTAGGCAAACTATCCCAAAATGTGACCATTCTACCTCACCTGCAGTAGAGTCAGCACTGCCCACTATTTCTTCCAAGAAGTGTTGGTTCCTTTGTTCCCTCTATCCTGCCCCCTACTCTTAGTTATTTCTTATTGTGCACTTCAGATCTGCAATGATCCAAATGTTTGTGTTCCCCCAAGACTCCTATGTTGAAATCCTAACCATCAATGTCGTGGTAGTAGGAGGTAAGGCCTTTAGGAGGTGATTAGGTCATGAGGGTGCAGCCCTCATGAATGGGATTAGTGCCCTCATTAAAGAGGCCCCAGGGAGCTCTCTCTTTCCACCAGGCAAGGATACAACAAAGAGTTGGCAGTCTGCAACCTGAAAGAGGGTCCTCACCCAACCAGACCATGCTGGGACCCTCATCTTGAACTTCCAGCCTCCAAAACTGAGAAATAAATGTCTGTTGCTTATAAGCCACCCCGTCTATGCTACTTTGTTACAGCAGCCCAAGTGGACTAGGACAAGGCCCACTGGGTGCGCCATATGTTCTGACCAACTCCTTCCTCCCTAGGGTTTGTGAGAAGAGGGTGAATTGTGTCTTTTCAGGTCCACATGTTTGTAAGTGAACACTCATAGTGGTCAGGAGGCCAGACTCTGAAGTGTGAATTGTGTAAATTCATGTGTGCAAATTGTGGCTTAGATATTGTCACATAAAAATTATAGAATGCCATTGTTTTGGACTAAACTCCTGCAAGAGGCCCCAACAGACAAGACTAAAAATAAAAATGGAGTCACCCATGGTGAGATTCCACATCGCCAAAAAGAAAGTAAGTTGTTATCTAATGCTATGAGGAGAAATAACAGCCAATTTCTCAAACAGGCCAGTTTAAAATCTTCAGTCTGCATGGCAGTGATGTTCTCTCTGCTTTAATCCTTACACATTTTAGGTGGCCTAAAGTAACCTGATATTAACTAATCAGTTATTTTTCTATTGTTCTGTCTTCCTCTTCCCCACTTGCAAGCAAAGTAGCTTTGAAAGAACTGATACACTCTTTGCTCTTTACTTCCATTTTCTTCAGCCCTGATGTCAACCCCATTAGCCCAGTTCATTGGAAGGAACACTTATTCTATGTTGTGGCATGAAATGTTGCCTGATTCTAGAATTGCAAGTAAAGCCAATTGAGATATTTACACTACATTTGTTGTAATTTTGTCTTTTGACAACATTAACTAGCCTCATGAACTTGGACAAATTATTTAACCTGTCCCTGCATTCGTTTCCTCAACTGAAAAAGAAGGAGGTGGAGGGTAGACCATGTTACCTACCTCCTAGGGATATTGTGAAGACTAAAAGACATAATACTTATTAAACATTCAGGTGTTCCTAGCATTCAGTAAGCACTCGATCAATATTAACCTTTATTATCATTTTAAAAGTTTTTATTTTTACTGAATTGGGAAGGCTCTAGAACAAATTTAGGAATGAATTACAGAATCTTTAGGTCATCCTGGTTGCTCTCAAAATTTAGCCTACTGTTCAGAAACTCTTCTGTCTTCTCTTCCTACCATTCATCAGATGATGAGTGACCAGAAATCAGAAATGAAGTCCTTATGCTGAATCAAAATTCAAATTAATTTCCATTTTCGTTTCCTTGCCAAATACTGCGGCTGGAGGAGTGAGCAGACGTGGCAGGATTTGAGAGCTGTGATGAAGGGGAGGGAGTGTGGCAGGAAACAGGAACCAAAGGAAAAATCACAGAGAAAAGGAGCAGGATCAGTGGGTTTCCTGTGCCTCCCGAGAGTGCATGATGTCACCATCGTGCCCAGAGGAGGGCTACAGATCAACACCTGAGAGTAGTGGTATCAGAAAAAGGGTCGCTGCCCTTTTGGTTGTTAGGATTGGAGGTGTTATTTAAACATTGGCTGCAACATCTACTCCAAAGTTTGGCCAAATGACATAAACCATCAAATCTTCCACCTTCATTTTTTAAGGGGAATTTTACTAAATGTTTTTCCTGTGCCCTCATGTCTGGACACACCCCTGTTTTGAGTCAAGAAAATGATCTCTCGACTATGACTAACAGGCCCCAAAACATTATATTAAAACTCAGTCAAGGTATCACGTATTATTCCACAAGCCACAATGGATCCAGGGCCTTTCTGGGCTGTTTCATCCCAGACAATCCAAGGGGAATTTGAGTCAGGTACCAGGTTGCAGGCCTAAATAGATTTTTAATGCTTACCAGCATCTGCAAACCACCAAGTGGTTCATAAGAGACTTACTAAAGGTTCTGTGTTTTCTCCAAAATGCAAAACAAAACATGTACATGGTAAATTTTTGATAAAGCCTGGCACAGTAGTTATAACATTGCTTCCAAAGGAGACTTCTTGGGTTCAGATCATGGCTCTACCACTTGTTATCTGTGTGACCTTGGTCAAGTTACCTGACCTTGCTGTGCTGGTTTCTTCATCTGTCGAATGGGAATGATATTAACTACCTGCCAGGGTTACACAGGAATAAAGAAGTAATTCTTGTAAAGCCCTTAGAACTGTACTTGGCTCATAGTAACCCCTCAATTAATGTATGCTATGATTATAAATGTTAATTTTAAAGTGTCTGGTCAACTGCCTATTTAAGATTTTTATTTAAATGCTCAAGAAATAATATCACTTTATACATCTTTTTATCCTTACACCTTATACAAAAATTAATTCAAGATGGATTAAAGACTTAAAAGTTAGACCTAAAACCATAAAAACCCTAGAAGAAAACCTAGGCATTACCATTCAGGACATAGGCATGGACAAGGACTTCATGTCTAAAACACCAAAAGCAATGGAAACCAAAGCCAAAATTGACAAATGGGATCTAATTAAACTAAAGAGCTTCTGCACAGCAAAAGAAACTACCATCAGAGTGAACAGGCAACCTACAAAATGGGAGAAAGTTTTCACAACCTACTCATCTGACAAAGGGCTAATATCCAGAATCTACAATGAACTCAAACAAATTTACAAGAAAAAAACAAACAACCCCATCAAAAAGTGGGCAAAGGATATGAACAGACACTTCTCAAAAGAAGACATTTATGCAGCCAAAAGACACATGAAAAAATGCTCATCATCATTGGCCATCAGAGAAATGCAAATCAAAACCACAATGAGATACCATCTCACACCAGTTAGAATGGTGATCATTAAAAAGTCAGGAAACAACAGGTACTGGAGAGGATGTGGAGAAATAGGAACACTTTGACACTGTTGCTGGGACTGTAAGCTAGTTCAACCATTGTGGAAGTCAGTGTGGCGATTCCTCAGGGATCTAGAATTAGAAATACCATTTGACCCAGCCATCCCATTACTGGGTATATACCCAAAGGACTATAAACCATGCTGCCATAAAGACACATGCACACGTATGTTTATTGTGGCACTATTCACAATAGCAAAGACTTGGAACCAACCCAAATGTCCAACAATGATAGACTGGATTAAGAAAATGTGGCACATATACACCATGGAATACTATGCAGCCATAAAAAATGATGAGTTCATGTCCTTTGTAGGGACATGGATGAAGCTGGAAACCATCATTCTCAGTAAACTATCACAAGGACAAAAAACCAAACACCGCATGTTCTCACTCATAGGTGGGAATTGAACAATGAGAACACATGGACACAGGAAGGGGAACATCACACACTGGGGACTGTTGTGGGGTGGGGGGAGGGGGGAGGGATAGCATTAGGAGATATACCTAATGCTAAACGATGAGTTAATGGGTGTAGCACACCAGCATGGCACATGTATACATATGTAACCTGCACATTGTGCACATGTACCCTAAAACTTTAAGTATAATAATAATAATAATAATAATAATAATAGAATAGACCTAAATCACAATCTGAAAAAAAAGAAAAAAAAGAAAGAAAAATTAATAGATGATTAAATACAACAGTGGGTCTATTTTTTAATATATATACACATACTATAAAGAAATAATGTTTAAAATACGGGCTTGGTAAAAGTACTTTATCAAGGTGAAAATACCATGAGATTTTGTCTTCTGTCTCATGAGGAAGAGGAAGTTGATTCTCAGGGATGCTTGAA
Organism: Homo sapiens; assembly: GCF_000001405.40. NCBI lineage: Eukaryota > Metazoa > Chordata > Mammalia > Primates > Hominidae > Homo > Homo sapiens. Next base: position 52,237,667 of record NC_000004.12, on the reverse strand, counting down.
TCTAGAAAGGTCCGATAGGTCTAATAGGTTGCTCTCTGTGGCTCATTGAATGCTCTACCAAGTTAGCATCAAATCTCATTTAATGCTTTTCAGCTGTGGGCATGGATAGCCCAGGCCTACTCACTTACGTCAGAGCTTTATCTGTCTGCATTCTGTGTTTTCATCCTTTTCTTTAAAACCAGATATCTTTATATCAAACAATCCTCTCCACTTTCCAGTCTAGTCTCTAACCCACGATTTCAATTACTATCTGTGGAATGATCGTGTATTTGTAGCCCCAGCCCAGGCTTTCCAAGCTTCAGACCATCTTCAACTTAATATATCCTCTTGGATGCCCCAAAGAAACCTATCTAAACTGAACTAAGACTGAGCTCATCATGTTTCCTGCCAAACCTCATATTTTTCCAGGGTTTCCTATTTCATTGAATGGCACCACCATCCCACATTGTCCAAGCCCTAAACTTCAGCTCAACCTTAATACCTCCTTCTCTCTCACTCTTTATCCAACACTTCACCTAGTCTAATTGGTTTTACCTCTTAAATTGCTATGGACTCATCGACTTCTGCATCCACCTATTCCAATCCTCACCACCAGCACTCAAGTTCAAACTACTCCCATCACTCAATTCAACCACTGCCTTTTAGCCAGGCTTGCAACCTCCACTCTGGACCACCCTCCAGTCCATTCACCACACTGAAGTCAGAGTAATCTTTTCAAATCTAATTAAGTCATCACCTTCCACCCCTCATCCCCGCTTAAAAAACTCAAATGACTTTTCATTGTTTTTAGAATAAGGATAACTTCTTAATTCTGCCTATGAGAATCTGCAAGGTCTAGCCCCTCCCTTCCTTTCCTATTTCACTTTGCAATCCTGTTTTGCTCAGTCTCTCTTCTTCTGCCTCTCAAGCCTTCTTTCTGTTTCTTATCTTTTTCATGCTCCCCCTTGCCATGAGGTCTTTGCCCATGTTGCCTTGAATGGTCTTCTCTCCCTTCTCAGCCTGGTCATTGCTGACTTCTCAACTCAAGCATCCCTTCTGCAGTTAAGCCTTTCTTAACCTCGCTGATGTGATCAACTTCTTCTAGTCTAGGATCTCATAACACTGAGTACTTCTTATTAATGCCTTCGTTCAACTAATATTTATGGAGCACCTGTGTCAGATGCTGTTCTGGGTACTCAGGAAACATTGTTGAACAGAACAAAATCTCTCCTTTTATGAAGCTGACATTCTACGATGGGAAACAGGCAATAAAAAAAAACAAATAAATATAAATGTCAGAGGGTGATAAGTACTTAAAAATAAATAAGCAGAAACAAAGATGAGGGAGCTTAGATTTGCAATTTTTCATTTGTTTCTGTGGTTACTGGATTATATTTTTGTTCCCCACTAGACTGTAGGCTCCAAGACAGCTAGGTTTGCTCATTATTTATCTTCAACTTCTAGCACAGTACCTATCTCATAATAGATGCTCAATAAAAATGATTAACTCATTTTCATTCAAAAAACAATAATTTGCACAGAGTGGAACATAAAACTGTTGAAAAGTGAGAAATAAAAGAAACTTTTTATTTAAAGAATGTGAGCCCCTTTAAATGATCAGGCCCAGAGGGGCAATGAAATGTGACAGCAGTCACATCTCACTCCTCACCCTGGAGCTAAGTAATCTCCCTGCTATATGGGCTCTAGACTGAGCGTCGCCACTGAGTAGCCATAAATTAACCCAACAATGTTATGTGCTGGACATCATAATTCACACCCTATAGTTCAACAATGTATAGCCAATCAGGAGTCAATGTTATTTCTGTAAACCAATGAGAATTCCTAAAAAACAAGTTTTGTAATCAACCCTTCTCCTGATTTGTCCTTTTTTCTTTGAAAACTTGAGTCTCTCCTTTGTTCTTTGAAGCAATTCCCAGTGTTTCCCAGGGTAAGTCATCAACCTTGGCCCAAATCAACTCTATATTAATTTTGCCTCTGTGTCTTTCTTTAAATTGGCAATAGCCTTATGTAAATAGATGTCAATGATTTTTTTAAAGTGGCATTTGAAAATAAATCAGGTGTTCAGTCTCACTTCAAAGCAATTTAACTTTTAAATCCCTATGTTTGAATGTAAAACAGAGATCATCTTGGAAAATCTCAGACACTGGACACTTTAAGTTCCTTTCATTCTTAGATAAAAATCCTAACAACAACTTGCACTTTTTAAAATTTTTATGCTGGTAAATGATTTTCACGTTGAAAGTCAAAGAAGCAATTAAATTAGTGAATTCTGCTGTGATCGAATAAGCCAGTTAAAACATGGACCTGCTTCATAAGTAAATTTGCACTTTTTGGAAAGAACATAACTGTCCCCAAAGGATGGACATGGGTCCAAAGCCAGGCTTTAGCTTGAACTTTTTAGCTATTTCCAAGAAGCAAAAAGAGCTATGGTTCTCAGAGATTTATTTTTCTTCTCTATAGAGACAAGTCAGCATTTTGAAAAACAGAGGGTTCTTCTGCTAAGCATTTCTGGGTAAGGGAAAGCACCACTCTTGTATTTCAGCTCTATTTTTAAATTATAAATCATAGCTGGAAAACTAAAATATGGCAACAACAACAGGATGGTGAAAAAAACATGAATGCAGACAGTTTTTTTTTTAAGCGACCTTTAATTTTAAAAGCACTAAATCCATCTGCAATAACTCTTCTAAATTGTTTTGTGAGTTTGCCCTATAGCCTTCGGACTTTCTGTTTTGGCTTTCACATTGTCTAAACAAACTCTTGAAAAAGAATGGTTTTTGTAGAAATTTCCCTAGAAAATGAAGAAAGAGAAGCTCCAACACAGCAGAAAATTGTGCTGAAAGAGGAATTCTAGTTGGGTGGATGAGGGTGGGTGCAGGGCGAGGACACACAAATTCATGGCCATTAGGTAAGAAATGCAAAATAAGCAAAAACACAATGAGTTTGCTTTGGAAAATTTTCCAAGAACAGATTATTCCTGGTCAGGTAGTGGAGCCTTTTGAATCATAGAGCTCTACTGACATCTAGTGCAGAAAGGCATAATGATCATCTATGAAATGCGATACCCTACTGTCTTTTATTACATGTCCTAAAAAGTCAACTATGTATGTATCGTTATTGGTCAAGGGAAACCATAGCAAGTAAGTCCTTTAACAAAGGGCTTTCTTATATAACATCTTCCTTCATTCTCTCTACAGTAACCCTGCAAGCAAAACAGAAACATTATTATCAATCTCATTTCACAGAGGGGAAAACAGAGGCTTAGAGAAAGAGGTTTAGTGACTTTCCTAAGATGACATGCCCACTGAGGGCAGAATCAGGACAAAAACAAGTCTTCTATGATCTCAGACCTTGATTCCCTGCAAATCTCCCCTCTCCACCCACAGTTCTGCCTTCCCAGCTTCAGAGGACACTGAAAGACTCCTCCAAAGGTAAATGTGGACATCCTCCTCATTTGGGAGAAGGGAAGGAGAAAGGGGCAGGGTCTTAGCTTAACCCCATAGAAATTAGAGTTGAATGTCTCTCTGGATTTATGCTACACTGGCCTATGAAACCACGAATTAGGAATATCAAGTTCCCTAGCAAAAATGGTAGTTGGAAGTAAATACAAAAGGGAAGAACTCCAACTAGGAAAGCATTGCAGAGTCCCTGATATCCTTTTCCTTCTTTTTTGAACAAATAAAAAAACACCCACACAAACACCCACCCCCCTCCCCCCCCCACACACACAAGTCTACATACAGAGAGATGGATGGATGGAAAGATAGATAGATGATAGATAGATAGATTTTAGAAAACAAACATCCAAAAGGGTGTCTTAGGATTTTCTCCTTAGTCTATTTTATGCTGGTAGCAGATACCAAGCATCTGATTTTAAGTTTTTCCATTTAACAGCAAAAACAGAAAACAAACAAAAAGCAGGAGTTCAAATAAATCCAAACAAATAGTGAATAATTTACAAGAAGAATAACTGCAGGGAGACAGCATCTTGGGGGATTTCTTTGTTTGTTTTTTAGAGATGAGGCTTGCTATATTGCCCAGGCTGGCCTCAAACTCCTGGGTTCAAGCAATTCTCACACCTCAGCCTCTTGACTAGCTGGGCCATGCCACCACGCCCAGCGAAAAAGCTATTTTTGCATTTAAGGAGTGAAGATAACTTTATGGGAGAGAATGTTTGTTTTCATTTGGGTTTCAAAGGATTTATTTAGGGATAACTGCAGTTCCAATTCAGATTTCTGACCAGACCAAATGACTCAAGGGATCCTCCCACTTCAGGCTCCTGAGTAGCTAGGACTACAGGTGCTTGCCACCATGCCTGGCTAATTTCTAATTTTCTTTTGTAGAGACAGGGTCTCCTCATGTTGCTCAGGCTGGTCTCAAACTCCTGGGCTCAAATTATGTTCCCACCTTGGCCTCCCAAATGTTGTGATTATAGGTGTGAGTCACCACACCTAGTCTACTTTCATATATTTTAAAAAATATAATCTCAGCTCCTTTAACTAAAACTTAAAAAGCAAGCAGCCCAGGCGCAGTAGCTCACGCCTGTAATCCCAGTACTTTGGGATGCTGAGGCGGGAGGATCACGAGGTCAGGATTTCTAGACCAGCCTGGCCAACACAGTGAAACCCCCTCTCTACTAAAAATACAAAAATTAGCTGGGCGTGGTGGTTGGCTCCCAGTTACTCAGGAGGCTGAGGCAGGAGAATCGCTTGAACCCGGGAGACAGAGGTTTCAGTGAGCCAAGATCGTGCCACTGCACTCCAGCCTGGGCAACAGAGCTAGACTCTGTCTCAGAAAAAAAGCAAGCAAAGAGAACAGACATTTGCTCTTCCTTGACCAGTAGTCAGCATTCAACATCCTGAAGAAAAATAAATTTTTTAATAGCTCATTAAAAAATCTGATCATTTTATGTTGAGTTGGTTAGAAAAAATGTTCAAAAGAACACTCCAGAAAATTTAAAATGAGATTGCGATGGAAGGTGTTTAGAACTTATGATATTTCCAGGCATTCAGTTTTAATATTTGACCCATTAAGACATGTTTTCATTGGAATGCTAAAAGCAAAGAAAAAGGGCTTTAATACAGGGGAAATGATGATTTGCTGAAACAATATAATTATTTGCTTAACCAGAAAATTATAATTTACTTAAACTCCCAGAAAATTATAATTTACTTAAACTCCCATCCAACTCAGGATTTCATTTTCATATCTATTTCATAGCCTTTGACATGGAAAATGAACATATTAGAACTTGCTGAGAGATTGATTAGGGCATCTTTATCTGAGCAGTAAACAACTGGAATTTGTCATCTACAAATGTTGTCTATGCTTAACATTTGTCTTTTGTGCCAATAGAAGTCCTGGCATAATAAGCAAAGGAATAGTTTGGCAATTGCTGCATTAGTCTCATCAATGTAGAAGCCAACCCAGGTCATTCTAGCTTAAACAGCCACCTGGTTTGGTTGCTGTCTACATTGACAGAATTAACCTAATAGTATACTTTCCCTCAAAGTGTATCAAAACCTAGCACAAAACCTAGAAATAGAAATGAGAAAGAAGTTATGACTATCTGGCATGAGTTGTTGGTCTCGAGAAACAAATGAGAATGGAAATGCTCAAGAAATTGCATATAATAAGAGTTGTGAGTTTAAATGTTCACAGAAGCCAAGTAGAGTGATGATGTCTGAATGATAAGCAGGGGCCATAAAGAATGTGGCAAACTGGGCAGCACATGCCCTGTTCCAAGAGGCATCATCTGCGACTCACTTCCAGCAAATTATGTGAGGCATGAATGTGGGGAGAAGTCAGGAATCTGGAGTTTTGATTGACATCTCCCAACTTTTAAAATATTGGCTATTAATTCAACTTTCTAAGAACTCCGAAAGGGCCAAATCAAGAATGGCTGTAGGCTGCATTCAACTCATACCAGTTTGTGATATCTGACAAATAACATCTGGGCTGCATCAGCTCTGCATTTTCTCAGTGCATATGTATCGCATGTATGTGCTTATGTCTATGTGTGTGTACACACATGGATTTACACATCTTAGATCCATCTGCATGTATGAAGATGAGTCAAACTGAAAAATTAAAACAACAACAAAAAAAATCAGTCTGGTTGATTGATCCCCTAGAACTATGTGACAGATATTGCTGGGACCCTGAAGCTTTGGTGAGGCCAACAGTGTCATCCTCTGCAAGAGTCTGTCTCCTCCTTACCCTTCTTGAGCAATGTCTCCCCCATCCATCCTCCACCTTCACTGTGCTTTTGCATCCAAAAGGCAGTATCTGCAGCCCTTCTTTGGAGAATTGCTTTAGACCAACTGGAGCCAATTTGCCAATAGGTGCAAAAAGCCAAAGGTACATCCTCCTGGGGCAGACAACTCTTAACTAATGACTTTCAGGCATGAAAGCTTAGCTCTCCTACTTTGGAATGGGGTGACTTTGAGGTATAACTTACACATTACAGCTCCCCTGCAGGATTAGACTGACACTCCCTTCTGCAAGACTTTGTCACCATTGCTTCCTTACTTGCCTTCTTCCTCTTCTCTTTTCTGTTCTCCCCTCTCCTATACTGGTCCCGTCCTCACCCCTTTATTAAAATGCACCTTTATTAAGGAGGATTTCCTTAATAAATCATTTGCACACAATTCTTTGTCTCAGAAGCCTGTTGAATCCAACCTGAGACCGCTAGTGTCCTCAGTGTCTCAATTTTCTCTACCTTAATATGAAGATGATAATATTACCTACCACATAGGGTTGTTGTGATGATTAAGTGAGTTAGCCTGCATAAAGGGCTTATAATAATCCCTGGCAATCACTATATAAATGTTGGCTAAAGTTATTATCTCATGATATTAGATGATACAAATCAAAATAAAACCATCACGTTTTTCAGCCAAGTTCTATTTTCTTATGAAAGTACATATTGATTTAAACTTTGGAGATGTATATGTATGAGAGCTCAATATATCATTTTGTTCTCCAAGATTATTCACACATGACATGCCGGTAGGATGAAGCAGAACCCCAATAACAAACCCAAACTAAATGGTGGTGTGTTCATTGGTGGCAAAACCATTAGACCATGGCACGGGACATCTCAGACACCTCTAATATCCTCACAAAGCATCACGATTGATTCAGCTGCAGCCCATCTGTCAAATGCACAGGCCATAGTGAGCTCAGCTCTCATGGCCAATTTGTTGCTTCCATATTGACACAGCCTAAGTTTCCTGTCTTTCCTGCAGAAACAGGCATCTCTTTCCAAATTTCTCCATTGTTGTCAACAGTACCATCATCTTTACAATCCCTCAAGATTATAAATTTAGAAGTTTCTTTCCAGCTTCTTCCTCCTAAACCAATCTATCATCATATTTTTGCCTATTGTTTTTCTCACAAGGCCCAGCAAATCTCTTCCTTTCTAAAGCTGCCACTGTAAAATAAGCCCCAATACTTCATGTTTGAGGACTCCCACTGCTAATTTGTTCTTGTACCTTCTTGTCTCTTCTGTCTTTAAATCACTGTTGCTATAGCTGGTAGAATATTATTTAATGCTTTCTACCTTTCTATAGCCAAAGAGCATGTGTTACCTACTCCAATTATTTAACAAGCAAGTACAGAGTACTGACTATATTCCAGGTATTGTTCTAGGTGCTTTACAAATATTAACAACCCTTGGAGTCAGGCAGTATTATTATCCCAGTTTTATAAATGAGGAAACAGAGATAAATAATTTGCCCAAAGTTGTAAGTGTCAGGGCCAGGACTCAAAGCCACAGCAGTCTGGCTCCCGGGTCTGTGCACATAGTGACAACAAAGCAACACTACCATTGCCTCTCAATCAATGTTTGCTGTCACCGTCATCAATCTTTGTCACTGCTCTAATCCCAAACCCTCACCTCCAGGTTCTCCCATTCCTGAGTTTCTGGGAGTAATTCTATAGGCAGAGTAGGGCAAGAAGCATTCTATGAATGGTAAGACAATGGCTTACTTGAAAATTTTAAACCAGGAAATCATGAGAGATAACACTAGTGGGGAGGTAAGTAACCTCTTTATGAGGAATCAGGCTATGATAATAGGCTGACCTGCTCATGACACTCAAACCAGTGAACACATCTATAGTTGCTCTCAAAATGTTAATCATCTCAGTTTTCACAGCCTTCCACTTTGAGATATGTTCTAAAAGAACTGGCCAGTCCCTGTTTCATGGTTGCATTAAGTTCTTTCCCCATAGACCAAAAACCAACCTCAGAAAGGAGTACATGTGTAACTGTCTTATACACTTGTGAGTTCCTTAAACCTCCAAGATTCTTCATCATTGGTGGGGGCAGAGGCCAGTTCTCTTTGTTTGAGAATAAGTTTGAGTACATATTTCTAGCGCCATTTCTTCAGTATTTTCCCAGGATGCCTATAGGGACTTTAAGCACATAGGACTCTGATGGCCTGCCTAATGTCCCAGAGACCCCAAGAGTGAAATGTGTGCACTAGGATACACTTATGAACCCACTATACTTGAATATCTATTTTTTAATTTTGAAGACTTTTATAATTACAAGCAATTTTTCAGTTATCACCATGGTGATGTGTATTTCATATTCAGAAGGTCTGTCCAAATTCTTATTGACCTTCAAACAAACTGTAAATTTGACCATGATTATAGATCTTTAGTAATTTGCCACTCCTTGCCATAATAGCTTAAATGAGCATTAACATCTTCTTTAGGAGCACATTAATATTTGCTGGATATTTTAACCCAAATAGAATTACTAGGCGTGGTTTTAGTAAACAATTACTGGGTAAAGTGCCAAAAGCAGACAATAATATAAAATATTCCAAAAGCTTTGCTACATAACTATTAAGCTGGAGAAAATAAATGAAAGAGTCTCCAAAAATGTGTTGTTCAGTCACTACCTGGAATGGCTTAATATAGTAAAATACAAAAACAATACTGCATAATATATTTTATTGTATTTCTTAAAAGTAACTCAATTATAGAATCATACAGTCAAAGCACATTGTGATTATTTGGTTAGGGTGAACATAAGCGTTTAAATTATTCTTTTCATTTTGGGCCCAAAAGGGGGTGACAGAGAGTAGTTGGACATTAACTTTTAAAAAAATTTTCCCTTGAGATAATATAACAACTTTTATTCCATCATAACTCAAACTTAATATCAATATGGCTTTCCCAATTAGATCAACCGATGTGTAACAGATTCATTGGCAGCAGATGAGTTGGTGACATGAGACTAAAGCATGAAGGGTAAAGAAGTTACTTAAAATCAATTTATCTTGGCCAAAATTTTTACGAGGTTTAAATATTTTTTATGATAATATCTCAAAATTCAAAGCATGGTGGTAGAGACTTTGGTCATCTTATGTACGGTTCTGTTTCTGGCTGGAATGTTAACTCTAACAGGCATATGATCCACCTCGCCCCAGGTATTTATATTAAATAATTTCTGGAGAGGATCTTCAACAGAAGATAAGTTAAGAATGCCCACATCCATTTTAAAGCATCAACGCTATATAAAGTTTGTCATAGATTAATTTCGGCATCAGTAGCCATTATTCATTTAAGCATTGATTTTTACACCAAATCTCATTTTAAAGGGGTATAATACAACGTTATTACCATGTAAATAAATGTAGAAAAAGTAATAAAAGGAAATTAAGGTTAGGAAAATATTTGAAATCCAGTGCAAGGTTAGTACATTAAAATATAATTCAGTTGCTGGAAATAGGTAACAAAATTGGCTCTAAGCTTCCTAGCAGCCAAAGCAAACAAAAATACCTTGATATATATCACTCACAGAATCCATAAGCCTAAAAACAGACCTATTTTTCAGTGAAAATTCAGTCTTTCTTGCTATTAAGACCTGAAAGAAATTTCTCCTGTAATTCCTTATAAGAGGAAGCTAGGTCAAAGTCAGCTTTGTCTTTTGAAACTCCCTCACCAGCCCAATAACAATGCTCTTCCCTTTCTTCAGACTTTCAACATGTTCCTTTGGTTTTTCATTTCAGAAATATTTATTGAATACCTACTATGTACCTGGAATGTGTATGAGATACTGCGGAATACAATAGTAGGCAGAACAGGCCCAATCTTGCCATTATGGAGAGAGATGAATTTCTTCTTAAATCATGTAAATAAATATATACAATTGCTATATATATATATGTACACACACAATTTGTGTGCAAGTTTCTATAATACAATATATGAGTACGTATAATTAAAAACTGTGGTTAATGCTGAAAAGGAAACTACAAGGCATCTAAAAACAAGTGACTTGATCTACCCTGGAAGGTCAGAGAAGGCCTTCCTAAGGAAATGAAGTTCGCACTTGGAATGAAAGGAGGAATAAGTACCATCTCTAAATAGAAGTATATTTAACACTACACTGTGCTGTATCTTTTTCCATTGTTTAATGGGGAGGGAATCTGATCTTGTTTTCCAAATTTCCCCATGGATGCTGAGCTCCTGCTGGTATAGATTATATCTCCTGCTTCAGCATTGCCATCCTGTCTCAACGATGTCAGGGATGTTGTAGTACTCCATAAACCCTCAGTTCAGCCAACTGCCGCTGAATGAGAAGAGAATACAGTTTAACGCTACCACCATCAAAAATGCTCAGCAAGAAAATATAGCTCCCTTTACCCTCAACTCTCAGTACTTTGAACTAACAAATGTTTTAATTGACAGGAAATTCAAATACATCTTCCAAGCACTTTATTTTTATTACTAGTTTTGGGGGAGATTGGAGTTCCCCTGGAGACAAATTTAAACTGGAGAGTTGGAAAGGCCCGTGCTTTGTTACAAACTGAGAATTTCTCTTTGTATGCTGTTTTTCTTCGGCTCACGGTAAATGATATTTCAATATTCCCTCTGCAGCACCAGGCAGCACCTGCAGACCTGTTTTCTGCTCCTACTATAACAAATTGCTAATTAATCACAAACACCACCAAATTGTTTTAACATGCCTCTGAGGTCACTGCACCAGGCTCAGTTTCTCTCCTCCTTATCTTTTTTTCTTCCTCCTTCCTATCTTCCTTCTCTCCCTTCTCTTTTCTTTCCTCCAACATATATACTATCTTTCCCCTGCTTCCTCTACTGGATCTCCTTCTCAGGATGTAAAAAATCTGAAATCTCATGATCAGAGGCTGCATAATGAGTCAAAACCTACTGAGGGCAGAGATTTTGTGTTTGGTAACTTAATGCCCAGTCTCTCTACTCCCTAGACAGGAGCTTTGCCTGCCCAGTCTACATGTTTGTATCTACATGTTTGTGGGGGCACCATCAAATTGTGGGGAAAAGAAAGAAAGATTGGGAGAATGGAAGGAACTGGTGTCCCTATCTTTCATGGAGAAGAAGCAAATAACAAGGGAAGATATAAATAATGAAACTCATGGGAGTGAGCAGAAAGCAAGATTAGAACCTAAAGAGAAGATCCTCAACGGTGAATGGGCAAGACGGAGTTAGGGATGTCAGAAAACAGAATTTAAAGAAATTCCCAGAGCCATGGACATAAGAGAGAGAGCTTAGTCTTTGGCTGAATCTGAAAGGGAGGAGTTGTTATTGAAGGCCCTTTGCTTGTCTAGACTTCTTGTTGATAGCAAAGTGATAATAGAATGTGAAGATTAACTGTTGAGCTCTAGATTTGGATGACCTTGCTTCTTAAGCTATATGACCTTGGCCAAGTGACTAACCTTCCCTAAGCCTTGCTGTATAATCTGTACAATGGAGAGAATAATACAAGAGTTGTAGTTGTCCAACAATGGGAGATCCTATTATTTCTTCTTATTCTGTTACTATAATAACTATACTATTACACTACTGTAAGTGTTAACACATGGTAGGTGCTAAAAAAAACATTGTTGATTATCAAAGGTATGTATGTGCCATATACAAATAATCAGGGAAGTTTTCCTTATAAGATAAAGTGCAACCAATCAGACTTTTAACATGTTCTCTCATAGACTAGAAACATTGTCTGGATATTAAAGAGCTTGCTTTAGCCTTGAAAGTACCCATGTGGCCAGAGAGCACTGTCCTGTGCTTATCTTCCTGGATGTCTCCCTATTACACAATTGGTCTGCTTCATTCTTTGGGAGTTACAATCTGCCAATGGAAACAACAGCTTCCTCTTCCCTCAGGCCAACAAGCTATACTATGGAAAGGAAAAACAGGCCTCTTGAACTGCACTTAGCTACAACCTTGATTTCAGGCAGCCAGGAGCTCAGAGGCTAGACCTCTGGGTTGATGCTCCCTGGGCAAAGATCACTTTCCTGATGACGTGGATTTCTATCTACAGCATGGCAAGAAAAACAGTGGCATGTAACCTGCACTCTTTAAGACCCTGACAATGTTATTATTAGGACCACCCATGCCAATTTGGATGACTAAAGAAAATGATAAAACATCTCAAATAAACCAAATAGAGATGTCAAAATATTAGAAGGGTCAGATCCCATTTGGAATAGTGGGTTGAATTTTGGACACCATATTTTAAGGGAATACCTGAAAGTTGTGTTCCCAAGGATAGCAACAAGATGAAAAAGAAAATGATAATTTATGGAACACAGCACATAGATGTGTCAGGTATTGAATAAAGAGCTAAAAAACCCATTAAAAGCATCATTCCATGGAATGTTTATCATGACCCCATAAAAGAGCTAATGTGGTCCCCATGTGACAGATGAAAACATAGTTATTAGGGAGGAGGTTCCAAGATGGCCAAATAACAGCAGCTCCAGTCTGCAGCTCCCAGCATGAGCGATGCAGAATATGGGTGATTTCTGCATTTTCAACTGAGCTTTGAAGAGAGTAGTGCTTCTCCCAGCATGGAGTTTGAGATCTGAGAATGGACAGACTGCCTCCTCAAGTGGGTCCCTGACCCCCGAGTAGCCTAACTGGGAGACACCTCCCAGTAGGGGCCGACTGACACCTCATACAGCCCAGTGCCCCTCTGAGACGAAGCTTCCAGAAGAAGGATCAGACAGCAACATTTGCCATTCTGCAAACAGGGTCTGGAGTGCACCTCTGGCAAACTCCAATAGACCTGAAGCTGAGGGTCCTGATAGTTAGAAGGAAAACTAACAAACAAAAAGGACATCAACACCAAAATCCCATCTGTACGTCACCATCATCAAAGACCAAAGGCAGATAAAACCACAAAGATGGGGAGAAACCAGAGCATAAAAGCTGAAAATTCTAAAAATCAGAGTGCCTCTTCTCCTCCAAAGGAACACAGCTCCTCACCAGCAATGGAACAAAGCTGGGATCTAGGCTGGCAGCCAAGATGGCTGAATAGGAACAGCTCCAGTCTACAGCTCCCCAGCGCGAGCGACACAGAAGATGAGTGATTTCTGCATTTCCATCTGAGGTACCAGGTTCCTATCGCTAGGGAGTGCCAGAAAGTGGGTGCAGGTCAGTGGGTGCAGCGCACCCTGCATGAGCTGAAGTGGGTGTGGCATTGCCTCACTCAGGAAATGCAAGGGGTCAGGAAGTTCCCTTTCCTAGTCAAAGAAAGGGTTCAGAGATGGCACCTGGAAAATCGGGTTACTCCCACCCTAATACTATGCTTTTCCGACAGGCTTAAAATATGGCGCACCAGGAGATTATATCCAGCGCCTGGCTCAGAGGGTCCAACGCCCACGGAGTCTCACTGATTGCTAGCACACCAGTCTCAGATCAAACTGCAAGGGGGCAGCCAGGCTGGGGCAGGGGTGCCCGCCATTGCCCAGGCTTGCTTAGGTAAACAAAGCAGCCAGGAAGCTCGAACTGGGTGGAGCCCACCACAGCTCAAGGAGGCCTGCCTGCCTCTATAGGCTCCACCTCTGGGGGTAGGGCACAGACAAACAAAAAGACAGCAGTAACCTCTGCAGACTTAAATGTCCCTGTCTGACAGCTTTGAAGAGAGCAGTGGTTCTCCCAGCATGCAGCTGGAGATCTGAGAACAGGCAGACTGCCTCCTCAAGTGGGTCCCTGACCCCTGACCCCTGAGCAGCCTAACTGGGAGGCAAACCCCAGTAGGGGCAGACTGACACCTCACATGGCTGGGTACTCCTCTGAGACAAAACTTCCAGAGGAACCATCAGACAGCAGCATTCGTGGTTCATGAAAATCCACTGTTCTGCAGCCACCGCTGCTGATACCCAGGCAAACAGGATCTGGAGTGGACCTCTAGCAAACTCCAACAGACCTGCATCTGAGGGTCCTGTCTGTTAGAAGGAAAACTAACAAACAGAAAGGACATCCACACCAAAAACCCATCTGTACATCACCATCATCAAAGGCCAAAAGTAAATAAAATCACAAAGATGGGGAAAAAACAGAGCAGAAAAACTGGAAACTCTAAAAAGCAGAGCGCCTCTCCTCCTCCAAAGGAATGCAGTTCCTCACCAGCAATGGAGCAAATGTGGATGGAGAATGACTTTGACAAGTTGAAAGAAGCAGGCTTCAGACGATCAAACTACTCCAAGCTACAGGAAGAAATTCAAACCAAAGGCAAAGAAGTTAAAAACTTTGAAAAAAATTTAGACGAATGTATAACTAGAAAAACAAATACAGAGAAGTGCTTAAAGGAGCTGATGGAGCTGAAAGCCAAGGCTCGAGAACTATGTGAAGAATGCAGAAGCCTCAGGAGCCGATGAGATCAACTGGAAGAAAGGGTATCAGTGATGGAAGATGAAATGAATGAAACGAAATGAGAAGGGAAGTTTAGAGAAAAAAGAGTAAAAAGAAACGAACAAATACTCCAAGAAATATGGGACTATGTGAAAAGACAAAATCTACATCTGATAGGTGTACCTGAAAGTGACAGGGAGAATGGAACCAAGTTGGAAAACATTCTGCAGAATATTATCCAGGAGAACTTCCCCAATCTAGCAAGGCAGACCAACATTCAGATTCAGGAAATACAGAGAACACCACAAAGATATTCCTTGAGAAGAACAACTCCAAGACACATAATTGTCAGATTCACCAAAGCTGAAATGAAGGAAAAAATGTTAAGGGCAGCCACAGATAAAGGTCAGGTTACCCTCAAAGGGAAGCCCATCAGACTAACAGTGGATCTTACGGCAGAAACCCTACAAGCCAGAAGAGAGTGGGGGCCAATATTCAACACTCTTAAAGAAAAGAATTTTCAACCCGGAATTTCATATCCAGCCAAACTAAGCTTCATAAGTGAAGGAGAAATAAAATACTCTATAGACAAGCAAATGCTGAGAGATTTTGTCACTACCAGGCCTGCCCTAAAAGAGCTCCTGATGGAAGCACTAAACATGGAAAGGAACAACCGGTACCAGCCACTGCAAAATCATGCCAAATTGTAAAGACCACCAAGGGTAGGAAGAAACTGCATCAACTAACAAGCAAAATAACCAGCTAACATCATAATGACAGGATCAAATTCACATATAACAATATTAACTTTAAATGTAAATGGACTAAATGCTCCAATTAAAAGACACAGACTGGCAAATTGGATAAGGAGTCAAGATCCATCAGTGTGCTGTATTCAGGAGACCCATCTCACGTGCAGAGACACACATAGGCTCAAAATAAAAGGATAGAGGAAGATCTACCAAGCAAATGGAAAACAAAAAAAGTCAGGGGTTGCAATCCTAGTCTCTAATAAAACAGGCTTTAAACCAACAAAGATCATAAGAGACAAAGAAGGCCATTACATAATGGTAAAGGGAACAATTCAAAAAGAAGAGCTAACTATCCTAAATATATATGCACCCAATACAGGAGCACCCAGATTCATAAAGCAAGTCCTGAGTGACCTACAAAGAGACTTAGACTCCCACACAATAATAATAGGAGACTTTAACAACCCACTGTCAACATTAGACAGATCAACAACACAGAAAGTTAACAAGGATACCCAAAAATTGAACTCTGCTCTGCACCAAGCAGACCTAATAGACATCTACAGAACTCACCACCCCAAATCAACAGAATATACATTTTTTTCAGCACCACACCACACCTATTCCAAAATTGACCACATACTTGGAAGTAAAGCTCTCCTCAGCAAATGTAAAAGAACAGAAATTATAACAAACTATCTCTCAGACCACAGTGCAATCAAACTAGAACTCAGGATTAAGAAACTCACTCAAAACTGCTCAACTACATGGAAAGTGAACAACCTGCTCCTGAATGACTACTGGGTACATAATGAAATGAAGGCAGACATAAAGATGTTCTTTGAAACCAACGAGAACAAAGACACAACATACCAGAATCTCTGGGACACATTCAAAACAGTGTGTAGAGGGAAATTTATAGCACTAAATGCACACATGAGAAGCAGGAAAGATCCAAAATTGACACCATAACATCACAATTAAAAGAACAAGAAAAGCAAGAGCAAACACATTCAAAAGCTAGCAGAAGGCAAGAAATAACTAAAATCAGAGCAGAACTGAAGGAAATAGAGACACAAAAAACACTTCAAAAAATTAATGAATCCAGGAGCTGGTTTTTTGAAAGGATCAACAGAATTGATAGACTGCTAGCAAGACTAATAAAGAAGAAAAGAGAGAAGAATCAAATAGACACAATAAAAAATGATAAAGGGGTTATCACCACCGATCCCACAGAAATACAGACTACCATCAAAGAATACTATAAATACCTCTACATAAATAAACTAGAAAATCTAGAAGAAATGGATAAATTCCTCAACACATACACCCTCCAAAGACTAAACCAGGAAGAAGTTGAATCTCTGAATAGACCAATAACAGGATCTGAAATTGTGGCAATAATCAATAGCTTACCAACCAAAAAGAGTCCAGGACCAGATGGATTCACAGCCGAATTCTACCAGAGGTACAAGGAGGAGCTGGTACCATTTCTTCTGAAATAATTCCAATCAACAGAAAAAGAGGGAATCCTCCCTAACTCATTTTATGAGGCCAGCATCATCCTGATACCAAAGCCAGGCCGAAACACAACCAAAAAAGAGAATTTTAGACCAATATCCTTGATGAACATTGATGCAAAAATCCTCAATAAAATACTGGCAAACTGAATCCAGCAGCACATCAAAAAGCTTATCCACCATGATCAAGTGGGCTTCATCCCTGGGATGCAAGGCTGGTTCAATATACACAAATCAATAAATGTAATCCAGCATATAAACAGAACCAAAGACATAAACCACATGATTATCTCAATAGATGCAGAAAAGGCCTTTGGCAAAGTTCAACAACCCTTCATGCTACAAACTCTCAATAAATTAGGTATTGATGGGTCATATCTCAAAATAATAAGAGCTGTCTATGACAAACCCACAGCCAATATCACACTGAATGGGCAAAAACTGGAAGCATTCCCTTTGAAAACTGGCACAAGACGGGGATGCCCTCTCTCACCACTCCTATTCAACATAGTGTTGGAAGTTCTGGCCAGGGCAATTAGGCAGGAGAAGGAAATAAAGGGTATTCAATTAGGAAAAGAGGAAGTCAAATTGTCCCTGTTTGCAGATGACATGATTGTATATCTAGAAAACCCCATTGTCTCAGCCCAAAATCTCCTTAAGCTGATAAGCAACTTCAGCAAAGTCTCAGGATACAAAATCAATGTACAAAAATCACAAGCATTCTTATACACCAATAACAGACAAACAGAGAGCCAAATCATGAGTGAACTCCCATTCACAATTGCTTCAAAGAGAATAAAATACCTAGGAATCCATCTTACAAGGGACATGAAAGACCTCTTCAAGGAGAACTACAAACCACTGCTCAATGAAATAAAAGAGGATACAAACAAATGGAAGAACATTCCATGCTCATGGGTAGGAAGAATCAATATCGTGAAAATGGCCATACTGCCCAAGGTAATTTATAGATTCAATGCCATCCCCATCAAGCTACCAATGACTTTCTTCACAGAATTGGAAAAAACTACTTTAAATTTCATATGGAACCAAAAAGAGCCCGCATCGCCAAGTCAATCCTAAGCCAAAAGAACAAAGCCGGAGGCATCACACTACCTGCCTTCAAACTATACTACAAGGCTACAGTAACAAAAACAGCATGGTACTGGTACCAAAACAGAGATATAGATCAAGGGAACAGAACAGAGCCCTCAGAAATAACGCTGCGTATCTACAACTATCTGATCTTTGACAAACCTGAGAAAAATAAGCAATGGGGAAAGGATTCCCTATTTAATAAATGGTGCTGGGAAAACTGGCTAGCCATATGTAGAAAGCTGAAACTGGATCCCTTCCTCACACCTTATACAACAATTAATTCAAGATGGATTAAAGACTTAAACGTTAGACCTAAAACCATAAAAACCCTAGAAGAAAAGCTAGGCATTACCATTCAGGACATAGTCATGGGCAAGGACTTCATGTCTAAAACACCAAAAGCAATGGCAACAAAAGCCAAAATTGACAAATGGGATCTAATTAAACTAAAGAGCTTCTGCACAGCAAAAGAAACTACCATCAGAGTGAACAGGCAACCTACAAAATGGGAGAAAATTTTTGAAACCTACTCATCTGACAAAGGGCTAATATCCAGAATCTACAATGAACTCAAACAAATTTACAAGAAAAAGACAAACAACCCTATCAAAAAGTGGGCGAAGGCCATGAACAGACACTTCTCAAAAGAAGACATTTATACAGCCAAAAGACACATGAAAAAATGCTCACCATCACTGGCTATCGGAGAAATGCAAATCAAAACCACAATGAGATACCATCTCACACCAGTTAGAATGGCAATCATTAAAAAGTCAGGAAACAACAGGTACTGGAGAGGATGTGGAGAAATAGGAACACTTTTACACTGTTGGTGGGACTGTAAACTAGTTCAACCATTGTGGAAGTCAGTGTTGCGATTCCTCAGGGATCTAGAACTAGAAATACCATTTGACCCAGCCATCCCCTTATTGGGTATATGCGCAAAGGATTATAAATCATGCTGCTATAAAGACACATGCACACGTATGTTTATTGCAGCACTATTCACAATAGCAAAGACTTGGAACCAAGCCAAATGTCCAACAAGGATAGACTGGATTAAGAAAATGTGGCACATATACACCATGGAATACTATGCAGCCATAAAAAATGATGAGTTCATGTCCTTTGTAGGGACATGGATGAAATTGGAAATCATCATTCTCAGTAAACTATCGCAAGGACAAAAAACCAAACACTGCATGTTCTCACTCATAGGTGGGAATTGAACAATGAGAACACATGGACACAGGAAGGGGAACATCACACTCTGGGGACTGTTGTGGAGTGGGGGGAGCGGGGAGGGATAACATTAGGAGACATACCTAATGCTAAATGACAAGTTAATGGGTGCATCACACCAGCATGGCACATGTATACATATGTAACTAACCTGCACAGTGTGTACATGTACCCTAAAACTTAAAGTATAATAATAATAAAATTAAAAAAAAAAAATCTGATGTAACCTGAAAAAAAAAAAAAAAAGCTGGACAGAGAATGACTTTGATGAGTTGATAGAAGAAGCCTTCAGACAATTGCTAATAACAAACTTCTTGGAGCTAAAGTAGGATGTTTGAACCCATCACAAAGAAGCTAAAAACCTTGAAAAAAGATTAGACGGATGGCTAACTAGAATAAACAGTGTAGACAAGACCTTAAATGACCTGATGGAGCTAAAAACTATGGCATGAGAACTACGCAATTCATGCACAAGCTTCAGTAGCCGAGTTGATCTACTGGAAGAAACGATATCAGTGATTGAAGATCAAATGAATGAAATGAGGCGAGAAGAGAAGTTTAGAGAAAAAAGAGTAAAAAGAAATGAACAAATACTCCAAGAAACATGGGACTCTGTGAAAAGACCAAATCCACATCTGATTGGTGTATCTAAAAGTGATGGGGAGAATGGAATGAAGTTGGAAAATGCTCTGAAGGATATTATCCAGGAGAACTTCCCCAAACTAGAGAGGCAGGCCAACATTCAAATTCAGGAAATACAGAGAACGTCACAAAGAAACTCCTCGAGAAGAACAACTCCAAGACACATAATTGTCAGATTCACCAAAGTTGAAATGAAGGAAAAAATGTTAAGGGCAGCCAGAGATAAAGGTCAGGTTACCCACAAAGGGAAGCCCATCAGACTAACAGCGGATCTCTCGGCAGAAACTCTACAAGCCAGAAGAGAGTGAGGGCCAATATTCAACATTCTTAAAGAAAAGAATTTTCAACCCGGAATTTCATATCCAGCCAAACTAAGCTTCATAAGCAAAGGAGAAATAAAATCCTTTACAGACAAACAAATGCTGAGAGGTTTTGTCACCACCAGACCTGCCCTAAAAGAGCTCCTGAAGGAAGCACTAAACATGGAAAGGAACAACCAGTACCAGCTACTGCAAAATCATGCCAAATTGTAAAGACCATCAAGGCTAGGAAGAAACTGCATCAACTAACGCGCAAAATAACCAGCTAACATCATAATGACAGGATCAAATTCACATATAACAATATTAACCTTAAATGTAAATGGGCTAAATGGTCCAATTAAAAGACACAGACTGGCAAATTGGATAAAGAGTCAAGACCCATCAGTGTGCTGTATTCAGGAGACTCATCTCACGTTCAGAGACACACATAGGCTCAAAATAAAAGGATAGAGGAAGATCTACCAAGCAAATGGAAAACAAAAAAAGTCAGGGGTTGCAATCCTAGTCTCTAATAAAACAGGCTTTAAATCAACAAAGATCAAAAGAGACAAAGAAAGCCATTACATATGGTAAAGGGATGAATGCAACAAGAAGAGCTAAGTATCCTAAATATATACGCACCCAATACAAGAGCACCCAGATTCAAAAAGCAAGTCCTTAGAGACCTACAAAGAGACTTACACTACCACACAATAATAATGGGAGACTTTAAAACCCCACTGTCAACATGAGACAGATCAATGAGACAGAAAGTTAAAAAGGATGTCCAGGAGTTGAACTCAGCTCTGCACCAAGTGAACGTAATAGACATCTACAGAACTCTCCACCCCAAATAAACAGAATATACATTCCTCTCAGCACTACATCACACTTATTCCAAAATTGATCACATAGTTGGAAGTAAAGCACTCCTCAGCAAATGTAAAAGAACAGAAATTATAACAAACTGTCTCTCAGACCACAGTGCAATGAAACTAGAACTCAGGATTAAGAAACTCACTCAAAACTGCTCAACTACATGGAAACTGAACAACCTGCTCCTGAATGACTACTGGGTACATAACAAAATGAAGGCAGAAACAAAGATGCTCTTTGAAACCAATAAGAACAAAGACACAACATACCAGAATCTCTGGGACACATTTAAAGCAGTGTGGAGAGGGAAATTTATAGCACTAAATACCCACAAGAGAAAGCAGGAAAGATCCAAAATTGACACCCTAACATCACAATTAAAAGAACTAGAGAAGCAAGAGCAAACATATTCAAAAGCTAGCAGAAGGCAAGAAATAACTATGATCAGAGCAGAACTGAAGGAGATAGAGCCACAAAAAGCCCTTCAAAAAATCAATGAATCCAGGAGCTGTTTTTTGAAAAGATCAAGAAAATTGGGAGACTGCTAGCAAGAATAATAAAAAAAGAGGGAAGAATCAAATAGATGCAATAAAAAATGATAAAGGGGATATCACCACTGATCCCACAGAAATACAAACCACCAACAGAAAATACTAGAAACACCTCTATGCAAATAAACTAGAAAATCTAGAAGAAATGGATAAGTTCCTGGACATTTACACCTTCCAAAGACTAAATCAGGAAGAAGCTGAATCCCTGAATAGACCAATAACAGGTTCTGAAATTGAGGCAATAATTAATAGCCTAACAACCAAAAAAAGGCCAGGATCAGATAGATTTGAAGCCAAGTTCTACCAGCGGTACAAAGAGGAGCTGGTACCATTCTTTCTGAAACTATTCCAGTCAATAGAAACAGAGGGAATCCTCCCTAATTCATTTTATGAGGCCAACATCAACCTGATAGCAAAGCCTGGCAGAGACACAACAAAAAAATAAAGAGAATTTTAGACTAAAATCGATGAACATCGATGCAAAAATCCTCAATAAAATACTGGCAAACCGAATCCAGCAGCACATCAAAAAGCTTATCCAACACGATCAAGTTGGCTTCATCCCTGGGATGCAAGGCTGGTTCAACATACGCAAATCAATAAATGTAATCCAGCATATAAACAGAACCAAAGACAAAAACCACATGATTATCTCAATAGATGCAGAAAAGGCCTTTGACAAAATTCAACAGCCCTTCATGCAAAAAACTCTCAATAAATTAGGTATTGATGGGTCATATCTCAAAATAATAAGAGCTATCTATGACAAACCCACAGCCAATATCATACTGAATGGGCAAAAACTGGAAGCATTCCCTTTGAAAACTGGCACAAGACGGGGATGCCCTCTCTCACCACTCCTATTCAACATAGTGTTGGCAATTCTGGCCAGGGCAATCAGGTAAGAGAAAGAAATAAAAGGTATTCAATTAGGAAAAGAGAAAGTCAAATTGTCCCTATTTGTAGATGACATGATTGTATATCGAGAAAACCCCATCGTCTCAGCCCAAAATATGCTTAAGCTGATAAGCAACTTCAGCAAAGTTTCAGGATACAAAATTAATGTGCAAAATCACAAGCAGTCCTATACACCAATAACAGACAAACAGAGAGCCAAATCATGAGTGAACTCCCATTCACAATTGTTTCAAAGAGAATAAAAGACCTAGGAATCCAACTTACAAGGGATGTGAAGGACCTCATCAAGGAGCTACAAACCATTGCTAAATGAAATAAAAGAGGACTCAAACAAATGGAAGAACATTCCATGCTCATGGATAGGAAGAATCAATATTGTGAAAATGGCCATACTGCCCAAGGTAATTTATAGATTCAATGCCATCCCCATCAAGCTACCAATGACTTTCTTCACAGAATTGGGAAAAACTAATTTAAAGTTCATATGGAACCAAAAAAGATCCACATTGCCAAGACAATCCTAAGCCAAAAGAACAAAGCTGGAGGCATCACACTACCTGACTTCAAACTATACTACAAGGCTACAGTAACCAAAACAGCATGGTACTGGTACCAAAACAAATATATAGACCAATGGAACAGAAGAGAGCCCCCGGAAATAATACCACCCATCTACAACCATTTGATCTTGGATAAACCTGAAAAAAACAAGAAATGGGGAAAGGATTCCTTATTTAATAAATGGTGCTGGGAAAACTGGTTAGCCATATGTAGAAAGCTGAAACTGGATCCTTTCCTTACATCTTATACAACAATTAATTCAAGATGGATTAAAGACTTAAATGTTAGACCTAAAACCATAAAAACCCTAGAAGAAAACCTAGGCAATACCATTCAGGCTATAGGCAAGGGCAAGGACTTCATGACTAAAACACCAAAAGCAATGGCAACAAAAGCCAAAATTGACAAATGGGATCTCATTAAACTCAAGAGCTTCTACACAGCAAAAGAAACTACCATCAGAGTGAACAGGCAACCTATAAAATGGGAGAAAGTTTTTGCAATCTACCCATCTGACAAAGGGCTAATATCCAGAATCTACAAATACTTAAACAAATTTACAAGAAAAAAATCAAACAACCCCATCAAAAAGTGTTCAAAGGATACGAAGAGACACTTCTCAAAAGAAGACATTTATGCAGCCAACAGACACATGAACAAATGCTCATCATCACTGGCCATCAGAGAAATGCAAATCAAAACCACAATGAGATACCATCTCACACCAGTTAGAATGGCGATCATTAAAAAGTCAGGAAACAACAGGTGCTGGGGAAGACATGGAGAAATAGGAACACTTTTACACTGTTGGTGGGAGTGTAAACTAGTTCAACCATTGTGGAAGACAGTGTGGCAACTCCTCAAGGATCTAGAACTAGAAATACCATTTGACCCAGCCATCCCATTACTGGTCATATACCCAAAGTATTATAAATCATGCTGCTATAAAGACACATGCACACGTATGTTTATTGCAGCACTATTCACAATAGCAAAGACTTGGAACCAACCCAAATGCCCATCTATGATAGACTGGATTAAGATAATGTGGCACATATACACCATGGAATACTATGCAGCCATAAAAAAGGATGAGTTCATGTCCTTTGCAGGGACATTGATGAAGCTGGAAACCATCATTCTGAGCGAACTATCACGAGTACAGAAAACCAAACACTGCATGTTCTCACTCATAGGTGGAAATTGAACAATGAGAACACTTGGACACGGGGGGGGGGAACATCATACACCAGGGCCTGTCGTGGAGTTGGGGTAGGAAGGAGGTATAGCATTAGGAGATATACTTAATGTAAATGACGAGTTAATGGGTGCAGAACACCAACATGGTGCATGTATACATATGTAACAAACCTGCACGTTGTGCACATGTACCCGAGAACTTAAAGTATCATAAAAAAAAGAGAGAAAAAAAGAAAACATAGTTACTAGGGAACTATAAGTAACTTTTCTAAAGTCACAGCTGAAAAGCTATGAAGATGGGTTACAACCTGACGTCTGTAGCTCTCCAAAGTCTGTTTACAATTACAAAGATTTGGATCATGATTTTTCAGGAGGATCTGGAAGCACTTGAGAATGGTTGAGATGGAGAAGATTTGGCTAAAAACAGACATGGTATCTGTCTTCATTGTAAAAAACAAAACAAAACATTTTTTGTTCTATTTAGCTATGGACTTAGCTCCTAGGAGGAGTTTCTTGGAAGCAGATTTTGCTTAATAGTAGGAATTTATTAATAGCCAGAGCTGCTGCACAGAGAAATGCAGAGACTTTGGCAAGCTCTGACCTTCCCGAAACATTCAAGCAGGGCCCAGAGTTCTTCTGACAACGATGTGGTAAAAGGACCCCCAATGTCAGGTGATGCACAAGCCCTTACTTTTAAGATCTCCTCAATGCTAAGATTATGCAATCCTAAATTAATATTTGCACTGAGTCTTATTTGTTCCTTATTGGGCCAGCCCTCATGTAGAGCCATGTCTTTTCTTTTTTTTTTTTTTTTTTTCCAACCTTTATTTTAAGTTCAGGGCTACATGTGCAGGATGTGCAGATTTGTAACATAGGTAAACGTGTGCCATGGTGATCTGCTGCACAGATCATCCCATCACCTAGGTATTAAGCCCAGCATCCATTCCTTTTATTCATGATGCTTTCCCTCCCTTTACCCCTCCAACAGCCCCAGTGAGTGTTGTTCTCTCCATGCGTCCATGTGTTCTCATCATTCAGCTCCCACTTATAAGTGAGAAGATGCAGTGTTTAGTTTTCTGTTTCTGCATTAGTTTGCTGAGGATAATGGCATCCAACCCCATCCATGTCCCTGCAAAGGACATGATCTCATTCCTTTTTAGGGCTGCATAGTATTCCATGGTGTATATGTACCACATTTTCTTTATCCAGTCTATCATTGATGGGCATTTAGGTTGGTTCCATGTCTTTGCTATTGTGAATAAGTGCTGCAATGAACATACATGTTCATGTGTCTTTATAATATAATGATTTATATTCCTTTGGGTGTATACTCAGTAATGGTATTGCTGGGTCAAATGGTATTTCTGCTTCTAGGTCATTAAGGAATTACCACACTGTCTTTCCCAATGGATGAACTAACTTACACTTCCACCAATGGTATAAAAGTGTTCCCTTTTCTCTGCAACCTCGCCAGCATCTGTTTTTTTTTTGTTGTTGTTTTTTTGTTTTTACTTTTAAATAATAGCCATTCTGACTGGTGTAAGATTGTATCTCATTGTGGTTTTGATTTGCATTTCTTTACTGATCAGTGATGTTGAACTTTTATTCATATGTTTGTTGACCACATGTATGTCTTCTTTTTCTTTTTCTTTTTTTATTATACTTTAAGTTCTGGGATACATGTGCAGAACATGCAGGTTTGTTACATATGTATACATGTGCCATGGTGGTTTGCTGCACCCATCAACCCTTCATCTACATTAGGTACTTCTCCTAATGAAATCCTTCCCCCAGCACCCCCACCCTCTGTGACGTTCCTCTCCCTGTGCCCATATGCTCTCATTGTTCAACTTCCACTTATGAGTGAGAACATGTGGTGTTTGGTTTTCTGTTCCTGTGTTTGCTGATAATGATGGTTTCCAGCTTCATCCATGTCCCAGCAAATGACATGAACTCATTTTTTTATGGCTGCATAGTATTCTAGGGTGTATATGTGCCACATTTTCTTAATCCAGTCTATCATTGATGGGCATTTCGGTTGGTTCAAAGTCTTTGCTATAGTGAACAGTGCTGCAATAAACATATGTGTGCATGTCTTTATAGTGGAATTATTTATAATCCTTTATGTATATACCCAGTAATGAGATTGCTGGGTCAAATGGTATTTCTGGTTCTAGATCTCTGAGGAATCACCACACTGTCTTCCACAATGGTTGAACTAATTTACACTCCCACCAACAGTGTAAAAGGTTTCCTATTTCCCCACATCATCTCCAGCATTTGTCGCTTCCTGACCTTTTAATGATCACCATTCTAACTAGCGTGAGATGGTATCTCATTGTGGTTTTGATTTGCATTTCTCTAATGATCAGTGATGATGAGCTTTTTTTCATATGTTTGTTGGTGGCATAAATGTCTTCTTTTGAGAAGTGTCTGCTCATATCCTTTGCCCACTTTTTGATGGGGTTGTTTGTTTTTTTCTTCTAAGTTTGTTTAAGTTCCTTATAGATTCTGGATATTAGCCCTTTGTCAGATGGGTAGATTGCAAAAATATTCTCCCATTCTGCAGGTTGCCTGTTCACTCTGATGATAGTTTCTTTTGCTGTGCAGAAGCTCCTTAGTTTAATTAGTCGGAATTAGTCAATTTTGGCTTTTGTTGCTATTGCTTTTGGTGTTTTAGTCATGAAGTCTTTGCCCACAGCTATGTCCTGAATGGTATTGCCTAGGTTGTCTTCTAGGGCTTTTATGGTTTTAGGTCTTACGTTGAAGTCTTTAATCCATCTTGAGTTAATTTTTGTACAAGGTGTAAGGAAGGGGTCCAGTTTCAGTTTTTTGCATATGGCTAGCCAGTTTTCTCAACATCATTTATTAAATAGGGAATCCTTTCCCCATTGCTTGTTTTTGTCAGATTTGTCAAATATCAGATGGTTGTAGATGTGTGGTGTTATTTCTGAGGCCTCTGTTCTGTTCCATTGGTCTATATATCTGTTTTGGTACCAGGACCATGCTGTTCTGGCTACTGTAGCCTTGCAGTACAGTTCAAATTCAGGTAGTGTGATGTCTCCAGCTGTGTTTTTTTCTGAGGATTGTCTTGGCTATATGAGCTGTTATTTTTTTATTTTTTTGACAGAGTCTCACTTTGTCACCCAGGCTGGAGTGCAGTGGCATGATCTCAGCTCACTGCAACCTTTGCCTCCTGGGTTCAAGCAATTCTTCTGCCTCAGTCTCCTGAGTAGATGGGATTACAGAGGTGTGCCACTATGCCACATATGGGCTCTTTTTTGGTTCTATATGAATTTTAAAGTATTTTTTTCGAATTCTGTGAAGAAAGTCAATGTTAGCTTGATGGGGATAGCATTGAATCTACAAATTACTTTGGTTAGTATGGCCTTTTTCATGATATTGATTCTTCCTATCCATGAGCATGAGATGTTTTTGCATTTGTTTGTATCCTCTCTTATTTCCTTGAGCAGTGGTTTGTAGTTCTCCTTGAAGCAGTCCTTCACATCCTTTGTAAGTTGTATTCCGAGGTATTTTATTCTCTTTTTAGCAATTGTGAAGAGGAGTTCACTCATGATTTGGCTCTCTGTCTATTATTTGTGTATAGGAATACTTTTGGCTTTTGCACATTGATTTTGTATTCTGAGACTTAGCTGAAGTTGCTTATCAGCTTAAGGAGATTTGGGGCTGAGATGATGTGGTTTTCTAAATATACAATCATGTCATCTGCAAACAGAGACAATTTGATATCTTTGTTGGTTTAAGTCTGTTTTATCAGAGACTAGGATTGCAACTCCTGCTCTTTTTTTCTTTTCTTTTTTTTTTTTTTTTGCTTGCCTTTTGCTTGGTAAATCTTCCTCTATCCCTTTTTTTTGAGCCTATGTGTGTCTCTGCATGTGAGATGGGGCTCCTCAATACAGCACACTGATGGGTCTTGACTCTTTATCCAGTTTGCCTGTCTGTGTCATTTAATTTGGGCATTTAGCTCATTTACATTTAAGATTGATGTTGTCATGTGTGAATTTGATCCTGTCATTATGATACTAGCTGGTCATTTTGCCAATTAGTTGATGCAGTTTCCTTATAGTGTCGATGGTCTTTACAATTTGGTATGTTTTTGCAGTGGCTGGTACCAGTTTTTCCTTTCCATATTTAGTGCTTCCTTCAGGAGCTCTTGTAAGGCAGGCCCGGTGGTAACAAAATCTCCCAACATTTACTTGTCTGTAAAAGATTTTATTTCTCCTTCACTTATGAAGA
The DNA here is from genome assembly GCF_000001405.40 of Homo sapiens. Taxonomy (NCBI): domain Eukaryota; kingdom Metazoa; phylum Chordata; class Mammalia; order Primates; family Hominidae; genus Homo; species Homo sapiens. The sequence goes on along the minus strand of NC_000004.12, from coordinate 52,209,117 downwards.
TTAGTTTGGCTGGATACAAAATTCTGGGTTGAAAATTCTTTTCTTTAAGAATATTGAATATTGGCCCCAACTCTCCTCTGGCTTGTAGGGTTTTTGCAGATAGATCCACTGTTAGTCTTATGGTTTGTCTTCCCTTTGTGGGTAACCCAATCTTTATCTCTTGTTGCCCTTAACATTTTTTCCTTCATTTCAACCTTGGTGAATGTGAAAATTATGTGTTTGGGGTTGCTCTTCTCAATTAGCATTTATGGAGTTCTCTGTATTTCCTGAATTTGAATGTTGGCCAGTCTTGCTACGTTGGGGAAGTTCTCCTGGATAATACCCTGAAGAGTGTTTTCCATCTTGATTCCATTCTCCCTGTCACTTTCATGTACACCAATCAAATGTAAGTTTGGTCTTTTCACGTAGGCCCATATTTCTTAGAGGCTTTGTTCATTCCTTTTCATTCTTTTTTCTCTAATCTTGTCTTCACACTTTATTTCATTAAGTTGACCCTCAATCTCTGATATCCTTTCTTCTGCTTCATCGATTAGGCTATTGATACTTGTGTATGCTTCACAAAGTTCTCATGCTGTGTTTTTGAGCTCCATTATGTCATTTATGTTCTTCTCTAAATTGGTTCTTTTAGTTAGCAATTCATCTAACCTTTTTTCAAGAATCTTAGCCTCCTTGCATTGGGTTGGAACATCCTCCTTCAGCTCGGAGGAGTTTGTTTTTACCCACCTTCTGAAGCTTCTGTCAATTCATCAAACTCATTCTCCATCCAGTTTTGTTTCCTTGCTGGTGAGGAGTTGTGATCCTTTGGAGGAGAAGAGCATTCTGGTTTTCTGAATTTTCAGACTTTTAAGCTGGTTTTTCCTCATCTCTGTGGATTTATCTACCTTTGGTCTTTGCTGTTGGTGACCTTTGGACGGGGTCTCTCTGTGGACGTCCTTTTTGTTGATGTTGATGCTATTGCTTTCTGTTTGTTAGTTTTCCTACTTACAGCCAGAGCCCTCTTTTGCAGGTTTCCTGGAGGTCCACTCTAGACCCTGTTTGCCTGGGTATCACCAGCAGAGGCTGGAGAACAGCTAAGATTGCTACCTGTTCCTTTCTCTGGAAGCTTCATCCCAGAAGGGCACCTGGCAGATGTCAGCCGGAACTCTCCTGTTTGAGGTGTCTGTCGACCCCTGCAATTACTGAAGCCTCAGTAATGGCAGACGCCCCTCCCTCCACCAAGCTCAAGCATACCAGGTCGACTTCAGACTGCTGTACTGGCAGCGAGAATTTTAAGCCAGTGGATCTTAGCTTGCTGGGCTCCACAGGGGTGGGATCTACTGAGCTAGACCACTTGGCTTCCTGGCTTCAGCCCTCTTCCCAGGGGAGTTAATGGTTCTGTCTCACTGGCTTTCCAGGTGCCACTGGGGTATGAAGAAAAACTCCGGCAGCTAGCTTGGTGTCTGCCCAAATGGCCGCCTAGTTTTGTGCTTGAAACCCAGTGCCCTTGTGGCATAGGCACCTGAGGGAATCTCTTGGTCTTCAGTTTGTGAAGTCGGTTGGAAAAGTGTAGTGTCTGTGCCAGAGAGCACCATTCCTCATGGCACAGTCCTTCACGGCTTCCCTTGGCTAGGGGAGGGAGTCCTCTGTCTTCTGTGTTGATCTCGCTGGGAGCCGCAGACTGGCCATCTTGTCAGCCACTCATGTCTTCTTTTGAGAAGTGCCTGTTTATGTTCTTTACCCACTTTGTAATGGGATTGTTTGTGGATTCCAACAGCGTATCAAAAAGCTTATTCATCAGGTTCAAGTAGGCTTCATCCTGGGAATGCAGGGTTGATTCCACACTTGCAAATCAACACATGTGATTCATCACATAAACAGAACTAAAGACAAAGCCACATGATTATCTCAATAGATGCAGAAAAGGCTTTTGATAAAATTCAACATCCCTTCATGTTAAAAACTCAATAAACTAGGTATTGAAGGAACATACCTCAAAATAATAAAAGCCATATATGGTAAACCCACAGTCAATTCATATGGAATGGGCAAAAGCTGCAAGCATTCCCCTTGAAAACTGGCACAAGACAATGATGTCCTCTCTCATCACTCCTATTCAATATAGTATTGGAAGTTCTGGCCAGGGCAATCAGGCAAGAGAAAGAAATAAAGCATATTCAAATAGGGACAGAGGAAGCAAATTTATCTTTGTTTGCGGATGACATGATCCTATGTCTAGAAAACCTCATCATCTCAGCACAAAAGCTTCTTATGCGGATAAGCAACTTCAGCAAAATCTCAGGATATAAAATCAGTGTGCAAAAATCACTAGCATTCCTGTACACCAACAACAGGCAAGCAGAGAGCCAAATCATGAATGAACTCCCATTCCAAATTGCTAGAAAAAGAATAAAATACTTAGGAATACAACTAATAAGGGAAGTGAAGGACCTCTTCAAGAACTGGAAACCATTACTCAAAGAAATCAGAGAGGAAACAAACAAATGGAGAAACATTCTATGCTAATGGATAGGAAGAATCAATATTATGAAAATGGCCATATGCCCAAAGTAATTTGTAGATTAAATGCAATTCCCATTAAACTACCATTGTCATTCTTCACAGATTTTGTTTTGCTTTGTTTTGTTTTTTGAGACAGGATCTCACTCTGTTGCCCAGGATGGAGTGCAGTGGTGCCATCATGGCTCACTGCAGCCTCAACCTCCCAGGTTCAAGTGATCCTCCCACCTCAGCCTCTCAAGTAACTGGGACTACAGGTGCCTGTCACCATGCCCGGTTAATTTTTGTATTTTTTTTGTAGGGATGGGGTTTTGCCATGTTGGCCAGGCTGGTCTTGAACTCCTGGTCTCAAGCAATTCACCCACCTGAGCAGGGGATCCATGCTCCAAAAGTGCTGGCATTACGGGCATGAGCCACCGTATCCAGCCTAAATGAGGACTTTTCTAATCTCAGGTGATAGAAAGCCTAACTCAAACTGGCTTAAACAAAAAAATAAGAAAAATGGAAATAGATAGATATGCAGGAAAATATTGGCTCAAGCAACCGATGAGTCCAGAGACGGTCATGGCTAGAAATACCACAGCGAGAAGCCACCAGATCCAGAGGTACAAATCAGGATCTGATGTCCTTCTTTTCATCTCTCAGCTCTGCTCCATCTTTACTGGTTAGCTCTCCAACAGGCTCTCCTCTTATAAGAGCTTGTAGCATCACAAAGCTGCCAGAATTCTAGGGGTGACATCCTTCCAAGTTCAAAACCAGCAGGAAGAACAGTAGCAACGACAAAAGGCTAAACTGAGTGTGCTGATCCCAACATTCCCATCAAGTCCTATGATTCACTTTCATAAAGCTGGCTCAGGTATGTGTGAGCCTGGTACCTATTACTATGTCCAGAGAAACGGAGTGGTCCGATTGGCTTGGCTTAGGCCAATTTTAAATTCCCGGAGCCCACCCAGAACATGTTGACAGAAGTAGGGGAAAAATGGATCTTTTTACTCATTCAGAGAGCATTGCTAAGGACCAACTATGTGAATAGAACATTATGTTGAGCACCACGGAGCATACAAAGATGACTGAAAAATCAAAACTGTTGGGTTTGACAAATAAAGAAAAAGGAGATTCATTTGCCGTGAATGAAATTTCAGAAGTGGCTTAGAATCATCATTCTGGCTTTGTATTAAAAAAAAACCTTACTTTTCTTATACTATAAAATCAAGAGAACTACTCACTGATTCTCAACTGGGACAATTTTACCCAGTCCTCACCTCCCACCCTGCCCCCACCTTTGGGGGACATTTGACAATGTCTGAAGACATCTCCGGTTGTCACAACTATTGGTACCTTGTAGGTAGAGGCCAGAGTGCTGCTAAATATCCTACATTTAATTCACAGAACAAGACCTTACAACAAAGAATTACCCAGACCAAAAGTTCAGCAATGCCGAGGTTCAGAAACCCTGCTCTAACTCAACGCACATGTAAACATGCTTTTGTAATGTCTGGAGCCTTCCAGTACATAGGTGAGACCTTTGTACTGTAATAGCCAGTAGCACTACAGTACAGCTTTAAAACAGACATTGTATGCCACAGTCTTGGTAGGAAAGAAGAGTAGAGTACCAGGCCTGGGTTCTGGCTCATCCAAAGGCACCACTAGTAATTGCTCACAGGTGCTTAATCACATACATTTTTTTTTCATTGTTATTCAACTATCTCCAGCTGGAACTCATGCCACATTACCTTTCAGCTTCCATCCTGATCATGAAACAATCAATAACCCAGAATCACTAGAAATTCATACCTGCTGGAAACTATCTGGATAGCTAATAAATTGCACAGGGTTTCTGTCAAACACATATATCTAATTGGTCAAGAGACCTAACTTTATTTCAAAACTATTTGCTTGCATCTTAGATTGGTGTTCCAGATGTCAAGGACAGCATCCTGTTGATGATCTGGGAACCGACTTCACGCTCTCCGCATTGGGCTAGTTGGCCAGTGGTCATGTTAGGATTATAATTGAATTTGTGCTGTACAATCAGACATCACGGTCCAAAAACTTCATCAGCCTACAGTGAAGCTCTGCCTGTATTGGGTTAGCAAGTTTGAAGCAGCCCCACAGACTGGAGGATAGAACATGAAAGAATATGATTGGAATTGTATTATTTCAAGCCAACACTGCCTCATTTTGAATTTTTTAAAAAAATCACTTTGAGGTCATGTCCGTTCAAAAACTCCAACACAATCATTTTATTTAGCCAGTTTTGTCGACAAGGAAGCACATAAACCAATCATTTGACCAAATCAGCATTGATTTTCCTTCAACCAGTAGTTCTCAGCCTTGACTTCACATTGGAACCACTTATGGAGCTTTTATAAATCCTGGTGCCGAGGCCACCTGCTAGACCAATCAAATAAGAATTTCTGCAAGTGGATCGGGAATCAGTATGTTTAAAGCTCTCCTCGTGATTCAAAAGTGCCCCTCCCCACATTTTCATACTTCACACTTTATGTTCCAGGTATAATAAATGACTTAAGGGGGTTTAAACTATAAGCATGGCCTGAGCCACACCACCAGAGAAGGAGGAAAGAAGGGAGGAAGGGAGGATAAAGGGAAGAAGGAAGGGAGGGAAGAAAAGAGCAAGGGAAGGAAGAAAGAAGAAAGGAAGCCAGGAAGCAAGAAGAACAGAAAGGAAATTTGTCTCAGACCATTGCTGTAGGCTTATTATACTTGAAGTTGGGGTTTCATTTACATATAACTTCCTCTCCACTAACAATAAAGAAGTAGATCTTCAGTTCTCTTGTGCAGCAATAACTCTGGAATGTAAAAGTGGTTTCCTACAGTTTATGCAATTGGAAAAGAAAATCATAAATACTTCAGACCAGAGAATGTCGCCAATGTTGGAATAGACAATTTTCTGTATTATCACCTGTTTGCCCATGCTAATAAAAATATTCAGTGACAGCCAAATAGTTAGTGTGGTGGTAGAGGCCAGAGGAGAGACTTCTCAACTTCATGTTAGCCCATTTAGCAAAGCTCTAATAACTTCCAGACCTTTAAGTCAGGCTTAAAAATAGACCATAGCTCTGTTATGAGTCCTAGGCCTCTCTAGGGTCATTGGAGTCCATTGACAGCACCACCCCCTAAGCTCAGATATTCCTAAAGAAATGGAACATAAAGAGATAGGGTACACTTCCTTCCTCTCCAGTGCTAGAGAGTTCTCCTTCAGCAATTAGCCTCTTTGCAGGAACTAAAATTACACTTAAAAAGTCATAAATTCTCCCTGAGTTATGTTTTTGCAAGCTTAAGTTCCTAATACAAACTGTTTCCTGAAATGAATGACCAGCTGGAGAGAATATATTTTGGATTCTGCAGTCATGAAGGCCACATATCCATCTCAGCTTAGCTCCCCTTCTTCCTTTTTCCTATATGCTTCTTGAAGCCTCTGATGTCTCATCACTAAATTACTCACTGTCATTCCCAGTGCAGACAGGAATGTTTGGGATCACTTCAAGCAGGGAAGGGAGGTGGATGTCAGGGCTGATGTGGAGAGGTGTGGGGCAGGAGTTCTACTTGGCTGAGGCCTCCCACCCACAGTGAGTTTCATGTTTATACTCTCAACTTTCTCTCCAAATCATCAACTCCAAAGAGTCACAGAAATGAACGGACAGAATTCAAAGATGATGTTGCATTACCTCAACTTACTACATACCCCATTAGCAATCTACAGTGCCTGTAGTGTACTATGAATTAATTTTTTTATAAGTCCTGAATTGCATCATTACATGGCATTGCTTTTTTATGGGTTAAATGTGTTAATCTATTAAATGTAAACATTTAAAATATACAGTTTCTTAAAACACATCTGGATATGCCTGTAGTGTTAATAAACTGAAAACTCTGTAGTGGTCAAGGTCTCACTTAAATTCCGAGAGGCCAAGGTAACACAACATATAAGGAGATGGTCATTGCAGCCCTCCTAGAGGGAGAGAGGTACTCCACGTGGCCTCCTTTCTGCTTGGCTAGGGGTGAGGAGTGGTAGCTCTTTGATCTCCTACTTGTTGACAGAGCCACATTTGGCTCTCCCTGAAGCTGGCATAAAGGAGAGGCTAAATCCCTTTTGAGTTGTTCCTGCCCAACAGAATGCAAACAGATGGGCCTGGTGGGGAGAAGAGCCCCTCAGGAGAGAGGACTGCTGAATAACTCTGCCTGTGGGCTGCTGCCTCACACCTCCCCTGGTGAGTTACAGAGGCTGAGTTCAAAGGAAACACATGAACAGCTCATCCACTCTTTAGGATTCAAGTGCCGTTATCTTGAGAAGCTGAATTATACCTAGACCTTGAATTGAAGACCTTTAAGCACGTTTCTGTGAGTTGTTTCTCAGATGATAATTGAAGGTGGACAATTCTTTTCTGTGTCCTAGCAGCCTGGGTAGAGTACTGGTGATAGGAAGAGGAGACTGAGGCAGTTAGGCTAAATAATGAAAAAGAGCCAGTTCTACATTGGTTGTGATAATGGAGTCAGAGATGGCATGTTCCTTTCCTATTGCTGTTGCAACAAATGACCCCAAATTTAGTGACCTAAAACCACACAAATTTATTATCTTAGAGTTCTGCAGGGCAGAAGTCCAAATGGGTCTTCCTGCACTAAAATCAAGGTGTCGGCAAGGCTGGATTCCTTTGGAAGCTATAGGGGAGATCCTGTCTTTCTTGCATTCTTCACATTCCTTGGCTAGTGGCTGCTTTCCTCCATCTTCACAGCCAGCAAGGATGGGCCAGGTCTAACACTACATCACTGTGGTTCTATCTTCTGATTCCCTCTTCCACATTTAAGGGCCCTTGTAATTATATTGGGCCTACCCAATAACTCAGAATAATCTCCCTTATTTATAAGTCAGCTGATTAGAAGCCTTAATTCTGTTTCCAACCTTAATTCTCTCTTTACCATGCAATCTAATGTATTCACATGCCCTGGGAATTAGGATGTAGATATCTTTGGGGGGGTCAGAATTCTGCCTATAACAGATGACATGTATTAATTACAACTGGAGATCAAGCTGTCCTTTATTAACAGACATTTATTGAACACTAATTTGCCCCAGGGATATAAAGAAGAATTAAGAGTAAAAAGAGAAAAGCCATACAGGGCCCCAAAAGTGCTGGGATTATAGGCATGAGCCACAATGTCCAGCCATTCTGAGAATTTTAGATGAAATAATGTGTGTAGAGTAGGAAGCAAAATCAGACCTCTAGGAAACTTTAGTTTCCTTTCTCCTCCACCAGTCTTCACAGTGGAGAAAGAATGGAGCTGTCATCCGCTATGTTGAACTTTGACCTTTGCCCTCAATAATCGTAGTTAACAAGACAGTTGTCATCAAGAACTTAATCACAGAACCACATTGTGACATGAACATGGATTCAGACCTCCCATAAACCTCTAAAACAATCTTATCTGGATCATTTGAGGTCAGGAATTCAAGACCAGCTTGGCCAACATGGTGAAACCCCATCTCAACTAAAAATACAAAAATTAGCCAGGTGTGGTGGTGTGTCCCTGAAGTCCCAGCTACTCAGGAGGCTGAGGCAGGAGAACCTCCCGGGAGGCGGAGGTTGCAGTGAGCCGAGATTGGGCCGCTGCACTCCAGCCTGGGCAAGAGAGGGAGACTCCATCTCAAAAAAAAAAAAAAGAAAAGAAAAGCCATACAGGGTCCACCAACTCCATTCTCCAGGAACTTCTGGTGACAGTGATGGGGAGCTTCAAAGTATTTGGCTACAAACCTTGGGTGGTTTGTAAGAACTAAGCAAAGAGCTTGGCAAAATGAACACTTAAATTATTTTAATCCTTATTTTTCTTCTTTAAAGGGTAAAGATTTTCTTCTCATGTCAAATTTCCTCCTTCACTCATCTGCTTGAAACAAAATCAGCTCGTCAGTGTCTTTTGGATTTTAGGGAAGGTTCACTTCATTTTTCCTAGACAGAGCCCATCATTCTGCCAACCCCAGCGTGTCCTCAAGGTGTCATTTACTACTGATCACAGTCCTCCCCCCACACTTTCAGATGTGCCTGGTAGATTTCTGCTTTAAGATGCTAAGATTGGCTGGGTGAGATGGCTCATTCCTGTAATTCCAACACTTCGGGAGGCCAAAGAGGGAGCTTCCCTTGAGCCCAGGAGTTTAAGACCAGCCTGGGCATCATAGAGACATCCTGGTCTCTACAAAAATAAAAATTAAAAAATGAGTCGGGCATGGTGGTGCATGCCTGTAGTCCTGTTTACTCAGGAGGCCAAAGCAGGAGGATCACTTGAGCTCAGGAATTTGAGAAATTTCTGAGTTGTTGGCTTATTGAAATTGGCTTATTGGATATTCTTAATATCATTTCCTTGGATACAAAATATGTTCCCAGGAGAATTGGTCCAATAAAATAAAATGAAAGGCCAATGTTATGATTCATGAGATAAACACTTGGCAAACAGGGCCATCACCAGCATCAGAAAGCCTGGCATCTCTTGTGCAAGTTCCGGAGAAAATTGGAGCTTAAGAAAAGCTAAGTCCAAGCCTGCTTTTCCTAAACATTGTAGATTTGCATATGCTTGTGTGTACACACCACACACACACACCACACACACACACACACACACAACACACACAGCACACACACCACACCACACACATTCACACCATACACACACCACACACACCACACACACACACCACACCACACACAACACACCACGCACACCACACACACCACACACCCCCACACACACCACACACCCCCACACACACACCACACACCCCCACACATACACCACACACACCACACACACACCACCACACCACACCAGACACCACACCCCACACACACACCACACACATAGAACCGCACCACACACACCACACCACACACACAACACACACCACACCACACACAACCACACCACACACAACACTCCACACACATGCAACCACACCCCACAGCACACACACACACCACACACATACAACCACACCACACACAACACACACACAAACACACCACACACACAACACACACACATAACCACATCACACACACAACCACACCCCACACCCTACACACACACCACACACACACCACATGCCCCCCACACACACACACACACTCCACACACTGTTTTAAACAGTATCTGGGATTTGTATTTATCACGTAATACTGGCTAATTTGTATTTATCACGTATGGTAAGACAGACATGGAAATGACTGTCAAGAAGAAAGATCTTTTTTTAAAAAAAAAAAAAAAAGGTGGAGTCTCCCTCTGTCACCCCGGCTGGATGAAGTACTGCAATCACGGCTCACTTCAGCCTCGATCTCCTGGACTCAAGCAATCCCCACCTCGCCTCAGCCTCCTGAGTAGCTGGGACTACAGGCATAAGCCACCTCACCCAGATAATTTTTTTTTATTTTTTGTAGGGACAATGTCTGGCCATGTTGCCCAGGCTGGTCTCAAACTCCTGCACTCAAGTGATACTCCTGCTTTGGCCTCCCAAAACGCTGGGATTATAGGCATGAGCCACCATGCCCAGCCTGGAAGAAGTTTGTATAGGCACAGATCCCTAGATGCAGGAGGCACAGCACGCCATGCAGGGCCACGTGGGGAAGCACCCAGATCAACCAGGAAGCACAGGGAATGAGGGGGAAACATGAGCAGGAGGTTTTCTTGTGTGTTTTTTTTTTTTTTTTTGCAGGAAGGAAAGGGCAAGGTAAACTGGTTTAGGATTAGCCAGTCTAAATAATTTTAGGAAGCTATGGGACACAAGGGCTTTCCCCAGTTGTCTGGTACCAGGGCCTGGCATGATGAAGGCAGGTAGACAGTAGCTTGGTGTGGGCAAGTCCAGTAGAGGGTGTGGAGTCTGGATTGGTTGGTTTGCATTTCAAAGGCATGCTCCTTGACCAGTTGTTTGCTATCTCTAGGAATTAGCTAACCCTGGGAAGGCAGTTTCTCCAGGGTCAGCAAGGCTCAGATGTCAAATCATCAGAATACAGAAAATAAAAAAAACATGATGAATATGCACACACACACACACACACACACAGAGAGAGCAATGTCATCAGAGCTGGAACATTTTGCAGCATAATAGCACACACCAGGCAGCTGTTTAGTTTCTGGGCTGTTTTGTGTTTCTTCTATAGACTGCTTTTTCCCCTGACAGTGACAGTCTCAGTAGTGAATGTTGCTGCCTTGTCTCTGCATATACATATTGTTCCTATCACTGGCTAGTGATGGAAGGGGAGGGGAGGCAGGGGCTGAGGTTTGCAGGGTCTTCCAGGAGCTGCCTCAGCACTGAGAGAACAGTGAGATCTCAACTTGGTGTTAAGTCTGATAGGAAAGAAAAAAGGCCCCAAGACTGATGAGAATGCTGATGATAGCAATTCCTTAAATCATCAGTAAAAAAAGTTTGAGAGCTTAGTAGACACATATTTTCTCAATATCCTCAAGAGGCAAATAAGGTGTATAGAGCAGCCTTTGTCTTTGTTTGCCCAGCACTCACCTTCTTGCCACTTTCTGGTAACACTTGATCGACACCTCCCGAGCCGCATCATCCCCACCACCAACGTGGGCTTGGGACCCAGGCTAGGCCAATCTTAGTGTTCCAAACTCCTGGCCACCTGGACCTTCACCCAAGCTGGAACAGCCCCAGTCCTCTCCTGGGATTTCTCTTCTGGTAACTTCTCGATTCACAGAACTAAAATTAAAAATAATAACAAACAACATACTTGCTGCTTGATTATTAGGTGCTGGGCACACCTAAAGCATTTTACATGGGTTATTTCCTTAACTTGATCTTCACAACCAATCTAGAAGTACTATTATTATCCCTATTATGAAAAAAGAAGAGCCAGGTGCAGTAGCACTCACCTGTCGTCCCAGCTACTCCAGAAGCCAAGGCAGGAGGATCACTTGAGCCCAGGAGTTCGAGACCAGGCTAGGCAACATGGAGATACTGTGCCTCAAAAAAATTAAAAAGAGGACAGAGGCAAAAGGCAGTTAAGGAATTTGCTCATGGTCAAGCTAGTGAGTGGTGGAGTCAGGCAGTCTCCTGAATCTCTCAGCTGTTAACCATTATGAATATTTTCTCTGGAGCTGCTGGCAGCTGCATTCCCTGCTGTTTGGGAAAAGTTGATATACGTAGAAGGAAATGAATTGTTTCCACTAGGAATTGTATTCAGCTGCATATAATAGAAAACCCAGATAACAAAGGCTTAAACAAGATTTAGGGGTTTGTTTTTCTTTTATATAATATGAAGTACAGAAATAGGCAGTTAATGGCTACAATGCAAGATTTCAATGTCATCGGGGATGCAGGCTCCTTCTTAACCTCCCTCTTTAGTGCATGATTTCCATCATCAAGGCTGGTTCATCATCCAAGATGGCTATTGGAGCACCAGCCATCAGGTTAGATTCCAAGAAGGAAACAGAAAGAATGAAGAAAGGGGGAAATGGTGGTTCTCCTGACATTGACAACTCTTAAAGCCCCACCCTACAATGTCTGCTTATATCTCACAGACCACTCTGGATTGAAGGGAACTTGGAAATACAGTCTCATGGTGGCATTTCTAAGGAAGAGAGGGAGGATGAGTAGCAACTTTCAGTCTCTGCTGCAAACACAGATTATGTTTTAACAAGGACACTAATGAGCTAGATTCCTTTTGTCCAACTCACTAACTCATAAACTCCATGGACTTTTTTGTTTGTTTGCTCAACTTTGCTTGTGCTTTCCTCTCTGCCTAGAGTACTTTTCTTCACTTTTCAGTCTAATGAACTCCTATTTGTCCTTCAAAACCCTACTTAGATGTCACTTCCTTTGAGAATCTCGTTTCCTAGGATTCCCCAAACATTTTTTTTTTTTACTCTTTATCCTTTCTCTTTTAGGTAATTCTATTCATTTGATTATAATCATAAATTGTTACTTATTTGTTTTTGTGTCTGTCTCCCTGGCTAGACTGTGAGCTCACCAGCAGGGGCTGAGCCTGATTTATTTCTGTATCCAGTGCTAGGTACATAGTAAGTGCTCGTGAATGTGGCTGAATTTTAAAATGAATTGAGTCAGATATTAGCTCCCATTTTATACCAGTTTTCCCTGAGCTTATGACCCTATGTTACTGTTTTCCTCACTCAGACATTTTTGCTCTTCAAGGAATTGTGTTAAATCTTACAATGCTCAAGTTGCTTCATTCACATGAACAACTAGGTCCAAAATTCTGAAAGCTTCAAAGTGTGATGCAGGAAATCCACTTTCCTCTTTGCACCCTGGCTATTTTTATTAGCTCCTCATTCTTCTGAAGTATCAGAACCTGCAAAAATGAGAAATTTGTCTTTAAGCAGTAACAGATAAGAATTTTAACTAAAACTCTCTATCTGGTCCAGGAAAATAAAGTGGATATGATTGGATCAGAAAAGTTATGTGAGCGACTCCTTATCTCTACACCAGATCGGCAAACTCTGAGCTCTGCTGGAGCCTGTGGACTGTGATTGGGGAGCTTTTGTGGGTGGAATGGAAGTTTGAATGAGTGTGTTGGCCACATTGAGGGAAGCTGGGCAGGATTCCTGGATCTGAGATGGTTCATTTACAAGGTTACTGGACTTAGTTCCCGGATTGAATTTTATATGATTGATTGAGGCCCAGCTTTGGAGTTAGATAGACGAAGTTTTGAATGATGCTTTGGCCAATTACTAAGATGTGTGAGCTTGGGCACGTTCTTTACTGGACCTCAGTTTTCTCATGTGTAAAATGAAGATGATGATACTTACAAGGTACCTGCTGGGATGCAATGAGCTTATCCCTTTAAAGTATTTTAAGGGACACATAACTAGAGTATGCCAAACAGTGTCAATGTCCTTCTCTCCTATTTGAAAGATGTGGGTCAAGAGAGGCAGAGATTATCACTCCATCCCTTTCTTACCACCTTTGCAGGAAAAAGATTAGTTCTGTCATCATGTAGAACCAGTGTAGGCACTTTCATTCATTTAACAAATATTATTTGATGAATATTTAATTATGAATTTAGGGACTAGCATCCCTTTTCTCAATGAACTCACAATCTAGACAGAAAGACACATTGGTAAGGGGTTAGGATTTTATCCGAAGGGCAATAGAGAGCCATTGAAGAGAGAATCATACATACAGAGGGTGGAGAGTGAATTGGGGGCAGATAGATCTGATGGAGATGCAGGTGAGTGATGTTTGTAGCCTGACAGAGGAGTTGCAGGGGAAGAGTTGTGAAAGAAGAGCAGCCAAAGCAGATGTGCTGATTTAAGACATTTGAAAGAGGTAGAATTGTCACAACTGGATAGATTGGATGTAAAGGAGATGAGGAAGGAGAGGAAATTTACAGTCTTTTACTGTAGACTGGGAATACAAGGGAAGCAGCCTGTATGGGAGCTGAGAAGAAGCAGGGATGATAAATTCTACTTGAGACATTGAGTTTGAGATACCTATGAGACCTCTGAAAAGAGAAGTCTAGCAGGCAAAGGGATGTGCAGTTCATAAACACAGTAGAGAGATGTAGACTAGAGGCTGGGAGTTAGGAGTCAAAATATAGATGCCAAATGATCTGATGAGATTATGCAAGAAGAAGGTATAGAGGCCAGGTGCAGGGGCCCACATCTGTAATCCCAGCACCTAGTGAGGCTGAGGCAGGGGGATTGCTTGAGGTGAGGATTCAAGATCCACATGGGCAACAAACCCTGTCCCTACAAAAAAATAAAAAGTCAAAACATTAGCCAGGCATAGTGTTGCATGCCTGTAGTTCCAGTTACTTGGGAGGCTGAGGCAGGAGGATTGCTTGAGCCCAGGAATTTGAGGTTATAGTGAACTATGATCACACCACTGCACTCTAGTCTGGGTAACAGGTGACCCTGTCAATAAGAAAATAAATAAAAAGGAAGATGTAGGTTAGCTAAGGCTTCGATTAGAAAACCTAAAAAAAAATTTCTTTATGGAGTTTAATTATGAGGTTAAGTATGTCTTTGAGGCCTAAGGTTGTGTGGCTAAAATGTGAGCAGAGGGTAAGCCACAAACTCAGGGATAGGAATCTGCCACAACCTTAAGTATCCATAACTGGTTCTATATGGTTCAGAGACAGTGGCTGTCCCCTGGTTCTCTGGGCACCTCTTCCCCAAACATATTTTGGTTTGACTAATATTTAGAGAAAGGCCAGAGATGTGGCTGAGCAGATGCACAACAAATATAACTGTCTCCCTGACCCAGATTTTCACAAAGAAATTTAAGGTGCAGATGAATGTGGACATGGGCTATGAGGACAGGACTTTATCTTCACTTGAAGACAAGCTGGTCCTGCTCATAAAATTCCTATAAAGGTACAATCTTGTTCATCCTGCTATCTTCCAATTAGGTTTCTGGGTTTGAATATTCAATTCAGTATGTCCATGGCATGTGTCTCATAGGTGCATGACATTGGTTCTTCCTGGGCATTTCATCATATGAAGAGCACACAGGCAAGTCCCCTTGACAGGAGCAGCATCTCTCACCTTGAACTGCACATCATTTTGAGATATCCTCTGGGATCAGATTACACCCCAAGATATCTAATACAAGCAGATGGATCTGGCTCCAATTGCTGTCTTCTTGCCCAAAGGAATCTGTATGGGACCGGGAGTGGTGGCTCACACCTGTAATCCCACCACTTTGGAAGGCCGAGGCAGGTGGATCACCTGAGGTCAGGAGTTCAAGCCCAGCCTGGCCAACATGGTGAAACCCTGTCTCTACTAAAAACACAAAAAATTAGCCAGGCCTGGTGGTAGGTGCCTGTAAACCCAGTTACTCAGGAGGCTGAGACAGGAGAATCACTTGAACCCAGGAGGTAGAGGTTACAGTGAGCCAAGATTGTGCCATTACACTCCGGCCTGGGCAACAGAGAGAGATTCTGCCTCAAAAAAAAAAAAAAAAAAAAAAAGGGGAAATCTGTATGGGCGTTTTCACAAATAGCCGTATATCTAATGGATGCAAATCTTAACATATATAAGTCACTGAGGTAGCTGTCTGAGAAAGCTAACAATGGCAGGCCTATTCACAGAAGTATCTCAAATCCACTATAAGGAAATACAATTTATTATCGACATAGAGTCACAACCTCATGTAATGACTATGTAGTGGTCAAAAGCACTGGCTGTGGTGCTAGACTGATTAGTTTCTATCTGTGGTTGTATACAGATATTAGATGTGACCTTACATGTAGGTAAAATCTGTAAAACAGTCTGTAAAATGAAAATAATAATCTAATCTGTAAAATGGAAATAATAATCTTACCCACCTCATTGGGTCATTGTGAGAATTAAACATATGTAGTTTTACAGTGCCTAGTACATAGCAAATATTCAATAAATATTGGGTATTATTATTTCTGTTACTATTTCTAGATCCTTTCTAGAAGAAAGAGCGTGTACTCAAACTTGTCTCAGTCTCACGTAGGGCATCCAAGGAAAACAGCAACACAGATGTGGAATTAATTAAGAAAAGGTGCATGGAAGTATGTCATAGATCAACTTAGAATAGCTGGAGTTGCACACGAACCACACAAAATCTGATTGGTGATGTCCTGCAGAAGCTAAGACCATGAGTGTATTATGAGAGGGCCCAGAGCACTACTTAGAGTTGAGTTAGCTCTGATCAACCACATTCTAATGACCTGGGCACAAATGAGTCAAAAACACATGGACTACATTTCCCTTAGAATACACATGGGTTTAAAAATTAAGAGGAAAGGGTGTTTGCCAAAATGCATTTCGTAATAATCACTGGTTCAGTAAGCCGGAAACATCAATGGATGTTTCAGTAATCCGGTTCAGTAATCCGGTTCAGTAAGCCGGAAACATCAATGGATCATCTGTGATGCTCATTAAACCCATGAGACAACAGGTTGAAATATTCAGGAAATACTTAGAGATCAAAGAGGCTCTGTCTCATTAGTGCTTGAAAGTTGAAACATGAATAGATTGGGGAAGGAAAAAAGAAGATATTTCTTTACTCTGGTGAGGAACTGGCACTAAGAAGGAGGAAAAAGGATAGGTTGAAAGGTGAGAACTTTGCTTCTCAGGATCAAAAGCAAGATTGCATCTTAAGAGATAGGATCCTCCTCCTAGTCTTCCTAGTTAGCCACTGCTGCACCTGATCCTATTCCTTCGCCCACTCCCTAACCCTGTTTTCTTGATATAATGGCTTCTCAGGCCCCTTGCCATTATGAACATCGATATGCATTTTTTTTTCAGCAGAAAACAGGGACTTGCATCCTCTTACTGTCTACTAAGCAAATATCATGTCTAAATTAGAAACAATAAGTTAGGTATTTGAAGATTTGCAAGAGTGTTGAGGAAGAAAAAAAACTTTTGTGATAATATAAAACATGTGCTTTTGTAAATTGAATGCTTCATTGAAGAGAGCTGAAAAATGCATATTCAGACAGGAACATTTCAACAAGGCTGTTTTGGACTAATCTCCTGCTGCGGCAGTCAACAGCAGTTTTGGCTAATGAGCTTTGACAGGATCAGAAATATTAAAGTGTATTAGAGATGTGCCAAATTCCTATTTGACTGAATTCTAAATATCTGGTTAGAAAAAAATCAATATTTATCCAAAGCCAAGTATCTCAATCAGAGAACATGCTTCCAGAAAACAATACTAAATGTAAATTTTTATTATAATGATTATTATGACTTTATTATTAAATCTTTTATTAGCTAAGTTTTACAAGTTTGCCGTTAAGATAAAGGAGCAACAATTTCTGAGTTTTGTCAGCTGGTAGACTGCTCCCATTGTCACTTAACTGCCTGTTGGCTGTATTAAATAGTCACTCACTTTAAACTGATGGCAGATCAGTAGGGAGAATTTTTCTAGGTACTTTCTTTTTCTCTAGCACTTCCTTGTTTTCATCAGAGTTTATAATTCTTTCTTACATCTGGATCCAAGTTTTACCATGGATGCTGCTGTACTTGATTATGAGGGTTTTCCTCCCAGTAAAATTTTTGAGATAGAAAAGTTGACATTCTGCTTTTAATTCATTCACAGAAATTCTAAAAATTCCTTTTCTTAAAAGAATCACAGCCTAAATGAGATAAAATTACTCAAAATTAAATAGTTGATTTAAGGTTATTTTGTTTAAAGTTAGGAATGCTAGTACTCAAAATGATTTCACAAACACTCAAATTGTCATGAAAACAGACCTCTATTATTATGCCTTGTATTACTATTTTAAGTTTTATAAGCATGTGTTGGCTAGAAAAGGACATAATGCTCTCCCTTAAGTCATCTAGCTAACACAGTCTCTTAATGTTTCTATAATAGTGAATCGATTTACCTATTTAACAGAAATTCTTATTGTTTTTAATACATAGAATAAACACCTTTTACAATAATCAGAAATTATTGCAATATCATATGCTTGTAATTAATAAATGTATACATACTTCAGATAAATAATATAATTTAAATATATTAACACACAAAGATTTTTACTCCAAGTTACATCAAGAATGCTCACCTCCACTTGAAAGTCAGTATTCAGACATTAAATAATTTGACTGACATCCTTTGTTTATATGATTGACTTTGCTAAGATGACTAGATGTGATAGCTGTGATTGTAACTTACCCAATCCTGAAATCACTGAGCTGACACAAGTTCAGAGAGGCCAGAAATGAGACTGAAGGAAGAATTGGCTATGCTGCCTTCCAAAGTTAGAGGCTGACACTGAAGCTAAATGGCAGCTTTCAGCCAAAGCCAACCTACAGTATGTTCCCACAATTTTCACAGGGCTCCCTCTCCAAAGACGCTTAAAGAGAATTTTTGACTCAGCCGGACTCTGGGCCTTCACTGCTCTAAACAGGGTCTGACTGAAATTAAGGCATAAAAGACAGAAGGGCTTAGGGGTTTTGTGTAAGAGGAGTATAGACCCGGACCTGGAAGGCAGGAGTACAAGGAGAGAGAAATGAGCTGATGTTGGAAGGAAAAACAGAGACGAGGGAGAGAGAATCGTGGGGAGAAGCAGCTGCTATAAAGATGCAACACCAAGAACAAAGAGATGCTTAAAGATGCTTTTTCAGAAATGTTGCTGTGTGTTGTGTGGCAGTGTTTTCTGTTTGTTGCCTCTTCACGGTGATTTTCACAAATTTTCTTTCAAGACATTGATGTGAAATTTCTTTTCCTTCTAGATGAATCATTTGCTCCTTATTTTTGAGAACAAGAAGGCTTAGTGATAGTCAAATGGCAAACAACGTCTTTGCAACAGTATTCATATTAAATTTAAATGTCTCTTAACTAGAAATGGCAAATGAAAATACGTTCTAGTACATAAGAAATGTTCATTTTGACTCAGTAATTTTGCTTCTAGCAATTTGGAATAATTAGAAATGTGAGCAAATATCCATGTATGCAATTATTTATTATACCATCATTTATAGGAGTAAAAACACTAGAAATATCTAAAAGGGAAATAATTCAGTAAATTATGAATAACCACATGCTGGAAAATTATGTACCTGTTAAAATAATGGTTACAAACAGCCTTTCATTGATTTGGAAAATCTCATGTGTAATGTAAGGGGTTTTAACAGTATAAAATACAATTTTATTAATCTGTGATTTTTTTTTTACCAACATAAAATATATGTCTGACAAAAAGTGTTTACATGTTCCCGAAGGTTTTCCAAGCTAAAACAGTTTTGGCCAAGCTAATGAAATAGAACTTGTTTAAACATTATAGGCCTTTGAAAACAATTTCCCCAGGGAAGTGCCTGGCCCTACTTTGGGACAAGCACTTCTTTAGCTCCCTTCTACGTGGAGATTGAACGGCTTTCTAAAAGGACAGGTTAGGTTAGACCACTCTGTTTTTAAAAGAGGATTTAAACCTTCCTCCAAGGATTCTACTTCCACCCCTTCAACCCTCACCACAGCCATCACCCAAACTTTCTCATAAGGTCCATGGATCTCCATCAGTGGGTCTCAAAGAGTAATCCCTGAAGCAGCAGCAGCCCCTGGGAACTTGTCAGAAATGCAGATTCTTGGGCCCCACCCCAGACCTTTCTAAATCAGAAACTCATGGGCTGGGCAGGGAATCAAAGTTTTCACAAGCCCTCTTGGGGACTGAGATGTAAGCTCATGTTTCAGAACCACTGGTCCATATTTTACTTCAAGTGATCATTAGTGGTGGACCTCACCAGCATACTACCCAATTCTTACCAGTCCTTAGAGAAAAAACATCTTAAAATTATATTTACAGATGATTAAAGAATATTAAGTCCTTCTATTTTTTCTTACAATCTAAAATCTACCTCTGCAGGTCAATCCTTGATGAAAGATTGTGCTGGTCCCCATGTAACTGTCTTTTCCTAATTCCCCTTGGCTGAAATGACATTGGTCTTTATTGAGAGAATGCAACAAGACACAACCCACAAAATTCATCATTTGCCCCATGTGAGATAAGCATTTCTTTCTGCACCCTGGTACTCTCAATCCTCTCCCCCTATTTTCAATAAAGTGTTTAAAAAATGTGTTTACCTACTTATCATCTGTCAGATTCCTAAGTCAAAAACTCATCTCACTCACTCTTACTCACCAGAGTATTGTTAACACTTAAAACAGTGCCTGACCCATAATAGATGCTTAAAAGGAATGAACCCTTAAATAGATGAACAAATAGCATCATCAGTTACATTATACCATGGCCAAGTATTTATACGATTACCTCTGCCTGGTCATCATATCAAAAATAGCAGTATTTTTGTTGATCATTTTATCTGTTTTTAATCTATGAACACCAAACATTTGTAACTGACCAGGCTCCCCTTTTGGAATTGCTGGCTTCAAAACTTACAGCACCAAACACTGCATGTTCTTACTTATAAGTGGGAGCTAAGCATTGAGTACACACGGACACAAAGAAGGGAACAACAGACACCAGGGCTACCTGAGGGCAGAGGGTGGGAGGAGGGTGAGGATGGAAAAACTACCTATTGAGTACTATGCTTATTACCTGGGTGACGAAATAATCTGTACGCCAAGCTCCATGACAGGCAACTTACCTACAGAACAAACCTGCACATCTACCCCTGAAACTAAGATAAAAGCTAAAACAAAAAAACCCACACACACCTTAGAGCCAGTTTTGTGGAGTTACCAGAAGCAAGGAAAAAGGGTTTTGTGGTTAGGAATTTTTAATCAATTCTTGAAAATTCCTGAATCCATTCTATGGTCTCCCCTTTGTTCTTCCTTCAGCGGCTTCTGTTTTTAACTGCTGTCCTGCCACTGTATTTTGTGACATGGAGCGTGAGCACTTAAGCCACAGTGTTCTTGTTCAAATCCCAGTCTTGCCATTTACTCACCATGTGACTTTGGGCAAATCATAGAACCTTTGTCTGCCTCAGTTTCCTTATCTATACAATTAAGCTCACAGGAATATCTGCTTCATATAGTAAAGTGCTTAGAATAATGCCAAACTCTTAATAAGTGCTCAATAATTGCTAGATGTGGTGGTGGTGGTGGTTTGTTGATTATTTTAAAAGAAACCAATAAATAAGTGTAGAGACATAAAGAAATCATGTTCAAGTGTTTACAGTGGTTACTGTTAGGTGGGGGTTTTCAGGAATCGTTATTTTCTTCTTAACACTTTCTGTTTCCAAAATCTTAAACAAAGAGCATGTAAAACAAAATAAAACAAACAAAAACAAACCCAAAAGAGGCACATGGAGTTCCAAATTTTTGTAGCTGAGTTTAAAACACATGACAGGAGGATTTACTCCAGTCAAATCCCTAAAGAGCAACACAGAGATCTGTCAGAAAAAACTCCACCCTCTAGTTTCTCCTAAGACTTTTGGATGGAGCATACAACTGTGAGAAAGACAAACAGATATGATTCAATCATAGAAATGACAGTGTCCAGTTATTTCCCTCAAGAATTGCAAAAATCTGAATATGGATAGAGGGAAGATAGTGATGATCTTATATTTCCCTTATGTGTTTTCAACCACAAGAAGTACTGTTATTTTAAGGTTTGCTCCATTTATTTCTAAACCTCTACTCCTTCATTTTCTTCCTCTCAACCTAATTTTACATTTAAAAAAATATAAGAAGCAGCAAACATAAATAACACATTTGTAACAAAACCCACTTACACGAAATGCAAGACTCACTGCCTAGTGAGGAAGGTGGGACAGTGTGCCGAATGGTCTCCACTTGCCCTTCCATCCTTCATTCTGAGCTGCACCCTGGACATTGTCCTCCAGAGACTCCGTCAACTGTGCCCCTTTATCCTCTGGTTTCTGACTGTTCTAGCTAACAGAGATCTCAGACAGGAGATTGAAAAGAAAGATGAGAAAGACGTTGGGATGTTTGGTCCAGGCTCCTTCCTACACCAATTGGCAGTGGTTGTGGTCCTCCATTAATGGCCACAGCCCCTCTTGGGCAGCCCTCTCTGGCAGCTGCGAGCTCCTTCCATTTGTCCAGTCACTGTTTCTTCTCTTTTCTCCCGCAGACCCAGACAGGAACGACTTGCTTCCAGCAACAGCTAGCTCCAGGATATTCCACCAAAACATGTTGGTTTCCCTTAACCCTCCTCACACCTTTATTGAACGCTCCACAATGACCTTGTTCAAGTGGACCGCTTCTCTCTAACCAGGAGAGCTGCCTGGACCTGGACTCATACAGAGGGAAATGTGCAGGAAGAGATGCAGTGAAGGAAACCAACTAGACTTGTGCATGACATTTAGTTCTGAGCCTCCTAGCAGGCAAGTCAAAAAGAACAAAGTATATCATGTAACAGAATAAATTTTTTTTTACACTGAGCCCTGACTGGAATTTTTCACGTTTATTTATGCACCAGAAGATTTCTTAGTGTTCATGCATACCTTTTCTTTCATGTTGTTCTGAATCCTGTGTAGGAAGAAAGTGATCAGCATCAGGGTCAAATTTAGAAGGGGTGCAAGAGTGAGGAAGGTTTAGCAGCATGAGAGAAGGTCCAATGGTCATGCCAATGAGATAACCAGACTGCCAGAAACTCTATCTTATTCACTATGGTGTTCCCACCTTCTAGAATAATACCTGGCACATAGAAGAATAAATAATTGTTGGATAAAACAATGAAAATCTTAAAACCTTTGCGTTGTCACATTTTGGCCTCTTGCATGTTACAGCTTTCAAATGCCACTTTTGTTTGAGAAAACATATCGTAGGACATAATTCTCAGACTTGACTATACATTGGAGCTACCTGAAGAGCTGAGTTAAATACTGTTGCCTGGATCCCACACCCAGTTATTCTGATTTCATTTGTTTTGGGTTCAGCCAGGGCATCAGACTTTTTTTTCTTTTAATACTACCCAGGTGATTTTGTTGTGCATCCCAAGCTGAGAACATGGTTGTGCAACATGTTCTGAAATTGGAGTCAAGAGACCTGGTTTTAGGCCTCAATCAACCAACAATTGCCTGGTTAAGCACAAGCACAGTGTTCAACTCATCTGAGTCTTGGTTTTCCCAAATGTAAAATGAAGATAAAAACACCTGCCCTGAATACATCACAGGTTTGTTGTGGAGAATAAATAAAATTTTGTCTGTAAAAATTTTGGGTAGATTCTAAAACATTCTACACGGATATCATCATCAACATGCAACATGAAATGTGTAAACTGCTTGGAGGGTTGAATATGCTTCCTCAGGTAAGGTTTTAAAGTCCCCACAAAAGTCTGTGTTTGACCTTGTTGACTTTCTTGAGATACTACTAGAAGTCTGTAAACCATCTTCCCCCAAGTTAAACCAGAGACATCACATTTGGCAGCAAGACTAACAGCTCAAAGTACAGAGAAAAAGGGCTTTTTCTCCAACCTTGATGAGCTTATTTAAAAAACCCATGACCAGAATAGGAGTTTGCATGTTTATGTGGTCACATGTCAATTTAATTTCAAGCTTTGTCATGTCAGAAACTCTGGCTGTGGCCCAGGAGTGGACAGACTTGACCTCAGCATCATTCCCTTCCTCTGCAGGTGCGTGTCTTGTGGCGGTGATAGTTATCTGAGGTTCTTAGCCTTTCTGAATCCTCGAGTCTGTTGGCTCCCTTCAGTTGTTTATTCATTCTCTTCTTGCATGTGATCCTAGATTACATTCCTTTCCATACTGAAAACCTTAATATAGATATTTATAGAAGTTTGGCCCATATTTATAAAACTTGGTCCAAAAAACTGGTATTCCATGTTCTACAAGTATAATTATCTTTCAATCAAATGGGACCTTTGGAAACTTTCTTTGGATTCTAACAAATTGTAGCATGCAAATTATACATTTTAATAAAACTGCAAATGGTTGAAAAATTTCTATTCAGATTGAAAAATCTGTTTTCCTTAAAAAGTGTCCAATGTTTACTAAAGCCCATTTAATTTCCATATAATTTGCTAGGATGGAGGAGAGAGTAAAACCTATAGGTTTTTTTCAACCTAACCTAAGTTCCCTTAATCATGCAAGTATCATTTTGGCTCATCATCACACAGCCATTTCCTAAAACAAAGAAATAAAAAATAAATAAAAAATTCTCCATAATAAGTCTGGAGGTCTTGTCAGTGAAGCCTGAAATCCTTAGGAAAGTCTTCTTGTTAATATTGTGATTTTAATTGGACCAAGTGCCTTTGGCATCTCTTCAAGCTTACTCTAGGCCCAAATGTCAACTTATAAACTCATTTATACAGATATTGCTGAATTGGGATGATGGAAATTTCTAAGGGGCCTGTAGGATGGTGAGGATGGGACTGGGGGGGCAGGTGGAGGCAGGGCATATAGAAAAGGTCACTTTGCCTGAAGAATTAACTTTTAAATACTTAATTAAATGTTAGGATGTAGATGGGAAACAGAACAGAGTCCTCACAACTTCAAAAATATAGACAAATGTGCTTAGAAAGTGAAGACATCAGACATAAAGCAAGATAGGATGAAGGAATTCAGAAAAGCATTGTTACATTTCTAAAAAGATACATTGGAATACTTTGATTCCTTGATAGCATTCGTTTCTTATGTTCAAATAAATTATTTTATATGTTCAACCTGACAGTTCAGTAATTAGATGTAAAATCAATGGTAAGACTATGTCAAGATATGTTTAAACAGACATTTAAATCTAAATGAATGATTTATGCATAAAATACAGGTTTTTTTGTTTTTTTAAAAATAGACATATTTTTTAAAAATAGACTGAATGTTTATAACAGCTTTATTGAGACAGAATTCACATAATATAAAATTTACCCTATTAAGGTATATGATTCGGTGGATTTAATTTAATTTTGTTTTATTTCTTGAGACAGGGTCTCACTACATTGCCCAGGCTGGAGTGTAGTGGTGCAGTATCAGCTCAGTGCAACCTCCACCTCCCAGGCTCAAGCAATCCTCCCACCTCAGCTTCCCAAATAGCTGGGACTCCAGGTATGCACCACCATGCCCAGTTAATTTTTGTATATTTTATAGAGATGGGATTTCCCCATGTTGCCCAGGCTAGTCACCATGTTTCCCAGGCTAGTCTCAAACTCTGCCTGCCTTGGCCTCCCAAAGTGCTGGGAGTATAGGCATGAGCTACTGTGCCTGACCTATTTGGTGGATTTTATTACATTCACATGGCTCTGCAAGCATCATCACCATCTAATTATAAGAACATTTTCAGTGGATTTTATTATATTCACATGGCTCTGCAAGCATCATCGCCATCTAATTATAAGGACATTTTCAGCCAGGCGCGGTGGCTCACCCCTGTAATCTCAGCACTTTGGTAGGCCGAGGTGGGTGGATCACGAGGTCTGGAGATCAAGATCAGCCTGGCCAACATGGTGAAACCCCATCTCTACTAAAAATACAAAAATTAGCCAGGCATAGTGGTGTGCACCTGTCGTCCCAGCTACTTGGGAGGCTGAGGCATGAGAATCACTTGAACCTGGGAGGTGGAGGTTGCAGTGAGCAGAGATTGCGCTACGGCACTCCAGCATGGGAGACAGAGTGAGACTCTGTCTCAAAAACAAAACAAAACATAAACAATTTTCATCAATCCAGAAAAGAAATCTAGACTCATTAGCAGTCACTCTCCCATTCCTTCTCACCCCAAACCCTGGCAACCACTAATCTACTTTCCATCTCTATGAATTTGCCTATTTTGAACATTTACTATGAATGGAATTATACAACATGTGGTCTTTTGTTTCTAGCTTCTTTCATTTGGCATGTTTTCAAGGTTCATCCATGTTATAGCATGGATCAGTAGTTCATTCCTTTTTATTGCTAAAAAAATCCAATTGTATGGATATATTACACTTTGTTTATCTATTAATCAATTGATGAGCACTTGGATTATTTCTACTTTTTGGTTGCTATGAATAACACTACCATAAACATTCATGCACAAGTTTTTGTGTAGACATATTTCTATTTCTCTTGGCTATATACCAAGGAGTGGAATTGTTGGGTCATATAGAAGCTCTATGTTTAACATTTTGAGGAACTGATACACTTATTAAAAGTGGTCGTACCATCTTGAAATCCCATCAGCAATGTATGAGGGTTCCAATTTCTCCATATTCTCATCAACACTCGATATTGTCTATCTTTTTTATTTTAGCCATCCTAGTGTGTGTGAAATAGTATCTCATCGTGGTTTTGATTTGCATTTCTCTAGTGAAATGCAAATGATGTTCAGCACTTTTCATTTTCTTTTCTGTCTACATATCTTTAGAGAAATGTATATTCAAGTCCTTAGTCCATTTTTAAATTGTTGTTATTGTTGTTGTTGTTGTTGCGGGGTTGGGAAAGCCCTTATCGGATCATGATTTGCAAATATTTTCTCCCATTTTGTGGGCTGTCTTTTCACTTTCCTAATGGCATTCTTTAAAGTACAAAAGTTTTTAAAATTTTGATAAAATCCAGTTTATCTATTTTTTTCTTTTATTGTTTATGTTTTTGGTGTTATATCTAAGAAGCCATAGGTTAACCCTAGGTCATAAATACTTCCATAAATATTTAGGTCTCTAATCCATTCTGAGTTCATTTTTGCCTATGTTATGAGGTAAAGGTCCAACTTCATTCTTTTGTATGTGACAATCCAGTTTCTTTATGCATTCTGCAGTCTCTGCCTTTGGATTGGCAGGGTTAATACATTTATGTTTAATGTAATTGCTGATAAGGTAAGGTTTACATTTGTGATTTTGGTATTTGTTTTCTATACGTTGTATATCTTTTTGTTTGTTTCTCTATTCCACTATTACTGCTCTCTTTGTAGTTAAATAGTTATTTTCTACAGCACCATTTTCATGCCCTTGTTGTTTATTTTACTATGTATTTTGAAATTTTTTTCTTATCAGTTGCTCTGGGGATTTAAATTAACACCTTAACTGAAACAACCTACTTTGGATTCATACAAACTTAATTTTGCTAGCATACAAAACCTTAGTTCCAGTATAGCTCTGTTCCTTTCCTCCTCTTTTGTGATGTTATTGTCATACAAGCTACATCTTTATACATTATATGCCCATCAACATCATTTTGTAGTTATTGCTTTATGCAATTGTCTTCTAAATTCAATAGTAGAAGAAGATGACTTAAAAATACATTTGTATGCTGTCCTTTATATTTACCTATGTAGTTATTGTTTTCAGTGCTCTTTATTTCTTCATATGGTATAAGTAACTGTCTAGTGTCTTTTCATTTCTGTCTGAAAGTCTCCCTTTAGTATTTTTTGTAAGGCAGTTCTGATAATAATGAATTCATTTAACTTTTGCTTATTTGTAAGTTTCTATCTTATTTGAAAATTTTGAAAATCCCCCCCCCCTTTTTTTTTTTAAATTGCCTTTTAAAAAAGTTTCACATTTACAAAAAAATTAAGATAGTACAGCGAGTTCCCATGTGCCCCAGAGAGTTTCCCTAATACTGACATCTCACATTAGCATGGGACATTTGTTACAATAAATAAACCAGTATTGATACATTATTAACTAAAATGCATCATTTATTCAGATTTACTTAGTTTTTCTCTAATGTCCTTTTCCTGTACCAGGATCCCATCCAGGACATCACAGTACATTTTATTGTCATGCCTCCTTCAGTTCCTCTTGGCTATGACTGTGGCTCAGTCCTAAAGAAGCTTTGGGTCAACTCTCCTTGGCTCAGGCTTTCCTTGTTTTTTATGGCCTTGACAGGTTTTCAAATTACTGGTAAGCTATTTTCTATTTTTCCCTCCATTGGAAATTGTCTCATGATGGGACTGGGCTAATGGATTTTTGGATGGAAGGCCACAGAAGTAAAGTGCCCTTTTCATCACATCACATCAAGGGTACACACTATCAACATGACTTATCACTGTTGATATTGACCTTGATCATCTGGCTAACATAGTGTTTTGCAGACTTTTCCATAAAGTTACTCTTCCCCCACCCGTTTCATACTATACTATTTGGAAGAAAGTCCTTCAGGAGTGGGATCTATGCTCCCTCTCCAAGACGGCAGAATATCCACATAAATTACTTAAAATTCTTCTGCAAGGGAAATTTTTCCTTTTCCTCATTTATTTATTTATTCAATTGTTTCTTTATATGATTATGGACTCATGGAAATTTATCTTATACTTTGGGTTATAATCTGTATTAGTCTGTTCTCATGCTGCTACATCTTTAACATACCCGAGACTGGGTAATTTATAAAGGAAAAGAAGTTTAATTGACTCACAGTTCCACATGGCCGGAAAGACCTCACAATCATGGAGGAAGGCAAAGGAGGAGCAAAGTCACGTTTTACATGGTGGCAGGCAAGAAAGAGTGTGCAGGGGAACTCCCATTTATAAAACCATTAGATCACATGAGACTTATTTACTACCGCAAGAACAGTATGGGGAAAACTGCCTCCATGGGGCCACCAGGCCACACCCTTGACACGTGGAGATTATAATAATTCAAGGTGAGATTTGGGTGGGGACACAGAGTGAAACCATATCATAATCCAATACTATTTTATTTATCTTGTGGAAATTGTTTTCACTTTGGCCATTTGAGCTCTTTCAATTGGCCCCCCTGTCCTTTTGAGATATCCCAAAAAGGTAAGTTTGTTTTTGTTTCAGCATCTCCTTACTTCCTGGCACTGAGATGCTACTCTTGTAACTTAACTGCTCCATTCCTAGAACCAGTTATTTATCCAAGGAGCCCTGGTTCCATTTATTGGAGAATAGTACTAGAAATCAAGACTTGGATGCTAGGTGTGCTCATTGCTCCTGTGGTGTTGTTGCTGCCAGGCCCTCTCAGCTAAGAAAGCAAGGAAATACGTGGTGGTATTCTAACCCTTGTGTATACACGTATTCATATTAACATGAGTTCACACTGATGCTGATTCCATTACACATGAATCATTCTATCCTCTTCCATTTGCTTGTTGGTAAATTCCCACTCCAACAGTGAGAAATCCAGCTCCAACCATTCACTACCTATTCATTTAACTGTTCAATTCCAGTATACACATAGGTATACTGTACATATTAACCTGTACCACTGTGGCAAAGAACTTCATCAATTACAGTACAATGCTCATGCTAAGTTTCTTTTGCCCTTAGTCTTACAAACTCTACCCAGGTCCAAAGTTACTTAGTCACCATCTTCTTCTTCCACTCCTTTCTCTGAGATTGTTTCATACACTTGTAATATAGTTAGATTATCTTGTCAAAATCACTGTTTCTTCCTTGTAATACTTTTTATTTTCCATCTCCTAAATGCTTTTTAAATTTGTATGCATTAAGGTTTACTCTTTGTGCTATAAAGCTCTATGAGTTTAAGAAATTACATAATGTCATGTATCCTTCCATTATAGTATAATACAAAATAGTTTCATTGCCCTAAAAATCCACTATGCTTCCCTTACTCATCTCTTCTTCTCCTCTTGAATCCCTGGGAACCACTGAACTGTTAATGTCTCAAAAGCTTTGTTTATTCCAGAATGTAATATAATTTGAATAACAGTATATAGCCTTTTCAGACTTACTTCCTTAACTTAGCAATATGCATTAGGGTTTATCCATGTCTTTTTATGGTTTCTAACTCATTTATTTTTATCACTGAATAATATTCCATTATATGGATGTATTACAGTTTTGTTTATCCATTCACCTATTGAAGGATATCATGGTTGCTTCCAGTTTGGGGCTATTATACATAAAGTTGCTATAAACATTCACATGCAGGTTTTTGTGTAGATGTAAACTCTCAAACCAGTTGAGTAAATACCAAGAAGCATGAGGCTTAATTGTATGCTAAGACTTTGTTTATCTTCATTAAAAAAAACTGCCAAATGCTCCTCAAAACTCGCTATTCCTTTCCTTCATTTTTATAGCGTAGTTTTGCTGGATGGAGAATTCTTGGCTCTTTTTTTTTTCTTTTACACTTTGAATACTTCATCCCACTGCTTTCTGGCCTCTGTGGTTTTTGATGAGATATTAGCTGCCAACCTTATTGGGGACACCTTGTCTGTGATGAGTCACTTTCCTCTTGCTGCTGTCCAGATCCCTCTCCCTTTTTTTTTGGCTTGAATAGTTTGACTGTGATGTTTCTAAGTGTAGGTCTTTTGGAAATTTTCCTACATGGAGTCCATTGGGCTTCCTGGATGTGTAGATAAACGTTTTCCATCAAATTTGGGAATTTTTTTGCCTGATTCATTTAAATATTCTTTCAGCCTCTGTCTTTCTTTCCTCTCCTTCTGGGATTCTCATTATGCATATGCTGGTATGCTAGATGATATCTCTCAGTTCTCTGAGGTTCTGTTCTTTTACTATTTTTTTAATTCTATTTCTCACATTGGATTATCTCAATTGACTTATCTTCAAGTTCACTGATTTATTTTCTGCCAGCTTAAATATGCTGTTGAGCTCCTCTAGTCAATTTTTTTTTTTACTATTTCAGTTATTAAACTTTTCAATTACAGAATTTCTATTTGGTTCTTTTTAATAATTTCCATTACTCTATTGATATTTGTATTTGGTAATACATTGCATTCATACTTTCTTTTAACTTTTTAGACACTGTTTCCTTCAATTCTTTGCACATATTTGTAATGGCTGATTTATAGTCCTTGTCTAGTCAGTTCTATATTTGGGCTTCCTCAGGGATAGCTTCTATCTTCTTCTTTTCTCCTGTGTGTGTGTCATACTTTCCTATTTCTTTGTGTGTCTCATAATTTTTATTGGAAATTGGATATTTTAAATAATAATGTGGTGATCCCAGAAATAAGATTCTCCCCTCTCCCCAGAGTTTGTTGTTGCTGCTGTTTGTTTAGTCACTTTGCTGACTAATTATGTAAAATCTATATTGTTTTTTATTTGCAGCCACAGAAGTACCTTCTCGATTAGCTTAGTGGTCAGCTAATGATTTGACAGAGATTTTCCTAAATGACTTGAATCAACAAATTTTCCACCCTTTTCTGAGGGATTCTGTGTGTATATTGCAGTATGATGTCAACACTTTGGCAGTTTACAATTCTTCCTTCATCTTCACTGCTTGTTTATACAGAGTCTTGAGGTCAGTCAGAGGCAAGAGAGTAGGGCCATCTCAGATCTTTCCTGGGCATGCACATGTGCATGGCCTTCTAGACTCCCAGGAAAATGTTGAAGATTTTCAAAGTCCCCTATTGACCTCTCATTCTTCAGATTTTCCTTTTTGAGGCACCCATCTGGTACCATTGCCTCCAACAACTGTGATGCTAAGCAATTGCCACTGATTATTTTCAACAAACATCCTGGGAAAAGGGAATGGCTTTTCCTACTAAGCAAGATATGTGTCAGGTTAAATAAAACAAGCTCTATGAATGGGGTTTTCAAGGAGCTGTCAGACAAGTCAAATCATAATAAATCTCTGGACATGGGCACTGGGGAAGTTCCAGAGCCATCTGCCCTCTCCAGGGACCACTAGGCTGCTGGCTTTCAAAGTTACTGTGCTTGCAAAGCTGCTTACCTTCAAGGCTACTGTGAAGTTGGGGATGGGGGAAGGAAAATAAGGCTAGTTAAAATGCCACAAATCTTTCTGTTCTTAACAAGATTCAACTATTTTTCTTAAATAAACACTCCTCAGATAGCTTAAGCTTTGTTTAATTTCCAGAGTTCTGCAAAAGTTAATTTTGATAATTTTTGCAATTTTTTTTGTTGCTTTTATTGAGAAATAGATTTTTGGAGGTCCCTACTTCACCATTCAGGAAGTGTATCTCTTCTCCACTTAGTAATCTCTTAAATTTTACTATTGAGACAGTCCTGATTTTGGATCATAGTTCCAACACTAGTCAGCTATGTGACCTTGGGCAAGATACTTTGTCTTCCTAAGTCTTGGTTTTCACTCAAAAGATTTGTGAGAAAACATGCAAGAGTACATAATAAATGCTTAATAAATGTTTATTTTTCTTTTTACTTTTCCTAAAATGAAATGGTACTAGCATTCCATTCTAGTAACAGATCTGCTATCCATTAACTGTGTGAGCCTGGTCAGAATACTTAACTTCTAGGTATGTATTTCAGCTATTAAGTGGTGATATTTTCTTACCTCTCAAGTCCATGCCAGCACTTTAGTCATATGAAAATTTTGTACTATTTTTTCCTAAGCAAATTAATAATGCAAACAAGGTAGGATGTTTTAATTTACTCTAACACTGTCTCTAAGCATTTTCAAGGTCATTATAGCATGATCCATGCTATGGTATAAATGTATCCCCCAAATTCATGCATTGAAAACTTCATGCCCAGCATAGTGGTGTTGGAGGTGGGGACCTTTTGGGAAGTCTTTAAGTCATGAGGGCTCTGTTCTCCTGAGTGAATTAATGTCACTACAAAAAAAAGGGCTTGTAGGAGTGGGCTCTCTCTTGCTCTTCTGCTCCTCTGCTATGTTAGGAGCAGTGTTCTCCCCTCCCTACCAGAGAGGGAGCATTAAAGGTGCTATCTTGGAAGCAGAGACTGGCCCTTACTAGATACCAAACTTCCTGTCACCTTGATCTTGGACTCCTGAGCCTCTAGAACTCTGAGAAATAAATTTCTGTTCCTTACAAATTACACAGTCTCGGGTATTCTGTTATAGCCACACAAAACAAAGACAATCTATGTAAAGGCATAAAATGTCATTGACAAGTTATTTTTTATCAGTTTATTAAATCTGGTATTCTTTTAAGCACACTATTATTAACTTTGATGGTATTAAATCCTAAAGTAATAATAGCATTTCAAAAATTAAAAATTTGATTTTCATGAATTTGAACTGATTCTATGTGTTTTTCTAAATTTGTAAGGGCACCCTAAATTTTAAGAAGTTCAAATATACAAGATAAATAAAAATTTAGGTTTTAAAATAAAATATAAATAGTTATCTCAAGAGGTAAAATATATCTTATATATATATATATAAAATGTTTTTTTCACTCAAGAACTAAAAGCATGTTTAGGATCACTCAAAAATGAGATTAAACAAAAATACTAAGCGTCCTTTTCAGTTTACTTCTAACAACAGTCATTTTCTGTAGAAGTTTTTGAGTAACTGAATTTCTAACTCACAGGATCTCCTAGATTTATTCATAGCAAATTCAGTTGATCCTTGAACAACATTGGTTTCAACTGTGTGTATCCACTTATATGTGAATTTTCTTTCACCTTTGCCACCGAAGACAGCAAAACCAATGCTTATTCTTTCTCTTCCCCTTTAGCGTACTCCATGTAAAGATGAGGGGGATGAAGACCTTTATGATGATCCACTTCCACTTAATGAAGAGTAAATATATTTTCTCTTCCTTATGATTTTAATAACATTTTCCTTTCTCTAGCTTACTGTATTGTAAGAATATAGTATTTAATACATATAACACACAAATTATGTGCTAATCAAATATTTATGTTGTTGGTAAGGCTTCTGGTCAACAGTAGACTACAGATAGTTTAGTTTTTGGAGAGTCAAAAGTTATACATGGATTTTTGACTGTCAGTACCCCTAACACCCTTATCGTTCAAGGATCAACTGTATTCCAATACATGCAACGATAGCATGTCTGTCTTCACTCAAAAATCCATTCTAAAAGAAACAACATGGTGTCAGACTGTGATGAATAATATGGCCTAGTGACTTCTGGCATGACTGCATGTTTAGTAACTCACTGTTCATTTCTCATGCCTATTTGAAAAGCTGTGTTTTATGGCAATAAATCTTGCTTTCTCAAGCAATTGAAAATATTGGACAAATTGAGGACTAAAGGGTGCAAAATTAGTATCTGGAATGTAACGGTAGATTCTTCCAAATTTTTAAAGAACTTTTCACTTTTGATTATAAAAATAATATACTTTATGGTTAATAAATTATTTAATTTACCCAAAAATAAAAATAAGAAGGAAGCCACCTGTAATCT
Source organism: Homo sapiens (assembly GCF_000001405.40). Lineage (NCBI taxonomy): Eukaryota > Metazoa > Chordata > Mammalia > Primates > Hominidae > Homo > Homo sapiens. Next base: position 52,175,220 of record NC_000004.12, on the reverse strand, counting down.
GACCAGGCACATATAGTCATTTTTAATATCATGGTGTCTTAAAAGAATGCCTGATTCCTGCCATCTCCAAAAAATGACAGGGCACTTACCAGACACCAAACCTGCTGGCTTCATTTTTGATTGACCTTAAACATGTATTTAGCTCTTTAGTGAAAAAAAAAATTATATATTAGATATATTTTATTTCTATCCTTATTTTATTATCAAATCCAAAATTATAGTATTCTTATACATGTAAACTTTTTTTAAGTTTAGGATGCCCTTCAAATTTAGAAAAAAAATAATTCAAATTCATGAAAATCAGATTTAATAGTTGAAATGCTATTAGTACTTTAGGATTTAATACCACAGAAGTTATAATACCCTGCTTATGCACGCACAAGCCAAGGAAAGCCTGCAACCACTAGAAGCTGGGATTGGCAAAGTATTCTCTCATAGAACCTTCAGAGTGAGCACAGACCTGCCAACACCTTGATTTTAGACTTCTGGCCTCCAGAGTTGTGACAGAATAGATTCCTGTTGTTTGAAGCCACACATTTTATGTTAATTTGTTAGGGAAGCCGTAGGAAACTAATGTGAAAGTAAATCTAACGTACTGAATTTTCTCACCTAAGAGAAGGCAGAAATTTAGATGTAAAATCTCCTTATTTTTAAATGTTAACAATTTCTGAAATTTCAAAACACTGAGCTGGCCAAACCAATCAAATGTACAGGTGAATTCTAGATCACTGATACCAGTTTGCCACACTTTTACTAAACTCACGAGATCTTCCCTATGCTTAGCCATTACTTAGTCAATTTCTAGCTCGAAGCACATCCAAAAATCAGATTTTTATGCTTCATGTGACCTGTTTTAGAAAAAGGCTCAATTGATTTCTGATCTCACAAAGCAGGAAGCAAAAATAATCTATTTACATCCATCATTGGTGAACATTAAAAGTGAGAAACATTTCAGATCACTTGTTTGATAAACTTAGGGATATAAACACATTGATTAGCTTTTTTTGAACTTATGCTAAATTTGAGGTGTGTGGACACCCACCTTTGTCAAAGTTAAAACAGCAAACACTAGTTAGAAAACCAATGGCCCCTTTGGAAGAAATCAGCCCTGAGCCCACCTCAGACGGCTCCTCTTGGCATTCCCAGAGAGCCTTGAATAATTGTTGTTAGATTCATTCTGTAACAGTTTTAATTTGCTATCTCCTCATTGGCATTTTTAGATTGCTAAGTCTTTTTGCCTGGATTTCAAAATATTTTTAAGAGGAAATAGCAGCTAAGCTTCTCCATATTTGGGCTAGGGCTGGCCAGCAGGAGATCTGGGCTTCGATCCCAGTTTGCCACTAAGCAGCTGCATGACCCTAGTCAACTCTCTTCACCTCACTAGGCCTCAATTTCCTGTAGCTGATCTCTGAATTTCCTTTCAGCTTTAAAAATTATTTTGACAGTGTAATTTAATTATACAATAAAATCTCAAATGTAATTCATCTTTCTTTAGACTTACCCAAGGGTGGGGAAGGCAGAACACATGCTTTCATTCATTCTCACTGGGCTTCTACCATGTGCCAGACATGCTGTCAAGTGCTGAGGCAAAAACCTGAATGCAACACAGATCCTGCCTCAAAAATCTTACAGCCTATTGGGATTTGGGGGTACAGCTACAAAGAAGTCAACAATTTTGATATAGAACTGTGTTGGAGGGATGCATGGAGCTCAAGGGAAGCCTAGGAAAGGCTATGCGACTCACATAGAAAGAGTCACAGGAGGGTCCCTTGAGAAAGTGATGCTTAAATTGCATTTGTGGAATGAGCAGGGGCTAGAAAGGCAAAGAAGAGACATAACAGGCCATATAGAAGCATAAAGAAATAAAGTAGCCTGGAAAGTGCATGGGACTCAGAGAATGGCCAATAATTATTAGCTAAATGAATAAAATGGGACAAGAACACCAACAACTAAACTACATTCTACTCTACTCCTTCAAGGAACATTATTTTCTAGACATTATAAATAGATGTAAGATAACAGTCTTACCAGTGAAGGAAATCTAGGAAATGTCTGCCATCACAATGGCTAATAATAAAGAATTTTCCTTTTCCACACACTCATTCATAAAACTTCAAAGTTCTTAGGTGAATAGATTCCCTAAACTTCTGTTGCTTAAAGATTTTACCACCCAACTTCTGAAATTATTCACAAAGGACAAACAGGAAGCTAGGGCTAACATAAAGCCTCTTAGCCCACTATAAAAGACCAAAAAATGCTTCATTTCTATTTGAAGATATTCCTTTTAATTTGGTAAGAATGAGAGTCTTGGAATCAAAAAATGATTCCCTGTTCCTGCACATTCAAACACATAAAACACAAGATCTATAGACTACGACCTCCCACAATCTAAAGAGTTATTATGAGTTGCTTCTAAAGCTGTTGCTTTCAAGGGTCAAAGGAATCAACCAATGAAAGAAAATGGTAGATAGCCATCAGTCAAAATCTCTCCCTAAGCAAGTTAAAGTGCTACAGAATTAACCACTGTATAGAAACTTTCTGAAGCTTCAAATTAAAGGAACTCATCTGACCTTTTATTTAGAGCTAATGTGTTTTCAAGAAATTCACCTGCAAAAAAAGTTTGCATCTTGGGAGAAAAAGAGTTGAAAAATGTACACTGTCTATTATCTTTAAGAATAAACCCACATTAAATAAGTTAGTTTGCACCCACATTTCCAGCATGTTTATGCAACTGCTACTAGGATCAGTTCAATTGTTTTTACTTAGGAAACAACAACAACAACAAACCAAAACCTGGGTCACTCCACAGGACTCCTTTTGATACTCTAAATGTTGGAAGACATCTTGCCAGCAGGAGGCAGTCCCCAACTGGTAAAGGCACAAATGAATGGAAACAACCACCAACTAGTAGAGAAAAGTTGGCTTAGACACTTAGCAAAAATGAAGCCAAGAAACAAATCTTAACTTGTGGTCTTGCAGCCCCTTTCCCGCTCTGCTCTTTGCACCCACTCCAATCTCTTTTTGCTTTGTTATAACTGAAGATGGGACTTTATTATACTAGCAGTCATATGCATTCTAGTATGTCTCAAGAGACCTTCAAATCCCTTTCTTATAAAATTCATTTTATCTCACCCACTTATCTCCCCTTAGATGGGTGGGAGGGAAGACCATTTAAAATATATGAACTTTGATTCATATGAATAGATGACAACCAGAAATTTGAACCTGTTTTATTGCTGGTGTGATCAGTGATTTAGACTCATTCATATATGAACTACAAATACTTGTCAAAAGGAACATATTTTGCAAAACTAAACATTTTTCTTTAAATATTCCCTTGTTTTCACCAGACTTAACTTGATGTGCCTTGGCTCACATTAACTTTATTTTTATCTGTTTCCTGTGTATAGTCATGATTTTATTGACCTTTAAAATTAATTGATTAAATATGAGGACTTGAAAAAGCAAACATGAATAATACTCTGATTCTTTGGGTTTTATTAGGTAGATCAGACAGTTCACTTTTTTTTTCTTCAAGAAAAACATTCAAAAATATTATTTCTTCATGCCATCATCTCAAGCTTGAGAGGGCTCCTTATTCTTTTCCAAGGGAAGTGCAGTGTTCTGGATCCAGGAATTATTTTTTTTTTCCTTAACAATTAAACTTTTATTGCTGGTCACAGTGTCTCATACCTGTAATCCCAGCACTTTCAGAGGGTGAGGTGGGAGGGTCGCTTGAGCTCAGGAATTTGAGATCAGCCTGGGAAATACAGTGAGACCTTGTCTCTAAAAAAAACAAAACAAAACACAACCCACACACACATAGACTGAAGAGATAGAAGAAAAAGATATTCCATGCAAATGGAAACCAACAGAGAACACAGGGGTGGTTCCAAGATGGCCAAATAGGGACAGCTCCAGTCTACAGCTCCCAGCATGAGCAATGCAGAAGACGAGTGATTTCTGCATTTCCAACTGAGGTACCAGGTTCATCTCATTGGGGCATGTCAGATAGTGCGTACAGGACAGTGGGTGCAGCCCACCGAGCGAGAGCCGAAGCAGGGTGAGGCATCACCTCACCCAGGAAGCGCAAGGGTCAAGGAATTCTCTTTCCTAGCCAAGGGAAGCCATGACAGACAGCACCTAGAAAATCGGGTCACTTCCCCCCTAATACTGTGCTTTTCCAAGGGAGCAAATGGCACACCAGGAGATTATATTCCATGCCTGGCTCAGAGGGTCCCACACCTACAGAGCCTCACTCATTGCTAGCACAGCAGTCTGAGATCTAACTGCAAGGTGGCAGCAAGGCTGGGGGAGGGGTGCCCGCCATTGCTGACGCTTGAGTAGGTAACAAAGCAGCCAGGAAGATTGAATTGGGTGGAGCCCACCTCTGCTCAAGGAGGTCTGTCTGCCTCTGTAGACTCCACCTCTGGGGGCAGGGCATAGCCCAACAAAAGGCAGCAGAGACCTCTGAAGATTTAAATGTCCCTGTCTGACAGCTTTGAAGAGGGTAGTGGTTCTCCCAGCATGGAGTTTGAGACCTGAGAATGGACAGACTGCCTCCTCAAGTGGGTCCCTGATGCCCGAGTAGCCTAACTGGGAGGCACCCCACAGTACGGGCAGACTGACACCTCACATGGCTGGGTACCCCTCTGAGATGAAGCTTCCAGAGTAACAATCAGGCAGCAACAATTGCTGTTCAGCAGCCTCTGCTGCTGATACCCAGGCAAACAGGGTCTAGAGTTGACCTCCAGCAAACTCCAACAGACCTGCAGCTGAGGGTCTTGACTATTAGAAGGAAAACTAATGAACAAAAAGGATATCCACACCAAAACCCCATCTGTACATCACCATCATCAAAGACCAAAGGTAGATAAAGCCACAAAGATGGGGAAAAAACAGAGCAGAAGAGCTGAAAATTCTAAAAATCAGAGCACCTCTCCCGCTCCAAAGGAACACAGCTCCTTGCCAGCAATGGAACAAAGCTGGACACAGAATGACTTTGATGAGTTGAGAGAAGAAGGCTACAGATGATCAAACTTCTCTGAGCTAAAGGAGACAGTTCGAACCCATCGCAAGGAAGATAAAAACCTTGAAAAAAGATTAGACCAATGGCTAACTAGAATAACCAGTGTAGAGAAGTCCTTATATGACCTGATGGAGCTGAAAACCATGGCATGAGAACTACATGATGAAAACACAAGCTTCAGTAACCGATTTGATCAACTGGAAGAAAGGGTATCAGTGATGGAAGGTCAAATGAATGAAATGAAGAGAGAAGAGAACTTTAGAGAAAAAAGAGTAAAAAGAAATGAACAAAACTTCCAAGAAATATGGGACTATGTGAAAAGACCAAATCTACATCTGATTGGTGTACCTGAAAGTGATGGGGAGAATGGAAACAAGCGGGAAAACACTCTTCAGGATATCATCCAGGAGGATTTCCTCAACCTAGCAAGGAAGGCCAACATTCAAATTCAGGAAATAGAGAGAACACCACACAGATACTCCTGGAGAAGAGGAACTCCAAGACACATAATTGTCAGATTCACCAAAGTTGAAATGAAGGAAAAAATGTTCACAGCAGCCAGAGAGAAAGGTCAGGTTACCCACAAAGGGAAGCCCATCAGACTAACAGCTGATCTCTTGGCAGAAACTCTACAAGCCAGAAGAGAGTGGGGGCCAATACACAATATTCTTAAAGAAAAGAACTTTCAACCCAAATTTCATATCCAGCCAAACTAAGCTTCATAAGTGAAGGAGAAATAAAATCCTTTACAGACAAACAAATGCTGAGAGATTTTGTCACTACCAGGCCTGCCCTGAGAGAGCTCCTGAAGGAAGCACTAAACATGGAAAGGAACAACCAATACCAGCCACCGCAAAAACATGTCAAATTGTAAAGACCATCGAGGCTAGGAAGAAACTGCATCAACTAACGAGCAAAATAACCAGCTAACATCATAATGACAGGATCAAATTCACACCTAACAATATTAACCTTAAATGTAAATGGGCTAAATGGTCCAATTAAAAGACACAGACTGGTAAATTGGATAAAGAGTCAAGACTCATCAGTGTGCTGTATTCAGGAGACCCATCTCACATGCAGAGACACACACAGGCTCAAAATAAAGGGATAAAGGAAGAGCTACCAAGCAAATGGAAAACAAAAAAAGGCAGGGGTTGCAATCCTAGTCTCTGATAAAACGGACTTTAAACCAGCAAAGATCAAAAGAGACAAACAAGGCCATTACATAATGGTAAAGGGATCAATGCAACAAGAAGGGCTAACTATCCTAAATATATATGCATCCAATACAGGAGCACCCAGATTCATAAAGCAAGTCCTTAGAGACCTACAAAGAGACTTACACTACCACACAATAATAATGGGAGACTTTAACACCCCACTGTCAACATTAGACAGATCAACGAGACAGAAAGTTAACAAGGATATCCAGGAATTGAACTCAGCTCTGCACCAAGCGGACCTAATAGACATCTACAGAACTCTCCACCCCAAATAAACAGAATATACATTCTTCTCAGCACCACATCACACTTATTCCAAAATTGCCAACATAGTTGGAAGTAAAGCACTCCTCAGCAAATGTAAAAGAATAGAAATTATAACAAACTGTCTCTCAGACCACAGTGCAATGAAACTAGAACTCAGGATTAAGAAACTCACTCAAAACTGCTCAACTACATGGAAACTGAACAACCTGCTCCTGAATGACTACTGGGTACATAATGAAATGAAGGCAGAAATAAAGATGTTCTTTGAAAGCAATGAGAACAAAGACACAACATACCAGAATCTCTGGGACACATTGAAAGCAGTGTGTAGAGGGAAATTTATAGTGTTAAATTCCCATAAGAGAAAGCAGGAAAGACCTAAAATTGACACCCTAACATTACAATTAAAAGAACTGGAGAAGCAAGAGCAAACACATTCAAAAGCTAGCAGAAGGAAAGAAATAACTACGATCAGAGCAGAACTGAAGGAGACAGAGACACAAAAACCCTTCAACAAATCAGTGAATCCAGGAGCTGGTTTTTTGAAAAGATCAACAAAATTGATAGACCACTAGCAAGACTAATAAAGAAGAAAAGAAAGAGGAGTCAAATAGACGCAATAAAAAATGACAAACAGGATATCACCAACAATCCCACAGAAATACAAACTACCATCAGAGAATACTATAAACACCTCTATGCAAATAAACTAGAAAATCTAGAAGAAATGGATAAATTCCTTGACACATACACCCTCCCAAGACTAAACCAGGAAGAAGTTGAATCCCTGAATAGACCAATAACAGGCTCTGAAATTGAGGCAATAATTAATAGCCTACCAACCAAAAAAAAAGTCCAGGACCAGATGGATTCACAGCTGAATTCTACCAGAGGTACAATGAGGAGCTGGTACCATTCCTTCTGAAACTATTCCAATCAATAGAAAAAGAGGGAATCCTCCCTAGCTCATTTTATGAGGCCAGCATTATCCTGCTACCAAAGCCTGGCAGAGACACAACAAAAAAAGAGAATTTTAGACCAATATCCCTGATGAACATCGATGCAAAAATCCTCAATAAAATACTGACAAACCGAATCCAGCAGCACATCAAAAAGCTTATCCACCATGATCAAGTGGGCTTCATCCCTGGGATGCAAGGCTGGTTCAACATATGCAAATCAATAAACGTAATCCAGCATATAAACAGAACCAAAGACAAAAACCACATTATTATCTCAATAGATGCAGAAAAGGCCTTTGACAAAATTCAACAACCCTTCATGCTAAAAACTCTCAATAAATTAGGTATTGATGGGATGTATCTCAAAATAATAAGAGCTATTTATGACAAACCCACAGCCAGTATCATACTGAATGGGCAAAAACTGGAAGCATTCCCTTTGAAAACTGGCACAAGACAGGGATGCCCTCTCTCGCCACTCCTATTCAACTTAGCTTTGGAAGTTCTGGCCAGGGCAATTAGGCAGGAGAAAGAAATAAATGGTATTCAATTAGGAAAAGAGGAAGTCAAATTGTCCCTGTTTGCAGATGACATGATTGTATATTTAGAAAACCCCATCATCTCAGCCCAAAATCTCCTTAAGCTGATAAGCAACTTCAGCAAAGTCTCAGGATACAAAATCAAGGTGCAAAAATCACAAGCATTCTTATACACCAATAACAGACAAACAGAGAGCCAAATCATGAGTGAGCTCTCATTCACAATTGTTTCAAACAGAATAAAATACCTAGGAATCCAACTTACAAAGGATGTGAAGGACCTCTTCAAGGAGAACTACAAACCCCTGCTCAATGAAATAAGAGGACACAAACTGATGGAAGAACATTCCATGCTCGTGGATAGGAAGAATCAATATTGTGAAAATGGCCATACTGCCCAAGGTAATTTATAGATTCAATGCCATCCCCATCATGCTACGAATGACTTTCTTCACAGAATTGGAAAAAACTACCTTAAAGTTCATATTGAACCAAAAAAGAGCCCACATTGCCAAGACAATCCTAAGCCAAAAGAACAAAGCTGGAGGCATCATGCTACCTGACTTCACACTATACTACACGGCTACAGTCACCAAAACAGCATGGTACTCATACCAAAACAGATATATAGACCAATGGAACAGAACAGAGCCCTCAGAAATAATACCACACATCTACAACCAACTGATATTTGACAATCCTGAAAAAAACAAGCAATGGGGAACGGATTTCCTATTTAATAAATGGTGCTGGGAAAACTGGCTAGCCATATGTAGAAAGCTGAAACTGGATCCCTTCCTTACACCTTATACAAAAATTAAGTCAAGATGGATTAAAGACATAAATGTTAGACCTAAAACCATAAAAGCCCTAGAAGAAAACCTAGGCAATACCATCCAGGACATAGGCATGGGCAAGGACTTCATGTCTGAAACACCAAAAGCAATGACAACAAAAGTGAAAATTGACAAATGGGATCTCATTAAACTGAAGAGCTTCTGAACAGCAAAAGAAACTACCATCATAGTGAACAGGCAACCTACGGAATGGGAGAAAATTTTTGCAATCTACCCATCTGACAAACAGCTAATATCCAGCATCTACATCGAACTCAAACAAATTTACAAGAAAAAAACAACCCCATCAACAAGTGGGCAAAGGATATGAACAGACACTTCTCAAAAGAAGACATTTATGCAGCCAACAGACACATGAACAAATGCTCATCATCACTGGCCATCAGAGAAATGCAAATCAAAACCACAAAGAGATACCATCTCACACCAGTTAGAATGGCAATCATTAGAAAGTCAGGAAACAACAGGTGCTGGAGAGGATGTGGAGAAATAGGAATGCTTTTACACTGTTGGTGGGACGGTAAACTAGTTCTACCATTGTGGAAGACAGTGTGGCAATTCCTCAAGGATCTAGAACTAGAAATACCATTTGACTCAGCAATCCCATTACTGGGCATATACCCAAAGGATTATAAACCATGCTGCTATAAAGATACATGCACACGTATGTTTATTGCAGCACTATTCACAATAGCAAAGACTTGGAACCAACCCAAATGTCCATCTATGATAGACTGGATTAAGAAAATGTGGCACATATACACCATGGAATACTATGCAGCCATAAAAAAGGATGAGTTCATGTCCTTTGCAGGGACATGGATGAAGCTGGAAACCATCATTCTCAGCAAACTATCGCAAGGACAGAAAACCAAGCACCGCATGTTCTCACTCATAGGTGGGAATTGAACAATGAGAACACTTGGACACAGGAAGGGGAACATCACCCACCAGGGCCTGTCATGGGGTGGTGTGAGGGGGGAGGGTGGGGGGAGGGAGAAGTGTGGACAGATAGCATTAGGAGATATACCTAATGTAAATGACGAGTTAATAGGTGCAGCACACCAACATGGCACATGTATACATATGTAACACACCTGCATGTTGTGCACATGTACCCTAGAACTTAAAGTATAATAAAAAAAAAAAGAAAGAATCACCAATGTAATTAGCTAAAAGTGAACAGATGGGAGTTACTTAATATAAAATATGTAATTGTCTTTGAAAAAGATACACAAAAATTTTCTCAATAAAGTTTTTTGCTCTATAAAAAAAAGAGAACACAGGTAACCATACTTAGACAAAATAGACTTGAAGTCAAAAACTGTAAAATAAGACAAAGAAGGCCATTATATAATGATAAAGCGGTTATTTTACCAAGAGGATATAATAATTTTAAATATATATGCACCTAACATCACAGCACTGAAATATATAAAGCAAATATTAAAAGATCTGAAGGGAGAGATAGACTGTCATACAATAATAATAGGGGACTTCAATACCCCACTTTCAACAATAGCCAGGAGTTCGTTAACCCTCAGGAAGGGGCAACTGAGACAAACAACTGAACTTGTCCTTAATAGAGATCCTTTATCTCCAAACCTTCTGTCCTGGATGCCAGTGGTTTTGGGTCCTGTTTACCACCTTTAACCTCCTTTGGGGCATAGCAAAATCTCATTTTTCTCTGGACCTCCATCACAAGATACATACAATAGCAAATGATCAATAACAATTTGTTGAATTAATTAATTGAAGGGCAAAATTAACATAAAAACTCTAGAGAATGAAATTGTCATTATAATAATAATAGCTAACATTTATTGAGAGCTGCTAGTATCAGACAGTATTTTGAGTACTTTACATGGATCAATTTGTTAATTCTATGTCAAAGGAGGTAGATTCTGGTTCTATCCTCCAGTTTTCGTTGGAGGGAACTAAGGCAAAGGGAAGTTAGTAATTTGCCTAAGGTCACAAAGCTGATGAGTGATGGATCTGGGAACCACACCCTCAGGCAGTCTGACTTGAGTAGATGCAGTTAACTACAACAGCTTCTAACTGCCATGTTTCCATGGAGACCATGGGTTCTATGGACTTCTGCTGCAAGCTGTTGCCCAGGCTTTATAGCTCCTTTCCCACCACATTCCATCACAAGTTCCATTACCCCACATTTCAGCAGAGAAGTTATGGGGGACACTTGAGGTCTTAGGACCATTAAGTGACCCAAACTCTCATTAAAGGAGTCATGGATATGGAACCAGGGATGGTTAGCCAGGAAAAAAGAAAGTTCAGAGGCAATGAGGTTTCCATTTGCTTGTACCTTCTCCAGTTGGCAAGTGGCTCCTTTGGGCAAGATGTCGTCCAACATTTAAAGGAGTGTCAAAAGGAGAGAGGAATAAGTCAGCTCCCTCGTGGTCCAGAGAAGACAATAAGGACTAATGATAAAAATTACTGGAAATTTGACTTTTTTCCTCTAACTATTATTTCAAACATAGATAAAAGTTGAGAGAATAGTAAAATGAGCAATTATATACCTACCCACTTGGTCATATTTGTTTTATATATATATATACACACACACACACACACACACACACATACATGCTATTTTTCTATACCATTTTTAAAGTGTATCTCCAGTGACAGGACTTTCTCCTACATAATTACATTATCATTATTCACACCTATGAAAATTAACAATAACTGGGAAGATAGTTTTAACCTAATGCATAAAAGAATTTGCTGAGAATTACAGCTCACCAAAAATCAAAGTGAGTTCTCCACCACTGATAATACAACTTTTTAACCATCTATGTGAGGTCATAGAAAGATCTTACACACCAGGGCGTGACTGGAATTCCAGCTCTTTCCTTGGCTTAAGTTGTGTTAAAAAAAAAAAAAAGTTCCTTCTTATTTTAGCCCAGGGAAGAGAATAAAACTCAATTTACTTCTAGAAAGATTTATCCTTCTTTTTCTACTTTTTCCATAATACTGGTGCCCATTCTCTCATGTATCCTTCTTTTTCTACTTTTTCCATAATACTGGTGCCCATTCTCTCATGATCCTAGGTTCTGCTCATACAGGTCACCCAACCCTCCCTTCTTGGCTCTACTACATAATTATTGGCTCTTGAAGTTGGAAGGTTCCATCAAGGCTCTGTGTTAAGACTGCTTGGTATCTTAAAAGCTTGACCCTTCCTCCTACCCTGTACCCACCTCTCCTTCTATCCCATAGCTGAATCTTCAGTAGCCCTTCAAAAGCTCCAGGGCCCAGCCTGATGCATGAACTCTCTTCCCAGAAAGGGAAGTGTAAGTGCTGGGTACCAAATGGGGTTATAGTTTCTTGGCCTGAGCACAAGGTGGGGCACGACTGACCTATGAGCCTTGAGTATGGGGCTGAGCATAATCTGAGTTCAGGGATAGTGAAGAGGCCAGATCATCCAAGTATGGGTAGATGGGCAATCCAAAAAGCGTAAGGCAATCCCATTTGAATGGGCAATCCAAAAAAGAGAGCCAGGATCCACCATAAGACGACAGGATAAATCCCTAGGATCCCAGAAGCTTAGAGAGGAGGGTTGGGGGAAAAGCTGGGCAAAAGACCCTGAGCTGTCAGCAAGGCACGTCATCTGCATTGGATAAGTGTCCACAACCCCAGCTGAAAATCAGGGGAAACTAAGGAATAGAAGGGAGCAGTTGTAATGAAGCCCAAGGAGCAAAAAGACCTACCTGAACCAGAACAGCAGGAGTCCAAACTTCTTAGCCAAAGGGTCTGATAGACTTGTAGATCCCCTACCCTGAGCCCAGCCCACTCTGAGGGTGTCAGCCCTTCCTGTCCTCCACCTCAAGATCTGAAGCCTCCTCCCCAACCAGAGAGAAGAATTGGCTGATAATGTTGGGAAGTGGCTACATGTTAGTGGAGGAGAAAACAATGGAATAAACAAAAGACAGAGAATCTGTAGTGAAGGGAGGGAAAAGAAGGAAAGAAAGAGATTCAAGAAGAGATACTCTCTGGTGACTGAGGGGAATGGCCATATAGCATACAAGAAAAACCTAGGGTCTGACAGAACATGGGGGAAGGTTTTACATGCAGCAAAGCCAGACTCAGGCCCTGTCCTGCTGTGAACGCTGCATCGGTTAGGAGTTAAGTCTTTCATTAAACATTCTCAAGATTGCAGGTGTGGGAAGGCCACCATGTTACAGACAGCACTACCAGTCTCTTCTGTGATAAGGGTCATGGTGCTGAGGTACCCAGAGCTTTAGAGGTTATCCCAGGAGAAAACTTTCCTATACTCAGACATTCCTCAGAAGGTAACCAGGAATTCACCTTTTTTTCTGTTAAGAAAATATCACCTTGTCACTGTACCTCACCTTCAAAAAATAACGACAGGAGACAGAGGAGAAAAGTGGATGCTTCTGAGCTCCTTCTTTCCTTCGCCTCTGCCCTAGAAGATAGGAGAGTAGGCGAAGAGGAACCCAGGCTCCAGAGGAGGTGGGAGAGGAGGCTGCCCCTAAAGTTGCCTGCCTGGAGACACCTGAGCCCCAAAAACTGTGGTCTGCCTTCCTTCAACATGTTTGGTGTAGCTTTGCAGTGTGTCAGCTTGATTGAACTACCTCTCCCCACATTCCCCTTCCTGTATGTGTGGGGTTGGGATGGGCCGCAAGATAGCTCCTTGTGTGAGATTAAGAGGGCAAAAGTAAAGTGGCAGCCATATTGTTTCCTGCGCTGTGAGGCGCTTTTGTATCAAGCCCACTTTATCTGTGGGCCCACCTCCCTGACTTCTGGCAGCAGCTGGATCTGCAACTGTGCCTCCTTCCCCTGGATCTTCTTTCAGCTTTTTCAACTTCTGGGCCAGATGTATGTTTAATTCCTTGATGAAGGGCACCAGTTTCTCCTGCAAGATTCCACATCCTCAAGGTTTGGAAGCAGTGAGAACTGAACTGGGTTCCAGCTGGTCCTCAAAGGTTCCAACATGCCCTTGCTCTCTTCCACTTTGTACCTATCCTCCCTTTCCAGCTACCTTCCCTGTGGATTTCAAGTTTACACATCAGACAAGAAGACTGTTTGATGCTCCAGCATCAAACACAAAGCTCTATCTCATATGCAAATATGGCATATGTATAATATATTTAAACGTGTGCATATACACACATACATTTTATAGATATATATACACACATCTATGGTTCTGCTTCTCTCATTGAACCTTGACTGATTCAGTATGCTGGGGTAGAATTCCAGATCGTCCCCAGGACATGCAGTGTTTTCAGGTCACGTTAATTTTCCACCCAGATTGTTATCTGCAAACCGTTTTATATGTTTCCCTGCCAGGAGAAACACAAACAGAAGAGCCCAGCCATTTCTAAGCAATTTCTTAAACACCCCCAAACTGACAACTTGTATTAAATATTCTATGTCTCATTCCAATTTAATTATTTCCATACCATAGTGTTATTTTCTGTTAATTTCTCTGTCTAGTGAAAAGCCACTTATTAGCAGTATGATTTTGAGCAAGGGACTTGACCTCTTTGTGACTCTATTTCTTCACCTGTAAAATGGAGCTGTAATAAGTTTGCTGTAATGATTTAAATAAACCAATGCAAGCAGAGAGATCTGTACAGTATTTGGCACATGATAATTATTCAGATGAAAAAAAGGAGAGAAAAGCAAGGTCCTGATTTGCCTGGAAAAAGAAGAAACGTAACCATCTAGAAGAGAACCTGGAATCCAACAATCAGGCAGGGTAGGAAAGAACTCAGTAAGTTTTCCAGATTCACCGTTGGATCTTGGCTAAATAAACTTCGAGAGGCCTTTTATTTTAAGAAGGAAAAATGGAGGAGTGGTGACCCACAAACTGGAGGAGGACCTCTTCAGCTTGTTGATGATTGTATTTGAGAGACAGAGGTGTTGGCTTCTGGAAGCCACAGGATAAATGTAAAAACTTCAGAATATTAAAAGAAATTAACATTTGGTCCTTTTAAAAATATATTTTATTAATAGTTTTAAATGGGAATAATTCCTCGTAAATATATGCAAAAAAAAAAAAACAAGAATAATGAGAATAATGTTCCCTTTCCTCTATTACCCATTTCTTGTGTATCCATTCAGAGATACTCTATGCATTTATAAATATATATACATACACACATATATACACATAGATATATATCCATCAGTAGGATACAGGTGAAATAGCTATACTCCATATGCTTATATGTAGCTTAATGATAGGCATTTATACATATGTAATTTTTATTTTAATGTAGTATACTCTGCATATTCTTTTCTACTTCCCTTTTAATACTTTAAAATGTATCTTGGAAATTCTCCATTCTGGTACAAATATACCTCCCTCATACTTTTTAATGGCTGGATGATAGTCAATTGTCTATATGTACAAATATTACAATTTTTAACTTGTACATTTACATTGTTGCCTATCTTTTACTAGTAAAAAATGCTGTAGTGAACATACTTGTATACACATTTCACATGTGTGACGATATCTTAAGACAAATTCCTGGAAAAGGAAATTGTTGAGTCAAGGATTTGTGTGCTATTTATAGATATTGCTAACTTAATTTTGTCATAGATTTTATCAACTTATACTCCCACCATCAAGTCCCCTGTTTCCCTAAACTAACAACAGTGTTTTATAAAAAATTTATCTTTACCAATCTGATTGGTGAAAGATGTCTCACTTTAGTTGTATCTAGCATTTCTCTTGTCATGAGTAAAGGCAAAATCTTTTAATATATTAAGAGTTATATAAAATGTTATTTTCTGTGAATTATCTTAATGCGTTTGCCCAATTTTCTGCTGAGCAGTTGGTCTTCCTTGTACTGACATATAAGAACACTTTTTGGCCATGCACAGTGACAGGAGGATTGCTTGAGCCCAGGAGTTTGAGGCTAGCTTGGGCAACATGGCAAAACCCTGTCTCTATAAAAAAATGCAAAAAATTAGCTGAGTGTACAGTACACTTCCAAGGACTTGTACAGATACTTGGAAGGATGAAGTGGAAGGATTGCTTGAGCCTAGGAGGTTGAGGCTGCATTGAGCTGTGATTGTGCCACTGCACTCCAGCCTAGGCAACAGAGTAAGATCCTGTCAAAAGAAAGCAAAAGAAAGAAAGAAAGAGAGAGAGAGAAAGAAAGAAGGAAAGAGAAGAAAGAAAGAGAGAAAGAAAGAAAGAAAGAAGAAAGAAAGAAAGAAAAGAGAAAAGAAAAGAGAAAAGAAAAGAAAGGAGGGAGAGAAGAAGGAAGGAAAGGAGAAAACTTTTTTATTGAGGAAATAAGCCTTCTGAAATGTGAGTTGCAAATATAATTTGTCTAGGTCTTCTGACTTTGTTTACAATGGTTTTTGCCATGTAGATTAGAACTCCCAAACACTATAATATAAATTTAATAAAATATTTCTTAAATCTAACCTAAGCTGGATTGAAATCACCGGTGGACAAATTTCTCCAAAAATGTGTATATCCTAGGAAAAGCTAGCAGGATTTTAAAAATAACTTTTGGAGAAATATTGAGGGATGTCTAGTTTGGGGCAAAATAAAATCTTACTAAGCATTAATCTAATTATTTTTGTTTCAAATTTTAATATTTTAAGGTATCTATGCTAAATACTAAATGAGAAAAAGTATTCACTTACAATTACTAAAATTTTTATTAGTATAAAAAAGTTAACAGTAGAAGAGCCACAAGCTACAAGGGCACACTAATAGATATTAGGAAGGAAACCCCAAGATCAAAAACTTCATATCTGCAAACACTGAGCTAGTCCAAACATTTCCCAAAGCTACATCCTCCTAGACACTCTTCCACACAAGCTGTACAGAGAAGCTTCTGCTCAGTCTCAAACGAGAACTCATCTTAAGAAACCAGAGTATTTGGCCTCTTATAGTATATCTGACTTCACAAAGGCATCTCAGTGAGTTTCATCCCCTGAGATGAGAGGAAAATGGAGTAATTCTATTCTCCAGTTGTAAAGTCAAAAGCTGTCCCAGAGCCAAAACTGAGGGAAGGGTACAGGAAGAAAAATACAGGCAATCTGGGGCAATACAGGAAGGGCAGGAGAAGCCTACGGACTTGAATGGACAACAGATAAATCCAGCAGCTAGTCAGAAGAGAAAACCGCATCTCTCCCGCTCTGAGCAAATTGCATTGTTTTGCTGGGAAGGCAGCCATCATTCAGCAGACACTGTCTCTTCCTGTCCTCTCCCTGAAGAAGAGTCAAACTCACATCTGCAGAGTGCTGTGTCTGTGACCTAAGATGCTAGAGTGATTGTTTCTCTTCATGCCTGCTGTAGTCACAGACACTCTTGTTTCCTTTGCTGACTCTGGCTCAAGGAGCATTCCTGTTCCTCCGTGTTGACTTCCTGTTGGGTTCCCTTCCCAGTTTCTCTGAATTCCAGTTTCTGAGATGGCCTTTTGGTTTGTGGTCTTCCATTTCAGTAGCTGAAGGAGACACTCTCAGGGGTGCAAGGAAATAATATTGTGAAAGGAGCTACTTTTCACTCCCCTCAGCCAACTTGAAGCCAGAAAGAGCAGTGTGTTCCTTTTATTGCTTCACTCTGGGTCAATGTGTCTAAAATATGGGCCAGAGGGAAGGCAGTAGAGTTGACTCTTCTAAAAGCAACATAGCTGTCTCATTTTACCAGTTTACACTTTCTTTGTGTGTGTGTTTACTATCATGGATGCTTCTTCTTCTTCTAGTTCTTCTGATTATTATTATTATTATACTTAAGTTCTGGGATACATGTACAGAACATGAAGGTTTGTTACATAGGTATACGTGTGCCATGGTGGTTTGCTGCACCCATCAACCAGTCATCTGCATTAGGTATTTCTCCTAATGCTATCCCTCCTCTTGCCCCCAAACCTACGACAGGCCCCAGTGTGTGATATTTCCCTCCCTGTGCCCATATGCTCTCATTGTTCAACTTCCACTTATGAGTGAGAACGTGTGGTGTTTGGTTTTCTGTTTCTGTGTTAGTTTGCTGAGAATGATGGTTTCCAGCTTCATCCATGTCCCTGCAAAGGACATGAACTCATCCTTTTTCATGGCTGCATAGTATTCTATGGTGTATATGTGCCACATTTTCTTTATCCAGTCTAACATTGATGGGCATTTGCATTGGTACCAAGTCTTTGCTATTGTGAACAGTGCTGCAGTAAACATATGTGTGCATGTGTCTTTATAGTAGAATGATTTATAATCCTTTGGTATATACTCAGTAATGGGGTTGCTGGATCAAATGGTATTTCTAGTTCTGAATCCTTGAGGACTCACCACACTGTCTTCCACAATGGTTGAACTAATTTACACTCTCACCAATGGTGTAAAAGCATTCTTATTTCTCCACATCCTCTCCAGCATCTGTTGTTTCCTGACTTTTTAATGATTGCCGTTCTAACTGGCATGAGATGGTATCTCATTATGGTTTTGATTTGCATTTCTCTAATAACCAGTAATGATGAGCTTTTTTCCATGTTTGCTGGCGGCATAAATGTCTTCTTTTGAAAAGTGTCAGCTCATATCCTTCACCCACTTTTTGATGGGTTTGTTTTTTTCTTGTAAATTTGTTTAAGTTCCTTGTAGATTCTGGATATTAGCCCTTTGTCAGATGGAGAGATTACAAGAATTTTCTCCCATTCTGTAGGTTGCCTGTTCACTCTGATGATAGTTTCTTTTGCTGTGCAAAAGCTCTTTAGTTTAATTAGATCCCATTTGGCAATTTTGGCTTTCATTGTGATTGTTTTTGGTGTTTTAATTATGAAGTCCTTGCCCATGCCTATCTCCTGAATGGTATTGCATAGGTTTTCTTCTAGGGTTTTTATGGTTTTAGGTCTTATGTTTAAGTTTTTAATCCATCTTGAGTTAATTTTTGTATAAGGTGTAAGGAAGGGGTCCAATTTCAGTTTTCTGTGTATGGCTAGCCAGTTTTCCCAACATCATTTATTAAATAGGGAATCCTTTCCACATTTCTTGTTTTTGTCAAGTTTGTCAAAGATCAGATGGTTGTAGATGTGTGGTGTTATTTCTGAGGGCTCTGTTCTGTTCCATTGGCCTATATATCTGTTTTGGTACCAGTACCATGCTGTTTTGGTTACTGCATACTTGTAGTATAGTTGAAGTCAGGTAGCATGAATGCCTCCAGCTTTGTCTTTTTGCTTAGGATTTTCTTGGCTATATGGGCTCTTTTTTGGTTCCATATGAAATTTAAAGTAGTTTTTTCTAATTCTCTGAAGAAAGTCAATGGTAGCTTAATGGGGATAGCATTGAATGTGTAAATTACTTTGGGCAGTACGGCCATTTTCATGATATTGATTCTCCCTATCCAGGAGCATGGAATGTTCTTCCATTTGTTTGTGTCCTCTCCAATTTCGTTGAGCAGTGGTTTGTAGTTGGAGCCTTGAAGAGGTCCTTCCCATACCTTGAAAGTTGTATTCCTAGATACTTTATTCTCCTTGTAGCAATTGTGAATTGGTGTTCACCCATGATTTGGCTCTCTGTTTATTATTGGTATATAGGAATGCTTGTGATTTTTGCACATTGATTTTGTATCCTGAGACTTTGCTAAAGGAGTTTTGGGGCTAAGATGATGGGGTTTTCTAAATATGCAATCATGTCATCTGCAAAAAGAGATAATTTGACTTCCTCTCATCCTATTTGAATATGCTTTATTTCTTTCTCTTCCCTGATTGCCCTGGCCAGAACTTCCAACACTACATTGAGTAGGAGTGGTGAGAGAGGGCATCCTGTGTTGTGCCGGTTTTCAAAGAGAATGCTTCCAGCTTTGCCCATTCTGTATGATATTGGCTGTGAGTTTGTCATAAATAGTTCCTATTATTTTGAGATATGTTCCATCAATACCTAGTTTATTGAGTGTTTTTAGCATGAAGAGGTGTTGAATTTTATCAAAAGCTTTTTCTGCATCTATTGAGATAATCATGTGGTTTTTGTCATTGGTTCTGTTTATGTGATGGGTTACGTTTATTGATTTGCGTATGTTGAACCAGCCTTGCCTCCCAGGAATGAAGCCAACTTGATTGTGGTGGATAAGCTTTTTGATGTGCTGCTGGATTTGGTTTGCCAGTATTTAATTGATTATTTTCGCACCAATGTTCATCAGGGATATTGACCTGAAATTTTCTTTTTTTCTGTGTCTCTGCCAGGTTTTGGTATCAGGATGATGCTGGCTTCATGATGCTGGCCTCATAAAATAAGTTAGAGAGGAATCCCTCTTTTTCTGTTGTTTGGAATAGTTTCAGAAGGAATGGTACTAGCTCGTCTTTGTACCTCTGGTAGAATTTGGCTGTGAATCCATCTGGTCCTGGGCTTTTTTTGGTTAGTAGGCTATTAATTACTGCCTCAATTTCAGAACTTGTTATTGGCCTATTCAGGGATTTGACTTCTTCCTGGTTTAGTCTTGGAGGGGGTGGGTATGTGTCCAGGAATCTATCCATTTCTTCTACATTTTCTAGTTCGTTTGTGTAGAGGTGTTTATAGTATTCTCTGATGGTAGTTTGTATTTCTGTGGGATCAGTGGTGATCTCCCCTTTATCATTTTTTATTGTGTCTATTTTATTCTTCTCTCTTTTCTTATTAGTCTGGCTAGCAATCTATCTATTTTGTTAATCTTTTAAAAAAAAAAAACAGTTTCTGGATTCATTGTTTTTTTTGAGGGGTTTTTTGTGTCTCTATCTCCTTCAGTTCTGCTCTGATCTTAGTTATTTCTTGTCTTCTGCTAGCTTTTGAATGTGTTTGCTCTTGCTTCTCTAGTCCTTTTAATTGGGATGTTAGGATGCTGATTTTAGATCGTTCCTGCTTTCTTCTGTGGGCATTTAGTGCTATAAGTTTTCCTCTAAATACTGCTTTAGTTGTGTCCCAGAGATTCTGGTATGTTGTGTCTTTGTACTCATTGATTTCAAAGAACTTATTTATTTTTGCCTTTATTTCCTTATTTACCCAGTAGTCATTCAGGAGCAGGTTGTTCAATTTCCATGTAGTTGTGCACTTTTGAGTGAGTTTCTTAATCCTGAATTCTAATTTGATTGCGAGACTGTCTGTGGTCCGAGAGATTGTTTGTTATGATTTGCATTCTTTTGCATTTGCTGAGGAGTGTTTTACTTACAATTATATGGTCGATTTTAGATAAGTGCTGTGTGGTGGTGAGAAGAATGTATATTCTGTTGATTCGGGGTGGAGAGTTCCGTAGATTTCGATTAGATCTGATTAGTCCAGAGCTGAGTTTAAGTCCTGAATATCCTTGCTAATTTTCTGTCTCGTTGATCTGTCTAATATTGACAGTTGGGTGTTAAAAGTCTCTCACTATTATTGTGTGGGAGTCTAAGTCTCCTTGTAGGTCTCTAAGAACTTGCTTTACAAATCTGGATGCTCCTGTATTGGGTGCATATATATTTAGGATTGTTAGTTCTTCTTGTTGCATTGATTCCTTTACCATTATGTAATGGCATTCTTTGTCTTTTTTGATATTTGTTGGTTTCAAGTCTGTTTTATCAGACACTAGGATTGCAACCCCTGCTTTTTTTTTATTTTCCATTTGCTTGATAAATATTCCCCCATCCCTTTATTTTGAGCCTATGTGGGTCTTTGTACGTGAGATGGGTCTCCTGAATACAGCACACCAATGGGTCTTGACTCTTTATCCAATTTGCCAGTCTGTGCCTTTTAATTGGGACATATAGCCTGTTTACATTTAAGGTTAATATTGTTATGTGTGAATTTGATCCTGTCATTATGGATGCCAGCTGGTTATTTTGAGTTTTAGATGATGCAGTTTCTTCATAGTGTCAGTGATCTTTACATTTTGGTTTGTTTTTGCAGTGGCTGGTACAAGTTGTTCCTTTCTATGTTTTGTGCTTCCTTCAGGAGCTCTTGTAAGGCAGGCCTGGTGGTGACAAAATCCCTCAGCATTTGCTTGTCTGTAAAGGATTTTATTTCTCCTTCACTTATGAAGCTTAGTTTGGCTGGATATGAAATTCTGGGTTGAAAATTCTTTTCTTTAAGAATGTTCAATATTGGCCCCCACTCCCTTCTGGCTTGTAGGGTTTCTGCCAAGAGATCCACTGTTAGTCTGATGGGCTTCCCTTTGTGGGTAACCTGACCTTTCTCTCTGGCTGCCCTTAACATTTTTCCTTCATTTCAACCTTGGTGAATCTGACGATTGTGTGTCTTGGGATTGCCCCTCTCGAGGAGTATCTTGGTGGTGTTCTCTGCATTTCCTGAATTTGAATGTTGGCCTCTCTTGCTAGGTTGGGGAAGTTCTCCCGGATAATATCCTGAATAGTGTTATCCAACTTGGTTCCATTCTCCTTGTCACTTTCAGTTACACCAGTGAAATGTAAGTTTGGTCTTTTTACATAATGCCATATTTCTTGGAGGCTTTGTTCATTTCTTTTCATTGTTTTTCCTCTAATCTTGTCTTCACATTTTATTTCATTAAGTTGATCTTCAATCACTGATATCCTTTCTTCCACTTGATCGATTTGGCTGTTGATACTTGTGTATGCTTCATGGCATTCTTGAGCTATGTTTTTCAGCTCCATTTGGTCATTTAAGTTCTTCTCAAGATTCTTAGCTTCCTTGCACTGGGTTAGAACATCCTCCTTTAGCTTGGAGGAGTTTATTATCCACCTTCTGAAGCCTACTTCTGTCACTTCATCAAACTCATTCCCCATCCAATTTTGTCCCCTTGCTAGTGAGGAGTTGTGATCCTTTACAGGAGAAGAGGCGTTCTGGTTTTTGGAATTTTCAGCCTTTTAAGCTGGTTTTTCCTAATCTTTGTGGATTTATCCACCTTTGGTCTTTGCTATTGGTGACCTTCAGATCGAGTTTTTGCATGGCTGTCCTTTTTGTTGAGGTTGATGTTATTGCTTTCTGTTTGTTAGTTTTGCTTCTAATAGTCAGGCCCCTCTTCTGCAGGTCTGCTGGAGTTTGCTGGGGGTCCACTCCAGACCCTGTTTGCCTGGGTATTACCAGCAGAGGCTGTAGAACAGCAAAGATTGCTGCCTACTCCTTCCTCTGATAGCTTCATCCTAGAGGGGTACCCGCCAGATGCCAGCCAGAGCTCTTCTGTATGAGGTGTCTGTCGACCCCTGCTGGGGGGTGTTTCCCCATCAGGAGGCACGAGGGTCAGGGACCCACTTGAGGAGGCAGTGTGTCCCTGAGCAGAGCTTGAGCACTGAGTAGGAGATCTGCTGTTGTCTTCAGAGCCTGCAGACAGGAATGTTTACATCTGCTGAAGCTGTACCCACAGCTGCCCCTTCCCCCAGGTGCTCTGTTTCAGGAAGATGGGAGTTTTATCTATAAGCCCCTGACTAGGGCTGCTGCCTTTCTTTCAGAGATGCCCTGCCCAGAGAGGAGGAATCTAGAGAGGCAGTCTGGCTACAGTGGCTTTGCAGAGCTGTGGTGGGCTCTGCCCAGTCCAAACTTACACGGTGGCTTTGTTTACACTGTGAGGGGAAACTGCCTACTCAAGGCTCAGTAATGGCGGACGACCCTCCTCACACAAAGCTTGAGTATCCCAGGTTGACTTCAGACTGCTATGCTGGCAGTGACAATTTCAAGCCAGTGGATCTTAGCTTGCTGGGCTCTGTGGGGATTGGATCTGCTGAGCTAGACCACTTAGCTCCCTGGCTTCAGCCCCTTTTCCAGGGGAGTGAATGGTTCTGTCTTGCTGGAGTTCCAGCTGCCACTGGGGTATGAAAAAAACTCCTATAGCTAGCTCAGTGTCTGCCCAAATGGCCACCCACTTTTGTGCTTGAAACCCAGGGCCCTGGTGGTGTAGGCACCCAAGGGAATCTCCTAGTCTGCAGGTTGTGAAGACCATGAGAAAAGCATAGTATCTGAGCTGGAGTGCACCATCCCTCACGGCACAGTCCCTCATGGCTTCCCTTGGCTAGGGGAAGGAGTTTCCTGATCCTTTGCGCTTCCCGGGTGAGGCAATGCCTCACCCTGCTTCAGCCCACCCTCCATGGGCTGCATCTACTGTTTAACCAGTCCCAGTGAGAGGAACTGGGTACCTCAGTTGGACATGCAGAAATCACCTGCCTTCTGCATTGGTCTTGCTGGAAGCTGCAGACCGGAGCTATTTCTATTCGGCCATCTTGCCCAGGAATCCCACACTTTCAATATTTTACATACTTTCTTCTCCTCTCTTTCTCTGCCCACCCATTCAGCTGGAAAGCACTTTAGATTCCACAGGACATTGAGCAGCTGAGAAATACTGGGACTGAAGGAAGTGGTAAATTATGCAGATGCTGTTGACAAACTGAGCCTCTAAAACCAGCTGTCTGTAGATGGGCCAAGGCCTTGATTACAACAAAAGATCATAGCTGTGAGAACCAGAGGGAACCCGTTGGAGACCAACCCGTACAGACCCCCTTCTTACAGAGGAGGCAGAGAAGTCAGGGGAAGTCAAGGGTCTTGTCTGGGGTCACTCAGCTGCAAGTGGCAGAGCCCTGGATCCTGAGCCAGGCCTCCTGACTAGAGGTCCAGTGCTGCTTCTATGGCCCCCATGTCAAATGACTCTGTAATCCAAGGGTACTTGCAGCCATAGGCATCCGGCTATCTATAGGGTTAGATTCTGAAAAGGAATTGCTATACCCTTGAGACAGAGCAGTGTCCCCTATTTGGAGACCTGTAGGCCCCCAAGCATGGAAATAAAGGAAAATTCTGAGTTCCTTCAAGGGAAATTCCAGGCACCTGCTAACCCTGAGAAGTACGTAAGTAACTTGATAAGCAAGAAGGTAATAGTAGCCTAAAACAATAGCCAAGGAAGTTGGGGTCTGGAGGCTTTTGGTTTCCCTACTTAAAGATAACATCTTAACACATGTCCATGAGTTGTCTTTCAGAAACTTGGACCCCCTCTCACTGGATCCGCAGACCTCAAATAAGGGGGAACTGAAGACTGAAAACTTGACCAGGGTTCTTTGCTCTAAATGTCTTCCAGAGGGGCCTAGAGGGAGTCACATTTTCAAGCCAGTTAATATTCTTTTCTGCTAACCCCAAGTTTTTAAACAATTGCAAATCAGAAAATCTTTGAACGTACCTACTACCCGTAAGCTCCCTCATGCCCTACAACTTCAAGATATTTTGGCCTTTTAGGCCAAAACCAAAGTTTAACTCCATGTATTGATTTATAATTTTGCCCTCTAGCTTCTGCTTTCCTGAAATTTACCCTGCCTTTACCCTTACCTGCAAGCCATCAGGGAGGTCAAGATGTAAGCATTTGCTGCCTGGTCCTCCTTGCTTGGCACCTTGCAAATAAATGCCTTCCTTTCTACCACTGCAACCTCAGTGTGGATATCTGGTTTTACTGGCCTGGGCAAGCAGACCCCAGTTGGATTCTATAATGCCCTCCCTTGAGTCATACTCAGCAAGGAAAATGTTACTTATACACAGACACACACACACACACACACACACACACACACACACACACACAAACTCAGTGCCTTCTCAATCTTGAAGCCAGACAGCAAACCCTTGAGCCCCTGTGCTTCTAACAAGTGCAAACCCCTCCATGCCCAGTAATTGGGATGCTTTCTATAATATCAAACCAGGCCTCATTCATTTGTCTGAGACAGTGAAAACTGTTAACCAACTCAAAGAATATATATCCAAAGAGATATTCACAAATATCTCCATTATAACTGCTCAGAGGCATTTTCAGGTTTTGAGAATTACAGATTATTTAGTAAACACTTCTTTCAGTTTGTCTTTTGACCTTAGGGACTCCCAGGTGAGGCTTGTCAAAAAAAAAAAGGTTTAGGGAAAGGGAATATTACGGACACTTGGGTAAAAGGCTAGATGAAAAAGTTTTAGGCCAGGTGTGATGGCTCACACCTGTAATCCCAGCACTTTGGGAGGCCAAAGTAGGTGGATTGCTGGAGCTTAGAAGTTTGAAACCAGCCTGGGTAACATGGCAAAACCCCATCTCTACAAAAAATACAAAAATTAGCTGGATGTGGTGGCAAGTGCCTGTAATCCCAGCCACTCAAGAGGCTGAGGTGGAAGGATTGCTTGAGCCTGGGAGATCCAGGCTGCAGTGAGCAGAGATCACACCTCTGCACTCCAGCCTGGGCAACAGAGCGAGACCCTATCTCAAAGAAAAAAAGTTTTATTTGGCTTACAACATTTTTGGTCTTGGGAGCTAAGGGATTTTTTCTTAATTCTACTCTAGAATTGAATGTCTTGCCATCTTTTTACAGATATTTCATCTTTCCTTTAGAAAGCCACCAAAATGATAGACTTGGAGTCAGACGCAGGACTGCCTGGGAGGCATCAAAGTATTCAGAGAATCCCACTTTTTGAGCAGCAATCTGACCAGTGATGGTCAGCTTCCTTTCTATACAGTGGCAGCTGAAATTCAGTGCTGGCTGTTAGCTGAGTCTCCTACCTATATGGAGCTAGAAATCCATAGGTCCCCTTAACTCCTGAGAAGAAAGCAGAGCTTTGCTGCCACTGAATAAAGGATGTTCCTGTGTCACCCACAGCTGCTGTAGGCAAAATAGTGAAATCAGACCTTATCAGCTCACTACGATATCTGCTGGTGACCCTTTCTCAGATGGAAAATTACCTCCACAAATAAATGTACCATGCTCCACCCCAGGGGAGGAAGCTGACCAAAGTAGGTGGATTGCTGGAGCTTCGAAGTTTGAAACCAGCCTGGGAAACATGGCAAAACCCCATATCTACAAAAAATGCAAAAATTAGCTGGATGTGGTGCCATGTCTGTAATTCCCTCCTGCTTGTAAAAGCAGCCCCTGAGGGTCAGAACCTCAAGGGCTCTCTGAGAAGGACCTCTGTCTCTGAGCGTGTTAATGACACTTCCCAGCTTGTGTGGTGAGGATTGGAGAGCCGGGGGACTGTCGTTCTTTCTCCTGATTCCTGGATGCAACTAGAGTGTCCACCTGCTTCAGCTCAGCAGTTTCCTCTCCATCTTCCCTCTCTTCTCTCCTCAGCACATTCCTGCCTGAGAAACAAACTGTCAATCGTCCATAACTAGGAAGAAAGGGGAAGTGAGCACAAGCTAATGGCTGTCTGATTGATGGTTTTCTCTAAATTATACACTCTTTATTTCAACTTAAAACATGTAAATCTACAATTTAAATTGTACACATACAATACATTATGTACTAATCATATATTCAATATATACATATATGATTTATCAATATGTAATATGAGGGCTTTTATTTCAGTGAGAACTTATTATTTAGTGATCTATAAAATGCTTCTGGCATGAAGTGTACCCATAATGCATTGTCTGCTACTCCCAACTTCAATTCTTTAAAGATGAACAGAAACTTAAAGATACTTCCCTGTTTGTTGGAGTATAGAATTTTTGAATTTTTATTTTTCCTACCCCTTTGTTGTTACACACATAATTATACTTTATTTTTCATTTGTAGCCATAAATATGTTCTAATGTTTACATCTGTGGTCGTAGAACCAGTAGAACCTCCACAATTTATAGAACTAATTTCATGTATGATTATGTTGCATTTAACATTTGTAATATTTTTTGCCTTTAGCACACTGAGAAAGGCAGAGTATAAAATGGGGGACAGGGCTGGGCATGGTGGCTCACGCCTGTAATCCCAGCACTTTGGGAAACTGAGGTGGGTGAATCACGAGGTCAGGAGTTTGAGACCAGCCTGACCAGCATGGTGAAACCCCGTCTCTACTAAAAATACAAAAATTAGCTGGGTGTGGTGGCAGGTGTAATCCCAGCTACTCAGGAGGCTGGCCCAGGAGAATGGCTTGAACCTGGGAGGCAGAGGTTGCAGTGAGCCCAGATAGTGCCACTGCACTAAAAGCTAGGTAACAGAGTGAGATTCCATCTCAAAAAAAAAAAAAAATGGGGGAGAGGACTTCAAACTAAAGTTTGTACACAACCGTTCATAGAGCATTATTCACAATAACCAAAGATTGAAAACAAACCAAATGTGCCATCAACTGAAGAATGGATAAACAAATTGTGACATATCTATACAATGGAACCATTATTCAGCCATAAAAAGGGATTAAGTTCTGGTATGTGTTACAACATGAATGACTCTCTAAAATATTATGCTGAATGGAAGAAGCTAGACACCAAGATCACATATTGTTCGATTCCATTTACAGTTATGTGTCGCTTAATGACAGGGGTACGTCCTAAGAAATGGATCATCAGATGATTTCATCCTTGTGCAAACACTATATACCTAATATGTGAACCTAAATGTATAGTAGCCTACTGCAAACCTAGGCTATATTGTATATTCTATGGCTCCTAGGCTACAAACCTGTACAGCATGTTACTGTACTAAATATTATAGGTAAATGTAATATAATAGTAAGTGTTCGTGTATCTACACATATCTAAACACAGAAAAGATATAGTAAAAATACAGTATAAAAGACAAAAAAATAGTACACCTGTATAGGGCACTTAGCATGAATGGAGCTTGCAGGACTGGAGTTGCTCTGGGTGAGTCAGTGAGCCAGTGGTGAGTGAATGTGAAGGACCAGGTCATTACTGTACACTGCTGTAGACTTCATAAATACTGCACACTGAGGCTACACTAAATTTATTTTTAAAATTCTTTCTTCAATTAGAAATTAACCTTAGCCAACTGTATCTTTTTATTTTATAAACTTGTAAATTTTTTTTAACTTTTTGACCCTTGTAATAACATTTAGCTTAAAACACACATAGTACTGCTGTCCAAAAATATTTTCTTTCTTTATATCCTTATTCTATTAGCTTTTCATATTTTTAAAATTTTTAACTGTTTTTTACTTTTTAAACTGTTTTTTGTTAAAAACTAAGACACAAATCCTGGCCAGGTGTCATGGCTCATGTCTATAATCCCAGCACTTTGGGAGGCTGAGGCAGGAGGATCACTTGAGGCCATGAGTTTGAGACCAGCCTGGCCAATATGGAAAAACCCTGTCTCTACTAAAAATACAGAAAATTAGCTGAGTGTGGTGGTGCATGCCTGTAATCCCAGCTACTCAGGAGGCTGAGGCAGGAGAATCCCTTGAACCCAGCAGGTGGAGGTTGGAGTGAGCCACTCTCTAGACTGGGCAACAGAGCTAGACTCCATCTGAAAAAGAAAAAAAAAAAACTAAGGCTCAAACCCACACATTAGCCTAGACCTACACAGGGTCAGGATCATCAATATCACTATCTTCCAATTTCACATCTTGTCCTACTGGAAGGTTTTCAGGGACAGTAACAGGCATGGAGCAGTCATCTCCATGATAATGATGCCTTCTTCTGGATACCTCCTGAAGGACCTGCCTGAGGCTGTTTTACAGTAACTTTTAAATACATAAGTAAGAGTACAATCTAAAGTAATGATAAAAAGCATGGTATAGTAAATAGATAAAGCAGAAACATAGTTGCTTATTATCATTATCAAGTATTATGTATTGTAAATGATTGTATATACTAGACTTTTATATGACTTGACATCACGGTAGGTTTTGTTACACCAGAATCACTACAAACACGTGCATGATGTGTTGTGCTACAATGTCAGGATAGCTATGATATCTCTAGGCATAAGAATTTTTCAGCTCCATTATAATCTTATGGGACCACTGTTGTATATGCAGTTGACCAAAACATTGCTATGTGACTATACATAAGATACCTTGAATAGGTAAAGCCATAGAGACAGAAAGTAGATTAGTGGCTGCCAGGGGCTTGCAAACCTAGGCTATATGGGAGCCTATGCTATACCATGTAGAGGTAGAGGGATGCAGGAGACACTGCTTAATCAGTATAGGGACTTCCTTTGGGGGTGGTAAAATATTTCGATAGAGGTCATGGTTGCACAGCACTGTGAATGTACTAAATACCACTGAGTTGTACACATTTAAATGATTAACTCTATGTTATGTGAATTTTACCTCAATAAAGAAAAAATGGGGAAGGAGGAAAAGGTCCCAAGAATCTCCAAGCCCCCGATCACATGTGTACCCCATGCACACGCACACCATACACATGTGTGAACCACAGTAACCCAGCTGCCTAGGGCTTCCTTACAGTCAGTCCTCTGCCTTCCCAGAGTTGGATGCTCAGTGACTCCTTTCTGCACCAGTAGCCTGTTGATCTTGCAGATCCTAAGCAGCACTGTAACCATCATATGATCTTCCCTTCCTCCCTGCCCAAATTCAATTTCACTCTCCTGGAAGTCCGTATTAAAGAGACTGTCAGGATCAACCTTGATGGGCCATGTGGGACACAGTTTTGAGAAGATCCCAAGAGGTCTCATTGCAGCATTCACCACTCCATGAAAGAGAACAGGAATGCAAGCTGCATTTCCCCCTCCACTTCCTGCACTACGGCCATTGTTTCCCTTCAGTAGCTCAGATGGGCCATGTCTGGAGACCATATTGAACACACAAATAGCTTTTTCTAAAACATAGATGTTGTAAGCTAAGCCCTGTTGGTCTTGCACATGTCAGCCACATTGTTGTGCCTAAAATTTGTATCTCAGGATGGGATGGGCTCAGCAGTCTCTGATTGAGTCTCCCAGATGTTCCACAAAGAGGAAGAGAAAGAACTCCAACAGGACAGCTGAGCTCTGAACAGGAGATTCTCCCATGCTTGTCACTGGAAGCCCTACACACAGCAGATCAGGCCCTGAGAGCCCACTGTGAGACGTGGCAAGCCCAGGAGAGGGGGATCGAAGCTAACAGAAATCAAATGTCTATTTTGGCAATGTCCACAGCTGACATCAGTTTATTTTCCTCTCCAGTGTTAATGGAAAAAAAAAAAGTTATAACAAGACAGCTCTGTGGAACACGCAGAATACAAAATGTTCTGTTGGACTTTGATCCTTTGTACTTCCTATGATAAGCGACGTATGGCAGCAAACCTTAGCCTTAGTGCGTGACTGTAGTAAATTATCAATTTCAACAAAAGCGTATCTTCTAGGGAAGAAAATGTCAAAGGACTAAAACAAAAAAGAATTACTCCAGCAAACCCACAAAGATATGTTTGAATTTACGTATTATAATGAATTGGATGCCATTTGTAACCTTGGTGTCGCCAAATGCCATAGGTTTCTGGTCTCACCCCTTAACATGCAAATGAAATGACTGGAACACCCATTCCAGGTTTTGTGGGATGCCTCCCTGTCCTCCCCACCAGGGGTTACTGGGGAGGGGGTGGGGCTTCTCATTGTCTTGACCAACCTCTGCCTGCAGCTTTCTTTGTGATCCCTACAATGTTAGCACTGCAGATGTCACCCTCTCTCACTGGCCCACTTTATGCCATGCTGAACACTTCTCTACCCCTAACCCAGGGTTGTTGTGCAATATGTTTTGATTCAAAGTTGGAGAAATAGGGAAATTACAACACACCGCAGTGAAAGGCAACAATTGAAACTACATACGAGATGGTTACCAAAGACTGGAAAGGGGAGTGGGGGTGTGGGTGAGAAGGGGAGGTGGTTAATGAGTACAAAAAATAGTTAGAGGCCCGGCTTGGTGGCTCAGCCCTGTAATCCCAGCACTTTGGGAGGATGAGGTGGGCTGATCACTTGAGGTCAGGAGTTCGAGACCAGCCTGACCGACATGGTGAAACCCCATCTCTACTAAAAATACAAAAATTAGCTGGGTGTCATGGCGGGCACCTGTAATCCCAGCTGCTCAGGAGGCTGAGGCATGAGAATCACTTGAACCCAGGAGACAGAGGTTGCAGTGAGCTGAGATTTTGCCACTGCACTCCAGTCTGGGTGACAGAGCAAGAGCCTGTCTAAAAAAAACCGAAAACAAACAAACAAAAAACAACAAACAAATTAGAAAGAATGAATAAGATCTAGTATTTACTAGCACAACAGAGTGACTATAGTCAATAATAATTTAAGTGGACATTTTAAAATAACTAAAAGTATAATTGGATTGTTTGCAACATGAAGGATAAATGCTTGAGGTGATGCATACCCCATTACCCTGATGTGGTTATTACACACTGTATGCCTGTATCAAAATATCTCATGTATCTGTTAAATCAAGTTTAGCCTAAAGCTGCCTCCTTACATATTTTAAGTTCAGCCTAAAGGTTTCTTTTTCCACGTGAACTATAAACTAAATGGAGTTGTAAACAGACTGTAGCCTACTCTTGTGCCAATCACTGAGTTTTGGTCAAAGGTGGCCAAGTGTTCAAATCACGTTTAAATAAGGCAAATGCCAAGCTGTAACCAATCCAGCTGTTTCTGTACCTCACTTCCATTTTCTGTGAGTCATTTTCCTTTTTCTGTTCATAAATCTTCTTCCACTATGTGGCTGCGCTGGAGTCTCTGAGCCTACTCTGGCTTGGGAGGCTGCCCCATTCATGAATCATTCATTGCTCAATTAATTAAACTCTTTAAAATTTAATCTGGCTGAAATTTTTCTTTTAACATACCCCCCATAATTATATACACCTACTATGTGCCCACAAAAATCAAAATTTTTTAAAAAACAACATATTGGATATCCCTTAGTCATTTCTTCTACAGCACACACATATATACACACACAATTATTCTTTGTGTAAGTTGCATTTTGGATATTTGCATATCCAAACACCTCCATTTATTATGCTCTACTAAACAAAGGAAAACCTACTCTAAGGCTCCACCTTTTGATAACAGAAAACCTTCACAGAAATTCCCAGGATTTCTAGTATCACAGTTCTGTCCTTTTTGTTTTTTTGTTTGTTTTGTTTTGGTGGTTAAATATATATAACATGACTTTTATCATTTTAACCCCTTTTAAGTCTACAATTCAGTGATATTAAGTACATTTGCATTGCTGTGCAACCATCACCACCATCCATCTCCAGAACATTTTCATTGTCCCACATTGAAAGTCTATACTCACTAAACAGTAACTCCTCATTTCTTTCTACCCCCAGATCATAATAACCACAATTTGACTTTCTGTCTCCGTGAATGTGACCTTTTAGGTACTTCATGGAAGTGGAATTCGCACAGTATTTGTCCTTTTGTGTCTGGCTTACTTCACTTAGCAAAATGTCTTCAAAGTTCATCCATGTTGTAGCATGTATCAGAATTGCATTCCTTTTTTCCTTCTGGTTTTTTTTTTTTTTTTTTTGAGATGGCGTCTTGCTATGTTGCCCAGGCTAGTGTCAAACTCCTGGGCTCAAGCAGTCTTCTCACCTCAGCCTCTTGAGTAGCTGGGAGCACAGGCACATGCCACTGTGCCTGGCTTTCTTTCTTTTTAAGGCTGGATAATATTTCATTGAATGTGTATACAACATATTGCTTATCCACTCCTCTGTCAGTGGACATTTAGATTGTTTCTGTCTTTTGGCTATTGTGAATAATGCTTCAATGCATATTGTTGTACAACAATCTGTATAAGTCTCTGCTTCCAATTGTCTGGAGCAAAATTCCTGAATCATATGGTAATTCTGTTTAATTTTTTGATAGCTGCCATATTGTTTTCTATAGCAGCTGCACCATTTTACATTTCTACCAACAATCCACAAGGGTTCCACTTTCTCCACATCCTAACCAACTCATGTTACTTTCTTGGGTTTTGGTTGATTTTCTTGTTTGTTTTATTTAAATGGCCATTTTTTTAACTTTTATTTTAAGTCCTGGGGTACCTGTGCAGTTTTGTTACATAGGTAAACTTGAGTCATTGGGGGTTTGTTGTACAGACTATTTCACCACCCAGGTATTAAGCCTAGTAGCTGTTAGCCACATTTCTCAATCCTTTCTCAGCTCCCACTCTCCATCCTCTGGTAAGCCCCAATGTGTGTTGTTGCCCTGTAGGTGTCCATGTATTCCATCATTTAGCTCCCATTTGTAAGTGAGAACATGTGGTATTTGGCTTTTCTATTCCTATGTTAGTTTGCCAAGGTTAATGGCCTCCAGCTGCATCCATAGTCCTTCAAAGGACATGATAGCATTTGTTTAAATGGTTGTATAGTAGTCCATGGTGTATATGTACCACATTTTCTTTATTCAGTCTACCATTGATGGACATTTATGTTGATTACATGACTTTGCTATTGTGAACATATGCACGCATGTGTCTTTATAATAGAACAATTTATATTCTTTGGGTATATACCCATTAATGGGATTTGCTGGGTTGAGTGGTAGTTCTGCTTTAAGTCTTTGAGGAATTGCCACGCTGTCTTCCACAATGGTTGAACTAATTTACTCTCCCCAAAACAGTGTAAAAGCTTTTCTTTTTCTCCACAACCTCACCAGCATCTGTTATTTTTTACTTTTTAATATAGCCATTCTGACTGGTGTGAGATGATATCTCATTGTGATTTTGATCTGCATTTCTCTAACGATCAATGATGTTGAGCGTTTTTTCATATGCTTTTTGGCTGCATACATGTCTTTTTTTGAAAAGTGTCTGTTCATGTGCTTTGCCCACTTTTTAATGGGGTTGCTTGTTTTTTTCTTGTAAATTTAAGTTTCTTATGGATGCTGGATGTCAGACCCTTGTCAGATGCATAGTTTACTAACATTTTGTCCCATCCTGTAGGCTGTCTGTTCAGTCTGTTGATAGTTTCCTTTCCTGTGCAAAAGCTCTTTAGTTTAGTTAGATTCCGTTTGTCAATGTTTACTTTCATTGCAATTGCTTTTAGTGTCTTTGTCATAAAAATCTTTGCCCATTCTTATGTCCAGAATGGTATTGCCTAGATTGTCTTGCAGAGTCTTCAAGGGTTTCAGTTATATATTTAAATCTTTACTCATTTTGAGTTAAATTTTGTATATGGTGTAAGGAGGGGATCCAGTTTCAATCTGCGTATAGCTAGCCAGTTCCCTAGCACCATTTATTGAATAAGGAATCCTTTCCTCATTGCTTGTTTTAGTCAGGCTTGTTGAAGATAGTTGTAGGTGTGTGGCCTTATTTCTGGATCCTTTATTCTGTTCCATTTGTCTACATGTCACTTTTGTACCAGTATCCTGCTGTTTTGGTTACTGTAGGCTCTAGTATAGTTTGAAGTCGGCTAGCGTGATTCATCCAGCTTTGTTCATTGTGCTTAGGATTCCCTTGGCTTCTTAGACTCTTTTTTGGTTCCATATAAATTTTAAAGTAGCTTTTTCTAGTTCTGTGAAGAATCTCGATGGTAGTTTAATAGGAATGGCATTGAATCTGTAAGTTGCTTTGGGCAGTGTGGCCATTTTTACAATATTGATTCTTCCTATCCATGAGCATAGAATATTTTTCCATTTGTTTGTATCGTCTCTGATTTTTTTGAGCAGTGTTTTGTAGTTCTCCTTGAAAAGATCTTTTACTGCACTAGTTAGCTGTATTCCTAGATATTTTATTCTTTTTGTGGCAATTGAGTATGAAATTGCATATTACCACCATCTTAATGGGTGTGAAGTGGCATCTCACTATGGTTTTGACTTGCATTTCCCTAAGGATTAGTGATGTTTAACATCTTTTCATGTGCTTATTGGCCATTTGTATGTCTTGAAAAAATATCTGTACAAGTCCTTTTCTCTCTCTCTCTTTTTTTTTTTTTTTTTTTTGAGACAGAGTCTTGCTCTGTCACCCAGTGGCATGATCTCAGCTCACTGCAAGCTCCACCTCCTGGGTTCATGCCATTCTCCTGCCTCAGCCTCCTGAGTAGCTGGGACTACAGGTGCCCACCACCACGCCCAGCTAACTTTTTGTACTTTTAGCAGAGATGGGGTTTCCCCCTGTTAGCCAGGATGGTCTCAATCTCCCGACCTCGTGATCCACCTGCCTCCGCCTCCCGAAGTGCTGGGATTACAGGAATGAGCCACCGCGCCTGGCCCCTTTTCTTATTTTTGAATTGGATTGTTTTGTTGTTGTTGAATTGTAGGAGTTCTTCCTATATTCTGGCTATTAACCCCTTATCAGATATATGATTTGCAAACTTTTTTTTTCCCCACACTGTAGATTGTCTTTTCCCTCTCTTGGTAGGGTCACTTGATATACCAAAGTTTTTAATTTTGATGAAGTACAATTTATGCATGTTTCCTTTTGTTGCCTATACTTTTGTTGTCATATCCAGGAAATCATTGCCAAATCCAATCACATGAAGATTTTCTGTTTCTGTTTTCTTCTGAGAGCTGTGTCATTTTCTCTCTTATGTTTAGGTCTTTGATCTATTTTGAGTTATTTTTTGTATATGGTATAAGATAAGGTTCCAACTTCATTCTTTTGCATGTGGATATTTCATTTTCCCAGCATCGTTTTTTAAAAGATTATTCTTTCCCCATCAACTGGCCTTAGCGCCCTTGTTGAAAATCATTTGGCCATATATGTGAGGGTTTACTTCTGGGCTATTTAGCTGATACCATTGGTTTGTATGTCTGTATTCTTGCCAATTCCACATTGTTTTTATTACCGAAGCTTTGTAGTAAGTTTAGAAATCAAGAATTGTGATCCCTTCAACTTTTTTCTTGTTTTTCAAGATTGTTTTGAGATTTCATTTGAATTTTAGAATGAGTTTATTATTATTATTATTATTATTATTATTATTATTATACTTTAAGTTCTAGGGTACATGTGAACAACGTGCAGGTTTGTTACACATGTATACATGTGCCATGTTGGTGTGCTGCCCCCATTAGCTCGTCATTTACATTAGATATATCTCCTAATGCTTTCCCTCCCCCCTCCCCCCACCCCATGACAGGCCCCAGTGTGTGATGTTCCCCTTCCTGTGTCCAAGTGTTCTCATTGTTCAATTGCCACCTATGGGTGAGAACATGCGGTGTTTGTTTTTTGTCCTTGTGATAGTTTGCTGAGAATGATGGTTACCAGTTTCATCCATGTCCCTACAAAGGACGTGAACTAGGATGAGTTTTTCTATTTCTACAAAAAAATTATTGGCATTTTGATAGGGATTTCATTGAATCTATAGATCTCTGGATGCTCACATCCTGTAAGTTAGAATAGTATGAGCTTCAAGTACACAAGCTCCATCTTCAACTTGAGAAGTAGAGAGGATCTAGATATAGGACAATCAGGCTTCCATTTGCTCTAAAATTTTCTTTGCTCTTTCCCTGTATCCATTTGTTCCTATGTTCACTTCCCTCACAGTCTCAAGCCAGTGGCCAATAGCAATAGGACAACAGGCTTTCTGCTTTGTATTCAGCAAGTTGGAAAGAAAAAAAAGTCTTCTTCAACCACGGAAGAAAATTTCTTCCTTATTATCTAATTGTATCACTTTTGATGTGAACCCAACTACCAATAAAGATAAAGGTAGATATTTATTTTTTTTAAAACTTTTGTTTTAAGTTCAGGGCTAGTTTTGTTATATAGTGCAGGTTTGATGTATAGATTATATATTATGTCATGGGGGTTTGTTGTACAGATTATTTCATCACCCAGGTATTAAGTTTCATACCCATTTGTTGTTTTTCCTGATTCTCTCCCTCCTCCCAAACTTCACCCTCCAGTAGGCCCCAGTGCCTGTTGTTCTCCTCTATGTGTCCATGTGTTCTCATCATTTAGCTCCCACTTATAAGTGAGAACTCATGGTATTTGGTTTTTCTGTTCTTGTGTTAGTTTGCTAAGAATAATGGCCTCCACCTCCATCCATGTTCCTGCAAAGAACATGATCTCATTCATTTTTATGGCTGCATAGTATTCCATGGTGTATACATGTCCCATTTTCTCTATCCAGCCTACCACTAATGGACTTTTAGGTTGATTCCACGAATTTGCTATTGTGAATAGTGCCGCAATGAACACAAACACACACGTGTCTTTATGACAGAACGATTTATATTTCTTTGGGTATTTACCAAGTAATGGGATTGCTGGGTCAAATGGTAGTTCTGTTTTTAGGTCTTTGAGGAATCAGCACACTGTTTTCCACAATGGTTGAAGTAATTTACACTGCCACCAACAGTGTATAGGCATTCCTTTTTCTCCACAACCTCACTAGCATCTGTTATTTTTTGACTTTTTAATAGTAGTCATTCTGATTGGTGTCAGATGGTGTCACTGTGGTTTTGATTTACATTTCTCTAATGGTCCATGATATTGAGCTTTTTTTCATATGCTTGCTGGCTGCATGTATGTCTTCTTTTGAGAAGTGTCTGTTCGTGTGCTTTGCCCACTTTTTAATGGGGCTGTTGGTTTTTCTCTTGTAAATTTGTTAGGGTATCATATAGATGCTGGATATGAGAACTTTGTCACATGCATAGTTTGCAAACATTTTCTCGCATTCTGTAGGTTGTCTGTGTTCTGTGTTGATAGTTTCTTTTGCTGTGCAGAAGCTCTTTCATTTAATTAGATCCCATTTGTCAATTTTTGCTTTTGTTGCAATTGCTTTTCAAAAGACAGAAATTTTTTGCCTTAGTTCCTGAACCAATCATAGTTGTAAGAATTACTACAACTGGCTTAAAATAATCAGATTACATCACTGGAGGTCAAGATGGGAGTCACTTTCCAAGCAGTGCAGAGAAAAAGCAGTTGACTAATTAGAATTATGGTTCTATCAGAGGGGAAAGTGATGGGGATAAATGCTGGGTATTCCAGCAGTAGTGTCCCCTAGATTTCTACTTCCTAGATCTCTATAAGTGGGGTAGGGGTTATGAATAACAAGAGATGTATTCTCTTTGTCTAAAACAAGTTCTGAAATATTGTAGGGGTATACTACTGTGGAATTATGGTGATTTTACTTAACAATAGCAATGAATTATGTAAAAACACTAAGAAATCTTTAAACACATTAAACAAGCTCAAAAATCCTAAATTCAAGCCAGTAAGTGGAATAGTGTTTATGCCTCAAATTTAAGAAATAATATTTTGTTTAAGTCAATATGTGGGTGTACAATGGTGGTAACAATAATGAATGTGTGGTACTTCAAAATTTTCACAACTCCATTCTAATCTATTTTCCGGTGTGATTATGCTTAAAAGAGTGCCACAACTAAGGGAATCATTCTGCCCATTTGATTTTTAAAATATTTCATTTTCATTGGTTATGCAACCACTATTATATGGAGATATTTGGCCTCCTCAAGTGCATTCTGGTTTCAACAAGCTGGTTGAGATGGCCCTGAGAGGAATGGAGGGAAAATCAGAGGCTGCTCATTTTAATTCGAAAAAAGAAGAAAGATCAACTATTTCTATAGTTCTTCGTACAAGAATCAACTGAAATTAAATAATCTTATGTAAGTATTGACAACATTTTTTCCTCTTTGTGAAATAGTTGCTGCCTCTAAACTTGGGAAAAAGTCAATATATTTAATTAACTTTATTATTAAAATATGATTTCATCAATGTAAAATATTTTTAAATTACTCAGTCCAAATAGAGCCAAGCCAGTGTTTTATCACTATCAACAAAACCAGATTAAAATACATCAGAAGCATTCAGTTGGTTATGGATATGGTGACTCTGATGATAGTAATCTCAGAGTTTTCCTATGGAAAGAGTCATGGTTCAATAGACATATATAACTAGCAGTACATCATTCAGTTTGCCAGAATGAAATTCTCAGAATAGTCATTTTGTTCCTATGACTACAGTAAATCCCTTTTGAATGTTTATGATACCTGTTGAAGGATGCTCACATTAAAGAAAGTCAAAAATATAAATTCAGAAAGTCCAACAATACACAGATTTGTAATAGCCTAAGACAAGTTAGGCTTAATAGAGTTTATGGGATGTGCTCTTTAAGTTAACTTAGACCTGTGTGCACTGTGAACAAATCAATATTTCCATAAAATCTAGTAATTTTTACATCTCCAATTTATGCATCCTCCTGTAAATTGGAGATCTGTTTCTCTAATGGGTCCAAAGAGAGAGCCCACCAAGGAAAGGGCTGTCATAATATGAGGCAGAACATTTTACAGCTTATGTTTCATTTCAATGATCTCTTTGCTTCCTGTGGATGTCTGATTTATTACTGCTGTCAAGAAAACGCCACAGTTTCCAGTAAGAAGCTGAAGAAAGACTCAGCCACCCACATCCCAGTTGGCCAAGGTTCCCGCCACATGGCATCTGTAAAAATAGGAGTGATAAAGTTCTGGTTTCCAATTTTAGCTGAGGAAAAATCAAGCTTTCAATTTTTCCTATCCATCTAGTTGTTATATCCCCTTTGAACCACAAGTTTTAAAATAATAACTCCAAGAATATTATAAACTAATGAGCTAAAGACTTTATGCGAATAAATAAATTTTCAAAAAATATATTATTCCACACTAAATAATCTCCCACATCTCTACAAAGCAGATTTAGGAAAACAATCCAAATTTCAAATAACCAAAATCCTCAAGAAATCAACATCTGCGGGGAAAGACAGGTATACTGGAAAGAAAACATGTATTTTAAAATGTTCAATCTGACACATTCTAGCTAAATAAAGCCTCATAAGTTTATTCAGAAGACTTTATGTCTACTAATTACATGCATCAAGTTTGCAGAAAGCCTACAATTTTGCATTTCATCAGAAAGTTTTCAGGTTTATAAATATGTTTGGGAATGTTGAGGCTCAATCTTAGTTTTGGATTCATTTTGGGAGGCTGTAGTTGGCAGACCGATAAATACAAACCCTGGGAAGTTTTACAAGTGGCTCCTGAATGTGCCAGTAGAGGACATGTGCCAGTAGAGGACACTGTTCATTTCCTACACAGAACTCTTTCCCCCTTCTTCCTCCTACCAACTTTGGTTGAGCTCCCTCAGTAGCAGACCCTCCAGCAAGGACTTGGGTACAAGTTGTTTGGTTGAGAGGTGATACCAGGAAATACTGGTAAGCGTGTGAGGAAGTGATCCAGGAAAGAAAAGAAGCCAACACAGACTATATTAATGAGCAAATCATCTCTGTGGGCAACTGGAACTCCATACCACTGGGAACCTGTGTGAAATGGAGTAGAACATAACTTAGAGTTTTTCCACCAAGGGACAAGGAAGCTGCGGTACTGTCCTTCAGTTCTCATCTATCACCAACTGAGGGCTCCTTCCAGGAACATTAATTCCTCAGCACTTTTCAGCCTACTCCAAGCAGACCATGCAAGCTCCCATAGCCAGAGAAATTCCTCAGAAAGAGAGTCACAGATACTTGCAGTAGGAAGTTACCAGTGTGCACCAGAAACAGTGCACAACAAGACAATAAGGGCAGGTCACTAATCGCCTCTGATACACTCAACAAACTCCGGGTTTGTCCAGGTATCCACTTCTCTCAAAAACCACCATTGCCTTGGGGGAATGAGGCATCTCCAGTTCTGAAGATGGGCCAGGTTGACATATCTCATCGACATTCACAGTGATTTCGGGAATGCATATGCAATTTAGGTCTGCCCAGTAAGGTGTGGTTAGAGTTCTTCAGGACAGATGAGGGGTTTTGGGCAAAGTGTCTTGTTCCTAAAGCAGAGTGTTAACAACGCATTTTCTCTTTCTCCTGAACATTGCCCTGTCTGGAGGTGAGTGCTGGATCTGCTGCAGCCATCTTGCTACCTACCTGAGAAAGAAACCAGCATTGAAGGGAGGTGCAAAGAACCTGGATCCTGAATCAACCAAGCCTGAATCCTGTCTAACCTCTGTACACACTGTTTATGACCTAATTTATTCCCTCATGTTTATGCCAACATCTTTTGAGGTTTCTGTTACTTGCAACAAAAAAGCGATCCTTCTTTGCTAGGGCATAACATGGGTGACTTTTACTCCAGTTCACAAGAAGCTCCTCATTTCCATCTGAGACTTTGTCAGCCTGGTATTCACTATCCATATTTCTATTAGCATTTTGGTCAAAATCATTTAACCAGTCTCTTAAGAAGTTCCAAACTTTCCTTATCTTCCTGTCTTCTTCTGAGCCCTCCAAAGTCTTCTAACCTCTGCCCATTACTCAGTTCTACAGTCACTTCCACATCTTCAAGTATCTTTATAGCAACATCTCACACCTCACTCCTCAGTACCAGTTTTCTGTGTTAGTCCATTCTTGCATTGCTGTGAAGAAACACCTGAGGCTGGGCAATTTATAAAGAAAAGAGGTTTAATTGGCTTATAGTTCTGCAGGCTGAACAGGAAGCTTGGTGCCAGTATCTGCTTGGCTTCTAGTGAGGCCTCAGGGAGCTTTTACTCATAGCGGAAGGCAAAGCAGAAGCAGGCATGTCACATGATGAGAGAGGGGGCAAGAGAGAGGGGGAGGCACCACGCTCCTTCAAAAAACCAGGTCTTGTATGGGCTCATTATCAAAGTGAGGCCACCAAGCCATTCATTAGGGATCTGCCACCACGACCCAAACACCTCCCACTAGTCCCCACCTCCAACATTGGGAATCACATTTCAACATAAGATTTGGAGGTAACAAATAGCCAACCCATATCACTCATTCTTAAACAGATTTTAAAATGTATAAAGCATTTTTGCACCCATCATCTTTAACAACCTTTACAACATTGTAAAGAAAAATTTGAGCAAGTATTTTTATCATTCCCAAGTTATACATGGGGAAACTGGAGTTTCAAGATGGTAAGATGGTAAGTGACCTGTACACGGTCTTACATCTACTCCTTTCTACAACTTACTCCCAGTGTCAAATCTAGCTCCTCTGGTTACAAATACCAAGCTGTGTTCTCAGCTGTGAAGCCTGATATTTCATGAAAGCTTTTGCATTTCATCTACTGCCTATATGCTCCCCCAATTTATACACCACTCTTAGATAACAAGGATGAGATTCTATTAAGAAATAAAGCACCCAAATAGAAACATGAAGTACAAATGATTTTCTAAGTATTTCTGGTAAGCAATTATGCTTCAAAAGGCTGCTTTAATGAACATTGGAGTGTTCAACAGTCAACTTGCTTTCTGTAAATCAAATATGGAAGGAGAAATGTCATAAAATTTTCAAATAGACAAAAAAGTTCAACTTAGAGAAGGATTATTTTCCTTTATTTAGGCTCACCTTGGGCTTACATTTATGCATTGCCCTGTAGTGCTTTATTTGGTTTTATATTAATTTTAGAATTTTATAGAGTAGTATATGCTTGATATGCACAATATGGAAAACAAAGAAAACAACAAAGTTTTATGTTTTGTTTTTTTAATGCTTATAATATTATTTTAAAAGACATGAGTAAATGAAAGCACAGAACAGGTTCTTGGATAGAAAGAATTATTAGGAAGTCAATTCTCCCTAAATTAACACATAAATGTAATATAAGTCCCATAGGAACCACAATAGGATTTGCTTTTGTCAAAAACAATTATAAAGTTTATATCAGTCAGGATTAAGTTGAGTTCAGAGTAATAGAACAGTCAAAATAACAGTGGCAAAAGTAAAATCAAAGACTGTTTCTCTCTTGAGTAAGCATGGCCCAGAGGTCAGGGGTACGGCCCTAGAAGGCCCTCATGGTACCAGAAAACCCATCTCCTTCATCTTGTTCCTCTGTCCACCTTGAGGACAAAATAGCTGCTAAGCTCCAAATATGTTTACAGGAGGAAAAGGGAAGAGGTGGGAAACAGGGTACACTCCTTTCCATAAACAGCTTTTCCCAAAAATTGAGCACACCACTTCCACTTACGGTCCACTGGGGAAGTCATGATCATATGGCCACACTTAACTTCAAGAGAGGTTGGGAAAAGCAGTTTTTGTTGTTGGCATTCAGATGCCCACCTAAAAATTGAGGGTTCTATTAGTATAAAAAAAAGGTGTCCAGGCACGGTGGCCTACACCTATAATCTCAGCACTTTGGGAGGCAGAGATGGGCGGATCAATTGAGGTCAGGAGTTCGAGACCAGCCTGGCCAACATGGTGAAGCCCCATCTCCACTAAAAATACAAAAATTAGCTGGGTGTGGTGGCATGTGCCTGTAGTCCCTGCTACTAGGGAGGCCGAGGCAGGAGAGTCACTTGAACCCAGGAGACGAAGATTGCACTGCACTCCAGCCTGGTGACAGAGGGAGACTCCATCTCAAAAAAAAAAAAAAAGAAAAGAAGGTGAGCATGGATTTTGAAAGACTACTAACAAATTCTATCACATGATCGGACTTCTCTATATTAAACCATATTAAATAGCTACAATCATCAATTATACAATTATACTCATACCCACTCCAGAAAAAAATAACAGATCGATAGAATGGGAGGTGGATGAAAATGGCATAAGCAGTGAAAGAAGGAGCAAAAGACGGTACTCTTTGAGCTCACTAGGTTAAAACTTTTTTGTCCAATACTCAACTCACCAAGACCAGTGATCAGCATAGAATTTAGTGCAAGAGGTGAATGTGGCCCAGGGAAGGGGAGTGCTAAGGAGAGCCACATCTGTCCAATTTCCACAGCAAGTCAGAACCCTTGTGCAGAGACCTGTGCTGGGCTCTCTGTGCTCGATGCCACCGAAAAGTTGAAACACGCGCTGTAAACTAATCATCAGTACTCAAAGAAGGGATGCCAGAAGGGAGCCTGAGGCAAAGGCTGGAACCAC
The DNA here is from genome assembly GCF_000001405.40 of Homo sapiens. NCBI lineage: Eukaryota > Metazoa > Chordata > Mammalia > Primates > Hominidae > Homo > Homo sapiens. The sequence goes on along the minus strand of NC_000004.12, from coordinate 52,130,921 downwards.
CCAGACCAGTCACTGAGCACCACTGGGGCAGCACCCCACAGGAGAGTCTGCTGGTGATTCTGCTGGTGCCCCAGAGGTGCTAGAACAGAAGAACTTAAATAACCTTAGTCAATTCCCAAGAGACCTTTCCATCAACTAAACGCTCAGAACAGAGCATTTTGTGTAGCTCATTCTGAATAAACGTTCATTGATACATGCTCAATGAACAGCAAGTCCCTGGTGTGGATGGATCTTGAATTTATATTTCATCATAATACTAGATGCAGGATGGTACTTAAAGAAATGAATGTGTTGGTTGCTGTTTAGATCCAGAGTATAATGTGTTTGCTCATCCCTTTGTCATAAGTTCTCTCAAAGCACAAATGAGTGTCCCTTCTTTCTCCCTTACTAAGGATAATTGAGTTTGGCAGTGTCTAACAGCAAGGAAGAGTTTTCTTTTCTTTTGATGATTCCAAAAGAAATAGATAGCTAATGCCCTTGAAGTCTCCAGCACTGCCATGAAAACTTCTATTGATGCCAAGGCAGCTGCTGAATTGACTTTGGCCTTGACTTGGGCCCAGAATCCAGGAGAGGGGCCAGATCTTCTGGTCTGCAGTCAACCCCACCAGGCCTAGAAGAAGTAACCTAAGGGCCTCATTGCCTTTCTACCCCCTGCCACTGCTCTACCTCTCCAAACCTCAGCCAAGGCAAAGAAAAAGAAAAATTCACAGAAGGGTCTCCCCAAGAGTGAGAGCCACACACAGTCTAGTCCATGTAAATTGGCGTAGTGTCCCTTTGCAGCCTCACTCCCTGCCAGGAGGGCAGGGGTGGGGACCCCAGGACACAGGAGAGCAGCCTGAGACTCCAGTAGAAAAGGTGCAGGAAGAGAGGGGAGCATAAACCCCAGGCAGGTCCTAGCTGGGAGATAAATTGGGTCAAACTAAGAGTGTTGCTCACTCACAAGTCAAAGGAAAACCCTCAGTGGGGAAGTTTCAGTAGCAACCTGGGTGCTGGCCAGAGGAAAAACAGCAAGGATTACAAACTTCCATTAAAAGAAAGCTGCAGACATAAGCAGATCCATTTTCCCCAATAAGAAGATGTGGCTAGCAGTGCTGCCTTTGTTCATTCAGGATTATCTCAGTCGTTCTAGTACATTCTACAGGGCAGTGATGTCTCATCACACATATGCCTCACAGCACCAGGTATAATAACTTGTATTTGTTGTGTGAATTGAATCAAATCAAACATCGCAATGAATTAAATTGAATCAAACAACAAAAATAAATCAATTAATAACTATTTTCTGAGCACATGCCATGCACAATGAACTCTGCTAAACATGTAGAAGGTGCAACTAGAAAACAAAGAGGCAGACTTCCTTGTGTGGTTGGTGGGAGCAGATCAGTTGCTTTACAGTCTTATTTCACATTTAATCTACTCCAAGCCCATTTTTTGTTGCAAGACAAAATTCCCAGGAGCATCAAAAACCCTCCTCAACACCTAGGACTTCATTTTCCTTCCCAGGTTGAAGATCATCCGCTTTTACAGACGAAGAAATTGAGGCATGCAGCGAAGTAATAGAACTAGGATTCAAACTCAAGTGTGTTGCATCCCAGAGTTACACTGTCCACAAAGAAGTCTCTTTCACTGGAGAAAAAAGGACCTAGAAAAGCAGGCAACTGGGTAGTGTCCTTTATCTGAGAACTCCATCCAAAAAGAACCAAGCACACAGAAGTAACAACATTCTTGCCATCAGCAGGAAGAATTAGGGCACTTGGCTCTGGCTTAATGTTAAGGCTGAGGGGGTCGGCCCAGGCAAGTCCTGGGATCTAAGAAAGAGCTTCTAATTACTTACCTCTCCTGGCCTCCATCCAAAAATTCCTCTTTCTTAAATATCTCCACCTTAAATATTTACAGGTTAGGAATGCCTTATGCTCTTGAAAGTATTCAAACATCCATGAACCAATTACTGTGATCATAAGTGTATGATCTTCTGAATGGGAGAGACTAATGGGTCGAACGCCTACTTCTAGATCGGGAGTTGGTCAACCACACTCAAAAAAACTGAAAGCTGTTTCCAGAAGAACAGAAGAGCAGAGAAAGAAGAGACAGATGTTGGATGGGCAAAAGCAGCAAATGTCTACCACACTGACTTATGGCTAAGATGTAGAAAAATCTCACTCCTCCTAGCCTGTGAGAAGATGGCCCAGGCCTAAAGACAGAAATAAAATGAATAGGAACAACAAACTTCTTCATTTGCTTCCAGTAGAAGATAATTGATAATTCCATGCTTCCTTTCTTTTTTGACCACTTTGAACAAAAATGATCCCATTTATATTTTTTTCTCAAACAATTGTGCAGATTCTGGGCTAACAGCTTGGGAGTAGAACTTGTTTAGAACTGCTTCATTTATTCTCAGATTTGGAATGTGTCATTAAAAAAATAAAAAACAAAATAGAAGTGGTGCCTTCAGTCTGGGGATAGTAGGCATTTGCCATTTTTTGACCATATTCTGTTTTCCACAGCTCTCCACCTCCATCTTACCCACTGTGGGCTAAAGCTGGGTGCAAAGTCTTGGCTCAGCCATTAACACACTCCAGCTGGGTTGCTGGAGCGGGCTCAGGGGAAAAGTCATGCTGTGGTTGATGGGCAGCCATATCCAGTTCACAGAGCAGCACCAGCAGATCTGGCATTGGCAGCACTGTCCTTAGATTCAGGCAAGAGAGAGACCCCAAATTAGGGAGGCCTGCCTGGCCCTCCTGCCTGAGTTCCTCCCCATGGAGCCAGGAGTCTACAAGTCCAACAGGACGTGCCTACTCAGAGCCTGAACTTCATGACCACTTCTTGACTACACTTTTGGTAACCAAGTACTGTGAATTCCCTGCGCAGATGAGCCTTGGGATCACTTCCAGGACCTATGTAATCTTCTTCCCTGTGTTTATCCCCCTGGGAGCAGACCATTCACACCTCTAGACCCAAAGGGAGGTCAAGAGGTGACCTCTGCAGGAGATGTAGATGATGCTTCTACATTCAAGTTGAAGTAGCAAGAAAGAGGATGTGCTCGGGGCTAGGGAGCAGGGCAAGGGGCTGGATTTATCCTTAGTATTCACTAAGGAGTCAAAAATTCTCTGTTTGAACTTGATCTTTCAGCTTATTATGAAAGTATATTCAGCAAAGAGGATATGACATTTGATTTAACAGATTGTTCATCTGATGTACAATTTATTTGTAACTTTTAAATATTTAAACACATGATATTGTGCCTCCATTGTGCTCTTGCCACAGACCCTGTAATTGTTGGGGAGGGAGGCTTGGCCTTTGATGCAGAGACACGACAAACAGCTGGGTTCTCAGCATATCATTTCTGGGGCATGGTTTTGCTAACATTCTCTACCTGCCTAGTATCACTGCTACCTACTTTCTAAGCTTCATTCTTTCACCTTGCCAGAATTGCCTTTTGACAATGTTCTATTTTGCTTAAATCAATCAGAGTTGATTTCTCTTAGCATGCAGCTAAGTATATACCACATGCAAAAAAAACAAAAACAGAAAACACTTCAATGGTCTGTGAATTAGCTGAATGGCATTAAACTATGTAATGTAAACCCTTCTCTTCTGCTAACTGCCTCTAGCTAGGCTCCTTTAAAAGACTATTCTCAATAAATGAAAAATCTAGCCTTTCTAGTACTCACGTGATTCATCGAGAGTGAACTGTTCTCTATAATCACCATGGCCAGAAGCCTCTAGGGATTGTAACCTGCACAGCTGTGGGTCTGGGAAATGTTATTGTTTCCAGCCTAGGCCTGAAGCCTGAGTCACCATTGGGACTGTCATGCAAAGGATCACTCTCTCCAATCACAGGTCCAGGCATCTCATCTCTGGGGATGTCTCAAATGTCAAAATTTCGGGAGATTTAGATAGAGAAGAAAAGCCAGTTTATAAGAGCGTATCATGCTTTGGCAGGGACGCCTGCAACCCAGATTTCAACTAAGGTATTAAGCCTTTCCCCACCTTGTGCCATGATCTCAAATACTTTAGAGATCTCAGCCTCATGGCATTATAAACTATTCTAGAATTATAAATTACACACACCCCCCCACATCATATACACACAAAGACACATACTTTTATTTTATCCAGAGGGAAGGCAAAGACCATCAAGATAGTCACTTACATGTCCATTGTGCTTATTAATTAGTAGTAAAATTGTAGATTATGTTTTTCTTTCTACTTATTAATGTTTCCCACTTTTGAACAATAAACAGGTTTTAATTGTATGATTAGAATTCAGTATGAAAAAGAGAAAAAGGATACTGGGAAACAAGTTGAAATCCTAATACTGAGAGTTTAAGATTTATTTATAAGTACTAGATTAAAGCTCATGAGTCTCCACCACTGATAGAACACAGCCAAAATCTTATTCGTTTCATTTGTTGGGAACTTCAGAATTATAACACACTCAAAGTTGCCCAGGAATCACCCCTACCCCCGCCAAATTATGTGTTAATATTCCCCTCAAGAGATACGTAATATGCTTGTGTCTATTTTTGTTTCAGTTTTGTTGGCTTGAGTGTCTTTCCAATTGTTGCATGAGTGTCTTTTCATTCTGTGGATTTTAATGAAGATTCTTGGAACCACTGTAAACACCTTCATCAGTAGATCTCTCAATAGAGAAACCTTCATGCCAGTTCTTACATAAAAGTTGCAAGCCAACTTAAAATTTGGGCTTCATTTTTCCTTCCATTCAAACTTTAGGGACATCCTCACATAGCTCTCAAAGACAGCTATTGTTTATGTTTTTCTCTCCTTATTTCGAAGAAGTTGTAATCATTTGACCAAAGTTAGTATATTTCTGATGCAAATTTATAATTTTATAAACGCTTAACCTAAATTTGCCTAATTGTATGCAGCAGTAAAAAGTCAGGATCTTGGCCGGGCTCGCACCTGTAATCCCAGCACTTTGGGAGGCTGAGGCAGGTGGATCACTTGAGGTTAGGAGCTGAAAACCAGCCTGGCCAACATGGCAAAATTCTGTCTCTACTAAAAATGAAAAACAATTAGCCACGCATGGTGGAAGGCACCTATAAGCCCAGCTACTAGGGTGGCTGAGACATGAGAATTGCTTGAACCCGGTGCGGGGGTGAGGCAGGAGGAGGGGTGCGGAGGTTGCAGTGAGCCGAAATGGCTCCACTGCCCTCCAGCCTGGGTGACAGAGTGAGAATCCATCTCAAAAAAAGAAAAGAAAAGAAAAGAAAAAAGGCAGGATCCCAAATAAACTGATATTCTGTAAGAAAGGAAAATCTGAAATCAGTCGCTAATATCGTGAAGCCTGTAGAGCTCACCATCTGGCACTCCTTGGAGGGAAGATGAAGAGTTAAGAATGAATTTTTTGCAGAGGGTAAACTCTACAATACTGGGCATAAAACAAAGCAAATCATTGTTCCCAGTTTCCTTTAAGCAGCAAGAGATAGATGTAGCAGGTGTGGGAATATGCTGGTTAAGAACATGCCTTTGGCAGCAAACGCACCTGGAAGCAAATCCCAATTCCACCATATATTAGCCTCATTAGACCTTGAAGAAACTACTTAATCTCTCTATATCCTGATTTTCTCATTTATAAGATGGGAATTGTAATAGTACCTTTTCTTAGCTCTATTTTTTGTTATTTGCTCTTCAATTTTTGGTTTCTCTGTTTGGTTTTAGAGGATTAACTAAGATATTGTATTGTACCTTGCACCATGTCTGGAACATAGTTCTCAATAAATGTTGGCCTTTAAATATCTATCTGGGAGATATCTACTTCTAGCCAATATGGAAAGTGTAACATGAACCAGATTTACCCTCTTTCCTGGAATAACTTAAAAACCAGACAAAATATATGAAGCAAAGGTTTTCAAGACATCAGACATCAAGCAAGGAAGGACAGTGATCTCTATCAGATGGGAAACAAATGAAGTGAGCCCTGTGATTACCTCAACTTACTACCTGGAAAGTTTCCAGAGCACAGAGCAGGGAGAAGGACCCCAAGTGCACCCTGGCTCTCTCTCTGAGTTGAGGATGCAGGTTTGAGCATCTAGGGAGGGGACAGAGGCTAGAGTTTCAGGACAAAGTACTGGAGCAGCGAAACCCAGACAGTGAGATACCTGGAGGCCTGAAGAGGGTTCTAAAGGAGTCTCAGGTGAGTTTCAACCAGCACATCCATGTGAGGAAGCTACCCAAAGCAGGAAAACAACTACTGAGAAAGATTAGAGGGAACAATCCCAAAGATCACACCAGGTCAGGGATAGCTCTTGTCCCCACAAGCCAGAATGGAAAAATCTCATAATTCTTGGGCATTAGTAAAGTATTTAGAAGGATTTTGCCTCAATAATGAGATAAAATTAGCCCTAAACTAAATGCTGCTTTGATACCACATAAGAAAGCTGAAAAGCAAGTCCCAGGAGGATCAAACTGTTTACAAGTAACTTAATTATACCAAGTAACTTAATTAACATATTAGGTAATGACATGATAAATTTATAGGCAGATTTTGGAGGAATAAAAAAGAGAAATTGCAGATTACCAATAGGAGCAATGAAAAATATGACATCACTAAAGATCTTACAGCAATTAAAAGAATAATAAGGAAATATGAACACATTTATGCAATAAATTTAACTCTGATATAATGGACAAGTTCCTTCAAAGAAACAAACTACCAATGCTACCCAAGAAGAAATAGATAACCTGACTATCCCCTATATCTATAATTAAAATTGAATTTGTAGTTCAAAAACTTTCTCATAAAGAAAATCCTAGGGATAGATGGCTTCACTGGAAAATTCTGCCAAACACTTAAGGAAGAAATAATATGCTATTCAAACTCTTGCTGAAATTCTCAGAGGAAAGAATATTTCCCAACTTATTTTATGAGGCTGGCATTACTTTATTACCCAAACCAAACCTATGATAAGAAAAAAATAACTAGAGATGAATATCCTTTATGAAGACATATGCAAAAATCCTAAGTAAAACTTCAGAAAATGTAAACTAAAAATATATAAAAAGAATAATATATCATGACCAAGTGGGATTTATCCCAGGAATGAAGATTGGTTTGACATTCAAAATCAATCAACGTAATTTACCATTTTTACAAACAATAACAAAAAATGTGTACAACTGGCCGGGTGCAGTGGCTCATGCCTGTAATCCCAGCACTTTGGGAGGCCAAGGCAGGCAGATCACTTGAGGTCAGGAGTTCAAGACCAGTCTGGACAACATATTGAAACTCCTATCTCTACTAAAAATACAAATATTAGCCAGGTGTGGTGGCACACCCCTGTAGTCCCAGCTACTTGTGAGGCTAAAGCACGAGAATTGTTTGATTCTCGTGCCTTAGGCAGAGGTTGCAGTGAGTTGAGTTTGTGCCACTGTATTCCAGCCTGGGCGACAGACTGAAACTCTGTAAAAAAAAAAAAAAAAAAAGTATACGATTATTCCAACAGATCAAGAAAAAGCATTTGACAAAATCCCAACATCCAATATTAATTTCTGATAAAAACCCTCAGTAACTTGAAATACAGGAGAACTTCTTCAACCTGATAAAAAATTATCTACAAAACCCTATAGCTAATGCCATACTTACTGGTGAACAACTGAATGCATTCCCTTCAAGATCAGGAACAGAAGATATCCACTGTCATTATTTTACTCAGTCATTATACTGGAGGGTCTAGCCAAGGCAATTAGCCAAGGAAAGAAAAAAAAAGCATCCAAATTTAACATGAGTAAACAAAATCGCCTTTATTCACAGATGGCATAATCATGATGGTCTATTAAAAAAAAATCTTGGCAGTGGAGCCAAGATGGCCAAATAGGAAAAGCTCCAGTCTACAGCTCCCAGGGTGAGTGACACAGAAGACAGCTGATTTCTGCATTTCCAAATGACTTACCGGGTTCATCTCATGGGGGAGTGCTGGACAGTGGGTGCAGGACAGTGGGTGCAGTGCACCATGCGTGAGCCGAAGCAGGGTGAGGCATCGCCTCACCCTGGAAGTGCAAGGGGTCAGGGAATTCCCTTTCCTAGTCAAAGAAAGGTATCAGAGACAGCGCCTGGAAAATCGGGTCACTCCCACCCTAATACTACACTCTTCCAATGGGCTTAACAAATGGCACACCAGGAGATTATATCCCGCACATGGCTCGGAGGGTCCTGCACCCATGGAACCTCGCTCATTGCTAGCACAGCAGTCTGAGATCAAACTGCAAGGTGACAGCGAGGCTGGGGGAGGGGTGCCTGCCATTGCTCAGGCCTGAGTAGGTAAACAAAGCAGCCGGGAAGCCCACCACAGCTCAAGGAGGCCTGCCTGACTCTGTAGGCTCCACCTCTGGGGGCAGGGCACAGACAAACAAGACAGCGATAACCTCTGTAGTCTTAAATGTCCCGTCTCACAGCTTTAAAGAGAGTAATGGTTCTCCCAGCACGCAGCTTGAGATCTGAGAACCGGCAGACTGCCTCCTCAAGTGGGTCCCTGACCCCCGAGTAGCCTAACTGGGAGGCACCCCCTAGTAGGGGCAGACTGACACCTCACATGGCCAGGTACTCCTCTGAGACAAAACTACCAGAGCAACCATCAGGCAGCAGCATTTGCGGTTCACCAATATCCACTGTTCTGCAGCCACTGCTGCTGATACCCAGGCAAACAGGGTCTGGAGTGGACCTCCAGTAAACTCCAACAGACCTGCAGCTGAGGGTCCTGACTCTTAGAAGGAAAACTAAAAAACAGAAAGGACATCCACACCAAAACCCCATCTGTACATCACCATCATCAAAGACCAAAGGTAGATAAAACCACAAAGATGGGGAAAAAACAGAGCAGAAAAATCAGAAACTCTAAAAATCAGAGCGCCTCTCCTCCTCCAAAGGAACGCAACTCCTCAACAGCAATGGAACAAAGCTGGGTGGAGAATGACTTTGACAATTTGAGAGAGGAAGGCTTCAGAATATCAAACTACTCTGAGCTAAAGGAGGAAGTTTGAAACAATGGCAAAGAAGTTAAAACCTTTGAAAAAAAATTAGACGAATGGATAACTAGAATAACCAATGCAGAGAAGTCCTTAAAGGACCTGATGGAGCTGAAAACCAAGGCATGAGAGCTACGTGATGAATGCACAAGTCTCAGTAACCAATGCGATCAACTGGAAGAAAGGGTATCAGTGATGGAAGATGAAATGAATGAAATGAAGCATGAAGAGAAGTTTAGAGAAAAAAGAATAAAAAGAAACAAACAAAGCCTCCAAGAAACATGGGACTATGTGAAAAGACCAAATCTATGTCTAATTGGTGTACCTGAAAGTGACAGGGAGAATGGAACCAAGTTGGAAAACACTCTGCAGGATATTATCCAGGAGAACTTCCCCAATCTAGCAAGGCAGGACAACAGTCAGATTCAGGAAATACAGAGAATGCCACAAAGATACTCCTCGAGAAGAGCAACTCCAAGACACATAATTGTCAGATTCACCAAAGTTGAAATGAAGGAAAAAGTGTTAAGGGCAGCCAGAGAGAAAAGTCGGGTTACCCACAAAGGGAAGCCCATCAGACTAACAGCGGATCTTTCGGCAGAAACTCTACAAGCCAGAAGAGAGTGGGGGCCAATATTCAACATTCTTAAAGAAAAGAATTTTCAACCCAGAATTTCATATCCAGCCAAACTAAGCTTCATAAGTGAAGGAGAAATAAAATACTTTATAGACAAGCAAATGCTGAGAGATTTTGTCACCACCAGGCCTGTCCTAAAAGAGCTCCTGAAGGAAGCACTAAACATGGAAAGGAACAACTGGTACTAGCCACTGCAAAAACATGCCAAATTGTAAAGACCATCGAGGCTAGGAAGAAACCGCATCAACTAATGAGCAAAATAACCAGCTAACATCATAGTGACGGGATCAAATTCACACATAACAATATTAACCTTAAATGTAAATGGGCTAAATGCTCCAATTAAAAGACACAGACTGGCAAATTGGATAAAGAGTCAAGACCCATCAGTGTGCTGTATTCAGGAAACCCATCTCATGTGCAGAGACACACATAGGCTCAAAATAAAGGGATGGAGGAAGATCTACCAAGCAAATGGAAAACAAAAAAGGCAGGGGTTGCAACCCTAGCCTCGGATAAAACAGACTTTCAACCAACAAAGATCAAAAGAGACAAAGAAGGCCATTACATAATGGTAAAGGGATCAATTCAACAAGAAGAACTAACTATCCTAAGCATATATACAGCCAATACAGGAGCACCCAGATTCATAAAGCAAGTCCTTAGTGACCTACAAAGAGACTTAGACTCCCACACATTAATAATGGGAGACTTTAACACCCCACTGTCAACATGAGACAGATCAGTGAGACAGAAAGTTAACAAGGATATCCAGGAATTGAACTCAGCTCTGCACCAAGTGAACCTAATAGACATCTACAGAACTCTCCACCCCAAATCAACAGAATATACATTCTTTTCAGCACCACACCACACCTATTCCAAAATTGACCAGATAGTTGGAAGTAAAACACTCCTCAGCAAATGTAAAAGAACAGAAATTATAACAAACGGTCTCTCAGACCACAGTGCCAACAAACTAGGACTCAGGATTAAGAAACTCACTCAAAACCGCTCAACTACTTGGAAACTGAACAACCTGCTCCTGAATGACTACTGGGTACATAACAAAATGAACACAGAAATAAAGATGTTCTTTGAAACCAATGAGAACAAAGACACAACATACTAGAATCTCTGGGACACATTCAAAGCAGCATGTAGAGGGAAATTTATAGCACTAAATGCCCACAAGAGAAAGCAGGAAAGATCTAAAATTGACACCCTAATATCACAATTAAAAGAACTACAGAAGCAAGAGCAAACACATTCAAAAGCTAGCAGAAGGCAAGAAATAACTAAGATCAGAACACAACTGAAGGAAATAGAGACACAAAAAAGCCTTCAAAAAATTAATGAATCCAGGAGCTGGTTTTTTGAAAAGATCAACAAAATTGATAGACCGCTAGCAAGACTAATAAAGAAGAAAAGAGAGAAGAATCAAATAGATGCAATAACAAATGACAAAGGGGATATCACCACCGATCCCACAGAAATACAAACAATCATCAGAGAATACTATAAACACCTCTACACAAATAAAATAGAAAATCTAGAAGAAATGTATAAATTTCTCGACACATACACTCTCCCAAGACTAAACCAGGAAGAAGATGAAACTCTGAATAGACCAATAACAGGCTCTGAAATTGAGGCAATAATTAAGAGCTTACCAACAAAAAAAAGTCCAGGACCAGATGGCTTCACAGACAAATTCTACCAGAGGTACAAGGAGGAGCTGGTACCATTCCGTCTGAAACTATTCCAATCAATAGAAAAAGAGGGAATCCTCCCTAACTCATTTTATGAGACCAGCATCATCCTGATACCAAAGCCTGGCAGAGACACAACAAAAAAAGAGAATTTTAGACCAATATCCTTGATGAACATTGATGCAAAAATCCTCAATAAAATACTGGCAAACTGAATGCAGCAGCAAATCAAAAAGCTTATCCACCATGATCAAGTGGGCTTCATCCCTGGGATGCAAAGCTGGTTCAACATACGAAAATCAATAAACGTGATCCAGCATATAAACAGAACCAAAGACATAAACCACATGATTATCTTAAAACTAGCGATAATGTTATAATGTAAATTAAAATTCTTTTTATTGCTATATTCCCAAAAGATAATGATCAACTTTTAAGACATTTGTGAGACATTTATTTGTTCTTCTTTTTCTCTGCTTTTCTCCCTTTTCCCAGCCTCTGTTCTCTCTTTTTCTAGAAGAAACATTAAACAGTAAATGTCAAAAGTCACTGCCAGGCAAATAAAGAAATAAAATCATTGTTAGTTTTTTCAAACAAGGATTATTTCACCCATGTGAAAATGAGTGGTCAACTGTGCTTCATCTTATTATGTGAAAAAAGAAAAGATATTGAAAGCATCACACACAAAGAAATAAAGGAAATATTAAATCTCATTTACAGTACAGTGAAATCTACACAATTAAGCTGAAAAACATTTTCCCCTAGATGGCTGCTCCCCTGTGAGCAGATGTGGCCTTCGAAGAATTTTAGGCAACAGTGGATGAAAAACTTTCTAAATATAATTTTTCAAAATATTGTGCATGTATTTAAATATATACACAACTTTATATACGTTTGTATTCATATGTTTCCCAATACTCCAGTGGCATAGACCCATTTTTTTATGGGGGATTCAATTTTTTCTCAGTTGCCTTGATCTGTCTAATAAGTTTCAAATAATTGTGGCCTTTATTATATCCTAAAACTTAATGAATTTGGCAAGAAATAAATAGAACTTTGATTTCCTCTTTAGCCACTCACCAAAGCTATTATTTGTAATTTATTTGTTTTTTTTATTCCTCTGGCTCAAAATCTATTTTATTGGAAAGCCATGCAATGATATAGAGAAAGTCAAGCCAGGATTATCTCCCAACAATCAGGAAGCAAAAGTAAAAACCAAATTTGTCCGTTGTTTTCGCCTTAATGGGATTTTTGGGAAAAGATCACTACTTTGTCTCAATTCATTTGCAATGGAAAAATCAAACCTTGAACCTGGAAGAATCATCCCTTTATTAACATTTATGTTGTTATTTTCTCTGTAAGTCTAGTGGAGATTGCCACATGTCAGCTAGATGCCCAAAAACAATTCTGAGTTTATTTTCTTAGATGAGTTTATTTTTCATAAATGTTCCTAACCCCCAGCTTTTTTTTTTTTTTTTTTTTTTGGACAGGCCAGAGTACAGCTCAAGCAATCCTCTGCCTCAGCCTCCCTAGTAGCCTGGACTGAAGGCCCATACCACCACACCCCACTAATTTTTGTACTTTTTGCAAAGATGGGGTTCACCACATTGCCCGGGCTGGTCTTGAATTCCTGTGCTCAGCAATCTGTCTACTTCAACCTCCCAAAATGCTGGGATTACAGGCGTGAGGCACCGCACTCGGCCTCCTCTCCCTTTTTAAGCAAACAAATTTCATTGGCTTCTTCTAATGTGAGAAATTGTACCAATTGCTTTTGTATATGCATTCTTCCTAAAATTCTAGTTTCTATAACTCAGTTCCAGGGCGAGCTTCCTGGGTGTGTGACCTATTAGTTGCACAGGGACCCCACTCCCACTCCAAATTTAAGATACTCTGTTGTTGCCATATTACATTTCTTAATGATTATTGAACGAGGTAACATTTTCATTTTGTACTGAGTCCCCCAAATTATGTAGCAGGTCCTGTGCAATTCATGTAATCAATTACCAGAGCTTAAACGAAAGAGTATCATGAGCCCTATGTGGTATAATAATAGTAATAGAGAAGAACTTTATGGGTATTAACTTTTTTGAGCCTTGAAAAACATCACTACAAGATAAGTATTATCATTAGCTCCATTTTACAGATGGAGAAATTAAAATACAAAGAGGATAATGAAATTGCCCAAAATCACTGGTAATTGTGGGGCCAGAATTAGATCCCAGACAATTTGACTGCAGAGACCGTTATGCTAAAAACAGTGAATACTGTTTAAAGGGAACTTCAGAATCACCTGGCTTCCATAACACAGCTCTACCCCCAAGAACTTATAAAGCCAAACCTGTTTTGCATCTCTGTCTCTTCTGTTTGCCCCTAAGTTTTGGACTTGATTGAGTAACAGGTACACTATAGGTGTTTTAATTAGCAGAATTTATAGGACGACTCACTTCTTTGATCGACAAAATATCTCACCTGCAGTATATCCGCAGAGCAAAGGGTCACATTTTAATTCTTCTGGGAGCATCCACATTACCATCAGTGCATGTGGGAGGTGTAATGTTGATTTTCTAGTTCATGTATTTGCTAACCCAGGAAACACTCTTACTTTTTACTTCTTATTCAAGATGGGTTCAGTTCCTTGGCTAAACTAAAAAAGCATTTTCCCCATAAAACTTGCTCCACCAGACTTCTAATTAGTTTGCCTTCTGTCAGGAATGGAGAAACCAGCTTCTGGACACTAGTATTTTTCAGGCAAGAAAGGTAGTAAAATTTGGCAGTCAGCGTCTATGAATAAAAACAAAGAGCAGAAAGGAATTTCCATTTTGTAAGACATGGTAATAACTCAAGGCCAAATGTCTATGTGCTAAGTGATTTACTTAAAGTGTTTTTAAAGTAAAGAAGGTGTAGCATAAATACTCACTGGAGAGAATATAACTGAAGGTGCTGGACGGGATTGCCAATATATGTCCACTAAAGGCTGGTGGCTACGAATTCTGTATCCTGCAGACCTGGCTTTAAATCCTGGCTCTACTACTTACTAGAAAGTGAAATATTAGACAAAGTTTTCTTCATATGTAAAACAAACACTTGCTACATGCCAAGTGTTGTGCTAGATTCTGGATACCTAGAAGTGCCTGCTGAGGGGAGAAAAAACTATGGTGCCTGCCTTTAAGGTGCTTACAGTCTAGTGGGATACTACTATTCTACTTATAGACAACAAGTGTAGAAGGGATACAGTGGATTCTAGCATCATTCTGTATTTCCACCTCTCTGAGGAATTGTTATATCCCTTAACCAAGGACTAAGAAAATGATCTGGTTCAATCTGGACTAACTCCTGTGGGTCCCAAGATGACTGTACTGAAATATCCATTTCTAGCTTCTTAATCCTTTTTTCCAATGACAGACAGTTCTGACTCTGTACTTAGGTGCTCATCAAGAAGAAAGTCTTTACTTCCTTCTAAAATCCTCCAGAGAGAGGTTCAGAAAAAAAAAAAACTGTTGGGTACTATGCTCAGTACTAGGGTGACAAAGGAATCTGTACACCAGACCCCCAAGTCATAAGTTTACCTATATAACAAACCTGCACATGTACCCCTGAACCTATAATAAAAGTTAAAAAATTAAGTAAATTTAATTTAATTAACTAAAAAAATGCATTTAAAAACTTATGTGGAGGCCAGGCATGGTGGTTTATGCCTGTAATCCCAGCACTTTGGGAGACCAAGGTGGGCAGATCACTTGAGTTCAGGAGTTTGACACCAGCCTGGGCAACACGGTGAAACCCCATCGCTACAAAAAACACAACAAAACAAAAATTGGCCAGGTTTGGTGGCATGTACCTGTAGTCCCAGCTACTTGGGAGGCTGAAGTGGGAGGATGGCTTGAGCCCAGGAGACAGAGGCTGCAGTGAGCTAAGATCAAGGCACTATACTCTAGCCTGGGCGACAGACTGAGACCCTGTTTCAAAAAAAACAAAAAACAAAAAACAAAAAAAACAAGTATGTGGTACTTGATAGAAAAGTAATAAATATAATCCCAGTTCCTTGAAATTCCACATTTCAGATTTTATAACTTGTGTTGTTTTCAATGTGTGATTTTGTCTAAAGTTACTATGCTATATGTACATGTATACTAATTGAAGCTCTATACTACACTCAAAATAGATACTTAATCCTTGTAAAGCACACAAATACTTAGGATATATGCATGATAGAGCTTTTCTTTATTTTGACAAGTGTGACAAATCTTTTTAGAGAAACACTGTATTTTCCAAATATTTTTAATAAGATGCAATAATATACACTGCTTAAAATGCAATTCTTCAGTTTTATAAAATATCAGTGTTTTAATTCCTTCTGAAGCCCCTTTTTGTAAATGTGTCAATCTGCTCATCAGACAATATATTAATATGGTATAGTAGAATCTCTTTTATATTTAATAATAAAATTCTGTCAAGATTGGTTTAAATAAAAACATCCTCTAAAATATTGACAGCAGTGTCATGATGCTGCAGCTCGCTGTGCCTCTACCCTGAGCATTATTGTGTCTGGGTTCCCTCTGGTTGCTTTCTCTCCTGGGTACAGCATTTCCAGAGTCCTATATAAATTTGGACGTACATTTAAATACCTTCGTCGACAGGAGTCAGTCACCAGTGAGAGTCCAAGCTAAAAATGATGCTGCCTGTAAAAACACGCAGCACTTCTGGTCAATGCCATGAAACACCCTCTTCCTATAACCACAATATCCCTTAACAGTTGTGTGTTTCATATAGTGTTGAATCACTTTATGCCCAATTATCAGGTAGATGCATACTCCCCAGGAATTGAAGGTATACTATGAGTACATGAAGCCTCAGGAAGACATCTCCTCAAAGCATTGATTCATTCAGAGATGTGGAAGGAAAACACAGATTTGTCATATATATCTCCTCATGTATATGAATCTGGATTATCTAAATCTGACATCAAGAAAGTAGAAAAACCAGACTGACTGGGCTCAGTGCCTTGCACCTGTAATCCCAGCACTTTGGAAGGCGAAGGCAGGCAGATCGCTTGAGCCTAGGATTTCAAAACCAGTCTGGACAACATGGCAAAACTCCATCTCTACAAAATATACAAAAATTAGCTGGGCATGGTGGTGTGCACCTGTAGCCCCAGCTATTTGAGAGGCTGAGGTGGGAGGATCGCTTGAGCCCAGAGGGTGGAGGCTGCAGTGAGCCAAGATGGCATCACTACACTGTAGTCTGGGCACCAGAGGGAGACTGTCTCAAAAAAAAAAAAAAGAAAAAGAAAAATAAAGAAAGGAAGCAGAAAAACCACCTGATGCTGACTTGCTAGGCAGTGTCAATTCTCTTCAATTCAACCCAGTTCCCCACATTTATACACTTAATATAACATCTCCTCCACTGACCAGCAGGGCAAGTAGGAATTGTTTTTTGGTTTTTAAGATAAAGCAGGAGCTGTGAAAGTTTCATGCTTTAAAACTATGCTTTCAGCTACCCTCCCAGACTACGCAATCATAATGTAGCAGGATTGCATGTTAATTCTTTCTTATGTTGTTAGATATTTCCATGAAAATATGAGAAAAATACTGATCAGGTTATTCTTGCACACTTCAGAAGTTATTTATTCTCACAACACCAAAGGGATTAAAAACTACAATGTTCACTCTACAAGAAACCCTAGAAATCATCTCATCTGGGATTCCTCAAACTGTACTTTGAGAAGCCCCCTCAGGGGTCACTGCAAAGGTCAGGTAAGGGCAAGAGGGAACTCGGCCTCCTCCATCTCAACCCCTCTGCCAACCCCATTGCCTCTTTCCTGTGTCAACCAAATAGGATCTGCTTTGATCCTATTTTTTATTTGTCTAGGATTTTTAAGTAAGGCTTATTTAAGGAAAATATTGTAAGGGAGGGAAAAAAAGAGTGTGAAAATATCTGATCTAGTCCAATCCTCTTATTTTTTATGTTACCAAAGCCACATTTTGCCCCAACTCAGTCCCACCCAAAATCCCACCCACCTCGACCCAAAGCTACAGGGACCTAATCCTAGCTACAGGGACCCAGAGGAAGCCCCGCTTTAGAGTGGCGGGACAACAACCTCTACTTTCATTTGTGTAGCTGTCACCAGGATTCTTTGACAAAGTAATATGGCTAATGGGCAAATTGGGTGAATTTAAGAAACTAATTGCATGTTGTTTGTTGTGTGCATGTGTTTGCATGTGTGTTTGGTTTTCTTGTTTTGTGTTTTAATCATAACATGTTACTATCATTCATAGCAAAGAGTCATTGGCATTAGAGACTCCTGCCTGACGTGAGAAGGCGTTACTCCCTCTGAAAGCACTTTTTGAGGAAAGGGGATGCCCACACCTTCATGAGACAGGAATATAAGTGGCCAAAACACCTTTCACGAGCCCCATTTTGATGTATAACAGTATTTCTCAAACTGTTCAGAGTCATTATTATTATTCTTAAAAAGATTTCCTGGGAAAACAAGTGGGTAACCCTGGATTATAAAAGAAACACTTAAATGTATCTTTACTGAAAAACTTCTCACAGCTTTTATCTGCTAATACTCATTGCAGCTTTCCAAGAAAGAAATATGGCTTGCATTGTTTCTCAAAGCTATCCCATGGAACCCTTTTTTAAGAAGCATATCATGGAACTTGTGTCTCATGGAATACACTTTGGAAAACATTCTGGAATCATCCTGCAATGTAATATCAGCCAAGATTGAAAGCCCCCGGAGGAGAGAGACAGCACCTTTGGTACTTCTTCCTTTGCCCTAGACCCTGCTGGCAGAAAATCTGCTTACAATTGGCTACTGAGTATTGGAGAGATGAGACTTTGTGGAAAATTAGCAATTCTCTGGCAGAAGTTAAGAAGTAAGAGAAGATAAGGAGAGAAATGCTGGAGTATATAGCATTGACTGTATATGACTTACATTACACTCATAGACTCCCAGGAGATAGAAAGAGCTTCAACTCACTCAGAGTCCTAGAGACTGGGGTTGAGAACAGACAGACAGCATGTAGTATGTTGGCTGCACACTGAGGCAGAGGTGGGCTCGACACTTGCATTCAACAACTAATGATGTTTAGAGTTCTTCCCTTGGGACATTTCAAGTCTCATACTGAGCCAATGAAGATGATTTTGAATATTTTCTTAGGGCTAAGAACATAAATTTTACTATAAAACTGGAATTTTTTCAATGCTGTTTCCCCATAATGTGGGTATTTGGGTTTTTCTTTTTAAATATTTTTCCAGTAAAATTGCACACTGCTCGTCCACAGACATAAACAGCAGCCTAAGGGCAGATGGTGAAAACTATGGCTCTCTGAGCATGAGTTGTAAGAACATTTCTTCTTCAAATGTCACTGAATTTCTGAAGCCAAGTTAAGCACAATGTGTGTGCCATATTTATTCCCAGGGAAGCTTTTATTCTTATTCCCACCAGCAAAGTCATGAGTCATGTTTGGGTGTCTTGAGGCTTTATAAACTGTGGTAAATAGAGTCAAATTTTCTTTTTGCAATGTTATTGAGCAACAAACCCACTGCATTTGATACAACAAAATTAGAGTTGTTGACATGTGCCTAAAGGGCTTGTGACACCCCATATTTTAAGGTTCATGTTTTTCCAGGACAGATTTGTATGTCAACTTGAATGATATTTTTTAATGTTCTTTGTCTTGCTGGATTAAAATCCTATGCTCTGGCCAAATTCAATCTCTAATACAAACCTTTAACTAGATAAAAGAAAAGGTGCCAGTGATTATGCTCTGGAAAAAGAGTCCACAGGCCCTAATTAACCTCACAGGGATGGGTAAGAAGAAAACTTTCATTATCATCAGTTTGGTAGATTGTCTGAGTGAAAATGGCAGCAGTTATTCCCCTCCTTGCATCCAAGACCTTTGTAGTGCAATGTTGCAGCTCCTATCATCAAGAGGCGTGGTCTGTCACCCCAGTCCTTGGACCTGGACTGGGCTTGTAACTTGTTTGGCCAATAGAATATGGAAGAAGCAACAGTGTGCTAGGCCTTGCACGCTTGTCCTTTCTTTGACCCTTGTGAACAACCCAGGCTAGCTGCTGGAGAATGACAGAACAAGGGTTCCAGGGTCAGCCAGCCCCACTGTACCACTAAGACCTGAGCTGGTACATGCAGTACATGTGGTACATGGTACAAGAGCCCCATGTGACAAAGTCCACCAAGATGAGCTTGTTGATCTGCACCTGACTGGCGACACATGTGCAGCCCAGCTGAGATCAGCCAAACCTGGCTCAAATTATCAGAATACCCAGTTGACTGGCCCCATTGACTTGTGAGTAATAATATTTATTGTCTTAAACCACTAAAGTTTAGGGTGCCTTGATATGCAGCAATAACTAACTAGTACAAACATAATCATCATAACCATCTTCATCATCAATAACTATCATTCATTTTCACATTTTCCCCACATACTCCCTCTCTCTTAAGTTACTACGTTGCATTAGTGTGGTACATTTGTTACAAGTGATGAGCTAATATTGATACATTATTATTAAATGAAGTCCCTAGTTACAATAGGATTCTCCATGTTGTATATTCTATGGGTTTTGACAAATGTATAATGACGTGTATTCATGTTATAGAATCATAAGAATAGTATCACTACCCTAAAAAAATCCCTGGTGCTCCACCTATTCATCCTTCTTTCCTCTCCCCATGAATCCCTGACAACCACTGACCTTTTTAGAACCTCCACAGCTTTGCCTTTTCCAGAACTTCATATAGTTGGAATCATATGGTATATAGCTTTTACAGATTGGCTCATTTTATCATGTTCTATGTGTCTAGCACTGTGTTACATTTCCTAAATTATCTCCTTTAACCCAGTCGGATGCTACTATTATGCTCAGTATATGGCATATATATATATATATATATATATATATATATATGCTATATAGTATATAGCAAATAGCTACTATTATGCTCATCTATATAGATGAGAGAACTGAGCTCAGAGAAGATAAGTTAATTGGCCCAAGGACACATGGTAAGTGCTGGGGTTTGAGAAACTCAGGCCTATCTTATTTTAGAGCCTAAACTCTTAACTACCATGGGAAAAGTTGCAAAGTGGTGAGGCAGAGGCCACATTCAGCCTACAGCTTTGTTACATTTGGCTCACCTAGTGTAAATACCAGAACATTTCAGCCTTTCTTTAAAAATTGTAGTGTGTGGCAATTGTAGGCCTGCATTCCCACAGGGCAATTGTCTTAGTCAGCTTGGGCTGATACTACGAAATACTAGAGATGCATGGCTTAAACAACAGATGTTTATTTCTCACAGTTCTGGAGGCTGGGAAGTCCAAGATCCAGGTGCTGGCAGATTCAGTTTCTGGTAAGGACTCTCTTCCTGGCTGGCAACAGCTGTTGCCTTGTCTCTGTGTCCTCATATGGCAGAGGGAGGGAGCTCTGGTCTCTCCTCCTCTTCTAACTAGGACACCAGTCCCATCATGGGGTCCCACCCGCATGAACACATCTAAACCTAATTAACTCCCAAAGGCCCTACTTCCAAATACCATCATATTGGGGGGTATGGTTTTAACTTAGGAATTTTGCTGAGGACACAAACATTCAATCCATAGCAGCAATGATTGGCTAAAGTGAGGTAGCAGCTGTTCCATTAGGGCATAAAATTTCACTTCTCCAGAGTCCTCACTACTCCTTATTGTATAGAACCTGGTCCAATTTCCTTATTTACATTATCTCTCTGGCCCCAGAAGTATTTGAGATTTTACTGTACTCCCTCCCAGAGATGCCCCTAGCCCTGGCTAGGAGTCTTGCAGGGGAAGTGTGGAGTTCAGCAGTAAATATGAAACAGCTCAGCTAGGTCTTAAAATACAATGGTGACTAAAATATCTTGCTGCCTCAGAACTGTGCTGAACATATATATGGGAAGTCCTGACCTGGAATGTGGAGAACCTTAAACTAGGCAGTTCCCTGGGTTGATGCTTTTCAGCTTGAAAACTCCTCCCAAAGTGCTTTGAGTTCATAAGGGCCTCTCTACTTTGAGCATCAACAAGACCACCAGGACACCTTGACTCTGACCTAATGATGAGGCCAAGGGGCCAGCATAGCCAATCTCTGGTCTCTGAGAAGGTCTCTTCAGAGCGACCCATCTATCTGTCCCTAACTCATTCCCTGCAGTCAAAAGTCTATTCTTTTTGGTTGGGTGTGGTGGCTCATGCCTGTAATCTCAGCACTTTGGGAGGCCGAGGCAGGTGGATCGCCTGAGGTCAGGAGTTCCAGACCAGCCTGACCAACATGGTGAAACTCTGTTTCTACTAAAAATACAAAAATTAGCCGGGCATGGTGGCGGGCACCTGTAATCCCAGCTACTCAAAAGGCTGAGACAGGAGAATTGCTTGAACCCAGGAGGCAGAGATTGCAGTGAGCTGAGATTACACTGTTGCACTCCAGCCTGGGCAAAACAGTGAGACTCCATCTTGAAAAAATAAAAAATAAAAAATAAAAAGTCTGTTCATTTTAAAAGCTTCTGGGGAGCAATTTTCTTAGCTTTGTTTGAGAACATACTCCAACATTCAAGAGTTCCATCACTTTATCACTTCTTCTGCCATTTCTGGTATTCAGTGATCAGGTCCATTGTACCTTTGTTGGCTTCCTAAGAAAGTGACCCATCAGCTTCTAGTTGCTGTTGGTTTTGAACATAAAAACACTAATTGGCTTCATTCCCAGTTTTTTGAGGAATGGCTTTCAACTGTGACTTCTTAGGTATACCTGAAGGAAGAAATGCTTTGAAAAATACCTCCCCTGCCTTGTAAGGACCAGGGTCCAGTGAAAGGAATGACACTTTTATTCAACCAAACACCATGTGAAATTTGGACATGAAAAGGTAGGCCTGGATCTAAGTTGGGAATAAGGATTGGAGAGAACTGAGTTAGAGAAATATAGAATCCCTGGGAGCAATCTGGGAGATAAGTGGAAATTAAAGAAAAAGGAAATTAAGAAGACAAATTAAAATTGGAAGAGGAGCTAGCAAAGTGGCAAGAAGCATAGGCATTATGCAGAGTCCATGGTGGTGGCAGAGCTAGTGAGACATCATGATGGTGCTGGATGTCTTAAAACAACATTTAAGAATAAGACTACAGTTAACTCGAACAACAGGAGAGTTAGGGATGCTCACCTCCTGCACAGTTGAAAATCCATGTATAACTTTTAACTCCCCAAAAACTTAACTGCTAAAAGCCTACTGTTGATGGGAAGCCTTACCAATGACATGAACAGTCAATTAACACATAATTTGTATGTTATATGTACTACATGCTAATTCTTACAATAAAGTAAGCTAGAGAAAATAAAATATTATTAAGAAAATAATAAGGAAGAGAAAATACATTTACTATTCATTAAGTGGAAGAGGATCATCTAAATATGTTCTTTATCCTCCTTGTCTTCATGTTGAGTAGGTTAAGGAGGAGGAAGAGGAGAGGTTGGCTTGCTGTCTAAGGAGTGGCAAAGGTGGAAGAATATCCATGTATAAGTGAACTCATGCAGTTCAAATCCACAGTGTTCAAGGGTCAGCTGTATCTAATATATAATTTTATGCTGATTCCCATGCAGTGTGGTGATATGAAGCCCCCTCCTGGTAACATGAAGAACTTTGGTAAAAGTCCTGCTACAGTCTACAGCCGTGTACTTAACAATTGTTTGGAGGAGAAAAATCAAGAAGACCTCAAGTTTGGGGTAATATGGGGAAGAAACATTGAAACAGCTTTAAGATGCAAAGTATAAAACAAAACTTCAGAGGACACAGGAACTCAGAGCCAGAGGTGACAGTGAATTTCAGAATTTTGGCTGGGCATCGAACTTTCCTGGTCCTTATTTGGGGGCTTGGGCCATTCTTATCTAGATTATAAAAGTCCAGGGAACTCCAGATGAGATCTGAATTCCACAACCATTGTGTTTAATCCAGAATTTCCTACCAAAACCTCCCAGCTGGTTCCATTCACCCTGCCCCCAGATGAATACAAACCACAGGTATTTGACCCTATCAGAGGGAACTTGTGTCCAGACAGAATGAATATGTGGGCCACAGTGTGTGTATTTTCCCAGCAGCCTCTGCAATTTACAGAAGTTTGCGATTCAAGATTTGTAAAGTAGTCGTATGAAAAAAAAAATAGAATCCATCTGAGGTTTCTAGATGAGGTATGAATAACACAAATTCTTAACTTGCACTGAACTATTTACTTTCAAAAGCATGTCTTCTAAATAAGAGCCTTTTTGTCATCTTGACCTGGTGGAAATTTAAATCCCAAGTTCTTGACACTAAAGACTATTTCACTACATATTTTAATCAGAATAATATCTACATTGATAAGTCTCCATAAACCATTTTCCAGGGCAAACCTATTTACTGGAAAAGCATGCATAAACCCCATTGCAACCTATTGATTGCAAACCCAAACTTATGATCCTCCAAAACGTCTTCTGACTTCCTGAAATGGTTATGTAGCCAGGTTCCAGTTCACAAGAAGCCCGAAGATCTTATGCAACTTTTTAGCGTCCAAAAATTTGAGCTGTGTTCCCTTTAAGATGGGCTGGAAATCTGGAATTAAAATGTTTCTAAATCAGCTTCTCCTGGGCTGTGTGCTCCAGTGGCTCGAGTTTCATTAGGATGACTTCTCGGGGCCTTCAGATCTTATTTCACATCAGGCTAAGTCTGGTCTTGATTAAAGTCACTGTGAGGAAAGCATATGGCAGGCAGAGAGACGGAGGCTGGGTAACAAGCCCCTGCAGGTTCATGCTGAAAAAAAGGCAGAGCCCATAAACTGTCTGCTGTTCCTCCAGTTTGGGCTCCAAATGAAATCTGAGCTTGCACAGTGCCTGTGCTTATATATTTGAGTTAATTGAGTTTTTAATTATTAAAAGTGAGTCCAGTCAGGCAAGGGATTTAGCAAACTAAGTATTAAAATAGCACATGACTGAGGCAAATTTTTTCTAAAGTTTCCCCAAACACAATTAGTGTGGGACTCTTTGCTGTCATATGTTTTAATAGCAAAGGAGGGGTGAAGCTGTGACCATTCTCATTTTGTTAAGCTTTTGCATCTGCAGAGTGGGAAAGATAATGCCTTTAGCTTTTGAATTCCGTTAGGACCAGACAAAACACTTCTCCTAGGAAACACTTTCATTTGATGCAAGAACTAGCCATACAAAGAGGAAATGGAGCTTCTCTTCCTGTCATCAGAGCTCCAGGCCAGACCAGACCATAAATTATTCTGGTTACTTCTACAGATATAGGAAGGAGAGAGCCTTGCAGAGAAGTCTCATTACAGGATGAATTGGTGCATGGATTTTTGTCTTAAATGGTCATGAATTCTTTATGTTGTAGGAGAAAAAAAGCTTTAGAGGTAGTTTCCTTACTTCATACACTTTTGCTTGTCTCTGATAATAATGTGAAATATTTCAAAGTAGAAAGAGTATTATTACAGCAGCGTACTCTGTTTTTTAGAGCTATCTGCTCCCCTTCCTGTTAAAATAATTTTACTTCTTTCTCTTATGCATGGCTCTTAATTAGTTCTTTTCAAAAATGTTAACACTTTCAAAAGAAACAGCAACGATGTGCTTTCACCACAGCTGGTATGAGAACCAGGCCTGCCCTGGTAACCTGTACACTCTTCATGTTTTTCCTTGGCTAACATAGTGTCCTGCCTTCACTGGCAGCTTCTCCCAGGTAAAGTCCCAGGATTCTTGGAAATGCCCATGATGGTCCATACCCAGGAACTGAAGGCTGGAGGCCCAGGGAACTCAAAGAAATGAGCAGTGGCTACAAGGGAGAAAGGGATTGGGTTTGGGGAGGGTAGGTCCACAGAGCAGGGAAATGCTCAGCAACTCCAGCAAGAAACAACTTGTCACTTTATAGCTGCTTCTTTGACGTTCTATAGAAATTTGCGTTCTCAGCCTGCTTATTTAACACATCTTCTGTATTGTTTCAAATTCAGCTCCCACAGATGTTCCATTTTGTTCATCAAGAAAGTGAGTCTCTGGGAAGTTAAGTGACTCACATAAGTTCACAAAGGAAGCCATGGGCAGAGCAGAAGTTCTCACCTCAATGGCCTGAATCCAAGGCTTGGGCACTAGTTCCACAGAACAAACAGCCTGACCATGCGGCTCGGCGGGTCAGGAGTTGGTTCTCCCTGAGTAATAGAGCTATGCAGGGCTCAGCAATTCTGGAGAATGGGGATGGGATAACCCAGTTATCTGCCATCCTTCTAATGTACCTATATTTACTCCAGTATCTCTCTCTCTCCCCTGTCTCTTTCCACTTCAAATACGCCCCTCACACTGACTCATCTACAGCCTTCTTTCTTGCCCACCCAAATCAATTTCTGCTTCCTTCCAGTGCTCAGAGAGAATTTCCACCTCTGGTAGGAAAGTCTGGTTGCAGTGAGAGATTTTTCCCAGTTAGGGCAAAATCCAAGTAGGGAGGAAAGGAGAAGGGAGAGAAGGTAAGGAAGACAGATCAACACCCTATATCTGCAAGATGGCACCTTAACAAGGGTCAACCTCAGGGAGTCATTTCTGGTCTTTTTTCTATACCCTTTTATTCCTGACACAAGTCTCCCTACAGGCCCTACATCCCTCTACAGAAATAAGATCTCCAGGGTCCTTCTTCTGAAGTTTCTGGCCTGAGGGTTATTTTAAAGTTGGCATCAACTCAACTCAGACACTACTCTAAGAAGGGGAAGATATTTTACTTCATGAGTGAGTGATTTTTTTCTTTTAAGACTCAAGGTGTGAGTAGCTTCTCTCTTTGAACCCTCCCTCTCAAAAAAAAAAAAAAAAAACAGGCTTTCTAGCTGGAATATTTTACATATTCAAAGTAAAACTGCCCACAGCCACATCTTGGGCCTTTTCAGTTTGACAGTATCTGTGGTAATGTGTGTGTGTGTGTGTGTGTGTGCTCACGTCTGTGTGTTCGTGCAGAATGGACTCAATCCCACACTCCTTAAGCCAGTCCTGGAAGGTCTGTTGGTCTAAACCTGAGGGGAACCAGCCCAGTGAAAACGCAGTACCTTTGGCTCAGCCATACCTTGCAGACTTCATTACCTGGAGTCCTGAACTTTGCACAGAGCATCCACAATCTGCTGCCCTCAAAGCATGGCTAGAGAAATAATAAAGTAGATACCACACTCACTACTCTCAATAAAACCCACAGAGTTGAAATATTTCTTTCTGCAGAGATTTTTTTAAAAAAAAATTATTATTAACTATATTTTTTTTGCCTTCATACAGAATTGTGCCTCTTTCAAGTACTCTAGGAATTTCACTCTGGCAAGTTCCTACAATTTCTTTGAGAGTTGCTTAGCAATATTATTCCATCTTTTAGGGGAAAACTAAAACACTTACTTGAAATAACCCTAAGAGTTTCTGAAATTGAGTTTGGGTCATGTAAAATATTAATCATTTGAAAATCTTGGAAATCATAGAGGATCATGAAAGAAACCATTATTTTCTCCTTTTTTCCATGTTTAAGAGCAAAGACCTACATCCAAAACATTTGTTAACAAATTGCAATAAGAACTCCAAGTTGACAAGATGATGGTATTGGTTTGCATAAGGGGATTTTTTTAAAGTAGCAAAAAAAAATGTTCTAGCAGAAAAGTTGCCTCCTGAGCCTTAATGGGAACAAATGCATAAATCCTTTACTACATATACAGTTATTTAACACTCCACATTTTCTTTTTTTTTCACATTTTTTTATTTTTTATTTTTATTTTTATTTTTTTCTCTCTTTTTTTTTTAATTGCCTTAATGGGATCAAATGCATAAATCCTTTATTACATATATAGTTATTTAACACTTCAAATTTTCTATCACACTTTTTATTTTATCCCTGGCTACCCTCCATCAATTTATTATCCAAATTCATGGAGAGCAGTAAGACCAGTAATTAAGTTATAAATTTTATCTGAGGAGTTGCTATTTGTTTCCCAATTTGAATCTTATTACTAACTGCTGGTATCCTCTCATTTCCTAAGCAACATTGCCATCTCATGGCTAACTCCATACATTTCCCAGGGAAACACCAGGCCTAGGTGAACTAGAGAGACCCTAATAGGATCAATGATGGGAACTGATTTATGTCCCTAGAATTTCCTCCAATTGTCGATCAAGTTTGGTTACAGAGGGAGAGCTCATCCCAGGAAATTGTACAACTTTGGTTTCCAGTAATCAGTGTCATTTTATCTTACATTATCACCTTTGGCTATTTGATGAAGAAAAGTTTAATTCAGTCAAGGAAAACACAAAGAGGAAAATCTGTCATTGCCACCAAGGCATCTCTTAGATCTATTAGCCAATGTATTTGAAACGCTGGCACACTCCAAGTGGAGTTACTTTTGGCCCTTTCCTGGAGATTTTCAGAACGTACTTGTCAACACTAAGATACTGTAATGATAAGAAATTATACCCAGACTTGAAAAGAAGAAAAATGCTTCAATTTTCATGAATGGAAATTGCAACAAGTTCAATTCAAGTATTATCTTTGGAACATTTGCCAAGTAAACAGAAAAAGCCAAATTTTTCTATTCAGTGTTTGCGAAAATTTTAGTTGAGGTAGGCCACCTGTGAGATCTAATATTTGAATGTCAGTTTCACTCCATTTTAGATTTTTCTCTAGAGACTCATATGAATAACTATAAAGATGTTCCCAAATCTGAATCATCCAGGTGACATCTAGCTCTATTTGGCAGATGACCATGACTAATCAAACAATGACCAATAGGGACTCATTATTCTAAGTCTATGACTGCAAATCTCAATGACACATAGTGAACACAGACTTGTAAGATGGAAGGAAATGACTTATAAGTTTAGTAAGAAAACATATTCTGTCAGTTCAACAAAGAAGCTGTCCAAATATAAACCACAAGATAAGCAAATTTTTACCTCTAGGGAAGACAGAAGTACTATACTTTCTCATCCTTCTCCTTTTATTGAAAATTTAATTGCATAGCCCATAATTAGCTATTTACATATGAATTTTCAGTAAATTATCTATTTCTGGATTGTAGCAAATAACATTCTGAGAGTCTTTTAAACGGAGACATCATTTTCCATTTAGAAATTTCCATCTATTGCATGTATGATGCTGCCCCATCATATATGCAATAATTTATTTTTGCAATATTCTCCTTGTCGGGCATTAAGGATGGTCCAGACTAGTGTTTTTCACACTTGGCTACTGATGTTGAAAATACAGATGTCCCTGGAGACTTTGATCCAGGGAGCTTGAGGTGGGATCCAAGAGTTTACCTCTAATAATCAAGCCAAGTGATTTTCATCATCAAACAAACTTTGAAAATACTAGTCAACATTTTCATTGAAGTTACTCAAAATCTAAGTATATTCAAAGCTCAGACTTATTGGAAGTGTAATTCATCTTAAAACTTGTCACTTTTTAATAACCCATATATTTTTTAAATGTGAAACATAATTTGAAATGTTCATAAAATGCATTCATGAATTATGATATAAATGAATCTTCACATGAAATGCTATTTAGTGTGTCCTAATTTTGAATAATGTGTATTTGTCACTTTCATTGGCTCATAATTCCATTTAAGATTAGGTGTCTGTATTTTTTCATAAATTTTTTGATGCCTAATATTTCTGCATATTTATGAGGTACATATCATATTTTGTTACATGCATAGAATGTGTAATAATCAAGTCATGGTATTTAGGATATCCATCACCTCGAGCATTTATCATTTTGTTGTGTTGGGAACATTGCAAACCCTCTCTTCTAGCTATTTTGAAATATATATTGTTATTAACTGTAGTCACCCTAATGTGTTACTGAACATTAGAACTTATTCTATCTGCATGTATGTTTGTACTGATTAACTCACCTCTCTTTATCTCCCCACAATCCCCCCAAAACACACACACCCATCCCAGCCACTAGTAACTATCATTCTACTTTCTACCTCCATGAGATCAACTACTTTTAGCTCCCCCATGAGTGAGAACATGTGATATTTTTGTCTTTCTGCATCTGGCTTATGGGTGCCTGTATTTAAGAAGCATAAATGGATTTGCATCAGGGAGATTAATTAGGAAAACTCAAACCATGAGAAAGAAAGAAATTATAAGAGAAGCAGGGAGAAAAAATAGAAGTGAAGATGAAAAGGTACAATAGGGTAAGGGACTTAAGGAAAAATAGAAACACAGGAAAAACAACACTGACATAAATATTAGGGCTCAAGTGAATTTTATTTTATGATACAGTTAATAGAAGGGTGTAGAAAATAGATGAAAGGAAAAGATAGAATAGACGAAAGGGAAACATAGATATAAAGAAGAGATTTCTGTAAAAGGTTTTGGCCTTTAGTAGATAATTTGTTGGGTGAAAACTGTTTATCTGGTGATAAAACATAACTCCAAATGGTCAGCAACATCTTTAATTCGAAGGAAACAGGTCCCAAGGAAGCATTTTCTAAAACAGATCTTCTGGCACAGTACAGTGGCAAGAGCTTCATGAAGAAAGGGGTTCCTTGGTGAAATCAGTTTGGAGAATGCTGCATATTACATTCTTCTTCTTAAAGATTCTCATGCACAGTAGAGGATTAGGAGAAGACCTGTTAAACTCACTCTTACCTCAGTGTTTTCCAGGCCTGTCTGACCATAGGACTCATTTCACTCTAAATCTTACTAACATCCTATAGAGTTATTGACAAGAGGGTGGGTTGAATATCAGAAAACCTGGGTTTGAACCTTCACTCCAACATTTACTAGCTATGTGACCTGAGGCAGATTACTTAATAATAACCTTAAGCCTCAGCTTCTCCCTGTGTGAAATGGGTTTAATAATGTAAAGTTTTGGCACAATGTCGGGTACATGGTAAATGCTGGATTAAGTACCAGTTATTAGTTATCTTTCAGAAGATATTTTGGGAAACCTATGAACATCCTAAGCTTTCTGCCAAATTATCAATAAAAAGTACTAAATTATGCCATCATTCTTAGAACATCTAGAAGAAATATATTTTTCCAATCAAAGAAAATTAGCAAGTTTTTCTTTTATTTTTCCTTCCCTGCCTCCTCCACAAACTTTTTTTTTCCAGTTAGGAAATTTCAAATCAAACTAAGAAAAAACATAAATTAGTCACATCACAGCAAGTCAATGATTTGCAGCAAGGAGGTGTCATAAGCAACAGTCTAGACATAAATAGAACAGTATAGACATAAATAGATCTTGGATCAAAGATAACCATTTCTAAGGTGAAGCTGCCTTAGAAAACCACAACTCTCTCACAGGCCAGTAAGACTGTGTTCATGCCAAACACAACAGTGGAATAGGCGAAACCTGGTTTCCTGCCCTTGACTATCCAGCTCAGATAAAAAAAAAAAAGCCTTCCTTACAAAACCTGCCAACCCTGATCATGTACTAAGGGCCCTACGAGTCTGCATTGCTCCCTCTACCCATATGACTTTCAGGAAGAATCTAAAACCTCATTCATGCTATGGGGTTACTGCTCTGAATTATGTGCATTTGCATTCTAACATCCTTCAACTTCAGTCTGAGTAAAATTCTAAAAGTGAAATGTCAGGAATTTGCTAATAAAGTGTGGAGTGGGGAGGTCTTCCTAGGGAGAGCTCCTACAAGTACTTCTGTGGAAAGTAGATTCTCCAACCTCTGTGTCTGCTCTGGTTCTAAAGCCTTATTTCTAAGGGTGCATGCAAGGTCCTTTGGGCCCTGTTTGGCATTTTCAGCACTTTACTCAGGCAGCATCTGGATTTTCTCAGATCCATTCTCACTGTATGTTACACCGGGCAGGGAAACCTCCTGTTTGAAGCCTGAATGAGTTATTACACATTACTAAGTCTGGGCTTCCAGGTGACAGTGCCAGGAAAGATTGATTCAACCCTCTATCAACATCATGGACTTACTATTATCTCCCAAACAAGATGTCATTAACAGCCACTGCCCCATCTTTCAGAAAGATCACAGATCTATCCCATAGGTACACACTGCCAAGGAGTGCTGAGAGCACTCTCTCCATAACTGAAAGTCTTGCTCACCACTGTGTCCTCAGGGTCTAATGCAGTGCCTGGAACACTACTTAACAAAGCATCAGCAAGTGCTTCTTAAATGAATTAATGATGAATGAACAAATAACATTTTTCCATTCCAACTTCAAATTTGTGACCCAATCCTAAGTCTATTATTCTAAAGACATGGTTCTGAAACGTGTTCCCTGACCTAAGAAAACAGAAATAAATAGGAGGAAAATGTCACGCTCAATCCTCAGCATCCCAACCCCAGAAATCAATTGTTGAAGTGTCTGATTCATCAAATGACACTCAAGGTCTTCAGACAGTTGTCCAATTACTAAATAGTTTTGTAAGACATATTTTATCTCACATTTTAATACACTTATTTCCACTGTATCTCCAAAATTATGGCTTAAACTACATTGAAATAAACCTGTAACATAACCATTTATTACATTCATTTGTTGCTTACCCAGCAAAGAATAGAGATAGCTGCTTGGTGTTGATAGGCAGTTGTCAATGATATTATAGAAAGTATGATGTTCATGCTGACACCCAGTATGCAGTTTTTTAAGAGTAAAATTGTCCCATTGCATTTCATTTTGAAATAAGAAAATTAGTTCCTCTTTTATTTTTAAGGCCTCTGCCCACACTGTATTAAGTAAGACCAATGCACTTCATTGCTTTGGTATTTAAGTGGCATATACTGAATGCCACTTATCTATAGGGCTCCTGGGCTCATGTTTCAATGACCTCATGCGGTGTGTAACATTAGTTTCTTAAAAGCTCCATAGCCTCTTGCCTTTAATTATAGGTATGAAATTATTCAAAGCAATACTACTAAGACATCTTCCACTCAACCCAAATGTTATAGAATGCTATTGGCAGCAATCCACCTCATGAAGGATTTGTGGGGTACTTAAAAGGAAATTAGAATGGCCTGCAAATTGCCTTTACTTAGGAATACAGCAGGTGGAGCACCCAGCTATGGTCATGGGAGGTGCAAGAATTGATCTTATGAGCCCATCCTTCTCCCCACACTCATTTTATTACTAATAATCCTAGGATTATAGGCTTAATAAATCTTTGTTAAAGGACTGAGTAATTCACCTGTGGCTGACATAATTGAGTTACACTCTATTTTGTACTTCACCATACTACTTTTCTACTATTACCTTTCAAAGTTTTTTTTATGTACAGGTATTTGCTCCATAAATTCATGTATTTAAATCCTTCAACTGATATATAACATTTTCTCTTTTAATTTTGCTGTACTCTTATTTTATTGATTTCTTCCTTCATATCTGCTCTCTACGACACAAAAATCACCAAGGAATGCAACTGAACATGACATAAAACTCATAAAAACCAGAGCCTTGTCCACCACTATATCCCTAGAAGTGTGTATTATGGGTAGCACAGAGGAGGTATTCAATAAGATTATGAATGAATAAATGAACAATCAATAAACAGAAAAACTGATAATGTATGTCATGAAGAAACAAAAAGAACAGGACAGAATCTTATTCTGAAATAAAAGTCAGTCTTGGAACAAGACTGAATAGTGTATCGGATGAACAGATTCCTTACATATAAAGTTGACACACCTTGATTGCCATGGTAAGTGAAATAATGTAAGTGAAAGCTCCACAAAATGGTAAAGCACTACTCAGAGAGAGTGTCTTGAACATGACAATGAGCTGTGAATAAAATAAAGCTAGCAATTAAGGCTACCATATGGAATTGCAGCAATCCCATGGTCTTCCTCAGCGCAGGGTGCAGTAAGTATTTCTGAATGAATTTATGGTCCTGGTTTGGACCACAGACATTGGTATGGTTTGGTTCTGTGTCCCCATCCAAATCTGATCTCAAATTGTAATCTCCATGTGTCGAGGGAGGGACCTGGTGGGAGGTGACTGGATCATGGGGGCAGTTCCCCCCATGCTGTTCTTGTGATAGTGAGTTCTCACAAGATCTGATGGTTTAAACGCGCTTGGCAGTTCCCTCCTTGCGCTCTCTCTGCTGCCAACTTGTGAAGAAGGCATTTGTTTCTCCTTTACCTTCTGCCATGACTGTAAGTTTCCTGAGGGTTCCCAGCCATGCAGAACTATGAGTCAATTAAAAAAACCTCTTTCGTTATAAATTACCCAGTCTCAAGTAGTTCTTTATAGCAGTGTGAAAATGGACTAATACAGAGATTATAGATGGGTAAAGGACATCATTGAACTTGGGACTGTAGAAGGAAAGCATTTTATTGCAAATAACTAATAGTTACAAAAGCACTTTTTAAATGTTATTATTAGATGTTAAGCCGAAAATCTAGAAACTAACATTTACCCAGGTTACAAAATAAGAGCTTCACATTTTTCAAAGTCTCTAAGGGTAAGGTACATCCCCAGATAAAATGAGTATAGGCCAGTCTCCTTTGGCTTTGTGGATTCTTTCCAAAAATTTTCCAGACTATTTAGCTTTCCTTGTGTAGTTACAGCTCAAATTAGAAACTGAAGAAACAGCAAGTGGCCAGGCAGGGTAGAAAGCAAATAAACTGAGCTACCTGTGCCTTTTTCCAAATCAGTATATGTGCTTGGCTCCTGAAAAAAAAAATTCTGATATGTAGGCATTCTCATTACTTAGTGAGATATTAGTGAAGACCTTTCAACGTATAACACACAGTAACTGTTGCATAGTTTTAATAAACACTTGAATTTTCCAGGAATGTGACTGCTGTGTAAATCAGGGCAAGACTGTAAGGTTTTTTTTTTTTTGTTTAAAACATTAACAAGAATTGCCCACCACTTCAGAAAGTCACATCCAATGACAACACCGTGATTTTCTGTTGCCAATACACACATTGATTTTCATTTGTAGCTGGTGGCTCTACATGCAGGTTCAGCCATCTAATGACTTAATTTTATCTTCTAGGGTGGTTATACCCAAGCTTTTTTATTGAAATACATTTTATTTTATTAAAAGTTGCCTTTTTTTCTGCTTTATATTATAGTTAGGGTACTATGTTCACTGCTTAAAATTATACATGCACATAGATGATTATATTAACTTTAATTTTCATTTCATATTCAGAATAAAATACTTGTTATAAAAGGGAACATTGAGTCTGCAGGGTTAAGAGGGGCACTAATTGTATCCAACCTCCTCACCCTATGATAAAACCAAGGCTCAGAGAAGTGAAGTAACTTGCTCAGTGCCACAAAGCAAGCTGATGACCAAGTCATGACTAGCAGTTACCTAGGCAGATAGTGCTCCTTCCAGCACACTGCATTGCTTCAAAGTGATGACTAATGTAAATATGCAAAGAGGGCAAAAAATTCAACTCATACTTCAGAATGAGGTGGTGACCATTAGACTCAAGGGGCAGGCACTGAAGAGGTCCCTCAAACCTCCAGCACAGGGGTAAGATGCTTTAGAGAAGCTGTTTGTTTTATTTTCACCTGAAAAGCATCAGGTGCTGGTTCTGGCACTAAGCTTATGCAAAACTGAGCTGAGGCCAATTCAGTGTCTCTCTCAAAGGTATGTGGAGAAAGTAGATGTTTGTGAGGCATGTGTTTAAGGCTGACTTAAAAGTGAAAAAAAGGCAGAAAGAACATTACTTATTGCAAGAAAGCAACATTCCATTCTTATCTTGAACGTGAAGTTTCAAAAGTATTTGACAGTGAAGAAGTCAAGGGATATATACTCAATTTAAAATCAGTAAATGGTGCCCCTAGTTTTGGGCCTTGAGTTTAAGTAGTTTTGGTCAGACAGAGTTCAATAGGAGGTCTGAATTTGCAAATAACTAGGTAGAACAGGTGAAGAGCATGTCCCAAGAAACTTTTATATATAACACATGCATTAAAACAGTTTGAAATATTCCCAGGAGATATGCATGAGGTAATTAACATTTATCTCAAAGCTGGCTTCTAATCAAATCACTGCTCTACATTTATGAACAAGGAAATTCTCTCAACTAAGTAGCTTTGACATTCATTGGTCAACTAAACCAAACTGGGCACTCTCAAAATCAGAACGGAAAAGCAAGCCAACCAATAAATATAATTTGTTGGCTAATATATAAAGAAAATGTATCTTAAATTATCTTCTACACTTAGCCTTAAGTCACTGCTACTAACATGAGCTCCCCAACCTGAGATTAGGGCTGTCTTCCAAACCTTAAAAGGAAATTAAAACACCTAATATTGGTTTTGAGCTAAAGCTGATACCAACAATTATATTTACGATCCATCTGCAAACTAAAATGATTCATCTTTTCTTTTAGCCTCAGCATGGTAGATGCTTTCCACTTCAGTTCACACAGTTCCCATAAAAGAGCGTAGTGTTTTGAGATGGAAATCTTGAACCTTTGTAACGGACTTTGCTTCGAATGAATATGATCCTAAATGCCTATACAATCATTTTTATGAAATTAATGGAATTAGTATCTATAAAATAAAATAGAATGCAATATATCTAAAGTTACAAATGCGCCAAGCCAAAACATTTAACTCTCTGTGTGGGGTGATACACAGAATTGCCTTTTGACATTATCTTAAGTGAGGTCTGAGGCAGACACAGAAGACAGATGGCGGCACTGGAGAAAGCAGCTGTTTCCACGCACTGGGTCAAAGGAGCAGGTCTGGTGCTTTTAAAATCCTAGGGAGAAAAATAGACAGTTCATTATTATGGTCACTTTCTTCGATTTTCTTTTGGAAGCACCTAAATGAAAGAGGCGGTTAATCTAGGTTTATGGCAATGAAGCCTCTTGGTTGGAAGCTCCTTCTACATGACCCATGGGACCTGCCTGGGTACCATCAGCCAGAGGCCCAGACATGAAAGGTGTGAGGAGTAAGAAAAAGATGCTCTCTAGGAAGCAAAGCATTCATTTTGCTGCTCAGTGCTAAGTACTAGAAGGAGTATTAAAAAGCAGAAAATTTGATCCATCTGAACTAATCCCACTTACTTGGCAATCCACATCTTATTGGAGAAGGACTCCGACTTCGAGACATCTGGAAAATATAAAAGAATAATGTGAATTACATAGTAGACGGAGCTCAAAGGATGAATTCTTTTGACATATTTTTTTTCCCTAAAACCAACCAAATAGCTTTCTCTGAGGCACTTTAGCACTATGATTTTTCACCCTAAGGTTGACTATTGTGATTCTTTTTAGACTTCTGAAGTATTGGTTTAAATTATATTATTAGTTAAAAGCTGGGTTCAGTAGCCTAAGAGCAGCCATACTGAATTCAGTGCTTTCCAGAAAATAAAAATATTTATTAAAACTCACAAATTAAAGCTAAAATGATGATACAATATCTGGGAGATCCTTTATAAAAATTATAAGTCATAAACTCTGCTCTATTAAGAAGGGTCACCAGGCAACCAGAAAATCTTCATCTTTCAAATCTCACCTTTACTTTCACTAAGTAGAAGGTACTGCACCGGAACCACAAGTCAGTGACATAGCCGGTCAGGCGTAACTGGCTACAAGCATCATCCTTGCTCTGAGCTTTCAAACACTCTAGATAAATAGATGCTGATAAAGATGGAATCCATTCTGGATGAATCAAGACCCCCACATAGGCAAAAATAAACCCAACTAACCAAAAATATTTGTATTTTATTTTGCAGGTATACCCAGTTTTGTTGTGGCAAGAGGATGATGGAAACAGACAGAAAGTTGACTGCAGTGATACCTTTGAGATTAGATTTTATTCTCATCTAAAGTTTAAATTAATGTGTTCTTTCTGAGCACAACATGAGAAAGAAAGAGAAGGTATAGGGGATTCTCACAGAGGACATTGCCCATGAATAAGCCTTTTGATGGGAGTCCGGAGTTACAATTTGCCATGGCTGTTGCACAATAACTGTCTAATAGTATTTTCTTCTTATATGCCATTTCCTCTTAGAATGAGGAATTCTGGTTCTCTCAGTATCATGCTCCCAATGTTTCCTTTTTATTTACCAGTCTACTAAGTGCACTATTGTTTTGCTTTTACTTACCATAAATACTTATTCATGAAAAAAGATAATGATGCTATATGAAAATCTCTAAGAGCAAAAGGATTGTGCCAGATGCATGACTTTTCCATTTCCCTATCATTTTTTAGGTCATTTTCTTCACCTGAATATTCCTTCCCAATTTCCTAGCCCATTGAAATTCCACCCATTCTAAAACACCAAATTAAATACTACCACCCCATTGAATGCCTTCCTCATGACCAAATCTGGGAGGAATCTCTATCTCATCTGATGACTCTAGCCCTTTCTGCTTCTTTTATTGACTATCATATTGTATCATATTATAGATGTATTGGTTTGTTGACTGTATCACATTCAGCTAATCTGTTTAAATCATAATAATCTTTCTCTTTCCTATATTTTATTTTTCTTTTTAAGTTTAGGGGTACATCTGCAGGTTTGTTATATTGGTAAAACCTTGTCATGGGGGATTTCTGGACAGATTTTCATCACCTGGGTATTAAGCCTAGTACCAATTAGTTATTTTTCCCGATCCTCTCCCTCCTCCCACCATCCACTCTCTGGTGGTCCCCAGTGTCTGCTGTTCCCTCTTTGTGTCCATGTGTTCTCATCATTTAGTTTCAACTTATAAGTGAGAAAGGTATTTGGTTTTCTGTTCCTGTGTTAGTTTGCTAAAGATAATGACCTTCAGCTCCATCCATGTTCCTGCAAAGGACATGGTCTCGTGATCTTCCTATATTAAGACCTATTCAGAGAAGATAACATGTTTTTGTCATTTTTGTGTCCCTCCCAAATCAAGCATCCATCAGATCCAGAAAGAATGTATGATAAGGAGCATGCAGGAGTCACAATAGATGCTCATTAAAGTCCGTAAGGGGGAGTAGATTCAAGATGGCTGAATAGAAACAGCACTGGTCTGCAGCCCCCAGCAAGATCAACGCAGAAGGCAAGTGAGTTCTGCATTTCCAACTGAGGAACCCAGTTCATCTCATTGGAACTGGTTGGACAGAGGGTGTAGCCCATGGAGGGCAAGCCAATGTATGGTGGGGCATCACCTCACCTGGGAAGTGCAAAGGGCCAGAGAATGTTCCCCCCTACCCAAGGGAAGCCGTGAGGGTCTGAGCCTGAGGAACTCTGGCACAGATGCTGCGCTTGTCCCATGGTCTTTGCAACCTGCAAACCAGGAGATTCCCTCCAGTGACTACCTCACCAGGGCCCTGGGTTTCAAGCACAAAACTGGGCAGCCAATTGGGCAGACATCAAACTAGCTGCAGGGGCTTTTTTTTTTTTCTCCCATATCCCAGTGGCGCCTGGAACACCAGCAAAACAGAACCGTTCACTTCCCTGGAAAGGGGGCAATGAACCCAGGCAGCCAAGAGGTCTGGCTCAGCGGGTCCCATCCCCACGGAGCCCAGGAAACTAAGATCCACTGGCTTGAAATTCTCACTGCCAGCACAGCAGAAATCTGAGATCTATCTGGGATGGTCAAGCTTGGTCGGGGAGGGGTGTCCACCATTGCTGAGGCTTGAGTAGGCGGTTTTACAGCCACAGTGTAAACAAAGCTGCTAGGAAGTTCAAATTGGGTGGAGCACACTGCAGCTCAGCAAGGCTGCTGTGGCCAGACTGGCAGATTGCTCCTCTTTGGACAGGGCATCTCTGTAAAAAAGGCAGCAGCCCCAGTCAGGGGCTTATAGCAGACTTAAACGTCCCAGCCTGATGGCTCTGAAGAGAGCAGCAAACCTCCCAGCCCAGCATTCGAGCTCTGCTAAGGGTCAGTCTACCTTCTCAAGTGGATCCCTGACTCCTGTGTATACTGACTGGGAGACACCTCCCAACTGGGGCCAACAGACACCTCATACAGGAGCGCTCTGGCTGGCATCTGGCAGGTGCCCCTCTGGGTTAAAGCTTCCAGAGGAAAGAACAGGCAGCAATCTTTGCTGCTCTGCAGCCTCCACTGGTGATACCCAGGCAAACAGGGTTGGGAGTGGACTTTCAGTAAACTCCAGCAGGCTGACAGCAGAGGGGCCTGACTGTTAAAAGGAAAAGAAACAAACAGAAAGGATTAGCATGTCCACTCAAAGACCCCATCCAAAGGTCACCAACATCAAAGACCAAAGGTAGATAATTCCACAAAGATGGGGAAAAACCAGCACAAAAAGGCTGAAAATTCCAAAAACCAGAACACCTTTCCTCCTCCAAAGGATCACAACTCATAGCCAGCAAGGGAACAAAACTGGATGGAGAATGAGTTTGATGAACTGACAGAAGTAGGCTTCAGAACGATGGTAATAACAAACAACTCCAAGCTAAAGGAGTATGTTCTAACCCACTGCAAGGAAGCTAAGAACCTTGAAAAAAGGTTAGTCGAATTGCTAACTAGAATAACCAATGTAGAGAAGAACATAAATGACCTGATGGGGCTGAACACAGCACAAGAACTTCGTGAGGAATACACAAGTATCAATAGCCAAATCAATCAAGCAGAAGAAAGGATATCAGTGATTGAAGATTAACTTAATGAAATAAAGAGAGAAGACAAGATTAGAGAAAAAAGAATAAAAAGGAACAAACAAAGCCTCCAAGAAATATGGGATTATGTTAAAAGACCAAATCTACATTTGACTGAAAATGTACTTGAAAGTGATGGGGAGAATGGAACCAAGCTGGAAAACACTCTTCAGGTTATTATCCAGGAGATATTCCCCAACCAAGCAAGACAGGCCAAGATCCAAATTCAGGAAATACAGAGAACTCCACAAAGATGCTCTTCAAGAAGAGCAACCCCAAGACACATAATCGTCAGATTCACCAAGGTTGAAATGAAAGAAAAAATGCCAAGGGCAGCCAAAGAGAAAGGTTGGGTTAACCACAAAGGGAAGCTCATCATACTAACAGTGAGTGAATCTGTCTGCAGAAAACCTACAAGCCAGAAGAGAGTGAGGGCCAATATTCAACGTTCATTAAAGAAAAGAATTTTTAACCCAGAATTTCATATCCAGCCAAACTAAGCTTCATAAGCAAAGGAGAAATAAAATCCTTTACAGACAAGCAAATGCTGAGGGATTTTGCCATCACCAGACCTGCCTTACAAGAGCTCCTGAAAGACGCACTAAACATGAAAAGGAAAAACCGGTACCAGCCACTGCAAAAACAAACCAAAATGTAAAGGCCATTGACACTATGAAGGAACTGCATTAACTAATGGGCAAAACAATCAGCTAGCATCATAATGACAGGATCAAGTACACACATAACAATATTAACCTTAAATGTAAACGGACTAAATGCCCCAATTAAAAGACACAGACTGGCAAACTGGATAAAGAGTCAAGACCCATCAGTGTGCTATATTCAGGAAACTGATCTCACGTGCAAAGACACACATAGGCTCAAAATAAAGGGATGGGAGAATATTTACCAAGCAAATGGAAAGCAAAAAAAAGCAGGGGTTGCAATCCTAATCTCTGATAAAACAGACTTTAAACCAACAAAGATCAAAAGAGGCAAAGAAGGGCATTACATAATGGTAAAGGGAACAATGCAGCAAGAACTAACCATCCTAAATATATATGCACCCAATACAGAAGCACCCAGATTCATAAAGCAAATTCTTAGAGACCTACAAAGAGACTTATACTCCCACACAATAATAGTGAGAGACTTTAACACCCCACTGTCAATATTAGACAGATCAATGAGACAGAAAATGAACAAGGATATTCAGGACTTGAACTCAGGTCTAGACCAAGTGGACCTAATAGACCTCTACAAAACTCTCCACCCCAAATCAACAGAATATACATTCTTCTCGGCACCAGATAGCACTTATTCTAAAATTGACCACATAATTGGAAGTAAAACACTCTTCAGCAAATGCAAAAGTATGGAAATAATAACAAACAGTCTCTCAGATCACAGAGCAATCAAATTAGAACTCAGGTTTAAGAAACTCACTCAAAAGCACACAAATACATAGAAACTGAACAACCTGCTCCTGAATGACTACTGGGTAAATAACGAAATGAAGGCAGAAATAAAGATGTTCTTTGAAACCAATGAGAACGAAGACAACTTACCAGAATCTGTGGGACACATTTAAAGCAGTGTTTAGAGATAAATTTATAGCATTAAATACCCATAAGACAAAGCAGGAAAGATCTAAAATTGACACCCTAACATCAAAATTAAAAGAACTAGAGAAGCAACAGCAAACAAATTCAAAAGCTAGCAGAAGGCATGAAATAACTAAGATCAGAGTAGAACTGAAGGAGATAGAGACATTAACAACACTTCAAAAAATCAATGAATCCAGGAGCTGGTTTTTTTAAAAAAGATCTGCAAAATAGATATACTGCTAGCCAGACTAATAAGGAAGAAAAGAGAGAAGAATCAAATAGACACAATAAAAAATGATAAGAGGGGTATCATCACTGATCCCACAGAAATACAAACTACCATCAGAGAATACTATAAACACCTCTTCACAAATAAACTAGAAAATCTAGAAGAAATGGATAAATTCCTGGACACATACACCCTCCCAAGTCTAAGCCAGGAAGAAGTCGAATCCCTGAATAGACCAATAACAAGTTCTGAAACTGAGGCAGTAATTAATAGCCTACCAACCAAAAAAAGTCCAGGACCAGACGGATTCACAGCTGAATTCTACCAGAGGTACAAAGAGGAAATGGTACCATTCGTTCTGAAACTATTCCAAACAATAGAAAAATAGGGAATCCTCCCTAACTCATTTTAAGAGGCCAGCATCATCCTGACACCAAAACCTGGCAGAGACACAACAAAAAAAGAAAATTTCAGGCCAATATCCCTGATGAACATCGATGCAAAAATCCTCAATAAAATACTGGCAAACTGAATCCAGCAGCACATCAAAAAGCTTATCCACTATGAACAAGTTGGCTTCATTCCTGGGATGCAAGGCTGGTTCAATATATGCAAATCAATAAACGTAATCCATCACATAAACAGAACCAATGACAAAAACCACATGATTATCTTAATAGATGCAGAAAAATTCAATAAATTCAATAAAATTCCACACGCCTTCATGCTAAAAAACTCTCAATAAACTAAGTATCAATGGAACATATCTCAAAATAATAAGAGCTATTTATGACAAATCCACAGCCAATATCATACTTGCTGAATGGTAAAAACTGGAAGCATTCCTTTTGAAAACCGGCACAAGACAAGGATGCCTTCTCTCACCACTCCTATTCAACACAGTATTGGAAGTTCTGGCCAGGGCAATCAGGCAAGAGAAAAAAATAAAGGGGATTCAAATAGGAAGAGAGGAAGTCAAATTGTCTCTGTTTGCAGATGACATGATTGTATATTTAGAAAACCGCATCGTCTCAGCCCAAAACCTCCTTAAGCTAATAAGCAACTTCAGCAAAGTCTCAGGATACAAAATCAACATGCAAAAATCACAAGCATTCCTATACACCAATAACAGACAAACAGAGAGCCAAATCATGAGTGAACTCACATTCACAATTGCTACTAAGAGAATAAAATACCTAGGAATACAACTTACAAGGAATGTGAAGGACCCCTTCAAGGAGAACGACAAACCCACTGCTCAAGGAAATCAGAGAAGACACAAATAAATGGAAACATATTCCATGTTCATGGATAGGAAGAGTTAATATCGTGAAAATGGCCATACTGTCCAAAGTAATTTATAGATTCAATGCTATCTCCATCAAGCTACCACTGACTTTCTTCACAGAATTGGAAAAAACCACTTTAAATTTCATATGGAACCAAAAAAGAGCCCTCCTAGCCAAGACAATCCTGGGCAAGAAGAACAAAGCTAGAGGCATCACGCTACCTGACTTCAAACTATACTACAAGGCTAGAGTAAGCAAAACAGCATGGTACTTGTACAAAAACAGATATATAGACCAATGGAACAGAACAGAGGCCTCAGAAATAAAACCATACAGCTACAACCATCTGATCTTTGACAAATCTGACAAAAACAAGCAAAGGGGAAAAAAGATTTCCTATTTAATAAATGGTGTTGTGAAAACTGGCTAGCCATAATGCAGAAAACTGAAACTGGACCCCTTCCTTACACCTTTTACAAAAATCAACTCAAGATGGACCAAAGACTTAAATGTAAGACCTAGGACCATAAAAATCCTAGAAGAAAACCTGGACAATACCATTCAGGACATAGGCATGGGCAAAGACTTCACGCCTAAAACACCAAAAGCAATGGTAACAAAAGCCAAAATTGACAAATGGGATCTAATAAACTAAAGAGCTTTTGCACAGCAAAAGAAACTGTCATTAGAATGAACAGGCAACCTACAGAATGGGAGAAAATATTTGCAGTCTCTCCATCTGACAAAGGGCTAATATCCACAATCTACAAAGAACTTAAACAAATTTACAAGAAAAAAACAAACAACCCCATCAAAAAGTGGGCAAAGGATATGAACAGACGCTTTTCCAAAGAAGACATTTATGCAGCCAACAGACATATGAAAAAAATGCTCATCATCACTGGTCATTAGAGAAATGCACATCAAAACCACAATGAGATACCATCTCACACCAGTTAGAATGGCAATCATTAAAAAGTCAGGAAACAACACATCCTGGAGAGGTTGTGGAAAAATAGGAATGCTTTTACACTGTTGGTGAGAGTGTAAATTAGTTCAACCATTGTGAAAGAGAGTGTGGTGATTCCTCAAGGATCTAGAACTGGAAATACCATTTGACCCAGCAATGCCATTACTGGGCATATACCCAAATGATTATAAATCATTCTACGATAAAGACACATGCAGACATATGCTTA
This sequence comes from Homo sapiens, assembly GCF_000001405.40. Classification (NCBI taxonomy): domain Eukaryota; kingdom Metazoa; phylum Chordata; class Mammalia; order Primates; family Hominidae; genus Homo; species Homo sapiens. The sequence continues at coordinate 52,086,718 of NC_000004.12, read as the reverse complement.
TTGCAGCACTACTCACAAAAGCAAAGACTTGAAACCAACCCAAATGCCCATCAATGATAGAATGGATTAAGAAAATGTGGCACATATACACCATGGAATACTATGCAGCCATAAAAAAGGATGAATTTATGTCCTTTGCAGGGACATTGATGAAGCTGGAAGCCATCATTCTCAGCAAACTATCATAAGATCAGAAAACCAAACACCACATGTTCTCACTCATAAGTGGGAGTTGAACAGTGATAACACATGGACACAGGGAGGGGAACATCACACACTGGGGCCTGTCAGGGGTTGGGGGTGAGGGTCTAGGAGAGGGATAACATTAGGGGAAATACCTAATGTAGGCGATTGGTTGATGGGTGCATCAAACCACCAGGGCACGTGTATACCTATGTAACAAAACTGCATGTTCTGCACATGTAACCCAGAACTTAAAGTATAAAAGAAAAAAGTCAGTAAGGAAGCTGGGTTTCATCAACTGCAGGGGTTTTTGGTTTTGTTTTTGTTTTGCTGAGGAAGTTTTGCAACTTTGGGGCTACAGCTGCATGCTAGAGGCAATTTCAGAAAAGTGTGTAGGGTTGCCGGATGTGATTCTCCTTCTCTACCACTCTCTCTAAACAAGGTTGGACAAATATTTAAATAATTATTATTTGGAGGAACAGCACATTGTTAGCCTATTTGGTGTCCACATGTCTTGGTCTAGCCCTGTATTCAAAAGACACTGACTAAATATGTGTTGAATAAATGAATAGTGGTGAATCATAATTTTTTTAATGTTTTGGGGAGTTTTGTTTTCTTTTGTTTAAGACAGGATCTCACTCTCTCACCCAGGCTAGAGTGCAGTGTGGTACAATCACGGCTAACTGCAGCCTCGACCTCCCTGGGCTCAGATGATCCTCCCAGCTCAGCCTCCTAAGTAGCTGGGACTACAGGCACATGCCACCATGCCTGGCTAATTTGGGGGGGAATTTTTTGTTATACCCAGATAATTTGGGGGAGGATTTTTGTTTTGTTTTATAGGGACAATGTTTCCCCATGTTGCCATAGCTGGTCTCAAACTCCTGGGCTCAAGCAATCCTCCCACCTCAGCCTCTGAAAGTGCTAGAGTTACAGGTGTCAGCCACCCTACCCAGCCCATAATAATGTTTTTAGGGATGTTATCTTCATAGTTTTCATGATGTTTTTGCTGTTATTTTTTTCTTTAACAGAAGTATTAGCAATCTTTCCAAAAACTAATACACACAAAAAAACCTTATTTTTTCTAATTTGAAGTTGAGGACACATTAATACCTGCAATGCCCTTTATAAGGTATTGAAATCCAGACCATTTGAGTAATTTCTCTAAACTCATACACAAATTTCTAGAGGAACCAGGGACTTGTGCCAAGATCAGTTGACTATGGTATCCCATTCACTCTTCAGTCCACTATCTGATCTCTAATAGCCCATTTCATCCAAGATAAAAATAAAACTATGAAATACATAAAATCTACTATTCCTTGAACTAAGAAAGAAAGATAAAACTCTACTCCTTTCTAGAATAATAAATTATTTAGCCCACAGTAGTATAAAAATCAATTTGGAGCTAGCATTATTGCAACAGGTTCTCTTTCCACCTGTAGACTTATAATCACCTCTTTTGTATTGCTGAAGCAAAAAAAAAAAAAAGCCAACCATAGATGAATTTTGTGTAAAAATGATTAGATAGATATGTACCGTGTTTAAACCAATTTGGCTACGGGGGCAAATGGGACTTAAACTCCTGCTTCGACAACGACTTACAGATCGCACCGAATTCCACTTAAAAAAGAGAGAGAAAGAGAGAGACATAGTCAGGAGTTTGTGAAAACTGTCATGGCTCAAAACAACATGCATATCCCACAGAATAAGAGTTTTACTTATGTGATTACACTTGCCCATTACTGATCATCTGCACAAGCCACACTCCGTTCACCTCCTATAGCTGCCCAATATTTGGCAGTAACTTCAGGTACTTTTTAAATATAATCCCATTACAATGAACCTTGGGATATTCTGGTGTTTGATGCCAGTAGAATGTTTTTTATGAGTAAGCTATTGGAAATTACATAGGAGTTTGTTAGTGCTGGAGAATGTAAGCTCCATGTGGGTAGAGATTTGTATCTGTTTTATTTATTGCTAAATCTCTAGCACATAAATACAGTGTTTGGGTCATAAATAACTATTGAATAAATAAATATCATTGGATGAATGAATAAAACACCACTACTGCCTATCTGCTTTCTAACTAAATGAATAAGAAGAAAGCTATAGTCACTAAAATGAGATTTTACTGGTAAAATCCTTGAAATTTCCCTACTTCAACCCCTTTCTTTTCCAAGTTCTTTCTTTTAGGAAGAACTTCCTATTATTTTGTTTTAGGGTTTAAGCTTGGACAAATGTTCCTGATATGCTTGATGGGAGAGAAGAAGGAAGTTAAAAGGCAATGGCTATTTGATGTAAAACGTAAGAATAATGGGTATTTCTTCTCCCTCCTTTCCAAACTGCGCAACAGATAAGATCTTCTTAACAGAGTGTGACTGCTGTAGGAGCAAGAAGTATGTTTTATTGTAGAACATGTGTAGCTGTTGGATCAATAAAACCCAATTTCTATTTCTATGGACTCAATATCTTTTTTTTTTTTTTTGACAGGATCTCAGGCCGGGTGTGGTGGTTCATGCCTGTAATCGCAGCACTTTGGGATGCTGAGGTGGGTGGATCATGAGGTCAGGAGTTTGAGACCAGCCTGACCAACATGGTGAAACCCCGTCTCTACTAAAAATATGAAAATTAGCTGGGCATGGTGGCATGCACCTGTAATCCCAGCTACTTAGGAGGCTGAGGCAGGAGAATCGCTTGAACCTGGGAGGCGGAGGTTGCAGTGAGCTGAGATCGTACCACTGCACTCCAGCTGGGAGACAGAACGAGACTCCATCTCAAAAAAAAAAAAAAAAAAGACAGGATCTTACTCTGTCATCCAGGCTGGAGTGCAGTGGCACAATCATGGCTCACACAGCCTCAACCTCTCCAGCTCAAGCAATCCTCCCTCCTCAGCCTCCCAAGTAGCTGGTACTACAGGTATGCACCACGATGCCCAGCTAATTTGTTTATTTTTTGTAGAGATGAGGTCTCGCTATGTTGCCCAGGCTCATCTCAAACTCCTCAAACAATCCTCCTGCCTTGGCTTCCCAAAGTGCTAGGATTACAGGTGTGGGCCACCATGCCCAGCTAAGGGCTCAACATTTATGGAACAAAACATTTTAAGATAGTATTCACTGTAATGGGATTTTTAAGCTACAAAAACCCTTTTCTTCAGTTCTTTTAAAATAAAATATTCCCCTTCTCCACTGTATGTGTGAAAGCTGCCATAAAACACTTCCCCTATTCTTCAGTTCAAGGAGAACAGGAACAGAGATCAGCCAGCTGTGGGCATCATCCTGGACTAAGGGGCTTCATTTAACTCTTTCTAGGAAAGGCAGGGGTAAAAACTACATAACATAAACTATGCAGAATATCCAAGCACTACCAGTTCCATCACCCAATCCCCAGTACAACACGTACACACCCACATGCTCACATACGGTACCTAAGACTCCTTTTTTTTAAAGGCTGTTCAAGTATTTAACATTCTGTAGGTTCAAAACATTCTATAACCAATGGATATAGGAAGCGACCTTCCCAAACTGATTGGTTCCTCTCTCCCACCTCCTCTGCCCTCTTTGTCTCCATCCCTCCCCTCCATACACATCATACCAAGGAGAGAAAAACAGGGCACATTGGCAGTTTCCCAAAACAGAAAATCGTCAGTAAAAATTTGGCAAATCGTTTCCTGAGAGTTAATTGATTTTAAGTGCTTAGGATTATGGCAATCCTCCTACAAGATAACTTCAAAGGGCTTTGTTTTTAAAATATTATAATAATTCTAAGATGGAGGAGGTAAATATGACTGATTCCATCTCCTAAATAAAGCAAGAAGTAAAGAAATTACTGCCAGGAAATTATGCAGAATTATGGAAGAATCAAAGAAAAGAATCAGTTCTTCTTGAGATCATCTCCGACCTCTCCTTTGTATGAAATCTTATCAACTCTTTATAAACTTCTTTTATAGAATCTCTGGGTTTATAAATGTTCTCGAACTTGTGAATCAAACACTTGGGATGAATTGTCACTATGCAAGGCCACCGTACAAAAGCCCCTCTCCTGGTGACAGCTTCTCCCTTCATAATGACACAGTCATTCTCCATGAGAGCAGGCCACACGTGATAGAGGACTAAGGGAGCAGTGAAATCCGAGTCGTAGCTGCGGCGGTATCTGTTTTCAATATACAAAAAAAGAAAGAGAAGTTAAGCAATTATGGAGCATATCTAGGGGAAAACATCAGTGTGAATTCTCATTTTGTATTATGCTCAGATCTGAGTAAATATAGGTCAAATTCTGTTATTTAAGAATCTTTGTGGCCTCTTAGAATAGGAACTAATGATAACTGGGACCCAGCACGGATATGCTAAGACCAAATCGTGTCAAACTAATTGTATTCCTTCTCTTCTCAGGATTACAAGAGTTGCAATTCAGGGGAATTCTAAAGACATAGACTAGCATCTGAAGTCCCATCAGGCTTCCCATAGAATTTTTCATGCTGTCTTTGTGGACAAAATAAAAGAAATATAGGAGGATGATTAACTTAAGTAGGTGGATTGGAAACTAATTAAATGATCATATCCAAAGAGGGGTAATTAATGGATCGACAGAAACCTGAAGGAAGATGCTGAGGGCTCTCTCTCAATCCCATGATAAGTCATCATGTTTATGAATGAGTTGTATGAAATATAGAAAACATGCTCAAAGATGCAGGTGGTTAGGAAAAAAAAAAGATGACATTGATTAAAAACAGCTCAACAGGCTGGAACAATAAGCTGAATTTAATAAGATAAAATAAAATGTGAATAAATATGAGGTCCTATAATTGAGTCTAAAAAGCATTTTCACAAATAGAGGAGATATATGGTTTAGTCACAGTACAAGAAAAATACAGCAGGTTTCAGTTGTATTCAAAATGAATAAACACTGTTAGAAGGCTAAAAAAGAAAGAAAAACTACTGTAAGTTAGCTGAATTAATGGAGAATAAGAATAAAAAGGGTGTTAGTCCCTCTAGGCCAGTCAGTTCACTTTCTTTAAAAGGTGCACAGATCAAGAACAAGACAATGAATCTATTTGTCAAGAAGTCCCAAATCTACTTCATATGAAGAAACCCTGAAGCCCTGAGGCCAGAAGGAGGAGGGTTTGAGTAATTGCTTTCAAATGTACAAAAGGCTGCCAGGGTGAAAAAGGGTTAGCCTTGTTCTGTGAAGTTCTAGAAGTAGAACTAAATCCAATCATTGTTAGAAAATCCAATTCCAGCTGCACAGATGTCCAGGCACACAGGCCAGAGAATGCCCTAGAAGCTGCACATTCCCTCTGGTTAAAGGAATGTCAGCAAGAGGCCCTACAGAAGTCTTTGACATGTGCAGATTCCATAAACTAAAATGGTGAATGGTTCTGAATGGCACTCTCCATCCTCTAAAGGAGAAAGGAATAAAGGGAGACAAATGAAGATAATGTGCTCTGTGGAACCAAAAAGACCCAACTGCAGTGTAATGTCCTAGTATCAGCTCTTCCATGAGTTGATCCATGTTGGAGAAACTAGAAGCAAGACAATGGCAAGAAAATATTACATGCTATAAGGCAATTGGAAAGTTCATTATTGTTGTGATTTGCATAAGTGAAAGAAAGTGAATGATTCTGAGTGGTACTATCCATCCTCCCTCATCAACAAGCTTTCAGGAATGCTGGGCATAACTTTACAACCTGAACAAAAACCCGGAGTGAATATTTCCTGGGCACCCACTTCATGCTGGGCAGCATCCTAAGTGCCTTGTCTGAATTATCTCAACTAACCTTCTACGACCCTAGGAAGTAGGCATTATTATTGCCCCCATTGGATAGAGAAGAAACTAAGAAATAGAAAAATTAAGTGGCATGCCTAACATTATACAGCTAATAGGTGATGGAGCTGAAATTTGAACCTAAGCAGCTTGAGGCTGCTTAGGTTCTTAACCACTAGCTTGTGTTCTTAACCACTAGCTTGATTTCTTCCCAGATAATCTCCAGCTATATCCTGTGATCTCAAGAAATCACAATACAATGTTTTAAATTAGTTTAATGTATTTTAATTTATAAGGGGAATATTTATCCTGTAAAAGTTGGTAGCAATCTATTGGTCCTAGACAAAAGAGTCAAGAGCATTAATTTTCAAACATTAGTGTGCACAAGGAACACCTGGGTGCTTGTTAAATTGCAGATTCCTGAGCCCTGTCTTAGACTTACTGCATAAAATGTCAGAAAATGTAATCCAGGAATGTGTATTTTTAACAAGTACCTTGAGTAATTCTGATGCAGGTGATCCACACATCATACTTTGAGAAGCCTGGCCTGAGTAATGCAATAAAAACCAATAGAAAGTAATGCACATTTGTATTTATAGAGCATCTTTAAAAAAGTGTTCTAGATAGGCTCCAAGTCCTCATTAGTTCTCTCCCAAAGACCAATATGTTCAATGGAAAATAACTCTAGGAGTGGGTCCTGCCCTGGAGTACAGAGAAGTATATGGTAGGGCCTGAAAATCAGGTAGTGTCTGTTAATTTCTCCACCCAGAGTTCTTTTCCTTAAATTGTTTTCAGGAAACAGACAAGACAATGTATTCATGATAAATCCCTTAGCTTCTGCTCCTGTGTCTCTTACTTGCAATCATTAAAAACTTCTCCATCTGCTCCATATGCAATATCTAGGGGTGGTTCTAAGGCCTGCATTGCAAAGGCAATGCAACATATCTCCTGGATGAAGTCACTGAGAAGGCAAAAGTCAACGACAGGAGGGAATGAAATCTTGGGATTGACATTCATGGCTCGGATCACATCCTGAAAAACAAAAGATGGCATCACTTTGTTACCAGCCTGTGACAAAAACACTCTGACATCCTAAGAATATTAGGATTGATGGGAGGTGGGAAAAGAGAATGTGAGCCAAAGCAAGTTAAAGCAGAAAAACAGTGAATGTGCTAAAAGGAGAAAGATGTTGCCACCCATTCACAGGGAAGAAGGAAAGAGGACACAGAGTAGAAATGACACAGTAAAAGCCAAGAGAGTCCTAAAAAAGCAAGGAAAAAAACCTTCTGTGGCTTTTATTTATCATATCCTTATTTTTCTATTCTGAGCAAGGGTATGATGTGCCAACACAGAACTCTGAATTGTTCATAATCCATAACAATCATTATTAATAGTTTGCTTTTATTGAGTGTTAACTATGTGCCATGTCTTGTGCTAAGCAAATTGCCTACTTTCTTTCATTTAATGCTCTCAATGACTCTATGGAGTAATGAACAGTGTTACTCCCACTTAAGGATTAGAAAACTAAAGCATACAGAGATTAAGTAAATGTGTAAGATCACACAGCTAGTAAGTGTCAGAGTCAGGAAGCAAATCCATACATACTTTTCCCCAAATCCTTGCTCTTAAGAACTATGATATTCCATCTCCTGATCATAACAGCCTATCTAAAGAAACTCAGACATTTTTTCCCTATAATATGTTTAAGGAAGAAACAGTCAATAATGGCAGGTGCTACCAAGTAAATTGAATGCTGTTCCTTTCTTCTTTTTCATTACATAGAATTAATACTAAATACTGGATGGATTTCTGAGTTATTAGTACTCAATATAAACTGCAGCAGCAGCAGCAAACCAGTCCTAATAAAAGACTCAACACTTACATTGACACTGCTTTGAGAATCATATAGATCAAGATGACAAATGACATAATCCAAGACAGCATTCTCAAAGTCATTCGACCCCACATAAGATGGTGTCAACGATTTTCTCACATGGATCTTGAAGTGTCTGAATGCCATTTTTGCTACATGGAATGCCTCCTGCACATAAAAATGCAGCAAATTTATTTGGTGAAAAGAGGTAGGTGAAGAGATCCAAAACAAGGAATTAGAAAGAATCCGAGCTTCAACATCATATTGGTCTTCTGATAACTAAACACAGTTGATCAAAAACATTTTTAGTCTGGAAGAAAATACATCTCTAACTTTGAAAAGTACATAAACATATAATAATCCATGCTCACTAACATCAAGACAGTTGACTATTATTCTAGAAATTCTGAGTGCAGGAAGCAGGACAGTGCAGAAATTGAAGGAAATAAATCCCCTGCTATAAGCCCATAGCAATATCACATTACTGGTCAAGAAATAAGAGAACATTATCAGTCTAGTGTTTATGTTATAAACACATATCCAGACTCAGACATGTGTCCTGGCATATGTTAATTCAACAAATATTTATTAAATGCTTATGGTGTGGTAAGCATTGGGAAAACTCCGTTATGCAAGGAAGATGTGGTCTGTACATTGACAGAGCTTTAACTAACTCAGTAAGTGGTTCTTAATTATATAAACCAGGGGATGGCAAACGTTTTTCAATACGGAGCCAGACAGCAAATATTGTATGCATGTTGAGCTACATACAGTTTCTGTCTTTTTTTTTTTTTACAACCCTTTAAAAATCTAAAAACATTCTTACATTCTTAGCTTTCAGACAGTAGTATTTCTCTTAGAAATATGAGCCAGGTCCAGATAAGGTCCATAGATCATGGTTTGCTAACCCTGATTTAAATGAATAAATACAGGATAAAGTTCAGTATTTCTGATAATTCTGCTCTCATACCAATGTTTTGTTTTGTTTCTTAATATTTAACAATTCTCCTCATGAACTCTCAGTATCTTAGTATGACACTAACCCATAGAACAAACATATTTGTTTTGGAAATTAAGGATACATATGTGCACTTTTAAAATTTGTCATGCTCAAATAGCTGATATGTAAGCAGTTTTAATAACTACTCTTAATTAAACAAACAGAAGCATTAATACAATCACAGCCTTCTCATTTGTTTAAGAACTAAAGTAAACCAAATGACAGCCATTAGCAATAATATATCCACTGTGTGTGCATATGCTCATATTAGACAAAAGGTACAGTGCAAATCTACTTTGTATAAACCCATTTGAGATAGTCCTGCGTTTACGGATACTTCTTAAACAAATGCCTGGTCAATATAACCAACTAAATAAATAAATATTATATAACTATTCATATATATATGAATAGTTATCGATTGTGAAGATGATTCATCCCCCAAATATTTGTAATGAAAGGGAAGGAAGGAAGGAAGGAGAGAGAGGAAGGAAACAATGGAGGAAGAAGGGAGAAAGGAAGGAAAGAAGGAGGAAGAGATGGAGAGAGGGAGGGAAAGAGAAAGGAAGGGAGGGAGGGAAGGAAGGAGAGAGGGAGAGAGACGGGAAGAAACAAAGAGGAAGGAAAGAAAGGAGGGAGGGAGGGAGGGATGGAGGGAACAAGGAAGGAAGGAAGGAAATAGGAAAGGAGGAAGAAAGGGAAGGAGGAAGAAAGAGAAGGAAGGAGACAGATGGGGAGACTGGAATCTCCCCCACTTCAGTGACCTCAGGATCCACTAGTCTTTGTAAGTTGTTCCATTCACGTTACAGAACTTGTCTCCCGGCTGCCCTAAGGAGCCGGGAGTCCCGCAGGCGTCACATACCACTGTGGCGATGTAGATGATCCGCTGAACGGTCTCAGCCTTGTCGATGCAGCGCCGCAGCAGGCACTGCGCGTCCAGGCGGGCCTGGGAATAGGAATCGCTGAACCGGGACAAGAGGGCAGCCTTGCGCGCCACATTGGACAGCTTGGAGCGGTTTGGGGACGGTCTCCTGACCTTGACAGCGGTGGAGGGGCTGGCAGATCTGCTGCGGCTGCAGCTACGGCTGCGAGGGGCAGGGCTGGGAGACCGGCTCCTGGAGGACCTGTTGGTGAGCGAGAATCAGCCAGGGAAATCCTTTGATTTGCTTCTTAAGTAAAGCAAAGATCATCTGGTGGCCAATGAATCCGACCATCCGGAGGCAAAACTCCTTATCTGAGGAATTCAGAAGTGATTAGACTTCCCTATTATCTGACTCCAGCATCTGGTACCAGACTTCTGTCCCAAAAATTTATAAGCAACTAGAATTTCTATACATCTCCAGAATGCATGCGTTCTTAAAAATCAGTCCGATTTTGACCCATAAACGCTCAAAAAGAAGCATGTAATTTTCTTTTGTAATCCCTAATACATCAAATTGGCCTATTAATGGAACTTTGCATCACAATATTATTTTACAAGTAGATGCATTTTACCAGACCCTCAAAAAGGATATGTTCTGGTCTTTTTGTCTTTATCCCATATGTTCAGGTCTTTTTGGCTTTATCCCAAAACTCAAAATTACATAAAAATTTTCATGTATCCTTCCAAGAAACTTCCTACCTCCTCAAGTCTGGTGTCTTAGATGACCCTTTTGCCTATCACTCTGTCCTCAGCCTGCTCCTGCTTTACCTACGCTCTCCCCATCTGCTCCATCCCCTAATCAAACATCCCCATGTCCATATACTTTATCCCTGTCAGATACTCACACAGGAGTTACATATACCACTAGTACAGAGTCCTCGGAAAATCCCAAAATGTTTTGCCTCTCTGTGAGGTAGCTAATGGAGATTTAGGAGCAATCCAAGTTCATGTCCCTTTTCTAATGTCTGATTTTTCACAAATTTAATCCAAGTTTGGGTTCATTTAGCCTGGATCCCTCTAAGTTCATTCAAGAATTTTAGGCTTCAACTATTGCCTTTGATTGAATCTAGCAAGATATATTTGTGGTATTAACTACTTGTTGTTCCCATGAAGAAAGGTCACGCATATGGTCAAGCTTGGGCAGATGAAGCTCATGTCCATAATCCTAACAATGATAAAGCCGGGGCAGAAGCTGTCCCTGACCCAGAACCCAATTGGCAATACCGGGCCGCTGATGCCGGCCCAAAGAGAGGCAGGGGCAGATGACATTATATGATCTCTTTTTTGTTGGAAGAAATGAAAAAGGCAGTAATAAAACCTGTTAATTTTTCTAAATTACAAGAAATCACTCAGGAGCCATCTGAGAGCCTCATCCTTTTCCAGGCTACACTGGTGGAGGATGTGCATAAATACACAAGTTTTGACCCCCAAATCCCTAACAGCCTATCAATTCTGGCCATACATTTTATAAGTCAGACTTCCCCAGACATCAGACAAAAACTCCAAAAATTAGAGCATGGCCCACAAACTCCCTTTCTTACTTTATTAAATGTAGGCTTTAAGATTTTCAATAATCAGGAGGAAATATCCAAAACAAAAACAGTTCCATTGGAGGAGGAAAAATGCCAGCACCACACTAATTACACGGTGACAGCATTGGCACATTCTTTTTCATTAGCCAATAACCCCAAGGCTCGTCCCCATAACACTAACAGAACACGGGCCTGTCATCACTGCAGAAATCCAGGACACTAGAGAAGAAAATGTCCAAAACCTCCAGATTACAAGCCACCCCCAGGACCCTGTTCTCATTGCAAACAAGAGCATCATCAGAAAAATGAGTGCCCCTCCCTCCCTTGTGACAGAGGGGCACTTCTTTCTCCTAAGCCATCACAGCCACAACCTCACCAACATACCTGACAAGGGGGTTCTGCAGAACAAGGACAAGGGGAAGGACATGCAACTCTAACTTTATTCCTGGATTATAACCAAGCCTCTCAAAGTCATCCTCTAGATGACTGCTGGGGCCTTGAGTCCTTCCAGGCTCCTGTCTTTTCCTTTTCTATGGATGAGCCTTGGGTAAATCTAATTGCGGCTGAGCAAGTCTTCTTATCACACCTTCCTACCCCAACCATTTCTCTCCATGCTGGTAAAATGGGAAATATCTCCACCTTCGTGTAATCTTAGTACTCCCCCCACCATTCATACTTATAATATCATTGGAACTTCTTTAATTTGTAATGTTACTTTAGGATGTACACCCTGTTATAATGGTACTCCTGTGGGTAACATTAACCCATTTGAGGCTCTTACAACAAAACTCTGAATCTGTCTAATCACTGCCCATTTTTAAGCCTTTCAGACAAACCAGTATAGTAAGGCCTCCAGTATACACCACCCCTTGCACTCCTAATACCACTCATGTATGTTACTAGAATGATATAACCAATGTCGGAAAAAACCATCATGCCACTTATATCCTATCCATTGCACATATGCTTCCCTGGTTTTGAACACCACCGCTGCGCCCCCCACTCACCCAACCAGCTGGGACATTACCATGACTTTTCCTCTCATATGGGGCCTCTCAAAAACTGTCATGAGGCCCCTTTCCTTTGTTTCCAACATTTTAATCAAACCAATCAACACCATATTACCTGGCTGCCACTCCTGGGCTCTTATGGCTTTGTGGCACTGCTAAAAATTATTTAAACTCCTTTAAAGCTTTGGCTTTATTCTATCTTCATAATTCTCTTCATTATGATGTTTGTACTCCGGGTACAATAGCTCCCACCCAAATCACTGTCCTGAACATAATTTCCAATCTAGAATCCCATTCTAGAAGAAAAAGGACCCTAGGATTTATTGTGGCCAGAGTTGTGGGAACTATCGCAACTCTTGCCCCTTGGGGAGGTTTTACTTACCATGAAATCACTACGGGAACTTAACCACCTCCCTTGAAATACTGGCAAATACTGGCCTTAGCAAATACTGGTGCAAGTCTATCGTTGCTAGAAAAGTCTTTAGGCTCACTAGCAGGAATGGTTTTTGAAATAGACGAGCTCTAGATTATCTCCTAGCTGAACAAGTTGCTGTCATCAGTAAAACCTGTTGATCTACATTAATGTGTCTGGAAAAGTGGAAACTCATGTCCAAGAAATTTTCAAACAAGCCAAATGGCTAAACACACTCTCCCAAAGTAACAAAAACTGGGCCAGAACCTTTACTGACTGGTTTCCAAAAATCCCTTGGCTCAATCATAGCTCACTGCAGCTTCAAACACCTGGGCTAAAGAGTTCCTCCTGCCTCAGCCTCCAGAGGATCTAGGACCACAGGCATACCCAGCTAATTTATTCATTTTTTTAACTTTTTTTAGAGATGAGTTCTTGCCATGTTGCTCAGGCTTGTCTAGAACTCCTGGGCTCAAGCAATCTTCCCCACCACAACCTCCCAAGTAGCTGGAATTCCCAGTTTTCACACACATAACTTTTGCCCTATTTTAGGGTGGAGGTGGGGATTGGAAGGTCAGATGAGCAAATACATGTGGAAGTACTGGGTATATTGTAAACTACTGTATCAGTAAAAAGTTATATTGCCCTCAAGTACGAAGTAAATTATCAGACTAGCTAGCCTGAAGTAAACGGGTCTCCATAAAGGGAGGTTTTACAGAAGAAACTACCTGGCAAAAGGTATTGCAAAACTGAGTACAACAGTCAGGGAGGTTGGGTTGGGTAAGGCAAGACTTACTTATGGTGTTTTCCAATTCCCATGGTGTAAATACTACCACCATGTCAAACAGGCACAGAATAGGTTATTGGAAGCCAATACAAGTTGGCACAAACACAACACTGACAGAATGATTCCCCAAAATTAAAGACTGTGGTGACATTTAGAGAATGGGAATGGGGGCTCTCATAGCCTGGAGCAGAACACATTAGGGGCTTGAGGGGGGTTGTTAAAAAGAATAAGGGAAATGCAGAGACTCCAGAGAAACACCTACTTTGTCCTTACTTAACACTGTCTGGATGACCTGTCTTAAAATCTGTCCATAAGTAGAAAGGGATTTCACAAGAACACTTCACCTACACATGCCATCAAAGTCAGATATAAAAGGGAAATACCCTGCAGTGAAATGGACAGTATCCCTGGAGAGAGGACTCCCAGGCATCAGAGAAAATGACCCCTCATATTACAGAACATTTTTTCCATGAGGGTACCACCTCTTGCACCATAGGCCTGCACAAATCTGGTTTCAAGCCAAAGAACTTTCCTTATAGCCGGGCGTGGTGGCTCATGCCTGTAATCCCAGCACTTTGGGAGGTGGAGGCAGGCAGATCACCTGAGGTCAAGAGTTCGAGACCAGCCTGGCCAACATGGTGAACCCGCATCTCTACTAAAAGTAAAAACAAAATTAACCGAGCATGGTGGTGTATGCCTATAATCCCAGCTAGTCGGGAGGCTGAGGCAGGAGAATCACTTGAACCCAAGAGGCAGAGGTTGCAGTGAGCCGAGATCATGCCATTGCACTCCAGCCTGGGTGACAGAGCGGGACTCTGTCTCAAAAAGAAAAAAAAAAGAACTTTCCTTCTCCATATCTCTCAGCCCAAAGTTAATTAGTGTCCAAGTGCTGGCAACTCAGGAGGTATTTTCTCTCTCTGGAAGGGGTGCAGTTAAGAAAACAATCCCTTTACAATTCAAAGCTTGGCAGATTGCTGAGGTTTTGGTTCAGGGTATCATTTTATCATTTTACTTATTTCCTCCTCCCCGATCCCTTAACTCAGCAAAAAGAGCCTAAATGAGAAGATCTTTGAGAGTTTGTCTGACCTTCCTTGGAGTGCACTTTTCTCAGCAGACAGAACAGCTATCTCCTCCTTCAGGTTTCGGAGCTGTTTCTTATAATCGGACATGGCTTCTGTGTCCTGCTGGTCTGCATTCTGCTTGAGTGAGTTCCACTGCTCACGCTTCCGCTCCTCCAAGCTCCAAGGCTCTGACCGCCTATTCTCTGAGCTCCTCTGATCTGTGTTTCTGTGGCGGGCATCCTCCTGAGCTTGAAGAGATTTAAGCCTGAACAGCAAAGAGAGAGGGCAGAGGAAGGGAAGAGAGGAGAGGGGAGGGAGTGAAGGAAGGAAGGAAAGGTAATAAGCAGCAATTGGCATGCTTAACAACAGAGGCTACTCAGCCTGCCATTATTGCATTGGGAAACTCTGATGGAAATACACATGAATGAACAAATTAGCAAGGAGCAGAACTGCCAGGGCCAGGGTGCCACTCCATGTCTGCAGCTTGCATGGGGAAAAGTTCCTAAAGAAAGGACACTCATGCAGATCCTCTAGCAAAAACACTGGACCCATAGTCATACTGTCCCATGTTGGACAGATCTTAACTGCATGCTTATTTGACCTCCAAAAGCTATTCAGGCAGCTGGTCTAAAATACAATCTCCTACCCTCATTAGTTCTTTGATTCTCTGAATAGTCTCAACTCTATTTTTAACATATTAATTGGAATATTTAATATTAATTAGAATCTTTGATTCTCTGAACAGTTGGAATATGAGAGAAAACTACAATGGAAATTGAATAACATCCACAAAACTAGCTAGAAGTGTGAACCTATGAAAATAATGTAGCAAACAAAAAAATCTTTAGAAATAAAATTGGCATCCTTATCAAGATACAAAGTGGCATGGCCACCATAAAACAAGAGCAAAAGCCAGGAGAAGAGAAGATGCTACGATGAAAATGACAAGGGTGTAAAATGAAAAGGTAAGATTAAGAAGATAAGAAAGTTAGTAAGATTAAGAAGGATGCAAAGAAGCTAAAGATATAATAGAATGAAAAGCTGCACTACAAACAGTAAAGAACAGAATTGGTGCTATAGGTAATTGATGAGTAATATGATTGATGGATTTGAGAAGGTATAACAAATAGGAAATTAGAGATTAAAATGATGAGGAAGGGGAAGACAGAAGTAGAAAATAGAACAGTGTTCCTAGTTAAGATTTGTGGGTGTTCCTGACCAAATCAGAACCATTGGAACACATGCGAAGATAATCAAAAGGGGTGTGTATGTGTGTGTGTGTGTAAAACACCCCCCCCCCCACTTACTCTTTTGGGAGGGGGAGATCAAAATTAAGATCCAGGAAGGTATAACCTTATTTTTTTATGAGATTGCTGTTTTTATTTATCTTTATGAAATTTGTTAAGTTTGCCTTTGCAGGCTAATATATGGTCAGTTTTTATGAATGTTTTATACATATTTGAGAATGTGAATTCACTCTTTTTTTATTTTATTATTATTATACTTTAAGTTTTAGGGTACATATGCACAATGTGCAGGTTAGTTACATATGTATACATGTGCCATGTTGGTGTGCTGCACCCATTAACTCGTCATTTAGCATTAGGTATATCTCCTAATGCTATCCCTCCCCCCTCCCCCTACCCCACAACAGTCCCCAGAGTGTGATGTTCCCCTCAGGAAGGTATAACTTTAAAAGATCAATGTTTATTTTCCCCTTCTAGAAGTTTATCTTTAAGGAATAATCTGACAGTTCAACTGATATTTTTCCACAAAAATTATCCCAATATTATTTCCCATGTTGAAAATTAGTATACAAGTAAATATTCAATATGAGGGAAATCCCCAAATGATGGAACATAATGAACCTATTTAAAACTAACTTCTGCAGTATTTTTTCTTAGTGATAGAGAAAACAATGTCAGGTGAAAAGTTAGGATCCAAAATTGTATACTTATACATTTTATTCTGTAGTCTCCACTCTATTTTTAATATATTAATTGGAAAGAATGTAAAATGGTAACAGTCACTGGCTCTGCAATTATGAAAGGGTTTTTATATGCCTTTATACTACGTTGTACTTTGGAAGTTTTCTATAGTAGATAAGTAATATCTTTGTAGTAAATATATATATATATATAATTAATAAAAATATTTCTGCATTTTCTCTCTGATAGTGAACAGATTCTTTCATGTTGTAATGGAGCACCAAAAAAGCTAAATTCAATGATTTAGGCTGCAATAATCCTGTAATTTTTTTCTTACTGCTTTTTCAGCTGATTTATTTCCTCCTCTGCAGCCAAAAGGGATATGGCCGATCTGTTCTTGCTTTCTTCAAGATTCTTTTCAGTTTCAACCAGACTGTAAGATAAATCAGTAACTAAAGATAGATTTTTCAAAATTGGCAGACTTTCTAAATCAAGGCAGAGGCTCACTTAGGAACTTCTGGTATATGACATAGTTCAACATAAACAAGATCAAATTAAAAGACATCTGCATTCAATCAGGTAATATTGCAAATATTGTGGTGGACTTGTATGCTAAAACATGCTAACATCCTTTGCTCAATGTCAAACACTAGGAAATTATAGAGCTACTACCCCCAAAAGACTATTAGTATTAGAATATAAAGGACAAAGAAACTTGTTCAATTTCTCCTTCTCACCTGCCTAATTCATCTGCTCTAATTACATCAAAGCCCCAAGTTGGCTTTCTCTACAAAATCTCCACTTTTCTATAATATACCAACATCGATTTTTATTGCTTTGGACTGTGGGGCTGCAGACTTCTTCAATATTTAAAAAAATTATGTGCCCACCTATAAAGTCCTCACAATCACCCTTGACAATCAAGTACTTCATGTCTTCCTGCCTCTGACTTCTACTACTTATTGAGCACAAATTCTCTGAGTTTTCACTGTATCTCTGTCATAGTTAGCTTCAAATCCTCTTCATGGTAGACAAATCATAATAAATCATGTTATTTAGGTCTATCTAGTTTAAAAAATAAGTGAGGCTGGGTGCAGTGGCTCATGTCTGTAATTCCAACGCTTTGGGAAGCCAAGGCAGGAGAATCTTTTGAGCTCAGGAGTTCAAGACAAGCCTGTGCAACATAGTGAGACCCTGTCTCTATAAAAAATAGATAAATAACATTAGCCAGGTGTGGTGGTGTGTGCCTGTAGTCTCAGCTACTCAGGAGGCTGAGGTGGGAGAATCTCTTCAGACTAGGAGTTTGAAGCTGCAGTGAGTTATGACTGTGCCACTGCACTTCAGCCTGGGTGACAAAGTAAGAACATGTCTCCAAAAAAAAAATGGAAGTGAGATAGATGATACTGAATGAAGACCAATGGTCCTCAATGAAGTTGCCCCAGAACAGTGAGACTTGAGTTGACAAAGTCTTCTTGACTTCTCTGACCCTGCCAGATATCATAGCACTTGTCCTGAGGCTAAGATAGTGCAATTGCCTTCCAAACTCACACCAGCCTTTATCCTTCCCTCTAGATGGTAGAACAGTGGAAGGCAAAACACTGGGATTTTCACTTAGAGAGTGAAGCAGCCTAAGAAATAATGTGCTAACAGCATCCCTGTCAATCCCACAGATCCTAACCAGACACCGAAAATTCCATCCCCCACCTGCTTCCTCCTCTAATAAATGCCCACTCGGCAAGGGCCTTCCACATAGTATCCCCAATTCTCCCAAGAAAACTTTGTTTCCCCTTCTCGGCACTCCATTCCCATTTACCTCATTGCATTCACACTATAAACTATTTGAGGGCAATAATTTTATTTTATTCATCTCTATCCCCAGTACCTAAACAGTTCCTGTCACACGGTATATTTTTTAAATGAGAAATGAATGAATGAATGAAATGTCTAAAAATGAAAAGAAAGCAAAAAATAGCATTAACTTCATAATATGGCTATTGGAGATTGAAAGGAAACTAATATATTTAATTCAAATATAAGATGTAACAAGTTCTTAAAAGTAAATATGTGAAAATGAACATTTTTATCAAGAGAAAATGAACTGTAGAAAATGGATCAAGAAAAGGAGGAAAATACAAGCAGGAATGAAGAACTTGGGTATTTTTCTCCTAACACATACAAGCGGATGCACATATAAGCAAACATACATGCTAATTTCACACGCTTGGATGACATAAAGAAAGAAGAAAGAAAAGTACATCCATATGCTAACAATTGTTTTAATCAGGCTGACGTTCTATTTAAATGTTTTGTTGCATATCTGATCATTCATTGAGCAGATTATTGAGGACTTACTATGAGCCAGGCATGATGCTCAGTACTGGGGATACAACAGTGTCAATTCAGCAATGCAAGACAGTAACCCTTTGGATCTTCCAGGCTAGTTGGGGAGATAGATCATAAATATGCAAGCAAGTTTATTTTTTTAAGTTCCCAGTTGTGACTTCACTCTCTAACTTTTCTCATAAGTGCTATTATGAGAAAAGCAGATCACCATGGAAGAGTATTAAAGGAGAGAAGAAAGACCTTTCAACGTATGGTGGTCACAGAAGGACTCTGAGAAAGGCACATTTAAGCTGAGACTTGGAGGATAATAAAGAGCCAGGCATGCAAAGAGCCAGTGGAAGACTGAAAAGTTCTTTCAGGCAATGGAAGAGCACAGGCAAAAGCCTCAAAGTGAGGAAGTAGACAGTAGACTGGGTCAGGGGAAAGTGACAGGAGATGACACTGGAGCAGAAATACAGCCAGATCAGGAGGGGTGTTATGAGAGCCCTGGTGAGAAATTTAGAATTTTTTCTAAGTATAAAGGGAAGAGAATACTTAAACAAACTTAAAAGAAAAAAACAAACAACCCCATCAAAAAATGGGCAAAGAACATGAACAAACACTTCTCAAGAGAAGACATTTATGTGACCCACAAACATATAAAAACAAGTTCAACATCACTGATTATTAGAGAAATGCAAATCAAAGCCACAATGAGATACCATCTCATGCTAGTCAGAATGGCGATTATTAAAAAGTCAAGAAACAACAGATGCTGGCGAGGCTGCAAAGAAATAGGAACTTTTTCACACTGTTAGTGGAAATATAAATTAGTTCAACCATTGTGAAACACAGTGTGGTGATTCCTCAAGGATCTAGAACCGAAATACCATTTGACCCAGCAATCCCATTACTGGGTATATACCCAAGGGAATATAAATAATTCTATTATTGATACATGCACATGTATGTTTACTGTAGCACTATTCACAATAGCAAAGACATGGAATCAGCCCAAATGCCCATCAATGATGGACTGAATAAAGAAAATGTGGTACATATGCACCATGGAATGCTATGCAGCCAAAAAAGGAATAAGATTATGTCCTTTGCATGGAGATGGATGAAGCTAGAAGCCATTATCTTCAGCAAACTAACGCAGGAACAGAAAACCAAACACCACATGTTCTCACTCATAAGTGGGAGCTGAACAACGGGAACACAGGGACACAGGGAGGGGAACAATACACACTGGGCTCTGTTGGGGGTTGGGGGAAGGGAGAGCATCAGGATAAATAGCTAATGCATGTGGGGCTTAATATCTAGGTGATGAGTTAATCTGTGCAGCAAACCACCATGGTACACGTTTACCTATATAACAAACCTGCACATCCTGCACGTGTATCCCGGAACTTAAAATAAAATATAATATTTTTAAAAGGAGGAGACTAACGGCTTTTAATCAGAAGGATGATTTGATATGGCTGGGCGCCGTGGCTCACGCCTGTAATCCCAGCACTTTGGGAGGCTGAGGTGGGCGGATCATGAGGTCAGGAGATCGAGACCATCCTGGCTAACATGGTGAAACACCATCTCTACTAAAAATACAAAAAATTAGCCAGGCATGGTGGCGGGTGCCTGTAATCCCAGCTATTCAGGAGGCTGAGGCAGGAGAATGGCATGAACCCAGGAGGCATAGCTTGCAGTGAGCCGAGATCGCACCACTGCACCCCAGCCTGGGTGACAGAGCGAGACTCTGTCTCAAAACAAAAACAAAAACAAAAAAGAAGGATGACTTGATACAATAAAACATATACATATTTGCTAAGTGGAAAACGGATGGTGGTTGACCAAGAATGGAAGTGGGGAAGCCAGTCAGAAGGAAGGCAATTGGTTCAGGAAAGAGATGTCAGAGGATTGAACCAGGGCAGGGGTGGCGGAATAGAAAGAAAGGGGCAAGTGTGAAAGTTTAGGCGATAGATTCAATTGGACATTCTGATAGATTGGATATAGGAGAGGAGGAAAAGCAAGATTCATAACCAGAATCCAGGCATAAAATCTAAAAATCTTCCCTTGCTTGGGGGTTCATCAAACCTGTGCAGACTTGTGGCCATTTGCCCATAATTATTGGAATTTGCATTTTGGAACTAAGTCAGAACCAAAGCAGTCTCTACAAGGTTAGACATAGGGAACCTCCTTGGGTGGCCCATTCATTCCATCGTGGGCAGCACCCTGGCTTAAGAGACAAGTAGGCAAAGTAAGGGAGGGAAGAGAGAGCTGGCTACCATAGAATGTGGAGAACAAATTCTTTTAGTGATACCTTAAATTTAAAAACAGAATAAGAACTACAGGTGAGTTAAAACTAAACAAAGTGGAGAAAGGACACCCTATTCAACAAACGGTGTTGGGAAAACTGGCAAACCACATGTAGAAGGATGAAACTGGATCCTCACCTCTCACCTTATGCAAAAATCAACTCAAGATGGATCAAAGACTTATATCTAAGAGCTGAAACCACAAACAGTCTAGAAGATAACACCAGAAACTCTTTTAGATATTGGTTTAGGCAAAGAATTCATGCCTAAGAACCCAAAAGCAAATGCAACAAAAACCAAAATAAATAAAATGGGACCTAATTAAACTAAGAAGCTTCTGCACAGCAGAAGAAACAAAGAAACAAAAATAAACTTCTGCTCAGCGGAGTAAACAGACAACCCACAGAATGGGAGAAAATATTCACAAACTATGCATTTGACAAAGAACTAATATCCAGAATCTACAAGGAACGCAAAAAAAAATCAGCAAGAAAAAAAACCATTAAAAAGTGGGCAAAGGACATGAATGGACAATTCTCAAAAGAAGATACACAAACAGCCAATACACATATGAAAAAAATGCTCAGCATCACTAATTATCAGGGAAATGCAATTTAAAATCACAATGCAATACCATCTTACTCCTGCAAGAATTGTCATAACTAAAAAATCAAAAAACAATAGATGTTGGAGTAAATGTGGAGAAAAGGGAACACTTTTATGCAGCTGGTAGGAATGTAAACTAGTACAACCACTATTGAAAACAATGTGGAGATTCCTTAACTAAAAGTAGAACTACAATTTGATCCAGCAATCCCACTACTGCATACCTGCCCAAAGAAAAAGAAGCCATCTTATGAAAAGGACACATGCACATGTATGTTTATAGCAGTACAAATCGCAATTGCAGAGATATGGAACCAACCTAAGTGCCCATCAACCAAGGAGTGGATAAAGAAAATGTGGTATATATACACCATGGAATACTGCTCAGCCATACAATGAAATGAAATAATGGCCTTTGCAGCAACTTGGATGGAGCTGGAGGCCATTATTCTAAGTGAAGTAACTCAGGAATGGAAAACCAAATACCATATGGTTCTCACTTATAAGTGGGAGTTAAGCTATGAGGATGCAAAGGCTTAAGAATGATATAATGGACTTTGGGGACTTGGAGGGAAAGGAAGGAGGAGGGTGAGGGATAAAAGACTACATATTGGCTATAGTGTATACCGCTCAGGTGACAGGTGCACCAAAATCTCAGAAATCACCACCAAACAATTTATCCATGTAACCAAATACCACTTGTTCTCCAAAATCTATTGAAATAACATAAAAATAGAAACTAAGAAAACCAGGGAAAAGCAGCAAGCATCTTCATGTATGCAACTTCCAAATGGTTGGTGGAGAGAATATATATATATATATATATAGAAAGAGAAGGAACACATACGTGATAAAGCATATAGGGCAAAAGGCATATGAAAGGGCATATGGAAATGTTTAGCGCTATTCTAGCAGATTTGCTGTGTTTGAAATTATTTTCAAATGAAAAGTTTTTTTAAAGCATGCATTAAGTTTCTTGATCTATGGTACCCCTTATAGGTAACAACAGTGTCACTGAAACAAGAAAGAGAAGTGGGAAACCCTGGCCCCTACTGGTGCTGACAGCCATCAAGAACCAGTAAAGTTTTGATGCCCTTCCTCACAACTAGAGGAAAATGGAGGGTCATCTGCAGCCGTTGCTAGCTAATGTCCCAGGATACCTCCCCAGACAAGACATGCACAACTCAGGACCCATCAGCACGAGACACTAGTGCCTACATGAAATTAAGGCCAGCAAGAACCCAGAGGGCAGTATAAGACCAAAAACTCCTCATGTCCGTCACCAGGAGAGTATACAAGCATCCCTTCCCTAGAAAGGATGAGGGGAAGGGAGACCCCATGAGAGGGCAAAAATAGCTCTTAATGCATGTTTGCACTTGGAATGAGCTGAATGTTTACAGAAAATGGACTACGATAAACCAAAAATGACTGTGTGACCTTGAAGTGGCTTATTGAAGAATCCTTCAAAATGAGCTCACATTGGTTGAAATAAATTATATATTTTATGCTTTTTGCATGTTACATTTATAAATTTTGACTGCTTCAGGTATATAACTGCTCATTGATTATGATTCCAGTTGGAAATATGAATGGATATGTGTGGAGGTGCAGGCACAAAGAAAAATGTCTGGAGTAAAATATACCAAAATGTTAATGGGGACAAGAAAACAAGTGATTTTCATCAATTTTTATTTGTTGTATGCATTTTGAGAAAGAAATTTGTATTACTTTTATAATCAGGCAAAACTAAATCAATAGAGATTTCTTCCTTAGAAAAATGGAAATGTCATCAGGGAACAAGGCAGAGCACCACACATTATTCCATCCTAGCCTTAACTAGTTATTAATTTTTTTTAAAAAAAGATTTCCTTTCTGTCCCATTTATGTCAGCAATGAAGCAATGCTGTGGTAGGAGAAATTCCCATTGATGGATTTTTGTTAGGTATGTCAAACACAGTTTCATACATATTTGTCTACCTGCCTCAAGTACAAACCCAAAGTCCACATACAATTTTCTTTGCAGTGATTCCCTAAGCTTGCTACCCTGGCTCTGCCCACAACATGCATCTGATATGTGTTGTTGCCTGGAATTGCTTAACTTTTAAAAAATACATTCTTATACCTAATAGATATTGCAAAATCTTGAATTCTTCCTTTCTTAAAAGACTCTGACTCTCTCAGATTCAGAGAAGCACACATACACCCCTAAATGAGTATAATGGACTGATAGATGCAGCCTGCTTCATTTGACTTTTGCTGTCTTTCTCTTAATTCTCCTCTTTGCCTGATTGTTCACTCTCTTTTATTCTTTCCCTTTCACATCTTTTTAAAAATTTTTCTCCCAATAGGTAGATTTTTGTCTAACAATCTTTACCTGTTTGTCAATATAGGCTGATGATGTGCCTATGAAGAAGGAACTCCAAAGAAGGAACCAGGGGACCATGTATCATAATATATCCTGTCCCCAAATCCACAGACACTGACCACTGACTCTCTCTCTCTGTCTCTCTCTCCCTCTCTCTCTGTCATACACACATGCCCACAGACACACACACAATCATATTACTTATTTGCAAATGCCCACATTTTACATGAGCCATTATTCTCCTTTCGAATTTAAAACTTAATTAAATTGAAAACAATTCTTTTTGGAAAAAGATAACTTGCATTCCTCTTACTCGTCTTGAACCTGGTTGCATTGACTCCGGGTTGAGTTCAAATTAGAGTCTAACTGTTGCATATCCCGATCCCGAGGACTGGGATCTTTATGTCTCTCCCTATCAAACGTGTCCTGGAAAGATACACCAAAAAAAAAAAAAAAAAACAGTCTGAATACATTAAATGACATGGATGAATTTTTAAAAAACAGCCCAACTCAAAAGAGCACAATTATGCACGGCTCCATGCACATGAAGTTCTAGTACAGGCAAAATTAATCTAGAGTGATAAAAATCAGAAGATGGTTGCCCTGGGGAAGGTGCAAGAAATGCTCTAGAGTGATGGAGATGTCTGATATCCCAATAGGGATGGGAATTTACACAGGTATATGCATTTGCTGAAATAGCAATCTATGGATTTCACTGAATATAAATTATACCTCAATTTCCAAAAACAGTTTGAAATTCTACATCTTTATACCTAGAATAACACCCACACAGAGGATAAAAACCTGAGAAGCGTCCATAAATTCTCAGGGAAAAAAAATTACTTAATGATAACTGAAGTCTATAAAGTACTTAACATGTGTCAGGCCCTGTGTAACTTGTTTAGTGTGCTTATCACATTTAATTCTCACAAATGAACCTTTTAGATCAGCAAAACCATTGTCTCCATTCAGCAAATAAGAAAATTGAGACATAAATGTTTAGATACCTACCCAGGGCCATAAAAGAGGGACTGGTTTTCTGCTCAGTGATCTCCAAGCAGGGATCCTTCAGCCACTATCTTATAATGCTCTTGCTCAGAACAGACTAAATGCTTTCTTTCTGTTATTATTATTATTATTATTATTATTATTATTATTTTTACTTTAGGTTCTGGGATACACATGCACAATGTGCAGGTTTTTTACATAGGTATACGTGTGCCATGGTGGTTTGCTGCACCTATCAACCTGTCACCTAGGTTTTAAGCCCCACATGCATTAGCTATTTGTCCTAACGCTCTCTCTCCCCTCACCCCTGCAATCCCCCAACAGGCCCTGCTGTGTTGTTCCCCTCCCTGTGTCCATGTATTCTCATTGTTCAGCTCCCACTTATGAGTGAGAACATGTGATGTTTGGTTTTCTCAGAACAGACTAAATGCTTTCTAAATGCTTCTGTTTTAGAAAGGATTATAGGTAAATCCATATAAATGTTTCAAAGTAAAGTAACTAATGTTTTGGTTGCCCAGATGTAATGATGTGGATGCCTTAAGCAAGGTATGTGCGCTCTTTCTAGTCTGATCTCTACCTGTTCAAAAACTAACACCGTCCCATGGAAACCACCAATATCCATCACAAATTGTGACACTCTATCAGTCTACCAAAATCAAGTCCTCTTCTTCTCTTGGAGGTTTCTGATTCGTTTTATCTCACTGTTCAGAAAGTCAAGGGTTATCCTTCAGCATCCCTACCTGCAGAGAGGGGACCTTGCTGTCAACAGATTTTCCCAGGGAAGCAGCAGTAAAGGAAGCCTCCAGCCAAGGCAAAAGGCGTGACTTGATTGTTTCCACACCATCATTACGTCCTCCTAAAATGTTAAATGACGAGTTAATGGGTGCAGCACACCAACATGGCACATGTATACATATGTAACTAACCTGCACGTTGTGTACATGTACCCTAAAACTTAAAGTATAATTAAAAAAAAAAGAGAGAATACACACATCAGGTCATCAGGTCAGTGAGAGAAACCCAACCACACCAACAGTCAAAGAACACAAAAAAGCACCAAGAAAAGAGAGAAAGGCAAGCAGAACTGGATGGGAAATTACAGGCCATTCTCACCTTCTTGGGCTGCTGCTGTGAGGATCCCAAAGAGTTGTCCCTGCACCTTGGCAACTTGCTCAATGAGTTCAAGGCAATGGTTTAGATTTTGATCACACGTGTTTGTCTGCAAGGGCAAAACAGTAGATAACCAGGGTAATTACTTCACTCTGGGACCCACTGCAGACAGACCAGGGCCTCACTTGACCCACGAGCTGCCTGGCTCTGGTATGCTTTTGTGGCAGGACTGCTGTGTAGTCACCAAAACCTATCTCCCTTTCCTCCTGGACACAAAACTAGACCACATTTCACAGTTTCCCTAGCAGTTCGTGTGGCCATGTAACTGAATTCTGGTTAACTGGATGGGAAGTGATATATGCCTGGGGCCTGGCCCAGAAGAGAACCTCTTGAATGACTTTTTTTTCTTTTCCCTTCTGCCAACTGAATGCAGAAGAGCCAAGAGAGGATGCTGAGGGCATAAGGGATGGTGGAGCCACAAGATTTGCAAGGCTGCTGACTGAATGCTTGCACTGAATTGTCACATGGTTGAGAAAGTTGGTTTGTGTGTAAGCCACTGAGATTTGGAGGTTGTTTTTTATAGCAATAATCCTACTCAGTAAAACCCTACAAAAATACATTTAAAAAGTAAATAGACCTGTTATAAGACAATACAAATGACTGCCGAATTTACCTGCTTTATTGGTTCCTGTCCTCTACATAAATTCAATTTGTATATATTATATATGCATAGAGAACATTACTTCTTAACAGCAAGAAGGTATTGCTGGGTTGAGGATATAAGGGACTTGGCACTTGCAGACTCGTGGGGCAGACAGATGAATAGCCAGTTACTCTGCAGCGGAATAATAAGTCTTACCTACACAGATGAGCGCAAGCTCTACCCAAGAGTCCATTGTCTTGGAAAGTCTGGGAAGGCTTCCAAGAGGAAGTGAAATCTAGTCCAAGGTGAAATTAGCCAGACTTGGAAAAGGAAGTGGTTCCAGTGGTTGTGAAACATTCTAAGCAATGAGAACAAAACATGAGGAGGCCAAGAAGTGAACCTTTTAGCTATTATTCTGCTTTCCTCATTCCTTTGAAAGATTCTACCATTTCAACATAAGCCAAATCTCTAACTGACTCCAACATTAGAAGAAGGAATACAACTACAAGCAACAAACATCATGTGGTTGTAAAAATGCATCGATTTATGTGTCACCTCAGGGCTCAATAAGGCATCGGTCCTTGGTGCCTCCTGGACACAACAAATCCCAGAACAGAAAACAGCGTACAAGGCAGATAGAAACTAGGAGTGGAGTAAGAGAAAAGTTGAGATAATCTCTAGGCAAAAGTTTACAAGTCAAAAGCACATCTGCATCAACCAAGGAAATGGTTCAGACAGGCAGAAGCTCCTTGAGGACAGAGACTGGGCCTGTCCTGTTGGTTGTTGTATTCCCACCCCTGCATTCTACAGTGCCCCTGTATTCAGAATCATTGTGTATTGGATGGATGCATATAAATGAGATGATTCACTCACTTTGTATTTATTATATCTCTCCTATATGCCAGGCTCTATTAGTGCTTTACATATATAAACTCAGCTAATTCTCTCACTAGTACAATAGGAGCTAGAAGAATTATTATTATCATTCCCATTTCAGATGAGAAAGCTGAGGCACAGAGAGGTTAAGTAACTGGTTCTTGGCTACCCAGCTAGTAAATTATCAGAGCTGAGATTGGACCCCAGCAGCCCAGCTTCCAGAGCCCATGCTCTTAACTACTAAACTATACTGACTTTTAGATCATGATTCTTGCTGGGAGTACATGGAGGACTGGATGATGCAACCAAGAGTGAATGGGGAGGGCATCCAGGGAAGGCTTCTCTGTGGAGGGGACCCTTGAGTATTCCTGGGTTATAAGATTCAGGGAAGCACACCACTAGGGAAAGAGCTTACCAGGCAGTGGGAACAGCAAGGACAAAGGTTCTGTGACAGGAACAAGTTTGGCAACCTTGAATATGTCAATGTGGCAGAGGCACAGAAGGACATTTAGAGGTTGGCAGGGCAAGTTGACCTGGAGAGCCTTTCGCACCTGGCATGGAGTTTGGATGGGATGGACTTGTAACTGAGAGGGCAGCTGGGTTAATTTCCATGCTTGGTAAATGGTACCTGATGACTAATTCTGTTGTAGCATTGATTTCTCCTGCAGCCATTTTTTCTCCATCTCATCCATCTAATCTCTCCTCCCAAAAAGATCATGAGTTCTTTTTAAAAATGATATTGCTTTGCTCATGTTTGTATCTATTGCCACTAGTATCCTAGCAAATTGAAGGGTCTAAACAACGTTGATGAATGAATAATTTAACAGTGTAATGTTGACATGATAGAGCATTTAAAACCCATAGCCTGAACAGCTATCTCCATTTCTTCCTCGTTAATTCAGCAGCTCCTTGCCCTGGCCATTTTATACCTGCACTTATTACACTGAACTTCAATTACCTGCTTACAAGCCTTTTGCCCTCTGGCTAGATCATTCCATGTGCTAAGTGGACGGAGAATGAGCTTGGGAGTCAAGCAAACCTGAGTATCTCAGCTCTGCTGCTTGCCACAGTTCTATGTGACCCTGCACAAGTTACTTAACTTCTCTGAGCCCATTCCTCTCCCATGCAATGGGGATAATAATGCCTTGTGGAGCATTAGAATTAAATCAAAATAATACACGCCCAGCACCTCAGACACAGAAGGTGTTCATCAATTGGCACCTATGAGGTAGCATGCAGTATTGAAAGGAGCCAGTGGCTTAGGAATAAGGCAGACCTTTGTTCAAATCTGGTTCTCAACTTATCAGCTGCATTCCCTTAGAAAAGACATTTAAATATGAGGCTCTGTTTCCCTCTGTTTAGGAGGTAGCTGATCTCATGAGCAGAGTCTAGCATAAAAGAGGTACACAATAATTAGAAGTATTATTGTGGTATCATTACTATCTATTCCTATGCCTTGCCCAGTGCCTGGTACATACTGGGTACCCAGAGGAATGGTGGTCAAATGAGTTTTTAAACACATCTTAAATAACAGGAGAGAATATCCTATGCCACACAGTTCCCCTTCCCAAGACATGTTACAACATGCTGCAACTTCTAAACACAAAGCATTGCACAAGATAATCAAGTTGCAATAGGGTCACATTATTCTAGTAAACACATACTTACATACCCACACAAGACAACCAGAGCAAAGATATGGACTAATTATACTGTCTCCAAAGCACAGACTCTCCAGATTTATTCATTCATAAATCATTGAGTTTCTATTATATGTAAGGCCCTGGAAACAAAGCTCAGGAAACAAAGCTATATTAAAAAAAAAAAGTTGCCTGCAGTCAGTGAACTAATTAGATGGGGAAGTGAGATGGAGAACAAGATAAGAACAAGGGGATAAATAATTACCTTAGAGTTTATATTAAGTGCTCTGTGTGGATAACAAGCTATAGGAGCAGAAAAATAACCTCTGGTGAGGTGTGAAGGGTAAGAGGGAAGGGCATTTCAAGAGGAGGAACAGAAGGCACCAAGGCATATTAGCGGAAAGTGAGTACAGGGTCCAGAGACCAAGTCTGAAAGACTTGACTTGCCACATTAAGGGTCTTGGGCTTTATTCCATCATCAAAATGTTTAAGGATGCAACAGAGGAAGGTGGGTGTGACATGCTCATATTTGCTTTGCATGTTACAAAAATCTGTCTGGCAAAAGCAGACCAGATAGACTTTGGGTCACAGGGTGAGTCTGGTGGGGAGGTAGATGGGTATAACCATCTAGCTGAGAGATGCTGGAGGCTATAGACATACTAAGGGTCTCCCAAAGGTCCTTCCCAGCCCCAAATTACACCTGTGCCAGTAAAGGTCCCACCGATTTCAGCATTACCTAAGAAGGTCAGAGAGTTTAGAAATGAGTAAGAGGTATGAGAGGGATGATCCTGAGTTTGGGTTTGAACAAGTCAGGGGGCCTGCAGGACCTTCGGATGGAATGTCCAGTAGTGGTACCTAATAATTACTGATCACCTACTATATGCCAGCCAGGCCCTGTGCTAAGAGCTTTATATACATGGCTCCATTTAATCCTCAGAACAATCCTACAAATGGGATGCCATCATCATCCAAAATTCACCACTGAGGAAAAACAAATTAAGTAATTTGAAGAGACAATGGTGGAGACCCATTCCTGCAGCCTCCAGCACTGGAGCTGAGCTCTCAAACACAATGCTTTCCCCAAAGCAGATGGAAAGTAAGTCTGGAGCTTAGAAGAGAGACAGGACTGGGAGGTGTGGCTTTGGGAGGCTTCAGCAAGTGGGAGAGTGCAGAAGCCACATGCACAGATGAGATTACCAGGGAGAGGAAAGAGTGAGGAGAGGGCTGAGGGCAGAATGAGGGGCAATTTTGCTATGTCAGAAGTGGTCTGAGTAAGAAGAGCCAGTGAATAAAAAACAAAACAAGAGCAATCAGAAATGAGAGGACACCCAGGAAGCAAGATGAAGAAGAATAAGGAGGCCGAAGAAGCAGATGGTTTCAAGAAGCAGAAGGGCATGGTTTATTCATGCATTTATACTCTCAAGAAATTTTATGGAGACGCCACTATGCAGTAGATGCTAGGGACACAATGTCTCCTGCCCTGGAGGAATTTAGAGTCTAAGATAAACACGAAAATAAATGCAAAAACACATGCTACTTACTATAATAAAAATTGGTCCAGATTTCAGAGGTAAAACTCAAAAGAGAAGCTGGTAAGGGCCACGAAGTTTCAGGAAAGCCTTTGCCTGAGGAGCTTTGTGGGCTCCCACTCCTAGAAATTGATTTAATTGCTCTCGCGTGGGGCCTGGTCATTGGAAACATAAAAGCTTTTTAGACAATTCCTATATGCAATGAAGATTGATAACCACAGCATTAGTGGGTAACAAAACCAATTTAGTGAGTCTCAAACAGCAAATAATACTAAAAAGAAAATAGAGAAACACACCACAATGAGTAAAGGTAAGAATTATTAATGAAACTTGAGTTTTTAAGTATAAGGGTTTATGTGTGCTATATTGTGAAGTAAAATGCATTGAGTCCTGTAGGTAAGTTTTAAAAACAATGTTCTAGGGGACAATGCCTTGCCTGTGTTGAGAATCACTAGTATTGGCAATGAGAGCCATAAAAATGATGCTTCAAACAGCTGTATCAAAGTTGGATTGGAAGTGGGCATGAATGAAGGCAGGGAAATGAATAAGAAGTTTCCACGTTATAAGTGTAGAACTGAAATAAGTAAACTTCAAACACATTCTAATGGCTTTGTGCAGACAGGAAAGCAAGAGTTAATAGAAAAGAATAAAATATTCAGGAATACAACCACCAACATTATTAACATAAAGACATGTTCTTTTAAAGTCACTAACCCCTGTCACACAAATATGGGCTAAGAGCCTCCTTTGGCTACCATGATTGCTGCAAAAATACTGCTAGTTCTGTTACAGGCAAAATTTTCTGGACTGCATGAAGCTACTGTTAAAATAGAGATCTTAAGACTAATATAACAGACTCTTTACAGCAATAAGATAAAGACCTAAGGTCATGCCAGGCAAGGATTAAGTCACATACCCCTACACATAAAGAATCAACCATGTTCTAATTGTCAAAAGGTTTTTTCTTTTTATCTAGTAGCTAAGCAAGTACTGGCCTCGAGATAAACAATGTTAAAACAATTGCAACTCACTGACCACCAGACTCTGACTAACTGATCCCCTCCCGTTCCACAGTCCATAACTGCAACTTCAACTGGATAAGAGACTGATTTCAGTAACTTTCTCTTGATAAGAGATCACGGACCATAGGCTGGTTCTGGCCGGTCCACAGAGGCTGTACACTAAGTTCCTTCATGTCCCTGCCTCCACCTTTGATGTATAGGGCCTAATTGTAATACATTTAAATGTTAAGCTTCTACCCCAAAATGAATATAGGATGAACGTAACATGCATGTTTGCTTACTATGCTTGTGAGCGTTCCCCCTTCGTGAATATTACCTGTTGAATATGTATACATGTGGCCAACCCATTCATCATTAATTCCTGCCTTACCTTTCCTACCTCCAAGTGCCTGCCTCTGGTTTCAGCAGGGGCCTGCTTCCCAGCCTGCAGGTTGCTACCCTTTCTAAGAAATAAAGCTCTCCTAAGAAAGTGAGGATGTTACTATCTCACTCAAATATCAACAGGTGAAAAGTTTTTCAGGCAGAGAAAACAGTGAGTGCAAATGCCCTGAAGCAGAAGCATGTCCACATCTCTAGAACTGTGCTGTCTGAGACAGCAGCCATGAGCTGCATGTGGCTATCTGAATTTAAATTGGACTTAAGTCAAATTAAAAATTCTGTTCTTCAGTGTGTACTTGCCACATTTCAAGTGCCCAATAGTCACCTTATTGGACAATGCAGATATAGAACCTGTCCATCATCATAGAAAGTTCTATTGGACAGCATTGCTCTAGGACGAGCAAGAAAGCTGGTACTGCTGGAGTGGGCTGAGCAAGGGAGAGAGTAACAGATAAGGTTAAAGAGCTTAAAGGGGCACAATTGTGTAGGACTTTGAAGGTCACTGTAGGAGCTTTGGCTTCTTCTGACTGAAATAGGAAATTTGGAGTGTCTTGCAAAAAGAGTAACTTGATCTGACTTGACATTTAGAAGCATCTCTTTGGGTTGTTATTTTTGTAATAATCCAGGTGAAAGATGATCAAGGATGGAGAAGGGTGGTAGCAGTGGGGGTGGTGAAAAGTGTTTAGATTCCGTATGAACTTTGAAGTTAGAACCAACAGATTATGATGGTGAAAAGGGAGTGGAGTATATAATGATGAAGACGACTTAGAAAAATGAGACCTGTGGTTGGGGCATGGGAGAGGCTAAATTCCATTTTGGACAGATTTGACTTTGAGCATTCTGAGCATTTCAATAGCATTCACTATTGAAAGATGTCCAATGGGCAGTTGGAGAAGTGAGAGCTCAGATGGGAACACATCCTATAGAAATAAGATTCATCAGCATACTTGTAACAGATGAAGCAGGAGTGGAGGGGGAAGAATACAGGTGTCAACATTCCAATGTGATAATGATGCCTGCAAACTCAAGAGAAATGATGGAACCTGGGGAGTGGCCACAAGGTATGAAAAACACTGGTGGCTGTGAGTGCAGCCTCTACTGTAGAGAGATGAAGGGAAAACAGCTGGATGGAAATGGTTTTAATGAGAGCAGAGAATGGGATGTTATCAAGACAGGAAAATGTAATAAACTAAGGCACTTCTCATCACTTACAGGGAGTTTCTAAAATAATTGTTTATTAGTTCCAGACAAATCCTAGTGTTATTTGTAATAAACATTGTGACAAACAACATGTTTTTTTAAAATTCAGAGTTTAGTTAGGCCACTGGGCAAAAAAAAAGGGGTAAATACTGTATACATGTTAGAATTTCTTATTCTCAACCTCCTGAGACTAAGTAGTAGGTACTTTTAAAATTAGTTGGGGGGAACCCAAGTCTTTTATGATAAAGAGGTCATTTTAACTTTCCAGAATTCTTAATGGAGAAGGAATGGTCAGCGCTTGTTCTTTAAAAGGGAGCAAAGGACTGAACAGGAAGCACTAGAAAGGAAGGCTAAGGAGAAAGCTGTAGCTGCTCTTTGAGCTCCCCTCCACTTCAGGAGCACTGGTTAAAGGGTGAATGGGGAAGCCTAAGGACCTCATAACAGGCAGGATCTCAGAAACAAGCTAATCTAGGCTCAAAAACTTAAAATCTGAACAGGAAATTTACATATCATCTAGACCAATCTCTGCTATTTCACAGATGAGGTACTAAGACCAAGAGAAGTTAAATAATTTGACTCCGTCATTCAGCTAGTTCTATGCAGAGCCAAATGTAGAAACAAGGGGGGGCTAATTTCCGGTCCACAGTTCTTTTGCCTGGCCGCTCCACTTATTATGTAAGAGGGGAAATCCCTATTTAAGACGGACCGACCGAATGTAAAGCAAATTCAACACTCACCGTTCTATTTGGGGGAAGGGGGGAATTATGGGGAGGCAGGGTGCGAGTAGGGATTAATGAGATTTGAAAAGTGCTCATGGGTTTGGTGACAGAATACTGGCTTCTCACAAATGCCTGGAAAAAGGCCTGAATCCGCCCTGGTGTTGGAACTGTGCCTCAATTTCCAGGCCCACCAGCACGCAAGTGAAACCCGCAACGTTAACA
Source organism: Homo sapiens (assembly GCF_000001405.40). Taxonomy (NCBI): domain Eukaryota; kingdom Metazoa; phylum Chordata; class Mammalia; order Primates; family Hominidae; genus Homo; species Homo sapiens. The sequence continues at coordinate 52,052,298 of NC_000004.12, read as the reverse complement.
AGTGTCCGTTTCGCTGATTTCTGGGTAAATAACTCCTGGGTGTGTGTTTATACAAATCCATTCTGATACAAACCCTGGGCAGGAGAGGGTTGTAGTAAAAAATAATTCGGGATTGGGGAAGCAGGCGGTGTGGATTGCGCTGGCAAGGGGGATGGGAAAGAGTGGCAGGCATGACCAGACCAGCCGCGGACAGCAGGGCTTCCCTATTGCTAGGTCGCCGGCGTCCTTAGTTACCACTGATTGGAAGCACTCTCCAGTCTCCGCAGCCTAGTGCTGCGCTCCGCAGGCCGCCTGCGCGCCGCCTCCCGAAGCTCTGAGACAAGGGCATGTACACACATGTCCTTCCTTCCCCAGCGATCCCGGTCGAAAGCTGAGATCCTGGTTAGGAATCGCAACCGCGGAGGCTTTGCAAAGTGGCCACCAACTCCAGCCCTAAGAAATCCCCGACAAGGGCTGTGCTGGAACCTATGGGAGGGCGAACCCCGGGGGTTTTTCACCCAGACTCACGTTGTACTCCTTCAGCCAGAAGTCTAGCTTTTCCTGCAACGTTCGTAAAGTTTCGTTTGAGACCAGTCTTTTCAGGTTTTCCGCCATCGCTCACTATTCCTCTCGGCCCCACGCTGCGCGATGGAGACTTGGGGGGACCAGGCGGTGGCCTCCGCAGGACCGTGGGGTGATATGGCGGGAAGGGTGTTCTCTTCTGGGGGGCTCAGAGCGCGGCAGGTGTTTCCATCCTCCCCCTCGGGTCGGACCTGGCCGGGTTCGGGAAGCCAGAGGGGAGGTGCCCTGGGCCGCAGCCGCCGCGCCTCATCCGCCGTCCCGCGCGGTCTCCTGGCTCCCCAGCAGCCGCCTGAGCCCGGCCATAGATACCCTGGCGATTATTAAACAAACCTTGACGTGGACGGGTTGGCTGCCAGGGACGCGCGCGGCCCGCGTCGTGGCAACGCCCGCGCCGCCCCGCCCTGGGTGACAGCCGCGCGCCCCAGGGGTGGACTGAGACGCGCAGCCGCGCGGGCTGGAGGGCAGCAGGGCGTCTACAGCATTCCTCCCCATTCGGGGTTCTGGGTGCCCACGCGTGTCCAGAAAAGCAGAAGTTAAGTCTCTATAGAAGTTTGGGGCTAGGCTCTCAGGAGATCACCTCTTTGGCCCCTTTATTCTTTCGCCTTTCATTCCTTTAATTCTTCATTTGTAGCGCCTTGGGTTTACCTGTATGAAACTTGTAACTAAAATTTCAGTACTTCTTACTTCTAGCTTTTACTTTGTTCCTTGACCCACTGGGTGGGTACCCAAGTTAATAGAGTTTAGCTCCAGGATGTTCACAAATTAAAGTTAATCCCTCAGGTTTGGATAAGATTTGGCAGTATGTATTTTAGTACTTTTTTTTTTAGAGTCATTGAGCACTCTAAAGCTTCATTTAATTCTGAATTCTCTAATTGGGACTTTCTTGACCTAGTTTGGCACTATTTCAAAAGTGTGTATTCTGCTACAGAAACAGGTTCAACTACTTAGGAAACCATTTCGACCATCTTTAAGCGCTTTCGAAGCAAGCTCTTTTATATACCATCAAAAAATGTGCTGATTATAAATCATTCCTATCCATTCATTAAAACAGCGGTGGGGAGCAGAGCCTCAGCTGGTTAGCTAGCTAGTTTAACTTAGTTTCATCTCTGTAGGTACTTGAAAATCTGTGAACACTGCATATATTCAAGTATTGTAAAATCAAGAATTTTCACCACCTCTCATTTTTTATTTCTCTTGATTACAGTGGCTTTACTATCTGCTAATGAAAATGAAAGGCTCAGTTTTGGAGCCTGTGTTCCTACTATTTTCTGTAGACCACAAAATAAGGACTATAGGGGTATAACATGTTATTTGATTGGAGTAGAATAATAATTTCTAATGTTAAAAATACCCACTCAACAAAACAGCTAAATATTCATTAAACAACTTCATATATATATATATATATATATATATATATATGTAAAATGAATTGAGAAAAACTTCAAATTTCTCAATTTGGACCTAATAATTACATATTTCTACAGGCATTTGGAATCTTTGAACAGTCCCATTTACTTATTCATAAAAACCCATATTGGAACATTTATGTCAGATAAATTAGAGGTAAAGGATTTTTCCTTGCTGTGAGCACCTTAATTAGCCTGTAATCCTTGGTTTCATCATCTGTAAAAGGAAAATAATTCTCTCATAGGATTATTATGAAACTTAGTAAGATAATTCATGTATTTAGTACAATGCTTGGCAAAATGCAGTAGCAATTGCTCTAGTAATTGCTGTTTATTAAATATAAACTAATACTGGCCTACATTTGCTATTATTAAGAATGTGGATTAGTATGTTTATATTTAATAAAGAAAACTAGTTGTAAACAATCTAAACCTCCAACAATAGGGTAATGGTTAAGCAAATAATGAAATGTTGCACACTAAAAATCTTGTTGTTGTAGAATATATACTATCTACAAATTTTCACTATAACGAAAAAGGCAGAACACTAAATTGTATACACTGTGTTAAATTACACAATGTGAACCCAAGGTATAATTGTGGGTTATTTTAATTGCTCTTTTATATTTTTCTGATTTTTTCAAGTTTCTATCATGAATATGAATTGTTTGTATGAAAACTTATTCAGAAAAAAGTTACCCCAAACAGTTACTAACATGGTTTGGCTGAGTCCTTGCCAAAATCTCATCTTGGATTCCACGTGTTGTGGGAGGGGTCCAGTGAGAGGTAATTGAACCATGGAGTCAGGTCTTTCCTGTACTATTCTCGTGATAGTGAGTAAGTCTCACAAGATCTGGTGGTTTTGAAAAAGGGAATTTTCCCTGCACAAGCTTGCTGCCGCCCATATAAGATGTTACTTGCTCCTCCTTGCCTCCCACCATGATTGTGAGGCCTCCCTCGCCATGTGGAACTGTAAGTCCATTCAACCTCTTTCTTTTGTAAATTGCCCCGTCTCAGCAGCTTGTAAACCAACTAATACAGTAAATTCTTATGGGGATTGCAGCGCCACTGAAAATATATCCAAAAATGTGGAGCACTTTAGGAACTGAGTAACTTTCTGGAACTGAGTAACAGGCAGAGGTTGGAACAGTTTGGAGGACTCTGAAGAAGACAGGAAAATGTAGGAACGTTTCGAACTCCCTAGAGTCTTGTCAAATGGCTTTGACCAAAATGCTGATAATGATATAGACTATGAAATCCAGGCTGAGGTGGATGGAAATGAGGAATTTGTTGGGAACTGGAGCAAAGGTGACTCTTTTTATGTTTTAGCAAAGAGACTGGCAGCATTTTGCCCCTGACCTAGAGATTTGTGGAACTTTGAACTTGAGAGAGATGATTTAGGTTATCTGGCAGAAGAAATTTCTAAGTAGCAAAGCATTCAAGAGGTGACTTGGGTGCTGTTAAAGGCATTCCATTTTGAAAGGGAAGCAGAGCATAAAAGTTCAGAAAATTTGCAGCCTGACAACGCAATATAAAAGAAAATCCCATTTTCAGAGGAGAAATTCAAGCGGGCTACAGAAATTTGCATAAGTAACAAGGAGCCAAATGTTAATCCCCAAGACAATGGTGAAAATATCTCCAGGGCATGTCTCCAGGGCAGCCTAGGGACTTGATGCCCTGCGTCCCAGCCACTCCAGCCATGGCTGAAAGGGGCCAATGTAGAGCTCTGGCCATGGCTTCAGAGAGTACAAGCCTCAAGCCTTGGGAGCTTTCATGTGGTATTGAGCCTGCAAGTACACAGAAGTCAAGAGTTGAGGTTTGGGAACCTCTGCCTAGATTTCAGAAGATGTATGGAAACACCTAGATGCCCAGGCAAAAGTTTGCTGCAGGGGTGGGGCCCTCATGGAGAACCTCTGCTAGGGCAGTGCAGAAGGTTAATGTGGGGTGTGAACCCCCACAAAGAGTCCCTACTGGGGTGCTGCCTAGTGGAGCTGTGAGAAGCCTCTGTCCTCCAGACCCTAGAATGGTATATCCACAGAAAGCTTGTACTGTGTGCCTGCAAAAGCCACAGACACTCAACACTGGCCTGTAAAGGCAGCCCAGAGGGAGGCTGTACCCTGCAAAGCCACAGGGGCAGAGCTGCCCAAGACCATGGGAACCCACCTCTTGCATCAGCATGACCTGGATGTGAGACATGGGCTCAAAGGAGATCATTTTGGAGCTTTAAGATTTGACTGGCCAGATGCGGTAACACACACCTGTAATCCCAGCACTTTGGGAGGCTGAGGTGGGTGGGTCACCTGAGGTCAGGAGTTTGAAACCAGCCTGGCCAACATGGCAAAACCCTGTCTCTACTTGAGCGTGGTGGCGGGTGCCTGTAATCCCAGCTACTCAGGAGGCTGAGGCAGGAGAATCACTTGAACCTGGGAGATGGAGGTTGCAGTGAGCTGAGATCACACCACTGCATTCCAGCCTGGGTGACAGAGCAAGACTCTGTCACCAAAAAAAATAAATAAATAAATAAATAAATAAATAAATAAATAAATAAATAAAATAAAAATAAAAAAATTTGACTATCCCACTGGATTTCAGACTTGCATGGGGCCTGTAGCCCCTTTGTTTTGGCCAATTTCTCCCATTTGGAATGGCTGTATTTACCCAATGCCTGTATCCCCATTGTATCTAGGAAGTAACTAACTTGCTTTTGATTTGATTTGATTTTTTTTTTTTATTATACTTTAAGTTCTAGGGTACATGTGCACAACGTGTAACTTGCTTTTGATTTTAAAGGCTCATAGGTGGAAGGGACTTGCCTTCTCTAGGATGAGACTTTGGACTTTGGACTGTGGACTTTTGAGTTAATGCTGAAATGAGTTAAGACTTTGGGGAACTGTTGGGAAGGCATGATTGCTTTTGAAATGTGAGAACATGAGATTTGGGAGGGGTCAGGGGGCAGAATGATATGGTTTGGCTGTGTTCCCACCCAAATCTCATCTTGAATTTCCACAGGTTGTGGGAGGGACCCAGTGGGAGGTAATTGAACCATGGAGGCAGGTCTTTCCTATGCTGTTCTCCTGATAGTGAATAAGTCTCCCAAGATCTGGTGTTTTTTAAAAAAGGAGAGTTTTCCTGCACAAGCTATCTCTGCCTGCTGCCATTCATGTAAGATGTGACTTGCTCCTCCTTGCCTTCTGCCAGGATTGTGAGGCATCCCCAGCCATGTGGAACTGTAAGTCAATTTAACCTCTTTCTTTTTTAAATTGCCTAGTCTTGGGTATGTCTTTATCAGCAGCATGAAAATGGACTAATACAGTTACCCCCAAATTTTACAACCCTCAGAAAGAAAAATATTGGCTAAAATACCAGTATTTAAGCAGCTCCCTCAAAACAGAACACACTTTGACTAAATGTCTGTATTGCTCATTTAATAATTAGACTTACAGTGTCTTAAGATAGAATAGATCTTCGAAATCACCTTAGCATATGCTACGTGATATTTATCTCTACATATGCCCCAGTGCCACAATTAGATTCAAGACCTTTAAGACCTGCAGTCATTTCATGTACATCTTGGCTTCCCTAGAATTCAAGGATGTGTTGTGTATAGCAGGAACTTGTGTTTATGATAAGAAGCGTTGGTCTTCCTCCTGCTGATCAAAATAAAGGAAATGTTTCACATGTTTATTCATTATTTACCCTCTCTACCCTAGTACTTCCAAAAAAGGATCTGAGATGGCTTATAGTAAGACACTTGAAAATACTGTCAGATTAGTAATATTTTTAAAGGAAAAAGCAAATATGCCCAAAATGTACGCCCATGTACTAAGAGCGTCATTTTATATTATTTTTCTGGGCTTAGTGGAAGCCAAAGCAGAAAGGAAAATGAGTTTTATGATAATGATTGATGTTTAAAGTACACATACTAGCTGTTTCAATGAAAACATATTTTATTGGTACCAATCTACAATGTGTTTGCTCATTTCCAAAGAGTATTGGACAACCTAGATGAAAGATCTCTTAATAAATTTTTTTAAAAAATATGTAGAAAAAATCTTGATATTATTGTTTTGTGAAACCACCTTTGATGAATGCTGAAGGAGTAACGCTAGAACAGCTCATCAAAGAGCAGGCCAAGTAATTGACACTCCATTTTTAGTTCTCAGGTGATGTTATTTGATACAAGCTTAGAACTTGCATACCTGTTGGAATAAGTGGATGTCTTCGTAAATGCCGTTAATGATGGTCCCCTCTGCAGAGCTTTTGATGGGTGCTAAATAGCAATCAATTTAAGAGAGAGCAAAAGCCTAGAGTGCAAATAGTTTATATTGCTAATTAAAGAGTCCATGTGTGTTAAATTATAAGCATGTAGTCAATATGGCTGAGATTCTATTTTAAAAGTTGATAAGTCTTGGCCGGGAGTGGTGGCTCACGCCTATAATCTCAGCACTTTGAGAGGGCAAGACAGGCATATTACTTGAGGCCAGGAGTTTGAAACCAGCCTGGCCAACATGGCAAAACCCTGTCTCTACTAAAAATGTAAAAATTAGGTGGTGCACATCTGTAGTCCCAGCTACTCGGGAGGCTGAGGCATGAGAATCACTTGAACCCAAGAGGCGGAGGTTGCAGTAAGCCAAGATGGCGCCACTGCACTCTTGTCTTGAGTGACAGAGTGAGGAGACTCTGTCTCAAATAAATAAATAAATAAAAGTTGATAAGCCTCGTTTTTTTCACATATGACAGAAAATATCCGATAAGTAATGATTCTCTTTGGGGAATATTCTGATGCTCAAATTTTGTCCTAATTTGATTATTTTAGGACATTACCAATTAAGCAATTTTGGGAGAAGTTGAAAGAACAGCAAACTCAAAACATAAACACTGTTGCTTTATCTCACACTCTGCCAATTAGTGAATTCTTATGACTTCATATAAATCTTTAATCACTTGGAGACATTTTTTTCATCTATAAAATGAGTAATATGGAATAGATGAGCTCCCAGATCCCCTGCAGTTCTGACAGTCTTTAATACTGTTTTACCATACTGATTAGGTTCAAGATTGAGCAAATCTTGATCTTTGTTTCAATTTTTGGTTCATAGTTCACCTTAGGTCAAGCATTGATTTTGGGCGCATTAGCCAATCACCAAAAGTTGGGCTCCCTTTTTTAGTAAAATTTATTCTGCCAGCTTGCTAGAATAACTACTATTTCTAACCTCCAGTCAAGGAAGTTCTCTATAGTTGCACTTTTAACAAATTTAAACCCAGCTTAAACTGATAAACTTTTCCTAATTACCTCAACCCCTCAGAGCTCATCACTTTCTTCTTTATGCTTTCTCTCTTTAACTTTTGGACATGTTAATATTCTTGCAATTATCATGCTATATTATATTTATTTGCTTCCTATCTAAGCTTTTGAGCTTCATGAGGAAAAGGAGAGAGGCTTATTTAGCTTCATATCCTCAGCACAGCAACTGGCACATAAGAAAGAAGAAACAAGTTGGGAGCCAGGAGGAGGAAGAGAGGAAGGAAAAGGAAACAGATTGGAAAGGAAAGGATGTGATTGGCTGCTTTGTATCTGATGTCATAATCCACTGAGATAGAAGGCAATTTTAACAGCCAATTCGTGGTTCTTACGGTGTCATAATTCTACTACCTAGCCAGGAGTGATTTGTTCTAGAAAGGATAATGTGTCAAGTACGTAGATGGAATAGGGTTTTTGTTTGTTTTTGAGACGGGGTTTCACTCTCGTCACCCAGGCTGGGGTGCAATGGCATCATCTTGGCTCACCTCAACCTCCATCTCTCGAGTTCAAGCAATTCTTCTGCCTCAGCCTCCCGAGTAGCTGAGATTACAGGCATGCACCACTACGCCCGGCTAATTTTATATTTTTAGTAGAAACGGGCTTTCTCCATGTTGGTCAGGCTGCTTTCAAACTCATGACCTCAGGTGATACGCCCACCTCGTCCTCCCAAAGTGCTGGGATTACAGGCGTGAGCCACCATGCCCGGCCTTGGAATAGATTTTAATTTTGTCTACCCTGGATTTTTACCTACATCAGTCAGCTTGAAAGATTTTTAATTGGGCATTTTAAGAAGCCAACAAAAGATGAGCTGAATCCACTGCCTGAAGTGAGAGCTGAAGTGAGAGCTATGTATATTTAGTTCACACTACACCAAACATAAATATATGCAATAAATTACAGGGGATTATATTACGCAGTAGGATTTTCATCTTAATTTCAAGTCTTCTTCACTAAGGACAGTTGCTAACCCTTAGCCAGGGGCTGATAAGAACAACCTGTGTTTGGCTTGGATGCTCTTTTAAGCACTCCTCATCCTTTCCTGGCTGAGCCACGGTATTCTTCTCCTTCTGCTGTCTGTGTTTGGATCTTGTGTCTTTGGATCAGGGCCTGTATTACTATTTGAAGAAAATCTTTTAGTCTTTGCTGACCCACTTGCATAAAGTTGCCTTTAAATGCAATGTTTATCCAAGGTATTGCTTAGGCCCTTTGTGCTCAGAGGCACTTTGTTCTTGTAGGTAGCAAAACACTTCTTTGTCCACTTAAGTGTTTTCTAACCTGAGTGTTCTGTATTCTCCTTTCAGGAGTTCTGTTTTGTCCTTTTCTCTGCCACATTAAGGGAAAGGAAAATATTTTCTAAAAAACACCCATTGGAGAACAAATGAATTTATTGGGAACTGAGTGGGAGGCAGGTTCCCCCACTGACAGAAGGAAGAATGCTGTTTGCTGTGTCATACCAAGGAGCACTACCCACACAGAGCAGCAGTTCAGAATTTTTTTGTACAATTATTTCATGTGCACTATTGATTAAACTATAAAAACAAGAGGAAATTTTAAATATATCACAAGTGTATCACCTTAGCCCCTAAATAAACTATAGAACATTTGCAACAAATACAGATTAGAAGGAGAAAAAACCCAAGGTAGATGTAGTGTGATTTTGGAGAGCTGCAAAATATTTTTCCTATCGCAACCCAGGTTTCCATCATAGGTTTTTCAGAAAAGAAGGCGTCCTCACCCTCCATCTTTTCAGCTCTGCTAGCTAAATGCAATGGCAAGGTCATGGTTCTGTGAAAATCCCCCGAGGAGGAGTAAGCTCAGGACATATCAAGCTATTGCAGAGACACAGTGGATATGGTCTACCTTGCAAGATGTCCTTAAGCACATCAGGAGAGGGATATGGGATAGCACGAGATAGTCCCTAGGATGAGTGATGTTGAAATAGATCCTTTTCAGCACTTTTAATAAACATTTACTGGATTTCTAGTGTGACACAACCATCTGCCTTAAGCATGGACAGAATTAAGCTCAGTCTCTGTTCCCTAGAATCTCATAATCTATTCAAGAAAGAGAAAAGCAACCATACTTCAATGTTGTCAGTTAGAGTAGATAAACGTTCTGCGGAAACAATGACTCCTCCTTTGCCTCCTTTCCCATCTTCTGAAAAAGGATCAGGGAAAGTCATAGAAAGGTAATGTTTAGAGCCTGTTTTGGAAGGATGGAGAGACGTTCACCAGGAAGAGAAGAGCAACTTGAAACAGGAAGAATCATAGCAAAGAGGCATGAAATTGAATGGAGGGGCAGAAAATGACAAATAGTAGTCCAATGTGACTACAGAGTAGTCAGGGAATCAGAGACAAGACTGCAAAGATAGTCCTGGTTTCAACTATGATGGGTCTTATGTATCAGGCTAAAGGAATTGATCTTTATTTCATAGGCAGTGGGGAGGCAGCAAAGGGCTGTAAATAGAAAAACTGTATGATTGGGTCTCTTTTATATCACATTGGAGGTCACAGAGGTTAAGTATGGAAGGGGCAGAACTGGACCCTTGAAAGAGCACTTAGAAGACACAGAGATGAGGGTTAGTCTAGTGGCCTTCTCTGGGGTATGGTATGGTGAGCATTAGATACCGATGTCAGAGATACTTAGATGCTAGTAATATTTTTTACCCAATAGAAAAAATTAATTTAATATTCATCAGAGCTATTAAGTATGTATTATATACTTGGTTCTTAATGTGTTCAGGACTTAGAGCAACATGGAAAATAATAACACATTACCTCTGCTTTGTAAGGAACTCAGTCTAATCAGAAGCAAACTGTATATGCATGAAAAGTAAAGTAACAAGATACTGCACTAAGTATCAAATGGGTGTTACAGCAAATTAGTGCAATAATAGTTAAAAGGAAAGAGGAATAAGGACTGGCTGTGATTGTCAGGAGGAGGTAGGACTGAGGTTGGTTCTGAAAAATGGGAAGAATCTGGAGAGGCATGAATTCACAGATAACTAAAACAGATGGACAAATAAATAAATTTCAGTATAGTGTGATGTGACAATAGCAGCATGCTTGGGGATCACAGAGAGGTCCACACAAATCAGAAATGTATGATTGGGAGAAGGTTTAAGAAAGGCTTTTCAGAAAAGATATCCCTTGATCTGAGTTTTAGTGGACAAGTAGAGACAGCTAGATTAAAAGGAGAAAGAGCCACATATGCAAAGGAACAGAGCCATTAAGAACTTGAGTTCGGGCAAGCAGATGGGGGCTGCAAATATTGCACAGGGATAAAGGGATAGATTACTTTGTCTCTGATTCCCTGACTCCTCTGTAGTCACGTTGGATGTGTGTGTGGGACAGGCAGGAAACAAGGCTAGAAAGGGGCAGAAGGACCAAAAGTTTCTAACCTTTTGGTGAAGGACCAAAATTTGGTGAAGGACCAAATATAAGGAGCTTAAATTTTATCATGAAAGGTATTGGAGTATGGTAAGCTTGAGGGTGAGGAGTGACATGATCAGATTTGTATTTTAGAAAGATCATTCCAGAAATAGTATAGAACTACTTTGAGGTGTCTGACTAGATGGTGATATCATTCACTAAGGGAACACAGGAGGACCAGATTGGGAAGAAAGGTTTTGAGTTCAAATTTTTCATGTGTTGAACTTGAAGTGTGTATTTGTAACACACAAACTTGGTGGCTTTAAACAACAGAAATTTGTTGTCTTACAGTTCCAGAGGTTAGAAGTAAGAAATCAGAGCCTTCTGGAGGCTCTAAGCGTATATCTGCTCCATCCCTCTTTCTTAGCTTCTGGTAGCGGTTGGCAATTATTGGTATTCCTTGCCTAGTAGAGTGATCACTCCAATCTCTGCTTCTATGTTCATATCATCTTAGTGTATGTTGCCATTCTGTCCTCTTATAAGGATAAGGGCTCATCCTAAATTCAGAGTGATCTCAAGATCCTTAAAAACATCTGTCTTAGTTCATTTGGGCTGCTATAACAGAATATGGACTAGGTGGCTTATAAACAACAGAGCTTTATTTCTCACAGTTTTGGAGGTTGGGACATCCAAGATCAACATGCTTAGAGATTTAGTGTCTGGTGAAGGCCTGTTTCCTGATTCATAGATGTCACTGTGTCCTCACATGGTGGAAGAAACAAACCAATTCTCTTGGATCTATTTTATAAAGGCACTAATCCTATTCATGAGAACTAATCATGAATAGTGATAGCTAATCACCCATCATTTCCTTCTATGATGTGAATGTGTCCCCAAAAATTCATGTTCGGAAATTTAATCTCCAATGCAACAGCATTGGGTGGTGTTGCCTTTTGAGAGCTGTTCAGGTCATAGGGGCTTGGCATTCCTCCCCTCAGGATGACAAGGTGTTCAAGGTAACATCCTGGAAACAGAGACCAGACCCTCATCAGACAACTGAACCTGCTTGGACTTCTCAGCCTCCAGAACTGTGGGAAAATAATTTTTTGTGCTTTATAAATTCTTCACTCTCAGATGGTCTGTTATAGAAGCACAAAGTGGACTAAGTCAGCTTCTAAAGGCCCTACCTCCTAATATCATCACACTGGGGGCTAAGATTTCCACATGTGAAATATTCAGGGGAGACACAAACATTCATTCTATAGCAATCTGCAAAGACTCTGTTTCAAAGTAACACCACGTTCACAGATACTGGAGGTTAGGACTTGGATATGCCTTTTTGCAGGGCACTATTCAAACCACTGCAAAGTGAACAAAGGTGTAAGTGTCTTCATAATCTGACTCATACTCCAGCCCTGGGGACCTGTGTTTTGTGCTTCCAAATGCTAATATCATGCAACAGTCAAAAGAAAGAGCAAAATTAAAGGCTGTGATGTATGGTAGAAAGAGCAAAGACTAGTCAGATGGACCTAGATTCAATACTGGCTCTTTAGGAGTTGAAAAGATGGTCAGCCATTTAACCTCTACAAGCCTTGATTTCTTCATTTGTAAAAGAGGCATTGCCAGGCACAGAGTTGACTTTAAATGTCATTATTTCAGGGGAAAAAAGGCTGACAATAGTACATTTGAAAATAACCCACATTAAAATGTGGTCATGTGAGTGAATTGGATCTCTTTAAAAGAGAATAGAAATTGGCATTAAGAATAGTGGGATGTCCTGTCAGAGATGGACATCAGCGATGAGGAAAGAATCCAAGAGAAGGTGATATTCAAATAGCCAAAGGAGCATTTGGTTTCAGGAAAATTGGCTACCAGGTATCTCACCACCTAAGTGGGAGGGAGGTTGGCAAAATCAAGTCAGGGCTTAGAAATTGGGATACTGGGCAGATTTCTAAGATATCTATTAAGTTTAATTACTGTGCTAGACATTGGAGATTAAACGATGAGTAAGACACCTACCTTCCAGATAGAACACACCATCTTTTGAATGAAATCAGCAGGTAGACAAGATAAAAATACAATGCAATCTGAAGTGCTAGAAAAGGCTAGGCACACAGTTAAGGAACAGATCTGTGGGAGCCTCTGAAGCCTTTAGAGAAAATATGACGTTTGAATAGAATAGTTCTTGAAGGATGAATAAGAGTGCGCGTGCCAGGGAAGAAGAACTTTCCCAGCAGAGAGAAAAACGCAAAGCTTAGGAATTAAGGACTAGAAGATAGGAACTCAGAATCAGTTAAAAGCCCAGTTGTGCAAATTGATCAATGAGACCACAGGCAGAATATTAACACAGAGCCTTACTGCTGACTCCTGCATCATTGGGCTTTAACTTAGAATTTTCCTGCCTAAAATGCATGTTTGTCCCACAGACTCAGAGAGGAGTGAGTCTAGAGATATGAGTCAAGTGGTTCCAGCATTTAGGAAAAAAGAAATGCAGAGAGACTGATGACCAGCTAGGTACTGACTCCCACTGAATTAGACAGTACTAGGGCCCAAAGGTGCTTATTAGAAGTGATTCAGCTACATGAGGAACAGTTGCTATTGACTTCACTGCATTTTTTTTCAGCTAAAATAATTATTGGATTATATCTACAACAGGGAACAATGAATGTCTACTCAAGTAACTCGTACATTTGAGTGGCTTCCCGGTGTTCAGTAAATGTCCGTTCAATTAGGTTCCCGAGGATATACATGGTAACACTATCTCCAACACTAAATGAAAAATCCATCCCCAGTATCGCAGGATAAAAACATCAGACTTCATAGGCCTCCGAAGTCAAGCAGCCCGAAGGATTCAACGTCCTCCTTGAGGACTCTCAGTCTTCAAGACTCCAGCCACCTAAGTGACCACTCGTTCACTTCTGCCCACGCAGTCACCACGCCGGTCCGCGTCCACTTGTGGTCTCGATATCGGCCCCTCCCACCCTAGCCAAGGAGACCTTGGTCCGAGAAACAAAGAGAGCCTCACAGCTCCGGATGGCACCGATCTTTCAGCGATGGGGAACAAAGGGGAAGGGGAGAAGCGTCCTCGATTTTTGAGGGTGCCCTTTCTGAGGAATCTGCAGGCGGCCCGGGGTGGAGCGGAATCCCCATAGGCCCCTTCTGGCCCCTGTGCAATACAACGCGCCCCAGGCCAAGGTCCTAGGTGCAGGGGCCGCCGCAGAGCCTGAGCCCGCAGGGCTGGGATGCGGGTCGTCAGGGATGCGGGCTGGGGAGGGGAGGGTGTGAGCAGCGGGTGCCCCCAGTCCCCGCCAGGGCGCAAGCGCAGGCGCGCAGGGTGCGGTCGCGGAGGGGCGGGCACAGTCGGGCGGGGAGCTCGGCGGCGGCGGGCGCGGGAAGATGGCGGCAGCGGCGGCGGCGGCTGCAGAACAGGTCTGTGAGTACCGCCGCGGCCGCGGGCTGGAGGAGCGGGGGAGGCCGCGTCCTGCCGGCTGGGCCCGCGGGAGCCCTGGCCGGGGGTGCGGGGGGCGCGGGCCGCAGGGTCTGGGTTCGGCGGGGCCGATCGGGGCGGGGCGGGGCGGGAGGAGCTGTGCCCCGCCGAGGATGCTGGCACAAGCTAGGGACCAGGAGCCAGGGGCGGCCTCGGGCTCGGCCCGGCCTGGCTGATCCTCGGAGGGGGTGAGGAGGGGTCTCCTTCCGGAGAGCCTGGGAGGCGGTCGAGCCAGCCTGGAAGCCTGCGCTGGGACGTGCCAGGGACGTACCCCGTTCAGCCGCCAGCAGAGATTTGGATAAAAATAACCGCAGCCCCAGCGAGAAGGCTCCTCTTACAAGAAACGGGTCAGCTGTTGCCCCGGTGTCAGCTTGCCATCTTTGTTTTTTGTTTCTGCCATCTCCAATATGCAGACATCCCAGATTTCCCCTCACGCTTTGGTTTTTGAAGATTTAGTCACCAGTCTAAAACTATCTCCTGTTCACTTTTAAAAATGATTTATCCAAGATTTCCTGACCTGCATTGTAAACTTGTAACTTAGAATGGTTTAAAAGGCTCCTCATCCCCCCAAAATCTAGTTATACGTATGCATACATGTACATGCATATGTGTGTGTGTTAATATATACATACACGTAATCGCTAGGGTGATTTATTGTAATACAGATAATTTTCAGTAACTTTCCCCCTTACCTAACTTACTTTTCCTTTGAACAATTATAGTAGTTTCTCTTTAAAAAGTCTCATTCTAAAACATTGTTGAAAAAAATGAGTCAAGTTTTGACCTTTGGAACGATTTTCTTAGATAATTAACTTTTTAGAGACCTATTAGATATATGTCACTGGAGGGCTCATTCTGAAGATAAAAGACGTAAAATCTCTCTTCAAGGAGCTTAAAGTCATACAGCCAAATACATGCAGAAAAAATCAGCTAAAGACAATAGGCAGGCTGCAGATTTGTAACAGTAAAATAAAACATAGAGGAATGAGTGAAACTGAAAGGAGACAAAACTTCTTGGAGTTGGTATTTAAATTGTGCCTTGGCTTTCCTCATTTCCCGCCTAAGTTATCAGCTTCTGTTTCAGATGATTGTTTTTCCATCTGGTTCTATTTTTGCTTTACACATAAGTGGGGCAGTCTGATCCGTTACTCAGTCTCCACTTCAAATTTACGCATTACGTCTCCAGCCCTGAACTTAACTGAATTTTCCATAGGCACCTCAAACTCAAAAATGTTCAAAACTGGACTCTGTCATACTTACTATTAAAAAGGCTACAACCATCCATTCACTTGTTTAACCTAGCCAGAAACTTAGGACCAAGGCCATTTTAAGGGAGCTGAGAAGGACCTGCACTTGGTTTAATGTTCTGCTGTCCTGGGCTTGAGATTTAAACAGTGAGCCCCACATTTTCTTTTCCCCCTGGGCCCCACAAATTATATAGCCAGTCCTATTTGGGAGTCATCTTCGACCCCTTTGTGCCACACTCATATCCAAACAATCACGAGATCCTGACAGTTCTACCTCTTAACACCTTTCCCCAGACTTCAGCTTCAAAGTCAAACCTCAGTCAGTACCTCATTGGGACTCTTAGAGAAACCTGCTGTTGATATCTTCACTTCTAGGCTCTTCAGTTCCAGTTCATCTCTTTTTGGAGTGATTTTACTACAATGCAAATCTGATTGTATAGGAAACCTATTTTAACTCTTCAGTAGTTCCCCTTTGCCTTCAGGATAAAGTCCATTGTTCTTGTCATGGTATTTATGTTGCTTACTGGCCCCTAAGCACATCTCTCATTGTATTTCTTGCTTCATCCCTACACCTATCCTTCTCACCATCCACATAAAGTGACCAAAATTAGTTCTCCCAGAGATGGTTGCCTCTCAAAGTCTCCATGCTTCTTCCTCTGCCTAGAGTGACCTTCTTAGCTCTTTTGCCTGGTTAACTCCTGTCCATCCTTCAAGAGTTAACTCAACCTTCAGCTTTTCTTAGAAACTTTCCCTGATGCCCTTGCCTGCTAGGTGGAGATGCATTCCTCTTCTGTACCCTTTCTGTATTGTATGCATTGCTCCACTACAGCACTTGTCATGCTTTGTGAACTGTTAGTCACCTTGTCTGTCTACCTGACTGGCCTGTAATTAAGCTCCTTGAGGGTGGACACTATGTTCATCCTGGTAGCTTGGAGCACCTGGCTTATAGTAACTATTCAATAAATGTTAAATGCATCAAGATGAAGACAGTAATGTGCATGGTTTGGCAGAGAAGAGTAAAGACTACGTCTCAGGAGGGATGAATTTTGTCCTTTCTCTCTTTTATGTGGACCTATATTCAAACTTTGGCTAACACTTTTAAGTTGCCCATCTGTTAGGGCTGTCAGAAGCCTGAGGTTCTTTTTTGGAACCTGACTACAAATTCTGTTAAGTCTTCTCTTAAAGTATCTACTTAATCTCTCCTTTTTCATCCCACTTTAGTTTAGGTCCTCTTAACCTCAATCCTCCATTACTACAACATCCCCAGCAGCTTACTTACTGGTACTCCTCTTTCTTCTCTCTCGTACAAATGCCCACACCTTTAACACTCTGAATTTGTGCTCAAAAACCTCCAGTGACTCCCAATTAAATAGAACATAAAGACTAGAATTTGTACCCTGCTGTCCAAGAACCTTCACAACCTGGCCCTACTTTTCCAACTTCCTCTTCCCTGCCTTGCCATATCTGACCCATCTACTTCTCCCCATTTCCCTAACAACTCCAGGTCATCCTGTCTCTCCTCCCTTTGAACTCTGCAGTGTGTATTGCCTAGACTATTGATTTTGGCACCTGAACATACAGAGTGCTTTATTGCATTGTTAAATATTTTATGTTAACATGTACACAAATCATATCTGTTAATACATAGAGGATAAGGACCCTTTCCTATAGTTCTTTTGTATTCCTATCTATGGAATTAGTGTTTAAGCGTAAAGTGCTTAATACATGCGTATTCAACAACTGAATTTTCTCAGAGCTTTAAGAAATAAGTAGGACAGTATCCATTTCTGCCCATTTCTTTTGTGCTCTTGATATTCAAGATTATTACCCAAAATGTCATTCAACCATAGTCTAGGTCAGAGGTTCTCAAATCATTTTGGTCTCAGGTTCTCTTTACACTCTTAAAAAATGGAGGATTCCAAAGAGCTTTGGTTTATGTGGGTTATATTCATTGATATTTACTATAGGAGAAGTTAAAATGGAGAAATTTTTAAAGTACAGGGCTATACAAGCATACATTCTGTTGAGTGATGATGCCATCACATTGGTCATGTAGCCTTTACATTCATGGGCCTAGGAGAGTAAAAACAGCAAACAGTATCTCAGTGTTATTTCAAAAATACAGCCCCCCAAAGGGTTTGTGGAACCCTCCCAGGACTCCCCACCCTGCATTTGAAAACTACTGATCTAGGGTAATGTGAGCTCTAGTCAGTGAAATTATAAGTAACAAACTATGTCAGCCTTTCCGGTCTTATTTTCATATAAATGAAAATATATACCGTTGTCCCTCAATATCTATGGGGGATTGGTCTCAGGACCCCCAAAGGATAGCCAAATCCATTGATGCTCAAGTCCCTTATATAAAGTGGTGCAGTTTTTGCATGTAACCTCTGCACATCCTCCTGTATACTTTAAATCCATCTGCAGATTACTTACAACACTGAACACAATGTAAACACTATGTAAACAGTTGTTATACTGTATTGTTTAGGGAATAATGACAAGGAAAAAGTCGTACATGTTCTGTACAAATGCAACCATTCCCTTTTTTTTTTTTTTTTTTTTTTTTTTTTTTTTTTTTTTTTTTTTTGAGACGGAGTCTCGCTCTGTCGCCCAGGCTGGAGTGCAGTGGCGGGATCTCGGCTCACTGCAAGCTCCGCCTCCCGGGTTCACGCCATTCTCCTGCCTCAGCCTCCGGAGTAGCTGGGATTACAGGTGCGTGCCACCATGCCCAGCTAATTTTCTTGTGTTTTTAGTAGAGACAGGGTTTCACCATCTTGGCCAGGCTGGTCTTGAACTCCTGACCTCGTGATCCACCCGCCTCAGCCTCCCAAAGTGCTGGGATTACAGGCCTGAGCCACCGCGCCTGGCCTCAAATATTTTTGATCCACAGTGGTTAAATCCATGGATATGGATCCCATGGATATGGAGGGCCAGTTGTATACGTAAAAAAATTAATAAATTATTAATAAAAGCAGTTACTCACTATAGGATACGTATGACAACTCTGCTCAGAAACAAGCTGTATACTTTGACAGTGGGACTGTTGAAAGCAGAGAGGAAAAATATCAGATAGTGACCTTGAAGTTTCTTCTGTACTTTCCTTCTAAGCACAGTTATGCCCTTATTTGGAACTGCAACTCAATGTGATTTGCAGTTTATTCATGGAAAATGTGTCAGTAACCAATTCAGCTTGCTATAGCTATGAATTTGCACCTAATAGATAAATGCACCAAAACGAGAGGGTATAGCTGTTCCATTATGTTGTATTTCATTTTTAGCAAAGTTCCAATGGTCCTGTAAAGAAGTCCATGCGTGAGAAGGCTGTTGAGAGAAGGAGTGTCAATAAAGAGCACAACAGTAACTTTAAAGCTGGATACATTCCGATTGATGAAGATCGTCTCCACAAAACAGGGTTGAGAGGAAGAAAGGGCAATTTAGCCATCTGTGTGATTATCCTCTTGTTTATCCTGGCTGTCATCAATTTAATAGTGAGTATTTGTAAGAATACTCATTTTAATTGCCATGGGGAATTTTTTATCTGCTTTATAGTGAAATCATAGACTTTATTTTCTCCTTTTCTATACATGTCTTGTCTCTTACTGAATTTTAATGAATACTTTATTAAAAAAACTAGTGTGCTAATATTTTCATATATTAATTTCATTTACAAAAAAATGTGCATGGGTTTATCCCTTTAATGGACTTAATTTTTAGCAAGGATAGAATTATGAGGCTCCCACCTAGCTCAATCGGTAGAGCATGAGACTTTTAATAAGGATAGGATCAACTCAATAGAAGAGAACTTTGCCAAGATGATTTTATTGCTTTCACATCTCCTTAAAAATATAATCCTTTCTGTTTTCATTTAACTTTTCCTACATTTAATGTTGCCTCCTCAGCTGGATTTTAAAATTTTAAACCCTTTGATGGCAGTAAAAGGTTATATTTTATAGTCCTAAGTCCCCGTTGTCAAAGGATGCAAGAATCTGGTAGGCTGATTCACACTAAAGTACTGAGGACCTGATAGGATGCCTTTTCCAAAGATATTTGCTTTTTTAATGAAGAAATCCTTTTAATCTGAAGTTGTGACTGTCTGGGGTTAAATCTGAAACTCTGGCATGTGCATGTACAGATATTTTCAGAAGGAATGATTATTGATATACTTAAGACTGATCATGAACATAGTCTGCAGCAGTTTTGAAGTGATTCTTTTTGTGTTATTTTCTACTTCTAATGCATGCAAGGCAGTCTTTTTGTATTTATGTATGTCCAAAGCACTTCTGTCTAATTCTTCACTCAAATCAGAAAGACCTCTTCCTATATATTTCATATTAGATATATAAATTTTTACTAGGAGCACAAATCTGAATGCATTTTATTTTATAAATGTATTTTATCGGAGACTTCTGGTCAAGATGGCAGCATAAAGACATTTTTATCTTCTTCTCTAAAAAGCTCGTTCCAAAGTAACAATGTCACGAAACAGAAATATCTTTGAAGAAAGTCGGAAGCAACTGAAATCCTAAATCATAATAAATGAAGACACAAAGTAGGAGGAACAATGGCAGATAACTTATCAGAGAGGAGAATCTGCTTGTTGGGGAGGGGATGTTGGTGGAAGTACCTTGTAGAACCCTAAAAAGCCTTGGGAATTAGAAGTTCCAGTACCTTGAAAAGCAGAAGTGAGGCAAGAACTGAAAACAGAGAAGTCATTTGAAAATCTGTATAAGAAGCAGTGAGATCCCTAGGCCTCCTCTCCCTTCCAGCCAGCAGTTAGACAGCTACCCCTCCTAATGTCATACAAAACTAGTGTGTCTCTGGACACACTGGACCAGAGAGGATTCTATCTGCCTGCGGATACTGGAGGGTAGGGGTTGGGTTTCCATACTGAAACAGGAAAGTCTGGGTCCTGAGACTCCCTTTCCCACGCTCTCTTTTCCTCATTCTCCACCTCCAGCTCCCTGGCAGCCAGGCAAGAGACAGAAGAGCCTTCTCTGGGATTCCTGATGCATATAGAAAAAAGATCTGAAGATACTGTCATTTGGCAAGTCCCGGTGAAAAAGCCATGTAATTTCCCTCTTGTGACACCTGTCAGTCACAAGCCCTACCCCTCAAATAATTTTCTATGAATTCATCACTAAGTATGAATACTGAGCCAGGGATCAATAGACTTTTGAGGAAAGTGCCAAGAATTGAAAAATGATAGAGATGAAAACTCCTAAACCATGGAAAAAATAGAAACTCATGGAATAGAGAAAATGCCACAAAAACTACCAAAAAAACAAAAGCCCTAAATTCAGTATTTTCAGAGAAATAAGAATATACTGCATCAATGAAACAAGAATAACATGCCATTTAAAAGGCACAAGCCAGGCACAGTGGCTCATGCCTGATAAAGTGAGACCCTGTCTCTACCAAAAAAAAAAAAAATTAAAAGGAACAATTAAGAACTCATAGATATGCGCGTGCACACACACACACACACACACACACACACACACACACACACACATACACACACACACAGAGATGAATGGGTGGGTGGGTAGATGGATATAGGTAGGTAGGTAGGTAGGTAGGTAGATAGACAGAAGACATTAGAAGATAAAAAAACTCTTCCAGAAATTTCAACAAAATTAATCAACTCAGGAGCTCTAACATGCTGTTAATAGGAGTTTCAGAAAGAGCACAGAAAACACTGGGGGGGAAATGATCAAATACATAAGTCAAGAAAATTTCCTAGAACAGATTGAAAACTACCATACTGGGTCCAGCGTAATGCATAAAAAGACACAACAAGGCCATTATTATGAAATTTAAGAAAACCAGTAATAAAAGATCCTAATATCTTCCAGAGGGGGCAAAAAAGCAGGTTATGTATAAAGAATACAAAATCAGAATGGAATAGGACCTCCCAAAAGCAGCATTGGGACCTGGAAGGCAATAAAGCAATGGCTTTCAAAATTCAGAAAGAAAATAATTTTCCATCTAGAATTGTATACTTAGCCAGTCCAGCAATCAAATATGAAGCATTATAAAGACGTATTTTTGCCATGCACACTTTCCAAAAAATTTTACTTCTCATACATTGCTTAGAAGCCACTGGAGGATGTGCTCTACCAAAAGAAAGATGAGGATACAGGAAACTGGGTGTCTATCAGAAGAGAAAGACAAAAGGAAGTTCAGCATGAACGTAAGGGAAAGTTTATGATTACAGCTGTGCAGGGGGCCCATACAGACCAGTCCAGCCCACGCAGACCAAACCAGAAAGATACAGGTTCCAGAAAGATTTCCTGAGAGAGAAAAATAGAACTAATATATTATCTGAGAGGCTCAGACCTACAGAAAATTGTATTGAGAGATTTTACAGAAATAGTGGAGGATTTGAGATTAATTAGATTTTTAAAGAAACTAAGGAAAATGAAGTATTAAATTCTGAGAGACAAGGTACAGGAAAGAAACTGCCATTATAGGACATATTTGGTTTGGTAATGAACAATATTTATATGGTTGTAATACTGAAAATAATGACCTTGGATTTAATTAAAACTTGAGATTGGAGCTGGAAAAGAAAAGAGATATAAATGAGCTAAATTTATCATCTGCTAAAATAGAAAATTAATAATAAAACCTAAATTATGATAAATGAAGAAATAACATATTTAGAAGAAATATTTGTTAGATATTTTAGAAATATATGTTTAGAAGAAATACATATATTTAGAAATAAGGAGATAAATTCTAGATGAAATAGCTAAATTTGTTGAAAGTGATTGTTCCTGGGAATGAGATGTGGAGAGGGTAGAAAAAATAAGAAACTATTCATTTTAAATTATAGACCTTTAGCACATTTTGACTTTTAGCTATTTGCATGTAATACCTTAATAAAAATAAAATTCGTTTTGTTTATAAGTGGAAAATTAATTGATATATTTACCTCACTGATAAAACATTTTAGGAGGTCTTTAACATTTTGGTGATAATATTTTCTATTTGTTTTCCAATTACATTAAATGTATGCGGCCTACCAACAGTGGACTTGTGTTCTTTTTCAGATAACACTTGTTATTTGGGCCGTGATTCGCATTGGACCAAATGGCTGTGATAGTATGGAGTTTCATGAAAGTGGCCTGCTTCGATTTAAGCAAGTATCTGACATGGGAGTGATCCACCCTCTTTATAAAAGCACAGTAGGAGGAAGGCGAAATGAAAATTTGGTCATCACTGGCAACAACCAGCCTGTAAGTTGCCACATTAACTGAAAGAAATGCAAACAGGAGAGGGGCATTAGAGAAAAATACTTTGCAAAAACCTAGTTGATTATTGGAAAGAGATATTTTCCCTTAGAAAAATTAGTATATTTATAATATATCTATAAATGTATGAATATAGTGAATACAGTTTAAAACATCCATAAATATTAATATTTAATAATACTATTGCTTTTATCATCTGTTAAAATTAGATGATTTCTTAATATTTGAGATTTTGTTCAATGGTAGCATTTTCTATGACAGATGTAATTTGTATGAGAATACATAGGTTACTCTTTTCTCCTCCATATGAGGAAGCCATTAAGAAAGCACTTTCCCAGGTGAGAATACTCTGTAGTTTTGGGGGCTCTTGAAGAGAATATGCCAATCTAGTCAGTGGCATCCCATGCCAAGAGCTGAAAACATAGTTTTCAACTGAATAAAACCTCAAGGAGGTATTCTTACCACCACCCCTGCCTATCTTAGGCCTTGGGCCATGTTCCTCCATGACTCATGCATTTTTGCAGAGCTAATGAGCAAATAAATGTATAAACCTTCATTCTAAAGAACTCTTCTTCCAAGTGGATGGAGGGAGAACAGACAGAGTTAAACGTATTTGAAGTTAGTCTGTTATTGGGGTTTTTAAATTTCTGTAATTTTTGTAATTTTTAAAATATATTGTTCAGGAATTTTGTTTGCAGTCTTCTTTGAAAATATATTCACAATAAACTGTTTTTTTTGAAGATTGTTTTTCAGCAAGGGACAACAAAGCTCAGTGTAGAAAACAACAAAACTTCTATTACAAGTGACATCGGCATGCAGTTTTTTGACCCGAGGACTCAAAATATCTTATTCAGCACAGACTATGAAACTCATGAGTTTCATTTGCCAAGTGGAGTGAAAAGTTTGAATGTTCAAAAGGCATCTACTGAAAGGGTATGATTTATTGGCTTTGTTTTACTAATGGGAGAGAATTATTCTCTAGAGTTATAAAGTGGGAAGAGAGTTATACTGTTGTTGTTTTTTTTTTGAGACGGAGTTTCGCTCTGTCGCCCAGGCTGGAGTGCAGTGGCGCGATCTCGACTCACTGCAAGCTCCGCCTCCCGGATTCACGCCATTCTCCTGCCTCAGCCTCCCGTGTAGCTGGGACTACAGGCGCGCGCCACCATGCCCGGCTAAGTTTTGTATTTTTAGTAGAGACGGGGTTTCACCGTGTTAGTCAGGATGGTCTCGATCTCCTGACCTCGTGATCCGCCCGTCTCGGCCTCCCAAAGTGCTGGGATTACAGGCGTGAGCCACCGCTCCCGGCTGAGAGTTATACTGTTTTAAAGTAGTATAAAAGAATATATTCCAGAACACCGGAAAGGATTAATTCTAGATTTGTAATTAACTAGCTTGTGTGATCATTATCAAGTCATCTTTATCTCAATTTCCACATCTCTAAAACATTAATAGAAACATTTGACTTTCATCTCTCATGACTGAAGCTTCTATTTCTCTATCTCTGATAACAATTCTCACATTAATTTAGAAACTCTTTTTAGTACTTGTTTTTTAAATTTTCAGATTACCAGCAATGCTACCAGTGATTTAAATATAAAAGTTGATGGGCGTGCTATTGTGCGTGGAAATGAAGGTGTATTCATTATGGGCAAAACCATTGAATTTCACATGGGTGGTAATATGGAGTTAAAGGCGGTGAGTATTCTTTTAAGAGCTTAAGAGAATTATTAGGTTCTTGGGTACATAAATCCATATGTGGAATAGTATACAATTATTGAAAATGATATAATTGTCTATTTTTTGACATGGAAAGATGTTCAAAGTGGGTTGTGAAGTAAAAGAAAGTTACAAAACAATTTGTGAAATTCATTATTTTTATTTTTCAGAACATATGTATGTTTATAAAAACCTAGCAGGGTGTGCCAGAATGTCAACAATGTTTAGCTGTGGATAGCAAGATAACAGATTATTTGTTTTATTTTTATTTCTACTAGCCTGTATTTTCTGTTTCTTTCTCTCTTTTTTTTTTTGTATAATGATCACTTGTATTGTTTTAGAAGGCAAAAAAAAAAACCTTCTAAAAGAGAATTCTGGAAGATCAAAGTAAATATTCATGCCTTGTAGTTGTTGTTTTTAATTAAAGATTTTTCACATCCCTCCCTGAGTTTCATATCCAATGATGTGAAAAAAAACAATTAGCAAATTTATAAAATTATTTTATTTAGATATTTTTATTAAAAATGTATTTTTAATCTATTATTAATTGTAAAGGAAAGAGGTTTTTGTCTTTATCGTGGCTGTTGAAAGTGAATTTTCTTTGTGCTTAACAGATTAAATCTGAACTTTAACAGGTATGGTATTTCATGTGCCATAAGTCCAAAAACTTTTTAATGTCTCACAATTCTGGTCAAAGTATACTTATTCAAAATGCCTTTGGGTACCTGCAATATGCTATTTAATTAAAGCGAATTAAATTTGTCTTACCAAGTATTACATGACAAAAGTGAACTTAAACGTAGGGACTTATCATTCTTTCTTATTAAAAAAAATTTCAATTTCATAGTTCCTGGGAAAAATACTTTTTAAAAGTAGTTGTTTTACTTTTATAAGCAGTTTTTCCCCCAGAACACATAATCCCATCTCTAAATAATAAAGATGGACATAAAATGTAATTCTTGCCAGAAACTCAGTTGCCTACAGAGTTAATTTGTATGTATATTGTGGTGTAAGAAGCCATTCTTCTAAGAACACTGTTGAAGAATAGCCACAGTACAACTGCTGTTCTCAGCAGTAGAAAGTCACAGAAGCAAGAGATTTGTTTAGAGACCATTAGCAACTTACCAAACCTTTTATTTTTTTCTACCTGCCACTTCTTGTCCCATTCTACCTTGTAGTTAATATGACAAATATTTAAATACTTTGAAATATACATATACACATATCAGTTTCTCTACTGTTAAAGGAAAATAACCTAGTATTAAAAAGATAATTAGCTTTATAACTTCGTTAATATCAGTGGTTAGTTCTAAAGTGTATAAGCCAATCATTAGAAATAATTTTATCAATTAAACTGCTTTTTTGAAAAAGCTGTTTAAGAAGCAATTTAGGCCGGGCGCGATGACTTACGCCTGTAATCTCAGCACTTTAGGAAGCCAAGGCGGGTGGATCACAAGGTCAGGAATTCGAGACCAGCCTGGCCAACATGGCGAAACCCCGTCTCTACTAAAAATACAAAAATTACCTGGGCGTGGTGGCGGGCGCCTGTAATCCCAGCTACCCGGGAGGCTGAGGCAGGAGAATCGCTTGAAACCAGGAGGCAGAGATTGCAGTGAACCCAGATCGCGCCACTGCACTCCAGCCTGGGAGACAGAGCAAAACTCCGTCTCAAAAAAAAAAAAAAAAAAAAAAAAAACCAACAACAAAAAACAATTTAAAGAAAGTAAAATTAAATGACCACAAGATGGCAGCATTGGAACAAATTGGAAAACTAGTCACTTAAGAATTACTGTCTATTCCATATACTACCACTGCATAATCAGTTAACCATCTCCATTATTTATAACCAATTTTCTCTCTTTGCTTTAAATACCCTCTGTAAGCCGATGCCTCCCAAATTTGGAATTGTGCTTTAACCTCTCCTCTGAACTAAGAGTTACATATCTAGCTGCCTGCTTAACATTATCCATTTTGATATCTGATAGGCATCTCACATTTAACAATTGAAAAGTTAGATTCTCCATCCCCACAAGCATGCATTTCTTTCAGTATTCTTGTACCATTAAATGACACCCATCAGTCCATAGCAAAGCCTTCTGGCTCTACCTTCAGAAGATACAGAGTCTTGCTGTTTCTCACCACCTCGGCCATCACCACCCTGATGTAAACTGCCATCATTCCCTGCCTGGATGGTTGGAACAGCCTCCTGGCTGATCTTCTTACTTCCAAGTATTCACTCCCATAGTCTGTTTTCTACCCAACAGCCAGAGTGGCCATTTTAAAAAGATCAAGTCATTTCTGTATTCAGAATCCTCCAAATGCTTCCCGTATAATTTGGAATAAAATCTAAAGTCTATTCCCTGCCTACATGTCTGATCCTCAGTTATTTCTTTGACTCATCTCCTACTGGTTGTTCCCTTCACCCTCCGTGCTTCTTCCACACTGGCCTCATAGCTGTCCCTGGAATCCAGGCACATCTTCACCTCGGGGCCTTTGCAGACACTGTTACCTCTGCTTTGAGTACCCTTCCCCAGTTACCTAGACAGCTTCCTCCCTCACTTCCTCTAGTTTCTGTTGGAATGTGTGACCTTATCAAACCACAGGTGGTCCTTCCTGAGCACCCTGTGTAAAACTCAGTCCCCATCTGCTCACTCTCTACTTATCCTGCTTTATTTCTCCTCATAGCATTTATCCCACCTGATGTCTTATGTGTTTTACTGTTCATTTTTTTTATTGTCTCCCCCTACCCCATTAAAACATCAACTCAATAAGAACTTGGGCTTTGCCTGTTTTACTTACTGCTGTATTCCCCAGCACCTAGAATAGTGTCTGGCATACAGCAGGCACTCAGTAATTATTTGTTGAGTGAATGAAAAGAAGAAAGGAGGAAAGGGAGAAAGCAAGAGAGTCCTAAGAGTCACTAAAAAGAAGGATTTTAAGGAACTACAATAAGAGAATGTTTCTGGAACAGTGGGCGTGAAGAACCTCCAGACTAGAGTGCCTGGTCTTCAAATTATATGGTTTGAATCTTCATTTGCAGTGTTGCAAAAACATTGGAAATTAAAATTAATTCCCTCTAGGAGGAAAAGTCTTTTTTTTTTTTTTTTTTTTTTTTTTTTGAGACAGTGTCTCGCTCAGTCACCCAGGCTGGAGTGCAGCGGTGTGATCTCTGCTCACTGCAAGCTCCGCCTCCCGGGTTCACGCCATTCTCCTTCCTCAGCCTCCCAAGTAGCTGGGACTACAGGTGCCCACCACCACGTCCCGCTAAGTTTTTGTATTTTTAGTAGAGACGAGGTTTCACCGTGTTAGCCAGGATGGTCTCGATCTCCTGAACTTGTGATCCGCCCACCTCGGCCTCCCAAAGTGCTGGGATTACAGGCATGAGCCACCGCGCTTGGCCAGGAAAAGTCTTTTTGTACTCATGATCACAAACTTACCAATCAGTACCTTTGTTATAGTTCTCTTAGGACTTACAAATGAAAATGATCTGAAACTTTATCAACATCAATTTTATTATGAACTTAGGAATTCTGATGTAATTTTAACTAACAATAGAGGAATTATGTTGCAGATTTATTTACATATGTTATGGATATATGAAGTGAAGAAGTCACTCATTGAATCCTGATATTTTGTTTTTTATTGTTGCTGTTGTTGTTTTGTTTGTGACTTTACTC
Source organism: Homo sapiens (assembly GCF_000001405.40). Lineage (NCBI taxonomy): Eukaryota > Metazoa > Chordata > Mammalia > Primates > Hominidae > Homo > Homo sapiens. The sequence continues at coordinate 52,024,269 of NC_000004.12, read as the reverse complement.
TTTCTTACTGCTTGCTTTTCTCATTGATATTTCAGGAAGTTTTGTTTACTGACTTTGTTCTGTACCCCCTCATGGAGGTAAATAAATCATATTACTATTCTCCTAATAGGAAAACAGTATCATCCTAAATGGATCTGTGATGGTCAGCACCACCCGCCTACCCAGTTCCTCCAGTGGAGACCAGTTGGGTAGTGGTGACTGGGTACGCTACAAGCTCTGCATGTGTGCTGATGGGACGCTCTTCAAGGTGCAAGTAACCAGCCAGAACATGGGCTGCCAAATCTCAGACAACCCCTGTGGAAACACTCATTAAAAGAACCCCAGAGGTCACCAACATGTTTATATCTTGACTTGACTTTTTTATGCATGCAAATCATTGTTTTTACAGAGTTTGTGATAACTCATAATTATTTTAATGGCAGAGCACTGCTGTATCTGTTTTATGGTCTACATAGTTAAAATCTTCTCAGAGAGCCTAAATTCTAATACATTTTATTAATTTATACTAATCTTCATATTTACTGTTCTCTAAAATAATTATGAGAAGCAAATAAAATCAAAAGTCATGTTTAAAGACGTGTTTTTAAAATTCCACTATCCCTTTTCTAAAGGTTAAAGGTCTGAAGCAGCTGTTTAGATTCACTGTAAGTAAACTTTGGTAACTCTAATGGGGATAGACCCACTTAAGATATTTAAAAAGGTATGGCATCAGCGTTTCATGCTCTGCCTTTTAGCTTCTAAAAGGAAAGATGCAGATTTCTAGTGCATTAAGCCTGAGCCATATTCTCACATGCAAGTGAAGTCATTAAAGAACTTTACATATGTGAGATAGAAACAATGGTTCCTTAGTTTTGCACTGGGAAGAAAATATTTTGTAAAAGAATGTTTATTTGAAATAATGATAACTATCAATTGTTCACAATGTGGTGGAAATTAAAACACCATCTCAGCTTTAACTTTTAAATAATAATGATAACTATCTTTATTGAGCATCTTCTACATCCTAGGCATTGTCCTAGGCATTGCATGTTTATATCCCCAATTCTCACCACAACCCTGCAAGTAGGTGGTATTATCCAAGTTTTACCCATTAAGAAACTGAAGATCAGAGAAGTTAAGAAACTTGCTCAACATCATATAGTAAGTAGCAGAGTTGGGATTGGAATTCAGGCATGACTCAAACCTGGATGTACTTGATTCCAAATGCCATGTTGTTTTCACTCTCTGCACTGACTTTTTAATTATTTAAAACTCTAGAAAGATGAACAAAGGTTAATTTAAACTTACCTAAGAAGATGAGAATCAAACAAAACAGATATGCTTACTCTAGTTAAAAAGAAAATAAATCTCATGTCAGACCCAGAAAGGACCAATCACTGTCCGATTGTAAGCTATGTTGGGCCAATTCCAAAATATTATACGATGGAGAGGTCAAATTTACCTACTTCTGAGTTACCTCAGTTTCCCAACAATGGACCTTGGCACACTGGAGTAACAATACATAACAGAGTTGCCAAGATATTTATACCCTCAGCACTCGGGGCAACACAGTGGAAAGTGGGGAGGCCATAGACCCAAACAAGTTCTTTGGGCCAGGCATGGCCTAGTAAGTACACCATGCCTCGAAAATAAGTCCAGAAGCACTGGACTAAAGAGTGCTAATGCAGGAAATAATACACATAATTTTTAGGTAAGGATAATAATTTATCTCTGCTCCTAATATTACTATCCCATTGTAATTATTTATAACCCTCAAGCCAGTTGATTTTTAATATATTTGATTGGAAAAGAACTCTCTGGTATTATTAAGACTCACACAGAATCAGGGACAGGGCCCCCAAAGGAGTTTGCTGTAAAATAGGCAGTAGAGTTGTGGCATGGGCCCAACCCTGCATTCAAGTGTAACAGCATTCTGTCAGGGTCACTTTGAATTGTGCACATAAGAAAACCAATACAAAAAACAATTTGTATTCAATATTGTCACATTTCTCTCTGGTAGAAAAATCAAATACCTTAGAGATTATGAAGTCATTAATTTATACTGAAATTGGATTGACTTACTACCTAACACTGAGCGCTGTTTTTAAATGAAAAGAATGAGATTTATAACCACTTGAGTGTTATTGCAGTGATATTTGAACTCATTTGAATATATTCAGTATCATTTAATGTCTGAATTCAGAAAAAAATGCCGAAATTTTTATTCAGATGGTCCATAAATTAAATTGCATATTCATTACTTATCTGCTCTATTTAGATTTATTTTAAAAGTTTATTTAAGTAAATATTTTTATAAAAACCAGAAAACACTGTATTACAAAATATTATTTATTAAATGTAGTTCAGGAAATAATCTATTTTTACTCTTTTTTGGGAAATACTTGTGTTTTTGATACATCTCCATGAAGTTCTTTTGAGAGGAGAGGCTATTTTGATGTTTTTATACAACTGAAGGTTAACAGCCATAGCATTTTATGATACTTTACAGGTAGTCCTGGCTTTTTCCCTGAAACATAAGCTTGGAAAATCTATTAGAAAGCAGAACAGGGCAAACTCTCCATTTTACTTATGGCTTTTCTAATTTTTAATTAATTAATTTATTTTTTTGAGACAGAGTCTTGTTCTGTCGCCAGGCTGGAGTGCAGTGGCACAATCTCGGCTCTCGGCTCACTGCAACCTCTGCCTCCCAGGTTCAAGCGATTCTCCTGCCTCAGCCTCCCGAGTACCTGGGACTACAGGCATGTGCCACAGTTCCCGGCTAATTTTTGTATTTTTAGTAGAGACGGGGTTTCACCATGTTGGCCAGGATGGTCTCAATCTCTTGACCTCGTGATCTGCCTGCCTTGGCCTCCCAAAGTGCTGGGATTACAGGTGTGAGCCACCACGCCTGGCCGGCTTATTTTTATCCACAGTAAATCTTCAGCAACTCATTGTCTCCACCAGATAGTATTTTTCTGTAAATGAAATGCTGACTTCGCCTCTTCCTGCTGTATGCTCATCCCTGCACTGAGCACAGATATGACAAGCAGTAGCCATGGGGGAGGTGGGTGACAAAGATAGGACCCCGGGAGGGGGCGCAGGTACATGCTAGTTTCAATTACCACAGTATTCTAGAGACGGGTTGCAATGACAAGGGGGGCAAATGAAATCAATGCAAGATTTCTTAATAATGGGCAGACAGAAAAATGTAAAACCACACAAAACGGACTGCTGATAATATTTTAAAATATACTTATTTGTCTTCTTTTTGCATTGTGAAAAAAACAAAATAAATTTTGTGTGATAATTTTGATGATGAAAGGTGGAAGTTCTACCTAGATTTGAATGAGTGTTTTTTTAAGGGAATGAGAATGTCATGGTGCTAAACCTGACAAATAAGAGATCATTGAAATGCTGAAAATTTTAACAGTCTTCTTAAAAGTATTGAGGGGGCAAAAATTACCAATTATGGTATACAAAAATAAGCCTATAAATGTGTTTCACATTGCTAACTTGAGTTTCAGTTGATTCAGTTTGTAATAACTAGTAATGAGCTTCTGTTTACAATAAAAATTCTGTAAATTGTTTGCTGTTAATTTTTTAAGGGTTATATATTAACTGTTTTCTACTTAGTCATGCGAACGTGATGAATTTAAATATGGCTTGAGAATGGGACGCTGTCAGTATTTATGTAATCTCTCTGGACTCCTAGAACTCAAAGTTAGAAAGTTGTACATTCCAAGTTTTGAATGCCCTCCTCTCTGTGCATTGCAGAAGGCCTCTCTCCAGTGGTGCTTCCCTGGTGTCCTAGGGGAAAGTGCACACTGTCACCATGGCAGGAGGCCAAAGCCGGAGATGAAAGGGTGAGGGCTGGCCACTGGGCAGCCTTGATGGCAGGTTGGGTGGAGCCTCAAAGGTTCAGGTCTTAAATCCCTACCTGGCTTGATCCAGATATCCACCCATTTGATAACCACTTAGGATACGAAGGTATGTCTTAGAGGCATTATTACTTTCCAGGTCTTGTCCTTACCCGAAATAGCCTCTGTTGCTTTTTTCCTTCAGTTTTGCCACCCTTTCTTTTATGTATAAATGAACTCTTCATTTCCTTTCTATAATACTTTGTTTTTTTGTGCTGCCTTCTTCCTATCTTTCACTTGCTGACTCACAAATGTACACACCCAGTATTTCTAACTGCTTCCTCCTACTTCAGCTTGACTATTTCCATTTTGAAATTTACATTTTGCCTAATTGTTTCCAGTTTTCTAAGCAACTTTTTCTGGAGTTCTGAGTGGTTCCTTACCTAATACATATAAATTTATAAATAGTATGATTTTTTTAACAAATTAATACCTTTCACTTTAAGATATAAGATTCCTTGTCTAGCTGTTTTGAACTCAAACCTAACATGTATAAATCTCTTCAGCTTAAAAAGAACCAGGGCAATTTTAATTCATGTCCCCTTAAGAAAAAGTATTTTTCAACCATGTCTTTCTCTTCAGCACTACAAAGTAATGTACCTGTGAATGGTGACTATATTTTTTTGTTGCTGATTTTGTTACATTAGCTTGGTGCACCATTGTATATATAATGATCTCAGCTTTGAACGTAGAAAAAATATCTTTGTTCCTGGGCAAATCAATTCAATTTCTAGTATTGCATAAGAAGCACACTGTAAAAATAAATCACTCCTCCATGCTGTAGGCTACCTTTGCTGTTCATGGCCATGTGTACCTGAATTTAAATGCCCTTGAAAATATGGGAGGATTGACCTTGTATGAAACAAAAGTTTTAAAGTTACATTGTAAATTTCATTCACTTCACTCCATGCATTCATTTACACACAAACAACATAACCCAGTGACAGACTGCAGACTATTAAAAATGTAAAACATTGGATAGATAGATAGATAGATAATGTTCCTTTTTTTTTTGGGAGTTCAGAACAGATACAAAGCAAAACAATAGCAACGCTGAATGTTACTAATGTGTATCAATTCCTTCAGTGTTTACTGAAAGATTTCTGTAAGAATAAAGACAAATTTGGAGGCTAAAGCAGGAAAAATGACCAGGCCATAAGATGTGAGATGAATCTGGAAGGATACACAAGACTGTGGCTGGCCGGGTGTGGTGGCTCACGCCTGTAATCCCAGCACTTTGGGAGGCCAAGGTGGGCGGGTCACCTGAGGTCAGGAGTTCGAGACCAGCCTGACCAACATGGAGAAACCTCATCTCTACTAAAAATACAAATTAGTGAGTTGTAGTGGCACATGCCTGTAATCCCAGCTACTCGGGAGGCTGAGGCAGGAGAATTGCTTGAACCCGGGAGGCGGAGGTTGTGGTGAGCTGACATGGCGCTCTTGCACTCCAGCCTGGGTAACAAGAGCGAAACTCCATCTTAAGACTGTGGCTAAGAGGAAAAGGCATTGAACTTGGAACTGGGAATGAACTGAAAGTGAATTTCAGTATGCGATATGCATAGATCATTCTTTGCAGAAGCCACATCTTGTAGTGGCTCCACATGAACTTATCAAGCTAGGTCATTAAGTTTACCTAGATAACACAGGCTTTGAATACCAACCTGAGGGATTTGGACTATAGGCAATAAGGAGCCCTTTGAGGATTTCAAATGAAGGAATAATATAGGAAATACGTTATTGTAGGAAAATAATCCTTTGGAGTCACCTAGGATGGATCACAAAGAAGGAAAGTCAAGAGGCAGAGGCAAGAAAGTCAGTTAAGCCATTTTAGTATTTCAGACTGCAGTGATGAAAACTAAACTGAGTGCCATTAGAACAGAAAGGAAGGGACAATTTCTTGGAAACTCATATACTCAATAATGTGATTATTTGTACACACAGTGGCTTTTAAGTGGAATTTAGTTTAAAACAAATCACAAAAATTACCCATTTTTAAACTTATTTTTGTGATACATTCAGCCATTGTAATTTGTACACACTTCTTTTTAAAAACTTTGAATTTTTTCTCAAAAATGTTTGGTACAAAAGATACTCAATGTTTCTGTATCGTATTACATCTTCATGGCTTGGAGCCAGAACATGTATTTGATAACACATTATGTTGTATGTATCTAAATGATTTCATAATGATTTGAAAAGTCACACAAGCCACACAGCAAAACTTGTATTTCTTCTAGTCATGAAAAGTAAGAGCCTCTTTTGTGAGTTAAACTTTTTACTCATAGAGTTATGGAGGGTCACGGTTTAGTGTAACTGGTTGTCATTTATGTAATAAACTACATGGTTGATTACTATGTTGTAGATAAGCATAATAGACTTTGCTCTGTATTAATGGCCTGCAAAGAAACAGGGAAGTCTTTAATCTTGGTAAGGTTTCATTCATCCCAAAGCACACTGTGGAGTGAAAACTACTGGAAAAGCAGATGCAGAGGTGAGGCCTAACTGAATATGTATTTTCTGAAAAATCAGGGGAGTCCTTTCTTTAAAATGTGACATAAATGTAATTTTATACTATGGCTATTTCATTTTGGTAGCTACATTTTCATGCCCCAGTAAGAAATCAAACATTCGCTTAAATTGGCAACCAAGACAAGATAACTTTCCGAAATCTTAAATTGAAAATTAAATTTGCTGCTTATTGCTGTTAGTTTTTATATATTATTGTGAATAAGTCAATTCATTTTCCTTTTTCCAGGCATTATGAAAAACCTCTATTTCAGAGTCATTACCATAGTTATAGGTCTTTATTTTACTGGAATAATGACAAATGCATCAAGAAAAAGCAATATTTTATTCAATTCTGAATGCCAATGGAATGAATATATTCTGACAAATTGTTCTTTTACCGGAAAGTGTGATATACCTGTGGACATATCACAGACAGCAGCCACTGTGGATGTAAGTTTCAATTTCTTTAGAGTTCTCTTACAGTCTCACACGAAAAAAGAAGAGTGGAAAATAAAACATCTGGACCTCAGTAACAATCTCATATCAAAAATAACCTTAAGCCCTTTTGCATATTTACATGCTTTGGAAGTGTTAAACCTCAGCAACAATGCCATCCACTCCCTCTCATTGGATCTACTCAGTCCTAAGTCCTCATGGGTGAAACGCCACAGAAGCAGCTTCAGAAACAGGTTTCCATTGCTGAAGGTGCTCATTCTTCAAAGAAATAAACTCAGTGACACTCCCAAGGGTGAGTACAATTTTAACTAGGCAGAGAAACAATGCTTACGTGGAGTTGTTTCATGTTCATAAGAATTCCACATTTGTTTTCAGGTTCAAGGGACAGCTGAAAGTAAAGCAATTTGATCAGAGCACATATAATAATGTTTCTTAGTGGCATTGGAAGTTATAGTGTGTGGAATTTACAGCTAATGAAATTTAGTCTCCCATTAGTATATCTGACATTAATGTTATGTGCGGTTATCGAGACACTAGGAAGTATTTAAGTGCTAAATAATAATGAGTGATTGTAAGTTACCTACTTTAATTATCATGTATTAGTTAATATAGAAAAGCACTGAGCAATAACTAGTTCAAATACATTTAATATGTAATACAATTCAAATTAAATGTTGCCATATTATAATATTTTTCTTCTTTGAGTACATTTTGCCTCAGTCTATCTAGTTGTCCTCCAAACTTACAGCAGAAGTATCCTAATATTATATATTGGTATGTAAACCTTCTGATTATCAAGTCAAAATCAGAATTCCTTATCCTAGTTTCTAACAGGGTACTCCAGATAGCCTCCAATTATCATAAATTCTCATCTGACATTCAATAGTCTATATGTTGGAGTTCCTTAACGGATACACCAATGTTTTCTTTGGAAAATATATCAAGTTCATAAAGCAAAACTTCCTTTGCCCTTTTTATATTCCAGAGTGCTAGACAATTAATTTCCTTTCCTTGTTTGTTTTCAGGCTTGTTCACTCTTTGCTAAGCACCTCCTTTATATAAGACATTATTCAAAAAAATGTATAAGGTTATTGTTCTCTTTCTCCATTCCAAATTGTGCATATTTAGTTTTTCTTATTATCCAGTTCTGACATTTCATGTTTTTATCTTCATGCTCTTTCTCCAGCTTTGCTTTAAGCATCATTTTGGCAATAATAGCCTAGCAGGTATAGGAATTATTACAGTCACCATGTCAGCAGAATTGTTTGAGAAGGGTGGGCGTCTTATCTCCCTGACCTTCTCCATAAAAGTAGTATGTCATATTTTCAGTGTAAATGAATTGCATTTTATTTTATTTTTATTGTATTATTTTTATTACAAGAAGAATACCTGTTACTTATAGAACATTTAACAACTGAAGAAAAATTTAAAGGGAAAAATTAAAGTCATTCATGTTATATATGTTCTTCAAGTTTATTATTTATGCCTATTTGTACCTTTTTCTTTCAAAATTGGATCATACTGTCCATATTTCTAATTTGTATTTTCATATCATAGAATATTTTAATAACTTTATATAATTAAGCAATCTCACAAATATTTCAAATAGTTGGTTTTTATATATGCGTATATCATAATTGGTTTAATCAAGCACTAGGTTATTTCCAGGTTTTGTTTTTTGATGGACGTCATTATAGCTACATATATCCATATAATATAACAAAAATTTTTAACTGGTATGGTAGATGTGATCTCAATCCACAAACTCAAGTGTACTAGAGATATAACCTTCTGTTGTCTGTAGTAACATAATTTCCGATTCTGAGCCCCCATTAGGGGGAGTTGTAGGGATACTTAACATCAGTCTTTCATCAGCTTTCCTCTGCCTTTGCCTGGATTTGTACCCAGCTTGAGAATCGTATACTCTAACAAGGCATCAAATCGTATACTCTAACAAGGCATCGAATCGTATACTCTAACAAGGCATCGAGGGGTGAGCATTCCTTACCCCTGCTACCCAGATAATATTTCTTTTCAGCCTCTTCAGTTTGGAGAAAATTTCTTCTCCCTTTTTTTTTTCTTCAAAACCCTCTGTCTGGAAATCACTTTCTTCTAAAGGGTTAGGGTTTTGGAAAACAAAAGCCAGAAAGACTTGTAGACTCAGCTACTTTCTGCCTTGCCATATGCCTTCCCTGGGACAATGAACGTGGAGCCTACTTTCTGTGTGAATGGAGAGAAAGAGCAAGAGGAAAATATAGGGAAGTAAGAGATTAACATGTCAAAATATTACCCCACCACAAGAGTAAATAGGAAGTGCTGAGTTTCTCTCCTTAAGGCAGATGAATTCCCCTGAGCTAACTGGGGGTTAGGACTAATACAGTTCCACTTAAAGACCAAATATCCCTATAAATGCAGATACAGATCCATCTTCTTTTTTTGAGTTAAGCTTTTGCCTCCCAAAAGATCAAGAAAAATGTTCAACTTGAAGAGGAGGGGGAAAAAAGAAGGGAAGTGAGCAAATTCTGTATCTGAAATTCTATTAAAATTCTAGCAAATGAAGACATAGAGAGATGAATGAAAAGAGATAGACGGTGGAAGTTCAGTGTAAGGCATGAATCTGATTGGATATAATTCAGAGTCCTTTTATCCATAGTATTTTGTGATTTAAATTATTTTCCCATAATCATCATATTAGTTTTCACTAGGTTGAGTCTCCTCTAACAATTTTTCCTATTTTATGATTCTGTGACTATGGCTGAGTTGCTCTGACTTTGAAATCCCATTTTGAGGGGAACTGCTGGTGAGAGAGATGCTGCCTAGGGCATGCCCTATTTTTGGCCTATTTCTTTGTTCTTCAATTCTTCACTCTAAGTCTATTTATAGGTGACATCTGGATAATATAAGATTTACTCATTGGATCATTGTAAGGATAAAATGAAAAAATGTATCTCAAAGACCTAACTTAACATGGTATTTGGCATAATAAACTGTCACAATATAAATATATGAAAACTACTTCAGAATCTTGTCTGAAGATTTACCTTGCAAATACTAGTTTTTATTATTCTCTTGGCATAAATTGAGAATAACAGTATATTTAGAAACAAATAATTAATTTTTGTCTAAATCTCAAGGTTTTTTTTGTTTTTTGTTTTTTGAGACAGAGTTTCACTCTTGTTGCCCATGCTGGAGAAAAATGGCACGATCTCGGCTCCCCGCAACCTCCGCCTCCCAGGTTCAAGCGATTCTTCTGCCTCAGCCTCCCAGGTAGCTGGGTTTACAGGCATGTGCCACCAGCCCGGCTAATTTTGTATTTTTAGTAGAGACGGGGCTCCTCCATGTTGGTCAGGCTGGTCTCGAACTCCTGATCTCAGGTGATCCGCAGGCCTCACCCTCCCAAAGTGCTGGGATTAGAGGCGTGAGCCACCGTGCCCGGCCTCAAGTTATTTTTTAAAATGTTCAACAACTATTGAAGTAGTAGCCCACTATAATTCATGAGCAGATAATTATTTGTGTCTGACTATATAGGCACTTGCATTCATCTAAAATAATAATAAATTAGAGAGATCTCAGAAAGCAACAATCAAGCAACCTTTGTAACTATGTACCACATATTTTAAAATGGGGACTATTTCTAGAACCAATGAAAAGTTGCTTTCACTCAGGAAAGCCCATTTGTGTAAGGGTGAGATATCACACGAACTAACCCTGTCTTCAGAGTCAGTTGTGGTGTCACCAATAAGCTTCATGTTGGGAAAATGCCCAAAAGAGGTGCTGGCCAATGCAATTTATAAAACAGAAGCCAGCCATGAATTTAATTTTAATGATGCTTCTACCTTCCTCCCATATTTTTGGAATACAGCATTCATAATTGAAAAACTAGTTTAAAAACATGAAAACAATGGGATCAGTCTCTGGTTAATCTGTCCTACCTTCATCAAGCAGTATTTTTGGAGTGCTCACAGAGTAACTGGAAATGCAGCAGGAACAACATCTTGTTGGGATTCCAGTTAGGTTGATAGACCAAATGTAGCAGCCTCACATTAACCAACTAAGTTCTAGAACCTAAGAGGTAAATGTGTTAGAAATAAGATAAAATAATACCTAACATTTGAAACTGGGGGAATTAAAAAAAATACACAGTGTATTATAAAAAACTAAAGTATATTGTGTTCCTTTATTCATAGAAAATTAAAGATTTCATCCTGATTGCTACTGGATTATGGAATTATCAATAAGCAATGTACTCAAAACTAATTCAGGTTCTAAAGAAACAAAAAGTATATAAGACACTAAACTAAGAAGGCAAGGCCTTTGGCTAACCTACATAATTTGACCACAATAAGATCTGACCTAATGAATCGAATATCTTACCCAGGACCATTCTAGACTCTATTCCAATTCTTAATTGCTCTTTGGACTAACAGCCATAATCCCTGAATATTGTTTTATGTTATCAGGTTATCACACTTGGGAGAGCACTTAAGTTCATAGTACAGAAGGAGTATTTACTAAGTGTAATGTCTGAGTATCCTTTCTGTGGCCTTTTTTTCTGAGAGACAGGTCATTTCTTGGAAATAATAAAACTGCCTCTGGCCACTTAAATGCAAAGGCTAATAAAATTCCTGCCTAGTGTGTCCTTTGTAATCTTTAGAAAGCAGTTCAATAAATAATTCCCTTTCCACAGAGTACCTCTATATTTTCCTCCCAGCATTCAACTCTCCTCTCTTGAAGTATAAAATGTACCCCTGATGTCCAAGCCCCAGCCGTGAATGCACCATACAGCCTCTTTTCACTCATTTGACTACCCTCTGAACATTGGCTTACCAAGCAAAAATATTAAAAGAATACATTTTCCCATTGAGAAGTGCAGTCAAGTACCATGCAAGAGTTTTCTTAAATTTCCCAACTCCATCCTGAGAGACGCTATACAAACCAGGTCTGTACCAGTTCCCTTAAAAAAATAAAATCTTAATTATCTAAAATTGAAAGTAAAGGAAAAGTTTTCATTCAGGAGGTGTAAACTGAACTTCCTGGTCTTTATTCTCATCTCCAGAAGAAGTTTACCTTCCTCTTGGAAAATCTCAGCTTGATATTATGAGGGGAGTTAAATAAGAGGATTCTCTAATAACTGCATTCAAAATCAAAATCACCCTCTCCCCACATGCTTGGGTATGTTCGGGTCCCACTCTTTTTATTTACTCCTTTTTTTTTTCTGTTTTTAGATGGAGCCTCACTCTTGTCACCCAGACTGGAGTGCAGTGGCATGATCTCAGCTCACTACAACCTCCACCTCCCGGGTTCAAGAGATTCTCCTGCCTTAGCCTTCCATGTAGCTGGGATTACAGGTGCCTGCCACCACACCCAGCTAATTTTTTTGTATTTTTAGTAAAGATGGGGTTTCACCATATTGGCCAGGCTGGTTTTGAACTCCTGACCTCAAGTGATCCGCCTGCCTCAGCCTCCCAAAGTGCTGGGATTACAGGCATCAGTCACCGTTCTCAGCCTGTTTACTTGTAATTCTTTTACACATCTTATATTACACTATTTACTTGTTTGTTGACCTTAAACAAGTCACTTAACCTAAAAAAGCTTCCTGGTCCTTATCTTTAACTGAGAATAAGTATATGTATAGGGTAGGTATAAGGTTTAGAGACAGTGTGCATCAAGACTATAACACATAGAGTGATGATACATGTAAAACATCTCTCATAGTGCCTGGCACACAGCAGGTGTTCAAAAGCATTAGTTCCCCTTTAGTGCCACTTGATCGTCCTGAGTCTTTAATTCTATATTTCCTGCCCTGGTCTTTGCTGTAACGGTAACTTCCTTGATTTCAGGCACAATAGATAATTAAAGGGGATTCTCATTCTCTGTCTTCAGATGTTTAGAGTATTCACCAACAGTCTGGGTGCCTCTGTTCATATTTATATAGGTCTGCATAATGTTGGAAGCCTCTGCTCTTCCTTTTTCAGAGCACTTTTTGATCTGTCCTCTGACTCTCTGAACCACACTGACTCATGAAACCATCACCACTATCAAGATAATTAAAACAAAAAGTATATAAGATACTCAACTAAGAAGGCAGAGCCTTTGGCTCACCTACATAATTTGACCACAATAAGATCTGACCTAATGAATCAAATATCTTACCCAGGACCATTCTAGACTCTATTCCAATTCTTATTGCTCTTTGGACTAAAAGCCATAATCCCTGAATATTGTTTTATGTTATCAGGTTATCATACTTGGGAGAGCACTTAAGAAGTTCATAGTACAGAGGGAGTATTTACTAAGTGTAATGTCTGTCACCGCAAAAGCTTCTTCATCCCCCTTTGTAATCTGTCTTTTCCACCCATCCCTTCTCCCCAACCCAGGAAACCGCTGATCTCCTTTCTGTTTCATTATAGATTCACTTGCATTTCTATAATTTTATATAAAAGGAATCATACAATATGTACTTTTATTTTTGGTCTAACGTCTTTTTTCAGCATAATTATTTTGAGACTTATCCATGTCGTTGTATATATTAAAAGTTCATTCCTACTAAAAACAGAATTACAATTCGACCTAGCAAGCCCATTAGTGGGTGTATATGCAAAGGAAAAATAAATCATTCTACAAAAAAGACACATGCACTCATATGTTCATCACAGCACCAATCACAATAGCAACTACATGGAATCAACCTAGGTGCCCATCAACAGTGGATTGGATAGAGAAAATGTGGTACATATACATCATGGTCTCCTACACAGCTCTAAACAAGAATGAAATCATGTCGTTTGCAGCAACATGGATGTAGCTGCAGGCCATTATCCTAAGCAAAGTAATATATTCTCGCTTATAAGTGGGAACTAAATCTTGGGTTCAAACAGACGTAAAGATGGGAACAATAGACACTGGGGACCACTAGAAGGAGGAGGAGTGTGGGAGGAGGGAGACTAAAGCTGAAAAACTACCTATTGAGTACTATGCTCACTACCTGGGTGATGGGATCATTTGTACTGCAAACCCTCAGCATCAGGCAATATACCTGTGTAACAAACCTGCACATGTACTCGCAAATAAAAGTTGACATTATTTTAAAAAATAAGACAAAAAGAAAAAATTTTGTGAACTGTGGGGAAAGGTTCATTCCTTTTCATTGCTGTGTAGAATTCCATCATGTGGATTCATTTATCTGTTGATGGACACTTAGATTGTCTTTTTGGCTATTAAAAATAAAGCTGCTAGATCTTTCATAAATGCTCTATGCCAGGTTGATGAAATTCTCTCTATTCCCAGTTTGCCCAAGACCTTTTCTGGATCTACTGAGATGATCATATGGGTTTCTTTTTTAATCTGTTAATTTGGAGAATTGTGTAGATTTTCTAATATTAAATCAACTTTGCATTCGTGGGATGAATTCCATTTTGTCATGATTTATTGTCTTTTTTATATATTTTGGATTCAATTTGCTAAAATTTTAAGAAATTTTACACCTATGTTCATGAGGAATATTGGGTTATTATTTTCTTTTGCTATATTGTTGATGTCTAGTTTTGGTATTAGAGTAATGTGGGCCTCATAAAATGAATTGGGAGATATTTATTCCTCTTCCGTCTTCTGGAAGTGTTTGTTTAGAATTGGCTTTGTTTCTTCCATAAATGTTTCATAGAATTCCCCAGTGAAGCTATCTGAACAGGAGTTTTTTCATGGGAAGGTATTTAATTACAAGTTTACTTTCATTAATAGATGCAGGGTTATTCACATTATCTATTGCTTTTTGAGTGAGTATTGGTAGTTTATTAGCATAAAGCTGTTCACAATGTTTCATTATCCTTTTAGTATCTATAGACTCTGTAGTAATGCCACCTCTCTTATTATTGACACTGATAATTTATATCTTCTCTTTTCTGATCAGCCTGGCTAGAAATCTTTTTAAATCAATTTTATTGTTGTTAAAGAACCAGCTTTTGGTTTTATTGATTTTTCTCTATTATTTTTACATTTCCTACTTTATTTCTTCTCTGATCTTTATGATTTCCTTTCTTCTGCTTACTTACAATTTCATTCATTCTTGCAAGTTTCTTAAAGGGGAAGCTGAAGTCAATGACTTGAGGCATTTCTTCTTTAATAGACATTTAGTGCAACTTGATAATAAATTAGTAATTTGCCTCTAAAAATGGCTTTAGCTACGTCCCACAAATTTTGATATGTGATGTTTTCATTTTTAGTTGAGTCAAAATTATTTCTATTTTGATTTTTCTTGGTCCCATGGGTTATTTAGAAGTGCGTTATGAATATCGAATAATCTGTGGATATCCTAGAATTCTAGCTTTGGGATTTCCAGTATATATCTTAAGATCACAGTCTATTTTTATTTGGTATTAAACTACTTGCCTGTAATATAAGAACCTTACAATGGTGTTCTCCCATTTTTTCCCCTCTTCTGTCCTTTGTGCAGGTATTGTCCTACATTTTACCCCTATATATAATTTCCACAATATGTTTTTACTATCTTTGCTTCACAATGTTGCTTTTAAAGAGATTTAAATATAAGAAAAAATATTTAACCTACATAAATTTCTGGAGCTCTTTGTTCCTTACTCCAGACTTCTATCTGGTTTCATTTTTTCCTCTAAAGGACTTCCTTGAACATTTTTTCTACTCTGGGTCTACTCCTGATGAATGCTTTCAAATCTTTATTGAAAAGGTCTTTATTTGCCTTTGTTTTTCAAATATATTTTTACTCAATAAAGAATTCTAGGCTGACCGTTTTAAAGATTTTCAGTTTGTTTAAATGTTGCTCCATTATTTTGAATTTGCATTGTTTCCGATAAGAAATCTGCTCTCATCCATATCTTTATTCTTTTTATAGTGTTCCTGACATACACTCAATTTAAATTTTTGGCAATCAAATATATTAATATTTTCCTTTATAATTTCTTCTTTTAATCTTAAAAAAAAAAACAGCTTTCCCCGTGTGCAACTACACCAATCTTTTATTTATATGTGCCTTAACTCCATGGATGGCAAAATTGTCAGAGAAGATTTTTCAGGCATATTATACTTATAATCCAACTGGAATTTACTTTGTTGTGTGGAGATTAGAATAATGTTTGCAGCAGATCTCTGGAATTTACCTAGGTCAAATTATTTAATCAGGAGCTCTTTTTCTGAAAACTTGATCTCAGAGCATCTCATCCCACCAGTCAGGGCCAGCTAGGTATCATGACCTGGATTTTCTGCAGACCAGAGTTGGGAAGCCATCTAGCCTATCAAACAGCTTCTGTCCTCATCTTCATCCTAGCAGCAGCCCATTCACAAGATAGTGTCAGTACTTACAAAACTTAATCCAGCATAATTCACACACAGTCACCTGAGGCTAGTAGAACTCCTGCCAGATCTCACTAAACAACTTTGATTCTATAAATTAAAAAAAAAAAATTGGCAGTCAAGATCTCTAACCCTACTCTAACATAGTTAGTTGTTATTCCTCAAGGGCTCGTCCCTATTATCTTGAAAGTTACACATGGGTCCCAGTCTGTTCCACAAGGCCCTCATTCAGATCAGCAGGCCACCAGGCCATGTTATTTAAATGACACTAGCAGAAACCAAGAAAGCAAGCCCTGCCACATAAGCATGCTTCAGATCTTTGCTCACAACACCTCTGCTGCCATTCCTTTGGCCAAAGCAAATTACATGGCCAAACTCAACTCAGTGGGATGGGGAAGTGTATTCTGCCCACAAGACAGTGAATATTTGATGAACAATCATCCAAACTAATGGACCTGGCTTCCACTGGACTCCAAAAGCTTGAAGATCGTAGTAATCAAAGACATATCTCAATTCCAGC
Organism: Homo sapiens; assembly: GCF_000001405.40. Taxonomy (NCBI): domain Eukaryota; kingdom Metazoa; phylum Chordata; class Mammalia; order Primates; family Hominidae; genus Homo; species Homo sapiens. The sequence goes on along the minus strand of NC_000004.12, from coordinate 52,007,568 downwards.
TATGAGAAACAATTTTTAAGGAATGTAACAAGCATGGAGGCCTTAAGTGATTTTCTTCGGCTCACATCAAAAGTCACAAACAGGGCTGGGAGCAGTGGTTCACACCTGTAATCCCAACACTTTGGGAGGCCAAGGTGGGAGGATTGCTTGAGGCCAGAAATTTGAGAACAGCCTGGGCAACATGGTGAGATTCTATCTCTACAAAAAATTAAAAGAAAAAAAAATAGCCAGACATAGTGGCACACACCTGTAGTCCAAGCTACTCTGAAGGCTGAGGCAAGAGAATCGCTTGAGCCTAGGAGTTCGAGGTTACAGTGAGCTATGATTGTGCCATTGCATTTCAGCCTGGTGACAGAGCAAGATCCTGTCTCAAAACAAAACAAAAAGTCACAGATAAAGGTGGAATAAACCTCAGTCTCTTAAGTTCAACTCCAGCGCTGACTCTAGTACTCCGTGACACAAGCAGATTAACTAAGCAACTCCCAATACATCTGGCAATTTCATTATGTACCATGGCCCAGACCACCCTTTTGTGGTTTTGAGGGAGGGTTGTTTTTATTTGTTTTTAGTTAATAAAAGATGGGCATGGTTAAAGGGTAATGATTAAGAGATCTAGGTTTTGATTCCAGCTCCACCTACCATGGTGTTGTTGGGCAAGTTCTTAACTTCCCTGAACTTAGTTTTTTTTCATTTGTAAAATGTTGTTAACTCCTCAGGCTTTTTGAAGATTAAAAAGAGATGTCTGTGAAATGCTTAGAGCATAAAGAGTACACAATTAGGAGCTTAAAAATAATTTCTTCTGTCACTTTTTTTTTGTTTTTTTGTTTTTGTTTTTTTTTCTTTATTATTATTATTATTATTATTATTATTATACTTTAAGTTTTAGGGTACATGTGCACAATGTGCAGGTTAGTTACATATGTATACATGTGCCATGCTGGTGCGCTGCACCCACTAACTCGTCATCTAGCATTAGGTATATCTCCCAATGCTATCCCTCCCCCCTCCCCCCAACCCACAACAGTCCCCAGAGTGTGATGTTCCCCTTCCTGTGTCCATGTGTTCTCATTGTTCAGTTCCCACCTATGAGTGAGAATATGCCGTGTTTGGTTTTTTGTTCTTGCAATAGTTTACTGAGAATGATGATTTCCAATTTCATCCATGTCCCTGCAAAGGACATGAACTCATCATTTTTTATGGCTGCATAGTATTCCATGGTGTATATGTGCCACATTTTCTTAATCCAATCTATCATTGTTGGACATTTGGGTTGGTTCCAAGTCTTTGCTATTGTGAATGATGCTGCAATAAACATACGTGTGCATGTGTCTTTATAGCAGCATGATTTATAGTCCTTTGGGTATATACCCAGTAATGGGATGGCTGGGTCAAATGGTATTTCTAGTTCTAGATCCCTGAGGAATCGCTTTAAAGCTAGGCATGATCACTCCCTCCACTTAGCTCCTAGGGCACTTACTCAATTCAATTAAGCACTGAGATATTTTAGGAATCATGAGTTCACATCCTTATATAGGCCAGGCAGGTATCATGAAAATGTTAAGAAAGCTGTAGCTTCTTTCATATTGGTGTCTTATTTTGCATTTTTTCTGACAGACCCATATTAAAAGATGTAGGAATATGCTTCTATGCACAAAGAAACATTTTCTCCAGAGGTTATATTCAAAATATTTAACAACTGGCCTTCAGCCTGGGCTCCACAGTTGGATGCCTCCTGGCTGTAGTGCTGGAGCCAGGTGCTGCTGGACTGAGGGAAGGGAGAAGATAGACTGAAGTAAGTGCTCAGGGCAGCAGGGCTGTGCACAGGGACTTGGGCAATGGTCATTTCCAAACCAATATGGAAATATTTTTTACCAGAATAAGCTGACTATAAGCCTTAGTTCTCTCTCATTCAAAAAAAAAAAAAGTCTTCTTGGCCTATCCTTTGTTTTCCTGTTTTTTTTTTTTTGTTGTTTGTTTGTTTGAGACAGAGTCTCACTTTGTTGCCCCAGCTGGAGTACAGTGGCATGGATCTCGGCTCACTGCAGCCCCTGCCTCCCGGGCTCAAGCACCACCTTACTGGCTAATTTTTGTATTTTTAGTAGAGACAGGGTTTCACCACGTTGCCCAGGCTGGTCTTGAACTCCTGACCTCAAGTGATTCACCCGCTTCGGCTTCCAAAGTGCTGGGATTACAGGCATCGGCTACTGCGCCCAGCCTGTTTTCTTGTTTTTGATAGAGACATGAGTACAAAGAAATGATAGTCTTCTATAAGCTCACGCCCCCATTGATAGCAGGCAGCCTTCATTCAGCTCCAGCCAAATGTCATCTAGTGCCAATTAGAACTTCCAGTTTTCTTAAGAGAAGCCAGAAATGCAAATTTTTATTGAATTTTTAATGTCAGTACAATGATTTTTAAATCACTATGCAGGCCAAACATGGTGGCCTCTGGCCTACTGAGTATATACTATATTCTATCAAACACTGCAAAAATTCAAAGATGTGAATTCTGCCCTGAAGGGACTTGATCATCTGATAGACATGCAAACAAACAAATAAAACTTAATTTTATGGTTGGATGGTCCATGTGATGAACTACTCTGTATAACTAGTAACTTTACTTCGAGTTTATGTCTTATCATTGGACCATATTAAACTCTTTAAAGAGTAAAGATTCTATGCTGTCCATACTTGTCCTCAGCACCGACTGCCTTGCCCATAATGTTTTGATTGATTCGTCGTCCTGACGATCTCTTGCTTAGCATGTATACAATTAAATGGACATATGACAACCTTGATGGTGCAGCCATTTCAATTAAGTCATCTCCCTGTATAATCAATCTTACAATAAGTACCTTGCAGACAGTAGGCAAGGAAAAAAGCCTCCTGTAATTGAACCAACCTGATCTTGTTATGTTGATTAAAGACACAGGCTACATGCAAGAACAGTGCAGAAGGAAATGTAAAAATGCAGGCACTTCCTTCTGAGACCCATATGGGAAATGAAATTTGAGAGACAGCTATGACTGGCACCTCCTTCTCAACCTTTATTTATTTTCAGTGCCAAATGGACCTCCTGGTTACTCTCTGAAATCAAGTGAAATACAAAGGCAGAGACCAAAATTCAATTTGATTATTTTCCTGGAAAACAAAATCTAGCTATAACTTACTACCTTTGGAAAACACAAGAATGCCTAGGAAATAGTCATAATGTCAACAATAAGTAGCTATAAGAAAGGACATGGCTACAAAATAGAATAAGACAACCGGGTGTGGCGGCTTATGCCTGTAATCCCAGCACTTTGGGAGGCCAAGGCGGTGGATCACTTGAGGTCAGGAGTTCGAGACCAACCTGACCAACATGGTGAAACCCCGTCTCTACTAAAAATACAAAAAAAGAAATTAGCCTGGCATGGTGGCAGGCGCCTGTAATCCCAGCCACTCAGGAGGCTGAGGCAGGAGAATCACTCGAACCCGGGAGGTGGAAGTTGCAATGAGTGGGGATTGTACCACTGCACTCCAGCCTGGGTGACAGAGCGAGACTCTGTCTCAGAAAAAAAAATAGAATAAGAAAAATCTTAAAACTGGAAGAACTCATCCATGTAGATAAAGCATCAAAACAATTTTTTTCCTCTATTGTTTAGCAAGATTATTTAGTTTTACTATATAGTTCAAACAAATAAATATTTATCACGTCTTTCAATCAAAGTTATATTTTTAACTGATTCTCTTATTTTGAAAGTAGTACATGCTCATTGAAAGAAAGAATTCAAAAGTGTTCAAAACAACATTTCTTTTCTTATCCCTCTTCACTTCCCTCAACTCAACCATCCTAGTCCTAACTCTAACTGTTAGTAGTTTAGTTTATCTCCTGCCAGGCCTTTTCCTGCTCACTCAAAATCTATGTATATGTTTGCATATGGCTCTTTTTCCCAAGGACATTGGACTTTATACTATTCTGCACTTAACTTTTTTCTTCCAGTTCAGTCAGTTTATATGTTGATCTGTCTCATTCTCCTTTGAGACCACATATTATTTCATAGTATTAATATACCATACGTTGTTTAACAATACCTCAATTGAGAACTCTTAATGTTGTCTCCAATTTTTCACCATTACAAACAGTGCTGCAGTAAATTTTACCAGTTTAGATTTCAACTTACTTTTTCATTTTAACAGGACTGTGGAAACTGAAGTCATTGCAGAGTTTGGATCTGTCATTCAATGGGATATTGCAAATAGGGTGGTCTGATTTTCACAACTGCCTGCAACTGGAGAATCTCTGTTTAAAGAGCAACAAGATATTCAAAATTCCCCCACAAGCCTTCAAGGACCTCAAAAAATTACAGGTTCTAAAATCATTTTTATAATATTTGAATAAGGAAGACACATGGGCAATTACATTAGAAGCATATTTCTATTGAAGAGTTTCTTCATGTCCAGTAGTACTGGCTATTAATCAAAAACTGTTAGTCTATTTTAAGATCCCTTAAAAGAGCTGAAGTCTCTTTCTTGCCTCAAAAATCAAAGGCCACAATAAGGGACATGAATTTTACTCCAACATAATACTCAACAGCAAGAATTGACACATTATTTTTCTAAATCAAGTTATATCCAACTCCAAGATTTCACTTACCAGTTGGCAAGGAATTAAATCTTAGTTATTAGTGAGGCTGTCTCCCTAAGCTACAAGATTGGTCAAAGGTCCCAGGGGTCTTATGCAATATGGAACGCTTGGGGAGGCCCCGCTAAACCACCCTGGCTGATGCTAAGATGTCAACAACCGTGGACTAGATGGGCCTCTGAAACCCAGTGACCCTGTTGCTTCCATTTCAAAATTGGACACAAAACAATAAAAATGATAATGATATTTCCATACTTGTATAGCATGTGTGCCACATGCAGTTCTAAACGTCCAACCCATATTGGGGAGATTTATGTCACATTTTGGCCCAATAGTTCCTGTCTCTGGCGCGTTGCAGTTAATCTCCCAAGGTGCCAATTATACTACTGTAAGGGTAAGGAACTCCTGAAGCCCTGTTCCAGGTCTGGCAGCTTCAGCCCCTTCTCCTCCAAGCACTTTTCTCCACACCCTTCCCTTTGGGAGAATGTTGTAAAATCTCCTCTCAGTGGTCTTTTAGCAACACTGGAGTGGCCTGCAGTGTAGCACTACTAGATGGTTTGTAAGAGTCCTTAGTCCCCCATCTCCATAACCTCCACGACAACTCCCATTCTTTGTATAGGCCAGCATCATTCAATAGAAACATAGAATGTGAGCCGCACATGCAATTTTAGATGTTCCAGTAGCTACAGTGAAAAAGTTAAAATAAGCAAGTGAATTTCTTCTTAGTGGTAAGTGTTATTTATCCAATATTATCTTTTACACATCATCAATATAGAAATTATTAATGAGATATTTTATATCCCCTTTTCATAGTAAGTCTTCAAAACCTGGTGGATATTTTGCACTTACCACACATCCCAATTTGGACCACCCCTGTTTTAATTGCTCTATAGCTACATGTAAGCTCTTTGAGGACATACATGATATCTGTTTTGTTTTCCAGTGCTTAGCATATGCCTGGTACCTGATATATATGTTTAAATACTTGTTAAATGAATAAGTGGCTGATGGACATGGATAGGTGTATTAGTCATCTATTGGTGTGGCTATCATATTAAGCAATGTCAACAAAGAAAACTGAGGTTTTCCCAGTGTTCTGCAAAGTGCTATTCAGGCATAGCTGCAAGATAAGCCTCCAACTCCCCACTTCCAACCAGAATGGCTCCTGGAGTCCCTCTTCTGTAGAAGGGAGACTAGTGAAGCAGTGATGGGGAGCGTGGCCTTGAGCCAGCTGCCTGGGCTTAAACCTAGCCTCGGCCACTTTCCAGCCACACTATCTTAGGCAAGTTACCAAATCTCTCTGTGTCTCACTTTTCTCTTCTGAAAAATGAAGATAATTTAGTTCCTCTCAGAGTTTTGTGAGAATTAAGTGCTTAGAATACAGTAAGTACTTTATAAATGCAGTCTGTGTATAGAAATTTTAAAGTGGCCACTGTCGCCTGCTCTTTTAACATAGAAATCTGATTCTCCCACTTCTTGGTTAAAACACTTCTAAGATTTCACTGCAAGGACCTGACCCCTGTCTGCCTCTCCAGCCTCCTTTCAAGCCTCTTCCCTGGCTCCCTGCACTCCTGCCTCTGTTTTCACCTCAAGTCCTCCCCACTTGCTCATCCTTTGCCTGGAGCCGACTTCTGTTAATCCTGTCAGTTTTGCTAAAATATTATTTCCTCAAGGATTCCTTCCCTGGGCCTCCAGATTAAATTAATTCCCCTTTATAAACACTTATAACATGCTATACATTTCCGTTTCCTCTCATTGCACTTATCCCAGCTGAAATTACTTAGTTTTAGGTATGATTAGTTGTTAATGCCTGTGTCCTCAAACGCTTCTACCCTATCGTAAGCTCTTTGAGGACATACATCATATCTGTTTTCTTTTCCAGTGCTTAGCATATGCCTGGTACCTAACACATATTTTAAAATACTTATCGAATAAACAAAGGAATGAATACATGGGTGATGGACATAGATAGGAGTATTAGTTATCTGTTGCTGCATAATACATTACTACAAACTTACCAGCTTAAAACCACACACATAGATTATCTCACAATTTCTATGAGACGGAAATCCAGGCATGGCTTACCTGGGGCCTCCACTTAAGGCTCTCTCAAGAGGCTGCAATCAAAGTGTTGGCAAAGGCTGGAGTCTAACATAAAAGCCCAGCTAGAAAAGGATTCACTTCCAAGTTCACGTGGCCGTCGGCAGGATTCAGTTCCTTGTGGGCTGCTGGAGTAAGGGCTCAGTTTCTTGCTGGTTATTGGCCAAAGCCTGCCTTCAGTTCTGTGCCATGTGGGCCTCTCCATAGGGCTGTTCACAACATGTCAGCTTGCTTCAGAGCCATCGAGGAAGAAAGTCTGCTAGCAAGAACATTATAATTCTTTGTAATGTCATCATGGAAGTGGCATTCCATTGTTTTCCATAGTCTGTGGTTAGAAACAAATCACTGGTCCTGCCTGCACCCAAGGGAAGGAGAGTACTCAAGGGCCTGATCACCAAGGAGGCAGGATCACTGGGGACCATCCTAGAGTCTGTCTGCTACAGTAGTCATGAGGACAGATGAAAAGGTCCACTTAACTTGGTAGTTAATTGGTAGTATATAGTATACTCCTTGTGTATGTAATTTGCCCTTCATCTGTTGTATTTTCTGTGCATTTTTATTGTGCTCTATGAGTCTTCTGCAACTCACAGGTAATAGATGTCACAGGCAGACTAAAAATCAACCTTGAGAATGTTTTATATACAGCTGTAATTCTCAATGCACTGTAACTGCCCCAGAATCATACCATTTCTTCTCCTCTAATATCCCTTCTGCATGTTTGGCAATATCTCTAAAAACTGGTTTTGGAACATGATGAACATATTTGGTACCAAAAAAGCTGAATATCACAATGGATGTTGTTTTCTTCTGGGCAATGAATTTGATACTTGCACTATTCTATGTGATTTCCCATGTGGAAATCTTTTCAGAAGCCAGATAGATTTTTCAAAGCATACATTTATCACCATGCTTTGATGGGATGAAATAAGTTTCACTGACATTTCAAATTAGCATTTCTTTTCCTAATCTTATCCCATTCTTCTTAAATGCAGTGATTTATGAAGCAATATTACATATGCTTCTCCCAACCTTTCCATAATGTATACCCCTTTCAAATGCTGGTAGATGGGTATTTCTTTAGCCAAATTGGACCATTCTGTTTTACTCCTCTCTCAGAAATTGTTCCTCCTGAGTAATTTTATTAATTTTCTATCCTCCCTCCAGTTTTGCTTCTGGTTCCATGATTTGTAATATAATAAGACGCTAGGACAAAAAATAAATGTAGACATGCACTAAAAAGAAAATAATTACCTAAAAAACATTAGAATATTTCAATCTGTTGTCAAGCGATACATAAGAAAGCTACTGATCGTCACCAAGACCAGACTAAAGCTAAGTATTTTTTCTTTCCAATCCCACAGTCTCCCACCTCCAATTTTTGGCAACCTTCCTTTGAGAGTCAACACTGCTTGGCTATTCATTAATGGAAAACTCACGCTTATTACCCAAGTTCACAAAAAATTGTGATTCTGTATGTAATGGTCTTGTTTGTGGCAGTGTTTGATTATTTGCTTGAATAAGCCCTTCTTTAGGAATTTACATAACCCAAAATGTAAATGCTGATTTTTCACGGGTGTCTATAAAGCAATTGGCCTTGATAACATTCAGCCTTTCTAGATTATATTCATCATCCTCTTTTTTGAAAGCAAGGACTGTATTTTCATCTTTATGATTTTCTCTTCTCCTAATAACCATGTGCCTCTCCCCAAACCTCATGAGCCACCCTGGTGCCTCTGCCCCAGGCCTCCTCAGCCCAGCCCTTCCTTCACTCTAGTGTAGCAGGGGCTCAGGCACCAAGAGGGTATGTTCTGCATTGGAAGGCACACAGCTGTGAAGCCAGATCAGGTTTCAGCTCTACCATTTCATTAATTCCTTCCTTCCTTTCTATTGTTTACACAGCACCTGCTATGTACTAGGTGCTAGGGTCTATGTGGGATATACTGTGTGGCTTAACCCAGCTTCTTCCTCTGTAGAATAGGTGAAAATGAGGAAATTGTTGAGATCAGAGATCATGTATGTGAAGCACCCAGTAGCATGTCTGGGACCCAGCAGGGCTCGGCAAATGGCAGCTAAAGCTCCTCCTAACTGTGCTTTCCCCTGCTATGTCATGCTCCTGTCGTGTCCGACACTTACAGATCCTGCTCTCTGTTTCTAGAGCCACTGGATACTTCTTGTTCCCCTTTCCCCTTCATTTCTGATCAGACTAGAAAAATAAGTCATACTGCATGTACTGAATAGCCATGGATGTGGAGAAATGTACTACTACTCTTGAGATAATATTTGATTCAAAAGATCTCTCTCTGAGGTCAGGTGCGTGCCTGTAATTCCAGCATTTTGGGAGGTCAAGGCCTGGGGAGGATTACTTGAGCCCAGGAATTTGAGTCCAATTAAGCAACATAGTGAGATTTCATCTCTACCAGAAAAATAAATAAATAAATAAGATTTCTGGTCAACCACAAGTCTGTGTTCTGTGTCTTCATCATCCAGTATTTTCTGCTGCTTTCAAGATTGCAGTAGTTCTAGAAATTCTTGACCTGGTATCCAATTCTAGACCTTGATAACATGAGTATCTAGGTTTTATTTAACAGTACAAATTACACTCAGGAAAGAAGGAAGAGAAAATGATTAGGCATCAAATATAGGCATGATACTGAAAGCTTTCACATACAGTTAATGCTTCCAGCAACCCTGGGAGGGAGGCTTATAGAAAGTGAACAATTTATCAAGACTCATAAACTTTTTAGGGGTAGAACAGAGACTTAAAACCCCACTAATTCCCTGACTTGTAAACCAGTGTTAAATCCATATTGCCTCCATAGAGACATAAACAGTAGTTTTCTGTAACTCATTTATTTTATCTGTAAATGTCTTTATCCACAGACCATCCTAAACTTGTTTCTTCTCAAACAGGTCATAGACCTTAGCAACAATGCTCTGATTACCATCCTACCAATGATGATCATAGCTCTAGAATTTCCCCATCTAGTGGTTGACTTGGCTGATAATAACTGGCAGTGTGATGATAGTGTGGCAGTCTTTCAAAATTTTATTTCTGAATCCTGGAGGAAAAAGTGGAATGTCATTTGCAACAGGTCTATAGGTAAGTCAGTAATGTCTCTCTGAAAAGGCTCCATTTATAATGAAAAATGCACATAGACATTTTAGTCTTTTTGAAATAATGACAGTCCCCATGAAAGCAAAAGTGCTGATCCTTGGCATTAGTCAGTCTTGGGCTGTGTCATAGAAAAATCATTGGTGTCAAATAACTATTTTCCTCAGTTCATCAATTATTTTCTTCATGTGGTCAAAGAAACACAGTTCAACTCACTCAGCATCAATTGGATTTGGTGAAAAGGAGGAATTCCACTAGAAGTGAGTTTTGTTCTGACACACCAAACTTTATTCTCAAGAACCATAGACAAGCTGTTGGCATTAGACAAGAATTAAAAATTGAATAAAATTTAACGTCACAGTTTTATCCAAATTCCTAACAAATAATCTATTAAAGAAAGAACTTTTAAAATTAGAAACATCATTATTTTAAATGTTTGCTAACACTCTAAAAGTGTGATCCTCTACATACGCAAAACACACACACATATTACAAAAGCATATTTTCCTTTAATTTGTTCCTTGCCCCTCTCCTAAAGTGCTGGAATATGTTACTGGGGCTGAACATTCTGGGAAGCTTGTTTTCACTCTTAACTACCTTGGCTAAATCTCAACCTCATATCTAGAAAAAGAAAAAGTCCATGAAAAAAATGAGTCATAGATTCTGTTCTATTCAGGACTGCCATTCAAGTAGGAACATGGCCATGCCTACCAGGTTTAGAGGAAATTCATGAAGATCAGAGAGAAGTCTTAATGTCATCAGCTACATTTGTTTCACTCCACAACTGGCATTCTGAGGGTAGAGAGCAAAATGTAAGGAACCAGTAAAGAAAACTGAATATTTTTGCTGTTTAACAGCACACAGAGTCGGTAAGATTATGGAGAAAGGAGAAGCCATGTACATGTGGCTGTCCCTCTAGTCTGGCTTCTTCCTCCCACAGGCAGCAGTGAGGCAGGAAGCCTAAGGCACATACAACCTCCAGGACCTCTGAGCAACAGACCTCAGCCTGATAGCCATGTGTAAATGCGTACAGCCATAAACATGCTGTTGGCATTAAACAAAAACGAATGAATGAATAAAATTTTTAAACTGCTTATCATCATGTAATGTACCCTTTAACATATAGCTAGATAAGGACTGAGGAGGACTCACAGAAGCTTCTGAAACCACTAGAATCTGGAGCTGGGGCAGCAGCTCACACCTATAGTCCCAGCTGTTCAGGAGGCTGAGGGAGGAGAATCGCTTGATGCCAAGAGTTTGAGACCAGCCTTGGCAACATAGTGACAGCCCTTGTCTCTGTAAGTAGGAAAATAAAAAAAAAGCAGCCCAGGCGTGGTGACACACACCTGTAGTCCCAGCTACTCTAGAGGCTGAGGTGGGAGGATCACTTGAGCCCAGGAGTCTGAGGCTTCAGTGAGTTATGATTGTGCCACTGCGCTCCAGGCTGGGTGTGCCTGGAATTCAAAATTCAAAAAAATTGAATTTTTTTCAATTCTGTAAAAAAGAGAAAAACCCCTGAAATCTTATTTCAATGTTCGCTCAATGTGTATTTTTTTAATCCCACTTGCAGGGAGTGAGGAGGCCAACGGGGGCACTCCCCAGAGCAGGATTTCCAGGGAAACCCGCCTTCCTCCCATTCATCTGCATCGCATGAAAAGCCTCATAAGGAGCAAAGCAGAGAGGCCCCAGGGAGGAAGGCACACGGGCATTTCTACTCTGGGGAAGAAGGCAAAGGCCGGCTCTGGTCTCAGGAAGAAGCAGAGACGGCTGCCAAGGAGTGTTAGAAGCACCCGCGATGTGCAGGCTGCCGGCAAAAAAGAGGACGCTCCCCAGGACCTGGCTCTGGCGGTGTGCCTGTCAGTGTTCATCACATTCCTTGTCGCCTTCAGCCTGGGGGCTTTCACAAGGCCTTATGTTGACAGACTGTGGCAAAAAAAGTGCCAGAGCAAAAGCCCTGGCCTGGACAACGCGTATTCAAACGAGGGCTTCTACGATGACATGGAAGCTGCGGGGCACACACCACACCCAGAGACCCATCTGCGCCAAGTATTTCCTCATCTAAGCCTCTACGAGAACCAGACCCCTTTCTGGGTGACACAGCCACACCCACACGCCACCGTAATTCCTGATAGAACTCTGGGAAGGAGCAGAAAGGATCCTGGCAGTTCGCAGAGCCCAGGACAGTGCGGGGACAACACCGGGGCAGGAAGTGGAAATGATGGTGCAGTCTATTCCATTCTCCAGAGACATCCACATGCCGGTAACCGTGAACTAATGTCAGCAGCGCAGGACCACATCCATAGGAATGATATTCTCGGAGAATGGACTTATGAAACTGTGGCCCAGGAAGAGCCTCTCAGTGCACATTCAGTGGGCGTCTCTTCTGTAGCTGGCACGTCTCACGCTGTCTCTGGCTCAAGCCGTTATGATTCCAATGAATTAGACCCTTCCCTCTCCGGAGAAATAACAGCTTCCCTCTGTAAAATGCTAACACATGCAGAAGCACAGAGGACTGGAGATAGTAAGGAAAGAGGGGGCACTGAACAGTCACTTTGGGACTCGCAGATGGAATTTTCTAAGGAAAGGCAAGTGAGTTCATCCATTGATTTGCTGAGCATACAGCAGCCAAGGCTGTCCGGGGCAAGGGCTGAGGAAGCGCTTTCAGCCCACTACAGCGAGGTTCCATACGGTGACCCAAGAGACACAGGCCCATCAGTCTTTCCTCCAAGATGGGACAGTGGCCTGGATGTCACTCCTGCTAACAAGGAACCAGTGCAGAAATCCACTCCTTCTGACACTTGCTGTGAGTTGGAGAGTGACTGTGACTCTGATGAGGGGTCTCTGTTCACTCTGAGCTCCATAAGTTCAGAGAGTGCAAGGAGCAAGACTGAAGAGGCAGTGCCTGATGAGGAGTCCCTGCAGGACGAGAGCTCAGGGGCAAGCAAGGACAATGTGACGGCTGTAGACAGTCTTGAGGAAAATGTTACCTTCCAAACAATTCCAGGGAAATGCAAGAATCAAGAAGATCCCTTTGAAAAACCTCTCATTTCTGCTCCAGACTCTGGCATGTACAAGACTCATCTGGAAAATGCCTCTGACACTGATAGATCTGAGGGCCTGTCACCCTGGCCCAGGTCACCAGGGAATAGTCCCTTAGGGGATGAGTTTCCGGGCATGTTCACTTATGATTATGACACAGCTCTTCAATCCAAGGCAGCAGAATGGCATTGCTCACTTAGAGACTTAGAATTTTCAAATGTGGACGTTTTACAGCAAACACCACCATGTTCTGCTGAAGTTCCCTCAGATCCTGATAAGGCTGCCTTCCATGAAAGAGACTCAGACATTTTAAAATAAGAATCTTTCATTAAGGAAATATTCACAGCTCTAAACAATATTCTTTTAAAGATCATGGCAGGGGAAAACTAAAGCCTTCACAACAAGATCCTGAAGGAGACAACATGAATTCCAACCAAGTGGACACTGATGCAAATGAGGGTTTTGTGGGCCCACTTGAGGGCGATGATTCTAGAAGGGTTATAAGCTAAACACACTTGTTAACATCCTATGGGGATGAACCTGCTCTTCAGTGTGAAAGAGAAAGAGGGGAATATTTTGAGATCATTCCAAGAACCATGCACCATTATTACAAGAGCTCCAAACAAAACCAGTTCACTGAGAACACAGGAGCACTTCATCAATAGGTTGGGGTAAATATTCAGAAGAGAATCTGTTGCAGTTAGACGAAGTGGTTCTAACTTTCCTTCTCAAATACAGACCTGGAGCAATCTGATGGGATTTGGCTCTCTGAAAAGAACAGCTTTAGGATGACAAAGACAAGGATGTTCAACTTGATCATCAAAGAGAATTCAAATGACATTTTTTCATACATATTGAAGCACTTAAGTGGAAATGCTGGATAGATTTTAATGAATTCTGAACACACACTAGCACAACTTTTTGGAGGCTGATCGTGAAACTGCAAAATTGGAAAAGTTCTGAGTAAATATAAATGTTTTTAAATAAGTTATGTTAAAAGAGAAGAGGGGCCACTTTTTAGAATAAAGTGTAAATTAAAAATCAATTTTCAAGAAAAGAATTGATGATTTCTGTAAAGAAAAAGACTCTCTGCACATCCTTGCCTAGCCCTTCCTTGGTGTGACTCGCTACACTCTAGCCATCATGAGCTGTGTCCTGTTCATGCTCTGCTTTGCAATATTTTCTCATCTTCCTTCCTGACATCCCCCCTCTGCTTGCCCTCTTAAAGACAGCACTCCTCAAGGGTTTTGGTTTGTTCCTAGTCTTTCTTTATTATTCCTTTCTCCTTGAACCCCACTGCCTCAGCAACTGGCTCTACACAGATACGCCAGATCTGCATGGTAAGCCCTACCTCCCATCTAAGCTCCAGACTCACATTCCCAACCCTAGTTGCCCAAATTCATATAGGTCATCTGAGCACCTAAAATTCATTGTTTTTTTAATATAAAATTATAATAGACTCAAAGTTTCCCTATATTGCCCAGACTAGTCTTGAACTCTGGGGCTCAAGCAGTCCTCCTGCTTCAGCCTGTCAAAGTGCAGGGATTACAGGCATGAGCCACTGTGCCTGGCCAAATTCATCATTTTCTTTCACAAATATAATCTCTCATATTCCCTTTCTTGGTCAACAGTATCATAACATCCACCCAGTAAACCCAGTTAAAATTTCTGACTTATCTGTCTCCTTCTTTTCATTTTCTATATCTGAGCAGCCTCTAAGCTCTGTGCAGTGGAAGTTCCTGAATGTCTATAAAGGTGGATGTTTAGGCCTGGCAATATGGAGGAGGGCTAGCCAATTTGTGTTAAACCATTGTTTGCATAGAAAGCACACTGTTTTTACTTACAGTGTATATTTATTTAGGGTAGACTAAGGTTGAATGTTTTGGGGTTCTGTGGAAGGGCCTTAAGAGCCCCCTAGTCCACCTGTTGGCATCATCACTAGTCCAACCGGATCTAACTCCTCAATAACTCTTAACTTTCTTACATCTGCTCTCAATCCCCAAATAAAGCACATCCCTTGTCTATTGCCTAGATTATTGTGACCTTTAGTACTTCTTCTTGACCCCCATTCACCCCAAATCATCTTATATCCAACCCATCATGCTCCTGCTCAAAAACTTTTGATGACTCCCACTGACTGTATAAAAACAAAATTCCATAATCTAGACACACCCTACCTTTCCAATTTCATCTCATCACATTGTCACTTGACTGCACATTCTACATTCTGGTTTACATCATGTAACATCAATCATTTATTTATTTCAGCAAACGCTTTAGGCCTTTTCTGGGCCCCTTATCAATTTCTCCCCAATTGTTATTTTGAAGTTTCACTGTCCTTGAATTTTCACTGAGAATATTTAGGAAGAAGCTCCTCACTCACCTACTCCATAGCTGTAAACATTCTCACTCACCTACCCTCATTCCTGTCCTCTCATGACCCAAGGTCATGGGTCCTTTCATGTTTCTCTTGCATGCTCTTCCAACCTCCCCCTATCTAATGGATTCTTCCCACAGGATAAGCCTGCTCAAGTCCCTAAAAGAAAATGCCACCCTGCAGCTCCCTCAAAATGCCACCTTCTTCTCTCATAGCTAGGTGCCTCAAAGTGATGGTCAGCAACTTGCCATAGCCTCTTCAGCACACTGCAGCCTGACTTCGGCTCACCTTTCTTTTAACCTGTGCTCACCAACAACCTCCAATTGCCACGTACAATGGACCCTTCAGTCTTCACCAAGGAAAACCTCTTCAGCATTCCCCAAAGCTTAGCTTAAGGAAGAACTACAGGCTCCTATCTTTGACCACCGTTGACCACTCCCACCTTGAAACTCATTTTCAGTGGCTTTTGTGATACATCTCTGTAAAGATGAGGTCTCAGGAGTACACAGATGGCAAGAAATAGGGATGACTGAAGAGAGTTTAATGAAGGAATCATTTGTAAAGATCTAGGATTAAGGGAAACTAGCAAGGGAAGGTGACGGACCTATAGGCTAGCAACAGGGGACAGCCTTGACACCCTTAGGCCTGTAGAGATAAGGCAAGTTGCAACTGTGAGGTTGCCCAGCAGAAGCCCTGGTCTTTGGCAGACTATAGCCACTAACAATCCATTTACAGCAGAAAGAAGCCAGAAGATGATCACCCCAGCCTTTCTCTTCTTACTCTCCAATCTCCTGGCAGTGCCCCCAAGTGGCTGAACACTTGAAGCCAGAGGACAAGAGAGGCAGTTGATGTGGTCCACAGCAATCAGCCTTCCAGGCCACAGAGCAGGATGGAGAAGGATAGTGGATTTGGAGGGGCAAACAGAATATCCAGTGCACACTTCCTCCTAATTTTTCTGGCTTTCTGTGATTCTTTCTCAGGCTCCTTTTCTGGCCCCTCTTCCTATACTCACCTCGTAAATATGTGTGTTTCTCAGGGCTTGGTCTTTGGCCCTCTGGTCTTTTCACTCAGTTCACTTTCTCCATGTAAGCTATCAATCATCATGGCTTCAGCCACTAGCTAAGTGCTGATATTTCCCCTTTCTATAACTCTTAGCTTTGAAATCTTTCTGGACCTTTACATTCACATCCAGTTGCCTATTAGCTATCTCCATGGGCACCTCAAGCTAAGTGTATACGAAATGAAACCCATCAGCTCCCCCTAACCCTACCCACTCACAGAATCTGATCATCTGTGTTCTCATCTCACTAGCTACCTGGCTGCTCCATCCAGAAATTTAAGAGTCATTCTTTTGATGTCTCTCTCCTCCTTTCCCTTATCTAACTCATTAGTCACTAACTACAGCCAATTCTAGCTCCTATGTACCTTCCAAACGTATCCCATCCTGTCTGTCCACATTGCCACAGCTTTTGCCTTGACAAGCTTTTACCTTGACACTCTGAGATCCATCTTAACAGTGCTTTCTGTATTTTCTGTATTAGTCATCATTCTCCAGAGAAACGGAATCAACAGGATACATACAGATAGAAAAATACTTATTATGAAGAATTGGCTCATGTAATTATGGAGGCTGAGAGGTTCCACAATCTGTTGTCTATAAGATCAAGGCCCAGGAAAGCCAGTGGTAGAGTTGCAGTTACACCCAAAGACTTGAGAACCAGGAGAGCCAGTGTTGTGAGTTGCAGCGTGAGTCCAAATGTCAGAGAACTGGTGGTTCCAAGATGGCCAAATAGGAAGAGCTCCAGTCTACAGCTCCCAGTGTGAGTGATGCAAAAGATGGGTGATTCCTGCATTTCCAACTGAGGTACTGGGTTCATCTCACTGGGGCTTGTCAGACCGTGGGTGCAGGACAGTGGGTGCAGCACACCAAGCATGAGCCTAAGCAGACTGAGGCATCGCCTCACCAGGGAAGTGCAAGGGGTCAGGGAATTCTCTTTCATAGCCAACCAAAGCTGTGACAGACGACATCTGGAAAATCGGGTCACTCCCACCCTAATACTGTGCTTTTCCAATGGTCTTAGGAAACAGCACACCAGGAGATTATATCCCATGCCTGGCTCGGAGGTCCCACGCCCATGGAGCCTTGCTCATTGCTAGAACAGCAGTTTGAGATCGAACTGCAAGGTGGCACCGAGGCTGGGGAAGGGGTGCCCGCCATTGCTGAGGTTTGAGTAGGTAAACAAAGCAGCCAGGAAGCTCCAACTGGGTGGACCCCACCTCAGCTCAAGGAGGCCTACCTGCCTCTGTAGACTCCACCTCTGGGAGCAGGGCATAGCCAAACAAAAGGCAGCAGAAACCTCTGCAGACTTAAATGTCCCTGACTGACAGCTTTGAAGAGAGTAGTGGTTCTCCCAGCATGGAGTTTGAGATCTGAGAACGGGCAGACTGCCTCTTCAAGTGGGTTCCCGACCCCTGAGTAGCCTGTCTGGGGTGCACCCCCCAGTAGGGGCAGACTGACACCTCACACGGCCAGATACCCCTCTGAGATGAAACCTCCAGAGGAAAAATCAGACAGCAACATCTGCTATTCAGCAATATTTGCTGTTCTGCAGCCTCCGCTGCTGATACCCAGGCAAACAGCGTCTGGAGTGGACCTCTGGCAAGCTCCAACAGACCTGCAGCTGAGGGTCCTGACTGTTAAAAGGAAAACTAACAAACAGAAAGGACATCCACACCAAAACCCCATCCGTACATCACCATCATCAAAGACCAAAGGTAGATAAAACCACAAAGATGGGAAAAAACAGAACAGGAAAACTGAAAATTATAAAAATCGGAGCACCTCTCCTCCTCCAAAGGAATGCAGCTCCTCACCAGCAATGGAACAAAGCTGGACAGAGAATGACCTTGATGAGTTGAGAAAAGAAGGCTTCAGATGATCAAATTTCTCCGAGCTAAAGGAGGAAGTTCGAACCCATCGCAAAGAAGTTAAAAACCTTGTAAAAATATTAGACAAATGGCTAACTAGAATAACCAATGCAGAGAAGTCCCTATATGACCTGAAGGAGCTGAAAACCATGCCACGAGAACTATGTGATGAATAAAGAAGCTTCAGTAGCTGATTCGATCAACTGGAAGAAAGGGATCAGGGATTGAAGATCAAATGAATGAAATGAAGCAAGAAGAGAAGTTTAGAGAAAAAAGAATAAAAAGAAATGAACAAAGCCTCCAAGAAATATGGAACTATGTGAAAAGACCAAATCTACGTCTGATTGGTGTACCTGAAAATGATGGGGAGAATGGAACCAAGTTGGAAAACACTCTGCAGGATATTATCCAGGAGAACTGCCCCAACCTAGCAAGGCAGGCCAACATTCAAATTCAGGAAATACAGACAACTCCACAAAGATACTCCTCGAGAAGAGGAACTCCAAGACACATAATTGTCAGATTCACCAAAGTTGAAATGAGGGAAAAAATGTTAAGGGCAGCCAGAGAGAAAGGTCGGGTTACCCACAAAGGGAAGCCAATCAGACTAACAGCTGATCTCTTGGCAGAAACTCTACAAGCCCGAAAAGAGTGGGGGCCAATATTCAACATTCTTAAAGGAAAGAATTTTCAACCCAGAATTTCATATCCAGTGAAACTAAGCTTCATAAGTGAAGGAGAAATAAAATCCTTTACAGAGAAGCAAATGCTGAGAGATTTTGTCACCACCAGGCCTGCCCTACAGGAGCTCGTGAAAGAAGCACTAAACATGGAAGGGAACAACTGTTACCAGCCACTGCAAAAACATGACAAATTGTAAAGATAATCAATGCTAGGAAGGAACAGTAACAACTAGTGAGCAAAATAACCAGCTAACATCATAATGACAGGATCAAAATCACATATAACAATATTGACCTTAAATGTAAATGAGCTAAATGCTTCAATTAAAAGACACAGACTGGCAAATTGGATAAAGAGTCAAGACCCATCAGTGTGCTGTATTCAGCAAACCCATCTCACCTGTGGAGACACACATAGGCTCAAAATAAAGGAATGGAGGAAGATCTACCAATCAAACAGAAAACAAAAAAAGACAGGGGTTACAATCCTAGTCTCTAATAAAATAGACTTTAAACCAACAAAGATCAAAAGAGACAAAGAAGGCCATTACATAATGGTAAAGGGATCCATTCAACAAGAAGAGCTAACTATCCTAAATATATATGCACCCAATATAGGAGCACCCAGATTCATAAAGCAAGTCCTTAGAAACCTAAGAAGAGACTTAGATGCCCACACAATAATAATGGGAGACTTTAACACCCCACTGTCAACATTAGACAGATCAACGAGACAGAAAGTTAACAAGGATATCCAGGAATGGAATTCAGCTCTGCACCAAGCAGACCTAGTAGACGTCTACAGAACTCTCCACCCCAAATCAACAGAATATACATTCTTCTCAGCACCACACCATATCTATTCCAAAATTGACCACATAGTTGGAAGTAAAACACTCCTCAGCAAATGTAAAAGAACAGAAATTATAACAAACTGTCTCTCAGACCACAGTGCCATCAAACTAGAACTCAGGATTAAGAAACTCACTCAAAACCGCTCAACTACATAGAAACTGAACAACCTGCTCCTGAAGGACTACTGGGTACATAACGAAATGAAGGCAGAAATAAAGATGTTCTTTGAAACTGATGAGAACAAAGACACAACATACCAGAATCTCTGGGACACATTCAAAGCAGTGTGTAGAGGGAAATTTATAGAACTAAATGCCCACAAGAGAAAGCAGGAAAGATCTAAAATTGACACCCTAACATCACAATTAAAAGTACTAGAGAAGCAAGAGCAAACACATTCAAAAGCTAGCAGAAGGCAAGAAATAACTAAGATCAGAACAGAACTGAAGGGGATAGAGACACAAAAAACCCTTCAAAAAATCAATGAATCCAGGAGCTCGTTTTTTGAAAAGATCAAGAAAATTGATAGACCACTAGCAAGACTAATAAAGAAGAAAAGAGAGAAGAACCAAATAGATGCAATAAAAAATGATAAATGAGAGATCAACACCGATCCCACAGAAATACAAACTACCATCAGAGAATGCTATAAACACCTCTATGCAAATAAACCAGAAAATCTAGAAGAAATGGATAAATTCCTCAACACATACACCCTCCCAAAACTAAACCAGAAAGAAGTTGAATCTCTTAATAGACCAATAACAGGCTCTGAAATTCAGGGAATAATTAATAGCTTACCAACCAAAAAAAGTCCAGGACCAGACAGATTCACAGCCAAATTCCACCAGAGGTACAAGGAGGAGCTGGTACCATTCCTTCTGAAACTATTCCAATCAATAGAAATAGAGGGAGTTCTCCCTAACTCATTTTATGAGGCCAGCATCATCCTGATACCAAAGCCTGGCAGAGACACAATGAAAAAAGAGAATTTTAGACCAATATCCCTGATGAGCATCGAAGCAAAAATCCTCAATAAAATACTGGCAAACTGAATCCAGCAGCACATCAAAAAGCTTATGCACCATGATCAAGTGGGCTTCATCCCTGGGACTAAGGCTAGTTCAACATATGAAAATGAATAAATGTAATCCAGCATATAAACAGAACCAAAGACAAAAACCACATAATTATCGCAAAAGATGCAGAAAAGTCCTTTGAAAAAATTCAACAGCCCTTCATGCTAAAAACTCTCAATAAATTAAGTATCGATGGGACATATCTCAAAATAATAAGAGCTATTTATGACAAACCCACAGCTAATATCATACTGAATGGGCAAAAACTGGAAGCATTCCCTTTGAAAACTGGCACAAGACAGGGATGCCCTCTCTCACCACTCATATTCAACATAGTGTTGGAAGTTCTGGCCAGGGCAATCAGGCAGAAGAAAGAAATAAATGGTATGCAATTAGGAAAAGAGGAAGTAAAATTGTCCCTGTTTGCAGATGACATGATTGTATATCTAGAAAACCCCATTGTCTCAGCCCAAAATCTCATTAAGCCGATAAGCAACTTCAACAAAGTCTCAGGATACAAAATCAACGTACAAAAATCACAAGCATTCTTATACACCAACAACAGACAAACAGAGAGCCAAATCATGAGTGAAATCCCATTCACAATTGCTTCAAAGAGAATAAAATACCTAGGAATCCAACTTACAAGGGATGTGAAGGACCTCTTCAAGGGGAACTACAAACTACTGCTCAACAAAATAAAAGAGGACACAAACAAATGGAAGAACATTCCATGATCATGGATAGGAAGAATCAATATCGTGAAAATGGCCATACTGCCCAAGGTAACTTATAGATTCAATGCCATCCCCATCAAGCTACCAATGACTTTCTTCACAGAATTGGAAAAAACTACTTTAAAGTTCATATGGAACCAAAAAAGAGCCCACATTGCCAAGTCAATCCTAAGCCAAAAGAACAAAGCTGGAGGCGTCACATTACCTGACTTCAAACTATACCACAAGGCTACAGTAACCACAACAGCATGGTATTGATACCAAAACAGAGATATAGACCAATGGAATAGAACAGAGCCCTCAGAAATAATACCACACATCTACAACTATCTGATCTTTGACAAACCTGAAAAAAACAAGAAATGGGGAAAGGAATCCCTATTTAACAAATGGTGCTGGGAAAACTGGCTAGCCATATGTAGAAAGCTGAAACTGGATCCCTTCCTTACACCTTACACAAAAATTAAGTTGAGATGGATTAAAGACATAAATGTTAGACCTAAAACCATAAAAACCCTAGAAGAAAACCTAGGCAATACCATTTAGGACATAGGCATGGGCAAGGACTTCATGTCTAAAACACCAAAAGCAATGGCAACAAAAGCCAAAATTGACAAATGGGATATAATTAAATGAAAGAGCTTCTGCACAGCAAAAGAAACTACCATCAGAGTGAACAGGCAACCTAAAGAATGGGAGAACAATTTTGCAATCTACTCATCTGACAAAGGGCTAATATCCAGAATCTACAAAGAACTCAAACAAATTTACAAGAAAAAAAACAATGCCATCAACAAGTGGGCGAAGGATATGAACAGACACTTCTCAAAAGCAGACATTTATGCAGCCAACAGACAGATGAATAAATGCTCATCACCACTGGCCATCAGAGAAATGCAAAGCAAAACTGCAATGAGATACCATCTCACACCAGTTAGAATGGTGATCATTAAAAAGGATGTGAAGGACCTCTTCAAGGGGAACTACAAACCACTGCTCAATGAAATAAAAGAGGATACAAACAAATGGAAGAACATTCCATGCTCATGGGTAGGAAGAATCAATATCCTGAAAATGGCCATACTGCCCAAGGTAATTTATAGATTCAATGCCATCCCCATCAAGCTACCAATGACTTTCTTCACAGAATTGGAAAAAAATACTTTAAAGTTCATATGGAAGCAAAAATGAGCCCACATTGCCAAGTCAATCCTAAGCCAAACGAAAAAAGCTGGAGGCATCACGCTACCTGACTTCAAACTATACCACAAGGCTACAGTAACCAAAACAGCATGATACTGGTACCAAAACAGAGATATAGACCAATGGAACAGAGCAGAGCCCTCAGAAATAATGCCACATATCTACAACTATTTGATCTTTGATAAACCTGACGAAAACAAGAAATGGGGAAAGGATTCCTTATTTAACAAATGGCGCTGGGAAAACTGGCTAGCCATATGTAGAAAGCTGAAACTGGATCCCTTCCTTACACCTTATACAAAAATTAAGTCAAGATGGACTAAAGAATTAAATGTTAGACCTAAAACCATAACAACCCTAGAAGAAAACCTAGGCAATACCATTCAGGACATAGGCATGGGCAAGGACTTCATGTCTAAAACACCAAAAGCAATTGGCAACAAAAGCCAAATTGACAAATGGGATCTAATTAAACTAAAGAGCTTCTGCACAGCAAAAGAAACTACCATCAGAGTGAACAGGCAACCTACAGAATGGGAGAACATTTTTGCAATCTACTCATCTGACAAAGGGCTAATATCCAGAATCTACAAAGAACTCCAACAAATTTACAAGAAAAAAACAACCCCATCAAAAAGTGGGCAAAGGATATGAACAGACACTTCTCAAAAGAAGACATTTATGCAGCCAAAAGACACATGGGAAAATGCTCATCACCACTGGCCATCAGAGAAATGCAAATCAAAACCACAATGAAATACCATCTCACACCAGTTAGAATGGTGATCATTAAAAAGTTGGGAAACAACAGGTGCTGCAGAGGATGTGGAGAAATAGGAACACTTTTACACTGTTGGTGGGACTGTAAACTAGTTCAACCATTGTGGAAGACAGTGTGGTGATTCCTCAGGGTTCTAGAACTAGAAATATCATTTGACCCAGCCATCCCATTACTGGGTATATACCCAAAGGAATATAAATCATGCTGCTATAAAGACACATGCACACGTATGTTTATTGCAGCACTACTTACAATAGCAAAGACTTGGAACCAACCCAAATATTCAACAATGATAGACTGGATTAAGAAAATGTGGCTCATATACACCATGGAATACTATGTAGCCATAAAAAATGATGAGTTCATGTCATTTGTAGGGACATGGATGAAGTTGGAAACCATCATTCTCAGCAAACTATTGCAAGGACAAAAAACCAAACACTGCATGTTCTCATTCATAGGTGGGAATTGAGTAAGGAGAACACTTGGACACAGGAAGGGGAATATCACACCCCAGGGCCTGTTGTGGGGTTGGGGGAAGGGGGAGGGATAGCATTAGGAGACATACCTAATGTAAATGAAGGCTTAATGGGTGCAGCACACCATTAACGTTGTGCACATGTACCCTAGAACTTAAAGTATAATAATATATATGTATATAAAGTATATGCATATATATAAAATAAAAAAATAAAAAATAAAAATCTGTGTACCACACTGGGTACCTGTATACAAAACAAACAAACAAACAACAACAACAGAAAACAAATCTCTGAGAACCGGGAGTGCTGATGTCTAAGAGCAGGAGGAGATAATGTCTCAGCTCAATAAGACAGAGGAAAGCCCTCTTTTCTCCACCTTTTTGTTCTATTTAGGCCCTCAATGGATTGGGTGCTGCCCACCCACATAGGTGAGAGAAAGCTTTATTTGGCTGCTGACTCAAATGCTAATCTCTTCCAGAAACACCTTCACAGACACACCCAGAAACCATGTTTTACCAGCCATCTGGGCATCCCTTACCCATCAAGTAGGCACATAAAATTGACGATCACACCTCCTGCCCTACATCCCTTTACTATTCCCCACACTGCAGCCAGGGGGTGGTTTCTAAAATGCAAATATGATTATGTGGCTTCCCTGAGTAGAGTCCATCCATTGGCTATAGGTTTTTCTGTTTCCCTAAAGCTCCACATGTAACTGAAACACAGGTTCGGTCACTCACCACCTGCAGAGTCCAATTAACAAGATTGAGTCTGGTATAAAGAAAGTGACATTATTCCACAGCATAGCTTAGGGGAAGAAGTACAGGCTCCTGCCTTTAAGGATATCACTTTACTTTTGGGCAGAAAGCAGAGGCTTTTAAGCAGGGACTTGGCATGAATGGCATGCAGGAGAGGGAGAAAGCAGGTGTAGGGTCTGCATGACTCGCTTTGATGCCATAACTACCGAGCTGGCACCATCGTGGGCAGAGCTAGGTTGTAAGGTGGCCACTGTCTTGAGATCCACTCCAGGTGAAAGAGAGCTCTGTTGCGGGGCACTTCAGGTTGTAAATTGACTGTTGTCTCTTGAGGCCATCTCCTGGTGGGAGAATTCCCTCTCTGGTGCATAGTTATTAGGTTGGTGCAAAAGTAATTGTTGTTTTTGCCATTACTTTTGCCAAATTACTCTGGCACCAACCTAATAGATAAGCTTGCTCTGTAGGAAGTGTCTGGCGAAGGGAAGGTAAAGGTTATAATTTCATTTCTAAAGAGCTAAGAAGTGAGGAACAAGGGAAAAGGGGGAAAGAGAAAAGAAGGAAAACAATAAAACATAACCCATTCTTTTTCTCTTAGAAAAGAGGGGGTACTTGGTTATACACATGCCTGTCCATCTCCCCGCCCTTGCCCATGTTCCTCCTGCCCAAAGCGCTTTTTCACAAACAAGCCCTCCTTTAGCTGACACGCTCCCACTTAGGTCTCCGCTGTGTTGTCACCTCCTCAGGGAAGACGTCTCAGATGCCTCACTAAGTTAGATTTCCCTATTACAAATTCTGTCATTACACAGCATTGGCCTTTCTATAGGAGAGCTTATCACAAGTAAAATTAAATAATTAGTCATATGATTAGGTTTAATGTCTGTCTGCCCCTTTAATACTGTAAGTGCCACACAAACAAAAAAATTGTGTCTATCTCCCCAAGACTTGGCACTGAGTAGGTTCTTAATACATGCATTCATTAAATAAATGAAAGAGCAAACTTTAGTACAGTGTACAAGGACATCTAGCATCTGTCCCTGCTTACCACCCAGCTTGTATTTCATGGTGCTTTGCCCCATTCCTAACATCCAAAGTTCATGCCAGTGCACCAAGTGTAACTGCTTGCAGTTACAAACTCACCAGTCTATATCATTTCACCATGTCTTGGCCCGTATTGCTGCCTGCTTTCTGGGTGGTACCTCTGGCCTCCCCACCAAGTCCCATCTCATCTGCCTGGTGAGTATCTACTCTTCTTTGAATAAGCTGTTTATGGATTATTTCCTCCATGAGCTTTTCTCACCTCATTCCACCCAAGTAGAATCTACCACTTCCTTCTTCCCTGGGGTCTCCACTGTACCGTTTTGTGTATTACAGAAGAAACAGGGCTTCACATGACTTTACTGAGATCTGCTAGAGACTCTTCTATTGGCCAACTTCCAACTCAGGTGAAATTCAGTTTTGCCAAGAGTTTACTCCCAATGTGGAGTCCATAAAGTCATCTCAGAGCTGGTAAGTATTTCATAGAGTGAAAAATTACCTCCTATTCCATCAACACAGAGAAAAGAGGAATATACCGCATTCACTATTTTTGTTTGTTTTGTTTAGACTTCCAAAAGAAGCTTCTGGTAGCATGGCATAAATGTCACAGTTTATATGTAGGTGTTGCAGATTTCTCAGTAAGCCTCTTGTTTCTTGCAAAAACAAATTTTAAAAATCTTTGTCAATATGCCTGCCATAAGCTTGGCTAAAATTGCTTGATGTGAGTGATATTTGAAGCCTTCCACTTTCAGATTTTTAAAATGTCTCACCCTTGGACTCTGCTCTCAAGTTGCCTCAAAATTTAAACTATCTAAGTTCTATAGAGTCCCTTTACCCCAGTTTTTCCCTCTGTTTTAGTTTCACTTGTTTCGATTATGTCTCTAGTTGTTACACAAATGACTTTTAAAACATATTCCATTTTTTTTATTTTTTCACTAAAACATATTCCCCCCTTGCATTTCTTTATCAGAGTAACTCAAACATGTTTTTATGAGCCTAACAATTCCACATCAGTATATTTTAGTCCAAGAAATACTTTTTGAAAATCTCTGGTATAATTTACCTTTACATGTTCCTAAAACCATTATATAAGTCTTGGTCCTTTGGGCACAAACCCAAAACATGAAACGTTAAAACCTTATCCTCCTTGAAGAGCAGCAAATGCCATATATGAATTGTCTTTTCAATGTTGCTCCCTAAAAACCCTTCAGGTTCCATAAAGTCATTTTGGGATCAGATGGACAAATTTTTCCCTATCCCTCTACAGTGGTCCAGGGTGTGAGGCCTGAGATTCTCTCTTTCTTCCTGGGAAGTCTTTGTCCAGTTCTTTTTGGTGACCATGCACAGCAAGGGTAAAAAATCAAGGGAGTAACCAAGAGTAACCAGGAATAGCTGCTAGAATCACAAAACAGCAAATAAATGCCAGCAAGCAGATGTCCATGTATCTCAGTCTGTTTAAAAGACAAAATCCACTCCACTCAAGGATACACATTTCATTTGAGTACCTTCAGATTCAAGGGAGATAAATGTAGCGGGGGAGAAGGGGTTCTTACGTCTTATGAGTGAAAAGTTTTGATGAATTTCATTAGTAATTTACACTAGATTAATATGCCATCAAATAAATGTAAGTGGCAGGCCACAGGCTTAAGAAAGCAAGTCTTTGATGAGCTTGTCCACTCAAGAGTAAGGGGGAGAGTCCCATCTTTCTACTGCCTGATAATCTCATGTTCATGACAGCTTGAGGACAAGACCTCTGTCTGTCTGAATCTAGTTTCTGCAAAAAGCCAGTTTATTTTTTTTTCAAATTCCTACCTTAATGTTTTACTACTACCTGTAAATTCTAGGGGATATGGGCAATGGAAGTTTTGGTGAATTTTAAGGCTTTGCAGATTGTCTTAATAATTCAACATATGATGAACGTACCTCAATTGTCATAATGAACAAGGTCATCCCATATCTGGGAATAAAATCTTTTTAGCCTTTGGCTGACATGTATTTTGTCCACCTGTGTGTGTGTGTGTGTGTGTGTATGTGTGTGTTTGTGTGTATGTGTGTATCTACAATACTGAACTATTCACACAATTAAAAGTGAATAACATCTTTGCTCATTTGAAGAAATGCTATCCAAGTATATCATGTGTTATTTTAAAAGAAAGCTGTCATTTTTCTTTAAATACTGTTGACTCTGGCTTTTCATGACCCCAAATATTTTAATTAACTATAATTATTTTATTTTATATACTTAAATTATCAGAACTTGGCCAATAGGATTCTCCTTGAAGCTGGTTTCGATATCTTTCTCCAGGATTTCTAAAGCATCATTTCTTTGTGGCAAGAAATGTTCCAAACCAGTCTAGAATATTACCCCAAGAATGGAATCAACTTCTCTCCAAGGACTGGTGCTTTATATTAATGGAGAATAAATAGTTCAGACTTTTCTGCTATCATGTAAAATTTACATTATTGAAAAGCCTCACATTCTGCAAAATCAACACTAAAAGCCACGGGGCTTACAGGGTACATGAAGTGGGGAAAACCACTCAACATGTAGTCAACTTTGTAACCAGAACACTAAGAAAAACAAACCTTGGTAGCTTGGATGCTCCAGACAGGCAGCTGGGCATGGCTAGAGGCTACAACTGTAGATACTAAAAATTCACGTAAACCAGTGAGAGGAAACACTGGCCACAGGTTTGTGAGAGCAGAGCTGGGGGTGCTGGAACAATGCACACCGAAGGAACTCGAAGCCAGAAGCTCCCAGGGCACAGGCACCAAGCAAGAGTGGCACAAGGCTGGGACACCTCTGGGGGCCTCCCCAGAGAGCCTGGTGCTGGCAGTCATTTTTCATTTTCTTAAAATGCAGCTAAAAGAATCCTGGTCCCAGAACAGCAGCTGAGATGTGGTGATTTTTCAGCACATCTTTTCAGCAGCTGAAAGTTGTGATTCTGTTCCTGCTCTTCTGGCTCCCCTTGCCTAGGAGAAACCTGATCTGATCAAATGTGACTTCTCGGTTACATAGACATCAGTCTCTCTTCACATATGAACTAATCAGATTCTAGAAACACATTTTGTGAAATCATGAATTACTTCTGTCTTTGATCATACAAGGTACATTGAGAGGTGGAGGTTATTCTTTCACCTCCAATCTTAGCTGACCTATGACTGCTGTTTTTCCCTTTTATTATTAATTTTAATTAGCATAATAATTATACATACTTATGGGGTACAGGGTGATATTTCAATACATGTGTACAACGTGCAATGATCAAATCAGGGTAATTAACATATCTGTCATCTCAAACATTTTTCGTTGTTGTTCTGGGAATATTCAAAATCCGCTCTTCTAGCTATTTGAAAATATATGATAAATTGTTGTTGCTGTCTGGGCTCAGGCCCAGTTGGTGGTGAAATGATTAAAGCCAACAAGAAAGTCAGAATTATCAATAAATATGGGACCCACTATGGTGCCTCCCTCCAGAAAATGGTGAAGAAAATTATAATTCACCAGCATGCCGAGGACACTTGCTCCTTCTGTGGCAAAATCCGGATAAAGAGACAAGCTGTGGGGACCTGGTGCTGTGGGGATCTGGCACTGTGGCTCCTGGATGGAAATGGTAGCTGGTGGTGCCTGGACCTATAACACCACT
Source organism: Homo sapiens (assembly GCF_000001405.40). Taxonomy (NCBI): domain Eukaryota; kingdom Metazoa; phylum Chordata; class Mammalia; order Primates; family Hominidae; genus Homo; species Homo sapiens. Next base: position 51,978,134 of record NC_000004.12, on the reverse strand, counting down.
TCCACCATCACAGTAAAGTTGCCATCAGAAGACTGAAGGAGTTGGAAGACCAGCAGAAGCTCCACCATTTGAGACATCACTAGTCTATGATAAATGGGTTAATTTATGTAATAAAATAAATAAATAAAATTGTTAATTATAGTCCCCCTGTAGTGCTATAGAACATTAGAGATTCTTCCTCCATTAACCAACCTTTAGCTATTGCCTCACTATCCTCTGCCCTTCCCAACTTCTAGGAACCACCATTCTACTCTCTATTTCAATGAATCGAATATTTTAGCTTCCACATATGAGTGAGAACATGTGGTATTTATCTTTTTTTGTGTACCTGAATTATTTCACTTAACACAATGTCCTCAAAGCTCATCCATGTCGCCATGAATGACATTTTTGTTCTTTTCTCTGGCTAAATAGCATTCCACTGTGTATATGTGCCACAAATTCTTTTCAATTCTTCTTTTTTTTTTTTTTTACAGTGCAGTGGCGTGATCATAGCTCACTACAACCTCAAATTCCTAGGCTCAAGCCATCCTCCAGCCTTAGCCTCCCAAGTAGCTGGGACTACAAGTACATCATGCCACCAGGCCTGGCTAATTTTTTAAATTGTTTTTGAAGAGATGGGGTCTCACTTTTTTGCCCAGGCTGATCTTGGATTCCTGGCCTCAAGTGATTCTCCTGCCTCAGTCTCCCAAAGTGCTGGGATTATAGCATAAGCCACCACACCCAGTCCCCATAATTTCTTTATCCATATTGTAGTTCTATTTATTTTTTTATTTGTTATTTTTTTTAAAGAATGGGTTCTCACTATGTTGCCATATGACTCAAGGGTGGAATGCAGTGGCTATATACAGATGTGATCATTGCACACTGCCAACTTGAAGGTCTCAAACTATTTTCCCACCTCGGCCTCCAGAGTAACTGAGACTATGGGCACACACCACTGCACTCAGCTTAATTTTAGTTTTCTGAGGAACCTCTACAACTGCTGTCCATAATGGCTGTACTAATTTATATTCCCATCAACAGTGCATAAGAGTTTCTGTTTCTCCACATCCTTGCTATTATTTGTTATTTTTGTCTTTTTGATAACAGCCATTATTACTGGGCTGAGATGATATCTCATTGTGGCTTTGATTTGCATTTCCCTGATGATTAGTGATGTTGAGTATTTTTTATATATCTGTTAGCCATTTGTATATCTTCTTTCTGAAGATGTCTATTCAGCTAATTTGCCCACTTTTAATCATGTTATTTGTTTTTTTGCTCTTGAGCTGTTTGAGTTCCTTGTGTATTCTAAATATTAATCCCTTGTTGGATGAATAGTTTGCAGGGATTTTCTCCCATTCTGCAAGTTGTTTATTCACTCTGTTGATTGTTTCCTTTGCTTTGCAGAAGGTTTTTCGTTTGTTATAATCTCGTTTGTCTATTTTTGCTTCTGTTGCCTGTGTTTTTGAGATATTCTCCATGAAATCTTTGCCTAGACAAATGTCCTGAAGCATTTCTCCTATGTTTTCTTCTAGTTATTTAATTCTTCTAGTCATTCTTCTAGTCATTTAAGTCTTCTAGTCATTCAATTATTAATCCATTTTGGGTTAATTTTCATATACGGTGAGAGATGGGGGCTAGCTTCATTTTTCTGCATATAAATATCCAGTTTTCCCAGCATAATTTATTGAAGAGATTTTCCTTTCCCCAGTGAATGTTCTTGGCCCTTCTGTCTAAAATCAGTTGGTTGTACATATGTAGGTTTATTTCTTGGTTTTCTGTTCTGTTCTACTGGCTTCTGTGACTGCTTTTATGACAGTATTATGATGTTTTGATTACTATAGCTGTGTAGTATATTTTGAAGTCAGCTAGCGTGATACTTCCAGCTTTATTCTTTTGTCCAGGATTTCTTTGGCTATTCAAGGTCTTTTTGTGGTTTCATATTAATTTGTAAATTTTTTTTCTATTTCTGTGAGGAATGACCTGTGACTGCTTTAACCAATAGAGTTCAGAGAAAGTGACACTTCAGGACTTCTGAGACTGTCATAAGAAGCTTTGCAGCTTCCACCCGGGTGTCTTGAAATGCTCATTCTGGATGAAGCCAGTCACCATGTAAGAAGTCTAATTGCCCTAAGACCACCATATACAAGGAAGCCCAATCTAGCCACGTGGAGAAGCCACATGAAGAGAGAGATTACTAACTTGCTCCAATTATCCCATACATTCCAGCCTGTATGCCAGACATTTTATTTTAAAAAATGACTTCATTAGCCAGGCATGGTGGCATGCATCTCTAGTCCTAGCTACTCAGGAGGCTGAGGTGGGAGGATTACTTGAGTCCAAGAGTACAAGGTTATAGTGAGGGGCAATCCTACCACTGCACCCCAGCCTGGATAACAGACAGAGGCCCTGTTCATGGTCTCAAGATATCCCATATTCATGGACGAGAAGAATTAATATTGTTAAAATGTCCATACTACTCAAAGCAATTTACAGTCAATGCAATCCCTATCAAAATTCCAAGGATATTTTTCACAGAAACAGAAAAACAATCCTAAAATATGATGGACTCACAAATAACTCTGAATAGCCAAAGCAATCTTGAGAAAAATAATAATAATAACAATAATAAAAACATGGTACTAACATAAAAACAGACATATGGGCCAATGGAACAGAATAGAGCCCAGAAATAAACCCACACATTTATGGTTAGTTGATTTTCAACAAAGATGCCAAGAAAACACAATGGGTAAACGACAGTCTCTTCAATAAATGGTGTTGGGACAATCAGATAGCCACTTGTAGAAGAATGAATTAGACCCTTATCTCCTCCCATATACAAAAATCAACTCAAAACATATTAAAGACTTAGATATCTAAGACCTAAAACTATAAAACTACTATAAGAAAACTTAGAGGAAAAATGTCACGACATTGGTCTTGGCAGTGATTTTTTTAATATGACACCCAAAGCACAGTCAACTAAAGCAAAAAGAGACAAATTAGATTATATCAAACTAAAAAGCTTCTGCACAGCAAGGGAAACAATCAGCAGAGTGAATAAACAACCTGCAGAAGAGACAATATGGATTCATATCCAAAATACGTAAGGAGCTCAAACAACTCAATAGCAAGAAAACAACCCAATTTTTTAAATGGGCAAAAAATGTGAATAGACGTTTCCCAAAAGAGGACATACAAATGGCTAATAGGTATATGAAAAAATGCTCGGCATCACTCATCAGCAGAGAAATCTAAATTAAAAGACATCACCTCTCACAAGTTAAAATGGCTGTTATAAAAAAAGGTGAAAGATAAGAAGTGTTGGAGCAGATGTGAAGAAAACGGAACTCTTACACACTGTTGGTGGGAATGTAAATTAGTAGAGCCATTAAGGAAAATAGTATGGAGGTTTTTCAAAATATCAAAAATAAAATTACCATATGATCCAGCAATCACACTACTAGGTATACATCCAAAGGAAATGAAATCAATATGTTGAAGAAATATCTGTACTCCCATGTTCACTGTGGCATTGTTCACAATAGCCAAGATATGGAATCAACCTGAATGTTCATCAATGAATGAGTGGATAAAGAAAATACAGCATAGAATACTATTCAAGCTTTAAAAAGAAGAAAATCCTATCATTTGGGAAAACATGGATGAACCTGGAGGATATGATGTTAAACAAGCCAGGCACAGAAGGAGAAATATCACATGATCTCACTTGCATGTGGAATCCAAAAAAGTTGAAGACTTAGATATAAGACCCAAAACTCATAGAAAAGTTGAATTTATAATAGAGAGTAGAATGGTGGTTAGCATGGACTGGGGAATGGGATGGTTGTAGGGTGAAGGAGACATTGGTCAAAGGATACAAATTTCAGTTAGATTAGAGAACCAACCAAATTCAAGAGATATATTGCACAACACGGTGACTATAGTTAGTAACAATGTATTGTAGTTATGAAAATTGCTGAGAGAATTTACGTGTTCTCACCACAAAAAAAAGATAAGTATGTGAAGTAATGCATATGTTAATTAAATTCATTTAGCCATTCCACAATGTATATATTTCAAAATATAATGCTGTTTGTGATAAATATGTACAATGTTTATTCTCAATTAAAAATAAATAGGAGAAGAACGAAAATGGCGAATGAATCCTGTGCCTTCAACTGGGATATCCAGGTTCTCTCACTGGGACTGACTAGGTGGTTGGTGGGACCCATGGAGAGTGAGAAAAAGCAGGTGGAGTGGAGTGACAGCCCACCCAGGAGCTGCACAGGGCAAGGGAAGCTCCCACTCCCAGCCAAGAGGGGCGGTGAGTGATTGTGCTACCTTGCCTGGGAAACCACACTTTATCCACAGATCTGTGCAACCTGTGGATCAAGAGATCCCCTCGTGAGCCCACGCCACCAGGACCTTGGGTCCCAAGTACATAGCTATGCAGACTCTAGGCAGCAGGCTGGAGACTGCCTAAGATGACTGAGTTCCCGGAGCAGAAGGGCTGCCGCCATCACTGCAGCTCCAGTCAGCAATTTCCCCTGCAGGTACCAGGGAGACTGGGCGGTTTGGACCAGGAGGAATTCCCCACAGCACAGCGGCTATGGCAGATCTTGGCCAGATTGCTTCTTTAGGTGGGAACCAGATCCAACCCTCCTCACCAGACTGGGCCTCCCTGTGGGAATTTCAGCAACTCCAGCCAGGGGTTTACGGACAGAACTCTGATCTCCCTGGGATGGAGCCCTTTGAGGGGAGGGGTGGCCACGTTCTCCATGGTTCAGTGGACTTAGTCTTTCCTGCCTGGTGGCTCTGAAGAGTCCAGGCAGTCTGGATGAAGGGAATGTGCCCCTAACGCAGTGCACCCACTCTGCCAAGGGACAGCCAGAGTGCTTCATTAAGCGGGTCCCTGATACTGTGCCTCCTGACTGGGTGAGACCCCACAACAGAGGTTATTAGAAACCTTGTAAAAGAGCATTCCCGCCGGCATCAGGTCAGTGTCCCTCTGGGATGGAGATCCCAGAAAAAGTAGCAGGCAGCCATCTTTGCTGTTCTGTAGCCTCCACTGGGGACACCTCCAGGTGTGGGAGGGACCCAGGCAAATAGGGTCTGGAATGAACCTCGAGCAAACCACAGTAGCCCTATGGAAGAGGGGCCTGACTGTTAAAAGAAAAACAAGCAAACAATAGAAAGTAATAACATCAACAATATCAACAAAAAAGACCCCACACAAACCCCATCCAAAGGTCAGCAGCCTCAAAGATTGGAGGTAGATGAGCTCACAAAGATGAGAAAGAATCAATTCAAACCCTCTGAAAACTCAAAAGGCCAGAGTGCCTTTTCTCCTCCAAATGATCACAACACCTCTTTATCTAGGGCACAGAACTGGACTGAGGCTGAGATGGATGAACTGACAGAAGTAGGTTTCAGAAGGTGGGTAATAATGAACTTCGCTGGGTGAAAGGAGCTTGTTCTAACCCAATCCAAAAAAGCTAAGAACCACAATAAAACATTACAGGAGCTCTTAATCAGAATAATCAGTTTAGAGAGAAACATAAATGACCTGATGGAGCTGAAAAACACAACACAGTAACATCACAGTGCAACCACAAGTATCAATAGCTGGACAGACCAAGTGGAGGAAAGAATCTCAGCCTTGAAGACAATCTTGCTGAAATAAGACAGGCAGACAAGCTTATAGTAAAAAGAATGAGAAGGAACAAACAAAACCCCCAAGAACTATGGGATTATGTAAAAAGACTGAACCTATGACTTATTGGGGTACCTGAAAGAGACAGGGAGAACAGAACCAAGTTGGAAAACATACTTCAGGATATTATCCAGAACTTCCCCAATCTAGCAAGACAGGCCAACATTCAAATTCAGGAAATCCAGAGAACCCCAGTAAGATACTCCATGAGAAAAATTAGCCTAAAGACAAATAATCATCAGATTCTCCAAGGTCAAAATGATGGAAAAAATGTTAAGGGCAGCCAGAGAGAAAGGCCAGGTCACCTACAAAGGGAAGCCCATCAGACTAACAGCGGATCTGTCTGCAGAAACCCTACAAGACAGAAGAGATAGGGGCCAATGTCCAACATTTTTAAAGAAAACAATTTCCAACCCAGAATTTCATATCTGGCCAAACTAAGCTTCATAAGTGATGGAGAAATAAGATCCTTTTCAGACAAGCAAATGCTGAGGGAATTCATCACCACCAGGCCAGCCTTGCAAGAGCTTCTGAAGGAAGCACTAAATATGGAAAGGAAAAACCATTACCAGCCACTACAAAAACACACTGATGTACACAAATCAATGACACTATGAAACAACCACGTAAGTGTGCAGAATAGCCAGCTAGCATCAGGAGGACAGGATCAAATTCACACATAACAATATTAACCTTAAATGTAAATGGGATAAATGCCCCAATTAAAAAACAGCAGAATGGCAAGGTGAATAAAGAGTCAAGACCCGTTGGTGTGATATATTAGAGAGACCCATCTCACATACAAAGACACACACAGGCTCAAAATAAAGGAATAAAGGAAAATTTACCAAGTAAATGGAAAGCAGAAAAAAGCAGGTGTTGCAATCCCAGTTTCTGACAAAACAGACTTTAGCGAGTTAATGGGTGCAGCACACCAGCATGGCACATGTATACATATGTAATTAACCTGCACATTGTGCACATGTACCCTAAAACTTAAAGTGTAATAATAATAAAATAAAATAAAATAAAAATAAATAAAAAAATAAAAAGAAAACAGACTTTAACTCAACAAAGATCAAAAAAGACAAAGAAGGACATTATATAGTGCCTTTATATAATGGGTAAAGGGTTTAATTAAATAAGAAGTGCTAACTATCCTAAATATATATGCACCCAATACAGGAGCAGCCAGATTCATAAAACAAGTTCTTAGAGACCTAGGAAGAGACATAGGCTCCCCACAATAATATTGGGAGACTTTAACATCCCACTGTCAATAGACAGATCATCGAGACAGAAAATTAACAAAGATATCCAGGACTTGAATTCAGCTCTGGATCAAGTGGACCTAATAGATACCTATCGAACTCTCCACCCCAAAACAACAGAACATACATTCTCCTTGATGCCACATGGCACTTACTCTAAAATTGATCACATAATTGGAAGTAAAACACTCCTCAGCAAAAGCAAAATAACTGAAATCATAACAAAGTCTCTCAGAACACAGTACAATCAAATTAGAACTCAAGATTAAGAAACTCACTGAAAAACACACAACTACATGGAAGTTGAACAACCTGATCTTGAATGATTCCTGGGTAGATAATGAAATTAAGGCAGAAATAATCAAGAAGTTCTTTCAAACTAATTAGATGAGATAACGTACCAGAATCCCTGAGACACAGCTAAAGCAGTGTTAAGAAGGAAATTAATAGCACTAAATGCCCACATCAAAAAGCTAGAAAGATCTCAAATCGAAGTCCTAACATCACAACTAAAAGAACTAGAGAACCAAGAGCAAACAAATCCCAAAGGTAGCAGAAGACAAGAGACAACCATGATCAGAGCTGAACTGAAGGAGATACAGACATTAAAAACACTTCAAAAATCAACAGATCCAGGGGCTGTTTTTTTGAAAAATATTAATAAAATAGATAGACTGTTAGCTAGACTAATAAAGAAGAAAAGAGAGAAGAATGAAATAGACACAATAAAAAATGATAAAGAGGATATCACCACTGACCCTACAGAAATACAAACAACCATCAGAGAATACTATACACACCTCTATACAAATAAACTAATAAGTCTAGAAGAAATGGATAAATTCCTGGACACATACACCCTCCCAAGACTGGAACAAGAAGAAGTTGAATAACTGAATAGACCAATAATGATTTCTGAAATTGAGGCAGTAATAAATAGCCTACCAATCAAAAAAATCCCAGGACCAGACAGATTTACAGCTGAATTCTATCAGAGGTACATAGAGGAGCTGGTACCATTTCTTCTGAAACTATTGCAAACAACTGAAAAGGAGGGGCCCCTCCCTAACTTATTTTATGAGGCCAGTATCATCCTAATACCAGAACCTGGCAGAGATACAACAAAAAAGAAAACTTCAGGCCAGTATCCTTGATGAACATGGATGCAAAAATCCTCAATAAAGTACTGGCAAACCGAACCCAGCAGCACATCAAAAAGCGTATCCACCACAATAAAGTTGACTTCATCCCCAGGATGCAAGGCTGGTTCAACATAAACATATCAATAAAAGTAATTCATCACATAAACAGAACTAAAGATAAAAACCACATGATTATATCAATAGACACGGAAAAGGCCTTTGATAAAATTCAACATCCTTTCATGTTAAAAACTCTCAATAAACTAGGTATTGAAGGAACATACCTCAAAATAATAAGAGCTATTTATGACAAACACATAGCCAACATCATACTGAATAGGCAAATGCTGAAAACATTCCTTTTGAAAACAGGCGCAAGACAAGGATGCCTTCTCACACCACTCCTATTCAACATAGTATTGGAACTTTTGGCCAGAGCAATCAGGCAAGAGAAAGAAATAAACTGTATTCAAATAGGTAGAGAGGAAGTCAAATTATATTTGTTTGCATATGACATGATCTTATATCTAGAAAACCCCATCGTCTCAGCACAAAAGCTTTTTAAGCTGATAAGAAACTTCAGCAAAGCCTCAGGATATAAAATAAGTGTACAAAAATTGCTAGCATTCCTATACACCAACAGGCAAGCAGAGAGCCAAATCACAGATGAACTCCTATGGACAATTGCTACAAAAAGAATAAAATAGGCTGGGCATGGTAGCTCACACCTGTAATCCTAGCACTTTGGGAGGGCAAGGCGGGTGGATTGCCTGAGCTCAGCAGTTTGAAACCAGCCTGGGCAACGCGGTGAAACCACATCTCTATCAAAAATACAAAAAAATTAGCCAGGCATGGAGGCATGTGCATGTAGTCCCAGCTACTTGGGAGGCTGAGACAGAAGAACTGCTTGAACCTGGGAGGTGGAGGTCACAGTGAGCCGAGACTGCGCCACTACACTCCAGCCTGGGCAACAGAGTGAGACTACATCTCAAAAAAAAAAAAAAAAAAAAAAAGAATAAAATACCTAAGAATACAGCTAACAAATGAAATGAAGGACCTCTTCAAGGAGAACTACAAACCACTGCTCAAGGAATTCAGGGAGGACACAAACAAATGGAAAAACCTCCCATGCTCAAGGATAGGAAGAATCAATATTGTGAAAATGACCATACTGCCTAAAGTAATTTATAGATTCAATGTTATCCCAACTAAACTACCATTGGCATTCTTCACAGAATCAGAAAAAACTATTTTAAAGTTCATATGGAACCAAAAAAGAGCCCATATAGCCAAGACAATCCTAAGCAAAAAGAACAAAAGCTGGAGGCATCACACTACCTGACTTCAAACTACACTACAAGGCTACCGTAACCAAAACAGCATGGTACTGCTACAAAAACAAATGCATAGACCAACAGAACAGAATAGAGAACTGAAAAATAAAACTGCACATTGACAACCATCTGATCTTCAACAAACCTGACAAAAACAAGCAATGGGCAAAGGATTCCCTATTTAATAAATGGTGCTGGGAAAACTGCTTAGCCATATGCAGGATATTGAAAGTAGATTCCTTCCTTACACATTATACAAAAATTAACTCAAGATGGATTTAAGACTTAGATGTAAAACTCAAAACTATAAAAATCCTAGAAGAAAATCTAGGCAATACCATTCAGGACATAGCCATAGACAAAGATTTTATGATGAAAACGTCAAAAACAATTGCAACAAAAGCAAAAATTGACAAATGGGATTGAATTAAACTAAAGAACTTCTGCACAGCAAAAGAAACTATCATCAGAGCAAACAGACAACATACACAATGGGAGAAAAATTTTGCAATCTATCTATCTGACAAAAGTCCAATATCCAGAGTCTACAAGGAACTTTAACAAATTTACAAGAAAAAAACAACCCCACTAAAAAGTAGGCAAATGATATGAACAGATACTTCTGAAAAGAAAACATTCATGGGGCCAAGAAACATATGAAAAAAGCTCAACATCACTGATCATTAGAGAAATGCAAATCAAAACCACAATGAGATATCAACTCATGCCAGTCAGAATAACAATTATTAAAAGACCAAGAAACAACAGATGCTGGTGAGCCTGTGGAGAAATAGGAATGCTTTTACACTGTCAGTGGGAATGTAAATTAGTTCAACCATTGTGAAAGACGGTGTGGCGATTCCTCAAAGACCTAGAACCAGGAATACCATTTGACCTAGCAATCCCATTACTGGGTATATACCCAAAGGAATATAAATCATTCTATCATAAAGATACATGCACACATATGCTCACTGCAGCACTATTCACAATAGCAAAGATACGGAATCAACCTAAATGCTCATCAATGATAGACTGGATAAAGAAAATGTGGCACATATTCACCCTGGAATACTATGCAGCCATAAAAAGGAATGAGATCATGTCCTTCACAGGGTCATAGATGGAGCCAGAAGCCATTATCCTCAGCAAACTAGCACAGGAACAGAAAACCAAACACCACATGTTCTCACTTATAAGTGGAAGCTGAACAATGAGAATACATGGGCACAGGGAGAGGAACAACACATACTGGACCCTGTGGGGGTGGAGAGGTGGCAAGAAGGAGAGCATCAGGAAAAATAGCTAATGCATGCTGGGATTAATACCTAGGTGATGGGTTGATAGGTGTAGCAAAGCACCATGGCACGCATATACCTATGTAACAAACCTGCACATCCTGCACATGTACCCTGGAACTTAAAATTTAAATTAATTAATTAATTAAAATAAATAGTGTTCTAAAAAAATAAGTAAAAAAAGTTTGCAACTGGAAAAAAATAGCAGATTAAATTTAGGCCCTAATATTTTGTTTGAAATGTAAGAGTGAAATTGACTTCCTGCTTTGTATTTTTATAGGTAGGTGTGCTATTGTGCCGGGGCCACCCAGGCCTTGAAACCTGGTTTCTCTTGATTTTGGCCAGGACTACACCACTGACCCCATAAATAGACAGGGTTCTCTGCCTTTCTCTGCAGAGTGGCTCAAGGCAACAGGATGTGCATTGGGTCCCACTGCTAATGCTTGGAAGTCTCAAGTTATCAGAACAACTCCTTCTCCCTTTCCTTCTTCTTCTTCTTCTTTTTTATTTTACTTTCAATTCTGTGACACATGTGCAGAACATGCAGGATTGTTACATAGGTAAATGTGTGCCATGGTGGTACAGATACACCATAGAATACCTTCCCTTCTTTGAGAATACTCTACTATGCTCTGTCTGAAAGGGCTAGAGATGGCATTGAAACTTGCTGGGTTTTACTCATTCTTTGTGGGGTGGCATAAAGGTCCACTCTTTTAGAGAAAAAAGAACATGGCCAGGCGTGGTGGCTCACGCCTGTAATCCTAGCACTTTGTGAGGCTGAGGTGGGTGGATCCCTTGAGTCCAGGAATTTGAGACCAGCCTGGGCAACATTGCAAAACCTCACTCTACAAAAAATACAAAAATTAGCCAGGCTTGGTGGTGCATACTTGTAGTCCCAGATACTCAGGAGGCTGAGGTGGGAGGATAGCTTGAGCCCAGGAGATGAAGGTTATAGTGAGTTGAGATCATGCCACTACACTCCAGCCTGTATGACAGAGTGAAACCCTGCCTCAAAAAAAAGAAAGAAAAGGAAGGAGGGAAGGAAGGAGAAAAGGAGGGAGAGAAGGAAGGAGAAAAGGAGGGAGGGAAGGAAAAAAGGAAGGAGAAAAGGAGAGAGGGAAGAAAGGAAGGAAGGAGGGAGGAGGGAAGGAGGAAAGGAAGGAAGGAAGGAGGGAAGGAGGGAAGGAGGAAAGGAAGGAGGGAGGGAGGGAAGGAGAAGGAAGGAGGGAGGAGGGAAGGAGGAAAGGAAGGAAGGAAGGAGGGAAGGAGGGAAGGAAGAAAGGAGGGAGGGAGGGAAGGAGGAAGGGAGGGAGAGAAAGGAAAGGAAAAAGAACCTGCTTCCAATTTCATCTCTGGAACTAAAACTTCAGTCCTCGGGCTAGTGTAACCTGTGTCCTCCAGCATCTAGATGGCAAGGTCACTGAGAGCAAGGATCATGTTTTGTACATTTATCCTACCCTCTACATTCAAGTATCACATATAAAACAGAACTCAAGGAAAGGTCAAATTTCAAATAATCCTGATCTGGCAAATGATCTCATCAAATTAAAGTAAATAGAGTTGACTCTTTAGTTTTCATGAAAAGCAGCTAGGTTTTAACTAATAAACAAGGAGATTTAGCAGAGACTTAATCGATTCTAAGTTGAGCACTGTGACTCACTCAATGCAGATGTAGCTGGGAGGAATGGGACCCAATGGTCCCTACAACTTTGCCTGGGTCTTGGTGTAGGGATTAGAAATGCTTTTCAAATAAGATATAAAGTTCCAAAATGAACCACAAAAACAACAAAAATTATTCTTTCACTGTCTATTATGGGAAAGGAGAACATTTTATTAATACTAGCTATTTTCCATAAATTATTTGAATTCATGCAAAGTCATCTTTCTCTATACTTGTCTTTAATATTGCAGTCATTTATTTTAGCTCATTGATTTAAAGGCTAATTTTGCAGACAAATTCAATTTTATGACCATGTAAGTAGTAGTTACCTGAATACACCTCTGGAAAACCTAGAGCTGTACCTTCATTGACTATTTTTACATTCACTAACATTTCTGCCACATGTACCTCCTCTCTTTCTATGTCTCTCTATATAATTATATTTTTCTCTCTCTGAAAAAAATTATTTATATAAATATAAATATATAAAAATATATCTATTCAGATGAGTAGGTTATCCAGAAACTATAATGAACTCAAACAAATTTACAAGAAAAAAACAAACAACCCCATCAAAAAGTGGGCAAAGCATATGAACAGACACTTCTCAAAAGAAGATATTTATGTAGCCAAAAAACACATGAAAAATGCTCATCATCACTGGCCATCAGAGAAATGCAAATCAAAACCACAATGAGATACCATCTCACACCAGTTAGAATGGTGATCATTAAAAAGTCAGGAAACAACAGGCGCTGGAGAGGATGTGGAGAAATAGGGACACTTTTACACTGTTGGTGGGACTGTAAACTAGTTCAACCATTGTGGAAGTCAGTGTGGTGATTCCTCAGGGATCTAGAACTAGAAATACCATTTGACCCAGCCATCCCATTACTGGGTATATACCCAAAGGATTATAAATCATGCTGCTAAGGACACATGCACATGTATGTTTATTGCAGCACTATTCACAATAGCAAAGACTTGGAACCAACCCAAATGTCCAACAATGATAGACTGGATTAAGAAAATGTGGCACATATACACCATGGAATACTATGCAAACAATAAATACTTTTTTAGTATTTAAGTATTTCCCATGTAATATTTAGGGCCTATTTATACTAATGTGTTATTCACTGTTTATCTGAAATTCAGATCCAACTGGGTGAATGTATTTTATCTGGCAATCCTACTTTAGTATTCAAATAAAATGAACTGAAAAATCTTCCATGTAATGTACAGAAAGGTTCTGCAGTTCCAGCTAGGGTGGAGGAAAGCGAATATTGCTGAGTTACATCCTCTGCAGCAAAGAAGTGATTACATGTCTGGTATGTTCTGCATGAGGTGCTAAGCACATACCACCCCTGCCTACAAAAGTGCCTCTGTCAAAGCCTAGGCAATGATTTACAAAACAGTAAAAGTGTAAATTCACTCACACCCAAATACAGGGGGGAGAAAACCCAGAACATTCAGTCCTGCCTGCAGTTGCCAAAGAAAAACAAAACTAAACATGAAAAAACAAAATACTTGCAAAAGTGTTTTCTTGCACAGAAGCAGAGAGTCACTTGCAGGGAGATTGTGGTTTATGTAAAAGCTTGGAGAGTTTCAAAAGATGAGGCTTCCTGAGAGCCTTCCATGCCGTAATTTCCACCACTACCATCCCCACAGCTTCAAAATGCAGCTGCTGTTACTGTGGCTGACTTCAGCAGCCTGGAAGGAATTACTTTCAGTTAACTCTATGATGCATTTTTAAAAAAAAATAACATAAGCACTACATTGGCTTGCTCAATTGTACACACACGCATGGAAAATATTTACCACTCAATTCAACCGAACACATCTACTGCACAAAATGCAAAGCAAGCCATGGGAGGAGAGTGAGGTATGAGACAGAATGGAGGTAGGGGCTGCAGCAATACAGTCCTGCCCTCAAAGAGCTTAGAATCCCATGGGAAAGACTCACCAAGACAAACTTGTACACCAAAAGTACAAACATATGCTGTCCAGAGAGATCAACTCCGTGTTTGGGAAGGGAAGGATGGAGGAGAGGAAGTAAAAGTGAGAGCCTAGGGAGGTGGGGACTATATGCATGCAAGACTTTTGTCCATATTTTAAAGTAATATATGGATTTATGCAGAAGTAATGCCAATGTGTTGTTTAGATCACATATCTAAATAATAGATGTTAAATTACATCCCAAACTACTAGAATATAATGGGCTCTGGCCCTATGTGAAGCAGTAGAAGAAAAATCAATTTGCAAATTCATGAACCAGCTTTTATTTACATTTAGTTTATGAAGTCCTAACCACTTTGGACAGTCCAAATCTACAGATGAAAGCATATGGAAATTTTATCTTTGAGTATGTAATATTATAAGCTGCAATACGTGAGCAAAATTCAACACACCGAAAGAAATGCAAATGTGCATTCATTTCTGTATAAATAAGATTATCATCACACAAAATATGAAATGTTTTCCTTTAAAAAATTGTGAAACCTGGCTGTGAATGCACAGATTGCTTTTCGTTATTCTCCATTAAAACATTGCTAGCTTTGAACCTCTGCCTTATTATTTATTTCAAAAGAACAGGATTGGGTGTGGTTGGTGGTTCACACCTGTAATTCTAATTCTTTGGGAGGCAGAGGCATGAGGATCAGTTGAGCCCTGGAGTTAGAGACCAGCCTCGGCAACACATGTTGTGACCCTGTCTCTACAAAAAAAAAAAAAAAAAAAAAAAAAAAATAGCCAGGCATGGTGGCACATGCCTATAGTCCCAGCTACTGGGAGACTAAAGTGAGAGGATCACTTGGTGCAGGAGCCAGAGGCTGCAGTTAGCTATGATTGCACCACTGCACTCCAGCCTGGGCAACAGAGCAAGACCCTGTCTCAAAAAAAAAAAAAAAAAAAAAGAAGAAGAAGAAGAATGAGAAAGGAGAATGCCCAAATCTTAGTAGGCCCTAAAGCAGCAACCATGAAACTGAAGAACTCCATGGGCATGCAGGAGGCTGAACTTTTCAAGAAGTACTATCTTCCCACAGACTCCCTGTCAGCAGATGGCACAGAGATCCAGCGTGTAGGACTTTGCAAGTTGGGCTGGAAAGGCCAGCCCTTCACACACAAGTTTCCATTGTGAAAGTTGTCAAAATAAAAATGGAGTCACTTATGTTAAAATCCCTGACAAAATGGAGCCAGAGAAGGCCATGAAGGCATGCAGGGTTTTTGTGCATGAATGCCAGATAACAAGAACTATCACGAAAGATTCTGCAAATACCACAACCTTTCCATCAAAGTCTTACACACCAAAAATACTTCTGCAAGGACATCTACCCAATAACTGCCTGTCCAACCTGAAACTGGCACTGCCCATCTTATTGATCCTTGTAGCTGACAGTAATTGTCTCAAAACAATTATGTAATCCTCCTCATTTTTACATTAAAACACTTTGTCTTCCTTTACTGTCCTGAATATTCACATAGTTTACTATGGCATGTATATTCTCATTACAATGCCCATTCACAAATAAATATCATTTTCTTTACAAAGCAGAACTTTCCACTGGGTAGCCAGATCATGTGGCTGCCCTGTAGAAAATCTTTCAACTCAGCTTCTTCCTGGGACCACAACACCCTGTGTGACCTGCCCCACCACCACCTTGCCAGTCTGCTATTCTCTGTGTTTCACCACTTCAGCCACAGTAGCTTATCTCTGCTCCTGGAATATCCCAACTGGGGCCACTACAGGGCCTTTATGTTTGCCATTTCCTCTGCTTGGAATGTGCTGTCTGTATTTCCTAGCCCAGTTTCTTATTGTAATAAAGATCTCAGATTAAATCTCACCTGTGCACATAGACCTTTCCATTTTACCCTGTCTAAAGTAGCACACCCATCTCAAAGCATTCTCTATCATGTTTTGGTGTTTATTGTCTTCCTACCCCCTAAAATGATCTACAGAACTATTGTTTTTTTAAGTGTTTCCTTGTATATTATTGGTCTTCCCAATAAAGGTAAAAATCTCATTTGTCTTGGTTGCTACAGCATCTCCTGGGCTAGGGACAGTGCCTGGCACACAGTATACTGGTGCTCAGTCAACATTTGTGGATTCAACAAATAAATTTGGACTCCAGATAAACCAAATAGAAACAATGCTTTTCAACATACTATATTAGAAAGGACACACATATTAGTGATGGGAATGAGGTCTCAGACTGTCCAAATTCAGAAAGGACTGAAGAAAAATGCATTCAATCTCCTTTATTAATGACTTTATTTTCTATTTTATTTATTTATTTTTTTGAGACAGTCTCACTCTGTCACCCAGGCTGGAGTGCAGTGGTGCAATCTTGGCTTACTGCAACCTCTGCCTCCCAGGTTCATGCCATTCTCCTGCCTCAGCCTCCCAAGTAGCTGGGACTACAGGCACCCGCCACCACACACGGCTAAATTTTTGTATTTTTAGTAGAGACAGCATTTCACCATGTTAGCCAGGATGTTCTCAATCTCCTGACCTCATGATCTGCCCGGTTTGGCCTCTCAAAGTGCTAGGATTCTAGGCATGAGCCACCATGCCTGACTCTGTTAATGACTTTATGTGATTTTGTGGGAAGGATCTCCATGTTCCAAAAAATTGAAAACTTAGCAGAATGTTTACTATCCTTGAGTCTCAGTCTTTTTCTTCACTTAAAACATTTTCACAAAATTTCAGTAGAGGAGGAGCTACCAAATAGTGACAATTTTCACCACTGGGAGGTGGCTGCTTTGATCCAACTTTTATATGCTTTGGTGAAAGGAAACACACCTGTCATTGTATTATTAAAGGAATTGGGTAAGAATTCCTGGGGATTCTAGGTCCCTGGTGGTATCTAGCTCACCCTTGACTTCACTTTAGTCTCTTGAGTCTTCATACCTTCCTTGGCATGTTGCAGTGCTTCAACCAAAGTCCTGTACTTGCCTGGGCTTTTCACCTACACTTTGGCACAACCCCAATTTCTGCATGACACACGTGCCCAAAGGCTCAGTCACACAGCAGTGGAAGGCGTTTATTATAATCCTCTGTGGTCTCATCAACGGGTCTGCCTGGCGTTTTACCATTCCTTAAGGGCAAGGAGCAGGTTTACATAATTGTCTTGGTACAATGGCTCATTCCACAAAACTGGGACAGTGGGTGCAGTCAGCCTACCAAATACCTTCTTGCATTTAACATGTGACCTTTGTCCACTTTGTTACCTTAAAACAATCTTTTCGAGGAAAAGTGCCTACCCCTGGCATAAACAAACAAACAAACAAACAAACAAAAACTCTTGCAAACTTTAAAAGTAAGCAGGGTTCACAGTGCTTCATCTTCCTCCTGCTAGTCTGTAGGAGGTCATATTAAATCATGAATCAGATTGTCTGGAGCCAGGAAGCCAATAAACAACTAGTTCTTTCTAGAAACATTTAACCACCTGGCTTTGTATATGTTCTGGCTCAAACACAACTACAGATTAAAGCTGCGTACAGTAAGAAAAGTGACAAATGCTACAAATCAACTGCCAAAGTATTTCAGTAAACCTCATCAAATTCACAAAATAGACAGGAGCAGGATGAGAATGATTTGTGTCATGGCCAAGGAATCACTGAGTTTAGGGAGAGCTCTTTCACAGCAAGCCTGCTCTCTGTCTAGGGTAAGATGTTTCCTCATCCCTCAGGCTACTCCCTGCAAACATAACCCTGAGGAGTGGCCAGGACAGGAGTGAGAGCCACACACTCAGCACACCCATAAGACCTCGTGGGGACCTACATGGCCATCGCATCTCCCAACAGGTCCAGAGCCAGTCTCAGAAAACTGAATGCACAGTGTCTTCCAATGAATAGGGAAAATCCCTTTTCTGCCCATAATGCCTGGACAACAGGCTTGCTGTTGAGGATAAGAAGATATGAAATAATGGGAGGGAAAGTTTAGAACCTGCCCCTTCGGGCCTTGAGGGATTGTGGGAGGTGATAAGAGAGGAAGTGAGATGGCCTTTCTCAATGCAGAGGTAAGCATGTGGGTTAGAGCAGACCAGGAAAATGCTGACAGCATCAGGACTCTGGGAAGGCGACCACCTCAGACACCCACCACCTCACCAACCTGGGGCTACCACAGCTAAGGAAGCCCTGCAATGCAGTGCAGTGAAGGAGATGGGGGCTGGAAGCTAGCTGTCCACAGCTGCTGTCTCCTCCACTGTGGTGTGGTTTATCCCATAATGACCCAGGATGAGAGTGGACTGGGCCTCATTTCTCTGCCTCCCCAGGTTCCCCTAGCCACGTGCTCCTGGGCCCATTCATGGAGCTGCTGCCAGCCCACAGGACCTGTTCCATCTCTGCCACAAGCTAGCAGCACACTACTGCCTATGAGCCCTAGTTTCTTCATCCATGTAGTAAGGATTAGAAAAGCCCCTATGCATTGGCTTATGCAATACTTTTTGTTTCAGTTTCCTCATCTGTAAAATGGAGCTAATAATATTACCTACTTCAAATGATTGTTGTAAAGATTTCATGATTTAACATGGGTAAAGCACTTACAACAGTGTCTGGCACTAAGAGGTGCCATAGAAATGTTTACTGTTATGGTTATTCTGTGTCCAAGTTAATTTTGCTTCTTCAAAGTTTCTTCATGAATCATATCACTTAGGACATGAAAATATTTAAGGGTCACAAAATTGAAACCTTATAGAGTTGGAACAGACTTTAAAAACCAATCTAGTCCAACCCTTTTGAGTTACAAATGGCAAAAACAGGCCCAGCATAGTATATCCTAAGTCAGCCAGCCCAGTAATGGCAAAGCTGAGACTAGGATCCAGTTCAAAGCTCTTTCCAATGTGCCACACTGAGCACCATATACATCAAATTAAGCACCATGTGCCAATGGCTCAATAAAGCCAGAGCTTTTACTGCAATCAACAAGTTTGAGTATAGAAGACGACACAGAAGAATTTGGAAGTTACCCCCCAGCACCCCCCTGCAACAACCCCCACTGAGTTTCACTTTGAAATACCTACAAATACCTGATTCTTTAATCCCATAATCTCAAGAGATGTTATATTGTTACCCCTCTGTGCTCAACCCCACAGCTTTAACTGCAAATCTATGGATTAAACATGAAAGTTTTCTCAGTTCCTCCCAAATGAATTCTGTTAGTACTGCTACTTAATTCTCCCTAGGAAATCTCTTCCCAGAGAAGAGTTTACATGATTTTCTGCTAAGCTTAAAGCACTATTATCTTTTGGCAGCTGGATACTAATTGATCATTGATCTTTGAACTCTGGTTTTAGGGCTGCTGGGCTGAAAAAAATTAGAAAACTTTGTCTTTTAGAGTGCTTTCTCTAATCCGTCCTTTCCCCTTCTTTGCTACTGCTGGCATTCCAAAGTGGATTTGTTTTAAATCCTGGGTGGCTTAACAAAGAGGTGCTATAGTGCAATGATTAAGAGGTGTTTCAGGGTGAGACCAAGGATTGAGCCTGGCTTTGCCATTAATGTGCAGAGAAGTGCTTTTGAGGAAATTGTTTAACTAAGCAGACACGTACTAAAGATGGCTAACTGGCACATGGGAGCAAATTTTGTGCATCTCTTTCCAATCCTACTTTCAGTGACATTGTGTTGGTAGCTTGAAATTAGCTATGGTGATTGTCATAACTCTCATTTGCATTAATGCGGCCTTGGCATCCGTCTGCTCGTTGTGTCCCTGGCTTGTCACCTTTGGCCTACATATTGTAAGACAGTCTGTGTACCCAGTTCCCAGTTTCATGTTCTAGATAGATAAGGCCATACCTTGAACCACTTGACCACCTTACTTCTTCATTAAGTCTGGTGAACCCAAGAATGTAACTCCCAAATTCCCAAACCTAGCCATACCCCACCTGAAAATGAACCAGTCCAAATCTGTCACACGAAACCACCTAGGTAATGTCTTGGACTCCCATAAAGCCTTCAGCCCACAGGTCCCTCCCTTTCTTTCCCCGACTGGTTACACGTCCTGGAAGGTCCCCTCTTGTGGTCTGTGCTGCCTTCCACTCTTGGGATCTGTGAGTAATAAACTTAATTTTGTCACCATTCCTATCTAAATGCCCCTTTACTGTGCCAAAACTGGATAACACCTAACCTAACTTAAGTACCTCACTTAACACCTCAGAATAGTGATATTTTACACCATGGAAAATGGGAGACAGTACAAATCAGCGTCTCCTTCCCTTCCCAAGCCAACTGTTTCTCTAAGCCCTAGATACTCATCCATACAATAGGGAAGACAATAGTACTTACCCCATGGGATTGTAGTGAGAGTTAAATGACATAATGTATGTGCAATACCCAGGGAACATCTGGCATACAGTTTCCTATGTTGCTATTGTTATTATCCATGTCTTACTTGATTGCTACCTCTGCTGTGGTCTGACTGTGTTCCCTCAAAATGAACATATGTAAAAATTTCATCTCAAATGTAATATTATTAAGAGGTGGGGCCTTTGGGAGGTGATTAGGGATTAGTTCCCTTATAAAATAGGCTTGAGAAAGCCTATTTTCCCCATCTATTAGGGAAATAGAAGAATAGGACAGCCAGGATGACCCGTTTTAAAACCCATCCCATCTTAAAACTAGCAAGGCACATTCCCTGCCAGTCACAACCCATGGTAATAAGATGTTTATGGCTAAGGAAGCTGCCTAATAATGACTACAAGCACAAACTCCTACAACAGCAGAATGTCCAGATGTCCGAATATTATATAACAATATATGCTTTTAAGATTATTATAGTCATTCTTTGATGTACTTATGCACTAAAATGCCAAGGATAACCTTCTTTATATCAACAAAGTAATACATTTTTTCATACTGTCAGCCCATCCACACATAGTCGTAACTTAGCTTAGCTTTTAAGTTGATTAAAAGAAACAAAAACCTACATAAGAAGAATATAAAACAAAGGCCATGCATTCCTCCTCTTGTTTTCTGAGGATGTCGTACTCTGTATCTGAGTAACTTTCTCTTCTCACCACACTCTGTGGCTCACCTTGAATTCCTTTCTGCACAAGATCCAAAAACCCTCTTTTGGGGTCTGGATCAAGATTCCTTTTCTGGCAACACATCCACCATGTGAGGATACATAGAAGGTGCCATATGTATGAAACCAAGAACAGCCCTCACCAGACATCAAGCCTGCTGGAGCCTTGATCTTGGACTTTCCAACTTCCAGAACTTTGAGCAATACATTTCTCTTGTTTATAAACTACCAGTCTAAAGTATTTAGTTATAGCAGCTTGAACAGGCTGAGATAGAAACTGAGACGTAGGATGCTGCTTTAATAAATTGTAAAATGTATCTTAAAGTGTGGATAAAGGTTTGTAACTGAGTAACAGGTAGAGACAGTCTCGCTCTGTCACCAAGGCTGGAGTGCAGTGGCGTGATCTTGGCTCACTGCAAGTTCTGCCTCTCGGGTTCATGCCACTCTCCTGCCTCAGCCCTCTGAGTACCTGAGACTACAGGTGTGTGCCACCATGCCTGGCTAATTTTTTATATTTTTGTAGAGACGGGGTTTCACCATGTTAGCCAGGATGGTCTCGATCTCCTGACCTCGTGATACACCTGCCTCGGCCTCCCAAAGTGCTGGGATTACAGGTGTGAGCCACCACGCCCAGCCGAGGCTAGAACAGTTTTGAAGTGCATGCTGGAAAAAGCCTGTATTGCTGTGAATGGACTATAAAGGGTAACTCTGGTGAGGGTCAGAAAAACAGGAGAGCTGGAGAAAACATCTTAATCTTCTTAGAGATTCCCTAAGATTTCATAATCAGAATATTGGTAGAAATATGAACAGTAGATCTCAGAAAGGTCCACTTTATAACAAGGATGACCTCTCCTCCAGTTTCCAATAACATGCTCCTCATGGGCATCCTTATTATAAAGTGGAACTGAACTTGGTTAAATTGTACTTGTGTTCTAGTGTTGTGTGGAAGGTAGAACTTAAGAGTGATGAACTAGGATATTTGGTAGAAGAAATATCTAAGCAAAATTTTGAAATAATTAATTCAAAATCTAAGCTCTTATGAGGCCAAGGCAGGACCTGATCACTTGAGACCAGGAATTTGAGACACCATCTCCGGGGCAACATAGTGAGACACCGTCCTTTTAAAAATAGGTGAATAAACTTTTGAAAAATCTAAGATGTTGGAACTCTAAGTTATTTTGAGCCTTAGAAAAATATGATTATGGAACCTGAGTCACTATGACAGGCAGCTATAACCTAGGAAGCTGTAATCTTTTGTTTCTTTGATTATAGATTAAGACTTTTCCCTTACCTGCATTGTTTTATAAAACATTGTAAATGGCCTAAGGGTACCAGGGAAGACCCTCTTTCCTCTCCAGGGTTGACTTTTATGACAGTCCAACTTCTCTCTTACCCGTCTTAAACAAAGACTTCATGGCTATCACATTGCCTTAAATTATTTTAAATTGTAAAGGAAACGAAGACAAGCTATATAAAAAAGAGAAAACAATCCTCAAGGGGAAGGGGGACTGTAATTAATTTATTATAATTCTTAAATTAGTCTTGTATAGAACCTTTTGTAACCCTGTTAAAATTTTTTTGTGTTCTTCCTATACATGCAAGAAATTAACTTTCAACTTTGGAGAACTGACCCTGTTCCTCTGGAGTTTTGTGTCCCAGAATATCCATTCCTAGCTTTTCACGTGAAGAAACTCTTTAAAACTGGATCCTGACTCTTTTGATTATTTCAGTTTGACAAGTGCTTGTTTGTTAAACACTTCCTTTCACTGAAAGATAACAGTGTATAATACATCTTTAAACAGTATATGATGCATTATTTCAACCTGAAATTTCATCTCAAGGCATGACAGGACTTCCCTTGACTGCTTATAGTAAATCGTGAGGAGAAACTAATTAAAGATGGAATTTATAATCAAAAGGGAAGCAAAACTTAAAGATTTGGAGAAGTCTTAGCCTGGCCATGATGTAAAGAATGAAGAAGCATGTTCAAGAGAGAAGATCAAGGGTGTGACCAAGTGATCATGTGATAAGGAGATTAGTATGAATCAGAGGGATAACAGATGCTGTTCATCAAGACAATGAAACAATGACCCTGAAGTCATTTCAGAGACTTTTGGGTCTGCCCACCTATCACAGACCCAAAATGCCAGAGCATTTTGGGGCAGAACGATCTCATTGCTCTTCTCCAGACATTCCAGTATAGCACTAGCATTGGTATAAAGAACTACCTAAGACTGGGTAATTTATAAAGAAAAGAGGTTTAATTGACTCACAGTTTCACAGGCTGTACAGAAAGCATGACTGTGGAGGCTTTAGGAAACTTACAATCATGGTGGAAGGTGGAGAGGAAAGAGGTACGTCCTACATGGTTGGAGCAGGAGGAAGAGAGAGGTGTGGCGGGAGGTGCTACACACTTTTAAACAAACAGATCTTGGGAGAACTCTATCACAAGACAGCACTAGGGGGATGGTGATAAACCATTGGAAACTGCCTCTGTGATCTAATCACCCCAACCAGGCCCCTCTTCCAACACTGGATTATAATTCAACATGAGATTTGGGCAGGGACACAAATCCAAACCACATCAGCACTCCTTGGCTTTTCCAGTTGTGGGACTGAAACAGACCTGGGTGTGACACCTCTCTGGCCCTCCAGAAGTCACAGATGGTAACCATGGCAGTGTCTACACAGTGCTCTCTCCACTACTGTACAGAGTACAAAGCTTTGTGGTGAAGGCTGCCTCTACCCAGATTTCAAAGGATGCCCTGGAGAGCCTCAAGGGCCCAGGAAGAGAACTGCCAGAGGGGTGGGGCCCCATAGGGAACATCCCCTCCTCCACTACCCATGATGAGACATTATCTTGTAGAGCCTCCCTGAGATTTCAGAAGCATGCAACCTATGGTGTGAAAATCAATCCTGGGAGAGCCATGGGTAAGTGACTCCAAACCATGAAGTCTGCAGTGTGGGCTGTGCCCAGCAAAGCCATGGAGATGATCCCAGCCACCTGGAGCCCTGGGGGCCCAACTCCTACCTCTGGGTGTCCAGAAGACAGAACATGGAGTCAGAGAAGATGATCATCAAGTCTTAAGGTTTAATGTTTGTCCTGTTTCATTTTGGATTTATTTTTTAAAAGTTACACCTCTCTTCCATCCTATTTCTCCACTTCAAAGTGGGAATGTCTCTACTATGCTTATCCCATCATTGTGTTTTGAAAGCCCATAACTTGTTTGATTTCACAGGTTCACAGATGAGAGCAATTTGCCTCAAGAGGAATATTGAGTTTCACCATGTGTTAGGCCATTTTTTCACTACTATAAAGAAATATGTGGTGGGGGCGTTTCCAAGATGGCCAAATAGGAACAGCTCCAGTCTACAGCTCCCAGTGTGAGTGATGCAGAAGACGGGTGATTTCTGCATTTCCAACTGAGGTACCGGGTTCTTCTCACTGGGGCTTGTCAGACAGTGGGTGCAGGACAGTGGGTGCAGACCACCAAGCATGAGCCAAAGCAGAGCGAGGAATTGCCTCACCCAGGAAGTGCAAGGGGTCAGGGAATTCCCTTTCTTAGCCAAGAGAAGCTGTGACAGATGGCACATGGAAAATCGGGTCACTCCCACCCTAATACTGTGCTTTTCCAATGGTCTTAGCAGATGGCACTCCAGGAGATTATATCCCACGCCTGGCTCGGAGGGTCCCACACCCATGGAGCCTCACTCATTGCTAGCACAGCAGTCTGAGATGGAACTGCAAGGTGGCAACGAGGCTCGGGGAGGGGTGCCCGCCATTGCTGAGGCTTGAGTAGGTAAACAAAGCAGCCGGGAATCTCAAACTGGGTGGAGCCCATTGCAGCTCAAGGAGGCCTGCCTGCCTCTGTAGACTCCACCTCTGGGGGCAGGGCATAGCTGAACAAAAGGCAGCAGAAACCTCTGCAGACTTAAATGTCCTTTTCTGACAGCTTTGAAGAGAGTAGTGGTTCCCTCAGCAAGGAGTTTGAGATCTGAGAACAGACAGACTGCCTCTTCAAGTGGGTCCCTGAACCCTCAGTAGCATAACTGGGAGGCACCCCCCAGTAAGGGCAGACTGACACCTCACACGGCCAGGTGCCCCTCCAGAGGAACGATCAGGCAGCAACATTTGCTGTTCAGCAATATTCGCTGTTATGCAGCCTCCACTGCTGATACCCAGGTAAACAGGGTCTGGAGTGGACATCTAGCAAAATCCAACAGACCTGCAGCTGAGGGTCCTGACTGTTAAAAGGAAGACTGACAAACAGAAAGGACATCTACACCAAAAAAAGCTGAAATTCTAAAAATCAGAACACCTCTCCCCCTCCAAAGGAAGGCAGCTCCTCGCCAGCAATGGAACAAAGCTGGATGGAGAATGACTTTGACAACTTGAGAGAAGAAGGCTTCAGATGATCAAACTTCTCTGAGCTAAAGGCAGAAGTTCAAACCCATCTCAAAGAAGCTAAAAACCTTGAAAAAAGATTAGATGAATGGCTAACTAGAATAACCAGTGTAGAGAAGTCCTTAAATGACCTGATGGAGCTGAAAACCATGGAACGAGAACTACGCAAAGAATGCACAAGCTTCAGTAGCTGATTCAATCAACTGGTGGAAAACACTCTGCAGGATATTATCCAGGAGAACTGCCCCAGCCTAGCAAGGCAGGACAACATTCAAATTCAGGAAATAAAGACAATGCCACAAAGATACTCCTCAAGAAGAGCAACTCCGAGACACACAATTGTCAAATTCACCAAAGTTGAAATGAAGGAAAAAATGTTAAGGGCAGCCAGAGAGAAAGGTCAGGTTACCCATAAGGGAAGCCCATCAGACTAACAGCAGAACTCTCAGCAGAAACTCTACAAGCCAGAAGAGAGTGGGGGCCAATATTCAACATTCTTAAAGAAAATAATTTTCAACCCAGAATTTCATATCCAGTGAAACTAAGCTTCATAAGTGAAGGAGAAATAAAATCCTTTACAGACAAACAAATCCTGAGAGATTTTGTCACCACCAGGCCTGCCCTAAAAGAGCTCCTGAAGGAAGCACTAAACATGGAAAGGAACAACCTGTACCAGCCACTGCAAAAACATGCCAAATTATAAAGACCATCGAGGCTAGGAAGAAACTGTGTCAACTAACAAGCAAAATAGCCAGCTAACATCATAATGACAGGATCAAATTCACACATAACAATATTAACTTTAAATGTAAATGGGCTAAATGCTCCAATTAAAAGACACAGACTGGCAAATTGGATGAAGAGTCAAGACCCATCAGTGTGCTGTATTCACGAGACCCATCTCACATGCAGAGACACACACAGGCTCAAAATAAAGAGATGGAGGAAGATCTACCAAGCAAATGGAAAACAAAAAAAGGCAGGGGTGGCAATCCTAGTCTCAGATAACACAGACTATAAACCAACAAAGATCAAAAGAGACAAAGAAGGCCATTACATAATGGTAAAGGGATCCATTCAACAAGAAGAGCTAACTATCCTAAATATATATGCACCCAATACAGGAGCACCCAGATTCATAAATGGAGTCCTTAGAGACCTAAAAAGAGACTTACACTCCCACGCAATAATAATGGGAGATTTCAATACCCCACTATCAACATTAAATGATCAACGAGACAGAAAGTCAACAAGGATATCCAGGAATTGAACTCAGCTCTGCACCAAGAGGACCTAATAGACATCCACAGAACTCTCCACCCCAAATCCACAGAATATACATTCTTCTCAGCACCATGTTGCACTTATTCCAAAATTGACCACATAGTTGGAAGTAAAACACTCCTCAGCAAATGTAAAAGAACAGAAATTATAAAAAACTGTCTCTCAGACCACAGTGCAATCAAACTAGAACTCAGGATTAAGAAACTCACTCAAAACTGCTCAACTACATGGAAACTGAACAACCTGCTCCTGAATGACTACTGGGTACATAACGAAATGAAGGCAGAAATAAAGATGTTCTTTGAAACTGATGATAACAAAGACAGAACATACCAGAATCACTGGGACACATTGAAAGCAGTGTGTAGAGGGAAATTTGTAGCACTAAATGCCCACAAGAGAAAGCAGGAAAGAGCTAAAATTGACACCCAAACATCACAATTAAAAGAACAAGAGAAGCAAGAGTAAATACATTCAAAAGCTAGCAGAAGGCAAGAAACAACTAAGATCAGAGCAGAACTGAAGGAGATAGAGACATAAAAAACCCTTCAAAAAAATCAATGAATCCAGGAGCTGGTTTTTTGAAAAGTTCAACAAAATTGATAGGCTGCTAGCAAGACTAATAAAGAAGAAAAGAGAGAAGAATCAAATAGACACAATAAAAAATGATAAAGGGGATACCACCACCGATCCCACAGAAATAAAAACTACCATCGGAGAATATTATAAAGACCTCTATGCAAATAAACGAGAAGATCTAGAAGAAATGGATAAATTCTTGGACACATACACCCTCCCAAGACTAAACCAGGAAGAAGTTGAATCCCTGAATACACCAATAACAGGTTCTGAAATTGAGGCAATATTTAATAGCTTACCAACCAAAAAAAGTCCAGGACCAGACAGATTCACAGCTGAATTCTACCAGAGGTACAAGGAGGAGCTGGTACCATTCCTTCTGAAACTATTCCAATCAATAGAAAAAGAGGGAATCCTCCCTAACTCATTTTATGAGGCCAGCATCATTCTGAATACCAAAGCCGGGCAGAGACGCAACCAAAAAAGAGAATTTTAGACCAATATCCCTGATGAACATCGATGCAAAAATCCTCAATAAAATACTGGTAAACTGAATGCAGCAGCAAATCAAAAAGCTTATCCACCATGATCAAGTGGGCTTCATCCCTGGGATGCAAGGCTGGTTCAACATATGCAAATCAATAAATGTAATCCAGCATATAAACAGAGCCAAAGACAAAAAATCCACATGATTATCTCAATAGATGCAGAAAAGTCCTCTGACAAAATTCAACAGCCCTTCATGCTAAAAACTCTTAATAAATTAGGTCTTGATGGGATGTATCTCAAAATAATAAGAGCTATCTATGACAAACCCACAGCCAATATCACACTGAATGGGCAAAAACTGGAAGCATTCCCTTTGAAAACTGGCACAAGACAGGGATGCCCTCTCTCACCACTCCTATTCAACATAGTGTTGGAAGTTCTGGCCAGGGCAATTAGGCAGGAGAAAGAAATAAATGGTATTCAATTAGGAAAAGAGGAAGTCAAGTTGTCCCTGTTTGCCGATGACACAACTGTATATTTAGAAAACCCCATTGTCTGAGCCCAAAATCTCCTTAATCTGATAAGCAACTTCAGCAAAGTCTCAGGATACAAAATCAATGTGCAAAAATCACAAGCATTCTTATACACTAATAACAGAGAGCCAAATCATGAGTGAAATCCCATTCACATTGCTTCAAAGAGAATAAAATACCTAGGAATCCAACTTACAAGGGATGTGAAGGACCTCTTCAAGGGGAACTATAAACCACTGCTCAATGAAGTAAAAGAGGACACAAACAAATGGAAGAATATTCCATGCTCATCGATAGGAAGAATCACTACCATGAAAATGGCCATACTGCCCAAGGTAACTTATAGATTCAATGCCATCCCCATCAAGTTACCAATGACCTTCTTTACAGAATTGGAAAAAACTACTCTAAAGTTCATATGGAACCAAAAAAGAGCCTGCATTGCCAAGTCAATCCTAAGCCAAAAGAACAAAGCTGGAGGCATCACACTACCTGACTTCAAACTATACCACAAAGCTACAATAACCAAAACAGCATAGTACTGGTACCAAAACAGAGATATAGACCAATGGAACAGAACAGAGCCCTCAGAAATAATACCACACATCTACAACCATCTGATCTTTGATAAACCTGAAAAAAAAAAAAGAAATGGGGAAAGGATTCCCTATTTAACAAATGGTGCTGGGAAAACTGGCTAGCCATATGTAGAAAGCTGAAACTCGATCCCTTCCTATACTTTATACAAAAATTAATTCAAGATGGATTAAAGACTTAAATGTTAGACTAAAACCATAAAAACCCTAGAAGAAAGCCTAGGCAATACCATTCAGGACATAGGCATGGGCAAGGACTTCATGTCTAAAATGCCAAAAGCAATGGCAACAAAACCAAATTGACAAATGGGATCTAGTTAAACTAAAGAGCTTCTGTATGGCAAAAGAAACTACCATCGGAGTGAACAGGCAACCTACAGAATTGGAGAACAGTTTTGCAATCTACTCATCTGACAAAGGGCTAATATCCAGAATCTACAAAGAACTCAAACAAACTTACAAGAAAAAAATCAACCCCATCTAAACGTGGGCAAAGGATATGAACACACACTTCTCAAAAGAAGACATTTATGAAGCCAACAGACGCATGAAAAAATTCTCATCATCACTGGCCATCAGAGAAATGCAAATCAAAACCACAATGAAATACCATCTGACACCAGTTAAAATGGCGATCATTAAAAAGTCAGGAAACGCCAGGTGCTGGAGAGGATGTGGAGAAATAGGAACACTTTTACACTGTTGGTGGGACTGTAAACTAGTTCAACCATTGTGGAGGACAGTGTGGCAATTCCTCAAGGATCTAGAACTAGGAATACCATTTGACCCAGCCATCCCATTACTGGGTATATACCCAAAGGATTATAAATCATGCCGCTATAAAGACACATGCACACGTATGTTTATTGCAGCACAATTCACAATAGCAAAGACTTGGAACCAACACAAATGTCCATCAATGATAGACTGGATAAGAAAATGTGACACATATACACCATGGAATACTATGCAGCCATAAAAAATGATGAGTTCATGTCCTTTCTAAGGACATGGATGAAGCTGGAAACCACCATTCTCAGCAAACTATTGCAAGGACAAAAAACCAAACACTGCATGTTCTCACTCATAGGTGGGAATTGAACAATGAGAACTCTTGGACACGGGAAGGGGAACATCACACACTGGGGCCTGTCATGGGGTGGTGGATGGGGGAGGGATAGCATTAGGAGATATACCTAATGTAAATGATGAGTTAATGGGTGCAGCACACCAACATGGCACATATATACATATGTAACAAACCTGCACGTTGTGCACATGTACCCTAGAACTTAAAGTATAATAATAAAAAAAGAAATATGTGAAAATGGGTAATGTATAAAGAAAATAGATTTAATTGGCTCATGGTTCTGCAGGCTGTACAGGAAGCAAGGCGTCAGCATCTGTTGAACTTCTGGGGAAGCCTCAAGGAGCTTATACTTGTGGTAGAAAGCAAAGCAGGAGCAGTTATCTCACATGGCAGTACAGGACCAAGAGAGTGAGGAGGGAGGTGCCACACACTTAAAAACCAGATATCATGAGAACTCACTATCTCTAGGACAGCACCATACCATGAGGGATCTGCCCCCATAACCCAAACAACTCACGCCAGGTCCCACCTCCAACACTGGGAATTACAATTCAACATGAGATTTAGAGGGTACATAGATACAAACCATATTATTCTGCCCCAGACCCTCAAATCTCATATCCTTCTTACACTGCAAAACACAATCATCCTTCTCAATAGTTCCCCCAAAGTCTTGACTCATTCCAGCATTAACTCAAAAGTCCCAAAGTCCAAAGTCTCATCTGGAAATGAATGGAGATAGCATTGTAAAATCAAAACAAGTTGTTTACTTCCAAGAGTCAATGGAAGTGCAGGCATCAGGTATACATTCCTGTTCCAAGAGGAGGAAATTGGCCAAAAGAAAAGGGCTACAGGCCCCACGCAATTTCAAAACCCAGAATGGCATTCATCAAATCTCAAGTTTCCAAAGTAATCACTTTTGACTCCTGGTCCCACCTCCAGGGCACACTGGTGCAAGGAGTGAGCTCCCAAGACCTTGGGCATCTCCACTCCCCTGTGGTTTTACAGGGGTCAGCCCCAGTGGCTGCTTTCATGGGTTCAAGTTGAATGACTGTGGCTTTTCCAGTCACAGGATGCAAACTGCCAGTGGATCTGTCATTCTGGGCCTGAAGCATGGTGGTCCCCATCTCACAGAACTACTAGGTAGTGCCCCAGTGAGGAATTTGTGTGGAGTCTCCAACCCAGAATTTCTCCTCTGCACTACCCTAGTAGAGGTTCTATGTGAGGGCTGTGTCCCTGTGGCAGGCTTCTGCCTGGGCTTCTAGGCTTTTCCATACATCTTCTGATATCTAAGCAGAGGCTGGCAAGCCTCCTTCATTCTTGCACTCTGAGCATTTGCAGGCTTAACCCTATGTAGAAGCCACCAAGGCTTATGGCTATATCTGGAGCTTTTTGAGCTGAGACTGGGGTTGGAGCTGCTGGGATGCAGGGAGCAGTGTTCTAAGGCCACGTAGGGCAGCAGGGGCCCTGGGCCTGGCCCATGGAAACATTTTTCCATTCTTGGCCTCTGGGCCTTGATGGGAGGGGCTGTCACAAAGGTCTCTGAAATGCCTTTGAGGCCTTTTCTTGGCTATCAGCACCTTGCCCCTTTTTAGTTACGAAAATCTCTCTAGCAAGTGGTTGCTTCACAGCCTGCTTGGATTATTCCCCTTAAAATGGGCTTTTCTTTCTACTACATGGCCAGGCTTCAATTTTTCAAATATTTATGCTCTGCTGCCCTTTCAAATATCAGTTATAATTTTAAGTCATTTATTTGCTCCTGCATCTGAGCCTAGGATGTTAGAAAACAGCCAGGCAACATCTTGCATGCTTTACTCTTAGAAATTTCTTCCACCAGATAGTCTAAATTATCACTCTCAAGTTCAAACTTCCAGAGATCCCTAAGTCATAAACACAATGCAGACAAACTCTTTGCTAATGCACAACGCACATGACCTTCACTCCAGTTCGCAATAAATTTCTCATTTCCATCTGAGACCTCAGCAGCCTGGACTTCACTGCCCATATCACTATCAGCATTTTGGTCACAACCTTTTAACCAGGCCCTAGGATGTTCCAAACTTTACCTCATCTTCCTGTTCTCTTCTGAGCCTTTCAAACTCTTCCAACCTCTGCCTGTTACCCAATTCCAGAAACACTTCCACATTCTTGATACCAATTTTCTGTATTAGGCCATTTTTTGCATTGCTATAAAGAAATACCTGAGACTGAGCAATTTATAAAAGAAGAGGTTTAATTGGCTCATGTTTCTGCAGGCTGTACGAGAAGCATGGCACAAGCATCTGCCCAGCTTCTGGGAAGGACTCAAGGAGCTTTTATTTGTGGTGGAAGGCAAAGCAGGAATAGGTATCTCACATGGCAGAGTGGGAGCAAGCGAGTGAGGGGGGAGGTGCCACACACTTAAACAACCAGATCTCATGAGAACTCACTATCTCGAGGACAGCACCAAACCAAGAGGGATCTGCCTCCATGAACCAAACACCTCCCAGTAGGCCCCAACTCTTAATACTAGGGATAACAATTGAACATGAGACTTAGAAGGAACACATATCCAAACCATATCAATCCACATCTGATTAAGACTCTGGACTTTAGACTTTTGAGTTGATCCTGGAAGAGTTAAGATTTTGGGGGCTGTTGAGATGGCATGAATCTATTTTGCCTGTGAAATGGACATAAATTTAGTGGGGGAAGAGGTGGAATGCTGTGGTCTGAATATTTGTGTCCCCCCAACAATTCATATGAACTTTGACATGAAACGTCATCCCCAGTGTGATAGTATTAAGAGGTGGAGGATTTGGGGATTAGGTCATGAGGGCTCATGAATGGAATTAGTGCCCTTGTTAAAAAAGGTTTGAGGGAACCTGTTTGTCCCATCTGCCATGTGAAGACACATAGAAGGTGCCAGATCTATGAAGCAGAGAGCAGCCATCACCAGACACTAAATTGGCTACAGCCTTAATATTGGACTTCTCGAGCTCCAGCCCTGTGAGGAATGCATACCTGTTGTTTACAAATCACCCAGTCTAAGGTTTTGTTATAATAGCCAGGAACTGAGATAACCTCCAAGCTGTTCTCACTCTAACTCATCATTCATTTACTCAATAAACATTTTATTTGGCCCCCCCATGCTCCAGGTAATTCTCCTTACATGAGTTTCCCCACACCTTCCCATTGTCTATGATAATTTCCCCCAACCCAACTATACTGCAGCCCTATTCTGAATCATATATTCTGTGAATGAGGGCAGGGGAGGAGAGAGGTTGTGAATGAGAGGAAGGGAAATATAGAGTAGTGGTAACGAACTGCTTTACTGAGGCAGGGATTGCATTTTTATTCCTAGCTCTTCTGTTACTGGAAAGTGGTCCTGATCTAGACCCCAAGAGAGGGTTCTCAGATCTCACGCAAGAAAGAATTCTGGGCAAATTTACAGAGTAAAGTGAAACCAAGTTTATTAAAGAAGAAATAAAGGAATCGCTACTCCATAGGCAGAGCATCGGCATGGGTGCTTGACTGATTATATATAAGATTATCTCTTGATGATCTGCTAAACAAAGGGTGGATTATTCATGAGTTTTCTGAGAAAGGGATGGGGGCTCCCAGAACTGAGAGTTCCTCTCCATTTTGGACCATATGTGGTAACTTCCGGATGTTGCCATGGCATTTGTAAACTGTCATGGCACTGATGGGAGTGTCTTTTAGCATGCTAATACATTTTAATTAGCTTTTAATGAGCAGTGAGGATGACAGAGGTCCCTTTTAGGGCCATCTTAGTTTTGGTGGGTTTTGGCCAGCTTCTTCACCTAATCTCATTTGATCCGTGAGGTCTTTGTGGCTTGAACCTTGCAAAACTCTTCCTGCTGATTCCTATCACACCTATTCAAGATGGAGTCACTCTGGTTCAAACACCTCTGACACCTCCACTAATTCTTTGTTGTTTTGGAAATGTGAAATTCTCTACATGCCTCTGAGTATCCATCAGCAAAACATGAGCAGCCACTCTGTGTGTGTGTGCGTATAAGCACAGGTGTGTATGCCCATGCACACACACTCTCTACCATATCTCACCAAATGAGATATGACCACAAGATAATATAACTGATTTGTGAACCTTTCTGAAGGCAATTCCAAACGTGGAATTTTGAAAATATTTTGGGCCAAAGAAACATTATCTGAAACAGTGTGTAGGTGTCCGACTTGACTACTCTGAAGGAAAATCTACAAGTTTATACTCTGGTATGAATATTTGGGGAAAACAACCCTACAAAATCATTGCTTTCCAACGATACATCATGAGTCATTGACTTGGAATGCCAAATACAAGCTGGCAACTCACAGACCTTCTGAAGCTCGCTCAGTTTTCACTTTGGTCTTCTGCAGCTCGCTGAGTTTTTGTTTTTTGTTTTTTTAACTTTTCATTTTTTAATTGCAAGATTTTAATTTTTAAAAAATCTCAATGTCCCACTAATCAGGAAAAATCAGGAGAACTGTGCCGTCATGATCAAGCATGCTCTGCAGCTGGACTGTCTGGGTCTTAATCCCAGTTCTGCAACTTTCTACTTCTCTGACCTTCATCAAGTTATTTATCCTCTCTACCTCAGGACTGGAAGGAACTCCAGTTATTTTCCTCATCTGAAAAATAGAGATAATAATAGTACCTCCTGAATAGGGTTATTGTGAGCTTAAAATGAGAACATCGATTTGTTTAAAGCATATTAAACCCTTAGTAAACATAACCTATTATCTGGGAACACCAAACTTTATTCCTGCAGGACTCAAGCAGCATCTGCCCTGTGCACATGCGGGGAAAAGGGCTCCAGTTCACCCATTTCCCATCTGGTCCACTTCATCCCTTTGCCTTATCTGCCTGGCTCCTGTGGGCATTTGCAGTTTGCAACCCCCACTTTAGAATCACAGATCTGGTCAAATGGCCATGTTTAAAGAGAAAGAAAGCATTCACTCCCAGTTACAAAGTTAGGTAACAGCAATGCTCATATCTCCTGTCTGCCCATCTAGTTCCATTCTGGGTGCTCCTTATATCTGTAATCTTGGCCAACAGCAAAGGCTCTCCTCTACAACTCCAATGAATTATAGCAGGGTCACAACATTACTCACAAGGCACACAGATTTGCAGAGTAAATGCAATTTCTTACTTTCATCTATAACTGATCGTCTTCCTGGGGCTCCCACCACCCTGGATAGCAGAAATAACAGATTCGTCAATGAAAAATATTTCTATCTCTTCCAATCTAAATGGTTTCCTCTCTATTTCCAATTTTAATCTTAAAAATTCACTGAACTCTCTCTTTTAGGACTGGTCAAAGCAGCCTCTCTGGAATGACTCACCTCTCTGGCTTCTGTTTCTGCTTCATTTCTTTTTCCTGGGGTTGGCATCTGAGTATATGAGGGCACACTTCATTTTTGAGGCTTTGGAGCATAGGGCTTCTCAGACGTGGCTTTGCAGAAGGTGTCTCTGGACTGCCCAGTGGCTGCTCGTCTTATTGTCAGTCTCTGGCTGAAAGCAGCTGTCACTTGTTCTGGCTTTGTCAAGACCTGATGACCTCCCCTGACTGACCTGCCCCCACCCAGACTCCCGCAAACACTGTGACTCGAGAGGTCTGACTCTCACTTTCTTCCACTCCCATCCCTAAAGCCACCTGACCCTCATCGTGGAGATCCTGTTTGACAAGGTCCCCAGGCCAACCCTTAACTAACCTCAACACATGCCACTTGAGGCTGGGTTGCCTGGAAAAAGAGTCTGCAGTAAAACTTAAAAGTCAGTGTATTATTGGGGCAGGGGGTCAATCCTGAGAAAGCCAGAATGAAAGGAAATGTAACTAAAGTAGGGGCCAAGAGAATGCAGATACAAAGTGATGCACAAAACTTTTCTGCAGTGCTCCCAGCCTCTCCAGGCAGCACTGAGGGAAGTCGAACCATGTTGCATCTGACCTTGAACATGGCGGAGCTCTGGCTTCAGCAGCAATAGCTCCCATAGGACACACAACAAGCCGTTAGGAGGTAAGGTCAATAGCATCACCTGGGGCAAGTCATGTTCCTCCAGGCCAAGCAGGCCAAACTACAGCCCTTACTAGCCCAAGGTACCTAAAATGAGAAATGAGGGGAAGAAATGGAAAGGATTTCCCATGGCTGGCCAAAGGCTCATGAGTGGGTCCAGGAGCACATGGCCAGGTGAACCCAGGGAGGCAGAGAAATGAGGCCCAGTCGACTTTCATCCTGGGTCACTGTGGGATGGTCTGGGTTGAAGCCACACCACAGTAGAGTAGAGAGCAGCTCTGGACACCTGGCCTGCAGCCCCCCTCACCTTCACTGAACTGAACCACTGGGATTTCTTGGCTGTGGTGGCCCAGGTTGGTGAGTGGGTGAGTGTCTGAGGTGGTCAGCTTCCCAGAGTCCTGGTGCTGTCAGCATTTTCCTGGTCTGCTCTAACCCACATGTCTACCTCTGTATTGAGAAAGGCCATCTCCCCTCTTCTCTTATCACCCCCCACAATCCCTCAAGGCTGGAAGGGGCAGGTTCCAACCTTTCCCTCCCATTATTTCACAACCTATTCTCAGCAACAAACCTGTGGCCCAGGCATCACCCGCAGAAAAGGGATCGTCCCTATTTAAAGATAACTTCCGGAATAGGAACGGCTCCGGTCTACAGCTCCCAGCGTGAGTGACGCAGAAGACGGGTGATTTCTGCATTTCCATCTGAGGTACCGGCCTCATCTCACTAGGGAGTGCCAGACAGTGGGCGCAGGTCAGTGGATGCGTGCACCGCGCACCAGCTGAAGCAGGGCGAGGTGTTGCCTCACTCACGACGCACAAGGGGTCAGGGAGTTCCCTTTCCTAGTCAAGGAAAGGGGTGACTGACGGCACCTGGAAGATCGGGTCACTCCCACCCAAATACTGTGCTTTTCCGACGGGCTTAAAAAACAGCGCACCACGAGATTATATCCCGCACCTGGCTCAGAGGGTCCTACGCCCACGGAGTTTCACTGATTGCTAGCACAGCACTCTGAGATCAAACTGCAAGGCGGCAGCGAGGCTGGGGGAGGGGTGCCCGCCATTACCCAGGCTTGCTTAGGTAAACAAAGCAGCTGGGAATCTCGAACTGGGTGGAGCCCACCACTGCTCCAGGAGGCCTGCCTGCCTCTGTAGGCTCCACCTCTGGGGGCAGGGCACAGACAAACAAAAAGACAGCAGTAACCTCTGCAGACTTAAATGTCCCTGTCTGACAGCTTTGAAGAGAGCAGTGGTTCTTCCAGTACGCAGCGGAGATCTGAGAACGGGCAGACTGCCTCCTCAAGTGGGTCCCTGACCCCTGACCCCTGAGCAGCCTAACTGGGAGGCACCCCCCAGCAGGGGCACACTGACACCTCACACGGCAGGGTACTCCAACAGACCTGCAGCTGAGGGTCCTGTCTGTAAGAAGGAAAACTAACAAACAGAAAGGACACCCACACCAAAAACCCATCCGTACATCACCATCATCAAAGACCAAAAGTAGATAAAACCACAAAGATGGGGAAAAAACAGAACAGAAAAACTGGAAACTCTAAAAAGCAGAGCGCCTCTCCTCCTCCAAAGGAAAGCAGTTCCTCACCAGCAACGGAACAAAGCTGGATGGAGAATGACTTTGACGAGCTGAGAGAAGAAGGCTTCAGACGATCAAATTACTCTGAGCTACGGGAGGACATTCAAACCAAAGGCAAAGAAGTTGAGAACTTTGAAAAAAATTTAGAAGAATGTATAACTAGAATAACCAATACAGAGAAGTGCTTAAAGGAGCTGATGGAGCAGAAAACCAAGGCTCGAGAACTACGTGAAGAATGCAGAAGCCTCAGGAGCCGATGCGATCAACTGGAAGAAAGGGTATCAGCAATGGAAGATGAAATGAATGAAATGAAGTGAGAAGAGAAGTTTAGAGAAAAAAGAATAAAAAGAAATGAACAAAGCCTCCAAGAAATATGGGACTATGTGAAAAGACCAAATCTGCGTCTGATTGGTGTACCTGAAAGTGATGGGGAGAATGAAACCAAGTTGGAAAACACTCTGCAGGGTATTATCCAGGAGAACTTCCCCAATCTAGCAACGCAGGCCAACGTTCAGATTCAGGAAATACAGAGAATGCCACAAAGATACTCCTCGAGAAGAGCAACTTCCAGACACATAATTGTCAGATTCACCAAAGTTGAAATGAAGGAAAAAATGTTAAGGGCAGCCAGAGAGAAAGGTCGGATTACCCTCAAAGGGAAGCCCATCAGACTAACAGGGGATCTCTCGGCAGAAACCCTACAGGCCAGAAGAGAGTGGGGGCCAATATTCAACATGCTTAAAGAAAAGAATTTTCAACCCAGAATTTCATATCCAGCCAAACTAAGCTTCATAAGTGAAGGAGAAATAAAATACTTTACAGAGAAGCAAATGCTGAGAGATTTTGTCACCACCAGGCCTGCCCTAAAAGAGCTCCTGAAGGAAGCACTAAACATGGAAAGGAACAACCAGTACCAGCCGCTGCAAAATCATGCCAAAATGTAAAGACCATCGAGACTAGGAAGAAACCGCATCAACTAACGAGCAAAATAACCAGCTAACATCATAATGACAGGATCAAATTCACACATAACAATATTAACTTTAAATGTAAATGGACTAAATCCTCCAATTAAAACACAAAGACTGGCAAACTGGATAAAGAGTCAAGATCCATCAGTGTGCTGTATTCAGGAAACCCATGTCATGTGCAGAG
This sequence comes from Homo sapiens, assembly GCF_000001405.40. NCBI lineage: Eukaryota > Metazoa > Chordata > Mammalia > Primates > Hominidae > Homo > Homo sapiens. The sequence goes on along the minus strand of NC_000004.12, from coordinate 51,938,976 downwards.
ACACACATAGGCTCAAAATAAAAGGATGGAGGAAGATCTACCAAGCAAATGGAAAACAAAAAAAGGCAGGGGTTGCAATCCTAGTCTCGGATAAAACAGACTTTAAACCAACAAAGATCAAAAGAGACAAAGAAGGCCATTACATAATGGTAAAGGGATCAATTCAACAAGAAGAACTAACTATCCTAAATATATATGCACCCAACAATACAGGAGCACCCAGATTCATAAAGCTAGTCCTGAGGGACCTACAAAGAGACTTAGACTCCCACACATTAATAATGGGAGACTTTAACACCCCACTGTCAACATTAGACAGATCAACGAGACAGAAAGTCAACAAGGATATCCAGGAATTGAACTCAGCTCTGCACCAAGCAGACCTAATAGACATCTACAGAACTCTCCACCCCAAATCAACAGAATATACATTTTTTTTCATCACTGCACCACACCTATTCCAAAATTGACCACATACTTGGAAGTAAAGCTCTCCTCAGCAAATGTAAAAGAACAGAAATTATAACAAACTACCTCTCAGAACACAGTGCAATCAAACTAGAACTCAGGATTAAGAATCTCACTCAAAACCACTCAACTACATGGAAACTGAACAACCTGCTCCTGAATGACTACTGGGTACATAACGAAATGAAGGCAGAAATAAAGATGTTCTTTGAAACCAACGAGAACAAAGACACAACATACCAGAATCTCTGGGACACATTCAAAGCAGTGTGTAGAGGGAAATTTATAGCACTAAATGCACACAAGAGAAAGCAGGAAAGATCCAAAATTGACACCCTAACATCACAATTAAAAGAACTACAGAAGCAAGAGCAAACACATTCAAAAGCTAGCAGAAGGCAAGAAATAACTAAAATCAGAGCAGAACTGAAGGAAATAGAGACACAAAAACCCTTCAAAAAATTAATGAATCCAGGAGCTGGTTTTTTGAAAGGATCAACAAAATAGATAGACCACTAGCAAGACTAATAAAGAAAAAAAGAGAGAAGAATCAAATAGACGCAATAAAAAATGATAAAGGGGTTATCACCACCGATCCCACAGAAATACAAACTACCATCAGAGAATACTATAAACACCTCTACACAAATAAACTATAAAATCTAGAAGAAATGGATAAATTCCTCGACACATACACTCTCCCAAGTCTAAACCAGGAAGAAGTTGAATCTCTTAATAGACCAATAACAGGATCTGAAATTGTGGCAATAATCAATAGCTTACCAACCAAAAAGAGTCCAGGACCAGATGGATTCACAGCCGAATTCTACCAGAGGTGCAAGGAGGAACTGGTACCATTCCTTCTGAAACTATTCCAATCAATAGAAAAAGAGGGAATCCTCCCTAACTCACTTTATGAGGCCAGCATCATTCTGATACCAAAGCCGGGCAGAGATGCAACCAAAAAAGAGAATTTTAGACCAATATCCTTGATGAACATTGATGCAAAAATCCTCAATAAAATACTGGCAAACCGAATCCAGCAGCACATCAAAAAGCTTATCCACCATGATCAAGTGGGCTTCATCCCTGGGATGCAAGGCTGGTTCAATATATGCAAATCAATACATGTAATCCAGCATATAAACAGAGCCAAAGACAAAAACCAAATGATTATCTCAATAGATGCAGAAAAGGCCTTTGACAAAATTCAACAACCCTTCATGCTAAAAACTCTCAATAAATTAGGTATTGATGGGATGTATCTCAAAATAATGAGAGCTATTTATGACAAACCCACAGCCAATATCATACTGAATGGGCAAAAACTGGAAGCATTCCCTTTGAAAACTGGCACAAGACAGGGATGCCCTCTCTCACCACTCCCATTCAACATAGTGTTGGAAGTTCTGGCCAGGGCAATTAGGCACGAGAAGGAAATAAAGGATATTCAATCAGGAAAAGAGGAAGTCAAATGGTCCCTTTTTGCAGACGACATGATTGTATATCTAGAAAACCCCATTGTCTCAGCCCAAAAATCTCCTTAAGCTGATAAGCAACTTCAGCAAAGTCTCAGGATACAAAATCAATATACAAAAACCACAAGCATTCTTATACACTGACAACAGACAAACAGAGAGCCAAATCATGAGTGAACTCCCATTCACAATTGCTTCAAAGAGAATAAAATACCTACGAATCCAACTTACAAGGGATGTGAAGGACCTCTTCAAGGAGAACTACAAACCACTGCTCAAGGAAATAAAAAAGGATACAAACAAATGGAAGAACATTCCATGCTCATGGGTAGGAAGAATCAATATCGTGAAAATGGCCATACTGCCCAAGGTAATTTACAGATTCAATGCCATCTCCATCAAGCTACCAATGCCTTTCTTCACAGAATTGGAAAAAACTACTTTAAAGTTCATATGGAACCAAAAAAGAGCCCACATCACCAAGTCAATCCTGAGCCAAAAGAACAAAGCTGGAGGCTTCACACTACCTGACCTCAAACTATACTACAAGGCTACAGTAACCAAAACAGCATGGTACTGGTACCAAAACAGAGATATAGATCAATGGAACAGAACAGAGCCCTCAGAAATAATATCACACATCTACAACCATCTGATCTTTGACAAACCTGAGGAAAACAAGCAATAGGGAAAGGATTCCCTATTTAATAAATGGTGCTGGGAAAACTGGCTAGCCACATGTAGAAAGCTGAAACTGGATCCCTTCCTTACACCTTATACAAAAATCAATTCAAGATGGATTAAAGACTTAAATGTTAGACCTAAAACCATAAAAACCCTAGAAGAAAACCTAGGCGTTACCATTCAGGACATAGGCATGGGCAAGGACTTCATGTCTAAAACACCAAAAGCAATGGCAACAAAAGACAAAATTGACAAATGGGATCTAATTAAACTAAAGAGCTTCTGCACAGCAAAAGAAACTACCATCAGAGTGAACAGGCAACCTACAAAATGGGAGAAAATTTTTGCAACCTACTCATCTGACAAAGGGCTAATATCCAGAATCTACAATGAACTCAAACAAATTTACAAGAAAAAAACAAACAACCCCATCAAAAAGTGGGCAAAGGATATGAACAGACACTTCTCAAAAGAAGACATTTATGCAGCCAAAAAACACATGAAAAAATGCCCATCATCACTGGCCATCAGAGAAATGCAAATCAAAACCACAATGAGATACCATCTCACACCAGTTAGAATGGCAATCATTAAAAAGTCAGGAAAAAACAGGTGCTGGAGAGGATGTGGAGCAATAGGAACACTTTTACACTGTTGGTGTTACTGTAAACTAGTTCAACCATTGTGGAAGTCAGTGTGGCGATTCCTCAGGGATCTAGAACTAGAAATACCATCTGACCCAGCCATCCCATTACTGGGTATATACCCAAAGGACTTTAAATCATGCTGCTATAAAGACACATGCACACGTATGTTTATTGTGGCATTATTCACAATAGCAAAGACTTGGAACCAACCCAAATGTCCCACAATGATAGACTGGATTAAGAAAATGTGGCACATATACACCATGGAATACCATGCAGCCATAAAAAATGATGAGTTGATGTCCTTTGTAGGGACATGGATGAAGCTGGAAACCATCATTCTCAGCAAACTATCGCAAGAACAAAAAACCAAACACCGCATATTCTCACTCATAGGTGGGAATTGAACAATAAGATCACATGGACACAGGAAGGGGAACATCACACTCTGGGGACTGCTGTGGGGTGGGGGGACGGGGGAGGGAGAACATTGGAAGATATACCTAATGCTAGATGACGAGTTAGTGGGTACAGCGCACCAGCATGGCACATGTATACATATGTAACTAACCTGCACATTGTGCACATGTACCCTATAACTTAAAGTATAATAATAATTAAAAAAAAAGATAACTTCCTTATTTAATGGAAGAAACTCCCCATGCTGAGTCCTCTGAGGCTGGTTCTGGACATGCTGGGAGAAGAGATGGCTGTGTGGGTCCCCACCAGTTCTTGCTGGGTGTGGTAAGAGTGTGAGGCTCTCATGCCTGTCTCGGCCACTCCTAGGGGTTATGTTTGCAGGGAGCAGCCTAAGGGATAAGGAAACATCTTCCCCCAGACAGACAGCAGACTTGCTGTGAAAGAGGTCAACTCCCTAAGCTTAGTGCTCCTTGGCCATTATACAAACCATCCTCAACCTGCCCTAACTTTTCTTGTGAGTGCCTGGTCAGGTTTAGTGAAGAACTTGTAAGTGGGTTCAAATACTGTACCTTCTGAGATTTCTATATTATTATGCTAGCTCACACTCTGCCTTTAACAATTAATTAAAAATCTTAGTTGAATTCTTCTTGCCAACTTGTACGGCATCTAGAAGCCTCTGCCCTGGGCAAGGAAGTGCTCATGGCCCACTCCTCCTTGGATGTGCCTGTTGATTTTTAAATTTCAAGTTAGTTGCTTGCCTTGCAACCCCTGCTCCCTGAGAGACTCAAGAACAGTAGTGAATTTGCAGGTTTTCTGACAGCTCACTCTTCATTTAAATAAAGCCCAAAATGTTCAAGAACAAGACCACAGTAAACCAAATTAATAAAATGTTTCAGTAGTAAACAGAGATAATTGGAGAATAAACCATCAAGTAACAGGAGAAAGTGATTGAATATTAAAAATATGATAAGGAGTGGACTGGGCTGGGAATGAGTGGTACAGATGATTTGGTTTTTGTTAGAAGACTTTCTGAATTATACAATTCATACGACTGTGTTTGTCTATTATTTTGATGAATATATAGTTTGTTTTGTTTTTTAATGGAGACAGGGTCTCGCTCTGCTGCCCAGTCTGGAGTGCAGTGGCAAGATCTCAGCTCACTGCAGCCTCCGCATCCTGGGTTCAAGTAATTCTCATGCCTCAGCCTCCTGAGTAGCTGGTATTACAGGCACCCAACGCCACACCTGGATGTGTGTGTGTGTGTGTGTGTGTATATGTATATATATATGTGTGTGCGTGTGTGTGTGTGTATGTATGTATATGTGTGTATATATATGTATATATATATGTGTGTGTGTATATATGTGTGTGTATATATATGTGTGTGTGTGTGTGTGTGTGTGTGTATATATATATATTAGTAGAGATGGGGTTTCACCCTGTTGGCCAGACTGGTCTCGAATTCCTGGCCTCAAGTGATCTGCCTGCCTTAGCCTCCCAATGTGCTGGGATTACAGGGTGAACCACTGTGCCCAGCCAGTATTTTAGATAGATAGGTAGGTAGATAGATAGATAGATAGATAGATAGATAGATAGATAGATAGATAGATTGATTTAGAGACAAGGTCTCACTCCATTACCCAGGCTGAAGTACAGTGGCCTGATCATAGCTCACTGCAGCCTCAAACTACTGGGCTCAAGGGATTCTCCTGCCTCAGCCTCCTGAGTAGCTAGGACTACAGGCACATGCCACCATGCCTAGCTATTTTGTTCAATTAATTTGGTTTTGTAGAGATGAGGTCTCACTATGTTGCCAGGTTGGTCTCAAACTCCTAGGTTCAAGTGATCATCCCACGTCAGCCTCCCAAAGCACTGGGATTAATAGGTGTGAGCCACCATGACCAGCATGAAACAAATTTTAAATTTATGGAAAGAACACAGAATCTTATTGATCACTAAGTCATGAACAATAGGGCAAAGCATCTCAGTCATATGTTGTTTGTTGTTGCTGCATTTGGGGGACATAGCATCAAAACAACAGAAACCAAATCTGTACCATTGAGAGAATCTGAAACAGCTCCCCTCTAAGAAACAGAAATTATTAAGTCAAGAAGTGATGACTTACTATAAAAAGAGTTATTTTTATGAATCTTCTTTATTTGATGACTGAAAATTTTTGAGTTGTTTGTGGCACCAAGCCGACATCTATGAATATCCTTAAAATTAGCCTTCATATAATGAAGTTGCATGACATGAGCCATAATTATCAGGTCTCACATATTGAGATCACTGCCCAGGCAAGCAGAAATACTGCACGGGTTACAAAAATTCATGATGGCTTCATTCAAGCATCATTCTAGCAAACAAACACTTTGCCATCTGCTAACACCTAACTGTTACCTGGGCTGGAAACATAGAGTCCCCAGACAGCCTGGCACCTGTGGACAGTCTGAACCAGGTCAGGGTTCTATTTGTCTTCTCTTAGTTTCTTTAAACCATCATTTCCAGAAGCACATATTTACAGAAAGAAACGGGTCCAATGGTAGGAAATGCTAATATCTTAACTGTTAGTACATTCCTTGGACACCTTCTATTTAGTTGCTTAGAACTTACAGGGTCTCAGTGAGAAAACTCTGATGTTACAAAATGACATGCAGTCTATAACCTCCCTTCTTCCCAGGGACTTAGGGTTTGACACTGGACCAGTCTTAAGCAGAAAAGGGCTTTGCCAGGAGAGGGATCCTGCCACTGCTGTGATTGGGAGAGTTACTTATTGTCACGCCCAAGCTCCTCTTAAGTCAGAAGCTTCTAGTTGGTCAGCAGCTTCCCCTGATTCCAAATTTCCCCCGTGACTAGGCTACAGGAAGGGTTTTTATTGCAAAGCTGCCAAAGTGAAGGCTTTCCACACAGATGAGTTTCTAACCACAGCCAGTGGAGGGAAAAAAAAAACCCACAATATTTTCTTTGGGTAGAAAGAACATTCTTCCACTGCATAAAAAATTGTATTTGATACCCTTACTGAGTGTGCACGCAAAAGCAGTTTCTGAAGGTGCTAATTAGCCTAGAAGAGCTAGCTGTGTGGATAAAAGTTAAGAGTATGGGCTCTGTAGCCAGATTGCCTGGGTTCAAATCTTGCCGCCTCTTATTATTTAATGTGTGATCCTGGGGAAATTGCTTAACCACTCTGTGCCTCTGATTTTTTCATCTGTGTAATGAGATTAATAAAGCTTATATTTTTGTGTAAGAATAATAATATCCTAATATCTACCTCATAGTGTAGCAAGGACTAAGTAAGTTATTGCCTTCAAAGAGCTTAGAACAGGGCCTGGCTCATAGAAAGCACTCAGCAGATGTTACCTATGATTATTTTGATGTCAAACATTTCCTCTCAATTGCTTGTGATCCAGGAGATGCCCTCTATGATTCATCAGGAGAGGGACATTAGGGAGTTCTGTAGGGTATTTGTTAACCAAGCCTTCAACAAAGCCCCTACCCCATAATGGATTTTCTAAAATTGTTCTCCCCTGTTCTTTGAGATCCCTGACAGCTCTGTGATTCCATTATGACAGCTCAGGGATCTATCTGGATGCTTCCCATACCACATCTAAAGCTCTACATTGTACTCATTGGCCCCATTCCTGAGTTACATTAGGGTTTGTAGAGTTGCAGGATAAATTGTTGCTGCCTTACAGAACAAGAAACATGATGAGTATTTATATAGTGATTCAAAGGTTTTAGAACTTCAGTAAAATGGGCAACTTTGTATGCTATCATGTTAATGTAAACTCTCTTATGGAAGTAGAATGCATATACCAGAAAATGGCACAAATATTAAATATACAGGTTGATGAACTGTCACAAAGTAGAGAAACCTATATAACCATCACCCTAAGACAAATCACTACCAGTACCTTAGAAATCCACCTTCCATCCATTACTCTCTCTTCACCCCATCTCAGAGGTAACCACTGTCCTGATTTCTAACACCTTAAGTTGGTTTTCCTGTTTTTGAACCTTACATAAACATAATCACAGGGAATGAATTGTGTCTGGTTTCTTTTATTTGATTTTGAAATTGTGATAATCATCTATGCTGTGATTAGGATCCCCTAATCGCCAAGTGAGAATCCAGCCCTGGAGATGATCCAAGGGAGGAAACTTGTGGTACCACTAGGTGAGTCCTCCTTACTTAAGTGGTCATACAGTGTCTTTATACCTTAGCATCTCATTCCCTAAGACTTACTGTATCCTTTGGAGAATTTGACCTCTTTTGATGTTTATTCCAAATTAGTGAGAAGTTTTGTATTCCTAGTATTGCAGTGCTAAGATGCAGCATGAACCTTGTCCCACTCTTCTACTTTAACCCACCAAGTCATCCCCTCCAGTGCACCAGAATAATCCCACAGATGCCCATCTTTCACTGGGCCTGCAGCTCAAAAGCTATGGAAAGTTACCAACTAGATTACACAACTCCAGTAACTTAGAAAGTTTCTCATGCTGGCCTCAGCCTTTTCCTGCTCTTTCTTAGAAATGAGGTCGTTCTGCCCAAGCCTGCTGACCATTCCACAAGGACTGTACTGGACACAGGGCTGGTATGAGTTTGAAGACTGGTGGGAAGAGGAGCTCAATTCAACTAAGGAAATTTCCACTTTTTTTTACCATCCCTTCACCTAGTAAACAATGCAAAGTATATGCAAGTATTCAAGGATACATACATGATGGCTCAAGCTAGTGAACATTGTTTCACTGTGACTCCCTTATTTCCTCAGAAGGCATGTTCAAAGTTGGGTGGTCTCAGCAGTTTGTACAGAGGGAGAAATTTTCCAAACCAAAGGAGTTCAAAGCCCAAATCCTGCTGCCTTTAATGCCAATTTAGGTTTTGGGCTGCAGCCTATCAGCTCGTGTCACCTTGACCTAATGTCCAGGTTCTGAATTCATAAGTTCATTCTGTACCACAGTTACATACCTAGTCTAAATTCTCAATTTTATTTCTGTCTCAACAATTAGATTTATTCCTTATCTTTTCTTACTCTTTTCAGGGGCATTTCCAAACTTTCACCTCTCTCCTTGGATTTTCTACCCTCTTCTCTGTTCTCCCTCCATTATAGACTAAAATATGTCCACTTGAAATCCATATGTTGAAGCCAAAACTCACAATGTGACTGTATTTGGAGACAGGGCCTTTAGGGAGGTTTAAAGTTAAATGAAGTCATAAAGTTAGGGACCTGTGATGGTACATTCTGGGTCAAGTTGACTGAGCTACAGGATGGCCAAGTGGCCAGTAAAACATTATTTCTGGAAGTATCTATGGTGATTCTAAAATACATTAGCATTTGAATGGGTAGACTGAGTAAACCAGATTTCCTTCTCCAATGTGGGAAGTCATGATGCAATCCATTGACAACTTGAATAGATGAAAAAGGTGGAGGAAAGAAGGATTTGCTCTCTCTGCCTGACAACTTGAACTGGGACATGGATCTTCTCCTACCTTCAGCACTCCTGGACCTCAGACCTTCAGACCTAGACCAAAATCTACACCATTGGCTCTTCAGCAGTCAGGCTTTCAAACTATACCACCAGCTTTCCTGGGTCTCCAGCTTATAGGCAGCAGATGGTGAGACTTCTCAGCCTCAAGAATCATGGAAGCCAATACCTTAAAATAAATCTCTTTATATATATAAAATATATATGTATATATATGGGAGATTGGAATGTTAGACTATATGTATGTACACACATTATATATATGTGTACATACATATGGTCTAAACCTCTATCTATATATATATGATATATATATAATATATATAATATATATATTATATATATATATCATATATATGAGATATATGTAGTCTCCTATTGGTTCTGTTTCTCTGGTGAATCCTGAGTAGTACAGATTTTGGCACCAGGAGTGGGTCTAGAGAAACAGAATTTTTTAAAGAGTGTTTTCTGAATTGGTTCCAGAGTTTCTATAATCAGCTCTCTAATGTGATTAGATTTAAAGATGCTAATGAATATATTTCTAGTAGTAAAGAAAGTTCTGATTGTCCATGCTGTAATCTGGCAATAGAGATATGCAAAATACCTGCATTGGATACTCCTAATCCACCGCTTATAAGAAGCAAGAAGCTGGGTGATTGTGTATATGATACTTTCCAAAATTTTTCAAAAATTAATGAATATGCTAAGGTTGGCTGGTTGCTCTTAATGGCATTGGAAAACGTGGTAAAAAAAAAAAAAAAGCTAAGGGATTTGTATTCCAACTCAAGTGCCATATAAATGACCTGAAGTCTCTGTGTGTTCCCTGAAAGAGACCCTTATTTTCTGTAGCCTCAAGGCTGAGATAATTGAAATATCAAATCACATGCAGAATCTCATCCTGCAACTGGCTGAATTACAATGCAGGTTGAACTCTCAGCCTTGCAGAGTGTCTACTGTTAAAGTAGATTGGGATTGGGAAACAATGAGATCCTATAAATTGGAATGGTGACATGTGGGAAAACCTTGATGAAGCTGGGAACATTGAGTTTCATCAGTGAGTTTGAAGATTCATCAAAATTCTGAGGAGTCTTCTCTGCCAAGTGTAAGAGTTCTCCTCATCCCCAGTAGAGGCAGTTTTCCCACCCCCAGTGGCATTGGCGTTTTCACCTCCGACTGAGGAGATTAACCCTGCAATGACTGAGGAAACTACAATGATCTTTCCTGAGGCAGTTGCCATGCAAGACAATGCTGAGTCTCCTCAAGACCCATCCCTACCAATCCTCTTTGCTTCTAGACCTATAACTAGACTCAAGTCCCGGTGGGCCCCTAAAGGAGACATACAAATGTGACCCATGAGGATGTGAGCTACACTCCAAAAAAACTACTCGAGTTTTCTAATTTATAGAGATAGACATCTGGGGAATTTGTGGGAATGGATATTAAGGGTGTGGGGGCCAGGCACCTTGGCTCACACCTGTAATCCCAGCACTTTGGGAAGCCGAGGCAGGTGGATCGCCTGAGGTCAGGAGTTTCAGACCAGCCTGGTCAACATGGTGAAACTCCATCTCTACTAAAAATACAAAAATTGGCTGGGCGTGGTGGTGCATGCCTGTAGTCCCAGCTGCTTGGGAGGCTGAGGCAGGAGAATCACTTCAACCTGGGAGGTGGAATTTGCAGTGAGCCGAGTTTGTGCCACTGCACTCCAGCCTGGGCAACAGAGGGAGAATCTGTCTCAAAAAAAAAAAAAAAAAAAGTGTGGGTTAATGGTGGAAGGAACAGAAGGATCAGGTTAAATTTACTGACACAGCTTCACTAATCAGAGATTCTGCATTTAATGCTGCAGTTCTGGGAGTTAGAAGGAGCTCTAAAAATTGGTTTGGTTGGATATCTGAAACATTGACCAAAAGATGGCCCACAGTGAGCAAACTGGAAGTGCCCTACCTGCCCTGGTTTAATGCAGAGGAAGGGATTCAAAGGTTTAGGGAGTTTGGTATGTTAGAATGGATTTGTTACCTAAGACATACTCATTCACCCTGGGAGGATTCAGAAATCATACCTTTCACCAATAACATGAGAAATCAATTTGTGAGGGGAGCCCAACATTCTTGAAAAAGTTTGTGATTGCTCTTCTCTGTAGGTGGGACCTCACCATGGGAACTTCAGCCACTGAATTGGGAAACCTAAATGCAGTGGGAATAATTGGATCCCAGGGAGGCAGGGGCCAAGTGGTGGGGCAGGGACTAAAGGTAGGTGGGCCTGGTAACAATAATAAACAACAGAGTCAGAGAAGCAATCTGACTCTCACTAACTTCTGCTATTGACTGGTTGATCACAGTGTACCTAGAAGTGAAATAGATTAGAACCTACTAAATTCTTACCTTATCTGTATAAGCAGAAAACTTCCAGGTCAGGTGAACAAAAATCTAACCTGAATCATAAAAGCAGAGAGTGACAACTACTCAATCAACTCCCAGATTTCAGCTAACTAGGATTCGTGGGTCTAGGAGTCAAAGAGTAGAAAAGGGAGTGGAACAATTCACTATTAACCCTAGTGACAGACCCGGAACACCTTGAATAAAGGGGACACTAAATCCCCTTGAGGAAGGACTCCAGTACACTGTCAAAAATTTACACTATTAAGGCCAGGCGCAGTGGCTTACACCAGTAATCCCAGCACTTTGGGAGGCCGAGGAGGGTGGATCATGAGGTCCGGAGTTCAAGACCAGCCTGGCCAATATGGTGAAACCCCATCTCTACTAAAAAATGCAAAAAACTAGCCGGGCATGGTGGTGCACACCTGTAGTCCCAGCTACTCGGGAGGCTGAGGCAGGAGAATTGCTGGAATCCCAGAGGCAGAGGTTGCAGTGAGCCAAGATCGTGCCACTGCACTCCAGCTTGGGTGACAGAGATTCCATCTCAAAAAAAAAAAAAAAAAAAAAAAGATTACACTATTAATCTCCCAGTCTTCCCCAAAGGATACTATGGTCTTTTACCAGGATAACTGTGCATTGATAAAAGTAAATAATCAAATCTTTGTGGGACTACTGGACACGGGTTCTGAACTGACACTAATTCCAGAAGACCCAAAATATCTATATATACTGTGGCTCACCAGTCACAGTAGGGGATTATGGAGGTCTAATAATCAATAGATATAGGAGAATAACAATGGATTATCATAACTTTAACCAGGTGGTGATTGCAATTGCAGCTGCTGTACCAGATGTGGTTTCATTGCTTGAGCAAATTAACACAAATGATTTTGAAGATTGGTGGGAATGGGGACTGAACTACGGAAACTTCCATTTTATTTACCATCCTTTCACCTAATAAACAATACAAAGTATATGCAAGTATTCAAGGATATATGATGATTCGAGACAGTGGACATGGTTTTGCTGGGACTCCCTTTTTTCTCAGAAGGCATATCCAAAGTGGAGTTGTGTCAGCAGCTTGTACAGAGGAAGAAATCCTCCAGGTCAGAGGAGTCCAAAGCCCAAAGCCTTTTAGGTTTGCCAATTTAAGTTTGGGGCTGGAGCCTGTGAGCCCATTTTGTGGGGTGACACAAAACACATCCTCTGGTGTCTGACTGACACACCCCACTAGGCAGAGATTCTGCATTTAATGTTGCAGTTCTGGGAGTTAGGTCTTGTGATGGTTAATATTGAGTGTCAAATTGATAGGATTGAAGGATACAAAGTATTGTTTCTGGATGTGTCTGTGAGGGTGTTGCCAAAGGAGATTAACATTTGAGTCAGTGGACTGGGAAAGGCAAACTCACCCTAAATCTGGGTAGGCACCATCTAATCAGCTGCCAGAATAAAGCAGGCAGAAGTTGGAAAGAGCAGACTTGCTAAGACTTCCAGCCTTCATCTTTCTCCTGTGCTGGATGCTTCCTGCCCTCAAACGTCAGACTCCAAGTTCCTCAGCTTTTGGACTCTTGGACTTACACCAGTGATTTGCCAGGGGCTCTTGGGCCTTCAGCCACAGACTGAAGACTGCACTATCGGCTTCCCTACTTTTGAGGTTTTGGAACTCGGGCTCACTTCCTTGCTCCCCAGCTTGCAGACAACCTATTGTGGGATTTAACCTTGTGATAGTGTGAGTCAATACTGCTTAATAAACTTCCCTTTATATATACATCTATCCTATTAGTTCTGTCCCTCTAGAGAACCCTGACTAATGCAGGTCTCTTAACAGTTTAGTTGGTTGGCTGTCTGAAACATGGACCTGGTATCTGATATGCAGCTATTGACCTGATAAATTCCTTTCTCCACCCCTGCCAACATTCTCCACCAGAAGTTGTTTGTTTTCAGTGGGCAAAGTCAGCAATGCACTTTCACTGTCCTACTTCAAGGTATATAAACTCTCCAGCCCTATGTAATCATTTAGTTTGCAGGGCTCTTCACTTTTCCCTTCCATAGCATATCACACTGGTCCATTACATCTAGGACATTATGTTGATTGGATCTGGTAAACAAGAAGTAGCAATTACTCTAGACATACTGGCAAGACATCTGTATGCCAAAGGTCAGAAAACAATTCAACAAAACTTTAGGAGCCTTCTATCTCAGTGAAATTTTTCAAGGTCTCGTGGTGTGGGACTTGTTGAGATGTCTTCCTAAAGTGGAAGACAAGGTTTTGCATCTAGTATCTCCTGCAACCAAAAGAGGTACAACAACAGCTACTTCCCTTATAAGAAACACCTATTGGCCTGCTAGTGGGCCTTAAGAAGCCTGGAATGGTTAACCACTGGCCAAAAAATTACCATGAAACCTAGGCTACCCATCATGAACTTGGTGTTCTGACCCACCAAGCCATAAAGTTAAGTGTACACGGAGGTACTCCAACATCAAATGGAAGTGGTATATATGGGAGACTGGCTTTGAGCAGGCCCTGATAGCATAAGTAAGTTACATGAAGTGACAAGTGCCCATGCTTCACACTTCTGCTGTACTGCCTTCTCTCTTCCAGCCTCTACCTAAGGCCTCCTGGGGAGTACCCTATGATCAGTTGACAGAGGAAGATTCAGGGCTGGTTTACAGATGATCCCACACAATATGCAGGCACCACATGAAAGTGGACAGCTGCAGCACTATGGCCTCTCTCTGGGACATCCCTGAAGGACAATGGTGGACAGAAGTCCTCCCAGTGGGCAGAACACCAACCAATGTACCTGATTGTTCACTTTGCTTGGAAGAGCAATAGCCAGTGACATACTGATTCATAGACTGTGGCCAATGGCTTCACTGGTCAGGGACTTGGAAGGAACATGATTGGAAAACTGGCAACCAACATATTTCCCCTGGAAATATGGGGAAGAGGGATGTGGTTAGATGTCTCTGAATGGGGAAAAAACATGAAGTTGTGTGCTATTACCAAAAGGTGACCTCAGCAGAGGAGGACAGGAATAAGTGGATAGATGACTGTTGTGAGACTAGTCAGCCTCTTTCCTCAGCCACCCCTGTCATTGCCAATGGGCTTATGAATGAACTGGTCATGGTGGCATGGATGGAGGCTGTGCATTGGCTCTGCAACATGGACTTTCACTCACCAAAGCTGACCTGGCTGTGGTCACTGCTGAGTGCCCACTCTGCCAGCAGCAAAGACCAACACTGAGAGTCCCTGATATGGCACCATTCCCAGGGTGATCAGTCAGCTACCTGCCCATGAGTTGATTACATTGGATGACTTCCATCAAGAAAAGGACACCATTTTGTTCTTACTGGAATAGACACTCTAGATATGGATTGGCCTTCCCTGCATTCTTCTACCAAAACTACCATCCATGGGCTTACAGATTGCCACAACTGCTGTTATGGTATTCCACACAGCATTGCTTCTGATCAAGGAACTCATTTCATGGGAAAAGATGTGCAGCAATGGACTCACGCTTAAGGAATTCACTCTCTGAAGCAGCTGTCTTGATAGAATCATGGAGTGGCCTTTTGAATATACAAAGTGGGCACAGTACCTTGCAGGGCCGGGGCAAGCTTCTTCAGAAGGGTTACATCTTCTGAATCAGCATCCTATATATGGTGCTGTTTCTTCCATAACAAGGATTTGCTGGCCTAGGAATCAAGGGGTAGAAATGGGAGTGACACAAATCACTACCACACTAGTGATCCACTAGCAAAATTTTGCTTCCTGTTCCTGTGCCCTTTGCTCTGCTGGACTAGAAATCTTTGTGCCAAAGGGAGGAATGCTTCCATCAGGAGACAGAACAATGATTCCATTGAACTGAAAGTTAAGACTGCCACTGAGTCACTTTGGATTCCCCATGTCTCTGAATCGACAGGCAAATAAGGGAGTTACAATGCCAACTAGGGTGACTGATCCTGCCTACCAAGGGGAAATTATACTTCTGTTACACAATGGAGGCAAGGAAGAGTATGTCTGAAATACGGGAGATCCCCTAAAGCATCTCTTAGTATTACCAAGTCTTGTGATTAAGATCAATGGAAAAGTACAACAACCCAATCCAAGCAAGATGACTTGGCCAAGTAGTGGCCAAGACCCTTCAGAAATAGACTGGGTCACCCTGCCAGGTAAAGAACCATGACCAGCTAAGGTGCTTGCTTATGGTAAAGGGAATAAAGCATGGGTAGTAGAAAAAAGTAGTCAGTCACAAATACCACCTACAACCACATGACTAGTAACAGGAATGAAGACCGTAATTCTCATGAGTATTTCCTCCCTATCTTGTCATGGATCTTTGTGTCAGTTTTAGTCTTAGTTCAGGCTGCTGTAACAGGGTATCACAGACTGGGTGCCTCATAAACAACAGAAATTTATTTCTCACAGATCTGGAGGCTGAAAGTTTGAGATCATACCACTTTGGTTGGAATCTGGTGAGGGCCCTCTTCCAGGTTGCAGACTGCTGACTTGTCCTTATATTCTCACATAGCAGAAAGAGGTTGAGGAGCTCTCTGGGGTCTCTTTCTGTAAGGGCACTAATCACATTCCTGCATACCCCCCCCCTCATGACATAGTGCCTTCCAAACGGCCTTATACCATCACATTGGGGATTAGGATTTCAACATATGAATTTTGGGGAGTCATAAACATTCAGTCCCTAACATGCTCTATATGTTTATTTTCTTTCTTCTCTTATTCTCTTTTATCTTGTAATAGGTGTATTGATATAATAGTATTTAAGTATTAATTTTATATCATATTATTGAAGTAATGGGATATTATGGAGAAGAGTAAATATCACTCAAATACCTCATCTTCTCTTCTGGGAAAGGAGTTGGTGTGTTTTCAGTTGTATGCAAGGTAGTTATTTTCATTAGGTGAAATTATGACATTGTTATCGTCTTTATTTGGAGTTTATGGTTTAAGGAGATGTGTATAGGTTCCAAGTTGACAAAGGGTGGACTTGTGATAATTAATTTTGTGTTTCAACTTGACTGGGCCATGGAGTGCCCAGACATTTGCCCATTTTTCTGGGTTTGTCTGTGAGGATGTTTCTGAATGACATTAACATTTGAATCTGCAGACTTGAGTGGATGGCACTCAATAATATGGATGGGCCTCATCCATTCAATTGAAGAATTGAACAGAAAAGAAGAGTAGATTAAGAGGGAACCCTTTCTGCCTGACTGCTTGAGCTGGAACATGAATTTTTTCAGCAATCAAACTTGGTACGAAACATTGGCTCTTCCCGGGTCTTGAGTCTGCTGGCTTTTGGACTGGAACTACATCCAGTTCTCCTGGTTCTCAGGCTTTCAGACTCAAACTGGAACTTATGGGTGGTTGGCAGGTTTTGGGACTTCTCGGCCTCCATGACTGCATAAGCTAATTCCTTAACAACCCCACCCTCTACCTACATATGGTACACACACACACGCACACCCTATTGGTTCTATTACTCTTCAGAATACTAATATAACCCACCCAACCTCCCACCTTGCCTCACAGCACCCTTTGAATCCTCTGCCTAAGCTTAACAGGGTACAACCATTCAGAGCTCCTCCATGGGTCTAAGCTTAAGAGTGGGGACCAGATCTTATCCCTAGTCCCTAACCCTGTGCCTGACACACAGTCAGTCCCTCCAGGGTCCATCTTCTGCTTTCCGGCCTGCTGAGTACTTGGCTGTCAAGATTTCTGTGCTGGCTCCCAGATGGCTTCGGCCAGACTATACTGGGGGCTGCCTTGTGCATTTCCTCTACTCCTTTGAGTGATGTTCTGCTTCGTCTCCTCGGAGCAGCAATGAGATCCTCCAGGCTCTTTGAAGGTAGGGCCTAGTGGAGCCAAAAGCAGCTTCCAGGATGTCAGGGCTAGACCTGGCCATCCTCAATTGGCCTTCAACATTTGACTTGGCCTGTGGCTTTTAGCACTAATCGCAGAGGAAAGCTGCTAAAGCACAGGGCATGGGGTTTGGGTGGCATGGAAGAAAGTACATAGGATTCAGAACTAGAAGATGCAGGTTCCAGGCATACTTCTTTCAATTACTAAGTGTGAATTTGAATAAGCCACTGGAACTCTGTGACCCCTTTGGTTTTTTTTTTCATTTGCTAAATGAAAATAATAAAATCTACCTTATGGGGTGGTTGTGGGACTAAAATGAAAGACTATGTAAAAAGCACTTTGTCAACTGTGAAATGTAATTATAAGCCTCTCGAAATGGATCTATCCTTAGAAGTTCTCCAAAACTAAAGAGGAAAGAATTTTAGTGACAGCCTTTCAATTCCAAATACGTATGAGTGGGCCAATGAGGAAGAGAAGGCTAGAGGGACACAGTGAACAAAGTGGACCAGATAAGTGAATATAAAATCTTATTTACATTGAAATCTATATAGACAATCTCTAGTTATCAAATCATAGCTCTTCTTCACAAGAGCTGAAAAGGAGCAAGAAATATTCCAAAATACTCAACTACTATCCTCTGAAGTATTGCAACCATTAGCTGGGAAACATGTTACTACAGACCTTGTAAAACATGTTACAGGACACTATGTTTATTCAGTTAATCTGCAGAGTATGTTTGTTATAGAAAACTGAATTTGTTCAAACCATAAATCAATTTACCAACCCTGGGTTAATTAGCTCACCATTATGTATTTGATATATTTTGCAAGTCAGAAAGCATCCAGTACATACCTAAGAGAATGGCTAAAGTTTTAAAAACTGAAAATACTAAATGCTGATGAGGATATAGGGAGCCACTAGAACTCTCATACATTGTTGATAGAAATGCCAAATGGTTATGACTTCGGAAAATGGCTTGGCAATTTCTTACAAAATTAAACATACACTTACCCTATGACCCAGCAATCCTATTCGATCCCAAAATGGTCGAGAGAAAAGCCTATGTCCCCAAAAATATTAATAATTGCCCTGAACTGAAAATAATCCAAATGTCCACCAACATTTCATAGCACATCCATTCAATGGAACACTGCTCGGCAATAAAAAGCAATGAATCAATAGTGCATGGCTAAATCTGAAAAGCATAATAAGTGAAACAAGCAAAAACAAAATGCTACGTCACATAGGATTCCATATATATGACATCCCAGCAAATGAGAAAAAATTAGAACTCAGTGGATGCCAGGGCCTTGGGTTGGAGAGAGGGGATTTCCTGTTAAGGGCACTAGGAGACCTTGAATGAGCTAGACAGCAAACACACTTACAGACCTCAATCTTCTTGGCTCTTGTCAAACTTTGGTTTATCTCTTGGGGCTCCCCAAGGTGCTGGGGTGGAGACAGACTTTAGCTTCAACCTCAGCTTCCCAACTTTCCAGCTATGTGACTTTAGACCAGTTATTTAAATTCCCTCAACTTCAGGTTCCTCTACATACTTCACGTAAGTGTTGAAAGGTGTTCAAGGAGATCAGTGTAAAGCACATTGTCTGGACACTTTTTCTCAAAGGAGCTAAATGATATCAATAAGCAACCAACTGGCCTTCTTGACTACATCTCTAAAACCCATTAGAGCTTGCTGACCCATTCAGGTGCTGGAGCATCAACTATCAAAACCAGATCCATGAGTGTGCACTGTGGCATCTAAGGAGAGCCCTACACCGATTCCTGATCTCTTCCTATTGTACCTTACTCTCCAAAAGGAACTCTCAGCTCTAACCCAGTTGGTGTGTTTCTGGTCTACCATTGCTAAGTGTCTGAAGGCACTGACACTCAGTGGGCATAGGCCTCCCATTCATAGGTCTTTCCTAATTCTTTAGTCTGTTGATTTTCTATTATTCCAGTTTCCTCTATGCACTCTTGTAAACTTTAATGCCTGTGTTACCAATTTCACATAGGAATTCGGCCTAACACACAATTAAAGTTTGTTGATACAATGATTATATTGAGAATCTGAAAATCAACCCTGATGTAGGCAAAATAAGGACTTGAAGGATTTATGAGCACTTTGAGACACACAGAACACAGACACATGGAACAGGTTGCTAGAAGGCATCTATTATTTTATTCAATAATTTTGGAAGTGTGATAGGATTACAAACCTTGTCCAGGCCCTACTCTCACTATGGGATACAGAGAAGCCACCATAGGTAATGAAGCAAAAATGAACAATAAGCAAGTAGAGACAAAGAAAACGCAGTGGCTTTCAACATGCTATCGAAAGTTGGCCCAAAACTTTTTCATGAGTTATTTCACTGGTAATGAGTACAGCTGTAGCTCTCTTTATCATCACACATGTATCCTAAGATTTCTAGAGAACACTAGTTTGTAATTTTAGATATTCACACTTAGGCAATTCTGAGATGTCTCTGCTGGAAAGTGTCAGAGGGAAAAACAAACCCTTTTCAGCTTCCTTTCTCACAGCCAGGATTCTTTACAATCTATATTTTTCAGAGAGTGATTGCAAAGGAGTTTCTTTCAAAGGACCGAATACACTTATTGGAGAAGAGATTTACATTTTAAATGATGGTTTTTAAAGTTTCCATTTAATTACTATAGTCAATCTTTGTTTTTCAGTTTCCAATTATTATTCTCAGCATAGCCTACGTACTAATTCACCATGATTTCTAAGCAAGTACTTCTATACATGGGATGATTTTATTTTCGTTAAGGCAATTGGAAATAAATGCTAGGAACAAATTCTGGCAGAGAAAAAACTAAACATTTTTCTGCTGAATGTGCCAAAAGTGGTGAACATGCCCGATTTTGAATTACCTTCTGCCTTACCGGGCCAGAAAGCTTGATGTGTTATTTCTTCGCTTGATATATTTTTTTTTTTTCTAGCTATGATAAAGTCCCAAAAGCAATTCTTTTCTAAAGGAATCATAAAAGCTTTCATCTTTTGCTTACTCTTCATGTAAGGATTTGGAGGTAACATTCCAATGAGTCATTTCTATTTGATGCAACCAGCGACCATGGCATGTCCTGCTTTCACGTATGTTCAACAAATCAAGAAAGTCAGTGTCCGGAAATAGCCAATTTTATTCCTCACTTCTGTAGCCCTGGGGTTGACACAATCGTCTTTGATTTCTTCCTGTGGGTGTTTTTCATTTTTTCAGTTCATTTTCCTCTCCACCCCATTATTTCAAAGGGCTTAACAATGTCCTTCCTTTAGGGTGACCTTGTGTAAGTTTTTCCTTCATGGGTATGTCTGCAATGCACCTCTGCTAGGTTTTTTGTCTTGAGCCAGCATTCGTGGTTTACTCTCTCCTCAGTCTATCTTGCTCCAATTACAGCAGAGAACTTTATTTCAATTCCCATGAGTTTACATGTAGAGTCCTAGTACTGTCTAGTGGAATAAATCTCATGTTCCTATTTTCTATTATTGGATAACACGTCTCATGAGTTTCTACTGTTTGCTCTGCCACAAGTTAAGAATTCCCTGTCCTAAGGTTTGTTGTCTCTCACTCCTATCAATTCGGGATTAAGTTTTTTCCTTTATCTCCACCTCTCTTTCTTGATGTCTAGAAGCAGAGATATTTTCTTGGTGTGATGCTCAGCTTTTGGCCCAAATTATGGTTTAAAGAATCATCCACATTGACAATTTTAACAGCGTGCACCTGGATTCTAAGGAATCTTATTTTCTACTTCCTCTCTCTTGCTTTCAAGCGTATAAAAATCAAAAGTCTTCCTCGATTTATTCTTGGATTTTCTAATCTTTACATGTTTCTTAGGTCCTGACAATTCTTTGCCCAGAGAGGAAATTCTGTTACCTGCTTCCTTCCATTTTCTGGCCATCCACTACGTGCCAGAGGTCCTGCCCTCAGAAAGCTTACATTCTAGTATAGTGTAAGACAATTTTAGAAAGGGGTAGCCAGGGCTAACACACACTTATAGACTAATTGCGTGGCAGCCTTGAGGGTAGTAAAGTGGTCATTCCTGCCTAGCTTGTGGCCCACATTATGTACTTAATTCTTTAGCTCAATGTGTAGAAATACACAAAACATGGTGGGTTTTTTTAAAATCACTATTTGGCTGAGGAGTGACTGCACTATCTTTAATCAAAACATTTAAAATACTGTATCTGAAAGTGTTCTAGATTAAAAGAGACTAAAGAGGCGTAACAACTAAATACAATGCTTATCCCTGGATTAAAAAGATAATAGCTATCAAGAACATGACTGGCACAAATGGAGATACTTAAATCTGCACTGTTTATTATAGTATAGTACCACCATTAAACTTCTTGAGTGTGATCATTTTATCATGGTTATAGGTGAATGCCCTTATTCCAAATTAACAGGTGTGATGTGTCATAATGTAATTTACTCTCAGAATCTATTTACAGAATGTGAGAAGTACACACACGTATAGCCCAAGAGTAAGGCAGGAAATACAGTAAAATGTTAACAACTGGAAAATCTAAGTGACAGGTACACAGTTGTTCATTATATTATTGTAGCTTTGGAAATTTTCAATAGAAGAAGTTGGAAAAAAAACAAACAAAAAAGGATAAAAAATGCTTTAAAGACTACCTTAAATGGTTTTTGAAATGAAAGCCAGAAGAGAGAAGAAAAAATTTACACATCTGTTCTGAAACCAAACACAAATACTTTTTATTCATGGGATATCATTTTACATCAATGTCATTGAAACCTAAAACCAGTTTGCTGTACTCAAGTTAGGTGGCATAACAGTATTTCAGTTAAGCTGGGAGTCACAGGACTTGCACACTTTTATGAATGTAATGCAAATACTGACGACACGAAGCATTCACAGTTATAGGTTACCTGCTGTCATTGAACAGTAACCCCCAATAGAAATTATTTTATGAAAAAAGCAACCCACGTTTTGGTCTCATTTACAGACACCCAACATTTTAGTTGGTCAATGAAATCTATACATTTATTATACAACATATGAAAGAATAAAGGATAAGGCTTACAGAGGTATTTTAGCAGTTTTAAGAATAAAAACCAAGGGCACAAACTAACTTTTAAAGCTTTCTGTATAAACTTCAAAAGCACTGTTAAAATGGAGACTGAGAGAGAAAATAAATCCATTGTGAAACCAGAATCTAGGTTTGCCTAGTCAGATTTATAAAAACATAATTCAGAGTTCATGCTTCAAAAAAGGTGCATGTAACATTACAGTGGATGTTTGAGGCAAATCAAATAATACAATTTCTGACCTACTTCAGCAGTAAACATCTAAAGGTTGTATTCCATGACAACAGAGTATTGCAATGTGGAGTTCGAAACACAATAGAAAAAGAGAAAGGGTTGTAGACTTAGGTACTAAAGAAAACCCAGATGAAGGCACCCTAATTTATTCAACATTAGCCAGTAAATAAGTGCTTGATGATTGTTCAGTTTTGTGCAACTTAGAGAAGTTTTTAAGAAAATGTATCATATTACTCTGTCTGACCCCTTTTTCTCCCCTTAGAAATAAATATATAAAATCAAGACAATCAAGGGTAAGCACTCTGCCGCTCAGCAGTCAAAGAGGTTTATTTTTCAAGGCAGTTTAAAGATTATTTGGAGTTTTCTTAATATGCAAGATTATCCCTTTGGAATACTTACTTTCTTATCATACATAATGCAATAGTTTTTACGCAGTTTTTTCCCTACCATCAAAATGTTGATTGTGGATTAACTGTAACATCTCCCTCCTGTAACAATCCTCTCATTTTAGAATTAACTGTGCTTATCAGCATTTTTTAAAAATCTCTATATTCTAACATAGTGTTTAAAATAACTTCATCTATGATTTATATTTGCTTTAAATAAAGCTACAGTTGATCAGATTTAAAGAACTGTATGACCTGTTGCCTTTAAAGTGTAACTTTTTAACTTTATGGAATAATTTTGAAAATGAATCAATTCTTCACAGATCCAAACCTGCCTAGGCCAGTCACCACTGCAAAACAAATGCATCCATCACATCAGTATTAATAGCTGTTGCTTGCCATTAACATTTCCTGTTCTTTTCAGATATTGGTTTATGCAAACTGGTATTAATTTTTAAGGTTGAAAGTGAATCTACAAATAAGGAGTGGTTAAGTATGCTTAATCACTACAGGGTTTTTTAAACTTCTGGTTTATTTCACAGCAAATAAAACCTTTCGTTTGGTAGAAAAAGAAAGTAGTTGCATTCTACTATATCATGATTTTGTATACACACACACTGTATATACATACAAAATTTCTTTCTTTGGTGGTTTAGTTAGGGAAAAAATATGAAAATGTGAACACTGTTTGCAAAGAAATGGTAAAATAGTGGTCAAGAGTAGCACTGTCTGTGTGCTTTATTCACTTAATGCCATTTAAACGATCACATGTCACCCGAAAGAAGTTTTAGCCAGAGTTCCAAATAACCCAAACCTTTTTCCAGTCATCACATGTTCAAATCACGGATCTTGCTGACCACGACAGCATTTACTTGTTCAAATGCACCATTACCTTTTACTCACTCAAATCATTAGACTTTTGTGTTTTCACAGAACTTTAGGGACTGAATTAGTCATTCAATAGCACCAGATAGTTGGGGTGAAAACATGTCATCTCTATATTTCCTCAAGAATGGCAAAAAAAAAAAAAAAAAAAGACATAAAATACAAACCTAAAAATACCATTCTGTTTATTCTTGTTTCCTCATCCACAAAAATAATGGCTATTGCCCTTCTGTACAAATAACTCAGGTAATGAAAAGTGGCCCCTCTAGGACAGGTCCTAGCATGTACTGGGTTAGCTCAATGCTGGTGGTTTCTTGTCCACTGCCTGCAATGGACATGCTGCCAGGAAAAGCCTAGCATGAAACAAACAAACAAGGAAAACAAAACAGCTCTCACTTATAGTATGCTTGTTTTCTCAAAAGGCTGGAAAATTACATACCATGAAAGCTTAACTGAAAATTCAAGCCACAACTAGAAGTGCGATGCAGTTATAAACAGCCAGCAAAACCATGAGGTTTTCATTGAGGAGGTGAAATAAATTTTACTTAGAGTGGCAAAGAAAGCATTAGCAGATCAATCACTGGCTAGAAGAATGCAAAAGGAAAAAAAGAGAACAAACAAACAAAAAAGTTAAAGAATGTTTATAAGAGTTTAAATCCCATTCTTTTAAGAAAAGAGGTGCAATTTGAATTTGTTCATTGGTACCTATATTCAAGCTATTATAGTTTTAACACTAAAAAATAAACAACTTATACACCTTGCATGGTAGAAATGATTTGTGGCATGTTACATATCTATATGTTCAAATAATTATAACTCATCATTTTAAAACACTAATATTGTTAAGTATACCAAATGATATTTGGCATATGCCTCTAAAAAGTTATGACTCCTACCTCCTTCCAGAAGTTGGCCTCTTAAACAGTAAGGTTAATTCTGGCAATGTTTGTTCATGGTAACAGTTTTCTCTTGTTTTCTGAAATGCTACATAGGAGACCAAATAAAGTATAATTGGTTCATTCAAAAAAAGGGACTAGAAATGCCACAAAATTATTTTTACAATACATTTTTCAGAAATAATCTCTAGGTGAACCTTTTTCCTTTTATACACATATACAAAATTTAAACAGCAATATACACATAATCACAGTGAGGACGTTGGCAAATTCACCAATCTGTAGTGTAAATACAAACTGCAAAGCAGCCTTCCAAGAGAACAATGCCACACAGCAAGCAGAGCTGGCCAATTCAATAGCAAACACCAACATGTCCCTGCGAAAGGGAAACAGTGCAAGAGAAGCAGCATGCGCTTTGATACAAACAGCAATTTATGGCTAATGGGTGACAAAACTGTGGTAACAGTGACTCTCTCGCTGCTATGCATAAAGTCCTAGGACATCTGTTTGTCTTTATACCACTCCACAAACTCGTCCAACAAAACTGGCCCTGGAGAGAAAGAGAGAAACAGTAGTAATAATAATAATAATAACAATAATAATAATAGTAATGTAGCTGAGGCTTTTCCCAATGAGGATGATATAGAAATGTACACGAATGGCAGAATGGTAGCGGCAGTACTTACATGCTCCATCTTCATCATAGTTGCTGAGGTCAAGATTAATTGTTCTGCTAAACTCTAGGACATTGCACCACTGGTCTTTATTAATAACTTTGTATTTTGATTGCTGATGGAGGGAAAAGTAATATGAATTACTGACACTTAAAATGAACAAATGGGACGGTTTCAATTGCTTTATGAATCAACTTAATTAAGTTCATGTAAGGTTAACTCTTTCTGTTTGAGGTTTGTTAAGCACCAATCTAGGAGGATGGTGAGGGAGAGCAAGAGTAGAATTTAAGATGACAATTGTCATTACAAAAATATGACAGGGTCTCAATACAAAATGGAAAGCACATCAAAATAACATGATTATATATCCCCAGAAGTGAAAATTCTAAACTGCAAAAGCCATTTTATATAAAATGCAGATAATATCTACTTCATAAAGATATTATAAGAATTAAAAGAGATCATTTACTAATTTATGTGAAGCACTTCATTCAGTGTTTGGCACAAAGTAAGTGCTAAATAAAGAGTAGCTCCCATTAATATAACCCCTGACATAACCAGCACTGCCCATGGCCAAGCCTTCGGCTTAAAGCACATGCAGCAGCAGGTTACTTGACGAGATCCGGTAAGTGCTGCAAGTGGTCTCAAAATTAGGTGTTCTTGTCACAGAAAAAAATTACTGTTCTAATAATTCAAAACTCGAATCTGATCATAAAAGAAGCTAGAATAGCTGTGAAATCGTTTTTCTATTCCTCTTAGACGAGAAATTTGCCATGTGTCTATTTAAAAATACAGTATCCCTGTATGAAGATTCATAAATAAAATCCAGAACCAATGATTTTTAAATCTTCCCCACTAAAATCAGAAACATAGTAAAACAATACAAGTACATAAAAAGCAAAGAGAGTTGAGTCAATGGTTTTGAGGATGCAAACACAAGAAAAGCTGAAATGAGAGGAATACTGTCTTTTTTAAAGAAAAATGCAAACTAATGTAAGAGAGAGAACAAAGCACAGACTACAAGTTTAACTTTCTAAGCAGGTAAAAGCAAAAACCAGTCCTGAAACAGTTGATGATGCACCTGGAATTACACAAAGTCAGATTTCCTCCAGGCCAGGTCTTCCAGCTTAAGACTCTTTACACACAGGTGTAAATCCAGCTAAACTCTCTGAGAACAGGGAACTATTTCTATTTATTTTTCCAAATAATGCTAACTCATCTCAAGGGATTGTCAGAGAAATTAGAACAGACCATATGTCAACATGGACTATTTTGGGTAAACAGATACTTACGTAAAACTAGTTTTTAAATTTTTGAGGAGTCCCACTTAGTAATGTTAAAAGAAATTTTTAATAACAGTTCTCAAAGAATCCTATCAGATATTAAAAATATTCTGGACCATTACATAAAGTAAGTTGTGAGAAAGATTATTCAAGAGTGAAGCCAGAGTCATCTTACGGCCCAGCATTTTCTCAAAGACCCAACACCCTCATCCTTGCAAGCAAAGGACACTTTTTAGAAGGGCTTGGGGCAGGAGGGAAAGGAGGATGCCATATATGACAACCCAAGTAACTCAAACTTGTATCCCATATACTTCCAGGTCCCACAGAATGACACTTCAACAAAACCAGTAGCTCAGAATTTCTGATCATCAATACTTAAAAGCACACAAACAATGATGGAATAAAGTGCTGGATTGTTCTGATACTGATCTGAAGACAATTTAAACTGAAGGAGATATTGTCAGTCTGCCTAATACTTAGATTGATCTAAGGTCCTCAAGTTACTTGGTGACAAGAGTAGATAAGAACATACTACAAACTAATTTTGGTAAGAAGGCAGATGACTGTCTTTTAAACCTCTGCTTAATAAAAGTGGAAGTTCATCTAAAGTCAAAAGAAAGTAAATCTTCTTTTTCTATTGTTACAAAGAACAGAAAATCTAAACAAAAGTGAAGCTTTAAAATGGGGATGAGAAAAGAGAGAAAAGGACAGAGCTGTGGCTGTTTCGGATGCATTTTTAATGTGGAATGAAGCAACACAACATTAAACGCATACACAGATGCACTCCAAGAAGATAGGTAGCTGCTGACTGACAGCAATTATGTCACCGTAATTCCTACATAGGCAGAAAAGTACAACAAACAAAAAATTACATACAACGGGTGAATAAAGTTATTTGGTAGTTCCAAGCAAGCAAACATACATTTCATAAAACAACAATTTGGTACCTCTAAGAATTGGTGAAAAACTGGAAAAAGGGGCCAGATTTTTCCTAATAACAGTCCCAACATGCACTTGGCAGTGTTTATGTCTAGGCTGCGCTGGTCCTTTTCCTGTTTAACAAACAAAAACAAGGATGAGCCAGATGCCCCCAAATAATAAATTCCAATAATTGCAAATGTGTATTCACTTCAACAGGAAATTAGTAAACAGCTCATTTATCATACACCTTAAAGACCCTGCATCCAGACTAAGGTTAGGGAGGGGAGGTAGTCAAACACAATGGAAGGCTTGGGCATTACGATATTATATAAATTTACTGTGAGAAAGATTTATGTCAACTGAATGATCACCCTAATGCAAAATCAATTAGTTATGTCGTAGCAGTTTCTACAGGCTTTTCATGGGATTAATAAAAACTTGTAACTCAATCACTTGCTTGTTTGATATTTATGATAATTATCAAAATCCTAATTGTTGACCATAAAGCCTATAACTCAACGGAGCTTAAAGGTTTTGATGCCTATGATTAGGAATCAGGTTTCCTTAATAAAAACGAAATCAATTTGATTTCATTGATAAATATTTTTCTTGAACCTAAACATGCTGGAATTGACTTCAGCTCATACCAAATGCTGGGGCTCTGAAGTGTCTCTCTAAATCAGAGGATAGATTCATCTACCCACTCTGGTGGAAGGCAGGAAGTCTATCAATACAGTCCTTCAATAGACAGATAGATAGATAGATTTCTTAGACGTAAATTTCCTAGTAAAATACTCCTAACTAGTAACCAAGTGAAAGACAACATTTCATAAGGACACCAGAAAAAAAGATAAGAACATAAACCTAAATAAGGGCAGGGTAAGCTCATTCCACTTACATTTGCAATTAAGGATCCTAATTTCTCATTTCCGTCTTTCTTATATGCTTCCATTCCAGAACTACAAGCGGTCAGTTTCCATGGAAAGGAATAGAGGGCCTGGGACCATAAGCATACCTTACATATCCAAAGCTAGCCTCCATGTGTTATCTTAACTACAGTGGAAATTTGTAAAAGTAGTTTTTTACAAAGGGAGAAAGTGCCTGGCTAGCCCAGTGCAGTGGAATCTAAATGTTCAAATTAAGGGATGATGCTGTGACCACCACCCTAAGCCACATATGCAGCCATATATACCTCCTGATAAAATAAATCATCACTGCAAGGACGCTTAACAGTGAGGTACTCTTTAGTATACAAACCATTTCTAGCCATGACCCTGAATTGGGACTTAATACAGCAAATGTAAGGGCCTCACTTAACAACAACAATCAAGGTAGATGAAGACAAGGAAACTTGTTGCCTAAGGAAGATGTGCAATAGATCTGGCCTTTTGGTCTCAGTTGTGAAGTGTAACGACTGTCCATGAATAGACCAGGTCAGATGGCTCCACATCACCCTTCTTTCAGAGGTCACATAACTTAAGTCTGATGAGGGCAGGTGTATCCCAGTTCCACAGTTCTATGCAAACAGGTGGGACCTCCTTTCCACAGGGTTCTCTGCCTGTCCCTTGGCCATATGTATTGTCCTGCTCAGGGCTGCAGTACGCACTCCCAATGGAGAAGAGGACAGGAGAAGAGGTGATCTAGAGACTGCCTGCCTTTTGCCAGACAAACTGCATTGGTTTGTTGTGTTTCAAGGGCTTACACTTCTGTGATGACACTGTGCAAGCAAATGGAAAACTTCCTCTTACCCTGTAACACAGGTGTGGCAGACGGCAACAGCACACCATACTATGAAGCAATCCACAAGATAAACGAGTAAACTGTTGAGAAACACACGCGGCACCACAGGACTCGGCCAAAGTCCATTTGTTGAACAACAGCTTATGCAGCACTGGGCTGACAACACTGGCGCTCTGGAAGAGTTTTCCCTTTGCAGAGTTTGTAATCATTCACTAAACCCCAAATCTCTAGTCTTGCTGTGATATATATTGTGCCTTCTTCCACCATCATCAATACCTATGTCCCCGTCACAATGGACATACACTAAGGTGACAAAAAAGAAAAAAAAGATACAAAAGACCTGGACAGACTCTTTGCAACAATATAATCATCTGACAAACTGATGATCATGAAGGATTTCAATGCATATGTTTGGCAGTGATGCCAAAACACGGAGGAAAGGCATCAGACTCACAGGACTGGAAAGCTGAACAGCACTCACTTACTCCTGCTCTGCAAGGGTGCCAGCCAGCAGCTCGCAATCACTAACACCATCTTCGGCCTAGCAAATAAGAGAAAGATATTATGGATGCACTCACAATCTGAATAGTGGCATCTCACTGATAACCAACATTTCCTGTGAGTGGACTTGTGGCTATGTGCAAATGACCATGACTGGAAACACTAAAAATTCCCGGGAACAACAGTCGAGAGCTCCCACAGCAAACATCTACTAAACATCAAAATTGGAGACACTCGCAGGGGGTTCTCTGACAACAATGATCCTAATGACATTCTCTGCAAAGGGGTTCCCAATTAAAAGTGAAATGAATCTCCCAGGATGCTATCAGGCAGCCATCAACTTTATAGGCATTTAAAAAAAAAAAATCACCGTAACAAATTCAAGGAGTAAAGACATCCAAAAGCTCTTTGTAAGAAATTAAAATTATACGCTGTCAACACAAATCCTGTGACTCTCTGCTCATGGAGCACCAAGGAGCAAGGGGCAGACCAATAGATTCCTGGATCCCAAGGTCAGAATTAGACAGAAGGTACCTTGAGAGCCTGCCAAGAGCCAACCAGCATCCCCAGAAGGCCCATCAAGGTTAAAGGAGAAGGAAATGAAAACATCTCTCCCTACCCACCTCTTGACCCAAAATGTGTATGTAGGTATTTCATAAACTTTAATTTACTAAGATAAAAAGCAACGGAATTTTGTGTCATTTTTCAAATAATAATACAAACTGAACAGGCTCTATACACGAAAGATATACCAATCCCCCACAATATACAACTAGATTCTACTTTGTGGTCTTCCTTAATGCAGATTAAAAATAGAAGTTATAGAATGATATAGTACAGCTGCAAAACCAAAGGATCCTACTCTAAATATTCTACGTTATATTTTATAAATGGAATAAATATACTCCATAAGCTAAAGACTAAGAGCTAGTGTAGAGAACAGTGAAATTTTATTACAATCTGATTTAGAGTTCTAGTATGAAATAAAAAACCAGTGCCTTTGTTCACATACTACTGTTTCAGTATAGGTTCTCCTCTAAAAGGTGACAATTGAGCATTTTTTTCTTAGATGACACAAATGACTTAACAACTGAAACAAAATAGTTAACTGTAAACATGTAAATAGAAATATATTACAAAAATGAACCTTTAAACATCTGAGTATCCAGATCTGCTAAATCAAAGGCCCCTAACTATTTCAAAAGATGTATTTCCAATTTATACCAAACTTTACAGCTTAAGACTTACATATGAAAAGAGGAAAAGAGGAACCCTGAATTATTAAAATTACAAAGAAAAAAATTCAACGGGAAAAATTAAAACCCAGAAGATTTTCAAGAGAGACTAGCTGGAATCAAGAAATAATATACAGGCAAATCACAATTCCAAACATAAATGGTGAAGTCAGAAATTGGTACATGAAATCAAAAGGCCTTAAGTGAAGACCTATTACATGTGTCATGGTGTTCCAATTGAGGCCACAGGAAAAACAGACATAGAGAAAATGCAGTCCTCCTTAACCCAGCTAACCTAAGTAACCAAAAGATAAAAATAGAGGGCTGTAAAAAGCTCATATCTGAAATATTGTGGCTCAGTTTATGAAACCAAAAATACAGCAAAATAATTTTTTGAACGGGAGTTTAATTGTGCTCTTAGAACTTAGCTAACATTAGTTTAGAGACAACAATGTTTGCAAGGCAATCAATTAAGCTCAATTCTTGACACTTCCTTTAAAACAAAAGGAAAACATCTGCCAGCTGGCACAGGCTTTATTATTTTATTTGGTACAATCTGATTCTACTACTGTAAGCACTACTCTAAAAAAATGTCATTATTTGAAATGACGTCTGCAGACACCTAGGTAATATCAGTGAAGAATTCAACAATTATTTCTAATTCTATGGTTAACTTTTCCTGAGAACTTACTTCAAGCTAGAAACTGTTCTAAGTGCCTTACACTTAAACTCATTTCACCTCTATTAGTAAATAGGGACTACTATAATCCCCAATTTATAAATAAGGAAACTGAGGCACAAGGAGTTAAAATCAATAAATGGTAGAGCTGGAACTTGAGCTAGGAAGCTGATTCTAAGCTGGAGCTCTTCACTGCCTACCAAGGCTGCTTCCCTCAGAAGTAAGGAAGGAAGAGAGATTTCGATATGAAGAAACATACAGGCCAGTGGGCTCTATCAGTAACTGCTGAGCAAATATGCCTGGCTCTGCAACAACTAAAGAGGAATCTTAAGGATAAAACTAAGATTTTCAGTGTAATAGACCCGGGCTTAGATGACTCCATCATATTCTTATTCTTACTGTCACCCAGGCCTACCTTCTGTTTTCTTTGTAAATGACAGTGAAGTATGAGGGAGAGTGTGAGGAGAGTGTATGAGTGTGCACGTGGACACACGTGTGTTTGAGGTTGGGGGTGGGTTGTGTGGAGAAGGAAACTGGACGAATACATCAACTAACAAATGAAAGGCTGACTCACATCAGAAGAGGAAGTGAATCCAAATGATTGCAGGAGATTTAGGTTAAGCTTCAAGAGGATTTCTCTGATAACACGGGTTGTTGAACACAAGACCTAGCAAAATTTTCCTTAGTGAATTCTATGAGTAACATCCCTAATCATTTCTGGTTTGGCCATTGTGGTACAGAGAAGAGGACAGTGTACCAGCTTGAACCTGTGTGGCTGCTTACAGCTTCCTGAAACACAGCCTCAGAAACACTGGAGAAGAGCAGCTGGCACGTTCTGCTGGGAAAGAGAGTACATGGAGGGGCTGACAGACTTGCTCTCTAACCTGCCACAAGATTACCTCTCAGTAAAAGCCATTCCCACTTGAGTGTTCTGCCTCCACAAGACTCTTCATTCGACTTCTTTAAGGTTTTATTTCAAGAAGTGAAAAGGCGACCTCTCCAGTGCCCTCCTTCCATCTTCCCTTTCACTCGTTCCCCTTCTCCTGAAAGGCCTCCCTTTCTCTCCCTCTCTAGCAGTTTCTCCTAACTTTGTTTCCTTCCTGATTCTGTCTGGTTCACCTCGATCACTCCACCAGGGCTCCTCTCAAACTTCTCACTCTAAATCTGTCCCTTCCTGCATCAAGGTAGGACTGCAATGCTAGAAACACATCCTACTCTGTGGAGAACAACAGCACTGCAAATCCGTGGTCTCTGCTCTCACCTGGCCCTCAATGCTGCTGATCAGCGCACACCCTCCTCCAAATCCCATGCGCCAGCCTCTGCACAACCTTGAACCAGCAAGCTTGTCTCCACCACAGAGAAGGTAAAACATCCAATGGACTGATATTTATAACTAGTCTCAGATCAATGAAAAATTATATAGCATTTTAGTCTATTCTCTTCATCTAATCTTGTTCTCACTAGGTCCTTTTTTAAAAAGGAAGCAAGGAAAAATGGCTGCTTTATTTAAAAGAATCCATATAACAACAATTGTTTATATAATAAAATTTATATTGAGGGCAAAAAACCCTATGCATAAAAATACTGAGGCAAAATTCCAACTGTAGAAGAGAACTGATCATGTTGGCCCTTGTGTATATTCCACCGTCTTCTTCTAGCAAGATTCCACAGCGGGAGGAGAGCTTTGTGGAGGGAAAGCAATGTGGCTCTGTGAAGGACACTGGCCTGGACGTCAAGGGCAGATGCGGGCCCTGCTGCTGCCCCTCCTCGCTGGCTCTCAATCTCATCATCCTACATTGACAGGCCTGGACCAGATGACTTCTGAGGATCCTTTCAGCTCTCAAGCATCATATAGAACTATAAATAAGTTCAAGTCAAAGACAAATTAGGAGAAAAATAACACAACTTTATAGCCAAGTACTATTTTAAATTGGCTACAAGGTTCAAAGGGGAAGAAAGAAATGATCAGCCCCTTGGGGCTGCAATTTTGGTAGAGAGCTGTTAAAGGGGCTATTTTATCATTTTCTGGTGTTGTACTGTAGTTTCTTTCCCAGCATATTAAAGCAGAATTCAGAATATTTAATATATACCACCATTGTCAGTTGCAATATAATATTTGGGATATTAAAATTATATCATAAAGCTCAATTTTCATTAAAGTGTGATTTTTAAAAGGTCCACTGCTGGTTAATTGAGTTTTACCTCCAGGAGTCCACTTTTCTAGTAGGAAAAAACAGATTTGAGGGGGAAAAAATGAGGTTTGAGTTCTTCTTCCAACCAAGATAGGCTAACAGGTAAGATTTCCCTTTCCACTTAAAAACAACCAGGAAATTGGACAAAAAAGGTGAAATGATGGCTTCAGATGATGAAAAACAGGCAACACAGGACTGTGATCCCCAAGAAAAAGAAAATAAATAAGGTAAGCCTCAGGTTGATACCAGCTTACTCTGTGGAGGTGGTTTCTAGGCCATAGCAAAGGAGGGGGAACCCAAAACTGAGCCTAGCAATCTTGCTGAGTTGGAAAAGACAGAGCTTGGAGTTCAAGGTGGCAAAGATAACTATAATTTATGCAGCCAAATACTAGTGAGGTGGGAACTACACAAAGAGATGTGAAGGTCTCCAGAGTGGTCTCCTTCAGTCTTTGGCCATATACACATGTGAAGAAACAACCTGAGTCTGAAAAGAAACATTGCAAATGAGTGAGCAGAAGTCCCCAGGGTTTATTCAGGGCTGGGGACAGTTTGTAATCCCACCAGTCAGCATGGAAAGATCTCATAGCACACAAGGCATTGGGTAGAATCCTCAAAAAAAATATTGCCTTAGTAGTGGGGCCAAATCATCCCTATCAAGACTGCTTTGGACAGCCCTTCCAAAGGATCAAGCTGATTCCAGGTAATTTATGCACTTAAAAAACAAACAAACTCAACGCTATCTAAAGGAATACAACAAAACCCACAGCAACCAAATACCTAAAATTCATAATATCCAGCTCCAATTAAAAAAAAAAATTACAAGCAATGCAAAGAAGCTGGGCAAGTAACTCACATTACCAAGAGAAAAATAAACCAACAGAAAGAGACACAGAATTAACAGATGATGGAACCAGAAGACAAGGTTATAAAAATACCTACTATAAACATGTTCTAGAAATTCAACGAAGCAGAAAAAAATATTATCATGATGGGGAGAGAAACTGGAGACATAAACAAGACCCAAATGGAACTTTTAAAGATGAAAAATATAGTATCTGAAATGAAAAATATACTGGTTGAGATGAACAGATTAAACACTGCAAAAGAAAAGATTAATATTGGAAGACATAGTAATAAAAATGATTAAAAATGAGACACAGAAAAAACTGAAAAAATAAAAAGGAACACAGCATCAGTGGCTTGTGGGACACATTCAAGCAACCTAACATAGTTGTAACTGTAGTCGCAGAAGAGCAGAGACAGAACAGAAAAAATATTTGGAGAAATAACAGCAGAAAGATTTCCCAACTTAATAAAAACTATAAACCCACAGTTCCAAAAAGCTCAACAATCCCCAACCAAAATAAACATAAAGAAAATTATTCCAGGGAATATTATAATAAACTTGCTAAAAAAGCAATGGAAAGAGAATAAAAAGTCAGAAAACAAAAGACGTGTTTAGAGGAATAAAGGTGAGAATGACACCAGATTTATAATTACACATGATGAAAGACAATGCAGAGACATTACTGCAGTACCGAAAGAATAAAGTGTCAACCTAGAATTTTTTTACCCAGAAGTCTCTTCTAAGTTGAAGGCAAAATAAAAGCTTACAGAACTCATCACCAGCAGATCTAGCCTATGAGAAACATTAAAGAAAGTTTTTTAGGCAGAAGGAAAATGATACCAGATAGAAATCTGGATCTACACAAAAGAAATAAGGAGCATAGATATATATGATATATTTGGTATTTCTGAGTAACAATAAAAGACATTTTTGCCAATTTAAAGCAAAAGTTATAGTAGCATATTGCGACATTTATAGCCTAAATAAAATAAATGACAAAAACAGCATAAAATATGAGAGGGCAAAATGAAAGTACACAGTTGTAAAGATTCTTGCATTATACATGAAGTGGCATAACATTATATGAAGGTAGGCTGTGAAATTTAAAGATGTATACTGGAACACCCAGAGCAACTACTAGGAAAAAAAAGTTAATAAGGCAATAGTGAAAATATCCAAAAAGAAGGCATGAAAAGAGGAAAAAAGGAACAAAAAATAGGTGGGATACATAGAGAAAAAATAGCAAGCGAGGAGATATAAATTTTGTCCATACCAATAATTACATTAAATGTAATAGTTTCAGCATCCCAGTTAAAACACATATTGTCAGATCCAACCACATGCTATCCATAAGAAATCCACTTTAAACATAAAGAAACAAACAGGTTAAAAGTAAAAGATTTAAAAAAGATATAGCATGCAGACTTTAATAAAAAGAAAGTTGGAGTGAATACATTTGTATTGGACGAAGTAGACTTCAATATAAGGAATATTACTAGAGATAAAGAGAGACATTACATAATGGTAAAGCGTCTTAATTCATCAAGAGGATATAACAATACTAAACCTAGTATCAGTGCTTCAAAACATGTGGAGCAAAAAAGTGACAGAGGTGACAGAAGACATACAGGTGGAGAGTTCAACATTCCTCTCTCAGTAATTGACAGAACAAGTAGAAATCAGGAAGAATACAGAAGACCTGAAAGACACTATCAGCTAACTTGACCTAATTGACATTTATAGAACACTCCACTGACAACAGCAGAATATTCATTCTTTTAAAGTACGCATAAAATATTCACCGCAGCAGACCATATTCTGGACCATAAATCAAATAGATAAAAATTATACAGGGTATGTTCCCTGACCACAACAGAATTAAACTATCAATAATAGAAAGATTATCTGGACAATCCTAAATACCTGGAAAATAACATACTTCTAAATAATCAATGGGCCAAAAAAGAATTCACAAGGTGAACTAGAAAATATTTTTAACTAAATGAAAATGAAAATATAACATCTCAAAATCTGTGAAGATACAGCTCAACAAAACAAAGCAAAAAAGAACAGGATTCATTAAAAAATTTATCTTAGAGCATATTTTAGCTAAACTGAATCTATCCGGTAATTAAGCAATGATTAAATATGGTTGTTTTTATTTATTGTTATGTGAAAGGGCTTAATTCACCAATATTAATTGAGACTCTCCTTTAAAACAAAGGATGTACAAAGAAAGAAATTACAGAGTCCCTCAATCTGCCAGGAAAAATTAAGGCCTGTACTCAAACTCCAAAGCCAAGTAGAGGAGACACCAGGGGTATGTAACTGAAACCAGCACAATCCCACCCCGACAGGCTGATCCCTGACAGGCTGACCAGGAGGCTGTGTCGAAGCAGAAGCACATGGCTCAGACCCAGGGCCTGGATGGGTACAACTGTGCTAATGCAAACGGGGCTCTAGGCAAGGGCCCAGCACTCCCAAAGGCAGAATGCAGAGAGGCCAGGAAGCAGGGCCAGTGAGCAACCGTTAGTGCAATTTCATCATAATGCAGGCGTTGAGTGGGGAAGCTTGGGACTTAGTTGTGAGGGTCTGGAGTAACCCACATACTAGACTTGGAGACAGAAGGCCTAGGTTTGAGTCATGGATCTACTATGAACAACGTGGCCATTTCTCCCCTTTGCTGAAGCGCACTTTCTTACTCTGTAAAGTGGACTGAAACCACCCCGGCTGTCCCTCAGAGCTGACATGGGAACAACTGTGTCGTATACACAGGGAAGTGCTGGGTCGATATAAACACAGTGGGGAGGTACTAGAGGCTGTGGGGAGCAGGAAGGTGGCTGAGTGACCCAGGGGCTGAAGGAAGACGAATGACACCCTAGTGATGTGAGCACAGGGTAAGAAGTGAAAGAATGTGGACATGAGGCTACCAGAAGAGGGCTGGTAAGGAGAAGCAAGGCCTCCACCGGTGAGGCTGCAGTGGAGGCACCAAGAAAAAGGTGGCCAAAGAGCACTCATGAGATGTGCCAGGGTGACTGCCCCAGAACAGGACGTTAGCCAGGGAGGAGTAAAGCAGAACCTAGATCTAAAGCACATTGGATATCTGGGAGAACTGTGACTCCCCCAGTCAAGGAAGTTAGAAAATAGAGCTGATTTGGGTAGAGAAGGTATGATGTTTCTAAATGAATTTCTACCCATACTATAAGAAACAGCTGACTTTGGGAGGAAAAAAAAAACTCATGAAATAAACTATATAATCCTAGAAACCAGTCAACTATTCTAAAAGCATCTAGCAAAAAAAAGCATCTGGCAAATAACTTCCTTTTTCTTTTTTTAACCTCGAACTCCTGTTCTTAAGCAATCCTCTTACCTCAGCCTCCTGAGTAGCTAGAACTATAGGCACCATATCTGGCTAATTTTTAAATTTTTTTATTTGTTTTGTATAGAGACAGGGTATGTTACCCAGGCTGGTCTCAAACTTCTGGCTTTAAGTGATCTTTCTGCCTCAGCCTCCTAAAGTGCTGGGGTTACAGGTATGAGCCACTGCATCTGGCCTGGCAGGTAACTTTTATATATTATTATGCAAATGCCATTTT
The DNA here is from genome assembly GCF_000001405.40 of Homo sapiens. Taxonomy (NCBI): domain Eukaryota; kingdom Metazoa; phylum Chordata; class Mammalia; order Primates; family Hominidae; genus Homo; species Homo sapiens. The sequence continues at coordinate 51,900,410 of NC_000004.12, read as the reverse complement.
ATCAAACACTGTATCTGAATTTCACCTTATCGTTTTTAACATCAATAAATTTCTATGCATGGTGTGATTTAACTAGAAGGTTGTAATAATAGGAAAATGCATGAATGAGGGCACCACAGAGAACGTTATTGCAAGATGCATCAAAATTCACCATCAAATAAACCTTTGGTGCTGAACTGGCAGAGCCAAAGAGAGTAAAAAGTGAAAAAAATCAATATGGTGGTAAGGAAAAAAGAATAAATTGTCACCGAGTTCTCTGCCTTAAAAAAAAATAATTTAAAAAAGTGCAATCAAACAAGAAAGCCTAGTCACCTGAATCCACTAAACAAACAGACCTAACAGAAAACATCATTTCAGAATAAATTGTAATTGTATGGGATATAGATTTTGTTTGAATTGAGTATGATGCCAACTGGTGCTTCAAAATTCTCTATGTATGGTGACTAGGCTGAAAAGTAAGATTTTTATTTCACTCCAAGGGAACCACTTTCACATACTTCGACTTGACTCACTATGTGACAAATAGGGTAACTGCTTTTCAAAACGATGATTAGAAAAATACATTTAAGTAATGTATTACATTAAGTAATGTAAGAAATTAGCTTACGTCTAAAATTCACATGATTTCCAAATACAATAATAGCACCCACGGTGAATCTGAATTAGATATGATTAGCTTATTCTAGTAAACTCAACAGGAGAAGGTTTGTTGTTCTGTGAGAAGGAAAGCTTTTCCAACCTTATCTAAGAGACATTTAAGACAGTGTGTATTGCATGCCCATGTCACTTTTAAGCCAATTCCAAGAGCCAGTAAACGTCTGCCACTAGAGCTTTTTGCTGACCTACAGAATGTTTGACCAGAATCAAACTTAGTTTTCAAAAGCATACATGTAGAAAGAAATACTAACTAGCATCCTGGGAGTTAACTTATTCAAGTTTTTTTGCTGTGGCATGTAAAAACTAACCTCAAAAGGCAATTTAAAAAGGGGAGGGAAGAGAGGGAAACATCTGGATAGGCTCCAGAGAACTCACCCGTGCAAAGTCAAACGCATATCTGTAAATAAGTTTAAAGTTTGTAGAATCATTTAAGAATGATCTTAAGTAATCCAAAGTATTTCTGAGTTTTTCTGTTGTATCACATCTAGAAAAACAGAATAAAGGCAAATTATGACCTGAGTTCATTTATTTATTTTTTTAATAGAGGCAGTAATATAAACACAATACCAAAGGAAAGAACAAATCCCTGAAGTTGAAACACATCCATAACCTATTTTTTCTACACTTAAAAAAAATTTTAAATGTACAGAAAAGTTGAAAGAATAGCAAATAACCACTCATATACCATCCCCTTGATCCAGCAATTAACCTTTTTTATATTTATGTACTCTCTCTCATATACATATACATTTTTCTATACCATTTAAAAGTTGCAAACATAATGAAACTTCATCCCTAAGCACTTCAACACCATCAACAATCTTACTACTGTATCAATGTTAACTTTCTTAGCTGATATACAACCACCTGCAAATTTCCCAATTATTCCCCAATTTCTTTTATAGCTGCTGTTTTCAATCAGGATCCAATCAAGGATCATGCGCTGCTTTTAGCTGTCATATTTCCTTAGTCTCTAGAAGAGTTCTCTGCCTTTTTCTTTCTTGACAATGTCATTTTTGGAGACCAGACCACTTGCTTTTGTAGAATGTCCATCTGTCAGATAATGTCCCTATGATTATATTTAGATCCAACACTTCTGACAAGATGTGTGTCCTTCATCATGTCTGTCTGTCCCTGTTCCATTATTGGTGGATTCCTATGGTTATGGTGGTGTCCACCATTTTCCATTTAAAGGCAATTCTTCCTCTTTGAAATAGTAAGTATCTACAGGATGATACTTTGAGACTATAAATGTCCAGTCCCCAATAACATTTCACTCAATGTGTATTGTACACCACTTAAACTTCCTATTTTCCTCCTGCCTCAGTATCCCCACAAATAAGCAATGAACATCCTACCCAGGAGACCAAGTCCACTAGCGGTAAGTCTGCCCCCCTGCCACAAGGTCCCCTTCTTACACTCCCCTGACTATGACTGAGTGACATCCACACATACCAATCTGACATCCAGGGAAGGCACTTGCCCATGGGTCCTCACTCTCTCTCAGTTCCCCACCTGCTTAGCGGAGCCCACTCCCTGGGAGCTCCTCCCATATAGCTCCCTGTGTGGCATGCCATGCTTCCCTCTCTAGGAACTGAGAATAAAATAAATCCTTTAATCTCCTATTCCTCTCCCAGTAGAAGTTCTGTGGCCAGGTTGGAATGATCTCTAAAGACCTCACAAGGAGGACATACTCCTGACAACACACAATGGTTATAGCATCCATTGGTGATACCTGCCTGAATCAGTAACATCTGAATACCCAAGATGGTGATTTTCTAATCCTATCATTCCTTCTACATTTATTGGCTATAATTCTTCTATAAAGAAGAGCTCCACACATGACCTTCTTATTTTCTGGACTTAGGATTTTTTGCGTCTAATTCAGTGTGTTATAATCTGTTACTGTCATTACTCTTTTTGATTGTAGAAACTTTCCCCATTTGGGCAGTAGCCCCCTAAAGCTGGCTCCAATTTCCTTCTGACATGTCCCCCACAAGTCTCTGAGCATTTCCTTGCTTTCTGGCACAAGATGGAACAGCTCACCCTGTTCTTACCCTATTCCAGACTTGAAATCAGCCATTTCTCCAGGGAGCCTTGGTGATAATAACCTGTTTTTACCAGTAAGTGATACAGTGTTTACTTTTCATAAGCAAGCATACTTATTGGTTATTTTTACAAACTAATTTTGTTTGCAATATCTAGCCCTTAAAAATGAGAATCAAGAGTCACCATTTTCACCAGCAATATTAAAGATTTTCAACACTGAATACGTATTTTCTCTATAGATCTTTAACCTACTAAGTACAGATAATACATACACCAAGTATTATCAATATATTTTGTATACTGTATGAACTAAAATGGTTCATAATAGAGCACACGAATCTATTTTTAAAAACAAGCCTGTGAAAGCTCCTTCTTTGTACCTAACTACAAATAAGTCCTTATGATCTCTTTGTTGATATGATAAACTATCTAAAAGCCTGCAATTATATTAAATGTTTAATTTCTATGAAACAGAACAATTTAGAAAGCCCCTTATTTCTTCCTAATGTGGAAAATAAAAAAGATTAAAATTAGGCTATTTTAGAGTCGGAAAAGACTTCTTCAAGAGAATGACACATAAGCTAAGAGAGTTGAGAGATAAGCAGGAACTAGATATTTTGGAGAGGTGGGAAAGGCTCTCTGTCTATTAGGAACAGCATAGGCAAAGGCCCAGAAGCAGATGGGAGTATGGTAAGTCCAACAGACTTAAAAGACAGCCACTGTCGCTGGAGTGGATAGAGGAAGTGGGAAAGAGGTATAAGATGATGCTGAGAGGAACATGGGGTCAGTCTCATAAAAGGCTTTTGTAGTCCACAGTGAGGGTTTTTAAAATTACATCCTAGGAACAATGGAGGCCACCTGCCACTATGAGAAAGACCACGATCAGGGCTGCATCTTGACAAGCTCACTCTTGATCTCCATGGAGAAGGACTGGTGGGAAGGAAAAGAGATATTGAGAGCCAGTTAGAGATCTAGTGCCAGAATCCCAATGAGGGGGTCACAGGGACTAGAAAGATACACAAGAAAGCAGTAAACAGGAGTAAGTTTGGGAGGCAGGGCTGAATTCGCACTATAGGGTTAGATTTTCTACTGTAGGGTTAGATTTTTTTAATGGTGTGTATATAATAATATAATATTAATAATAATCGGAGAGGGTCAAAGAGGAGGGAAACTGGGTAACCCAAAAACATAAGGTCGAGGTCCCTGTTCTTCACCGGAAAGAGGGTCAAGGACCAAAGCCATAGATTTGACTGGTAGTTTAGTTTAGTCCTGTCTACGAAGAAGAAGAGCGGTTGTTTGTTTTAACAGATTCAAGAGCAGGAAGCACTCATTTAGATAACTACCCCATAGTTAAAAGAAAATAAAGTTAGCTGTAAACTCTAGGCAGAGCTATGAGAAGAAATGTGAAGTTCTGCAGCATGCCTGGGAGCAAGCCCAACATCCTGGCAAAAAGATGTCCCTATGTTTGAAAGATGCTCAGAGATCCTGTCTGAAATGCAGGAAATGAACAGTTCTTGTGCTTTAAACATAAAAAACACAAGTAATATTACTAACTCTGGTACCCATTAAAAACCTGGGGTTGGGAGCTAATGTTGCCAATACAGAGTTTAATCTGCTTTAAAGGGTGTCTTGAACACACAAAGCCCCTGGACTGGCCCCCAATAGTGAAACAGGCTGCTGAGTCACCCTGTCCAGAACCACAGGTTGCCATCTAGTGGCCACTCAACGTACACATCTTCAGAGGACTCTAGAGCCTGGCTTGGGACATGTAAGCCACCAATGTGACCTCAGAAAGCAGTCACATCTTCAACTCAAGTCTTCCCACATGTTTCTGTGTACCATGTATAAAAAAATGTGTAGAAGTCACAGTGACAGTGCCACGCTTCTAAGGAACACCATTTCCCAACACAAAAAAATGCACACAATGTAAGATAATTTCTTTTTGAGTTTGCTGCTCTAACAGATTTGTAAGGACAGAAATCAACACAGTAATCATCGAAGTTTATAAAATCAGAGGTAGCTTTCCCCTATTACCCAGGAAAAGGCCCCTGCCCCTTCACTTAGTATTTTTCCAGCCCATCATCAGTTTATTGCAGTTAATTAACAATTGTCACTGTTTTTTTTTTTTTTTTTTTTTTTTTTTTTAAGTTTAAGCACCACAATTAGCTTAATTCATCAGACCAAAACAGGAGCTGTGTCTTCTCTGGCAGGGGAATGATCTCAGGAGTGCAAGGATAGATGTTCCCTACCAGCTGCCGGCCTAAGTCCAAACTCTCATACCACCCACGTCCTGCCCCAGGCTCACAGGCCCTAGGGAAGCCAAGCACACAATTCCTCTGAGAGCCCAGGCATAAGCCATAAGCCATACTTCACCACCCTAGTTTAAGGATGCTACCAGAGACACCCAGGAAATGACAGAAATGATTAAAAACTCTGGTTTCACAGCCGATGGGCTTTCTGTTTCTATCACACTCCCATCATACAGTAACCTTTTTTTTTTTTTAACAGCATTTTAACCAAATATAATGAAGGGTCTGAATGTTTGTATCCCCCTGAAATTTGTAGGTTGAAATCCTCACCCCCAAGATGATGGTATCAAAAAGTGGTGCCTTTGTGAGATTATTAGGTCCTGGGGGCAGAATCCTCCTGAATGAGATTAGTTAAGAGACCCAAGGGCGCTTGTTTGCCCCTTCCAACATGGGAGGACCCAGTTAGAAGGCACCATCTATGAATCAAAAAGCAGGCTGTCACCAGACACCAAATCTACGGCATCTTGGTCTTGAACTTCTGGGCCTCCAGAGAAATAAAATTCTCTGGAATTTTATTTATAAGCCACCCAGTCTAAAACATTCTGTTATAGCTGCCTAAATGGCCTAAGACATATATGAATACATAAAAATATTTTGTTCTATACTTGTTAATTCTAGTTTGAGATCAAAATATTTCATTAGATAGGTTTAATAAAATTAAAATGAGCAAAAATAGAAAAGAAATCCAAAATAGAAGACAAAATAGTTTAAAGATCGACTACTTTCTGCCTTTAGAGCACATAAATGATTACTCTCTGGGTTTTCTTGTGTACTAGGTGCACATACTTCACAAATACAATGCTTATTTAGTTACTTTACTGGCATAAAGACAAGTGACCTTATGACTTCTGGATCTTTTGTCTGAATATTGTTTATAAGCCCCTCCTCTTAATGGACTTTATCTTACTCATGGTTTTTGATTCCCTAGGGCCTGGAATACTACACTTGGCACATCACTGTCATTCAAACATTTGCCAAACAAATGACTAATCTAGAAAGGTTGGAAGGTGGGGGTGGGAGGGTAGGCAGAGGTTCTTAAACTTGAAGTTGGACTATTTTTGAACTACAAAGAACCTTAAAAGTTATTCTGAATAATTATCTCCACCTCACTGATGAGGACACTACAAAGAACCTTAAAAGTTATTCTGAATAATTATCTCCACCTCACTGATGAGGACATCAACTTCAGAGTTTCATACCACAAAAAGCAAGCGGTTCCTCCATGCCTTTACAGTGGATCAGGCTTGTCACTAAACCCTGAATTGCAAGGATCAAGTGGCAATCACCCTGAGAACCCACCTGCCACCACCTGCATCATACAAAGTGGCAAGCAAGGTTCCCAACAAACAGCCTGAAGGAGTACCCTGGACTCAGAACGCAGACGCAGACCTCTTCCAGGAAATTGCTTCTCACTTCCCAGGAGATAGGGCCCTCAAAACACATGGGCAAGGTCTGGTATCAGGTAATATTCTTTTGTAGAGGGACATTCTTTCGTAAAGAACTCAGTACTATACAAACTGGGTATCACACCTTCTTAAGACAAATAAAAATGGACCTGAAAATGTTGATGGTGCCTCGTCTGAAGGCTTGAAATAAAATCCTGATATGCCCATGCCTTCATCATCACAAGGACACTTTAAAAAGCAGCCATCGGCTGCTCTACTCAGCAATGATGGTCAGGCACGGTGGCTTACGCCTGTAATCCCAACACCTTGGGAGGCTGAGGCGGGCAGATCACTTGAGGTCAGGAGTTCGAGCCTAGCCAACATGGCGAAACCCCGTCTCTACTAAAAATACAAAAATCAGCCGGGCGTGGCGGTGTCTGCTTGTAATCCCAGCTACTCGGGGAAGCTGGGGCACAAGAATCACTTGAACCCGGGAGGCGGAGGTTGCTGTGAACTGAGAGCACGCCACTGCACTCCAGCCTGGGCGACAGAGGGACATTCCGTCTCAAAAAAAAGAAAAGAAAAGAAAAGAAAAGAAAAAGGAAGCAATGAAGAAAAGTGAGAAAAATAATGAAAAAACGAGTGAATAGGATTAAAATCATAAGGAGATGTTCCCCCAAAAGGATACACAAGTTTTAAAAGATTTCAGAGAATTTAACTCTAAAATTCTAGAACACACTCTGATAGGAAAGTATATTTGTAAAAGGGTGGTTTGGCTTTTACCTAAAACTCATTTGTCATCAGATAATATTGTTAGAAGGAAGAATGTGATTTAAGAATCAGAAGTCTTAAGTGTTCTTCCCATCTCTGCCACATTCACACATCACCGATCCCCTCTATGCCTCAGTCTCCTCATTTGTAACATGTTCAGGATAAAATCTGATCTGTCTTCTTCACAAAGTAGCTATGAGGCATTCAAATGGGAGAATAGTGAACAGTCTTCATAAACTACTAAAGCACAATGCGAAAGCATTCTCAACAATAACAAATGGACAGTGATATTAAAAGTGGACAAATTCCAAAATTATTTAAATAAAACCATTTCAACTCAAATTTTAATCCAGTAAAAATCAAGATCTATTATTCCTAAAGTGAAAAGAAAGTCATCCCAATTACTTTAGATTAAAATTACTATGTTAAGAATTAGCACTTCATCGTCAATGCTATTTGAAACATTTAGTTATCCACTTCAACTGTATCTTTCAAGGCCTAATATAGAATGACAATTTGTTTTCTTGAATGAAACTGAGCAAATACACAACACACAGGCGCATGCACACACGCACATATTGCATACACAAGGCAAATACATAAAACCACTGATTTTTCTTATCCTGGGTCAGGTTACACAAACCAAATCTTTTTAATTTTTTAAATCACTGGAGTAATGAAGTTTTAATTTTGCCCAAAGCTAAAATCAGAATATATAGAGATATCAAATATTTTAACTTACAAGTTATACATTACTCAACTTTTTCTCACTAAGTATAAACCAGATGCCAGTAAGTCTTTGCCTTTTAAGCTCTAAAACTGCACCGTTCAACTCAATAGCCACTGGCCACATGTGACTACTGAGCACTTGAAATGTGGTTAATACAAATGGAGATGGATCACAAAATAAACCCCAGATTTTGAAGACTAACCATGAGAAAAAAGAATATAAAAATATCTCATTGATTTCTTAAGAATATTGATTACATGTTGGAATGAAAATATGTTGGACTGTTTGGGGTTAATAAAATAGATTAAAGCTGATTTTACCTGTTTCTACTTTTACATGTAGCTATTAAAAAATCTTAAGTTACATAGAGGTGGCTTTCTCGTATGAGAAAATGTTGGTCTGTTTCTCCTGGAGAGAGCTGCTCTACAAGAATACCAACACACTCTCTCGCTCCAAATACACATATAGACACTTTATAAATTTGCCCAGAATAGTCCTCAAAATGGGTCTTAGTCTTTACATCTTTGGCCACTGGGGAAGCTTGGCCAGACCACCTGACTTCCTTCCACTCACTCAATCACCTCCTGAAGTCCTAGGGAGGAAGGAGGCAACCACCTGGGAAGGGCAGGGACCCCCACTAGTGCAGCCTAGGACTTACTGGAGAGAAGTCATTCCTTTTAACCACTCCTGTAGAGTAAAATAACCCATGTTTTGTGCATCCAATTTCCAAGCTAGGACAAGCATAACTACCTGTTAAAAAAAAATACACAATTAAAAAAAAATATATTACACAAATTAAAAAGAAAAAACAAATAGATCTGTCATTAATACATTAACGTTTTGCTAAATGCTTCTGTTCACAGTAGTTTAGTCACTGAAATATGAGCAGAGTTAACTTCAAAAATGAGTTCTAGTTTGGCAAACATCTAAAAAAGTTGACAATATAGTCTGCTGACAAGAGTTTGGAGAAGCATGTATTCTCCTGATGCACGATAGTGGAGGTGTAAGGTGATCACCCTCTCCAGAGGGCAATATCAAATGTAAAACCAGTTATTGACAATTCCACCCATGGCAAGTTATCTTATAGGTCTACCTGTAAACAGACACAAAGATGAATTTTAGTCAACAGTATTTACTGCAGTACAATTTGTAGCAGTTAAAGACTGAAAACAACCAAATGGCCATTAATAAGGGACTGGTTAAATACTTCTTTGCCGAATACATTCCATATAAAGGAATACTATGACACCACTAAGATGAATGAAGTAGAACTAGCTGGACAAATATGGAATAATTTCCAAGATGTATTAAGTGAAACAGCAAGGTGTAGAACAGTGTATTAAAACATAACAAGGTGGACAGGGGGAGACACGCAGTGAAGTTGTAGCACACATACTTTAATGTTTGTGAATTCACTATATACACTGGTGGGAAATTATTTTAAAGTAGCCCCACATTCCACTTAAGACAGCACTATGCCTGGAATGGGCCCAGGGTCTGTGGCATGGTGTCATCACTTGTAAAGGAGGGGCAGGCCCCCAGGTGCCACCTGTGCTTTTGTGACTCTTCTGAAACCATGCAGGTTTCAGAAACAGTGACAACTCTGGTTTATGCCACTGCTTACTACTTTTTCCTTAGCTATTTTAGAGAAAAGATAGCACAGGGAACTGATGGTGAGTTTTAATAAATACCTAAAGGTGTAAAGACAAAATGACATTTCAAAGGTGCACCCAGCTTTAAGCTATCTGGAATGCTACACAGGGACAGGGTTGAGGCCATGCCTGATTAGGACAGGAGGAGGAAGCCTTCCTTCTCATCTACCTCAAAGATCCTAGAAGAGGTGAGAAGTAACTAAAAAAGAATGTCAGTCCTAAAAAGGTAAAGAAGAGGGACAGGGCCTTCTTAGGACCATTCTGCCAGCCACTCTGTAGAGCTGGTTATCTCTGGACAGTCCATTCATACATAAGGAACACCCAACTCCTAAATTAGGGATCAGGTATACACTGTTAATGGGCTCTCTCTCTGTGCTGAAACAGAAAAAGGCAATAGGTAGATAAACACATGTTTCTCCAAGGACTAGGATATCCGACACTGGCAGTTAATTTGATCTCTTTACGTAGAGCCTAAGGCTTCATTTCAGCTACTGAAAGAACCATTCAAAACCATTAAAACACCATCCCTGTGCCCAACTGGGTCAGATGGCGGCTATGGTGAAAGGAACTAAGATGACATAAAAACATGAAACATGAGGCAAGAAATCATTTTTAATGATTTCTGAGCCTCCGAGAGCCAACATGTCCATTAAAAACTCTAGAACAAGAGTAGTTAGGAGATTCAGAAGCTCTTCTTTTTAATCTGTCTGCCAATAAGCTAGTTTGTAGGCTAAAAAATCTCTAGCTTTGTCTAATTTACATGCAGGGGAGTTAAGGAGAAGCTTTCGCTTGATGCTGACTTTATGGTTTTCCTCACTGGAAATTAATATCAGTGAGAACCTACGAAATTTTTAGGATCTTTCATCAAATAAATTAGTACATATCAATTTTTTGAAAGTCATTAGGTTTTTTTTGGATTAAAAATTTAGATTACTAGGTAAATTACTAGGACTGATTAGTAATGACTGCTTAAAAGGCAATGATTGTTAAATAGGTTAAAGTGGTGACTTAAAAGACCAAGGTGCTACTAAGAATTTCCCAAAAAGATGGGGTTACAGTTCTTCAAATTATTCACACATTAGTGGATTTTCTCCTCATCCCTCAGGTTTCTAGGAATTCTGACTCTTGTATATCGATTTACCTAGGACAACTAACCAACTCACATTTTCTAATGCAAACTAGGTATTCTCAAACCATCTCTATTCTACTCTCTACCAAAAAGATTTAAAAATTCTACATAAACACTTGTTAAGTTAAAAAAAAATGGTGAGGGTGCAAGAACACACACACACAAGCATGAATGAAACATGGCTAAAGAGCCAAAACAGGTACTCATAATGGGAAAGTTCATAAAAAAGAGACTTTCATAAGTTAACTAACAAGAAATCTAAGTACTTAAATAAAGAATGTTGCTGTTATCTTGGTAAATGAACATAGACTTGAATTTTACAAGCCTGCTTAATTTCATAAGCTGTAAATATCAGGCAAAGTGAGGGTTTTAAATACCTTAAACGTGCTTGCCCATCAATGCAGACAAGGCTTGAAAACACCATATTTCAGCACTTGTTTTACAAATGTTAATGTCTCTGAAATGGGAATGCACCCACAATTGATATAGCACATCAGAGTTTATTTAGCACATTTTTTCTTAGTGATATAAAATAATACAACTTCTATTGGTGACAGCTTGGAATTGAAGTACATACAGTATAAATATTTGGATAATATTCTCTCTTTTTTTTCTTTTTCGAGACAGAGTCTCACTCTGTTGCCCAGGATGAAGTACAGTGGTGCGATCTCGGCTCACTGCAACCTCCACCTCCTGGGCTCAAGTGATTCTTGTGCCTCAGCCTCCTGAGTAGCTGGGATTACTAGCGCACATCACTACGCCCGGCTAATTTTGGTATTTTATTAAAGATGGGGTTTCACCATGTTTTCCAGGCTGGTCTGAACTCCTGACCTCATGTGATCCACCCACCCACCTCGGCCTCTCAAAGTACTGGGATTACAGGCGTGAGCCACCACGCCTGGCCTACATACTTGGATAATATGGTCTTTTAGTCTTTAATATGATTATAAATTTTAAGGATATTTCTATTCCTACAGAAATGGAGTTTTTTTTTTTTTTTTTTTGGAGATGGAGTCCTGCTCTGTTGCCCAGGCTGGAGTGCAGTGGCATGATGTCGGCTCTGCTCACTGCAACCTCCACCTCCTGGGTTCAAGCGATTCTCCTGCCTCAACCTCCTAAGTAGCCACACCTGGCTAATTTTTGTATTTTTAATAGAGACGGGGTTTCGCCTTATTGGCCAGGCTGGTCTCGAACTGCTGACCTCAGGTGATCCGCCTGTCTCGGCCTCCCAAAGTGCTGGGATTACAGGCGTGAGCCATCATGCCAGGCCAGAAATAGAGTTCTAAAGGACTCATAACTGCCAAAAAAGAATGACAATAACTATCTTTTATTGAGTACTGGTATTTGGGGGTGAGGAAACTTGAAGAGCTGTGCCTCCCTTTCTTCTTCAGTTAGAGTCAACGTCAGTGCTCTCCCATCCTGGACAGGCTTTTCTGCCTCTGAGACTAAATGCTCAGCTAATCCCTCACATACCAGCAAGCCCTTTGTCTCCCAGTCTTCTCAGCCTCTAACTTCAAGCCCAGGCCCTGCTGCCACTCCTCTGTCATATACTTACTACGGTACCCCATGTGGAACCTCCGGAGCCCCTCTCAAGCCCAACTCACTCTCAGCCCTCTGACTACATGTTTAGAAAACACTCTGCCAAGCTTGGCCCAGTTCTCATAGAAAACTTCCTTCTTAAATTCAATGTAATGGTCTTTTCTTGTGTCTACGGCCCAGTCTGTGGCAAAATACTATTGACCCAGGTGTCCCCAAACCTTCATGCCAAGTTGGGTAATTTATTGAAATACCTGAACTGGAATACATTTAAAAAAAAAAAAAAAACCAAAAAAAAAACCAAGATAAAAATCTATGTAATAAGTGAAAGACATTCCAAAGGCTCTTTAGAAAATTTAAAGCACTGCTGGGGGCCAAGATAGATGACAGAAGCACAGAAATGGTAAGGGTAAAATAAAAAGTTTAAAGAAAAAAATGTGAATTTTGCTAGTTTCTTTAAAAGCATGACATACATGCCTGGGCACCAGATGTCTTGGAAACAGCCTGAATGAAGAGAATGATCTCTTGAGATCTCTTCCCAGATCACAAATTCATTGAGGATCTTGGACATATTTATTAAACTGGAGCTAATGTAATATCAAACTGCATAGTTAATGAGGCAGGGCATGTGTATAAGCATAGTTTTTCATTTTAGTGTAAGAGAGGTGATGTAGGAACAGAAAAAATATTCAACAATAACATGCTAAGAATTAGGCAAAAATAATTAAGCTTATAAAAATCACTCTAATTAAAAATAAATACCTAGGGCTTTTACATTATAAAAAGCAATCATGGCCGGGTGCTGTGGCTCACGCCTATAATCCCAGCACTTTGGGAGGCTGAGCCGGGCAGATCACAAGGTCAGGAGATAGAGACATCTGGCCAACATGGTGAAATCCCATCTCTACTAAAATACAAAAAACATTAGCCAAGCATGGTGGCGCACACCTGTAGTCCCAGCTACTCAGGAGGCTGAGGCAGGGGAAATCGCTTCAACCCGGGAGGCAGAGGTTGCAGTGAGCCGACATCATACCATTGCACTCCAGCCTGGCGACAGTGCGAGACTCCATCTCAAAAAAAAAAAAGCAATCACTTCTGAGCTAAATTCAATTGGAAGTAAACGATCTATGAAAAATTCTTGATGATTACAATCTACTCAAAATCATGATGAATAATTATAAGTCCTAGATTGACTCTACATTAGGCTAAAACAACTACTGAGGGGCACGAAGGTACACAGCGTACAATGTGGCCTCCAGTTGATCCGTCATTGTAGGCACATGTGGCCACACCATTTTGTAAGCATCTGGCTTACTGTACCTTTTACATACAAGAAATTAAATGAGAGAAAAAATAACTGTAGTTACACCATATCACTTACAAGAATGGAGAATCTGCTTATAAGTCAAACTAGAATTAGAACTTATTTCTTAGACTGCTTCATAAAAACTAACATACCACTACTTTTTAATTATTTATTTATTTGCTAAAGAACAAAGATTTAAGTATGAAAAACAACCAACTGATTCACCCAACTCAGTAAGTTTGACTCACGTTTTCTGGTTCAACACCAATGTCTTCACAAAATTTCTCCATGCCTTCAGGGCCTACAACATCATCAGTTCCTGTGAAATACAGTCTTATGTAAATTAAATCTGACCATGCACACCATACTATTACCACTGTAGTAGTATTATACTGTCAACAAGTAAGACTTAAAGGCCATTAACTCCTTTTGGAAAAAAAAATCAAGTCTAAGTTGAAAAGTATTCTCGAATTTCAGTATCTTTAAAGGACTCTACTTTGTACAATCATTTAAATCAACTTATCACCATGTCCTTCAATCGTTGGAATATGGTATATACCATTTGTCTAAAGTTAAGGCTGAATTCAATTCCTGCTCTTTAAAACAGCTTAATGTTCTACTCTTACTTGGGTAATAATTTCAATACATAAAATAATTTTTGGAAACATAGCAAAGAACCACATAATAGTCTCTATAAAATTAAATAAGAAAAAACATAAATGTTTCTTTTACATAGAAAAAAATCAAGTTATCACTCTGTTCTTGATAAAGACAGTAAGGCCCCCTTTTCCGTTCTAGCATTAGCTCTGATTCTTCCTGAAGGAAGCGTCCACACATTCCATCTCTAATTTATCTCCCCTTCACTTTGTAACCATTGGAATTTGGTTTCTTCTTCTCCTAGCTCTCCACTGAAATTCTTTTTGCCAAGGTCTCCAATAAGCCCCTAAATGTCAAATCTAACAGACAAATTCAGTCTTTGTTTTATCTGACCATTGTGTGATATCTGAAAATCTGAAGCAGTTCTTTTTTCACAAAACTGTCTCTTCCCATGGCTTCTTGAAGCACCCTCTCTCATCTGGCTTTCCTCCTTCCTCTCCCCTTCTGGCTTCTTTATGGGTTCTTCTGCTTCTCCCAGATGGTTAAATTTGATGTGCAAAGATTCATCCTTAAACCTCTTCTAGTGCCTGCTATATACATTATTCCTAGGAAATTTTAACCATACTCAAGGTCTCGGGTCCTACCCAAATGTCTTTCTAGACCACACTTTCCCCTTACTTTTGAACTACTTGCCTCTTTATCACTAGCTGCTCCACCTCCTGTTTAACTGCCGTAACTACACTCATCTTCTGCTTCAAACCTACTCCTCCCGCATTTCACATTTTCAAACACTGCCTCACTAAAACGGAGCCCAATGTCTCTCGATATCAGGCCTGCTTATCCTCCTGTATGCTGTCCCAGCTGGTGGCACACCCAGAAATAGAAACCTGGGAGTCTTCCTGTATTCCTCCTTTCTCTCACACCCAATCAATTATCAAGTGTACTACCAATTTTACCTTCTAATTATTTCTTAATTGTGCCTCTCCTGCACCATGCTCTTTCAAGGCTTTATTCTTGACAACTACAGCAGTCTCCTCATGATCTCCTAATTCCAGAGTCTTTTCCCCCCGACCCATCCTGCAAACAGCCACTGAAGGGATCCACTTCAAACGCAATCCCATGCTGGCTTAAAATCCTTCAATGGCTCCCTAGAGCCTAAATATAAAATCCAAAGTGTTTGGCTTATCACATAAGGTTCTCTATGATCTAGTGCCTTTCTTCCCTCTTCAGTCTTACATCTTTCCAACTGCAAAACAAGTTTCTCAGAAGTAAATGAATCAATAAATATTGCTGGATGAAAAAAAATTAAGGTCCAGAAACACCTACTTACCTGTGGCTTCACTCTGCACCACCACCGAACACACACCCAGCACAGTATTACTCTTTGTGTCTCTGCCTGTCTTCCTCTAGTCCCCTTCCTGTCCCCTCCTCTCCCTTCCCCCAACTCCCCTGGCTAACTTATTCAACCTTTAAGACTGAGAGCAAAGGAGTAGTCCTCACAATCTCCCCACCTGCAGAGGCTGGGTCAGGCAGTACTGTGACCCCTCGCAATGCTAGGAATGGTTCTCACACATTTAGCACACTGCATTCAAAGTCCCAGCTCATCTGTCTTTCCCTCTAAACTCAAGAGCAAGAGTTCCTTTATTCTTCTTACAAGCTCAGCATACTATCTGGCATAGAATAGCTGGTCCAATAAAAACTGAATGAAGGACTAAATGAATGGCTGAATACCAGAATATAGGAAACGCTCTACAATCCTCCTATACCCTCTAGATTTAGCAAGTCACCAAGTCCAGCAGAATTCACCTTCTTAGTATGTATCCATTTCATTCCCATAACATTTGTTAGACACATCCTGGAGCTATGCACTGCAGTAGTTGCCTAGGGTGCAAACAGTCCCTGCCCTCCATGAAGGGAGACAAAGTACAGGAGTAACCTCAATACAAAGTAACAACAAGACTTTCACTAACACAAAGTATAAGGTGGCTGTTCTTAACAAAGGAGGAACACTAAAGTCACCCGGAGCTCCTGCTGGGAAGTCTTACGTCATTTTTCTGCTTCAAATCCTTGGCTCCCCCTAAAGTTCAAACTCAGGCCCTTCCTCATAATCTGGCCAAAGCAAATACTTTTTTCTTGTTGCCATTATTTTCCTTTTAATCACAAATGTTCTACTTCATTACACAATATTTTACTTCATATATTCAAATCTGTTACTTTTTTCTGGGGTTTTGTCCCCTTCTATCCCCTTTTTATATAAATGTATAAACATAAATTTAAAAATATAAATTTATATATAAATATATATATTTATATATTCCTAGTTTTCTTATCTTGATTATCAGAAGAAAACCAAATACTATTTTAGTTTTGTACATTAATACATAAACATGATACAAAGTTTCATTTGAAAATAAAAAATAAAATGTTCCAAAAGTGAAGTTGTCCCCTCTAACTCCTCCCTACTCTGCAGAGACAACTATTTATTAAAGAGCTTCTTTAACAACACTTCTCAAAATAAGCCATCTATAGAATTGTATATGCATGGAATATATACATATTTATTTAGTGTTTCTAAGTTTGCCCAGGCAATTCTCTTTGGCCTTCCAAGTGTAAAATAATTTAATCATTTCATCTGCAATGATCATTTCTGTCTCCTCCTTTCCAATATTTACACTCCTCGTTTCTTTCTCTTGTCTAACAGCAGTGCCTAGTAGCTTCCAAAACAATGGCAAGTAAGAGTAGTGAGAGTGGACATTCTTATCTCATTCTTGACTCAAATACGACATTTAGCATTTTATCACACAATATATTGCCTGCTTTCTTTGGTTTGAGAGTGCATATATCCACATGTGCACATTCATGTATGTATTAGACACACTACACATCAATTCATTCACATGACAAAATATTTAAATAGAGAACATACAGAATAAAATAAACAGTAAAAAAAAAGAAACTTGCCTTCTCCCTTTCTTTACCAGATAAGACATGATAGTATCCTCCTGGACCTTTTTGCTGCATATGGGCAAATATATACTAAAATGCAGTTTTCAAATTTGTTCACCTACGCACATGGGTTTGTGAGGTACTTGTAATTCTACACCTTGCCTTTTTCACTGACTGTGTCTGGTAATCTTCCTGTGACAGTACCCATACATCTACTTCATTCTTCTTAGCTAATATTAATACATTTTATGTTATCCCATTGTAAGTGTACATATGTGTGTTGATATGAATCAAAGTTCTTTTCATCATTCTACTAAAGTATTTAGGCTGTGAGACTGAAGAATATTCTGATAAGGAAATATTCATCTATTCCTATTTTGTTAAGGGTGTTTTTTTTAAGCAACAGATACTTTTTGGTATCTACTGATATGGCTTATTGAGAAGCAGCTGCATAGAGCCGGGGGGGAAAGTTACTTTGTAATTCTTTTAAAATTCCTCTCTCTTTGGTTTCTATTCTTCCTAATTTAAAAAAGCTCTTTCTGTGCAACTTATTCTTTTATTTATTTATTTATTTTTTGAAATGGAGTCTGGCACTGTCGCCCAGGCTGGAGTGCAGTGGTGCAATCTCGGCTCACTGCAAGCTCTGCCTGCCGGGTTCATGACATCCTCCTGCCTCAGCTTCCAGAGTAGCTGGGACTACAGGTGCCCGCCACCACGCCCGACTAATTTTTTGTATTTTTTAGTACAGATGGGGTTTCACCTGTTAGCCAGGATGGTCTCGATCTCCTGACCTCGTGATCCGCCCGCCTCGGCCTCCCCAAGTGCTGAGATTATAGGCATGAGCCACTGTGCCCGGCCTGTGCAACTTATTCTTGAGCCTAGCAAGCCGCCTGCATTTGCCATGCCTCTGCACATGGCTTGGGTGTTCCCCGGCTTCCTCTCCCCGTCGTGCATCCTCCAACCTGGCTACTGCCTTCTCTTTCTGTCAATGTTCACCATAAAGGTAATGTTTCTCTACTTATTTGCCTGTTTGCCACATGGGAAAATGAACTCTGAGCACGGTGCTTCTGCTGACTGCACCCCAGACCTCAACGAAGGTCTACTGAGGTATCCTTTGCAGTGGTTATGTAAGTTATTAATGCTTTTTCTTTTTTCCCAATTTTATAGTGTTGCTGTACTACTTATAAATACATGTGTCTGTGTGTTTTAGAAGAGCAAGATTTTAATTTGCAATGGCATGACTGTCAAAGTAATATCTTATCCAAAATAGGTTAAAATATAGTTTGCCAATCAACATTATTGAAATGCTACCAATAACCCTGCCATCTAACACTTTTCTTAAGAGATGGGGTCTCACTATATTGCCCAGGCTGGTCACAAACTCCTTAGCTCAAACGATCCTCCTACCTCAGCCTCCCAAATTGTTGGAATTACAGGCGTGACCAACTGCACCCAGCCCTAACACTTTTCTTCTCATCTTTCCCATGCACACATTTAAATCTAGTTGTAATTGCATGATTTGTTGGGATTCTAGTTGTATTTTACACTAAATTTACCTGTAGAATTAAGGTAATTACCTCTGTCAAGCAAGCTAACAAATACACCACTGGCTAACACAAAGTGGGTTAGAAGTGAAGTTTGAGACAGAGAGGTTTTTTTTTTCTTGTTTTTTTTTTTTTTTTTAACTTGTATCTAAAATAATAAGCTATAAAATGCCCTAGGTGACAAGATACTGGAGGTACATCTGGTAAGGCTGATATACTGACAATAATCCAGAAAGAAGTGGTCCTTCCACTTTCCCTGCCATCTTAAGCAGGGGCCCCTAACTAAAGATATTTGACCTTTTCATAATGGCCCCATAATTATAGCATACCACATCACAGAGGCAAATGGGGCCCACATGGTCTCTTAGGTAGTTTTTAACATCTCTTCCTTCGCTATCAGACCAGTTTATTATTTGTTGCAACTGTCCATGACTGACTTTATTTTTGGTAAACCAAACAATTCTGCTATAGAACTTAATCCAAAATAGACTAAGGGCCTACAGTCAGGACTTGTAGAACTATTATGACCTATGTATGTGAGCTTTAGTATAACTGTAAAACCAATGTTGGCACCTGTGTATTTGGTTTAATTCCTTATTCTTAGATATATTTCAAAAAGTGGAAGTTATTAGATAAATTATGTAAACTGGTCATCTTCATTCTTTTTTTTTTGAGACGGAGTCTCACTCTGTTGCCCAGGCTGGAGTGCAGTGGCGCAATCTTGGCTCACTGCAACCTCTGCCTCCCGGGTTCAAGTGATTTTCCTGCCTCAGCTTCCCGAGTAGCTGGCACCTCAGGCGCATGCCACCACGCCTGGCTAATTTTTTGTATTTTTATTAGAGATGGGATTTCACCGTGTTAGCCAGGATAGTCTCGATCTCCTGATCTCATGATCCACCCGCCTTGACCTCCCAGTGTTAGGATTACAGGCGTGAGTCACCATGCCCAGCCTGGTTGTCTTCATTCTAATGAAACAAAATGGGATTCCAGGTTCAGATCAAGGTCTAAATAAACACTTCCCCTGAACCTCCCAGCCGATCCTTTCTAAAGTCACAGAGAGCTAAAGTACCAAAGTGTGAAAGGGAGTACACCTACAACCAGAGAACAGGAGGAAAAGCCCCCAGCGAAGAAGGGTTTATTCATTATATTTCTGGAGATCAGAAATTGAGCTGGTGGAGATTTTAGAAAGTGAGAAGCTGCATCCTAGAATGTGCAGAGGATGACTGGGGTTAACTGGCCAGACAGAAACTTGGAAGAGCTGGGCTCAGGCCTCAGGAGCCACGGAAAGCAGAGGGCAAGGTACAAAGTGGAACTGAGAATTCTGGGAAGAGCTGAAGGTCCATCCATGTGAAATAATCACACACCAGGCCCCCGCTGCCCCTCCACTCCACTCTACTCCAGATTAAAAGGCAGGGAGTCAGCATTTATCCTCAGCCCAAACCAGCCTGCTCTCTTCTACGGAAAATGAACATGGCTCAATTTCATTTACAAGCCCTCTTCGTGCTGGTATCTAGGGGGTCTGTGGCATCACAGCCTGTTCCCACAGACTCATCCTACAGCACAACCTGTTAGTCACACTGGTTCTTCTCACGATTCATTTTTCTTGACTAATACTGACCTACAGTTTCAGTTTATGTGGTTGAGATACACAAAATGAAAACACATGCCAATGGGGCTTTCAGTTATTCCCAATGCCAGTTATTTTCCCTATGGACAAGCTATAGCAAAAGGGGGAAAAAGAAGGGGGTGGCTAAAAATAGGAATAGTCACCTCCACACAAATTTCTTGAAGGGTTCAGTTAAAACGAAGGACTTAGCAGGGATTTCAAGGAACCTAAATAATGTAGCTTAATCTTTATGTCCAAAATGTCACCCTTCTAAAGTCAGAGAAAGGCAAACAAGAAGAAAAGTCACACCTTGCTATTTTCTTGGCTTATATTATGAAAAAATCTGTATTTGCTTATAAAGGAAGGTACCAAAAAATCAGAATAGCTATGCTATGGTGATGGGATTAAGTGTACTTTTTCTTTAAAATTTCCTTCTTATAAAACATTTTCATAACAATAAATGTGAATCAATATAGGAAAGCAAGAGATCTTCATAATCAATGTGATAAGAATATGAGAACGCTCTTCATTCATTCAGAACCTATTTACAGAATATCTGGTACAGTGTCAATTATTTTTGTTTTCTGGAGACGGAGTCTTGCTCTGTCGCCCAGGCTGGAGTGCAGTGGCACAATCTCGGCTCACTGCAACCTCCGCCTCCCAGGTTCGAGTGATTCTCCTGCCTCAGCCTCCTGAGTAGCAGGGATTACAGGTGCATGTCACCACAACTGGCTAGTTTTTTGTATTCTAGTAGAGACGGGGTTTCACCGTGTTGCCCAGGCTGGTCTGGAACTCCTGAACTCAGGCAATCCTCCTGCCCTGGCCTCCCAAAGTGCTGGGATTTCAGACGTGAGCCACCGCGCCCAGCCGTCAATCACTTTTACTAGAAATTCTAAAGGTTTCCAAGAGATTCAGGTTCAATGAATCAAACGAACTCATGTTTAATTTGTCTGTAAACATGAAAACAGACAAATGCTAACAGCATCCATGTGTTTGCACTAGTGTCCATGCCCCGCAAACAAAATCCAGATCAAACTCATTAAAGAAATGACAGAGAATCCATTAGAAAGATGTTGGGGTAGCTCATAAAAGTCCAAAGAAGAACTACAGGAATCAGAACTATAACCTCTCGAGTCCTCCACCAGAAGAGAAAGACATGATCCTCCCAGCTTCAATCTGAAAACCCCTGTGAAGATTTGTCTGACTGGCCTGGCCTGGGTTATGTGCCAGCCACCTAGACCAATCTCTGTGGCCAACAGGGGCAAGGCTCTTATCACAAAAAGGGTTGCATGGGAATAGGAGAAAAATAGCCAGATCAGGCTACAGGGGGAATTCCTCATTTTGATACCAATAAAAGGGAACCAAAACAAGTTACAACAAGTTATAAACACTATCCTGTGGAAGTACAGAAAAGGCTACTAAGGTAATTAAGGGTTTAAAAGATGTAAGAGCATGTCAGATGGAAAAACGGAGAAAATCATTTCAGGCAAAGGCACGGGGAGTTCACTCTCTTTTATCCTGCAGATAGCAGGGATTCTTTTGGCCAGGAGATAGGGTTGGGATTAGAGGGGAGTGGTTGAGGTTGTTCAGGAATGTATGTATGATCTGCTCAGCTTAGTTTTAAAAAAATTAGACAACAGTGGCACATGGCAGGTTGTCTGGAGAGGAGATGACAGGAAAATTGGTTTAAAGGTTGCTAGAATAGCCAGTTGGTAAGTTATAAAAGAGCCTGAAATAAGGTGAGAAAGAAGAAAGATAAAAGAGCCTTCAGCTTGAGCTTGTTTGAAAATTTTTTCTTTTTCTTTTTTACACCATACAAAGCCACAATAACAAATAAGCCCCAGGTCGCAACATTATATTACCCAACCAATTATAGTAAATTGCAAAAAGAAAGACTAAATTTAAAACATTTTAAGTGACAAAACAAACATTTTCTGCCAAATGATCTTTCCAAATAGAAACACTTAATATAAAGAAATTTCACTGCACTAAGTAAGGGTTCAAAGCAGCAAAGCTTATTTTAACACAGGTGCTTTGACCAAATAATCACCCATTATCAGCATTCCAAATAGGTTTCCCAGCAATCCAAAGTATTTCTCCCAAGTCATTTCATCTTTTCAGTTCCCTTCTAGTGTTCTGAATTATTTGGCTTAGCTGCTGGCTATAAAATAGGCTATCTGGTGATTTGTTACAGCTATGTCCCTCTCTCCCTCTAACAGGGACACACACACACACACACCCAAATTTGAAATGTACACATTTTTAAATTCTTTAATCATCTCTAAGGTACTCCTTATTGTCATAAGGATCAGTCTTAGATGATACAAATGAATACCTACCTGCATATTCATAGAACCATTCCAAGCACCTTTTACTTGAAAAGGCTTCTTCTTCAGTCTTTATTCTAGTCGAATCATATTTTCTATACATGCTGGAAATTGAAAAGGCAGTTTTAAGTTATTTAAAGATACTGAGTTCTTTAAAGTAGCAGATAATTTATATTCTTTTACCCAAACCAGACATCTATTCAATCAGTATTTTAAGTATATTTTAAACGTTTTATTTCCTGCATTTGCAGGCTTCAGCTTTTAACTACAGTGTTTAAACACAGTCACTCCTAATATAGAACTGGTAAGCACTTAATACAAGTTTTTCTCTGATTAACAAATAATCAGTAAGAACTGAACAGAACAGGTATTTGATATACTCCCTTCTACCTCACCAGCCAGAACTACAAAATAATGGTGAGATATGGCAAGAAATGTCTTGCCTACATTTATTAATGTAGCCTACAACTCATGTCTGTCTTCTGTGTCTTACAAGTTAGACTGGGCACGGAACACAGTCTAAGGAAGAATCTCTCAATATTAGACAACTCAAGAGAACACTAAGCAAATAAAAAGAAACATCAAATCATGTCCAAGCTTCCGGGAAAAAAATAAACTTTGATGTAAGGCTGACAAAGACAATGTCGCTTGGGTGGTTTCTTGATTAGTATAACCTTAGAAACCTCAGGAGACAGAAGTATAGAGAAACTAGCTTCTGCCTTTTTCTTCTAATTCTAGCCTTGTGGACAGCCCAGCATAAACTAGAGAACTGAATCAGGAAGCACAGCAGCCTCCTGTTGCAACTGTGACCTTCCACAAAAATGACATACTTCATAATAACCAGGGGCTGAGGAAGGTGATACTCCTCACATGGAGAGGGAAGAGGAGGCAATAGCTTTAAAATGATGATATGGATATAAAAATTATAAGTATATACATTTTTATATCCCTTACTTATATATAAATTACCTAGTGGTGTATATAAGCATTTATAAATACAGTTTTTATTTTCATAGTATGTAAGAATATGAAAATAATATTCGGTAATTCCCCAGTATATGCAGGGGACTGTTTCCAGGACCCCCACCTATACCCAAATCTACACATACTCAAGTCCCCCAGTCAGCCCTGGAAGACCCATGTATACCAAAAGTCAGTGCTCCATACAGGTGGGGTTTCACATCCCTCAATAGTATATTTTCCATCTCTGTTCGGCTGAAAAAAATCCACAGAAGTAGACTTGTGCAGTTTAAACTTGTATTGTTCAACAGTCAACTGTATAATCCTTTTTTTTTTGTATTATACTTAAGTTTTAGGGTACATGTGCACAACGTGCAGGTTTGTTACATATGTATACGTGTGCCATGTTGGTGTGCTGCACTCATTAACTCGTCATTTAACATTAGGTATATCTCCTAATCCTATCCCTCCCTCCTACCCCCACCCCACAACAGGCCCCCCGGTGTGTGATGTTCCCCTTCCTGTGTCCATGTGTTCTCATTGTTCAATTCCCACCTATGAGTGAGAACATGCGGTGTTTGGTTTTTTGTCCTTGCGATAGTTTGCTGAGAATGATGGTTTCCAGCTTCATCCATGTCCCTACAAAGGACATGAACTCATCATTTTTTATGGCTGCGTAGTATTCCATGGTGTATATGTGCCACATTTTCTTGATCCAGTCTATCATTGTTGGACATTTGGTATAATTCTTTTTTATTGAACATTGATTCATGACCTAGACACTCACCCGATTATCAGTATATGCCTCTGATTAGTTTCTGGGTTTTAACACCAAAAAAAGTACATGGTTATAATAAGGTGTTAGGTTACTGAAACTGCAAACCAGCAGTTTTGTATTTCTTCTATAAAAGGTAGCCATACCACCTAGAAACAAAAGTGGATACCGGCCAAGTGTTCAAATAGATATGATCTAATTCTGGGCCCAGGCATTCCTATCTCAGCTCAAAGCCTGTAAATGGTCAATAACTTGGAGACACTATATAAATTATTCAAAAATACATAAAAAAGAACCAAGAGCATACAACGGAATACCATTCAGCAAATAAAAAGAATGATATGCTGATATATGCTATTTCATGCAAGAATCTCAAAAACATCATGCTTAGTGAAAGAAGCGAGACACAAAGACCATATCCATAAAAGGGAAATCTGTCGAGACAAAGTAGATTAGTGGTTGTCTGGGGCTGGGAGTGGCTGAATGGGCATTAGGGATCTTATTGGGATAATAGAAATGTTCTATAACTGGTTTGTAGTGATGGTGTGTACAACTCAGTTAACTTAATAAAAATCACTAAACTGTACACTTAAAATGGATGAACTTTATGGTATGTAAATAAAGTTGTTTAAAAAAGAAAGGCCAAGAATGAAACTCAGAAACTGCAACTACACTGCCAGTTTCAAATCTGGCTTTATCATACTATATTTTATTAGACTGTGGTGAGAAAATACTAAGCGCTACAAAGTCACAAAATGTTATGTGATTGTTAGAATTTAACAATTCTGATAATAACGTCCACACCACCAAAAAAGTATCAAAGTAGCCTGCCTTTGTAAAGTTGAAAAATCACTGGCCTAAAGATTGCTGGTGATTATTTTCTAAATCACTACTATCTTCTTTCAGATAATATTTTCTATTCATTTGAGATATAAACAATGACATTATTTTTACATTTTCAGAGTCTTTCTTATTCCTCTGAGTCACAGCAAGAAAGAAACAGAAAAATCTCACTTAAATTCCCTGGATTAATACATGTGGAAATTCTGGCCCATTAGTGATATGACCCACAAAGCCAGAATGGGGAAAGATGGAGAAAGGTAGAAAAGACTAGACAATGATGTTCGTTTGTTGTTTCTGAAACAAGGAAGAAAAAACTACTTACTAAACTCAGGGTGAAACAATAAAGATGTTTGAAATAAACGAATCTAACAGGCCCTTGGAGTTACCAAAATTAACAAGTTCACTTATCTGAAAGAGAAGCGATTTAAAGAGCCTTGTTTTTCACAGTTCTATCGAATTCTCACCCATGTGAGAATAAACCTCAGCTTGGCTGATATTCTGGGCGGGCACAGACCATTAAGTACAGGAAGATCTCTCCAGCTCTGTGGTTGAAGTGAATGAGTGAGACCTGCTTAAAGAACAAGACACCAATTCTGTGGTCCTCAGCAGGCACAGACAGCAAGGCTTTGAAAGGAAAGAAATCAACTCTGCACCAGTTTTGGGCGATCAATGGATTAAGATAAAACTTTAACTTCTAAGAATTCAAATTACCTAATTTGTTCTTACGTTTTTAAACTAAAACACAAAATAAACATGATTAAATAATTACATTTTGAAAAATCGACTGGCAAAGCCCATTCCACTTGGCATTTGCACACTTAGAAGACCCACACTGAATTAGGTAGAAATGTGCATCTTCGACATATGTATCACTGATTCTGATCTACTGTCTCTACATCATACCTATCATGTCTACTTTTCTTGGCAGATAAATCATCTCCAGAGGCAGGTCTTCTCTTTTTCCTTGGTGGCATCACTTTATTAAAGCAGTCTGAAGAACTGCAAGACCGCAGACTTCCTACAAAACAAATTCAAAGAGCACAAAATTAAGGTATGCTACATCCTAACTCTGTACTTCCAAAGAACAGTACTGCTAATTTAAACACTTCCACAGCTTGTATTGTAAGGAATTTAGATGTTAAAGAAAAGATGGGTTTTTAGTTCCTTTTTGAAAAAATGTTATGGTCAAGAAATAAACCTAGCGACGACACAAATAAGTTAATACTTCCACCAACCCAAATCACACCAGAAATAGAAGTTATTATAATTTCAATTTACTCTCCAAAAATACTAATCTAAGTCATCTAACCTTTCTGTTTCTCTTATATGTCAATGTTCTCTCAAAATGCACTGCAGTGCTATCTCATGTACACACTTCATGAAACAAGGTTAGCTCAACAAGTAACCCTGACTCTAAAATACACGTAGGCACATCAGTCCCAGTAGTCTTAAGCTTCAAGAGATATCTGATTTAAAAAAAACAGGATTTGGGGTTTTTTAAGCAGAAGTCTGACATGACCTTGAGCAAAATGTCCACAACAATTTTGTTTGTTTCTGCCACTTGAAGATTTTGCCACATTCAGTCAGGGTTTTCAGTTAGGAAACATAACTTTCATTTGGTAATTGTCTGATACCAAAATGTAATAACAGATAATAATAGCCACTGAACACTTACTGAGGTCTTACTTTGAACCAGGCCCTGTTCTTAACACTTGCATGTACTAACTCATTTAGGTTCAGTTTCCATGAGGAAAGAACTATTATTGCCTTATGCAGATAAGAAAACGGAGGCGGAGGGAGGTTAGGCAAACGGCAAAGCCAGGATTCGAATCTGGGCAGTCTTGCTTCAGGCCGTCTTAAGTTATAAACTACAAGACAACTATAAGATGATTAAAATACCCCACCTTGGTACAAGTGCCCTCAAATATATTATGTCATTTGGTTCCTACAATAATCATGAATGACAGGCAGGGCAAAGATAATTATTTCTACTTAACAGACAGGGAAAACTAAGGCTTAGGTATTTAAGTGACCTCCTGAGGTCTCAGGAGTGAGAAGTGGTGAATTCTGAACCTCATGCCTTTCCTCCTTGCACAAGCCCTTGGTTGAAGGCCCAGGGCTCTCAGGGAGTGATGAGGACAGGAGAGCGTGAAGGGTGCTGGGGACTGAATGATCTGCAGTCAATGAGTGAGTTCCAGTTCTTCACCTATGTGGTTCTATCAGTCACTAACCTACTTAGGGTCTCTCATTCGCCATTTGAAGAATGAGAAATGTTATATAGCTACCTCTCAGGAGTTTTATGAAGGAAAAAAATACCCATTCACTAAGTGCTTAGGTGCCAAGTGTTGTGTTCGGGTGTTGCTGAAATAAAGACATTGGTTCCGAGCAGCATCACGGAAGGAGGCATGCGCACTGCGCTCATGGCGGCCTTCAGCATTCACTGAACTCTCAGGACACTATTCACCAGCATGTATCATATTTTAACAAACAGGGAAACCAAAGCAGAGAGATTAAGTGACAGCTGGAAAGCAGCACGTAAAGCCAAGTCAGTATGAACCCAAGCAGCCCAGTGGCAAAGCCCAAGCTCTCAGCTACCATTTGCTGCCACTTCTATGAGGCCATAAAAGCAGAAACAGAAACAGAGGACTAAGGACAGAGCCCTGGGAAAAGAAGGTAAAACCCAGGCAGGAAGGAAATCCAGGAGAGTGTCATGTCCTGGAAGCCAAAGGAGGAGAGCATGCTTTGAGAAGGGAGTGTTCAATTGCAGCACGGAGGTCAACTCAGGTAAGGAGTGAAGGCACACATGAGATTTAGCAATCAAGTACAGTGTCCATGGATTGGTGGGAGTGCAGGCCAGATTGCAGCGGGCTGTGGAGAGACAAGAGATGTGAGGTGAGGAAGTGGACACAGTGAATGTGAACAGCTCTTTCCAGATACCTGCTCTGAAGGCAGAGAGAGCTGTCAATAGCCAACATTCACAACCCTGCTAAGAGCAATGATCAGAGCTGAAACCTAAATCCCAGTTCATATCTGGGCTTCCATCACTGTGCTAAGTTCCTAAGGTGACATGCTTCAGCAACATACCAGTTCAAAGCACCCTTTCCATTATAAATTGGGACTCTGGCCCAGATGAGGGTCCTTCCCAGACCCCAGTCTTGGACAGTGCCCAGGCTCAAGGATCCTGCCTGCTCCTTCGGCACAAAACCAGTTCAGGTCTAAACAGATGACCCTCAGCCACCATTCCTGGGGAACCAACCAGGCTCTTTCCTTCCAAGGATTGGAGTAGAGAGCTCTTCAGAGACACTAAGCACCCCCATATCACTCCTCCCACACCAGCAGGGTGTGGAAGAGAAAGAGTCAAGGGGAGTGCTGCCCACCACCCCACACACCCCATTCATCTTCCCTGTAAAATGCTGCCCTGGTTCACAAACACCACTAAAGCATATTAAAAGGTCCAAAGAATTGCAGTGACCCAAGCTTCTGCAGACTGCCAACATACAAAAACAAAGATTTATTCATATCTATTAATGCCCTAGGGCAGGGCTTGCAGAAGGAAAAAGTTTGCCCTGCTCAGCTGTAAAGCCTGTTATACTGCCCAGAAATGAAGAGTCTGTCCTGATCCTCAAGGCTGGCTTCTCCCTCC
Source organism: Homo sapiens (assembly GCF_000001405.40). Lineage (NCBI taxonomy): Eukaryota > Metazoa > Chordata > Mammalia > Primates > Hominidae > Homo > Homo sapiens. The sequence continues at coordinate 51,871,645 of NC_000004.12, read as the reverse complement.
TTAGATGTATATGCAGGAAGAAAAGACATTTTCTTCCAATAGCAGTCACGGTTTGGTTCTTAGCTTCCAGTCTAGCAGTAACCCCTCCCCTTCCACATGTGCAAAACACAGAAGAAAATGCACTTATCGCCTCAATCCATAAGAAGAGGAACACTGTTTAAAATAACGTCTACACCAATATATTCACCAATAAAAGTTCATTCATTAGCTCCTCTACCACCTGGTTCTTCCTAGACACACACTGTACAACGTTTGGTTTCCACTGAATCCTACTTGTCAAGATTAGCATGTTTTTGGCAAATACACAAACATCATAAGTTAACTAACATTTTCAGCTTTCTCTTATGTTTCTTTCTTATTGATAAATGCTTTCTATTAAAAGTTTCACAAATACTTTTTTCTTGTGTCTGTGGAAAAGTTACTCATCTCTGAGACCCAAATCATCCCAGTGATTCTGTCATTTATTAAAATGTTTATCTCCTAACTAAGAGGCATGACTTTTTTTTTTTTTTTAATCTCTCCACTCTAATCATCAGTGTAAGCAAGTGACAGTTAAGGGGTCATTTTTCACAAAGAAACTGTGTCTATCCACCTGCCCCAACAGCCATCCTAGTTCAGGCACTGACTCACTGACTCTCACATGGCTGGCTCACAAGGAGGATGAGGCAAACTCAGATCCAGGCAAGGGAAGGGAATTGACTTAGGACCACACAGCACAGCTGGTCAAGGCAGAGCCACCCTGGAACCCATTCAGGCTACAAAAAAAAAACAACTTTTTAATGCTTAGGGAAACAACTTTACTTAAAATAGTAATTTGCCAACATGAACTAAATAAACAAAATGCACAGAGAACACCCAATTCAAGTCTGTTTACCCCAAACCTGCTCCCCCAATGGTTGCAGGGATCCCAACTAAGCAAGAGCAACAACTAGGATTTCTCAAGTGCACGTGCAAAGGCACATACTGCTTTGCGGGGTCCTGTTTGGTTCACTTGTGCATACTCAGCAGCTAATACAGTATCTTATTACAGTAATAATAAGATACATCCATTACTGAGTCATACGGTAGACTCTCAGTAAATATTTGTTGAATAAATGCTCCTAAAACATGTATAAATCAGATTCTTCTAAAAAAAAAAAAAGTACATTTCCAGAGACTTAAAACACCTATGAGTAAATAAAACACCATCATTTCAGATTTTTTCCCCATTTGTCACTAAAACAAACAGTTAACTTTAAGTTTCTTGGCAGATAGGATTTTTTTAGAAGACATATTCAAGGAATGCTTGCTTCTTAAAATAACTGTGATTTTTTTATGATAAAAATACTTAAATATAAATAATTTCTACAAATTTGTATTTATTTGTATCATTAAATTTAGACTTCACCGACTTACAACTTGTATGAGTTGTATTACTTGACTTTACAAGTTTATCTTTAAACTACAAAAAAAAATACAAATAATATAAACAAGAATGTTACGGAATATTTATCTGCTTCAGAAAATGAGCTATTTTAACCATTTTAAAGTACTTAATTAGGTACGAACATCTGGCATCAGAGGTAGAAGCAAGATATTAAGGCTGACGTTTTAGTGAATCGGAAATCAATCCTCCTATCATTAGAAGCTCTTTCTTAATGTTTTGGTGTTTACATGACACTTAGGAAAGCAATCAAAATTGTGTGCAATTTTTGCCCAAAGATTATTATTTAAGTTCAGATTCATTTCTTTTGGGTTCAGTGTTTCAAGAGAACAAATTAAATATTTTTTAACTGACCCCATCTGATTTCAAATAAATCAGTCAATGAATAGAGCTTTTCTTCCCACATTAATCAGAAATACTGCCAACATTTTTTCAACAGGTCTATCCTAATATTTATGACAGAAAGTCCATTTTAAAGGGCAACTTGAGTTCACCTGGTTCAGACTAAAGGCCCTTTATCATCTATCCAGCTTGCTATTTTCATAATAATTTAATTACGTAGCACATTATTCTTAACAAATAGTGCCTAAGTATGTGCTTCACTTCCTTTTTTTTTAATCTTTCTGCTTTGTGGTCCTCAAGTAAAAAAGAGTACAAGAGGTTTACAAAATTAGAGAATATATTTTACTTCTCCAAACTTAATACAAATAGATGTGCCAATACAAAAATCTCACTGTCTCATGTTTCATTTTAGTGAGCTGATTGTATCACAGCCTTGTTTCACTTACTAACATTTTACGGAGCTCATTCTGCCACTTCAGTACTTTTTATATAGCTATTTCACCTCACTTTTCATTGAACATTGTCACAAAGATACAGTAACTTAAGTTCATAAATAGCTTGCCGCTTAAGATATCTTACCAGTAGCTAATATTTTTATTTCATTTTCTTGAACAGATCATTGAACTGCTAAGGACAAAAGAATTTTTTCCTCTCTCTAAATACTTCTGACATCTATCATCATCATCCCTACTCATTTTTTTTTATTTTTTTTATTTTTGGTCCTCTCTGATTGACTTTTTTTTTTTTTTTTTTTTTTGAGATGGAGTCTCCCTCTGTAGCCTAGGCTACAGTGCAGTGGCATGAGCTCAGCTCACTGCAACCTCGGCCCCCCGGGTCCAGATTCAAGCAATTCTCCTGCCTCAGCCTCCCGAGTAGCTGAGATTATAGGCATGCACCACCATGCCCAGCTAATTTTTGTATTTTTAGTAGAGACGGGGTTTCACCATGTTGCCCAGGCTGGTCTTGAACTCCTGACCTCGTGATCCACTGGTCTCAGCCTCCCAAAGTCCTAGGATTACAGGCGTGAGCCACCACACCCAGCCTGATTGGGCTCTTTAAAATTCACTCCTATTTTGTGCTATTTCTCCAAGATTAGCCACTAATTCATTCTCTCTTTTTCCTTTTGGTAGGAGGAAGATTGTGACACACAAAAGAAAGGCCTGAGAGGAGGCAGAGCAGGAAGATACCCGATCTCTGTGACTTAGGTTTGGCTCTTCCACACACAGTAGCATTGCCCAGACTACTGTTAGGCCAAGAGACTCAAAGAAGTACTACAATGACTCAACTATTTCAGATTTCTAAACATCATAGATTTTATGTTGCTCAGTTTTTAAAGTATACTCTGTTGGGTACCGGAATCACAAGTGATGCTATAACCAGATGGCAAATGTTAATGAAGTTGACTACTCCAAGAAATTACTAACACTAACTGACATTGACTGGGCACTTACAAGGTAACAGGCAATAAACCAGCATGTCATACTGATGGCAGCAGCAGCCCGTCTGGAGCAATCACTGCCATGAGGTGGGCTGCAGTGGAGGAGGAGCAGCAGGGGCTGCACACTCCACGGAGCTTGGAACAGGCAGGAGCCCCACCCCATTCTGAGCTGTGGGGGCAGGAGTCTCGCCCTTCCAGGAACAGCTGCAGCCGCCCAGCCATGGCTGCGGACCCAGGCATCCCTGCACTCTCAAGGACTGGGAAGGCCCCCTGCCCCCACAGCCTCAAAAGTGACTGCTCCCACTTCCTGGCATCTCCCTACTCCTGGTGCTTTGTCCGTTATCAGAGTAAAGTTGAGGCTGAGCCCAGGCACTGTCGTGACCTGACCAGGTGTGCACATGCTTGGGGCAATGCTGACACACCAGCCCCCTGCCACCTCAGCCCCCTTCAAACTTTGGGCACCAACAAGCACGAGGGGGAAGCCGAGGGGGGCTGAGAGCAGCTTGGCGCAGACCTGCAGGTGCCCCTTGGCACGAACAACCTGAGCGCCGTGGGCACCATGGATGGCAAGTTGATGGCATCAGGAAGCAGGCTTCTGCGCAGAAAGGGGTGGGTCCCCGGTAAATCCCCAACTTCAAGCCTGGAATGGCCTGAGGCCTGGAGGCTGGGCTGCCAGTTCCAGGGACTAGAGTGAGAACTTATGGTGCTTTTTCCAGGCCAGCTCATGGCTGCCCATGGACCAATCAGCACGTGCTTTCTCCCCTCTGAAACCCATTAAAAACCTCAGACTCTGCCAGACTCAGGCAGAGGACAGGACAACCTGCCTGCAGATAGGAGCTACTCACTCCAGGTCTCCTCTCCACCGAGGGCTGCACAGATGTCGGGAGGACCTGCCTGCAGAAAAGAGCTACCCACTTTGGGTCTGCTGAAAGCTGTTCTGCCACTCAATGAAGCTCCTCTACACCTTGCTTACCCTCCAGTTGTCTGCATACCTCATTCTTCCTGGATGCGGGACAAGAACTCAGGATCCACCAAATGGCAGGACTAAAAGAGCTGTAACACAAACAGGGCTGAAACGCACCCCTTGCCACTTGCCACGTTGTGGGCGGTGAAGAGAGAAGAGCTGCAGCCCTTTGAGGAGCCTAGACCTATGGGCTCCTTGAGCCAGGGCTGTGACACCCTCTTTGGGGTTCTGTGGTTCCTGGTGTCTCCAAGCTTCCGGGCGCCACCTTGTTCCCCTCATCCAGGTGCAGGTGCCCACAGTGGAAGCCACATGCAGTACATCTGGTCCAGCTGCAGCCTCGCACAGAGCTGGTGCCTGTACTGGCGCCTGTGCTGGCACCTGGAGCTACTTGCCCCACTGCAGCAGCCAGCATGCCTGGCTGTGTGCAGTGATTGGAGCGGGTGCTTGCTCACCCACACACCGTGTGCTGCTCCATGTCTAACTCACACTTGGCAGGTGTGGGATCCAGGCCAGTAGTGAGAACTGAGTGCAGCCTGCCTGGCCAAGTGGGTGGAAGGAGCCCAGCAGACACAGGCAATACTCAGGCAGAAGGTGCCACCAGCCACAGAAGTTTCCGGCTGGCAAAGCAACACCCCAAGAATCCCATGAAAAGTACTCCCAGTATTGGACGTATCCACTGTAACCAAGGCAAAAGTGGAGGCATGAGTCCAAGTATACTTTCGTTTAACTGAATTTCAAGTGCCACACTTTGGGTTAAATATTTACATGCAAAATTACTATAGTAACAATACTTATCTAATTCAAAAGTTCAGAACTACTAAAACTGGTCCAAAAGTTATATTCCTGCATTATTAGTGGTGGCTAAAAGTTAAACATATAAGCATAAGTGTACATAAATCAACAGGAGGCTGAAGGAACGTATTATAAAATACCCATGGATTAGAAAATTACAGTCATTAAAAAAGAAAGCAGATGCTTTATAAATGTGTTAATATGAAAAGATCTCAAGGATATACTGAGTGGAAAAGTGGCAAATATAAATGTACACTTGTATTTAAGGAAAAAATACATCATCATCATCATCATCATCATCATCATCACCATAATTTGGTTAACAAACAGAAGAGTTACCTCTGGAAAGTCAAACGTGGACTACTAGTGGGGGATGGAACCTAGGGGTGATAAACTGGGACAGAAATCTTCACTTTTTGTTTTATATTTTTTCAATACTTCTTTCAAAACTATGCGAATATACTGCTTTTAAAATTATTAAATAAATTGTTTTTGACTGTCCTTGAGTTGATCTATATTTGCTGATATGGAATGATCAGGTGAAGGGACCCTTAGTACCCCTGAACTCCTAGAACACTCCTAGCGCATTCTCTGCCTCTCTGTCTCACTCCTTTCCCTGGAAGAAGGAGTGCCTGATCTAAGTGCTGAGAGACTGAACTGAGCAGAGAGCCTGAAATGAGCAGAAAGCCCAACCCCTCTGAACTCCCTTTCAGATCTGCCTGCAGTGGAGCAAGCTGAAAGAGTATGAACACTTCCACTGTCATAGTGCAGGGTGTAAAGGGTCAGCAGGTATGCTGGCTTGTGCTTATCTAGTTGTGACAGTGATTCAGGTGAAATGCTGAAAGTCCTGTGCATTCTTGCTGCACATCTAAGTTGTGTTTTCCAAAAACACTGTTACTTCAGTCTCCATCTTACACCTAATTTTCAATTGATTCTGAACCAATTTAGAGAAGGTGGGGACAGTCTTAAATCTCAACAGCCCCCAAAATGCACCATTAAATGAAAAAGAAAAACACACTATAACACGTACAGTATGATATCACCAATGCTAAATTAAAAACCACGACTATAAACATATATGCATGCATACAAATGTGAGAAGGGATCCTGCACCCTCTCATTCCCTCCTTCGCTCACCTTCTCGTTCTGCCATGCCCTTCTCTAAAGAGATACCTGCCATTTCCCCCAGCAAGCTCTCTGGTCTGTGGAGGAGGTCAGCATGCAGCTCTGCCTTGCCCAGCTCTCCAAGCATACCACGGCCTGACCTGAGGGTCTGTACAGGCTGCAGGCTATGACCTGTACAGTGCCTAAGATGATACAATACCACCTATGGAGAAAGCTCTTGTGAACAGACATTTAGATAGAGCTCCTCCTTCCAGGTGTTGTGGAAGAGTAGCTCCACGCTGGCTTGGCTGCAAAACACTTTATAGATGTAGGAGGTGGTATCATAAAGGAAGATTACAGAGGAAATGCTGGTGCTGTACTGTTTTATTTTGGCAAAGAAAAGTCTGAAGTCAAAAAAGGTGATTGAACTGCAGTTCATTTGTGAACAAATCTTTATCCAGAAATAGAAGTTCAAAGCTTTGGATGACACTGAAAGAGGTTCAGGAGGTTTGGGTTCCACTGGAAAGAATTAAAACTTATGCTAAGAATAGAAAATGAGAAATCATACCTTTTTCTTAAAGAGTTTTTGCTTTGAAAAAAAAGTCTGAAAGAACCAATGTTAAACCATGTGCTGGCAGAAAGTGACAGCTGTCACTTTTCACTCTATTTAGTCATCTAAAGAGACGTCTAAATAGTTGTCTAAAAGACGACTGTAACTTTCCACTCTATTTACTTTTGTGCTATTCAAAATTCCCCAACAAGCACTGCTATGGCCTGAAAGTTTGTGCCCCTCCAAAATTTACATGCTGAAAGCTAATCCCCAGACTGCTGGTAGTAAGAGGTAGAGTTGGGAGGCAATTAGGTCAGGGAGGTAGAGCCCTCATTAATGGAATTAGTGCCCTTATAAAAGAGGCCTGAGGGAGCTGCCTGCCCCTTCTGCCATGTTAAGATGCAGTGAGCAAGAGGCACCATCAGTGAGGAACAGACCCTCACCAGACCCAGGATCTGCTGGTGCCTTCACCTTAAACTTACCAGTCTCCAGAACCATGAACAATCAAGTTCTATTGTTTATAAACTACTCAGTTTAAGGTATTTTTGTTACAGCAGCCCAGACTAAGACAAATTTCAATTCGTCTATTACTATGGCCATTTTCAAAAACTTTAAAATGTGTTTAAATAATTTTTGCTAGGATTTTAGTAACCATAGATCAAATGCAAGTTTCTGGACTTGATGATTACTAACAGTTGAGAGAAGTGGTTCTCAAAGAGTGGTCTCCAGACCAGCTCCATCAGCATCACATAGGAGCAAACTCTGGGGCCCCACCCCAAGTCTACAGAACCAGAAACTCTGGGGTGGAACCTAACATCTGTACTTTAAACAAGGCCTTCCCTCAGGTGATCATAATGCCAGCTAAACTCTGAGAACCACAGGGTTAGAGGATAACTTATACTAATCAAGCTTCAATTTTCTGATTTCTAAATCTTCAGTAACTATGAACACATACACACACACCATATTAAATCATTTTTCAGCTGAATTTCTCAAATATTTGTGGAATACCTTTCAAATTGCATTACTGTAGCACCTTTTTAATATAAATGAAAATACTGCAGTAGAGAAAACAAGGTATCTTGAAACTATGAGAATCCCGAGCCTCTTTAAAGGCATTAAAAAGTGCTTCCAGAAGAGATTTCCTACTGGGAAGAAGCTATAACATGGCTGCCTTCATTACTCCCTGAAAAACAACCTCAGCCAAGGAACAATTTGTTAATGGAGTACATTATGACAACATAGCGCATTCATAGCTAGTATTTCTCTTTCCTAATATTAAGAAGCTATTTAAAATTAAGTAGTGTTAGCATTTACAGATACCTGTTTGGTGATCGTCTTGGCCAATGTCTTCTGTTAGGTTCTGAAAGAAATATGTTCGTTATTACGAAGAAATCACATACCGTTAGCATTTTCATAAACAACTGATATCCTAATATCTAGAATCTAAATTTTTATCAAATACACTTATACAAAATGACTACTTCAAACAGTTGGTAATTTTGTCTTTAAAAGAATGACTTACCAGCTTATTAAGGGTGTGGTAGATCTTATGAATATTTGCCAGTGTTGAGAGATGAGAGTTCAGCTGAAAATCTTGAAAAGAAAAAGGAAAAATGTCAGCGTCATTTATTTCCAATATTGTAAAAAAACAAACTCAGAAAATAAACAAATGTTTTGATATAATTAAATACTATCTCAATTAATTTGACACTAAAGTTTTTTAAAAACATGCAATTAGTGACCTCCTAGAAATAGTCTGACAATAAAGTTAAATTCCCAACCAAATGTTAAAGTTCATGAAATTTTCATGTGAATTCTAAGGTAAAACAAAAAGTACTTCAGTAGTTATAAAATCCTGCCAGCAGTGAACTTGAACTTAATAGAAAGATAAGTCTCAAATGAAATGTTCACTTTCCCCTCTCTTCCCTAGAATTACTGGTACAATTAAGTAAGCTCATGGCAAGAAAATGATAGAAAAGCATCCCAACATTAGTATTTATTTTTTCTTTTCCTTTTTTTGAGACAGGATCTCACTACGTTGCCCAGGCTGAAGTGCAGTGGTGCAATCATGGTTCACTGCAGCCTCAGACTCCCAGGCTCAAGTGATCTGCCTGAGCCTGCATGGTAGCTGGGACTACTAGTGTGCACCATCATGCACAGCTAATTTTTCTTTTTTTTTTTCTTGTAGAGACAGGGTCTTTCTATGTTTCCCAGGCTGGTCTTGAACTCCTGGGTTCAAGTGATCCTCCTGCCTCAGCCTCCCAAAATGTTGGGATTAAAGGTGTGGGCCACTACGCGCAGCCTCAACTTGAAGTAAAGTATGTTTGCATATATATTAGGCAATAAAAATGTAAGCTGAAAGTTTATTAATAATTTCATATATAAGTACCACTGGAAGTATTTTCACAAAATATCAGGATTTACATTAGTTCCTTCTTTCCTATTAAAGGTTAGTATGAAAATGACCATGAAAAGATATTGTAACTCTCCAAGTTATACCATTCTGACAAAAAGAAAGAAAGAAAAAAAGCTCCCTTTACTGAAACATTTTATTTAGGACACGTATCAGATCCAAAGAACAGATCCAAAGAGCAGGTGCTACAATATCAGGTGTCTGTGCTTGGGCTGGATCCTCTGTGCTGCTACTCTGAACCCTGAAAACAAGCTGGCCTCCCTGTTCACAGTTAGAAAGCTTTACTTTCTCTTCTAAAGCTTGTTGGGCATCCAGTTCTGAGTAGGTCTGCAGGGCAGAGGGGCTGGCAGAAGCAGAGCCCCTCACATTCACATGCAGTGTCAGGAACAGCAGGTCATACCTGTATACATACATGTGCATATGCACTGTTCACAGTCATAGCCATATAGAATGGTCCCCAAAACCAGCATTTTGTGCTGAGAGACAGCCAGAGCAGGGCCTCAAGCTCTAAATGGCCCTCCAATATAGACATGCTTGAATTGCTTAGCATCTGAATAGCCCAGCCATGCTTAAGGTAAATGATGACATAAAGTGGCTGAGAATCTGGATTTTTCATCTAAATACGACTGCACAGAGGTTTAGAAAAGTATGTGTATTATACACCTATTTATTTACATTTATATTTATTAAACGTGAACAGGGGTAGAAGCTAGAAGCTACAGCCCTCTCACCAGCAAGAGGCCTCTCAGGACCAGCAAGAGGTGCTGAGGAGCTTGAACATTCAACTCTTGCACCTCCACCCCATCCACTACCAAGCCATAGCCCCCTTTTTGTACTCTCTCAGATTAAATATAGGAAGACAAATGATACATTCCATTATCACCTTAAAATATGAAGTTAAACTCTTGGGCCCCCAAAAAAACAAAAAGCAAAAACTGAGAAAACTTTAGCCTCTTGATTCTCTTTTCACTGAGGGTAAGGGAGGGGAGAGAAAAAGGGGCTTGCCAAAAGCCATTCCAGCAATGAGGTCTCTTCTAACTCTCCAGGCTATGCTTTTGTCATTTCACCACCCTGCTGTTAATTAAACTCCCAAAATTCCCATAAGAGAATCTAAATAAACCAAAACTGTTATATCTTTCTCCCTCCTTTATATAAATGTGGAAGAAGTAGAAAAGACAAGAAACACAAGTTATCCTCAATCTGGAATTCCAGGACTTCGGTGAGCTGGGCCCAACTCATACTCCAAACATCTTTCACCACCCCACTCCACAAAACCCTTCCTTCCAACCCCACATTCTGCCCACTGCCCTTCCTACACCCAAGAGAATTCAAATGTGTGCACACACTTGCACACACACACAAAACCACTCTATTCCTGTCAAAAATCCACTTTGCTTCACAACCTGACTCTGGAGTCTAACAGCTGGTTCAAATCTCAGGTCTACCAATTTTCTCATCTGTAAAGTGAGGATAAAAAATTCTCCTTCATAATGTTGTTGTATGGTTGAAAATATTTATCAGACACCTATTACAATGTCTAGGTATGTCAGGTACCCATTACAATACCTGGAAGATAGTAAGTGCTCAATAAAAGACATCAATTCCGACTATATTTACTTACACCATTCTCCATACCACACAGCTGTCTAAAATAGTCTCTAACTTTTCCTAGGTTCAATTCTCGCCTTACATCAATGATCCCAAGGTCAGAGCTTCCTCTGTAATTGAGGCAGGTGGCCTGGTACATCTTTTAGCCTATGATGGTGATATAGTTTGGATATGTCCCCACCTAAGTCTTATGTTGAACTGTAATTCTCAGTGCCAGAGGTGGGGCCTGGTGAGAGGTGTTTGGATCATGGGGGCGGATCCCTCATGGCTTAGTGCTGTCTTTGAGACAGTGAGTGAGTTCTTATGGGGTTCAGTCATTTAAAAGTGTGTGGCACCTCCTCTCACCCTTTCTCTCTCTCGCTCCTGCTTTCGCCATGTGGTGTGCCTGCTCTCCATTCACCTTCCTCCACGATTGTAAGACTCTCTAGAAGCCAAGCAGATGCCAGCACCATACTTCCTGTAAAGCCTGCAGAACCGTGAGTCAATTAAACCTCTTTTCTTTTATAAATTACCCAGTCTCAGGTATTTCTTTATAGTAATGCAAGAATGGCACTGCGACTCATATACCAGCAACTGATGTTCATAATGTTGACTGCAGATAATCACAACACACAGGAACAAAAATACAGATATTATGTTTAAAATCAGGTTCCACGTATGAAGTTTTACTTTACTAAAGGCAACAAGAGTAAACAGGTTCATTTCACAAATACATAATATATGTCACCAATTATCCATTTCTATATCCAATCCCTATTGCTACCACATCATCATCACTTCAACTAAAAAAAGAAAAAAGAAAAAGGAAGAAATGAAACCAGTAACATGGATAATTTTTCTTTCGTCTCATCAACATAAGGAGAAGTTAAGACACAAATTCAGGAGAAAAAAAAGACAAAAATGTCATTAAAAGATAGATTCACAAAGGTTAACACACATTGGATTTACAGTTCATCTGTTCAATGCTCATGGCAAGTAATAGCCCTTGAAATCTACAGTAGATTTCACCTCCTTAAGGCCTAGATGTTAAGGGTAAAGATCAAATGCTTTACCGAGAACGTATTCTGGAAAGCACTGATTGATAAAAATCTCCTTCTGCTCGTATTTCAATTCCAAAGGATAAATGCTGGGTTTTGACTGCATTCCATGATCAGACGGCTCTCCAAAGTAAAGCAGTGCTGAGTCTGACTCTCCTGTGTGACATGGCAACTCTATAGTCTGTATTAAAACCAGCAATCAGCTCTACAAAGGCACAGCCTGCTTGATAAATAGCTTGCCTAGATTATCTTCTGGATTTTCTTAAAACTACCAACAACTGCTGATTGGGCATAAACTTGTCTGGGTTTTTTTTTTTTTTTTTTTTTTTTTTTGCTTGTTTTAACTACCATTTGCTGTGACCTACACAAAAGAAAAAAAAATGAATGCCATTGAGGGGGTCAAAGTCCATTCCCCCAAACTACTCTAGGTAAGAAAACTACACAATACAGGGGGAGACATAAACATTAATAAAACAATTATTGGTAAGTTCAGACAATGACTCTCAATCAAAAGAAACAAAAATTAACAGTCCTAATAGTTTACTCTCATAAGAGGGTTAGAAACAGAATTTAAATACATAAAAAGCAAAAACTTCCCTTTATACCATAGTCACTTGCAAAATATAACTGGGACAAGAACGCAATTATAATGGCAACAAAAAGCAACAATACATATAGGAATAAACTCCAATATGTATGATTTTATTGTTCAGAATGAACAATTAAAGTTTACTGAAAGATATACACGTAAAGAGATATTTCTGGAATAGAAAGACCCAACGTTGTAAAGCAATCACTTCTCCCTTCACTAAACCACAAATTAATGCAATCAAAATTCCTATTCTGCTGGCTCCCCAGTTCTCCACCCCAAAAAGAGGTGGGGAAAAGAAGGAAGTCAGGCAAGCTTGGCAGATTGATTCTAAAGTTCATCTGGAGAAATAAACATGTTAGGCCTGCCAAGAAATTGTTGAAAAAGAATGAGGATGAACTTGCCCTATCAGATATCAATACACAGTATAAAGCAGAGCCTGGTAAACTCTGTATGAAGGGCCAGATTGTAAATATTTCTGGATTTCTGGCCCATACAGTCTCTGTTGCAACTACACTGCCATAGTAGCTCAAAAGCAGCCATAAACAATACGTAAGTATGGCTGCTTTCCAATAAAGCTTTATTTATAAAAACCAGGTGGTAGGGCTGGATTTGCCCCATGGGCCATTGTTTGCCAAGACCTGGTATAAAGGTACAGTAATTAAAATGTTATACTATGTGTGCAAGAAGAAAAATCAATGACAGAGAGCTGATAAACATATACGTATAAATACACATACACAACATATAATTAAATGGCATTTCAAACTCAATGGAGAAGACATAATAATTCAGTAAACAGAGGGGCAACTGGTCAGCATGTAGAACAAATTAAAATTAATTCCACCTCACCCAATAGTTACAGATGGAAGGGGAAGCTGTTCAAAGCAAAAGAAAACTTATCATGGGCTCAGGGCCTTGTACACCCTGCATCTGCTAATCTCTCCAATCTCATCTTCTACTCATCTTCCCCTTGTTCATTCTACTCAGCCACAGTGAGCTTCCTACTGCTCCATTAACACTCCAAGAACACTCCCACCTCAGCGCCTTTGCACGTGCTGTTCTCCTTACCTTGAGCGCTCTTCCCCCTAATAATAACATGGTTGCTCTCATACTTCATCAGGTTTCCATTTTAATATCACCTTTGATGGATATGTTAATTAGTCTGATTTGATCACTCCACAATTATGCATGTATCAAAACATCACATTGTACTCCGTAAATATATACAATTATTTGTCAATTAAGGATAAAATTCTTAAAAATCACCTCCTTACATAACCTTGCCAGACCAACAGAGCCCCATCTTCACTCTATCATCTTACCATGCTTTGCTTTTCTTCACAGCATTAATACCATCTGACATTATATTATATATTTGTCATCATCCTCTCCCATTAGAATGTAAGCTCCACAAGGGCCAAGACTTAAATCTTGCCCATTGCTGTATCCCGTAATATTAATACCTAGAAGAGTACCTGGCACATATTAGGTGCTCAATAAATATTCAACAAATGAATAAACGCAGATACAAAGGCACCAAAGGCTTAAATTCAATACATTCAGGGCACTTCAAGTGATCTTCAAATGTGAGAAGTGTCATGGTAAGAGGAGACTGAACAGGAAGGCAAAGATCAGAAAATGAAGAACTTGTGAATCCTGCTTGAGCGTTTAGATTTAATCTCCTAAGGATCTGTACCTCAAACACAGGCACCAGAGACCATGCAAACGTAATGACAGGAATGGCACATTCCAGCAGCATCAATTCTAATCAGCAATAATATGACAGTCTTACATGAAAACAAACATAATCCCCACATCAAGCTGTGCTCCCAGGACCCTGAAACAACTTATTCCACCAAACTCTGTACAGGAAAACATTGGTGGGAAGTCTGAGAAGCACTCCTTTGAGAGTCTTGGTGCCATGGAGGTGTTCTGATCAGGAGAGTTATTTAAAAAGATCACTCTAGGACAAGTGTGCAGCAAAGATGATGGGTGATCTGAATTTAGAGTGGCCATTTATGGAGATGACTAGAAGTGACTGAGGTGGGAAAGCATTAGGGCCGTAAGTTAGACACTGGCTGTAAAAATGGAGAGGAGAGATTCTGAGTACACTGGAGTTGCAGAAAATAGATATTTAGCTTACACAAATTCAACTCTTCTCATTTGGTCAAAAAAAATAAAAAAGGAAGAAGCGAGATGAAAAGAAATTTCAGTTGTCTCACTAACTGCCCACCCTCCCTTCTACTTAATGAGCACGAGACATGACACATGAATAGTCACTCTGTTGGTCTCAGTTTCCACATGCCAATCAGATTTTGTGCATCTCACAATACGGTATGAGTCGAGTATTTAAAGTGATGTATTTTCATAAAACATGGTCCCTAAACTGAAGTTGAAGACGAGGCCAGATGCTTCAACTGGTGCTCAAATAAACAGCCAGAGATCTATTCCAATGCTGGAGGAAGGAATAGGCTGTGCTGGATTCTTCTGAGACAGCTTCCAAAGAGGAATCTTCTGCAAGTGTTTCCAGTGGTATTTTTAACACCAATGATCTTCACCTTACACAGGGACTTTAGAACCAACCTCTATATAAAATGTGATTGCAGTGTAAGGAAAAACTAACAGGACTGCATGTGAGAGATGAGCAAGTGAGGCACTCAATGGTTCATGTTCTTTTGTCCAATTCTCATTTTATTAGCTTGAGCGGAGTCAGAGAGCTAGCTATGGCCAAGCTGGGCAAAACTCTTATCTTCTAACTCCCAATCCAAGGCTACTTCTTCCATTCTAAATTATTTCCAATAAAAGCAAAAATATCAATCTAACTTTACACTCTGTAATAGGAAAAAAGCAGCAACGTTTCCTAACCAAAGCTGTCAACAAGCAACCACACACTTAAAGTAATTTAATATTAAAGAAAAAAATTTTAAAACTGGCTGAATCTAAAACAATTCACCATTTTTCCCCCAGGGAAATAATGGTACAGAAAAGATTTAACACCAGTGTTAACTTTCTATTTTTAAGCACAATTCGCTCTTCTGGTCACTAAAGCATCATCAAAGTGTTTTATTATTAAACTACAGCTGAACAATTCTCTCAGATATAAAAGTTTTAAACAGTATTATGCTCTTAACAAATGCTTTTCAAGTGACGATGAAAATGATGAAATAAACCTGTAAAGGCGGCAGAAGGAAAGGGCAAAATAGTGACCATGTTATTGCCAAAAAAGCAAAACAAAATTGGACAAAATTAAAGGTTACCATCTAACCTTGGCACTCATCTAAATGTCTCTGGAACAGAACAAGAACACGACTGAGGTATAGGGATCTGCCTCTCTAACTGGGATTCATCAGGGAATGCTTAAGGGTGTTTCAAGCCATGGGTCACATGGCTCAGCCTCCTGAAAAGTCAATTGTACCACGTGATATGGGAAAAGAAAACAAAAATTGTTAAAGCCAAGGCTGCACTGTGGTTGGGAGCCACTCTTTAGATTTGCCTTGTTTCCTTCCTTCTAGAAACACATGCCCTCTTTTCCATGGGTTTCAGATAGACTAGGGATGAGAATGTCAACGATGTGGAGCAGAGACCCATTCCAACCCACAAAGGATGCATTACAACCTTTTACTTGAATCACTGAGATGTTGTATTTGCTATTGCAGCATAAAAGAAAAAAAATTCTAGTCCTCACAAGGCTCTACGTGATCTGACCTAAGTCATCCCATTCCATTATCCTTGCCTACTCCATTCTAGCCACACAATTCGTGAATATTCAAGTGAATTCCTACCTCAAGGCCTTTGCATTTACTGTGCCCCTCAGCCTCCATGACCCTTGACGTTCACAGGCCCAACAGCTATCTTTCCTGAAATATCTATTTAAATGTCACCTCATCAGAGATGTCTCATCTAACTTCTTTATGCAAAACAGTACCTCCATCTCCCAGTGGATTTAGATTTTTTTCATAGCACTTACCACTTCCTGATATTAAAAGCTTTGAAATATAATTCACATAGCATGGAATTCACTCATTATAGTGTAAAATTCAATGGTTTCAGTATATTCAGAGTTGTGCAAACATCACCACAATCTAATAATAAAACATTTTTTATTAGCAGTCATTCCCCATTTCTCCCTTCACCCCTCTTCAGCTCTAGGCAACCACTAATCTACTTTCTGTCTCTATAGATTTGCCTATTCTAGACATTTTATATCAGCAGAGTCACACAACAGGAGGTCTTTCATGATCCTGACATTATATTAAATATTTATTTATGTCTTTGTCACTCTTCCTAGAGCCCAAGTTCCATGAGGATAGGGACTTCCTTTTGCTTTATTCACTACTCTATCCCAATATCTTTTGGAGTATCCCTTATCAGAAATGCTTGGGACCAGAGCATTTCAGATTTCAGATTTCTTCAGGTTTTGTTGTTTGTATTATACTCACCAGCTGAACATTCCTAATCCAAAAATCTGAAATGCTACAATGAACATTTCCTCTAAGTGTCATGTCAGCACTCAAAAAGTTTCAGATTTTGGTGCATTTTGGGTTTCAGATTTTCAGATAAAGGACACTTGACCTGTACCTACAACAGCACAAACCTAGCACAAGGCAGGTACCAATAAATAGGGGAATAAATGCTTTAAAAATAGTTACTGAATTTAGCAACATGGAGGTTACTCCATGACCTCAAAGACTGCAATGACAGAACTGAGACCAGAACAAAGTGGGCTGAGGATTGTATGAGTGATGAAGAAATACAGACTATGTCAGGCAAAGACAACTTGTTCAATAAGTTGGCTATTAAAGGGGAGACTAGAAATGCATGTGGGTTTGAAGGAGTTTGGGTTTTACAATGGCAGGACTTGAGCATGCTTCAAATGCTGCTATTAGTTTTGCTTAGTATCCTGGAGGGTTACAGTAGCCAGAATGTGAAGAGGCAGGTCAGATCACAAGTCAGTGAAGATCTAATATGCACTCAAAGATCATAGTACATATGTTTTTAAAAAGTACAAAATACAATTTTAAGTAAAAAAGATTCCCTTAAAAATGAGGTACATCTCAAATAACCTGAAATATAAAATGTACCATAAAGTAAAATCTATGTCAAAACCATAAAAAAGTAGTGTTTTAAATGATTTACAATACCAATTTACAACTCTGTATGCTAACTGATAGTCACTAGCTACATGACATGGCACAGGTCTCAGTTTCATTTGTAAAAACAAATATATTCACATTTGAGGCTAAATTACTAAAACACAAAGATCTGAAATGTTTTCTATACTGTAAATCTAGGAAAAACCAAAACCTAGGTTTATGGGTCAGTTTCATACTACATGTCCTTCATGGCTACAAGTAGGAATTTCTTTTTCTACGAAATGGATAATCACAGTGCCTGCCTCATAAGGATATCGTGTGGATTAAATGAGTTAATGCTGCACTGTGCTTCAAACAGTGCGTGGCACAGGGGAAGCACTACCAAGAATTGGCTATTATGTCATAGGCGAGCAGGAAGGGTCTGCACGATCTGCCCAGTGCAGTGCCCATGGGGGAGCTGCTGCATCTTTTGAGCCCCATCTCCACAGCCCAAAATAAACCCAGCTTCCTAATTAAGCTATTAATATTTAAATGAAACCATTGGCTACACAGTGGAATCACCTAAGAAGACTGAAAAACACCAAATACCAGGGCCCCAATCCAGATCAATTAAATAAAAATGGGTGTGGGGCACCACGTGTTTCTCAAGCAGCCCAGGTGATTCTAACATGCAACCAGAGAAGTAGATTCTATCCCTGACTCTCAACTCAATCCCTGGCGTGCCAGTAGCCAATCCACTCCTGGAACAACCTCAGCACTGCTAGACAGGAATCTAACTCATTCACCATACCCTATCAGCACACGATGAAAAGGCCAAGGTCCAGGAAAAAGATTGCAGAGCTGAAAAGCAGGGTAAAAACCAAAAGAATTGAAAGTAGCAGGTGAGGAAGGTGTTAACTAACTTCATTCTCCTCATCAATAAATATTTGCTATTTACAAGGCACAAAAGCCAAAGGAGAAAATTGATAAGGGAACAGGTCATTCAAAGTGACTCAGCATTTTCACTGAACACAGATCCAAAGTTAAAGCTATCCAAGCATATTGCTGCTGGCTTTTTCTTCCTCTTGCAGGACTCAAAAAAGGGGCTGGGAGAAGAAACCATCCGCCCAAGGGAGGCAGCATCCATCCATCGCCCACCACACTGCCTGTGCCTGCTGGTGCTATCCCAAGGGACTCAGTCACTTCAGGACACCCGTCTGGCTGCACTCCCAATGTGACATGGTACAAAGGGCCCTAGCTTCATTCTCCTCACCCCACCTACCCACTGAAGGTGAGCACAAATGATCTGTACTACCCACTGAAGCACACAGAATCACTGGGTAGTTCACAGTAAAAATCTTTCCATCTCACTAATGTTAAATGAGCCCAGATTTTGGTTAAAGAATGTCAATCAGCTCTGATAACATAAAGCCCTGGGTTGGAGTCAGAGCTCCAACTGAGTCCCAACTGAGTGACCCTGTACATGCTTCCAAACTTCACTGTGCCCGTGTCCTCATCCATAAAGCCGAAATAACAGAACCTCTTTGCGAAGCTACTGTGGGGATTATTAAATGAGATGGTGCATGTCAAGCACTTAGCACAGTGCTGGTCCATATTATGTGCCAATCAACGTTAATTGTTTTCATCCCTATTATTATTTAGAACGTAGAAGACACTGAGACAGACTGAACCTAGAACTACAAAAAGACAGGGCAGAAGAGATCACAAGGTGATGGTGTTTAAAACTACTAATTCACTAGCTATTGGACTTAAATGTACAACTATCCCGTTTCCTGTTTAATTAATAATTAAGAAGTGATCTGTGGCTTAATTTTGGGAATTGCATATGTAGGACAAGACATTAAACTTACCCTAACCTACAGGAAAAAAAATAAAAATAATTTCAAAAATGTTATGTAAAAATGATGTTAGTAGTTGTTTTCTAGTTTTGCTGCAATGTCGTTGAGATCTCCTATATTTAAAAATAACAAAGTCTATTTAAATAAAATCTAAGAAGACTAAAAATGACTATTTCATTAGTTAAGAGTATGAAAATACTTTGCCACAATTCTTCAGTTTCCCACTTAAAATCAGTTTTTAAATGTCTACTCTCATTGTAAGCAAACCAGCAAAAATGAGAGGGGATGAAGAAGAATGGGAAAGAAGAGACTCAGAAATCCCAGATCCTGATCCTGCTGGGACTCATTCCAAGAAGAAAAGAACCAAGAGATAATCCATCAGCTGGCTCTGTCAGCATCATTCATAGGCCAGTGACAAAAGAAAAAAAAAGAATTCCAATATACATGCAGTGTTCCAATCAGGGTTCAATGAAAAGCACAAACAAAATGTTAAGAATGATTTCAGTGGCAGTAGAGGGTTACCAAGACCATGGAGTCAGAATGCTTGAGTTAGAATCTCAATTCACCACTTATAAGCTGTGTGACCTTGAGAAGGGGAGTTAACCTTTCTACACCTCAGCGTCCTCATCTGTGAAACAGAGATAATAACAGTCCCTAACTTATTGAGGGTTGCTGTGAGGATTAAATGAGTTAATGCAGGCAAAGCAGTTGAAGCAAATCCAAGATCATCACTGAATTCGTGTTAGTCCCTCCCCATTCCCCTTTGCTCCTCCTCCCTCCCTGTGCCCCACCTGGGACTTCTCTTTCCTTCTCTCAGTTCCTTTCCACTCATACACTCTCCCTGGTGCCTCTTTTGAGTTCTTCCCACCGACCCCACCCCACCCCTGCCACCAGCTCCTGCCTAGCCCTGCACCTCACCTTCCCCTCCACTCTAGCCTACCAAACACCCACTCTCCTGCCACAGTTCTCTGTCCCCACCATGCCATGTTGTCGCTGGGCTTGGAAAGCTCCCACCTGACCCCATATGCCACCTGCACATGCATACACATCCTGTTCTTCACATAATCCAACTTCAAAAGCTAAAACTCACATGACAACTGCTAACCATTCCCCACATGTTCTCAAAGCCCCCGGGGCATCCATCTAACCTAGCAGGCATCATCGTCCCATGCATCCATTCCTTCTGTCTCCACAATGAACTCACTGAAGGAAGCTCCTGAAGCCCCGGTCTCCCCCACACAGTCCTGCCTGTGACAGCAGCACCTGGCAGCAAAAATCCCCTTGAATGTTTGCTGAATGGCTGAGTGAGGGAATGCCTCATTTGGTTCTGTTCTTTCTTATAACTTTTCTTCTCAAGAGTGATTTTTTAAAGGCTACCTAGGAGACTGTCATCACACAGTAATTGTAAGCATCAAAAACACTTTACGTGTTTCATCTCATTTAATCCTTTGGACCACTTATGATTTTTGCCTCCTACTTTCTTCCCTCTGCCCTCCCCCACAACTCTAAGCACCCCAGCCTCTGCTGTTCCTCAAATATAGGCCTGCTCCCCACTCTGAGCTTCTGCATTTGTATTCTCTCTGCCTGGAATGGCCCCTCAGCTCCATCAGGGCTTAGCTTAAAACCTCCTTAGTGAAGCCTTTCCTGGCTCCACTATTTAAAATTACAACACCCTCCACCCCACCCCACGCCCGCACACAGGGGTGCCTGCATGCACCCCTTCCCTGCTGTTTTTCTCTACAGAACCTATCACCATCTGACGTATTACACAATTTACTTGTTACTATCTGCCCCCTCCCCTACACTAAAAGGAAAACTTCATGAAATATGAAGAGCAGGGCCTGGTACATAGTAGATACCCAATAAACACTTGGTGACTGAACAGCCTTCAACAGGCAATTTTTAGGCATGAGGGCTCTGAAGCGCACACAGAGCAGCTGGGTAACTCTACTCCAGTCCCTTGGCTAGGAGATGACAGAGCAAGGATTTGAATTCAGCCATTTTGGCTTTCTTGCCTCCCAACCTGACCCAGATAACAATTAAAAGACATCATCACATCCAGGGAGAAAACCCGAGCCCTGCATGTCTAC
This sequence comes from Homo sapiens, assembly GCF_000001405.40. NCBI lineage: Eukaryota > Metazoa > Chordata > Mammalia > Primates > Hominidae > Homo > Homo sapiens. The sequence continues at coordinate 51,850,358 of NC_000004.12, read as the reverse complement.
AGGCCACAGAGAAGCCAGAAAAGCCATCCACTGGAAAGCCGCTCACCAGAACAAGTCATCTAACTCAAGACACTTCTGTGCGGCAAAGTATTATTTATCAGACTGATAATTTATACAGCACTGATAGTTTTTCTTTGGATTTCATAGTTCAGTAAAAACGAGAGATTTATCATGCCTTTATTATACTGTAATATCCTCAGGAACAGCAAAGTGACAAATCATCAGCTAATATGGAGGAGGCCTAAGGTAACATATGTTAAAAGCCAACAATTGTGGTAGTGGGGCAGGAGGAGAAGCACTGACTACAAGGGGACACAAGGGAACTTTTGGGGTAATGAAATGTTCTATATCTTTAGTAAATTCACCCAACAACACTTAAAATGAGTATAATTTTATAATACGTGAAATTATACCTAAATAATGTTGACTAAAAAGGTATTTGGTACATCAGATGTAATTTTTGGCTAAACAAAATAAACATTCCACTAAAACACGCACACACACACACGCACGCACACACACACATATTTCTGTAGCTAATATTCCCACATCAGAGCCAAAAAAAAAATGCACAAGGAGTTATGTATTAGCTCCTAGGCATCCCAACTTTTGGGGGACAAAGAATTAGGAAAAAGCAGCAGTAAAGAGTGGCACATGATGAGACCCAGTGGGCTGGGCTAGTGTGTGGTTCGGGAGTCCTGCCTGACCACCAGCAAACACAGCTCCCACGACCCACAGCTGATATCGACTGTGTCCTCCTCCAGTCCTCTGGGTCACCTCTGACCAGAATGTACAGGCAGCCAGGATGAAAAAGATACATCACTGCTCTTCACAAGGGCTTCTACCACGTATCTGACCAGCGACAGTGACAAGTCTGGATGCTGAAGTATCAGAATTCTTAGTTGAGAGCATCAGAAACTAATTCTAGGTAATTTAAACAGAAAAGTGATTTAAAAAAAGGGGAGGCGGCTATTAGACAGTTCACAGAATCTCCCCCTGGCCATAACAATGCCTAAGGGGACACAGCAGACTGCATCATCATTGCAGCAACAACTAGACCTTGCCTCTAGAAGCAGCACAGCAGCCACCACTGTGCATCCCCCCAGAAAATGGCCACATGGGCTACTCTTCTTTCCTTGCCTCCAGCCTCAGGTTCACAGTCTCAGGCGAGTGTGTCTGAGAAGATCTGCCTGCCAGGGTAAGAATTCTCCAATCAGACCAAGAGTCAATGGACTGACAGTGTCCATTACAGACACTAATCATAAACTAATATGGAGGAGGCCTAAGATGACATATGTTAAAAGCCAACAATTGTGGTCGTGGGGCAGGGGGAGAAGCACAAATGGATTACTCCCCGTCTCTGCAAATCTACTGATACAGGCCAGCAAAAAATTTCACAAGGAAAAAAAAATCCTCGAAGGCAGAACTAAAATAAATCATACCACAGGTAATGCTATTTGAAGAGGGCAGGGGTCTTTTTCATATCTAGTGTTTTTTTCAGTACATTAGTTACAAATGACAAGCCTATCTTCCTAGATTGAACATAACTCATTAACAGCATTTTCTGATTAAAAGCAATTCAAACCTGAAGTAGCAGATACTTTGCTACATCTAAAACTGTCACACAATGATTGTTAAAATACCTAATTCTATTTAGAATGCATTTCAATGTTTTCCTTCTTAAAACACATTTTAAAATACATGTTCTGCTTAGAATACTTCTCAAGAGGTACTTCTCCTAATGTAAATTTCAAAAGAAAAAAAGCAAGCTATGAGAAGAATTAATACCAATTCGAGTTGACCAACTATAAAAATTTACCAGCATTTATGTCAGATTCATCAAAGAAAATTTTACTCTGTAAATCTGAAGAAAGACTTTCAGTGATCTCACTATATTGTTAACTTAAGAAATAAATCCTTAGGACCAGAATATGGATATAAAACAAAAAGAAGGGAAAAGGACAAACACTCTAGGCCCCTTAACATCAGACCTGTTAATGCTGCCTTAACCTTGTGCAGGTAGGACGCTGACACGAGAGACCAGAAACGGACGTGTGCACATTCACAAACACTCCTTCTGTTCCCTCAGCACATCACCAGCATTTTACTCTTTCCTTGAGAATTTCTCCACGCCACATTCTCTAAAACTGATATCTGCATGTTTGAAAAATATTAAATTAGTTTGCATACAACTGACTTTGTCTAAAAAATGCAAAGAATGAGTAGGTGAAAGCTTGTGTTCCTTGAAGAAAAATCTAAAGATAATGAAAGACAACAGGAACAGGAAGAATTAATTTTTCTAGATAATGCACAAGTTATTCAATAGTTGATCATTTAAGTTCAATTCAATACATATTTGGGTAGCTATGCAAGGCATCATGCTAGATGCTAAAGTGGATACTGGGTAAGACATGGTCCCAGATCTCAAAAAGGTAATAATCTAATTGGGGAGGGGAAATAAAAGTAAACAAGCAGCTATTGTTATGTAACATAAAACTGAGTAACAGAAGGAAGCACTGCTTCAGAGATTCCATGAAAGGAGAGTCTGCTAGAGAGGGAGCACAGTAAAGAAAAATTCTAAAACAGCAGCACTGAGGGCAGCTGGAGCCGGGTGCAGTGGCGTGCATCTATAACTTCAGCTACTCAGAGACTGAGGTGGAAGGACCCCTGAAGCCCAGAGTTCGAGTCCAGCCTAGGCAACATAACAAGACCCAACCTCTAAAAAAAAAAAAACAAAAAAGAAAGAAAAATGTATTGCTGGTTATTATAACACTGTAAGAAAGGCTGTCTCAGACATAAGGCCATGGCAATAGGTATGGGAAAGAGAGGCTGGGCATGGGAAGAGATGCAATCTCTCCTTGCCACTGACCAGGGAAGAAGAGGATAAGAAATGTCCAGGATTTCAGTGTGGGTTATTAAAATTACTGCAGCTTCATTTACCAAATGAATAAAATTTATTAGTTTTGTTCTCTTCTTTGACTATTAAAAAGCTCAGTGCCAAATATTTCTAACATATGGCAAGTGTTTCTGTGTACCTTACAAGTCTATATATAAATTTTTCTTCTCTTGACAGGGTTTTATCTATATTTAGCAAGTCACCCCTAATTCTTTTAGAATAAGGCAGAAAATAAATCAACGTAAAGGTTGAGACCAAGCCAGAGACAGCTGGCCAAAGTAGCTGGTTCAGGGATATAACCTGCAAGTTGCCAACCCAGCGCATTCTTCTCACCCTTCTTCCACCCTACGAAAGGCCATATCTTACAAGAGATGCTGGTAAATGCCAGACATTCACTGTGTCAGGCTTCCTCACAGCTAGCAGTGGCATGAGATCAGTTCAATCCAATGACACTGAAATGGAACTCTCCAAAGTGAGTTTCTGCAAAAGACTTCTCTGTTAACAGGGAGTTATAAGGAAATATGCACCTTCCTTCCCTGCTTTCCAATCCAGGCATGATGTCTGGTGCTACGGCAACCATACTGCAAACATGAGGCAAATGAGCCTGAGGAATAAAAGCTAAAACACTAATAGAAGAAGAAAAAGATGCAGAACCTAGATCCTTAATGACATCATTAAGCCACTGCACCAGCTTTAGAACCAACTACTTCTAGGTTTCTTGCTACCGAACAATAATAAGCCCTATTATTTAAGCCATTAATTTGAGCATTGTATTGGCAAAGGCATCCTAACTGATACAAGAGATCATCATGAGGTCAGTTTCTCACAGGTTGATTTTTATACTGCTAAGTTAGCAGGATTATTAGCTATTAATTATTAGTTATAATTAGCAGATGATGATTGAGATAATAATGTAAACGTAGCCAGGAAGAAGGTAATAAGCCAAGAAGAGCTGCTGGGAGCAACTTAACATAAAAACAGAAAAGGAGACAATGATAAAGTTTGAAAAAACATGATTAAGTGCCAGTAGGGGTACACAGAGTTAACAACAGAGGAAGAAGAGAGTGAAGTCCACTAAGAGAAAATGAGGCAGGCCTTCTTTTCTGGCAATGTTACAGACAAGATTACCTAAAAATCCTTCTTAATATAAAACAGTCAAAAATTCTGGATAACGTGTAAGAAACATCTGTTTAAATGCACAGCTACGTTCACAAGAAAATAAAGGACCTCCCCAAGCGCCAAAAATCAAAAAGGAACCTAAAAACCAGAGCAGAAAGTGTGTAGGAGCCTAGGGCTTTGGGGAATGGAGGGAGGTGGGCTATATGTGTATAAAAAGCACCTGCCCTTTGGGATATAATAGAACAAAAGAAAAAGAGAAAGCTATGACTAGCTTCATATTTTCTTTAAAAACACCATTTTGAAGACAATTATAGCTCTTGCATGTTTTTCAACCTCATCACTTTACCCTCTGCAAGAAAAAATTCCAGAGTTAAGTGCACATTTTTGTACATATTTTTATATTACCAAGAGTTTCCTGGATATTTCACCACACGATTAAGTAAAATATGACAGATAGATATAAATGATCTCCACAAGAACACCACACACATTGCCCAATTTTTCACTCATCATGAAAAGAACCATCAAACAATCAAGTATCCAAGTTCAGTATGTTTGTAACCACACCAAAAGGTTTACAAATCTTAGGACTTCTTGGTAATATTTTTATCATCAGAAAAATTACAATATTCTTCTAATGACTATGTTGCAAGTAGTTTCATAATACCTTATATATTACATACAAAAATCTATCATCTCTGCATTAATCTTAGCCTTCTACATTACAGATTCTGGAGTCCCTTCCCTGTAAACAGTAAAGGGAACTGGTGAAGGATGTGACGTTTAGGGAGTCTACTTATGGAGAGGAAGGTTTCTAGTATTAAGGAGAGAAGGAATTGCAGCCTGCAGCTAATAATAAAACAAGCAAACAAAAAAAGTCTTATGGTTCTCCACTTTTTACAGTTTTCTTCTATTCTCATTTGCTTTCCAAGCTTCTTCGAAAATTGAAGACGTCACATATTACCTTTGCTCACCTTCACATTTCCACCCTAAATTCCACTAACCCACCTCCATCACTCATTTCAAGACAGTTATTTTTTCAAACACCCCAAGAAATACCAACACATAGTTTATATTATCGTTACAAGGGTTACGTGTACCTCCACTGTGTTCTCATATTTATGCAAGGGAATGCTGGAACCCAGTGCTTACACACACTGGATGCCAAAATTAAATACACCATTCTAAAGGCTGCTTTACATTGTGTTGCTTCTTAAATGTTTTCCCACAACCCGTGCGCATGATGGTACAAGACCAAGCATTTATTCCACAAGTAAGGCCACAAAATGCAGGGGGAAATTCACTTGGGGACCAAGAACCTAAGCGTGAAGAGGGCTGCGCCTGGCGTGGGCTCTCCCTCTCCCAAGGGAGAAGGGCTGGGGAGTCGCTCCGTCCCTGGGAACTCAACCGCCTCCCGAGAGCGCGCAGGAGCTGGCCGGGGAATAAAGCACGAGTTGGCCGAGCAGGAAGGCTCCAAGGGCGCGCTGCATGCCGGGACCCGTTTCCACAGTTACCCACGTGCACCCAACCCAACCGCGGCCGGGCGCGGCCGCGACTACAAGTCCCAGAATTCGGCGGGACCGCCTTTCCCCTTCATACCCGTTGACTGGAGACAAACCCTAAAGGAAACCCCTCAAGCGCCCTCCCAGCACGCCTGGGAGAAGTCGCGCCCCCCGGGCGTGGGGCGCGGCCTAGGGCCCGGCCATCCCTCTAAGGAAGCGGGTTCCATGGCACCAACCCCCACACCTGATAGCCAGAAATTAGACAACTGCGTCACAGACTATCAAACCCACGGACTGCCAGGGACCCCGACACCTCCCCGGCGCCAAGCCCCCGACCCGGCCATCAGGGCCCGACCCCTCCGGCTCCCGCTGCTGAAACCCCGCAGCCCGCACCCCTGCCCCGCCTCCTAGTCCCGCTGCCGGAGCCCGCGCCAGCGCTGACCTCGCTTCCCGCCGTCCGGGGGGAACCACGGCCAGTTCCAACCTTAGGGCACTTACCCCGTCTCCTCCACCTCAGCCCCGCCCCCTCCTCTCTCCGCACCCCGAAGCTTGGACTCCCCCCTTCAAGGGACCCTGCCTCGACAGGGAGAGGAAGTACCTCCCCTAAGCACAGTCTGACACCCCCTTAGCCCGGCTCCGGACCGAATCTGGACGTGACAGTCCTCCTGCCCAACTCCGCCCCACCTCCCCTTCCTCCCCGACTAGCTCCTCACCCCCATTTCATATTCTCCACCCCTGCCCCCACTCTGCCACCCCAAATCCTACCCACCTTTTTCTCCTCTTCCTCCCAATCGCCCTACCCTTCCACACCTGCCCCATCTCTTTACCCCAACATCTTCCACTCCCACCACTCTCCGTTACCCACCGCCCTTCCAACGCCCCTCCCGCCCCGCAGGACTCCCCAACTACCATTACACCCCAGTCCCTCCCACCACCTCGCTTTCCCGTTACATCAGCCCTCGTCCAGTCGCCCGCCCTCCTGCCCCGCTCGGCCGCTGCCCCCATTCCCCCACCCCATTGTTCGCCGCCCCCCCCCCACCCCCCCGCCAACCAGCCCTTCTTCCCATTGTCCCCGCCCCCGCGCCCCCCTCGCACTCACCCGCCTTTCTCACGGAGCCGCCCGCACCACTCAGCCCTTTGGAAATCCTCACCCTTGTGCCCCGCTCGCTCGCTCGCTCCCTCCCTCTCCCCGCCGGTGCCACCCCCCCACATCCCCGGCCCTGCCCGCTACAGCCCAACGCTGCCTCCACCTCCATGCACCCCGGACACTCCGATCTCGGCCCTTCATCGCACGTCCAGCCCTCCCTTCCCCCAACACTGAAAGAGAGCCAGTCCCCACCCCCCTCACCTCCGCCCTCCCCGCAGGCCGGTCCCTTCCCCCCACGCCCGCCCCCGCCCCACGCCGCCCGCAGCGTCACCGCCCGCCCCGGCCCCGGGAGGGGAAGGGGTGGTTCCCAGGCAGGGGCTCCCGGCGCGTTTCGGGACCCGAGGCGTGGGGCGGGGACTGCGGGAGCCGAGTGGCGAGTTTGGCAGCCGCCCGGCCCCGGCCCGCTGGCTGGCTCTCTGCTACTCACTGACAGCGGCGGCATCCGAGTGCATTTTCAGGCAGCTCACACCCGGCTCGCCGCCCAGGCTCCCGCGCTCGCCTCGCGGTCCCCCCACCAGCTCACTGCACCTCGGCTCGAAGCTGAGGACCCGCCGCCGGGCACTCCCAGCCCGCCCATCTCGCCTTCTCCATTGGCTAAACCGCGGCTCAGGGGCCGCCCTGCTGCGTCTCTCATTTGACAAAAGGAGTGCCCATAGCGCCGGTCTGGAGCTGGCAACGAGGCCCCGCCCCCCACTGGCCAATACGATTGGTCCTGGGGCCTTGTCTCCGTAACGCCCCTGGCGGAGGCCATGCTCCGGAGCAGCGGGTTGGGCCCGGCTGCTGTCAGTCACCCCCAGGGGTCCGAGAGCGCGTGTAGGGGCGAAGCTGGGAAATTGGTCCACCTTGACCCTGAAACCCCGCCCAGTGGCGGGCGGGATTGGTGGAGCTGGAGACCCACCAAGAAAGATGGGTCGGCGTCTGAAACAAAGCACGCGAAGTGTTTCCCAAAGAATAGAGCAGCGCAGCGCAGTTGGGGGCGGCTCGTACCAGCTGCTGGAAGTAGGGAAATGCGTCCGTCCCTAGCGCCCGGCGCGACGCGGCCGGGTCTCCCGCCACTTGTCCCACGACACTTGTCCAGTTCGCGCCGAACTCGGACTGGGACTTCTCTTGTCAGCTGCTTCCTACCGCAGGAAACTGGATTAAGAATTGCCGCGTCTTAATTTCCAGCAAACCTTCTGGTGGGGAGCAAATTTCCATTTCTCCTACGAAGATCCATCCTCTCCCCACTTTCGAAATGTACTTCTTTTCCAGAGTCCGCATACTTGTTTCGCAGAGTTCGCACACTTCTTTCCTCTAGTCACTAATGTCTGTTAAAGAGGCTTCGAATGCCACGAGCATTGTCCGTCACACACATCTGTATGCCCCAGACATCAGACAGAAATACAGGGCCGCGCTCTGAGCTGCGGACTGAGCCTAACACATGGACGAGTCCAGGGGGCAGACCACCAGCCCGTGAAAGACCCCCGGCGGCATCTAAGAAAACCTGTCACTCCCGCGGAGAGGCCGTCCAGAAATTGAAACTGGCTGTTATTTGGCAGAGGGAGACGTTAATTTTGGTGAATTCTTCTGACCCTAAGTCAAGAATTCGCACCATTTCCATGAGTCCTGCCCTGATTTTTCAATACTTGAAGCTAACTTATCACACCGCATTATGGTAACAGAACAATATTTCGAGATATTAACGGAGGATTCCCCCCACCCCAACCCACCCCCACCCTACCCTGCCTCCACCCTCATCCCAGCCACCAACTCCAACAACAACACACCTACAAGGCATCCCCATATCCTAAGGCCCTGGGCCATCTGGGAGCCTCAAAGAGTAGGTGACACCACAAATCACAGGTAACAGAACGCACGGTCTTTTTGGTTTTAGATTTCTACAGCCCAGGCTTTTGGGTTTCCAGGCTCTGAAATTTAGATTTTAAATCAGGACACAAATGTTATGCTATTTGGAAGGGGCTCAGACAAACCAGTTTCTGTGTCCCACAGCACTCCCATGGTAAAATGCTCCCTCCATCTTAATCGCTAATTTCTCTTTAATAAATTACATCCTTATAATACTATTTATATAATATTTTTATCATTCAAACATTTATGAATCACTTTATGGAATCTCAGAACTGTACCTGAAGTTATTTATTATTTGCTTCAGGTTCTTTCGCAAGACAAGAATCTCTCATAGAACATCCTTATTGATCACCTTTATCATGACAGTACCTCAGCGGGGCCCCACAGTGATGGGTAGGTACCTCTGGACTCTGAGATAGGGGATTGCTTGTTGGGCAGATCTAGCAGTAAGAATATCCGCCCTTACTCTGAGCAGGGAAGCTGCTCCTGCATTCTTTATTCTATTTATGTTTCAGCTTAATCTACATCTAGGAAATAATAAATTATATGTCATTTAATACAAGTTTCAAATCTTTTGTGTGTGTAATATTTATGATTTTTTTTTTTACCGTTTACCATGGTACTTCAAAGACTGAGACACATGTTATTTTGCACAGAAAAGGGCTTCCTTCGTGACACCTCTAAATTACAATAAGCCCACAATTAATTATAGCTAGTCATTTGCTCTATTAATTTATTTGCAGCATACTTTATAATAATGTGTATAAGAGTTAAGCTAGATGAAGGATGGGTCGGCTGCTTTGCCCCAGCTCCCAACACTGGCCTGGCATATGCATGGTGTCCATAAAAATTTATAGAATGTACAACCTCTGTTATTTCTCAACATTGCTTTCAGTTGAGTCAGTATGATTATTTTCAAGTAGAAAACAGACTTAGAGGTAATTTACCCAGATCTTTATAAAGAGTCAGCTATAGCCTAAGGATTGAGAGGCAAAGCTCATTCCTAGTCGGCTGACCCTCACTGCCCCCACGTTTTACAAAGTATAATAAAATGACTACATAATGCTCTGCAAATATTACCTGGTCATTTAAATAATCCACACCATATAAACCTCTGATATCAGGAAACTTGTTATAGTTATCTTTTTACTTGCCTAGCACCTAGTACAATGCTTTCAAATATTGTGGTAGGCACTGGTTAACCATACCCCTTAAAATGAATGTTTACCGTACATGAAATTTTAGATCTGGATAGGAACCTTGGTGATTATCAAATCCAACATCTTCATTTTAAAAATAAGAGACTTGACATCCAAAGGAGTTAAATGTTTAATCTGAGTCACTTGGCTAGTTGATAACAAAACAGGGCTTAAATTCAGGTTTCTCAACTCTATCCCCTGTACCACACTGTCTAATATCAAAGCTTCAAATTCCAAAGATAGGTAAACTACTCTCCCTTCCCATCTGAAAGTTACTATGCCAATCTAATACAAGTCTGCTTCATGGTTGAAATGTTGCCTTCTTTTTTATGTATTTCATTCAGGATTTTTTTCAATATGTAAATCAATACTTCACTTTTTTTTTTCTCATTTGTAGTATTCCCAAAGAACATGATCCCCATGGAGAGGTTTACTGAGATAATAATGTTATACTTCTGTACATTTATATTTGAATCCCTGGAGAAAAAAATTAATAATTGAATATCTTGGGACTGTGATGGGTAGAGATATTTGGAGATGCAGTCTTTATGCCATTTCATTTCACCCAGTTACTGCTTTAAGGTAATATTGAAGCAAGTTACTCCATGTTAATGATACCTAATTTAATTGGAATTTTTCTATTTTATTAGTCATACAATATTAATTTTAATCAGATATATTTTGAAATGCCCTAAGCCTAGATTAGAATGTGATATGGAGAAGTCTAGTAAGAGAAAAAAAACAGCAGAGCTCTTCAATCAAATGTTACGCTTTCCCCTAAATTCTGCTAAGCCCACTGTAGCATGCTTTTCCTGCATGTGTTGGGATTGGGAGTAGGAGGAAGAATAGCATAGTTCTTGAGACTGAAAATAAGTTGGGCCTGCACAGACAGATAAATGTGTCCCTGGTAAGATTTAAAGAGAATAAGAAAGAACACAGGACAGAGAGGAATTAATTTGGCCTTAGATTACAGTGAGAGAGTTGGCAGAACTCCTTTAGTAATAAAATGTCAGGCTAGGTGGGTTTCTAGTATTTGGAAATGAAAATAAACCCCCTCCGAAAGGAGAATTTATCCATAGAGGGCAGGATAGTTTTCTTTCTCCAAATATGACCAACTGAATTTGCTGTCCCAAGTGATAACAACTTCTTTCTTAATGCTTCCTATGTGACGGGCACTACTCTAATAGTACTGTACTGGTAAACTAATCTACTTAACTTCACAACAACACAGTGGAGTACTAATAACTAATAGTATCCCCAATCTACAGGTAAGTTAACTGAAGCTTCAAGAGCTTCGGTAACTTGCCACCCAGCTAATAAGTAAACGTGCCCCTAAGTAGCCAGACTCCATGTTTTTAATATTCCTGTGTTGGGCTTTAGTTTCTTTCTTTCTTTCTTCCTTTCCTTCTTTTCTTTCTTTCTTTCTTTCCTTCCCTCCTTCCTTCCTTCCTTCCTTCCTTCTCCTTTCTTCCTTCCTTCCTTCTCCTTCCTTCCTTCCTTCCTTCCCTCCCTCATTCCCTCCTTCTCTCCTTCCCTTCTTCCTTCCTTTTCTCTCTCTCTCTCTGTCTCTTTTGAGACGGAGTCTCACTCTGTCGCCCAGGCTGGAGTGCAGTGGTGGGATCTCCATTCACGGCAACCTCTGCCTCCTGGGTTCAAGTGATTCTCCTGCCTCAGCCTCTCAAGTAGCTGGGATTACAGGCACACGCCACCACACCCGACTAATTGTTGTGTTTTTAGTAGAGACGGGGTTTTGCCATGTTGGCCAGGATGGTCTCAAACTCCTGACCTCAGGTGATCTGCCCGCCTCAGTTCCCAAAGTGCTGAGATTACAGGCATGAGCCACCGCACCTGGCCAGTTCCTTCTCTTTTTAATCAGGTTAATATATGCCCCTATATACCTCAGAGATTATTTATAAGGATACAATAATATGGTTGTTAACATGCTCTCAAAAGATAGTGAAATCAGGCTGGGCATGGTGGCTCATGCCTGAAACCCCAGCACTTTCGGAGGCTGAGGTGGGTGGATCACTTGAGCCCAAGAGTTTGATACCAGTCTGGGCCAACACAGGGAGACCCTATCTCTACAAAAAAATGCAAAATTATCTGGGTGTGGTGGCAGCTGCCTGTAATCCTAGCTACTCAGGTGGCTGAGGTGGGAGGATCCCTTGAGCCCTATGGGTGGAGGCTGCAGTGAGCTGAGATCACGCCACTGCACTCCAGCCTTGGTGACAGAATGAGACCCTGCCTCAAATAAATAAATAAATAAATAAAGTGAAACCAGGCCTCTTTTTAGGGATGAACATCTAGCCACTCAGGCTCCTTTTATAGATCTATATAATGAAAAGTATGGGTCAGAAGGATTACATCCAGGTTACTAAATTCTTATTTATTTTACCCTTTTGACCTTATCCCCACAGCAAATGAGATTATTTATTCAGAGTGTCTAATGAAGCTCTGCTGAATGTTATAAATTCTCGACTTCGATATATCACTGAGAACCCAGGCTGGAGTGCAGTGGCATGATCTTGGCTCACTGCAATCTCCATCTCCTGAGTTCAAGTGATTCTTGTGGCTCATCGTGTAGCTGGGACTACATGCGTGTGCCACCATGCCCGGCTAATTTTGTATTTTTAGTAGAGACAGGTTTTCACCATGTTGGTCAGGCTGGTCTCTAACTCCTGACTTCAAGTGATCTGCCCGCCTCAAGCCTCTCAAAGTGCTGGGATTGCAGGTATGAGCAATAGTGCCTGGCCCTATACTTTTAAATTTTCTAGAAAATCCTGATATCTTTCCTCATGAAGGAGCCATCTTAGAAATCTCTCAGAAAAGCTAAGAATTTTCCAATTATATTTGACATCTGTGTTTCAGTTTTAATTTCGTTTAGCAATGATTTTTTTTTGCCTCTCCTGGATATAGAGAAAATATCATTTATTTGTAAATTATTTCTAACTTCTAAGATTTCTTTTTTTTTTTTTTTTTTTTTTTTTTTTTTTGAGACGGAGTCTCGTTCTGTCGCCCAGGCGGGAGTGCTGTGGCGCGATCTCCGCTCACTGCAAGCTCCGCCTTCCGGGTTCACGCCATTCTCCTGCCTCAGCCTCCCGAGTAGTTGGGACTACAGGCGCCCGCCACTGCGCCCGGCTAATTCTTTGTATTTTTAGTAGAGACGGGGTTTCACCGTGGTCTCGATCTCCTGACCTCGTGATCCGCCCGCCTCGGCCTCCCAAAGTGCTGGGATTACAGGCGTGAGCCACCGCGCCCGGCCTAAGATTTCTTAACACATCACTATCAGGGTAGCATTAGCAAGTCTTTTTGCTAATATTTTATTCCAGTACAGCCATAGAATTCTTAAACTGACTCTTTTCCTTTTTACTCAGGACCTTTTATTTTATGGAAATCACACCTGCCTAGGGAATTAACAAAGTATTTGAATAAAAATGTATTCATTCATTACCACATGTTCTTCTCTGAATTGAGTACTTTCACCTTATTCTGCATTGAGCTAATCAAGTCCTAATGATGCTGCATTAAATTTGATCTCAGAAGGTGCAATTTTCCAACTGAGTCTAAACAATGCATGACCTTTATGGTGTTTTTCATAAATATAGCATTGTTTCAATTACTCCAGCTAGCAGGGGCTGGACAGAAAGAATAATCATTTTATTTGGATAATGGCTTCTGTGTATTGTCAGGCTCTTAATTTCTCCTTGCCTTCTCTAGCCTGCTACCATGAATACAGTGTCTTTCTAACATCCCTCTCAGGGCAGTACAGGAGACCCCATCCATCTCCGGTTGTTGGTGGCTGCATGGCAGCTGAGCATCTCATTATGGCAAAGTGAAGCATTCTGGGAGAGTGGATGGGGAAGGCAGACAGCAATAGGAAATGGGGGAGGGAAGAGGAGGATGGGAGCTGTGGAAAATATGTGCTCACTTCCTTGGTGATGATAATGTGTTATGGAAGTAAGAACTTCCTGTCCTAGTGGGGAAGAGCATGAAGTATGTCAAAAACCCATGATTAAGCAGATTCCAGACCCTACAACCGGGTTACAGCCGCCTCAGCCACCCCGTTCTGCCCAACACTCAGATCTGAACCCCCAGTTGAATCTACCACAGGGGCTATGTTGGTGGGAGGAAAGCAATGAATCCAAGCACTGAAGAAAAATCTATGGTTCCAAAATTGAAAAAGAAATAAATTTGGACACACACACATATGTTCATCTGCAGGCACGCACACAAACACATGCAAACCACTAGCTTACCCCATTGAAAAATATTTATTTCCAACTAACCCGAATGCTTACATTTTACTTTGTTACACTGCCTCAGCTAAGACAGGTTAAAGCAAATGGTCCTTAACATTTTAGGGGTCACAGACCCCTTTTACTAATCATTCACAGTGATGATTATCAAAGGCCTGCAACCCACTCATGCTACCCCACCAGCTCCTGAGTTAAGAATTCCTAGATTAAACATTCAAGTTAACAAGTATTTTATTTTTAAAAGCCAGGGGCTTTAGGGAACAATCCATGGCTCTCAGTAATTTTGTTAGTGAGAGATTAGTTCCACTCTGTTAGCTTTCCTCCCGAGTCTGGTTGACATCTGAGCCTGCACTCAAATGATGGGAATTCTGTTAGGGGGCTGGTGGGTTAAGTGAACAGTTTCAGGCTGTGGAGCAGTGGGAGGAGGAAGGCTTGGCTTGGGGGGCCAGTATTTTAAGGCAGTGGGAAGGTACTTTACATGAAGCAAGAGAGGAGAAGAGCTCTTGGAGATGAAATGCCAAGAATAGATTTCATCTCTTTCGAAATTTTACCCAATTCCAGCTCCAAACAGGGGTCTAGTCAGAACTGCTTCTTGTGAGGCCACCCACACCCAGACACAGGTACCCCCACCCACAGTCTTCCTTTGCCATCTCTCTCATCTCATCATGGCATTCCCTCACCCTCAACCCGAGGCCCCAAGCAGCTCCTCAAGCCCCAGAAATGCCCCAGACCTCCCAGCTGCCCTGTCCCCACCCCACAGGCTAGTCTTAGCCTACAAGTCCAGCCTTGGGCCCCCACAATAGCTTCTCTCTTATTCTTTACTCTTCCATCTCACAAGCACTTTTTCTGGCTTCAAAGCACCATCACCACAACCTCAGTGGTTCCTAAACCTCCATTCACATTTTATAGCTTTAGCTTTGAGAAACATTTCAAATCCACAGATAACAGATTGGGGAATAGAAATATTGGCAAACATTTTAAGTACCACTGACTTTGTAGCAGGTACTGTCTCAAGTACTCATGTTAAGTCATTAATCTTCCCAACAATCCCAAGAGGTAGACATTTTTGTAAAACCCACTTTATGGGTGAAAACACTGAAGCACAGAGAGGTAAAGTAACTTTCTCAAAGACACACAGCTAGTAAGTGATGGAAGTCAGAGAATGAAATCCTAGCAGATGAGCTTCAGATTGGTATTTTTACTCACTGTGCTATGTTGCCTCTTTGATAACATTTTACAGAGGGCTGCTTGCCCACCCGCTACCTGCATCCCCAACACAGATTCCAAATTCTTTAATGTGAAAGCTGTGCTTTTTTTCCTAGCATCAGTAAACACCTAGCATAGTCTTTGGAGTCCAAGGCAAATCTCCTGTATTCTCTCTGCCCACCATTACAGGCAACATGAAACACAGTTTCCCCAATATCAGGGTATGGGCCTTTATTCTTTTCCTTGATAAGCAGATTAGAGGATCTGGAAACAGGACCACAAGTTGGCATATGTAAGAGTAGGTCCCTAAGTAGCAGAGTGTAGTTACAAGCAATGCGACTTTAAAGGATTGCCATTGTGCATGGATCAGACGTGCGTCATTTGCTCCCATTCTCCCACATCCTCTTTGGGAGCCTCTGCTCCCCTTTCCAGCTTCCTGTCCCGGGTGCCCAGGGCCTCTGACCATGGCTCTTGGTGGGTGGCCCTCCTGGACAGACTGCTCCCATTTTCGGGACAAGGCCCATTCTCAGCGAGTAAAGGCAAACCTCACTCTTTGTTCCCTAAACTTGTGAATAGGCTGAAGAAGATTAAAAAGAGCTTGAACAACATCCTTGAGGAAAGCCGTGGAGAAGGAGCCTGAAGACTCAGAAGGAGAATAGACTAGTGCCAAGATTATTCTATTTTAATGATCTAGGGAAGGGTATAGGGCCAGTCGGGTGTGTAAAAGCCTCATGTCCTTTCAGCATCATGAAATGGAGATGCTTCTTTCTTCCCTGCCTCCCTGAAGCACTCTCAGTTTGTGCTACTGGAGCACAAACTACCACCCCCAAAACCCCCAGCACACATACGAAGTATAGACCCCAAGGGAATCAGCCTAATTCAGACACCCTAGACATGTTTGTATTTAGGACCTATTTTGATTAACTTGCCCTTATCAAAACTTGCTTTTCCAACGTCTCATTCCCTCAGATCCTTGTGGATGATTGGCTTGCTGTTCTCGGTTAGGGGAGAAATATAGATGAGTTAAGATATTACCCCTTGCAAACAGATTTACAGCAAAAAAAAAAAAAAGAAAAAAAAAAGAAAGAAGAAAAGAAAAGAGAGAGAGAGAGAGAGAGAGAGAGAGAGAGAGAGAGAGAGAGAAAGACTCCTAACAAACAAATGGCTCAACACCAAAACCTAAAATACTTCCCCAAGCCAGGCTCCCACTCTGCAAAATCTCCCCCCTTCTACTCTTGGTATACAAATCCTCATCCACCTTGATGCCACAGCTTAAAGCTCACCTCCATTAAGCCTTCCTTGACTGAGGCTCCCCACAGTCATGTCTTTTTCCGCTTACTGCCTCCAGCACTAGAACAGAATTTTGCAGGAGAACCAGAACCAGAACCAGAACAAAAGGGAATGGAATCTTGGGGCTAGATAATCTCAGAGGTGAGCTCAGCACATTCTCCCCTTTCACAGGTGAGGAAAGGAAGACACAGAAGTGGCCAGCCTGTGGGCATCAGTGGGCTGTTTGGGGGACATCTGGAGTTGTTTCTGTTTAGCCCTCCTGTCTTTGGCTGAGAAGGACTCCTTCATCTATTGGGAAACTGTTTACTCCACCATTTATGCAACAAAGTTTTAATAGGGGTTGCCAGTCAGGGAGACTCCCACTCCCAGAGAGCATGTGATCTCAGCTGGACCAATGAACATCCTTCCCTGGAATTCTAAAAATTAGAATTAAGGAGAAGCAGCCTTCTCTGGCTGTGAGCTCATAGCTACCAGTAACCATGGCTCCCACCTCATAGAAAAAGCTAGTCTAAGAGAAATAGGCAGAAACACTCATTTCCTTGCATATTCATTTCATTCATGAAACAACCATTATTTATCCAGGGCCTTCAATGTGTCAGACACTGTCCTGGGCTCTAGGCATTATACATTGAGCAAGAATGGACCCAGTTGCTGCCCTCATGGGGCTTGCCTTAAATAATCATGTAAGCAAAGTAAAACTACCATTTTAACAAGTAGTGAGATGAAAAAGTGCACAGATTTTTTTGAGAGCTATGGAATCTGGCTCAGTTGCTGTATACAGTTGTGCAATTTGTGCACTGCACAAAACAGCATGAGCCAAGGGGCCAAGTGGGCTGAAATGTCATACTCTGCTCATCAAGCCAAGAGCCCTGGCGAGAAGCTGTGTTTGCTCAGAAAAAGGGGCACTCTGTTTTTCACATACTGGCACTGTCTAGCCAAAGGGATCACCTTTTTCTAATTTGCCCCAAACACTTGAGTGGAACAGCCAGGAATCTGGGTGTGATCCAGTCAGGGAGTTGAGTGGTAGGAGGGGGAGGCTTCACTGAGGAGGTGACTGGAATCACATGAACAATGAGCAAAAGATAAACTAAGTTGGAGGAAAGAGCTTTCCAGACACAGGGAACAGCCTATGCAATGGCCTTGTCTTGATGATGACTTTCTAGCCCCTGGTTTCAATCACTCCCAAGGCCTGGCCAATTCTCTGGCCTTCCAGGGCATTGGTCTCATGGCAATCCATCCCCCTCTGTAGTTCAAGTTAGGTTTCTGTCCGTTGAAACCAGGAAAGTCACAGCTCATAGAGCAAAACTTGTCCAACTCTCTTTCCTCCCAAGTCCAGGGAGCCTCCATTATCTCTACCAGACCCCTTCCTTCCATGATAGAAACTTCTACTCTGTATGACTTGCTCTCCTTTAGGGCAAGAACTCTATTGTTGATGATTTAGCACTGTCTCTAGCAGATAATAGAAGCTCAATAAACATTTCACAAATCAAGATTTGACAAATTCTTTGCTAGTAGTCATTTCATCCACCATGGCTGGACGATGTGGTGAAGTACTGAGGGATAGGTTGGCTTTTCTGTACTTCTCTCATCACCCTCCAAATTCATCCACAGGTTTCTACTGGTACTATTTCTATACGCAGTCTCGGGCTTATACTTATGTTAGTAGATGACTCTGATTTGAGTCTGATGACTCTAGAATTTGTCTATGGATAGCTAGAGTGGTTGATTTCATGAGGAAAAGAGTCTGCAGCTTTTATTCTGTCTCAGTATGTTGAGTGCCAGTGGGCCACCTTTAGGTTAAGGTGTTTTCCAGATCTGAAAGTCTATTGCTGAATGTTAAAGATGACTTTCACTCTGTGCTTAATATCCACTAGGGCCCTGTCTAGAGGTGTCAGGCAACTTGAAATCCTCTGTGGTTTTGTCATCCAACAACAGTCTGCTTTCCCATTGGTCTCTGTATTATTCTTAGATTAAAGGCAATCACTCTTTGCGGCATATCCTTCCCCTGCAACTCCAGGGCCTGAAGAATTTCAGCTTCTTATCGCATCTCATGCTGTTGCTGCTGCTGCCACCACCATTGCTATTAGTTTTGTTAAAGAAGCTGGTGTTTGAAGCTTTTTGTTAAAAAGGCTGGTATTTGAGCTGGTGTTTGAGACTCATGTCCCTTTTTAATAAGCCGGACTCTATTGGCTGAGACCCAGGCTGACCTACAGAGGCTGCTGAATAAACCGATATTTGGGCATAAGAATCATAGAATTAGGTTGCTATTCTTCCCAGAATCTTGGGACCCAAGGGTTTCGAGAGTATCTTTCATTCTTTTCACAATTCATCTCATAAGAGGATAAACATGAAGACAATGCTTCCATCAGATTCTGTTCACACTTTCTCCCCCAAGACTATAGAACCAGCAAATCTATTGAAACCGGGTGGTGGGGGTTGCAAAAAGATGGTACACCTACATTTTGCAATGAAATAGCCAAGGTTTGATCTTGGCTCTTCCACCCAACAGAGGACATTGTTATATGGCCTTTCCAGGCAAGATTTTCTGTCTCTAAAATGGCCCAATGGCGCCACCTGCCTCACAGGCCTGTTGTGGGGACTCAAACAGACAATGCATAATGCGAAAGACAGGATAATGGCAAAGGAGACTGTAGATGTGATTAAGGACCCTGAGCTGGGGAGGTTATCCTGGATTCTCACTGTGGGCCTCATGCAATCACAAGTGTCCTTAGAAGTGAAGGAAGGAATCAGAGAAGAAGATGTGATAAAGTCAGAGTAAGGCGATTGCTGGAAGGAGCCAGGAGCCAAGAGCCAAGGAACGTGGTGACCTCTAGAAACTGAACAGGGCAAGGAAACAGATTTCCCCTAGAGCCTCCAGAAGGAACACAGCCCTGACAACACCTGGATTTAATCCCATGAGAGCCATTTTGGGGTTCTGATTCAAGAACTGTAAGACAATGAATATGTGCTGTTTTGAGCCACTAAAATTTGCGGTAATTTGTTATAGCAGTCATAAGAAATTAATACGGCATGTAAAACACTTATTCAGGTACCTGATAAAATTTCATAAGTTGTTGTGGCTTTCACTATTATTTTTGTTTCCTTTAGTCAGATCACTTTTGTTATAAATGATAAAAGTTCAACCTGTATAGCTTAGGTA
Source organism: Homo sapiens (assembly GCF_000001405.40). Classification (NCBI taxonomy): domain Eukaryota; kingdom Metazoa; phylum Chordata; class Mammalia; order Primates; family Hominidae; genus Homo; species Homo sapiens. The sequence goes on along the minus strand of NC_000004.12, from coordinate 51,830,735 downwards.
AAAAAGGAGTAATCAAAACAAAGCAAAACAGGTATGCTAATAGAAGAAAACTTATTTATTGAGCACTGGCCCTGACATTGAGAGAGGGGCCCCAGTGGCTTGCCTGGGATCATGTAAAACAAAAAGCAGATACTCTTGCCCAGGACTTTTCACTTTTACAACGTGGTGCAAAGGTACAAGAGTGTATTAGAGATCGTCACTTGACTCCAGCAAAGTTGAGAGTCTAACAGCAACACAGAGAATTCAGAAGCAGCAGAGTCCAGCATTATGCAGGAAGTGTCTGGAGCACTGGCCTGGTGCCAGTGGCAGCATCCTAAGTGACCCATCTCTGTGGCAGGACTTAAATTATGCTCTAAACTGCTTGGTTCTTGCATAAGCTAGGGTTTTCAAACTTTCCATGCTTTCTATGAACTCCCCAGTGCTCTCCCACTAAATGAATCATCTGTATAAGTTAACCAGAGTCACTTTTGTTGTGTGCAACCAAGAATCTTGCCAAGTTCAGCAGACACAATCTAGTCTCAGGGTCAACTTGATCTAGGAACCGGAACACAAAGGGATTCCTCTCACTGTCTTGTTTCCACTTCTATGTATGTTTTGACTTGTTTTGGTTGTGATGGTGGTTTTGAGTTTTTTTGTGTGTGTGGTTTCACACACTTCTCATTTTGGTAAGGATATATTATCTTGCAGTTTAGGGTCACTCTTTAAAATGTGTGATCTCAGGATCTTGATTGGCAGGGCTTAAATCATGTGCGTATATCTAAGCCTATGGCACAGCAGGGGATGGAATAGAATTGGCCAGGACTGAATCATATAACTTCTTCTGGGGCCATTGGGTACTATGATTGGGAGCCCCAAAGGAACAACATAAAGTTAGTAAAGAAGGGGCAGTACTCCAAAGAAGGCATGAGGCTGTTTCCAGAAGAATAGAGGAAAGAAATGCTAAGCAGGAAATTTTTTTAAAGATGTCACTTTGTAATTGTTATTGTTATTTTATGACAATGCATTCATTTGTTTTAACAATACTTGTTGAGCACTTGCTATGTACCAAGCACTGTGCTAGACTCTAGGGATACAGCAATTAGCAAAACAGATAAAAAGTCATGTATAGAAATTCAAGGAACCCTGAAAAGGCAAAACAATATTGAAAAATAACAACAAATTTGGAAGCTCACACTTTCAGATTTTAAAACTTACTACAAATCTACAGTAATCAAGATGACGTGTTACTAGCATAATGATAGACATGTAGATCAATAAGATAAGACTCAGAGCACAGAAATAAAAATGTAAGCATTTATGGTTGATTGATTTTTGACAAGGCTGCCAAAACAATTCATCAGAGAAAGAATAGTCTTTTCAATAACCAGTGCTGGGACAACTGGATATCCACAGGCAAAAGGATAAATTTGCCTTGCTACCTCACACCATATACAAAAAATAACTCAAAATGGATCATTGACTTCAGTGTACGAGCTAAAACTGTAAATAAAGGCTTATAAGAAAACGTAGGCATACATTTTTTTGTGAACTTGGAATAGGCAATGGTTTCTTAGATATAATACCAAAAGCACAAGTGACACAAAATATACAGATAAACCGAACTTCATCAAAATTAAAAACTTTTGTGCTTCTAAGGACACCATGAGGAAAGTAAAAAGGCCATGCACAGAATGAGAGAAAATGTTTGCAAATCATATATCTTGCAAGGTATTGGTATTATGAACATATAAAGAACTCTCACACCTCAACTTTAGAAAGACAACTAGCTCAATTTCAAAATGGGCAAAGGACCTGAATAAACACTTCTCCAAAAAATATACACAAATGTCCAATAAGCATATGAAAAGTTTCCCAGTATCTTACTTATTAGGAAAGTGCAATTCAAAACCTCAGTGGGACACCCTTTCATACTTACTAGGATGGCTCTAATCAAAAGACAAATGATAACAGGTCTTGGCAAAAGTGTTACAGGCCAACACATCTGGGAGAAATTGGAACCCTTATACACTGCTAGTGAAAATGTAAAATGATAAAGCAGCTTTAGAAAGCAATTTTTCAAAAGATCAAAAAAGACAAGGCCGTTACATGATGACAAAGAGTTCAATTCAACAAGAAGATATAACTATACAAAATATATATTCACCCAACTCAGGAGTACTGAGATTCATAAAGCAAGTTCTTAGAAACCTACAAAAAGACTAAGACTCCCACACAACAGTAGTAGAAGACTTCAATACCCCATAGACAATATTAGACAACTCATCATGACAGAAAATTAACAAGGATATTCAGGACCTGAACTCAGCACTGGATCAAATGGACCCTGATAGACATCGACAGAACTCTCCACCCAAAAGCAATAGAATATGAATTCTTCTCTCAGTCACATGGCTCATACTCTAAAATTAATCACATAATTGGGCAGAAAACATTTCTCAGCAAATGCAAAAGAATTGAAATAATAACTACTATTTGAGACCACAGTGCAATGAAATTAGAAATCAAGACTAAGAAATTCATTCAAAACCATATAATTACATGGAAATTGAATAACATGCTCCTGAATAACTTCTGAGTAAATAATGGAATTAAGACAGAAATCAAGAAGTTCTTTGAAACTATGAGCACAAAGCTACAACATACCAGAATCTCTGGGACACATGTAAGGCAGTGTTACAAGGAAAATTTATAGCACTAAATGCCCACATCAAAAAGCTTAAAAGATCTCAAGTTGAAAACCTAACATCACAACTGAAAGAGCTAGAGAACCAAGAGCAAACAAATTCCAAAACTGGCAGAAGAAAAGAATGAACCAAAATCAGAGCTGAACTGAAGGAGATTGAGAAACGGAAAACCATTCAAAAGATCAGTGAATCCAGGAGCTGGTTTTTTGAAAGAAATTAATAAACTAGACCACTAGCTAGACTAATAAAGAAGAAAAGAGAGAAGGTTCAGATAAACACAATCAGAAACAATAAGGGGGATATTACCACTGACCCCACAGAAATACAAACAACCATTAGAGAATATTATGAAGATCTCTATGCACATAAACTAGAAAAATCTAGAAGAAATTGATAAATTCCTGGCACATAGACCCTCCCAAGACTGAACCAGGAAGAAATTGAATCCCTGGACAGACCAGTAATGAGCTCTGAAATTGGGTCAGTAATAAATAGCCTACCAACGAATAAAAGCCCATAACCAGACAGATTCACAGCTGAATTCTACCATATTTACAAAGAAGAGCTGGTATCATTCTTTCTAAATCTATTCCAAAAAATTGAGCAGGAAAAACTCTTCCCTAACCCATTCTATGAGGCTAGCATCATCCTGATACCAAAACCTGGCTGAAACACAACAAAAAAGAAAACTTCTGACCAATATTCTTGATGAAGATCGATGCAAAAATCCTCAACAAAATACTGGCAGGCTGAATCCAGCAGCGCATCATAAAACTTACCCACCATCATCAAGTAGGCTTCATCTCCAGGATGCAAGAATGGTTCAACATACATTAATCAGTAAATGTGATTCATCACATAAACAGAACTAAAGACAAAAACCAATGATTATCTCAATGGATGCAGAAAAGGCTTTCAATAAAATTCAACACCTTTCAGGGTAGAAACTCTCAATTAACTAGGTATCGAAGGAACATACCTCAAAATAATAAGAGCCATCTATGCAAACCCACAGCCAATATCATATTGAATGGACAAACGCTGGAAACATTCCTCTTGAAGCCCAGCATAAGATGGGGATGCCCTCTCTCGCCATTCCTATTCAACACAGTATTAGAAGTCCTGGCCAAGGAAATCAGGCAAGGGAAAGAAATAAATGGCATCCAAATAGAAACAGAGGAAGTCAGATTATCCCTATTTGCAGATGACATAACTGTATATCTAGAAAACCCCATGGTCTCAGCCCAAAAGCTCCTTAAGCTGATAAAGAACTTCAGCAAAGTCCCAGCATGCAAAATCATTGTGCAAAAACCTCAAGCATTCCTACATATCAACAACAGTCAAGCTGAGATCCAACTCTGAAATGCAATCCTATTCACAACTGCCACACAAAAGTAAAATACCTAGGAATACAGCTAACTAGAGAGGTGAAGGATCTCTACGATGAGAATTACAAAATACTGCTCAAAGAAATCAGAGATTACATAAACAAATGGAAAAACATTCCAAGCTCATGAATGGGAAGAATCAATATCACTAAAATGGCCATACTACCCAAAGCAATTTATAGATTCAATACCATTCCTATTAAATTACCATTGACATTCTTCACAGAAGTAGAAAAAAACTATAATATTTTTAAATTCATATGGAACTAAAAAAGAGCCTGAGTAGCCAAGGAAATTCACACAAAAAGAACAAAGCTGGAATTATCACACTACCTGACTTCAAACTATGCGACAGGCCTACAGTAACCAAAATATTATGGTAGTGGTACAAAAACAGACACATAGACCAAGGGAACAGAATAGAGAACACAGAAATAAGGTTGCATACCTACAACTATCTGATTTTCAACAAAAATAAGCAATGAGGGGAGGATTCTCTATTCAATACATGGTGCTGGGGTAACTAGCTAGCCATATGCAGAGGATTGAAATTTGACCCCTTCCTTACACCATATACAAAAATTAACACAAGATGGATTAAAGACTTAAATGTAAAACCCAAACTATAAAAACTCTGGAACATAACCTAGGCAATACTATTCTGAACCTAAGAATGGGAAAAGATTTCTTGACAAAGACACCAAAAGCAATGCAACACAAGAAAAAATTGACAAGTGGGATCTAATTAAACTACATAACTTCTGCACAGCAAAGGCAGTGATCAACAGAGTGAACAGACAACCTACAGAATGGGAGAAAACATTTGCAAACTGTGCATCTGACAAAGGTCTAATATACAGCATCTATAAAGATCTTAAATTTACAAGGAAAAGAAAAACAAACAAACCCATTAAAAAGTGGGCAAAGGACATAAATAGACACTTTGAAAGAAGACATACACGTGGCCAATAATAATATGAAAAAAAGCTCAACGTTACTGATCACTGGAGAAAGGCAAATCAAAACCACGATGAGATACCATCTCACCCCAGTCATAATAGTTACTATTAAAAGTTAAAAAATAACAGATGCTGGCAAGGTTGTGGAGAAAAAGGAATGCTTATACACTCTTCGTGGGAGTGTGAGTTACTTCAACCATTGTGAAGACAGTGTGGCAATTCCTCAAATACCTAGAAACAGAAATATCATTCAACCCAGCAATCCCATGACTGGGTATATACCCAAAGGAATTTAAGTCGTTCTATCATAAAGACACCTGTGTGTGTACATTCATTGCAGCACTATTCACAATAGCAAAGACATGGAATCAACCATAAATGCTCATCGATGGTAGACTGGATAAAAAAAATGTGGTACATATACACATGGAATACTGTGCAGCCATAAAAGAAGAATGAGATCATGTCTTTTGCAGGGACAGGGATGGAACTGGAGGCCATTATCCTTAGCGAACTAACGCAGGAACAGAAAACCAAAGTCCACATCTTCCCACTTAGAAGTGGGAGCTAAATGATGAGAACACATGGACACATAGAAGGGAACAATATATATTGGGGCCTATCAAAGGGTAGAGGGTAGGAGGTTGGAGAGGACTGGGAAAAATGGCTAATGGGTACTAGGCTTAATACCAGGGCGATGAAATGATCTGCACAACAAACCCCCATGACACTAGTTTACCTACCTATATAACAAACCTGCACATGTGCCTCTGAACTTAAAATAAGAGTTAAATTTTAAAAAACAGTTTTTCAAAAGTTTAAACATAGAGTTATCATATGCCCCTGTAATTCCTCTTAGACCTAGGCCTAAGTCAATGAGCTCATTGAATTTCTTTGGCCATTGTAATTGGTTCAGTGACAGGCACATGACTGAAGTCAAGTCAGTCAGAGCCAGCATGTATTTGAGGTACTCGAGTCTCCATCTCTCCTTCTGTATTAAACCTGGAAGAGCTACCTGAGCCATCTTGCCCTTAGAAAGGAAAACCTGTCTAAGAAGAGAGTCAATCCAGCAGAGGGCAGAGCCAAGAGACAGAAAGAATGAAACTGCATCCATATGAAATAATTGAGAACTTAGTACATTAGGTTGGGATTTAAGAGTCTTAACGCAATAAAAAACAGTCTTAAACAATGCAGTTTAAGCCATTAAGTTTACAGAAGTAGTTTCCCTTAATACTTTAAACTTCTGATAGAAATGTCAGCAGGCTGTGTTGAAGGCTATTCAAACACTATCTTTTTAATTACAGGAGACTTCCTATTCATGTTAGGTTAGTTGGTATCCTTCGTTGCCATTATTTCATACCTCTGTACCAGTTTTTGGTACCCAGGAATAAGAAAGACATAATCCTATTCTTGAATCTAGACACTTGGTCTAAAAAAGTGGTTCTCAATCATTTTTCTGTCATAATACACATAAAAAATTATGTTCCCATGAGCAACTTGTTCCTAAAGACTTATTAAGATCAGGAGTGCTGCAATATATATAGCATAGGTTTTTATGTATACAGGGCCCTAACCAAGTCTCCACTCAAGAATATGAGAATACAAGGGAGTGAAATTGAAGTTAATATAAAGATAATTTTAAATCTATCTAATTTATTTAGAAAAAATACAATTCACATGAGAGAAAATATTTACAAATCACATCCGACAAGGACCTGGTATCCAGAATACGTAAAGAATTCTTACAATTCATCAACAAAGAGACAACAAGATTTTATAATGGACAAAGGAATTGAATAGACATTCATCTAAGAAAGATATACAAACAAACAATAAGCAAGTGAAAAGATGCCCAAAATTATTGATTATTAGGAGAAGGCAAATCAAAACCACAAGGAGATACCACTTTATACCCACTTAGATGGTTATAATTGAAAAAACAGAATATAACAAGTGTTTGTAAAGATGTAAAGAAATTATAAGCCTCATCTCTTCCTGGTGAGAATGTAAAATGGTTCAGCCACTGTGGGAAATAATTTGGGATTTCTTTTAAAATTTAAACATAGAATTACTATTTGACCCAGCAACTTCACTCCTAGGTACATACCCCAAAGAATTTAAAACAGGCACTCAAGCAATTACTTTTACATGAATAGCAGCACTTTCACAATTGCCAAAAGGTAGAAACAACCCAAATGTCCATGGATGGATGAATGAATAAACAAATTGTAATATATACATGCAATGGAATATTATCAGCTATAAAAAGGAATGAAGTCGTGCTACAATGTGGATGAACCTTGGAAACATTTTGCTAAGTGAAAGGAGCAAGACACAAATGGTCACATATTGTATAATTCTATTTATATAATACATTCAGAACAAGTAAATCCATAGAAACAAAGAATGGATTGGTAGTTGTCAGAAGGGGTGGGGTGTAACTGCTTAACAGACACAGGGTTTTATTGTAGGGTGATGAAAATGTTTTGGAACTAGATAGAGGAGGTGATTGTACAACATTGTGAATATACTAAATGACATTGAATTGTTTACTTTAAAATGGTTAATTTGATGTTATGTGAATTTCACCTCAATAAAAACATAGTAAAGCATTAAAACATAGGCATTTATGATATAAATAACCTACTAATTTATATCTGTGTCAAGACATTATAAAGTGCCCTCCCATGAAAATATTACTACTATTTCTCTTTTGTTTAATTCTCAACTAAATGCCTACCACTGTGTTTCGCATACCAGTGAATGATTGTTGTGTAAGTGTGTGATTTTTAGATATACAGTTCATTCTGCTTCCTCTTCTGTCAACTGGCTTATCTTGAAGAAGATATCATTCTCAATTGTCTTATTTGAATTGTCAATCCTATTTCATCCACTCTCAAAGATATCTGTAAAGTCTTTCTCCCATGTCTTTAACATCTCAAGCCCATTTTATTTATCATCGTGACTCTATGCTCCTGTTAGATTCTACAACAAGAGTGTTTTCAACCTTCTGAATAAAAAGAAAGGTATAACTCTGTGAGATGAATCAACACATCACAAAGCATGTTCACAGATAGCTTCATTCTGGTTTTTATTGTGGGATACTGGATTTTCATTCTAGGCCTCATAGGGCTCCCAAATGTCCCTTCACGGATTCTACAAATAGAGTGTTTCCAACCTGCTGAATCAAAAGAAAGTTTTAACTCAGTGAGATGAGTGCATACATCACAAAGCATTTTCACAGATAGCTTCTTTCTAGTTTTATCACAGGATATTCAGTTTTTCACTGTAGGCCCCAGTGGGTTCCCAAATGTCCCTTCACAGGTTCTACAAGAAGAACATTTTCAACCTACTGAATCAAAAGAAATGTTTGACTCTATGAAGTGAATCCACACATCACAAAGTGTTTCCACAGATAGCTTCCTTCTAGTTTTTATCATGGGATATTCAGTTTTTCACTATAGGCTTCAATAGGCTCTCGAATGTCCCTTTGCAGATTCTAGAAAAAGAGTGTTTCCAACCAGCTGAATCAAAAGAAAGATTTAACTCTGTGAGTTGAATCCACACACAGCAAAGCATTTTCACAGGTAGCTACTTTCTAGTTTTTATTGCAGGATATTCGTTTTTTTACTGTAGGACTCAATAGGCTCCCAGATGTCCCTTCGCAGATTCTACAAAAAGAGTGTTTCCAACCTGCTGAATCAAATGAAAGGTTTAACTCTGTTTGATTTATCCACACATTGCAAAGCATTTTCACAGATGGCTTCTTTCTAGTTTTTATTGCAAAATATTCCATTTTTCACTGTAGGCCTCTATGGGCTCCCAAATATCCCTTTGCACATTCTACAAAAAGATTCCAACCTGTTGAATCAACAGAAAGGTTTAACTATGTGAGATGAATCCACTCATTGCAAAGCATTTTCACAGGTAGATTCTTTCTAGTTTTTATCACCGGATATTTGGTTTTTCACTATAGGAATCAATAAGCTCCCAAATGTCCCTTCACGGTTTCCACAAAAAGAGTGTTTCCAACCTGCTGTACCAAAGGAAAGGTTTAAATCTGTGAGATGAATTCATACATTGCAAAACGTTTTCACAGTTAGTTTCTTTCTAGTTTTTATTGCAGATATTTGATTTTTCACTACAGGTTTCAATGGGTCCCCAAATTTCCCTTCATAGATTCTACAAAAAGAGTGTTTCCAACATGCTGAATCAAAAGATAGGTTTAACTCTGTGAGATAAATCCACCCATCACAAAGCGTTTTCACATCTTCTTCCTTTTAGTTTTTATCTCAGGATATTCATTTTTTCATCATAGGCCTCAATGGGCTCCCAAATGTACCTGCACAGATTCTACAAAAAGAGTGTTTCCAACCTGCTGAATCAAAAGAAAGTTTTAACTCTGTGAGATGAATCCACACATCATACAGCACTTTCACAGATTCCTTCTTTGTGGTTTTTATCACGGGATATTGGTTTTTCACTGCAGGCCTCAATGGGCTCCCAGATGTTCCTTCGCAGACTGTATAAAAAGAGCGTTTCCAACCGGCTGAATCAAAACAAAGGTTTAACTGTGTTTGATTTATTCGCACATTGTGAAGTGTTTTCACAGCTAGCTTCTTGCAAGTTTTTATCACAGGATATTTGTTTTTCACTGCAGGCCTCAATGGGCTCTCAAATGTTCCTTCGCAGACTGTATAAAAAGAGCATTTCCAACCTGCTGAATCAAAACAAAGGTTTAACTGTGTTTTATTTATTCACACATTGCAAAGTGTTTTCACAGCTATCTTCTTTCAAGTTTTTATCATGGGATATTCAGTGTTTCACCATAGACCACAAAGGGCTCCCAAATATTTCTTCACAGATTCTACAAAAAGAGTGTTTCCAACCTGCTGAATAAAACGAAAGGTTTAACAATTTCATTTCTTCACACATTGCAAAGGATTTTCACAGATAGCTTCTTTCTAGTTTTTATGGCAGGATATTCAGTTTTTTACTACAGACCTCTATGGGCTCCCATGGGTCCCTTCACAGGTTCTACAAAAAAAGTGTTTCCAACTTGCGGAGTCAGCAGAAAAATTTAAATCTGTGAGATGAGTCCACTCATTGCAAAGTGTTTTCGCAGATAGTTTTTTTCTAGATTTTATTGCTGGATATTTGGTTTTTCAATAGGGCTCAGTAAGCTCCCAAATGTACCTTCACAGTTTCCACAAAAAGAGTGTTTCCAACCTGCTGAATCAAAAGAAAGGTTTAACTCTGTGAGATGAATGCACACATCACAAAGCATTTTCACAGATTGCTTCTCTTTAGTTATTGCAAGATATTCATTTTTTCACTATAGGCCTCAATGGGCTTCCGAATGGCCCTGCACAGATTCTACAAAAAGATTGTTTCCCACCTGTTGAAACAAAAGAAAGTTTTAACTCTGTGAGATGAATCCACACATTGAACAGCACTTTCACAGATAGCTTCTTTATAGTTTTTACAGTGGGATATTGGTTTTTCATCACAGGCCTCACTGGGCTCCCAAATGTTCCTTCGCAGATTGTACAAAAATAGTTTTCCAACCTGCTGAATCAAAAAGAAGTTTTTACTCTGTTTGATTTATTCAAGCATTGCAACATGTTTTCATAGCTAGCTTCTTTCAAGTTTTTATTGCAGGATATTTGGTTTTTCACTATAGGCCTGCTGAATCAAAAGAATGATTTAAATCTGTGAGATGAATCCACACGTCACAAAGCAGTTTCATAGATAGCTTCTTTCTAGTTTTTATCTTGGGATATTGGACCTCCTCTTAAAAATGTTAATAAGCCTCCAGAAATTGGGAGGTGAGAAACCTCTAATACGAGAGGTTTGACCCCCTCTTAAAAGCCTTAGTGAGCCTACAGAAAGAGGGGGTTAGACACCTCTAATAGGAGAGTTTGGAGCCTCCCCCACCACATGGCCTCTAAGGTGGGGAATGTTTCAAATAAGACAGGAAAACTAAGGAGTCTAGATAGTGACAAAATTCCTTCTGATAGCCTCTTGGGGCCTATGCTGAAGTATTGGAAAGATAATGAGAGAACCAAGTATGAATGAAAACAGCAGATGATAAAATATTGTTTTATTTGGGTTCAAGAACCCATCCTTAAACCCTGACTTTTCTGGCCAAAATTTGGGTCTAAATGAGGAGCGATTTGTCAGCTCTTAATCGAGCATGTTAATAATAAGAGCCCTGTCTCCTGGGAAGAAATCAATTACACCTTCTGTTGGTGGCAGAGGCCTGTCCTCCTTAACCCTTTAGAATCCGGAGGGAGAAAACCAGAAACCAACCTCTCTGGAAGGGAAAGTGTCCCCATGTCTAGACAACCCACAACCACTAACACATCAGACCCTCTAGATCATCTTCCTTCATTCAGTGCCCCCGACCCCACTCCTCCAGTTTCCATTTCCGGACACTCCCCTGCTTCCATCCTTCTTCTGGCTGTCCCCCATCCCACCCCTCCGGTTCCTGTTTCCATTTCAGGTCTTTCCTCTGCTTGCATCCTTCTTCCAGCTGTCCCCGATCCCGCCCTTCTGGTTCCCATTTCTGTTTCAGGTCCTTCCCCAGCTTGCATTACTCTTCCAGTTGTCCCCATCCCACTCCCCCCATTTCCATTCCAGGTCACTCCCCAGGTTGTGCTGTCTGTCCCTTCAGCTGCGGTTTCGGGTTACTCCTCAGCTGTTTCAGGGCACTCCTTTGCCTGTGTTACTTGCCCGTGTTCTATTCCCCCAACTGCTGCTGCGGATCCCTCCCCCGCTTGTGGTGTCTCTGCTGATATTGCTTCCCCTCCCTATAATCCCGACTTTGCAGAATTACTACCTTGTGAGCCTGCCCCCCAACCTATTAAGTATCCCTCATTAAAGGGGCTTCAACATGACATAGAACAATGTAAAAAGGAAATTCAAAACTTTCCATTTCCCTCCACACCTAGAGAGACAGATCCGACTTTCTTTCCACTAAGAGAGGTACCAGGGGGTGGGGAGGGGAGGGCTATTGGCTTTGTAAATGCCCCATTGACTAGTTCAGAATTCCAGAATTTTAAAAAGGAGCCTAAGACACTACTGGATGACCCTAATGAAGTATCAGATCAAATTGATAAATTTCTAGGGCCTCAAATATACACTTGGGCTGAATTGGTGTCCATCTTGGGCATCCTCTTTTCTGGGGAAGAACAAAGTATGATTTGGAGGGCCGCTATGGTGGTTTGGGAACGTGAGCACACTCCCGGTCAAAGTGTTCCTCCTATGGACTATAAATTTCCCTCTCGAGATCCCTAGTGGGACAATAACAATGCAAATCACTGGGAAAACATGCCAGACCCAAGGGAGATGATAATAAAAGGAATACAAAAATCAGTACCCCAAACTCAAAATCTTTCTAGAGCATTTGATGTTCAACAGGAAAAAGATGAGGGACCTGCTAGATTCTTAAATAGATTGAGGGAGCAAATGGGACAATATGCAGGCCTTGATTTGGAAAACCTCCTTGGGCAAGGAATATTACAACTTCACTTCATTACTAAAAGTTGGCCAGACATTTCAAGAAAATTACAAAAGATAGAAAATTGGGAGGACCGTCCCTAAGTGAACTGCTCAGGGAGGCTTAAAAAGTATATGTAAGAAGAGACAAGGGAAAACAAAAACAAAAGGCAAAACTTAGTTATCCACCTTCCAACAGATAGCTCCAAATCCATATATCCCTAAGCAGGACTTTCAAGGGGCCTGAGATTATAAGGGGCCTAAACCCTCCTTGAGAGGACCCAAGCCTCCATCCAGAGGGTTGAGGCCCTCATTTGATAAGCCCCCTAAGGAGTATAGGGGAGCAAGGGGAGAGAATGCTAAGACTGAGAAGGAAGAAGAGCAAGATAGATGTTATGGATGTGTTACAGATGTGGAAGAACAGGTCACTTCAAGAGGGAATGTCCTGAACTAAAGAAAGAGAGAGAAACTTTCACACTCATGACTTTTGAAGAGCAATAGGGGAGTCAGGGGCTCCACATTTTTTATTTTGTGTCCCACCAGGAGCCCTTAATAAATTTGGAAGTGGGACCTAAATGCGGATTTATCACCATTTTAGTTGATTCAGGGATTAACGCTCCTCTGCTTGTTTGCCCGAACCTGGTCTTCCCTGCTTTTCAGAAGAACTTTTAGTCTCTGGGGTAAAATAAAAAGGATTTAAGACAAAAATTTTAGAAAGCAGAGAAGTCAGATAAAAAGATCGATTTACTCCTATTCAATTTTTATTACTTCCTGATGTGGAAACTAATCTATTAGGAAGTGACTTAATGTTGAGGCAAGGCATAGGCCTTCAAGTGGGCTCTAAAGGATTTCTCACTTCACTACATTTACTCACTGCAGTGGATTAGAAATGTATTCGTCCTGATGTCTGGTAAAAGGAAGGAAATAGAGGGAAACTACAAATCCCTCCAACACATATCAAACTAAAAACAGAGTTGAACGCTTTCTTTGATAGAGCAGTTTAGAAACATTCTTTTTGTAGAATCTGCAAGTGTTCATTTGGAGTGCTTTGAAGCCTACAGTGGAAAAGGTAATATCTTCACATACAAACTAGACAGAAGTATTCTCAGACAGTTCTTTGTGATATGTCCATTCAACTCACAGAGATGAAGGTTTCCTATGATACAGAAGATTTGAAACAGTCTTTCTGCATACACTGCAAGTGTTCATTTGGAGCGCTTAGAGGCTCATGGTGGAAAAGGAAATATCTTCACATATAAACTAGATAGAAGCATTCTCAGAAACATTTTGTGATGTGTGAATTCAACTCACAGAGTTCAACGTTCCTTTTGATAGAGCTGTCTTGAAATCCTGCTTTTGTACAATCTGCTTGAGGATATTTGGAGCTCTTTGAGGAATACGGTGTAAACGGGATATCTGCACAAACTTGACAGAAGCATTCTCAGAAACTGTTTTGTGATGTGTGGATTCAACTCACACAGTTCAACCTTCTTTTGATAGAGCATTCTTGAAACACTGCTTGGGTAGAATCTGCTTGAGGATATTTGGAGCTCTTTGAGGAATTCGTTGTAAACGGGATATCTGCACATACAAATTAGACAGAAGCATTCTCAGAAACTTTTTTGTGATGTGTGGATTCAACTCACAGAATTCAACCTTCCTTTTGATAGAGCAGTCTTGAAATACTGCTTTTTTAGAATCTGCTTGAGGATATTTGGAGCTCCTTTAGCAAATCGTTGTAAAAGGGATATCTGCACATACAAACTAGACAGAAGCGTTCTCAGAAAATTTTTGTGATATGTGGATTCAACTCACAGAGTTCAACATTCCTTTTGATAGAGCATTCTTGAAACACTGCTTGGGTAGAATCTGCTTGAGGATATTTGGAGCTCTTTGAGGAATTCATTGCAAAAGGGATATCTCCACATACAATCTAGACAGAAGCATTCTCAGAAAATTTTGTGTTGTGTGCATTCAACTCACAGAGTTGAACGTCTTTTTGGATAGATCCGTTTTGAAACAATCCTTTTGTAGAATCTGCTTGAGGATATTTGGAGCTCTTTGAGGAATTCGTTGTAAACGGGATATCTGCACACACAAACTAGACAGAAACATAGTCAGAGACTATTTTGTGATGTGTGAACTCAACTCACAGAGTTCAACCTTTCTTTTGATACAGCAGTTTTGCAAAACTGCTTTTGTAGAATCTGCTTGAGGACATTTGGAGCTCTTTGAGGAATTCGTTGTTAGCGGGATATCTGCACATACTAACTAGACACAACTGTTTGCAGAAACTTTATTGGGATGTGTGGATTCAACTCACAGAGTTCAACCTTCCTTTTGATAGAGCAGTCTTGAAATACTGCTTTTGAAGAATCTGCTTGAGGATATTTGGAGCTCTTTGAGGAATTCGTTGTAAACGGGATATCTGCACAAACAAATTAGACAGAAGCATTCTCAGAAACTTTTTTGTGATGTGTGGATTCAACTCACAGAATTCAACCTTCCTTTTGATAGAGCAGTCTTGAAATACTGCTTTTTTAGAATCTGCTTGAGGATATTTGGATCTCCTTGAGGAATTCGTTGTAAACAGGATATCTGCACATACAAACTAGACAGAAGCGTTCTCAGAAAATTTTTGTGATATGTGGATTCAACTGACAGAGTTCAACATTCCTTTTGATAGAGCATTCGTGAAACACTGCTTCGGTAGAATCTGGTTGAGGATATTTGGAGCTCTTTGAGGAATTCGTTGCAAAAGGGATATATCCACATACAATGTAGACAGAAGCATTCTCAGAAAATTTTGTGTTGTGTGCATTCAACTCACAGAGTTGAACGTCTTTGTAGATAGATCAGTTTTGAAACAATCCTTTTGTAGAATCTGCTTGAGGATATTTGGAGCTCTTTGAGGAATTCGTTGTAAACCGGATATCTGCACATACAAAATAGACAGAAACATGGTCAGAGACATTTTTGTGATGTGTGAACTCAACTCACAGAGTTCAACATTTCTTTTGATAGAGCAGTTTTGCAATACTGCTTTTGTAGAATCTGTTGAGGACATTTGGAGCTCTTTGAGGAATTCGTTGTAAACGGGATGTCTGCACATACAAAGTGGACGGAAGCATTCTCAGAAACTTTTTTGTGATGTGTGGATTCAACTCAGAGAGTTCAACCTTTCTTTCGATAGAGCAGTTTTGCAACACTGCTTTTGTAGGATCTACTTGAGGATATTTGGAACTCTTGGAGAAATTCGTTGTAAACGAGATATATGCTCATACAAACTAGACAGAAGCATTCTCAGAAAGTTTTGTGATGTGTGCATTCAAATCACAGAGTCGAACGTTTCTTTTGATAGAGCAGATTTGAAACATTCTTTCTTCATAATCTGCAAGTGTTCATTTTGAGCGCTTTTAAGGCTTTTGGAGGAAAGCAAAATATCATCACATAAAATCTAAACAGAAGCATTCTCAGAAACTGCTTTGGGATGTGTGCATTCAACTCACAGAGTTGAACGCTTTCTTTGATACAGCAGTTTAGAAGCATTCTTTTTGTAGAATCTGCAAGTGTTCATTTGGAGCGCTTTGAAGCCTACGGTGGAAAAGGAAATATCTTCACATAAAAGCTAGACAGAAGTATTCTCAGACAGTTCTTTGTGATATGTCCATTCAACTCACAGAGTTGAATCTTTCCTTTGATAGAGAAGATTGGAAACGTTCTTTCTGCATACTCTGCAAGTGTTCATTTGGAGCGCTTAGAGGCTCATGGTGGAAAGTGAAATATCTTCACATATAAACTAGATACAAGCATTCTCAGAAACATTTAGGGATGTGTGAACTCAACTCACAGAGTTCAACTTTCCTTTTGATAGAGCTGTCTTGAAATCCTGCTTTTGCAGAATCTGCTTGAGGATATTTGGAGCTCTTTCAGGAATTCGTTGCCAACGGGATATCTGCACAAAATTGACAGAAGCATTCTCAGAAACTTTTTTTGGGATGTGTGGATTCAACTCACACAGTTCAACCTTCCTTTTGATAGAGCAGTCTTGAAATACTGCTTTTGAAGAATCTGCTTCAGGATATTTGGAGCTCTTTGAGGAATTCGTTGCAATCGGGATATCTGCACATACAAATTAGACAGAAGCATTCCCAGAAACTTTTTCGTGATGTGTGGATTCAACTCACAGAATTCAACCTTCCTTTTGATAGAGCATTCCTGAAACCCTGCTTGGGTAGAATCTGCTTGAGGATATTTGGAGCTCTTGGAGGAATTCGTGGCAAACGAGATATCTCCACATACAATCTAGACAGAAGCATTCTCAGAAAATTTTGTGTTGTGTGCATTCAAGTCACAGAGTTGAACGTCTTTTTGGATAGATCAGTTTTGAAACAATCCTTTTCTAGAATCAGCTTGAGGATATTTGTAGGTCTTTGAGGAATTCGTTGTAAACGGGATATCTGCACATACAAGGTAGACAGAAACATGGTCAGAGACTTTTTTGTGATGTGTGAACTCAACTCACAGAGTTCAACCTTTCTTTTGATAGAGCAGTTTTGCAGCACTGCTTTTGTAGAATCTGCCTGAGGACATTTGGAGCTCTTTGAGGAATTCGTTGTAAACGGGATGTCCGCACATACAAACTAGACACAACTATTCTCAGAAACTTTTTTGGGATGTGTGGATTCAACTCACAGAGTTCACCCTTCCTTTTGATAGAGCAGTCTTGAAATACTGCTTTTGCAGAATCTGCTTGAGGATATTTTGAGCTCTTTCAGGAATTCGTTGCCAACGGGATGTCTGCACAAAATTGACAGAAGCATTCTCAGAAACTTTTTTTGGGATGTGTGGATTCAACTCACACAGTTCAACCTTCCTTTTGATAGAGCAGTCTTGAAATACTGCTTTTGAAGAATCTGCTTCAGGATATTTGGAGCTCTTTGAGGAATTCGTTGCAATCGGGATATCTGCACATACAAATTAGACAGAAGCATTCCCAGAAACTTTTTCGTGATGTGTGGATTCAACTCACAGAATTCAACCTTCCTTTTGATAGAGCATTCCTGAAACCCTGCTTGGGTAGAATCTGCTTGAGGATATTTGGAGCTCTTGGAGGAATTCGTGGCAAACGAGATATCTCCACATACAATCTAGACAGAAGCATTCTCAGAAAATTTTGTGTTGTGTGCATTCAAGTCACAGAGTTGAACGTCTTTTTGGATAGATCAGTTTTGAAACCATCCTTTTCTAGAATCAGCTTGAGGATATTTGTAGGTCTTTGAGGAATTCGTTGTAAACGGGATATCTGCACATACAAGGTAGACAGAAACATGGTCAGAGACTTTTTTGTGATGTGTGAACTCAACTCACAGAGTTCAACCTTTCTTTTGATAGAGCAGTTTTGCAGCACTGCTTTTGCAGAATCTGCCTGAGGACATTTGGAGATCTTTGAGGAATTCGCTGTAAACGGGATGTCCGCACATACAAACTAGACACAACTATTCTCAGAAACTTTTTTGGGATGTGTGGATTCAACTCACAGAGTTCACCCTTCCTTTTGATAGAGCAGTCTTGAAATACTGCTTTTGTAGAATCTGCTTGAGGATATTTGGAGCTCTTGAGGAATTCGTTGTAAACGGGGTATCTGCACATACAAACTGGACGGAAGCATTCTCAGAAACTTTTTTGTGATGTCTGCATTCAACTCACAGAGTTGAACCTTCCTT
Organism: Homo sapiens; assembly: GCF_000001405.40. Taxonomy (NCBI): domain Eukaryota; kingdom Metazoa; phylum Chordata; class Mammalia; order Primates; family Hominidae; genus Homo; species Homo sapiens. The sequence goes on along the minus strand of NC_000004.12, from coordinate 51,812,478 downwards.
TGGGAGAGCAGCTCTGAAACAGTGTTTTTGCAGTATCAGGAAGTGGATATTTGGAGCGATATGAGGCCTATGGTGGAAAAGGAGATACCTTCACATGGAAGCTACACAGAAGCATTCTCAGAAACTGCTTTGGGATGTGTGCATTCAACTCACAGAGGTGAACGCTTTCTTTGATAGAGCAGTTGTGAAACATTCTTGTTGCAGTATCTGCAAGTGTTCTTTTGGAGCGCTTCGAAACCTGCGGTGGAAATGGTAATATCGTCACATAAAAACTAGACGGAAGTTTGCTCAGACAGTTCCTTGTGATGTGCGCATTGAACTCAAAGAGTTGAACCTTCCTTTTGAGAAAGCAGTTTTGAAACAGTGTTTTCTTACGATCTACAAGTGGATATTTGGAGCGATTTGAGGCCTATGGTGGAAAAGGAAATATCTTCGGATAAAAACTACACAGAAGCATTCTCAGAAACTGCTCTGTGTTGTGTTCATTGAAGTCAAAGGGTTGAACTCCGTCTTTGATAGAGCAGTTTTGAAACATTCTTTTTGTAGAATCTGCAAGTGTTCATTTGGAGCGCTTTGAAGCCTAGGGTGCAAAAGGAAATATCTTCACAGAAAAACCGGACAGAAGCATTCTCAGAAACTGCTTTGTGATGTGTCCATTGAACTCACAGAGTCCAACCTTTCTTTTGATAGAGCAGATTTGAGGCATTCTCTGTGCATAATCTGCAAGTGTTCCTTTGGAGCGCTTTGAAGGCTTATGGTGGAAAGCAAAATATCTTCACATAAAAACTAAACAGAAGCATTCTCAGAAACTGCTTTGGGATGTGTGCATTCAACTCACAGAGTTGAACGCTTTCTTTGATACAGCAGTTTAGAAGCATTCTTTTTGTAGAATCTGCAAGTGTTCATTTGGAGCGCTTTGAAGCCTACGGTGGAAAAGGAAATATCTTCACATAAAAGCTAGACAGAAGTATTCTCAGACAGTTCTTTGTGATATGTCCATTCAACTCACAGAGTTGAATCTTTCCTTTGATAGAGAAGATTGGAAACGTTCTTTCTGCATACTCTGCAAGTGTTCATTTGGAGCGCTTAGAGGCTCATGGTGGAAAGTGAAATATCTTCACATATAAACTAGACAGAAGCATTCTCAGAAACATTTAGGGATGTGTGAACTCAACTCACAGAGTTCAACTTTCCTTTTGATAGAGCTGTCTTGAAATCCTGCTTTTGCAGAATCTGCTTGAGGATATTTGGAGCTCTTTCAGGAATTCGTTGCCAACGGGATATCTGCACAAAATTGAGAGAAGCATTCTCAGAAACTTTTTTTGGGATGTGTGGATTCAACTCACACAGTTCAACCTTCCTTTTGATAGAGCAGTCTTGAAATACTGCTTTTGAAGAATCTGCTTCAGGATATTTGGAGCTCTTGAGGAATTCGTTGTAAACGGGGTATCTGCACATACAAATTGGACGGAAGCATTCTCAGAAACTTTTTTGTGATGTCTGCATTCAACTCACAGAGTTGAACCTTCCTTTGGGAGAGCAGTTCTGAAGCAGTGTTTTTGCACTATCACCCAAGTGGATATTTGGAGCGATACGAGGCCTATGGTGGAAAAGGAGATACCTTCACATGGAAGCTACACAGAAGCATTCTCAGAAACTGCTTTGGGATGTGTGCATTCAACTCACAGAGGTGAACGCTTTCTTTGATAGAGCAGTTGTGAAACATTCTTGTTGCAGTATCTGCAAGTGTTCTTTTGGAGCGCTTCGAAACCTGCGGTGGAAATGGTAATATCGTCACATAAAAACTAGACGGAAGTTTGCTCAGACAGTTCCTTGTGATGTGCGCATTGAACTCAAAGAGTTGAACCTTCCTTTTGAGAAAGCAGTTTTGAAACAGTGTTTTCTTACGATCTACAAGTGGATATTTGGAGCGATTTGAGGCCTATGGTGGAAAAGGAAATATCTTCGGATAAAAACTACACAGAAGCATTCTCAGAAACTGCTCTGTGTTGTGTTCATTGAAGTCAAAGGGTTGAACTCCGTCTTTGATAGAGCAGTTTTGAAACATTCTTTTTGTAGAATCTGCAAGTGTTCATTTGGAGCGCTTTGAAGCCTAGGGTGCAAAAGGAAATATCTTCACAGAAAAACCGGACAGAAGCATTCTCAGAAACTGCTTTGTGATGTGTCCATTGAACTCACAGAGTCCAACCTTTCTTTTGATAGAGCAGATTTGAGGCATTCTCTGTGCATAATCTGCAAGTGTTCCTTTGGAGCGCTTTGAAGGCTTATGGTGGAAAGCAAAATATCTTCACATAAAAACTAAACAGAAGCATTCTCAGAAACTGCTTTGGGATGTGTGCATTCAACTCACAGAGTTGAACGCTTTCTTTGATACAGCAGTTTAGAAGCATTCTTTTTGTAGAATCTGCAAGTGTTCGTTTGGAGCGCTTTGAAGCCTACGGTGGAAAAGGAAATATCTTCACATAAAAGCTAGACAGAAGTATTCTCAGACAGTTCTTTGTGATATGTCCATTCAACTCACAGAGTTGAATCTTTCCTTTGATAGAGAAGATTGGAAACGTTCTTTCTGCATACTCTGCAAGTGTTCATTTGGAGCGCTTAGAGGCTCATGGTGGAAAGTGAAATATCTTCACATATAAACTAGACAGAAGCATTCTCAGAAACATTTAGGGATGTGTGAACTCAACTCACAGAGTTCAACTTTCCTTTTGATAGAGCTGTCTTGAAATCCTGCTTTTGCAGAATCTGCTTGAGGATATTTGGAGCTCTTTCAGGAATTCGTTGCCAACGGGATATCTGCACAAAATTGACAGAAGCATTCTCAGAAACTTTTTTTGGGATGTGTGGATTCAACTCACACAGTTCAACCTTCCTTTTGATAGAGCAGTCTTGAAATACTGCTTTTGAAGAATCTGCTTCAGGATATTTGGAGCTCTTTGAGGAATTCGTTGCAATCGGGATATCTGCACATACAAATTAGACAGAAGCATTCCCAGAAACTTTTTCGTGATGTGTGGATTCAACTCACAGAATTCAACCTTCCTTTTGATAGAGCATTCCTGAAACCCTGCTTGGGTAGAATCTGCTTGAGGATATTTGGAGCTCTTGGAGGAATTCGTGGCAAACGAGATATCTCCACATACAATCTAGACAGAAGCATTCTCAGAAAATTTTGTGTTGTGTGCATTCAAGTCACAGAGTTGAACGTCTTTTTGGATAGATCAGTTTTGAAACCATCCTTTTCTAGAATCAGCTTGAGGATATTTGTAGGTCTTTGAGGAATTCGTTGTAAACGGGATATCTGCACATACAAGGTAGACAGAAACATGGTCAGAGACTTTTTTGTGATGTGTGAACTCAACTCACAGAGTTCAACCTTTCTTTTGATAGAGCAGTTTTGCAGCACTGCTTTTGTAGAATCTGCCTGAGGACATTTGGAGCTCTTTGAGGAATTCGTTGTAAACGGGATGTCCGCACATACAAACTAGACACAACTATTCTCAGAAACTTTTTTGGGATGTGTGGATTCAACTCACAGAGTTCACCCTTCCTTTTGATAGAGCAGTCTTGAAATACTGCTTTTGTAGAATCTGCTTGAGGATATTTGGAGCTCTTGAGGAATTCGTTGTAAACGGGGTATCTGCACATACAAACTGGACGGAAGCATTCTCAGAAACTTTTTTGTGATGTCTGCATTCAACTCACAGAGTTGAACCTTCCTTTGGGAGAGCAGCTCTGAAACAGTGTTTTTGCAGTATCAGGAAGTGGATATTTGGAGCGATATGAGGCCTATGGTGGAAAAGGAGATACCTTCACATGGAAGCTACACAGAAGCATTCTCAGAAACTGCTTTGGGATGTGTGCATTCAACTCACAGAGGTGAACGCTTTCTTTGATAGAGCAGTTGTGAAACATTCTTGTTGCAGTATCTGCAAGTGTTCTTTTGGAGCGCTTCGAAACCTGCGGTGGAAATGGTAATATCGTCACATAAAAACTAGACGGAAGTTTGCTCAGACAGTTCCTTGTGATGTGCGCATTGAACTCAAAGAGTTGAACCTTCCTTTTGAGAAAGCAGTTTTGAAACAGTGTTTTCTTACGATCTACAAGTGGATATTTGGAGCGATTTGAGGCCTATGGTGGAAAAGGAAATATCTTCGGATAAAAACTACACAGAAGCATTCTCAGAAACTGCTCTGTGTTGTGTTCATTGAAGTCAAAGGGTTGAACTCCGTCTTTGATAGAGCAGTTTTGAAACATTCTTTTTGTAGAATCTGCAAGTGTTCATTTGGAGCGCTTTGAAGCCTAGGGTGCAAAAGGAAATATCTTCACAGAAAAACCGGACAGAAGCATTCTCAGAAACTGCTTTGTGATGTGTCCATTGAACTCACAGAGTCCAACCTTTCTTTTGATAGAGCAGATTTGAGGCATTCTCTGTGCATAATCTGCAAGTGTTCCTTTGGAGCGCTTTGAAGGCTTATGGTGGAAAGCAAAATATCTTCACATAAAAACTAAACAGAAGCATTCTCAGAAACTGCTTTGGGATGTGTGCATTCAACTCACAGAGTTGAACGCTTTCTTTGATACAGCAGTTTAGAAGCATTCTTTTTGTAGAATCTGCAAGTGTTCGTTTGGAGCGCTTTGAAGCCTACGGTGGAAAAGGAAATATCTTCACATAAAAGCTAGACAGAAGTATTCTCAGACAGTTCTTTGTGATATGTCCATTCAACTCACAGAGTTGAATCTTTCCTTTGATAGAGAAGATTGGAAACGTTCTTTCTGCATACTCTGCAAGTGTTCATTTGGAGCGCTTAGAGGCTCATGGTGGAAAGTGAAATATCTTCACATATAAACTAGACAGAAGCATTCTCAGAAACATTTAGGGATGTGTGAACTCAACTCACAGAGTTCAACTTTCCTTTTGATAGAGCTGTCTTGAAATCCTGCTTTTGCAGAATCTGCTTGAGGATATTTGGAGCTCTTTCAGGAATTCGTTGCCAACGGGATATCTGCACAAAATTGACAGAAGCATTCTCAGAAACTTTTTTTGGGATGTGTGGATTCAACTCACACAGTTCAACCTTCCTTTTGATAGAGCAGTCTTGAAATACTGCTTTTGAAGAATCTGCTTCAGGATATTTGGAGCTCTTTGAGGAATTCGTTGCAATCGGGATATCTGCACATACAAATTAGACAGAAGCATTCCCAGAAACTTTTTCGTGATGTGTGGATTCAACTCACAGAATTCAACCTTCCTTTTGATAGAGCATTCTTGAAACACTGCTTGGGTAGAATCTGCTTGAGGATATTTGGAGCTCTTGGAGGAATTCGTGGCAAACGAGATATCTCCACATACAATCTAGACAGAAGCATTCTCAGAAAATTTTGTGTTGTGTGCATTCAAGTCACAGAGTTGAACGTCTTTTTGGATAGATCAGTTTTGAAACAATCCTTTTCTAGAATCAGCTTGAGGATATTTGTAGGTCTTTGAGGAATTCGTTGTAAACGGGATATCTGCACATACAAGGTAGACAGAAACATGGTCAGAGACTTTTTTGTGATGTGTGAACTCAACTCACAGAGTTCAACCTTTCTTTTGATAGAGCAGTTTTGCAGCACTGCTTTTGTAGAATCTGCCTGAGGACATTTGGAGCTCTTTGAGGAATTCGTTGTAAACGGGATGTCCGCACATACAAACTAGACACAACTATTCTCAGAAACTTTTTTGGGATGTGTGGATTCAACTCACAGAGTTCACCCTTCCTTTTGATAGAGCAGTCTTGAAATACTGCTTTTGTAGAATCTGCTTGAGGATATTTGGAGCTCTTGAGGAATTCGTTGTAAACGGGGTATCTGCACACACAAACTGGACGGAAGCATTCTCAGAAACTTTTTTGTGATGTCTGCATTCAACTCACAGAGTTGAACCTTCCTTTGGGAGAGCAGCTCTGAAACAGTGTTTTTGCAGTATCAGGAAGTGGATATTTGGAGCGATATGAGGCCTATGGTGGAAAAGGAGATACCTTCACATGGAAGCTACACAGAAGCATTCTCAGAAACTGCTTTGGGATGTGTGCATTCAACTCACAGAGGTGAACGCTTTCTTTGATAGAGCAGTTGTGAAACATTCTTGTTGCAGTATCTGCAAGTGTTCTTTTGGAGCGCTTCAAACCTGCGGTGGAAATGGTAATATCGTCACATAAAAACTAGACGGAAGTTTGCTCAGACAGTTCCTTGTGATGTGCGCATTGAACTCAAAGAGTTGAACCTTCCTTTTGAGAAAGCAGTTTTGAAACAGTGTTTTCTTACGATCTACAAGTGGATATTTGGAGCGATTTGAGGCCTATGGTGGAAAAGGAAATATCTTCGGATAAAAACTACACAGAAGCATTCTCAGAAACTGCTCTGTGTTGTGTTCATTGAAGTCAAAGGGTTGAACTCCGTCTTTGATAGAGCAGTTTTGAAACATTCTTTTTGTAGAATCTGCAAGTGTTCATTTGGAGCGCTTTGAAGCCTAGGGTGCAAAAGGAAATATCTTCACAGAAAAACCGGACAGAAGCATTCTCAGAAACTGCTTTGTGATGTGTCCATTGAACTCACAGAGTCCAACCTTTCTTTTGATAGAGCAGATTTGAGGCATTCTCTGTGCATAATCTGCAAGTGTTCCTTTGGAGCGCTTTGAAGGCTTATGGTGGAAAGCAAAATATCTTCACATAAAAACTAAACAGAAGCATTCTCAGAAACTGCTTTGGGATGTGTGCATTCAACTCACAGAGTTGAACGCTTTCTTTGATACAGCAGTTTAGAAGCATTCTTTTTGTAGAATCTGCAAGTGTTCATTTGGAGCGCTTTGAAGCCTACGGTGGAAAAGGAAATATCTTCACATAAAAGCTAGACAGAAGTATTCTCAGACAGTTCTTTGTGATATGTCCATTCAACTCACAGAGTTGAATCTTTCCTTTGATAGAGAAGATTGGAAACATTCTTTCTGCATACTCTGCAAGTGTTCATTTGGAGCGCTTAGAGGCTCATGGTGGAAAGCGAAATATCTTCACATATAAACTAGACAGAAGCATTCTCAGAAACATTTAGGGATGTGTGAACTCAACTCACAGAGTTCAACTTTCCTTTTGATAGAGCTGTCTTGAAATCCTGCTTTTGCAGAATCTGCTTGAGGATATTTGGAGCTCTTTCAGGAATTCGTTGCCAACGGGATATCTGCACAAAATTGAGAGAAGCATTCTCAGAAACTTTTTTTGGGATGTGTGGATTCAACTCACACAGTTCAACCTTCCTTTTGATAGAGCAGTCTTGAAATACTGCTTTTGAAGAATCTGCTTCAGGATATTTGGAGCTCTTTGAGGAATTCGTTGCAATCGGGATATCTGCACATACAAATTAGACAGAAGCATTCCCAGAAACTTTTTCGTGATGTGTGGATTCAACTCACAGAATTCAACCTTCCTTTTGATAGAGCATTCCTGAAACCCTGCTTGGGTAGAATCTGCTTGAGGATATTTGGAGCTCTTGGAGGAATTCGTGGCAAACGAGATATCTCCACATACAATCTAGACAGAAGCATTCTCAGAAAATTTTGTGTTGTGTGCATTCAAGTCACAGAGTTGAACGTCTTTTTGGATAGATCAGTTTTGAAACCATCCTTTTCTAGAATCAGCTTGAGGATATTTGTAGGTCTTTGAGGAATTCGTTGTAAACGGGATATCTGCACATACAAGGTAGACAGAAACATGGTCAGAGACTTTTTTGTGATGTGTGAACTCAACTCACAGAGTTCAACCTTTCTTTTGATAGAGCAGTTTTGCAGCACTGCTTTTGTAGAATCTGCCTGAGGACATTTGGAGCTCTTTGAGGAATTCGTTGTAAACGGGATGTCCGCACATACAAACTAGACACAACTATTCTCAGAAACTTTTTTGGGATGTGTGGATTCAACTCACAGAGTTCACCCTTCCTTTTGATAGAGCAGTCTTGAAATACTGCTTTTGTAGAATCTGCTTGAGGATATTTGGAGCTCTTGAGGAATTCGTTGTAAACGGGGTATCTGCACATACAAACTGGACGGAAGCATTCTCAGAAACTTTTTTGTGATGTCTGCATTCAACTCACAGAGTTGAACCTTCCTTTGGGAGAGCAGCTCTGAAACAGTGTTTTTGCAGTATCAGGAAGTGGATATTTGGAGCGATATGAGGCCTATGGTGGAAAAGGAGATACCTTCACATGGAAGCTACACAGAAGCATTCTCAGAAACTGCTTTGGGATGTGTGCATTCAACTCACAGAGGTGAACGCTTTCTTTGATAGAGCAGTTGTGAAACATTCTTGTTGCAGTATCTGCAAGTGTTCTTTTGGAGCGCTTCGAAACCTGCGGTGGAAATGGTAATATCGTCACATAAAAACTAGACGGAAGTTTGCTCAGACAGTTCCTTGTGATGTGCGCATTGAACTCAAAGAGTTGAACCTTCCTTTTGAGAAAGCAGTTTTGAAACAGTGTTTTCTTACGATCTACAAGTGGATATTTGGAGCGATTTGAGGCCTATGGTGGAAAAGGAAATATCTTCGGATAAAAACTACACAGAAGCATTCTCAGAAACTGCTCTGTGTTGTGTTCATTGAAGTCAAAGGGTTGAACTCCGTCTTTGATAGAGCAGTTTTGAAACATTCTTTTTGTAGAATCTGCAAGTGTTCATTTGGAGCGCTTTGAAGCCTAGGGTGCAAAAGGAAATATCTTCACAGAAAAACTGGACAGAATCATTCTCAGAAACTGCTTTGTGATGTGTCCATTGAACTCACAGAGTCCAACCTTTCTTTTGATAGAGCAGATTTGAGGCATTCTCTGTGCATAATCTGCAAGTGTTCCTTTGGAGCGCTTTGAAGGCTTATGGTGGAAAGCAAAATATCTTCACATAAAAACTAAACAGAAGCATTCTCAGAAACTGCTTTGGGATGTGTGCATTCAACTCACAGAGTTGAATGCTTTCTTTGATACAGCAGTTTAGAAGCATTCTTTTTGTAGAATCTGCAAGTGTTCATTTGGAGCGCTTTGAAGTCTACGGTGGAAAAGGAAATATCTTCACATAAAAGCTAGACAGAAGTATTCTCAGACAGTTCTTTGTGATATGTCCATTCAACTCACAGAGTTGAATCTTTCCTTTGGTAGAGAAGATTGGAAACATTCTTTCTGCATACTCTGCAAGTGTTCATTTGGAGCGCTTAGAGGCTCATGGTGGAGAGTGAAATATCTTCACATATAAACTAGATAGAAGCATTCTCAGAAACATTTAGGGATGTGTGAACTCAACTCACAGTGTTCAACTTTCCTTTGATAGAGCTGTCTTGAAATCCTGCTTTTGCAGAATCTGCTTGAGGATATTTGGAGCTCTTTCAGGAATTCGTTGCCAACGGGATATCTGCACAAAATTGACAGAAGCATTCTCAGAAACTTTTTTTGGGATGTGTGGATTCAACTCACACAGTTCAAGCTTCCTTTTGATAGAGCAGTCTTGAAATACTGCTTTTGAAGAATCTGCTTCAGGATATTTGGAGCTCTTTGAGGAATTCGTTGCAATCGGGATATCTGCACATACAAATTAGACAGAAGCATTCCCAGAAACTTTTTCGTGATGTGTGGATTCAACTCACAGAATTCAACCTTCCTTTTGATAGAGCATTCTTGAAACACTGCTTGGGTAGAATCTGCTTGAGGATATTTGGAGCTCTTGGAGGAATTCGTGGCAAACGAGATATCTCCACATACAATCTAGACAGAAGCATTCTCAGAAAATTTTGTGTTGTGTGCATTCAAGTCACAGAGTTGTACGTCTTTTTGGATAGATCAGTTTTGAAACAATCCTTTTCTAGAATCAGCTTGAGGATATTTGTAGGTCTTTGAGGAATTCGTTGTAAACGGGATATCTGCACATACAAGGTAGACAGAAACATGGTCAGAGACTTTTTTGTGATGTGTGAACTCAACTCACAGAGTTCAACCTTTCTTTTGATAGAGCAGTTTTGCAGCACTGCTTTTGTAGAATCTGCCTGAGGACATTTGGAGCTCTTTGAGGAATTCGTTGTAAACGGGATGTCTGCACATACAAACTAGACACAACTATTCTCAGAAACTTTTTTGGGATGTGTGGATTCAACTCACAGAGTTCACCCTTCCTTTTGATAGAGCAGTCTTGAAATACTGCTTTTGTAGAATCTGCTTGAGGATATTTGGAGCTCTTGAGGAATTCGTTGTAAACGGGGTATCTGCACATACAAACTGGACGGAAGCATTCTCAGAAACTTTTTTGTGATGTCTGCATTCAACTCACAGAGTTGAACCTTCCTTTGGGAGAGCAGTTCTGAAACAGTGTTTTTGCACTATCACCCAAGTGGATATTTGGAGCGATATGAGGCCTATGGTGGAAAAGGAGATACCTTCACATGGAAGCTACACAGAAGCATTCTCAGAAACTGCTTTGGGATGTGTGCATTCAACTCACAGAGGTGAACGCTTTCTTTGATAGAGCAGTTGTGAAACATTCTTGTTGCAGTATCTGCAAGTGTTCTTTTGGAGCGCTTCGAAACCTGCGGTGGAAATGGTAATATCGTCACATAAAAACTAGACGGAAGTTTGCTCAGACAGTTCCTTGTGATGTGCGCATTGAACTCAAAGAGTTGAACCTTCCTTTTGAGAAAGCAGTTTTGAAACAGTGTTTTCTTACGATCTACAAGAGGATATTTGGAGCGATTTGAGGCCTATGGTGGAAAAGGAAATATCTTCGGATAAAAACTACACAGAAGCATTCTCAGAAACTGCTCTGTGTTGTGTTCATTGAAGTCAAAGGGTTGAACTCCGTCTTTGATAGAGCAGTTTTGAAACATTCTTTTTGTAGAATCTGCAAGTGTTCATTTGGAGCGCTTTGAAGCCTAGGGTGCAAAAGGAAATATCTTCACAGAAAAACCGGACAGAAGCATTCTCAGAAACTGCTTTGTGATGTGTCCATTGAACTCACAGAGTCCAACCTTTCTTTTGATAGAGCAGATTTGAGGCATTCTCTGTGCATAGTCTGCAAGTGTTCCTTTGGAGCGCTTTGAAGGCTTATGGTGGAAAGCAAAATATCTTCACATAAAAACTAAACAGAAGCATTCTCAGAAAGTGCTTTGGGATGTGTGCATTCAACTCACAGAGTTGAACGCTTTCTTTGATACAGCAGTTTAGAAGCATTCTTTTTGTAGAATCTGCAAGTGTTCATTTGGAGCGCTTTGAAGCCTACGGTGGAAAAGGAAATATCTTCACATAAAAGCTAGACAGAAGTATTCTCAGACAGTTCTTTGTGATATGTCCATTCAACTCACAGAGTTGAATCTTTCCTTTGGTAGAGAAGATTGGAAACATTCTTTCTGCATACTCTGCAAGTGTTCATTTGGAGCGCTTAGAGGCTCATGGTGGAAAGTGAAATATCTTCACATATAAACTAGATAGAAGCATTCTCAGAAACATTTAGGGATGTGTGAACTCAACTCACAGAGTTCAACTTTCCTTTTGATAGAGCTGTCTTGAAATCCTGCTTTTGCAGAATCTGCTTGAGGATATTTGGAGCTCTTTCAGGAATTCGTTGCCAACGGGATATCTGCACAAAATTGACAGAAGCATTCTCAGAAACTTTTTTTGGGATGTGTGGATTCAACTCACACAGTTCAACCTTCCTTTTGATAGAGCAGTCTTGAAATACTGCTTTTGAAGAATCTGCTTCAGGATATTTGGAGCTCTTTGAGGAATTCGTTGCAATCGGGATATCTGCACATACAAATTAGACAGAAGCATTCCCAGAAACTTTTTCGTGATGTGTGGATTCAACTCACAGAATTCAACCTTCCTTTTGATAGAGCATTCCTGAAACCCTGCTTGGGTAGAATCTGCTTGAGGATATTTGGAGCTCTTGGAGGAATTCGTGGCAAACGAGATATCTCCACATACAATCTAGACAGAAGCATTCTCAGAAAATTTTGTGCTGTGTGCATTCAAGTCACAGAGTTGAACGTCTTTTTGGATAGATCAGTTTTGAAACCATCCTTTTCTAGAATCAGCTTGAGGATATTTGTAGGTCTTTGAGGAATTCGTTGTAAACGGGATATCTGCACATACAAGGTAGACAGGAACATGGTCAGAGACTTTTTTGTGATGTGTGAACTCAACTCACAGAGTTCAACCTTTCTTTCGATAGAGCAGTTTTGCAGCACTGCTTTTGTAGAATCTGCCTGAGGACATTTGGAGCTCTTTGAGGAATTCGCTGTAAACGGGATGTCCGCACATACAAACTAGACACAACTATTCTCAGAAACTTTTTTGGGATGTGTGGATTCAACTCACAGAGTTCACCCTTCCTTTTGATAGAGCAGTCTTGAAATACTGCTTTTGTAGAATCTGCTTGAGGATATTTGGAGCTCTTGAGGAATTCGTTGTAAACGGGGTATCTGCACATACAAACTGGATGGAAGCATTCTCAGAAACTTTTTTGTGATGTCTGCATTCAACTCACAGAGTTGAACCTTCCTTTGGGAGAGCAGTTCTGAAGCAGTGTTTTTGCACTATCACCCAAGTGGATATTTGGAGCGATATGAGGCCTATGGTGGAAAAGGAGATACCTTCACATGGAAGCTACACAGAAGCATTCTCAGAAACTGCTTTGGGATGTGTGCATTCAACTCACAGAGGTGAACGCTTTCTTTGATAGAGCAGTTGTGAAACATTCTTGTTGCAGTATCTGCAAGTGTTCTTTTGGAGCGCTTCGAAACCTGCGGTGGAAATGGTAATATCGTCACATAAAAACTAGACGGAAGTTTGCTCAGACAGTTCCTTGTGATGTGCGCATTGAACTCAAAGAGTTGAACCTTCCTTTTGAGAAAGCAGTTTTGAAACAGTGTTTTCTTACGATCTACAAGTGGATATTTGGAGCGATTTGAGGCCTATGGTGGAAAAGGAAATATCTTCGGATAAAAACTACACAGAAGCATTCTCAGAAACTGCTCTGTGTTGTGTTCATTGAAGTCAAAGGGTTGAACTCCGTCTTTGATAGAGCAGTTTTGAAACATTCTTTTTGTAGAATCTGCAAGTGTTCATTTGGAGCGCTTTGAAGCCTAGGGTGCAAAAGGAAATATCTTCACAGAAAAACCGGACAGAAGCATTCTCAGAAACTGCTTTGTGATGTGTCCATTGAACTCACAGAGTCCAACCTTTCTTTTGATAGAGCAGATTTGAGGCATTCTCTGTGCATAGTCTGCAAGTGTTCCTTTGGAGCGCTTTGAAGGCTTATGGTGGAAAGCAAAATATCTTCACATAAAAACTAAACAGAAGCATTCTCAGAAACTGCTTTGGGATGTGTGCATTCAACTCACAGAGTTGAACGCTTTCTTTGATACAGCAGTTTAGAAGCATTCTTTTTGTAGAATCTGCAAGTGTTCATTTGGAGCGCTTTGAAGCCTACGGTGGAAAAGGAAATATCTTCACATAAAAGCTAGACAGAAGTATTCTCAGACAGTTCTTTGTGATATGTCCATTCAACTCACAGAGTTGAATCTTTCCTTTGATAGAGAAGATTGGAAACATTCTTTCTGCATACTCTGCAAGTGTTCATTTGGAGCGCTTAGAGGCTCATGGTGGAAAGTGAAATATCTTCACATATAAACTAGACAGAAGCATTCTCAGAAACATTTAGGGATGTGTGAACTCAACTCACGGAGTTCAACTTTCCTTTTGATAGAGGTGTCTTGAAATCCTGCTTTTACAGAATCTGCTTGAGGATATTTGGAGCTCTTTCAGGAATTCGTTGCCAACGGGATATCTGCACAAAATTGACAGAAGCGTTCTCAGAACCTTTTTTTGGGATGTGTGGATTCAACTCACACAGTTCAATCTTCCTTTTGATAGAGCAGTCTTGAAATACTGCTTTTGAAGAATCTGCTTCAGGATATTTGGAGCTCTTTGAGGAATTCGTTGCAATCGGGATATCTGCACATACAAATTAGACAGAAGCATTCCCAGAAACTTTTTCGTGATGTGTGGATTCAACTCACAGAATTCAACCTTCCTTTTGATAGAGCATTCCTGAAACCCTGCTTGGGTAGAATCTGCTTGAGGATATTTGGAGCTCTTGGAGGAATTCGTGGCAAACGAGATATCTCCACATACAATCTAGACAGAAGCATTCTCAGAAAATTTTGTGCTGTGTGCATTCAAGTCACAGAGTTGAACGTCTTTTTGGATAGATCAGTTTTGAAACCATCCTTTTCTAGAATCAGCTTGAGGATATTTGTAGGTCTTTGAGGAATTCGTTGTAAACGGGATATCTGCACATACAAGGTAGACAGGAACATGGTCAGAGACTTTTTTGTGATGTGTGAACTCAACTCACAGAGTTCAACCTTTCTTTCGATAGAGCAGTTTTGCAGCACTGCTTTTGTAGAATCTGCCTGAGGACATTTGGAGCTCTTTGAGGAATTCGCTGTAAACGGGATGTCCGCACATACAAACTAGACACAACTATTCTCAGAAACTTTTTTGGGATGTGTGGATTCAACTCACAGAGTTCACCCTTCCTTTTGATAGAGCAGTCTTGAAATACTGCTTTTGTAGAATCTGCTTGAGGATATTTGGAGCTCTTGAGGAATTCGTTGTAAACGGGGTATCTGCACATACAAACTGGACGGAAGCATTCTCAGAAACTTTTTTGTGATGTCTGCATTCAACTCACAGAGTTGAACCTTCCTTTGGGAGAGCAGTTCTGAAGCAGTGTTTTTGCACTATCACCCAAGTGGATATTTGGAGCGATATGAGGCCTATGGTGGAAAAGGAGATACCTTCACATGGAAGCTACACAGAAGCATTCTCAGAAACTGCTTTGGGATGTGTGCATTCAACTCACAGATGTGAACGCTTTCTTTGATAGAGCAGTTGTGAAACATTCTTGTTGCAGTATCTGCAAGTGTTCTTTTGGAGCGCTTCGAAACCTGCGGTGGAAATGGTAATATCGTCACATAAAAACTAGACGGAAGTTTGCTCAGACAGTTCCTTGTGATGTGCGCATTGAACTCAAAGAGTTGAACCTTCCTTTTGAGAAAGCAGTTTTGAAACAGTGTTTTCTTACGATCTACAAGTGGATATTTGGAGCGATTTGAGGCCTATGGTGGAAAAGGAAATATCTTCGGATAAAAACTACACAGAAGCATTCTCAGAAACTGCTCTGTGTTGTGTTCATTGAAGTCAAAGGGTTGAACTCCGTCTTTGATAGAGCAGTTTTGAAACATTCTTTTTGTAGAATCTGCAAGTGTTCATTTGGAGCGCTTTGAAGCCTAGGGTGCAAAAGGAAATATCTTCACAGAAAAACCGGACAGAAGCATTCTCAGAAACTGCTTTGTGATGTGTCCATTGAACTCACAGAGTCCAACCTTTCTTTTGATAGAGCAGATTTGAGGCATTCTCTGTGCATAGTCTGCAAGTGTTCCTTTGGAGCGCTTTGAAGGCTTATGGTGGAAAGCAAAATATCTTCACATAAAAACTAAACAGAAGCATTCTCAGAAACTGCTTTGGGATGTGTGCATTCAACTCACAGAGTTGAACGCTTTCTTTGATACAGCAGTTTAGAAGCATTCTTTTTGTAGAATCTGCAAGTGTTCATTTGGAGCGCTTTGAAGCCTACGGTGGAAAAGGAAATATCTTCACATAAAAGCTAGACAGAAGTATTCTCAGACAGTTCTTTGTGATATGTCCATTCAACTCACAGAGTTGAATCTTTCCTTTGATAGAGAAGATTGGAAACATTCTTTCTGCATACTCTGCAAGTGTTCATTTGGAGCGCTTAGAGGCTCATGGTGGAAAGTGAAATATCTTCACATATAAACTAGACAGAAGCATTCTCAGAAACATTTAGGGATGTGTGAACTCAACTCACGGAGTTCAACTTTCCTTTTGATAGAGGTGTCTTGAAATCCTGCTTTTGCAGAATCTGCTTGAGGATATTTGGAGCTCTTTCAGGAATTCGTTGCCAACGGGATATCTGCACAAAATTGACAGAAGCGTTCTCAGAACCTTTTTTTGGGATGTGTGGATTCAACTCACACAGTTCAACCTTCCTTTTGATAGAGCAGTCTTGAAATACTGCTTTTGAAGAATCTGCTTCAGGATATTTGGAGCTCTTTGAGGAATTCGTTGCAATCGGGATATCTGCACATACAAATTAGACAGAAGCATTCCCAGAAACTTTTTCGTGATGTGTGGATTCAACTCACAAAATTCAACCTTCCTATTGATAGAGCATTCTTGAAACACTGCTTGGGTAGAATCTGCTTCAGGATATTTGGAGCTCTTGGAGGAATTCGTGGCAAACGAGATATCTCCACATACAATCTAGACTGAAGCATTCTCAGAAAATTTTGTGTTGTGTGCATTCAAGTCACAGAGTTGAAGGTCTTTTTGGATAGATCAGTTTTGAAACCATCCTTTTCTAGAATCAGCTTGAGGATATTTGTAGGTCTTTGAGGAATTCGTTGTAAACGGGATATCTGCACATACAAGGTAGATAGAAACATGGTCAGAGACTTTTTGTGATGTGTGAACTCAACTCACAGAGTTCAACCTTTCTTTCGATAGAGCAGTTTTGCAGCACTGCTTTTGCAGAATCTGCCTGAGGACATTTGGAGCTCTTTGAGGAATTCGCTGTAAACGGGATGTCCGCACATACAAACTAGACACAACTATTCTCAGAAACTTTTTTGGGATATGTGGATTCAACTCACAGAGTTCACCCTTCCTTTTGATAGAGCAG
Source organism: Homo sapiens (assembly GCF_000001405.40). Lineage (NCBI taxonomy): Eukaryota > Metazoa > Chordata > Mammalia > Primates > Hominidae > Homo > Homo sapiens. Next base: position 51,795,632 of record NC_000004.12, on the reverse strand, counting down.
TCTTGAAATACTGCTTTTGTAGAATCTGCTTGAGGATATTTGGAGCTCTTGAGGAATTCGTTGTAAACGGGGTATCTGCACATACAAACTGGACGGAAGCATTCTCAGAAACTTTTTTGTGATGTCTGCATTCAACTCACAGAGCTGAACCTTCCTTTGGGAGAGCAGCTCTGAAACAGTGTTTTTGCAGTATCACCCAAGTGGATATTTGGAGCGATATGAGGCCTATGGTGGAAAAGGAGATACCTTCACATGGAAGCTACACAGAAGCATTCTCAGAAACTGCTTTGGGATGTGTGCATTCAACTCACAGAGGTGAACGCTTTCTTTGATAGAGCAGTTGTGAAACATTCTTGTTGCAGTATCTGTAAGTGTTCTTTTGGAGCGCTTCGAAACCTGCGGTGGAAATGGTAATATCGTCACATAAAAACTAGACGGAAGTTTGCTCAGACAGTTCCTTGTGATGTGCGCATTGAACTCAAAGAGTTGAACCTTCCTTTTGAGAAAGCAGTTTTGAAACAGTGTTTTCTTACGATCTACAAGTGGATATTTGGAGCGATTTGAGGCCTATGGTGGAAAAGGAAATATCTTCGGATAAAAACTACACAGAAGCATTCTCAGAAACTGCTCTGTGTTGTGTTCATTGAAGTCAAAGGGTTGAACTCCGTCTTTGATAGAGCAGTTTTGAAACATTCTTTTTGTAGAATCTGCAAGTGTTCATTTGGAGCGCTTTGAAGCCTAGGGTGCAAAAGGAAATATCTTCACAGAAAAACCGGACAGAAGCATTCTCAGAAACTGCTTTGTGATGTGTCCATTGAACTCACAGGGTCCAACCTTTCTTTTGATAGAGCAGATTTGAGGCATTCTCTGTGCATAATCTGCAAGTGTTCCTTTGGAGCGCTTTGAAGGCTTATGGTGGAAAGCAAAATATCTTCACATAAAAACTAAACAGAAGCATTCTCAGAAACTGCTTTGGGATGTGTGCATTCAACTCACAGAGTTGAACGCTTTCTTTGATACAGCAGTTTAGAAGCATTCTTTTTGTAGAATCTGCAAGTGTTCATTTGGAGCGCTTTGAAGCCTATGGTGGAAAAGGAAATATCTTCACATAAAAGCTAGACAGAAGTATTCTCAGACAGTTCTTTGTGATATGTCCATTCAACTCACAGAGTTGAATCTTTCCTTTGATAGAGAAGATTGGAAACATTCTTTCTGCATACTCTGCAAGTGTTCATTTGGAGTGCTTAGAGGCTCATGGTGGAAAGTGAAATATCTTCACATATAAACTAGACAGAAGCATTCTCAGAAACATTTAGGGATGGGTGAACTCAACTCACAGAGCTCAACTTTCCTTTTGATAGAGCTGTCTTGAAATCCTGCTTTTGCAGAATCTGCTTGAGGATATTTTGAGCTCTTTCAGGAATTCGTTGCCAACGGGATGTCTGCACAAAATTGACAGAAGCATTCTCAGAAACTTTTTTTGGGATGTGTGGATTCAACTCACACAGTTCAACCTTCCTTTTGATAGAGCAGTCTTGAAATACTGCTTTTGAAGAATCTGCTTCAGGATATTTGGAGCTCTTTGAGGAATTCGTTGCAATCGGGATATCTGCACATACAAATTAGACAGAAGCATTCCCAGAAACTTTTTCGTGATGTGTGGATTCAACTCACAGAATTC